>NC_000001.11:200684587-201934587 GCF_000001405.40 Homo sapiens | reverse complement strand
GGTGGCAGCTGGAGATAAATGTGGAATCAGGGAGGATATTTTTGAAAGACAAGGAATATTATAGCATGGCTGATGGGGATAATTCAGTAGACAGGGAGACTGATAACACCAGTGAAGGGGGCAAAAAGGGATAGAATGCAGTCGAGGGGTCACATCTCAGCAGCAGGTAATCACTTAGGAGAGAAGGCAGCAGAGATGGGCCAAGATACAGCCAGGTTGATAAGTGTGGTGATGGGAGGTTGAGGTTTGCCTCATACGTGCAATGTGCTGCTCTGGAAGGACAGCACTGGCAGCCATAGGCTGGTCTGAAGGGAGGAGAAACCAAGGAGGCTATGACAATAGTCAGAGGTTAAGCCTCAGGTCACAAGAAAAATGCTCAGTGCTCCCCGGATGAGGGCAGAGAAAACATGAAAGTACTTCCGGACATGAAATCTGGCATGAGAACAGTCAACAGACAACAGCCAGCTGCCAGAGCTGCTTGAAAATCCAGTAGATTTTCACCTCCAGTGCATCGATCTTCTGTCCCTTAAGTCACCCATGCCCAAGGAGAAGGAGGGAGCACACTGGTCCCTTCCCAGCATATGACTGACAGCTGGCGTGGTGGGACAAGCACTGGACTTGCAAGCCAAACCAGGGGGACCTGGGGCTAATTCCCAACTTGGCTATTTATCAGCTGGGTGGTCTCAGACAAGCATTTAATATTTCTAAGCTTCACTCTATTTTATTTTTATTCTTTATTGCCTTGTCCATATTTCATTTTTACTTGACAATAATGTTTTTATAACATTTTTATTGGAATATAAAATATTTACAGAAATGTGCACAAAAGTGTGGAGTTTCATGAATTATCACAAAATGAACAAGAAACTGAATGTTGTCAGCACCACAGCATTGTCCCTGCCCAAGCTTCCTCTCCAAAGATAGCCCCTATCCTGATTTCTAATCCCCTAGGTTAGTCTTGCCATATATATATATATATATATATATATATAATGTATGTATATGTGTACATATATAATATATATATGTATTATATATATATGTATTATATATATAGAGAGAGAGAGAGAGAAAGGCTCATGGAGTGTGTATTTTTTGTATCTGGCTTCTTTCACTCAACTTTATGTTTGTGACATGCAACCATGTTGTTGTCTATAGCATTTTTTTTTTTTTGAGACAGAGTTTTGCTCCTGTTGCCCAGGCTGGAGTGCAATGACGAGATCTTGGCTCACTGCAACCTCCACCTTCCGGGTTCACGCGATTCTCCTGCCTCAGCCTCCAAAGTAGCTGTGATTACAGGCGTCCACCACCAAGCCTGGCTAATTTTTGTATTTTTAGTAGAGATGGGGTTTCACCACGTTGGCCAGGCTGGTCCTGAACTCCTGACTTCAGGTGTTCCACTCGCCTCAGCCTCCCAAAGTGCTGGGATTACAAGCGTGAGCCACCACACCATCTGTAGCATTTTTAAACCTTCATTGCTATGCAGCATTTTACTATGTGAATATACCACAGTTTATTTATTCATTTCACTGTTAATGGACATTTGGGTTGTTTCCAGTCTGGGACTATTACAAACAATGCTGTTATGAACATTTTCGGACATTTTTAGTGCACTTCTGACTTCATTTCTGTTGGGTATGTACCTAAGAATGGAATTTCTGCGTCGTAGAGAATGCATAGTGAACTTTAATTTCTTCTTCTGTCAATAAGGATGATACCACCTAATTTGAAGGTCTCCATGAGGAAAAGATACAAAAATTTGAAGGTTTAACATAGTGCTTTGCAAACAGTAGGCACTAAGTTAAGTGATAGTCATTAACATCATTTCTTTCTTTTTGTTTTTTCTTTTTGAGACAAGGTCTTTGTCGCCCAGGCCAGGGTGCAGTGGTGCAATCTTGGCTCACTGCAACCTCTGCCTCCTGGGCTCAAGTGATCCTTCCACCTCAGCCTCCTGACTACAGGTGTGCACCACCATACCTGGCTAATTTTTTTATTTTGAGTAGAGACAGGGTTTTGCCATGTTGCCCAGGCTGGTCTTGAACTCCTAGGCTCAAGCGATCCACCAGCCTCAACCTCCCAAAGTGCTGGGATTACAGGCCTGAACCACCACTCCCGGCCCATCGTTTCTAATGGAGTACATCTTTGAGAGCAACTAGATGCTGTATAACCTTTTCAGCGTGTTCTGCCTCCTGTCCTCCTGACCCTCTCTATCGAGATTTGGACACTTCACTAAAGCCCAGGTCAGATTCCTCTACCTCAGGATTCATCTGTTCCAAAGATGATGACTTAGAGGCATATCCCATTTCATGGCCTCTTCTCATTCCTAGCCTTACCTACTCTCAGTATGGACTGACTTCTCTTCCACTCAATTTTCAGGCTTTACTTGTAATTTTCCTCTTTAACTTATATGTTACTATGGTTATTGTGAACATTATCCTCAATTCTCATGCTCAGTCCTCCCCAACCTTCCATCACCCCTAGCCTGAATGAAAGTAACCATTTAGCAATTCTATTGTGCATCCAAGCTACTGAACATACCCAGCAGCCTCAGATAGCACTATATTGGTGCCTCTGTGGATTAAAACCCTATAACCTCAGCCAAGCCCTCAAAGCTGCCCAGAAAACATCTACACTCCTTCTTCTCACTCCTCTGGGACACTATTCTAAAAATTAGTTTGTTTTTTTTTGATACAGGGTCTGGCCCTGTCACCCAGGTTGGAGTGCAGTGGCATGATTATGGCTCACTGCAACCTTGCCTCCTGAGCTCAAGTGATCATCCCACCTCAGCCTCCCAAAGTGCTGGGATTACAGGCATGTCCCACCGTGCCCAGCCAGCCTTTCTTTACAAACTCTCTTGTCCCATCTCTCTTTTCACCCTCAACAGATGATCTAGCCTCATATTTCGTGGAGACACTTGAAGCCATCAGATGAAAATGTCTTCAAATTTCTCTTCTGTCACCTGAAAACTTGTAAGCATCCATGTATGCAAGTTTTCGCCTTTCTCTCCCTTTTTATATGCAAGCTTTCTCTCCCTTTTTTTTTTTTTTTTTTTGACAGAGTCTCATTATGTCGCCCAGGCTGGAGTGCAGTGGCACCATCTCAGCTCACTGCAACCTCCTCTGCTTCCTGGGGTCAAGCGATTCTCATGCCTCAGCCTCCTGAGTAGCTGGGATTACAGGCACGCACCGCCACGCCCAGCTAATTTTTGTATTTTTAGTAGAGACGAGGTTTCGCCATGTTGGCCAGGCCGGTCTCGAACTCTTGCCCTCAAGTGATCCATCTGTCTTGGCCTCCCGAAGTGTTGGAATTACAGGCGTGAGCCACCGAACCCGGCCTTCCGTTTCTCTTTTATCCCATGGAAAGGATATCCCTCTTCTGTCCCAGACTATTACCCAAACCCACTTTTTAGAATCTTTTCTCTCCTGCCTCCACACGACCTTTGCTCCTTTAAACATCTCTCTCTCTCTTCAACATTCCCTTTTACTGGCTCTTTCTCCCCAATTCCCACATTCTCTCCTTTCCGTCTTAGCTAAGCTGTAGGAAATGGCATCCATGCTCACTATCACCCTGGACGTCTCTGCCCCCGCACTGCACAGACATCAGCCTTGATGAGGTAACTGGGGACCTCCTTGTTGCTTTATCTGAACACACCTTTTAGTCTTTATTCTATTTGTTTACTTTGTGGAATTTAACCACTCTGTCATTCTTTTAAACACTCATTTCCCTCGGTGCCAATACAGCACATTCTCCTTGTTTTCCTTTCATCTCTCTAGCTGTTCCTTCTTAATCTCCTCTGTGAGCAGCTCATACTCTATTGCCTAAATATGATTGTTTAGGGCTCTGCCCTTCCTATGCAGTCTTCATGGCTACCTTCATCCAACCCCATGGATTCAGTTATCCCCGTATGCTCTCTTTCTATCTCTGGCCTAGATCTCTATTTTGAGTTCTAGATCATTCAGTTGTCTCTTGGACACCTCAAGTGTCTCAAATTCAACTGGTCTGCAAATAAATTAATCATCGTCACCCCACCCCACCCCTAAACCTGTTTTTCCTCCTGTGTTCTGCACTTTGATGAATAGAAGTACCATTTAATCAGACACCTACATCATAACCCTGGGCTGTCCTGCTCCAATCCCTCTCCCAGTGTCTCCAGACTTTCCTAGTGATAGGATCCTGTTGTTTCTGCCTCTATGATCTCTCTGAACTCTGCCCCTCCTCGCAATTCAACTTCTATTACTCCCATGCATATCACTTATCAACTAGAAGAACGTCACAGCCTCCTAACTGATCTCCCAACCTCTCTTCTCGTGCCATTGGAATCCATCCTCCCCACAGTTGACCTTCCCTGTGTAAAAGCCTTCAATTACTCAGTGTAGCTTCCGTGATCAAATTCACACTTCTTAGCATGGCTTAGAAAGCTGCTGATGTTCCAGTGCCTTCCTATTTCTCAAGCTACGAATACTCTTCTCCTTGACTCTCACCCTACAGTTGTACTTGACCATTGGTTCTCCAGAGCGCCAGGCTTTATCTTGCTTCCTCTGTGCCTTTGAACATATTGTCGCCTCCAACTGGGATGCCAAGCCTAGCCAACCCTCATTCCTCTTTCAAGGCTCAACTCAGGTGACACTTTCTCTAGAGGCTTTCCGGACCCCCCCAGCCTAAGTTGTGTGCTCCACCTCTGTGTTCACAAAGCACCTCCTGCAAGTTCTGGCACCTCCTGTTCCATTCGCATGTAACACATCATTTCAGCATTGTCTGTTTCTGTGCTTTTCCCAAACTTCTTAAGGGTGAGGGCTGACTCTTATTCATCTTCATGTCCCCAGCAGTGAACACAGTCCCTGGCTTAATGGATGCCTGTTGAATGAATGAAGGATGAGGAATTTACAAAGGCAGTTCTATCATACTTGATTGAATCTACAAAATTTGTAATTCATCTATACCCTTCTGAGACTATTTGAAAATATGATTTTGTATCCAACTTCTCAAATGAAGAAAGATTTGGCAGTGATCCTTTTTTATCCTCTTTTTAAAAATAACCAATTAAATCAGTCTAAAATTTACACTCTGAGGTCTGAATTGTTGGGATAGATCACTGCCATATTTCCCCTTCAGTTTAAACTTGTTCCACTTTTTCTTCATTTCCTTGCAATTCTGTCTTCCAGCTCTGTAGTAACCTGAGATTACAGACTAACATATTAATTCCACTTGCCAGGCGTGGTGGCTCATGCCTGTAATCCCAGCACTTTGGTATGCCGAGTCAGGTGAATCACCTGCAGTCAGAAGTTTGAGACCAGCCTGATCTACTAAAAATACAAAAATTAGCTGGGCGTGGTGGTGGACGCCTGTAATCCCAGTTACTTGGGAGGCTGAGGCAGGAGAATCACTTGAACCCAGGAGGCAGAGGTTGCAGTGAGCCAAGATCACGCCACTGCACTCCAGCATGGGCAACAGAGCCAGACTCCGTCTCTAAATAAATAAATAAATAAATAAATAAACAAATAAATAAAGTCCACCTATGATCCCTGGGGCCACAGATAGACCCTAAAGAAAATATTAATTATATTTTTGCAGGCCGGGTGTGGTGGCTCATGCCTGCAATCCCAGCACTTTGGGAGGCCAAGGTGGGCGGATCACTTGAGGTCAGGAGTTCAAGACAAGCTTGGACAACATGGCAAAACCCCGTCTCTACTAAAAACACAAAAAAGTTAGCCAGGCATAGTGGCACACACCTGTAATCCCAGCTATTCAGGAGGCTGAGGCATGAGAATTGTTTGAACCCGGGAGGCAGAGGTAGCAGTGAGCCGAGATCACGCCACTGTACTCCAGCCTGGGCAACAGAGGGAGACTCTGTCTCAATAATAGTAATAATATTTTTGCTGATAATTTGCTCTATATGCACCCAGATAAGGCCTTTAGCTCCCATCATCTGGATTCTTCCATAAAATATCTGGAGAAGTTCAGCAGCATTGCCTCTAGATCTAGGAAAAGTAATACAGCTCTCCTAGAGAACTTGCTATAAGCAGATTTCCCTTTGGATCACACACACAAGAGCAGGAGAGGGAGTGGCCCTCTTCACAGCACTCACAGAGCCCACCCCTTTGGGAGGCCCAGTGCTTGGGTATGTGGCTATGATGGCCTGGAAGTTATCTGGATATACCAATTCTGCAGCTGGGTCGACACAGACTTGCCTTTCTGACGCCCAAGTAGTGAGGCTGGAGCAAAGGAGGAGCAGAGCTGGGATTAGGTCCTTGTAGGCAACTGATCAGCTTTTCTCAGCCAGGCTTCTGTAAGAGAATTAAGCGCTGGAAAAAATGAATTGAGAGACTATATCCTCAATTCCCCCGTCTTAGTCCATTTTGTGCTGCTATAAAAAAATACTACAGACTGTGTGATTTATAATGAAGAGAAGTACATTTTGCTCATGGTTTTGAAGGCTGGGAAGTCCAAGATCAAGGGCCTGTATCTGGTGAGGACCTTATTGCTGCATTATCCAATCCATGGCAGTAGGCAGAAGGACAAGTGAGGGCCAAAGAGAGCCAGGAAGTTGAAATTGTCCTTTTATAACAAACCCACTTCCATGATAATGGCATTAATCCATTCATGAGAGCAGTGCCCCCATGACCCAAACCCTTTCCATTAGGCCCCAGCTCCCAACATCACTGCACTGGGGATTGAGTTTCCAATGTATGAACTTTGGAGGACACATTCCAAACACAGCACTCCCAAAGATTCTAGCTGGTCCCATTCTGAATTCATAGGGAAGAAATTAACTCTATATAATGGATGCCTTAGGGCAGTAAGGGCTTAAATTGTCTTCTGAAATTCCAGTTGTCAAGGGCTGACATTGCGCCATTTTGCTTACACTGAGTTTCCTCAAGGTGGATCATCTCACCTACCCCAATGGCAGCATCTCTTCCACTTGCTACTTAGTGATAACCCACTTGTCCCATGTCCTCAACTTCACTGAAAAGTATAACAAATTCTTCTTTTTTTTTTTTTGTTTTTTTTGTTTGTTTGTTTTTTGAGATGGAGTCTAGCCCTGTCACCAGGCTGGAGTGCAGTGGCGTGATCTTGGCTCACTGCAACCTCTGCCTTCTGGGTTCAAGCGATTCTCCTGCCTCAGCCTCCTGAGTAGCTGGGATTACAGGCACACGCCACCACACCCGGCTAATTTTTGTATTTTTAGTAGAGATGGGGTTACACCATGTTGGCCAGGATGGTCTCAATCTCCTGACCTCGTGATCCTCCCACCTCGGCCTCCCAAAGTGCCGGGATTACAGGCGTGAGCCAAGTATAATAATTTTTAAATCACCAAGAAAATATCTAATAATGATCCCAGAGTACTAAAGACTCAAGTGTTCCAGTGGTCAAAGTTCTTTCAGGTTGGGAGGCTTTTGGTTTTACTTCCAGTCTCTGTAATCTTTGCCTTAAAAGCAGGAGAAGGGGGTGATACAAAGAACACAGACATGATATTTCTAAATTTGTTTTATTTGAAGAAAAGTATGCTTATAATGTAATAAGGCTCATCATAGACAGTATGCAAAACGTGGGAAAAAAAGGAAAATAGCCAATAATTCTTTGTCTTAGCTAAAGATATCAGCCATTGTCAATTTTCTTGTTTGTTTGTTTTTGAGACAAGGTCTTGCTCTGTTGCCCAGGCTGGGGTGCAGTGGTGCAATCTCAGCTTACTGCTCCCACGTGCCACCACTCCCAGCTAATTTTTTTGTATTTTTTGTAGAGACAGGGATTTGCCATGATGTCCAGGCTAGTCTCAAACTCCTGGACTCAAGCAATCCTCCCTCCTCAGCCTCCCAAAGTGCTGGGATTACAGTTGTGAGCTACGGCTCCCTGCTTCAGTTTTTTCTGAGTGTATAATTCTGTATGTATTTTTCTTTTTGTAGTTGAGATCATTTAATGCACAGCCACATATTCACATAAATTGTGTTCCCTACCTTATTTATTTATATTTTTGCTTATCATATTATAATTGCTTTTCCCATGTCACTAAAATTCTTCCTAAACATTGTTTTCAGTGGATGTCATCATAGTCTATTGTATGGCTGTGTTGAACCATTTGCCTATATTTGGACATTTACATGGCTCCCAATAAATACACTTTCCAAGGCCCTAAACAGATCCCCAGAGCCTCAGCACGGGCTCCTTCTCTTGGCCTTTGGCGCCCATCCCCAGAGAGATGGAGTCAGCCAAACAAGATGATAAACAGAACAGTTAACACACTGCTTCCCCAGCTGAGCCTTATGGGCTGATGGGTGAAACAAAGCCCCTAAAAGAGAAAAAAGACTCACTGGGCACTGGAAACGCAGAGACTTATGGTCAGCTCACAGCACAGACACTCCATAGCCCAGAGAAACATAAGGCCACACATGTTATTCTTTTAGAGGATCAAGTTCCTAATATTGGACCATCTGCCAAGCAGAGCAAAGCCCCACCTCCCTCTCGCTTTGACTCCCTGTGGGGAAATGTGTCGGTTTGTATGCAGTATAGATAGAGCACATATGCCTGGTTTTTCTTCCTTTGGGGAGGAAAAAAATGTTACTACCTAAAAAGAAAACTGGCTGGGTGTGGTGGCTCACACTTGTAATTCCAACACTTTGGGAGGCTGAGATGGGAGGCCTGCTTGAGCCCAGGAGTTCGAGACCAGCCTGGGCAACACAGGGAGACCCCGCCCCCCAGTCTCTCCAAAAGAATTTAAAAATTAGCCAGGAATGGTGGTGCACGCCTGTGGTTCCAGCTACTTGGGAAACTGAGGTGGGAGGATCACTTGAGCCTGGGAGGTTGAGGCTGCAGTTAGCCATGATCACACCACTGCACTCCAGCCTGGGCACAAAGGAAGACCCTGTCTCAAAAAAATTTAAAAAATTAAAAATAGAAAAGAGAAAGAGATTGAAAAAAAAAAAAACAAGCCTCCAGCCTTGAAAAATTTCAGGTCTTGGGTGGATGTCAAGAAGAGAAGGTCAACTGGTTCATCCTCCTGCTTCTACAGGGCCCTACCCTAAAAACATTCCACACCAATACCAAACCATAACCAAATGGTCATGCAAAGTAATTTTCCCCTTCCAAGAAAAATGGAAAGTGTCTTACTCCCAGAAGCTTGTAGGTAAGTACTTAGTTGCTGTCTTAGAACATCACACAATATGCCCCAGCTCATCCATGCGCAATAAAAGCAGAACCTAATGCCTTGGGTCTGAAGATTTATGGGCTTCCACATACGTTATCTCTTTTGATCCTTGCTTCAGCCTTATAAGGTAGACAGGGGAGGTAAATTTTAATCTACTTGACAGGTGAAGAATCTGAGGCTTAGAGAGGTCACCAGCTGGTGGCCAAGGAAGATCTTTTTTTTTTTCTTTTTTTTTTGAGCTGGAGTTTTGCTCTTGTAGCCCAGGCTGGAGTACAGTGGCACAATCTCAGCTCACTGCAACCTCTGCCTCCTGGGTTCAAGCAATTCTCCTGCCTGAGCCTCATGAGCTGGGCTTACAGGTGGGCGCCACCATGCTGGCTAATTTTTGCATTTTTAGTAGAGACAGCGTTTCACTATGTCGGCCATGGCTGGCCTTGAACTCCTGACCTCAAATGATCTGCCCGCCTCAGCCTCCCAAAGTGCTGGGACTACAGGTATGAGCCACCACGCTCAGCCGGAATATCTTGAACTCTTTTCTTTGTCTCTCTCTTTTTTCTTTTTCCAGAGATAGGGTCTTGCTCTGTCACACACACTAGAGTGCAATGGTGCAGTCATAACTCACTGCAGCCTTGAACTCCTGGCTTCATCCTCCGGCCTCAGCCTCCCAAGTAGCTACGACTGCAGGCACATGCCACTATGACTGGCTATTTCTTTCTTTTCTTTCTTTCTTTCTTTCTTTCTTTCTTTCTTTCTTTCTTTCTTTCTTTCTTTCTTTCTTTCTTTTTTTTCTTTCTTTCTCTCTTTCTTTCTTTATTCTTCCTTTCTTTCTTCTTTCTTTTCCTTCCTTCCTTCCCTCCCTCCCTCCTTCCTTCCTTCCTTCCCTCCCTCCCTCCTTCCTTGCTTCCTTCCTTCCTTCCTTCCCTTCCTCCCTCCTTCCTTGCTTCCTTCCCTCCCTCCCTCCTTCCTTGCTTCCTTCCTTCCTTCCTTCCCTCCCTCCCTCCTTCCTTGCTTCCTTCCTTCCTTCCCTTCCTCCCTCCTTCCTTGCTTCCTTCCTTCCTTCCTTCCTTCCCTCCCTCCCTCCCTCTCTCCCTCCCTCCTTCCCTTGCTTTCTTTTTTTTTTTTTTTGAGACAGAGTCTTGCTCTGTCACCCAGGCTGGAGTGCAGTGGCGCTATCTCGGCTCACTGCAAGCTCCGCCTCCCGGGTTCACGCCATTCTCCTGCCTCAGCCTGCTGAGTAGCTGGGACTATAGGTGCCCGCCACCGCTCCCGGCTAATTTTTTTTTTTTTTGGTATTTTATTAGAGATGGGGTTTCACCGTGTTAGCCAGGATGGTCTTGATCTCCTGACCTCGTGATCTGCCCGCCTCGGCCTCCCAAAGTGCTGGGATTACAGGCGTGAGCCACTGTGCCCAGCCTCTCTCTTTCTTTTCTTTTTCTTTCTTTTCTCTTTCTTTCTTTTCTTTTTCTTTCTTTTCTTTCCTTTTTCTTTTTCTTTCCTTTCTTTCCTTTTCTTTCTTTCTCTCTCTCTCTCTCTCTCTCTCCCTCCCTCTCTCTCTCTCTCTCTCTTTTTCTTCTTTCTTGTTGAGACAGCATCACACTCCCGGTCACCCAGGCTAGAATACAGTGGCACGATCACAGCTCAAGGCGACCTCGACTTCTAGGCCTCATATGATTCTCCCACTTCAGCCTCCTGAGTAACTGGGACTACAGGCGTGCATCACCACATTCAGCTAACGTTTTGTATTTTTAGTAGAGATGGGGTTTTGCCATGTTGCCCAGGCTAGTCTCGAACTCCTGAACTCAAGCAATCTGCCCCCCGTTGGCCTCTCAAAGTGCTGGGATTACAGGCATGAGACACTGTGCCCGGCTACAATTAAAAACAATTTTTTTTTCAATAGACAGGGTCTCACTATGTTGTCCAGGCTGATCTCAAACTCCTGGTCTCAAGGGATCCTCCTGCCTCAGACTCCTGAGTAGCTGGGATTACAGACTTGAGCCACTGTGCTGGCTCTGAACACTTTCTTTTGACCTCAAGTTGCAACAAACTGTGCATAACTTAATAGAAAAAATAATCTGTCCCTCCAGCCTTCTTTTTGGGCCTCCATCTGAATGGGAGATGCATCTCTTTGTTCAGCAGTTATGAAGCATCCACTGTGTGTCAAATTCCAGGATGGGTGTTGCTCAGTCTTGGTGGCCCTTTCAGCAGCAGCTTTCCTGTCACCGTGCTGCACTCTGGAAACCCTCTGCACTCTGAGATGGGTACTGGCCATGCTCCAGCGCTGCCCTCTGGGAGACCCTGGGGAAGGGCTGTCAAGAGTCACTCCTGGCCTGGCGCAGTGGCTCACGCCTGTAATCCCAGCACTTTGGGAGGCCGAGACGGGTGGATCACCTGAGGTCAAGAGTTTGACACCAGCCTGGCCAACATGGTGAAACCCTATCTCTACTAAAAATACAAACGTTAGCCGGGCATGGTGGTGCGCACCTGTAATCCCAGCTACTCGTGAGGCTGAGGCAGGAGAATTACTTGAACCCAGGAAGCGAAGGTTGCAGTGAGCCGAGATCGTGCCACTGCACTCCAGCCTGGGTGACAGAGTGAGACTCCATCTCAAAAAAAAAATTCACTCCTTTAAAATACCCAATGCAGTGTTTTTAGAAAAAAAGCAGTATTCAGTATATTCGGCAAATATACTGAATATAATAGTGTATTATATATATTATATTATATATAACAATATTATATTCAGTATATTCAGTGTGAATATATATTCAGTATATTCACAAAGTTGTACAACACCACTACCTGATTCCAGAATATTTTCATCAGTCCCAAAAGAAACCCCACAGCTATCATCAGTGACCCTTCATTTCTCCTCCCACCAGCCACTGGCAACCGCTAATCCATTTTCTGTCTCTACAGATTTGCCTATTCTGGACATTTTGTGTACATGGAATCGTAAAATATGTGGTCTTTCAGATCTGGCTTCTTTCAGTTATGTTTTCAAGGTTCATCCATGATAGAGCATGGTACTTTATTCCTTTTAATGGCTGAATATTATACCATTTTAATGAGGTATGACATTTTGCTGAGTCATTCTTCAGTTAATAGACTTTGGGTGCTTTCCATTTGGGGGCTAATAGGAGTAATGCTGCTGTGAACATTTGTGTGGAAGCTTTTTGTGGACATATATTTTCAATTCTCTTGGGTCTGTATTGAGGCATGCAATTGCTGGGTCATGTGGCAACTCTATGTTTAACTTTTTGAGGAACTGCCAGACTGTTTTCCCAAGTGGTTGCACTATTTATATCTTACCAGCAACATACAAGGGGTCCAATTTCTCCACATCCTTGTCCACACTTATTATTGTCTGTCTTTTTGATTATAGACACCCAATAGGTGTGAAGTATATCTCATCACGGTTTTGCCAATCTCAAAGGGCATGGATTTTGTTTCATTAAATAATGTGGTGATTTTCTTTTTCTTTTTTTTTTTGAGATGGAATCTCACTCTGTCGCCCAGGCTGGAGTGCACTGGCATGATCTCAGCTCACTGCAAGCTCTGCCTCCCGGGTTCACGCCATTCTCCTGCCTCAGCCTCCCGAGCAGCTGGGACTACAGGCGCCCACCACCACGCCTGGCTAATTTTTTGTATTTTTAGTAGAGATGGGGTTTCACTGTGTTAGCCAGGATGGTCTCGATCTCCTGACCTCGTGATCCGCCCGCCTCAGCCTCCCAAAGTGCTGGGATTATAGGCATGAGCCACTGCATCCGGCCATAATGCGGTGATTTTCTTGACCTATTCTGTAAGTCCCTTTCCTCTTCCTGATAACTCACTTTTCAGAGTCACCATATTTACTCCCGTGGTTTTCATTGCTACGTATACACCAATGACTCCCAAACCTACCTGTCAAGCCTAGATCTCCTTTCTGAGCCCCAGATCTTTTTTTTTTTTTTTTTTTTTTTTTGAGATGGAGTCTCACTCTGTCGCCCAGGCTGGAGGGCAGTGGTGCAATCTCAGCTCACTGCAACCTCCACCTCCTGGGGTCAAGCAGTTCTCCAACCTCAGCCTCACGAGTAGCTGGGACTGCAGGCTCGCACCACCATGCCCAGCTAATTTTTGTATTTTTAGTAGAGATGGGGTTTCACTATGCTGGCCAGGCTAGCCTCGAACTCCTGACCTCGTGATCTGCCCGCCTCAGCCTCCCAAAGTGCTGGGATTACAGGTGTGAGCCACTGCGCCCAGCCCAGATCTTTATTAATGCCAACCTGTTAGGCATTTAAATTTTGTCATGGCCAAAACAGTTGATCATCTCAAGTGCCACCCTCATCTCCCCGCTCCATATTCCCCGCCATGGTTATAAGCATCACTCTCTAACCAGGCAACCAAACTGGAAATCAGGGAGTCATCCTCCACTTCTCCTCGGCATTGTCCACTTCACTGAATCTTATTAACTGTACCCTAGAAATGTCCATGGAATGCATCTCCACTCCTCTGTGTTCACTGCTCAGCCTGGTCCAAGATCTCATCATTTCCTTTCTTTTTTTCTCTTCTTTCTTACTTTTTTATTTATTTATTTATTTTTATTTTTAGAAACAGGGTCACACTATGTTGCCCAGGCTGGTCTCAAACTCCTGGGCTCAAGCAAGCCTCCTGCCTTGGCTTCCCAAAGTGCTGAGATTACAGGCGTGAGCCACCGCGCCCAGCCTCCCACCCCCTATTCTATATTCGCTGGGTCCTGCACTGTGTAGAGGCCACTTGGCCTCCTTGATTTAATGGCTTGACATCCTTGTTTGCTCCCTGTCTTCCCAGTAGGTCTTGGCTTTTCTTTCTCCCTTCCAGTAGAATATCCAGACCCACCTCCTAATTGTCCTTGAGCTTAAAGACTCAGCTTACTCCTCAGCTATTTCTCAACTATGATTGACTTCCTCAGCAAGCAAGTGGAATTCTGGTCTCTGTGGCCTTGGCATAGGAAAAACCGGTGTCTCCAAGGGCCTCAGCTGCTAAAAGGGAGCTGCATTTAGGAGTTGTATTGACCCTGTAGCATGATGTCTTTCCAGAACAATTCACAAGGCCTGGGAAAGTATGTCATTTTACTGGGGTAGTAATCCCCAGTCAGAGAGTCAATGGTGGGTGGGAGGCTGAGGCGGGCGGATCGTCTGAGGTCAGGAGTTCAAGACCAGCCTGGCCAACATGGAGAAACCCTGTCTCTGCTAAAAATACAAAAATTAACCAGGCGTGGTGGTGGGTGCCTGTAATCCCAGCTACTTGGGAGGCTGAGGCAGGAGAATCACTTGAACCCCGGAGGTTGAGGTTGCAGTGAGCCAAGATCATGCCATTGCACCCCAGCTGCCTGGGTGACAAGAACAAAACTTGGTCTCAAAAAAAAAAAAAAAAAAAAAAAAAAAAGAGAGAGAGCCAGTGGCGGGTGGAGATGGCATTGAAGCCAATATATTCCTTCTACTCTTTGAAGTCCTGGGCTCTTCTGGAGACTTTAGGAAGACACTGAAAAAGGCTGCTTACAATAGTTTAGTGGCCAGGATGGAGAGATGTGGACTGGAAGGTGATGCAGGTGGATGCTGATTGGTGGCTCCCTGGAGGCCTGTAGTAGGATACCAGAGAGTTCTGCCCTGGAGTCTGCCCTGGTTAGTGGACAAAAAGATCCAGAAGGCACATGTACCACACTGGCAGATTATCTGAAGCTGAGAGTCACAGTGAGCTTTTAAACAGCAGAACCAGGATTTAGAAAATTCTAGTCAGGCTGGAATGGCAGGCTTAGTCTAACAGATGAACTTTTCTAGCCCACAGAAAAGCAGCCTCAGGGAGAGGACCCAATACCTACAGAGCACTCACATAGAAGAGAAGGGGTCACCTTGCTTTATACAGTCCCTGGGAATAACAGGACCAAATGGGCTTTCTGACACAGAGTCAGGTTAAAAAAGAAGAAAAGGGGCCAGGCGTGGTGGCTCATGCCTGTAATCCCAGCACTTTGGGAGGCCAAGGCAGGCAGATCACCTGAGGTCAGGAGTTTGAGACCAGCCTGGCCAACATGGTGAAACCCCGTCTCTACTAAAAATACAAAATCAGCCGGGCATGGTGGTGGGCACCTGTAATCCCAGCTACTTGGGAGGCTGAGGCAGGAAAATTGCTTGAACCCAGGAGGCGGAGGTTGCAGTGAGTACCACTGCACTCCAGCCTGGGTGAAGGACTGAGGCTCTGACCCCCCAAAAAAAAAAAAGTTTCTGTCTTTTAGAGATACACACTGAGGCCAGGCATGGTGGCTCACACCTGTAATCCCAGCAAAAGTGAGGCCAAGGCGGGAGGATTGCTTGAGGCCAGGAGTTTGAGACCAGCCTGAGCAACATAGCAAGACCCCAGATCTACAAAAATAAAAGTTAGCCAGGCATGGTGGCACATGCCTGTAGTCCTAGATACTCGGAAAGCTGAGGCAGGAGGATCACTTGAGCCCAGGAGTTTGAGGTTATAGTGAGCTATGATCATACCACTACACTCCAGCCTGGGTGACAGAGTGAGACCCTGTCCCTAAAAAAGAAATAGAGTACACACTGAAATATGTATGCATGAAATGATACACCTGGAATTTGCTTTCAAATAATGTGAGATTGTGACAAAAATGGGTGGGCATCAGATGAAACAAGATTGGCCATATGTAGAGAATCGCTGAAGCTGGGCAATGGGTACCTTGAGGTTCATTGTGCTGTTCTCTCTAGTTTGTTGTACAGTCGAACTTTTCCACATATAAAGTTAAAAAGAAGGAGGAGGAACAAAAGAAGAAGTGTTAGCCAGGCAGAGAAGAAAGCGAGAGGACATCCTGTGTGGCAGGAGCAGCATGCATAGGCAACAAGACCCAAGAGAGCCCAGCATGGGGTAGGGCAGCAAGACCCAAGAGAGCCCAGCGTGGCTGTTCCTCACTGTAACCAGAGTGCAGGCAGGAAGGGGAGGGCGCACAGAGGCAGGCACAGGCCAGGTCACGGAGGGCTTTGTTGCCATGCTACAAAGTCTGCACTTCATCCTGAAAGCATGGGAGCCATGGATCAGAATCACATTTTGAAAGGTCTTTCTGGAGACAGAGTGCACTCAAAGAGAAGGAAGACAGGAGGCAGGGGGTTCAGTGGGGAGGCAAGAGATGATGGAGGCCGCAAACACAGCAATGGTGAGGGGATGTGAGGAAGCTAATCTCAGCTATGTTAGGAAGGTGGGATGAAGGGAACGTGGTGAGGGAAAAAGGAAGCGTCAAGGCTGATGTCCCAGTGTCTGTGGGGTGGGAGAGCCATTCCTGAAGAGGGAGAAGGCGGGAAGACAGAGAGCTGCACCATCCCTGATCCCTGGCCTCTTAGGCCTAGGACTGGCTACAGAATTTGCAGGGCTTAGCGCAAAATGAAAATGTGCTCAAGAATTACTAAAACTTTCAAGACGATGACAGCAGAGAATTAAACCAAGCGTAGGGCCCTCTGAGCATGGGGCCCTGGAGCACTGCAGAGGTCAGACACCATAAAGCTGCTCCTGCTTTAGCCAATGTACCCTTTTCTGTTTAGAAGGAACAGGAGAGGGGCTGTATGAAAGCCAGGCCTCCTGCTCACAGCCCCAGGCAGTAAAAGAACAGTATGTTCCTTCTGCCACCCTCCGGGACCTAAGTGGGACCCAGAAGCCTGGGACAAATAGCTTGCATTTGTGTAGATCTTTACAACATTTCCCAGACTTGCTTGGGTTTTCCTTGGTGCTGGGATAAAATGAAGAAGCAGAAAGTACTAGCCAGGCACTTCAGAGAGCAGAGTGCTACAGTGACTTGTTTATCTCCCCAAAGAGATTTCCCGGTTTCTCCAAAAATGGGGTTTGCTACAAGCTTCCCAGTATGAGTCACCAGACCAGTTGGCAAAGCATTTAGTTCTGCTGAGAGCAATGGAGTTGACCCTTCATTGGCCGAGAAGATCTGCCACAAGAACCTTCATCCCCCTAGTGATGGGTTCTGCATAACCCCCAGGCAGAAGCCAGAATGGCGCTGACTGTGAAGTCTTAGCTATTGCAGGCTGTGTTGCATGCCCTCACCTCAAAACGCCTCTGTCTTTCTCTACTTGCAGTGAATGCAGAAGCCTTGGTGGTAGGGGTAAGGGCCTAGGTGAAACACAGACACCGCTCACCGTGCCTTCCTTTCTGGTGCCTCTTGATGGCTCTTGGCAGGCTTTTGAGGTCAGGCCACCTTCCCCCATTTACCATCCCTTTCACTAGAAACCCTGGTCCTTAAAGACTCAAGGCAGGCAAGAACCCTCCCAGCCTTGGCAGAGTTTGGTGACACATGCAGTGTAAGTGCCCAGCCACCCACATCTGCACATTATCCTTGTCTTTTCCAGAAGGTTTCTTTGCTCCCCTTCCCTACAAAGACAGAGCAGGCCCTGAGATGGTGGCGTTCACTCCTCTTGTAAAGCCTGGTCTCCCGCAGGACTGCATCAGAAAATGCCCTTTTTTTCCCAGGTTCACAAACCGCTGCCCTTTTCTTGGCTGCCATTGCGCCACTCCGACCCCTGGAGATCATCTTGGGAGGTAAAAATGAATCATGGCGTTTCTGTTTATGCTGGAGCTGGAGGCAGTGCCTGAGACCCTTTGGCCCTCTGCTCAGCACTGATGTTTATCACCGGGGCTGATGTGTAATTGCTGGAACAGAGCCAGGCGAAGGTCAGGCTGCGAGGCAGGTCCTGGGCACAGCACAGCCGGGCTGAAGACTGAGCACAGTGACGGGGAATCCCCTCCCTCCCACCTCTGGCCCCATCCATCCCTCCTCCCCACACCACGGCCTGATGCCTCTTGGTTTTTAATTTTGTTTTGTTTTTGCTGTGAAACTCAGTTATTTAAAGACAATTTTGTTTCTTTTTCATAAAACAGCTTTTGTTGGTTTTTGTTTTGTTTTGTTTTGTTTTGTTTTTTGAGACAGGGTCTCTCTCTGTTGCTCAGGCTGGAGTGCAGTGGCATGATCACGGCTCACTGCAACCTCGACCTCCCTTGGCTCAGGTGATCCTCTCACCTCAGCCTCCCAGGTAGCTAGGGCTACAAGCACATGCCACCACGCCTGGCTAATGTTTGTATTTTTTGTAGAGATGGAGTTTCACCATGTTGCCCAGGACGGTCTTGAACTCCTGGGCTCCAGCTTCCCCTCACCCTGACCTTCCAAAGTCCTGGAATAGATGTGCCTTTGTTGTATTTTTCTGATCATAAAAGTAGTTCAAGCCAGGTGTGGTGGCTCACACCGTAATCTCAGCACTCCGAGAGGCCAAGGTGTGTGGATCGCTTGAGCCCAGAAGTTTAAGACCAGCCTGGGCAACATGGCGAAACCCCGTCTCTACAAAAAATACAAAAATCCGCTGGGTGTGGTGGTGCATGCCTGTAGTAGCAGCTACCTAGGAGGCTGAGGTGGGAGGATCACAAGCTGGAGGAAGTCAAGGCTGCAGTGAGCCGTGTCACACCACTGCACTGCAGCCCAGAGGAGAGAATGAGACCTTGTATCAAAAAAAAAAAGTTCAGACATTAGACACTGAAAGGCTTCGGATGGGTCTGGCCTTCAGCAAGGTCCCTGGGGCTGCCGTGCAAGGATCGCCCTGGAGGAGGTCAGCGAAACCGAGAGGAGGTTGTTGCTATAACCCCATGAGAGGTGATAGTGGCCTGGACCAAGGGAACATCTGTGAGGATGGAGGAGAGGGATTGATCTGAGTGGGGTTCAGGCTGTAGTATCTGTGTGCAGGTAACGAGGGAGTATATAATAGGTCGATTTCCCAGCCTTCCCCCAAAATCACTTGGGCTACTGGTAGGGAAGGGTGAGTGAGTGCAGAGCGGGGTGCAGAGGGGTCCACGTTGCCTCCCCACAGATCCCTCCTTTCCTCTTCCCAGCCGGGTTCTGATTGGAGTCACTGGGTGTTTAGAGGAGCCACTTGCCCAGATAGGGAATAGTGCAGGGGTCGGCAAGGCAGTGGGGGAAGATAAGGAGTCCAGTTTTTGAGGTACTTTGGGGCACACAAACCAAGATATTCATTAGACGGTACTACCTTCCTAGTAGTGTCTGGCCCAGAGATCCAGCTTTGAGAGACATCAGTACGTAGAATGCAGCTGATGCCATCAGAATGGATGAGATAATCCGGTGAGAGGCTCTAAAGGTGAAAACAAAGGAGGCCTAAAATAAGACCTTGCCAACACCCACATGTCTCAAGGAAGAGGGTCCTTGAAGGAGGCCTAAAGGAGCTATCAGAGAGCTAGGAGGAAAGCCATGAAGGCTGCGGTGGAAACCGATGGGGAAGCGTTTTGAAGGAAGGACCTGGCCAATAGCGCCAGATGCTTCCCACGCAGTTTGAGCAATATATGAAATAAAAGATAAATCCGACTTAGTGACAGGAGGGTCAGAAGTGATCTGGATGAAACTAATTTCCATGGAATGTTGGGGGTGAGGCAAGAGTGTGTTGGATTGAGGAATGAATACGGATCAAAAAGTAGAGCTCTTTGAGGAAGTTTGGGTATACGGGAAGGCTGGCGCTACAGCTGGAAGGGACTGTGGACAGAAGGAGGATCTGATTAACCGGGAGAGATGGGCAGGTTTAAAGGGTGGTGGGAAGGGGCCAGGAAAGAGGGAGAGGCTAAGGCTGTGGAAGAGGGTGCGGGAGTGCAATGTGGGGAGGAGGGGTGGGCACCAGAGTGCGTGGGGAGGGGTGAGCCTGGGCAGGAGGAGAGGGAAGGTGAAAGATGAGCCTGGAGGTGAGTTTGTAGAAGAGGTGGCAGGAAGTTGGAGAATTGCCATGGGTTGTTTCCTCTGTCTGCCTGGGAAGAAATTAGAGGAGATTGTCTGCCAAGAATAGGGGTGGAGTGGGACGAGAGATACTAAGAGAAGGGAGAAGAATTCGGATAGATGCTATGAAGAACCAGGAGAGAGCTAGACCCATAATGACAGTTACCTTTTATTGAAAGCTTCCTGTGCAGCCACAGGAAGTGGATGTGTTATCCACTCACCTCAATGAAGCCTTAATACCGCCCCGTACCAGATGTGATCCCCGTTTTACAGATGAGGAAGGCAAATTAACCTGTCCATGTTGACATAAGAGCAAAGTGTGGAACCCTGGCCTTCTGACTCTCAAGCTGGTCCTCAGCATTGGCGCCACTTGTGAGTGTTAGGGTTCACAGGGGCTGCAGACAGTGGACGGCACCACGTGGGGTGTGGGCTACTCTCCCCAGATAGCCCAGCACCTGGGAGGAGGAGCCACACAGGCCTGCAGTCAGTGCTTTGGCTGTAGGGTTGGGGCTTTGGCTGGCACGTGTGACTGGGGTTGAGGATACTGGCAAGGTGATGACTGACGTGCTGGATAGAACAAGAGGTGAAGCAGTCAAGGTGGGTGGTGCAGAGAAGTCAGAATTTGGGTCTCATGGCCAGCGGTTCCACTTTTGGGTCCATCTACACTCCCAAAGAGTTGAAAGCAAGGACCCACACAGATATGTTCATAGCAGCATTATTCACAATAGCCAAAAACAGCCCAAGTGTCTATCAATGGATGAATAGATAAACAAGCTACATAAATTATACATTTTATGTATAATTTACATAAAATGCTAAAATTATCAAGGTATATACATACAATGGAATACTATTCAGCCTTAAACAGGAAGGAAACTCTGAATTCAAATTTTGGAGGTGTCCCCATTTCACAGGCAGCAGCCTCCATTTGGCAGGGCTTAAGCCTCACTCTTGCCCACATACCTTCCTCAGCAGCAAAAGGGTTAGCAATGATCTAGATGAGAATTGAGGATTAAGGAGGCGAGCCTTGTCCTGGAACAGCATAGTTTTTATTTTTTTTCTTTTGAGACAGAGTCTGGCTCTGTCGCTCAGGCTGGAGTGCAGTCGTGCAATCTCAGCTCACTGCAACCTCTGCCTCCTGACTTCGGACGATTCTCCTGCTTCAGCCTCCTGAGTAGCTGAGATTACAGGTGCTGACCACCATGCCCGGCTAATTTTTTGTATTTTTGGTAGAGATGGGGTTTCACCATGTTGCCCAGGCTGGTCTCGAGCTGGTGACCTCAAGTGATCCACCCGCCTCGGCCTCCCAAAGTGCCGGGATTACATGCATGAGCCACTGTGCCCAGCCTGAAACATCACTTTCTGAGTGGTGATCCAAGGAAAAGCCACTAAAGAAAGTAGCTAACAGAGGACAGTTCTGGGAGTTGTGTCTTTGCTTGATGCTGACAAGTCTCTTGTTTGCTAAAACAAACTCAACTTCTTTCCAGCTGCTCAGTCCTTTGGGAGAAAGGGTGAAGATGGACAATAAAATGGCTGTCAGTCCCCCGCCTGGTCCCAGCTTCCCACCTCTGGCCCAGTGAGGCTGGGCTTCTCCTTGTTTACTACATTCCTTTAGGGAACGTCAGTGGTGGGCAGGCTCTGGGAGCTGGCCTGCCTTGCCTCGCTGCCTCTCAGCTCCCACCGCCTTCCTCACAGCCCTGGACATCCTCAAGTTTGCAGGCCTTAGCAGGTAACCAAACACCCTGGTGTCCTTCTCAGTGTGGACTCCAGGAAGTTTGTTTTTGTTTTCGTTTTTTCTGAGATGGAGTCTCACTCTGTCACCCACACTGTCACCTCTAGGCTGGGAGTGCAGTGGTGCCATCTCGGCTCACTGCAACCTCTGCCTCCCGGGTTCAAGTGATTCTCCTGCCTCAGCCTCCGGAGTAGCTGGGATTACAGGCGCCCGCCACCACGCCCGGCTAATTTTTGTGTTTTTAGTAGAGATGGGGTTTCACCATGTTGGTCAGGCTGGTCTCAAACTCCCGACCTCAGGTGATCCACCCACCTTGGCCTCCCAAAGTGCTGGGATTACAGGCATGAGCCACCGCACCTGGCTGACACCATTTTCTTATTCATTCATTCAGCAATTCTCAGCATCTACTATGTGCCAAGGCATCATACTGTGTGCCAGGCATCGAGTCAGTAATAAACCATATTTCATGTCCCTGATCCTGCAGGGGAGATGGACAAAGAAACAGAGTGATAGGGGCCAAGATAAGGGAGGGAGTGAAGGGAGCTGTGGGGGAGGGGGAGGAGAAGGGCTTGGGGGTCAGGGGTCACTTCCCAAAGCACACCATGCTTGATGCTGACATTGATCCTGGACCATGAGTAGAGTGAGGCCGGGTAAAAATGGGGTGGAGCAATGCCTGTGCGAAGGGACAATGTTGTAGGATGAAGCTTGGGTATAAGGAAGTAGATGAGGCTGCAGAGGGAAGCCTCTTCCTCTACATGCTCTGCTCCATCCATTTACCAAACTTCCACTCCTCCTTCAGGAACCAGCTCAAATGTCTCTGCCTGCATGGAACTTTCCTTCACTCCTTCCAGGTGCAACCTCCTGGCTCTGTGCTCCACATACATTAGCAGACTGGAAGGGCTTTCTCAGGCTTACTGTTTGCTTCTGCCAGAAACCCCCTGTGGATCTTGTTAGTGCTCAGCCAGGCCTCCTCCACAGGCCCTGCTCTGTGCCCCAGGCTCCCTGTAGTTAGTGCCATTCATGTATTCTTCGGGTTGCCTCTTCCCAGCCTTATTATGTTGTGGAGCATAGTTTTCCTACTTCCATTTATTTCCTTTTTGGCCTCAAAGTTAAGCACAGGCCTTTTCATTTGAGTCTCATTGCCAAGCACTGGGGAAAGCAACACAGGGAAGTCACAGAGTAAGGTGGCATACAGTGGAGGTCCCTAGGCCATAAACCCTGACTCCTGATGGTGTGAAAATTAGAAGCCCAATGGGTTTGTCTGTTTGTTTCAAGACAGGGTGGTCTCACTCCGTCGCCCAGGCTAGAGTGCAGTGGCATGATCTTGGCTCACTGCAACCTTCACCTCCCGGGTTCAAGGGATTCTCCTGCTTCAGCCTCCCGGGTAGCTGGGATTACAGGCACCCACCACCACGCCCGGCTAATTTTTGTATTTTTAGTACAGGTGGGGTTTCACCATGTTGGCCAGGCTGGTCTCAAACTCCTGACCTCAAGTGATCCGCACACATCGGTCTCCCAAAGTTCTGGGATTATAGGTGTGAGCCACTGCCCCCAGCCCCCAGTGGGTTTCTGACCTTGGCTTTAGTTTCTTGAGGCTGCCTTCTCCCTAACTCTGCCTTAGCAAAAGCCATCTGGACCTTTTCCTCTAGATGGTCCCTCCTCTCAGTCTGGCATGAAATCCAAGGGAATGCTGGAGAAACTTCCGGGGTGACATTCGATTCACCATCTCTCTGCAGAGATTCATACCTTATCTATCCCTGTGTCCCCAGAGCTGAGCCCAGTCCTTGGCACTTGAGTGCATCTGGCCAAATGATCACATGCCCAGATAGCTCTCTTTGGGTTTGTGTTGTGTGCTTTGCAGGGAGCTCCTGGCAGGAGTGTGGCATTCACTCCTTAGTGTATCACTGTGACCGTGGGGAGCACAGCATAGTAGTTAAGAGTATATGTGCTATAACCCAAGAGATCTGAGTGTGAACTCCAGTCCTCCCACTTACTACTGATATAGTTTAAGAATGACACCAGCCATGCAAGGTGGCGAACACCTGTAATCCCAGCTATTCGGGAGGCTGAGGCAGGAGAATCGCTTGAACCCAGGAGGCAGAGGTTACAGTGAGCTGAGATTGTGCCACTGCACTTCAGTCTGGGTGACAGACTGAGACTCCATCTCAAAAAAAAAAAAAAAAAAAAAAAAAAAAGAATGACACCATCTGCAAAAGGGGAAAATGTTACCACCGACTCCCAGAAACTGTAACTCCCCCTGAGCACACTGCCCAGAGGTAGTGAATTTGCAGCAGTTAATTTCTTAGGCACCACAGTAATGTGATGGTTGTTAAGACCATGATGATAAAAGCATACAGGCTGGGCATGGTGGCTCACACCTGTAATCCCAGCACTTTGGGAGGCTGAGGCAGGAGAATCGCTTGAGCACAGGAGTTCGAGACCAGACTGGGCAACATGGTGAAATGCATCTCTGGAAAACAAAACAAAACATAATAAAAATTAGTCAGGTGTTGTCATGCACGCTTGTAGTCCTAGCTACTCAGGAGCCTGAGGTGGGAAGATCGCTTGAGCCTGGGAGACGGAGGCTGCAGTGAGCCATGATTGCGCCACTGTACTCCAACCTAGGCAACAGGGTGAAACCCTGTCTCAAAAAAAAAAAAAAAAATGCGTATAGGAAACAGTGGGAAAGGAAGACCTCAAGGTAGAAGTGAAGGTGGGCACATGTGAAGGCCCCTGGCTCCCAGCAGCCCAAAAGGGCTCCTCCCTCAAGCCTCCTCTTGCTGAGACTGGAGCCTCACCAAGCTCTGCCCACTTCAGATGGCAGTGCTGAGGAGTCAATTACATCAATGACTTAAGTAAAGCACTTATTAGCACGGTGTCTTGCACCTTGTAAACACTAAGTGATGGCTGTGGATATTGTGATTAACATTCTTATTTCAGTGTTGGGTGGCTGGGGGTGAAGGGCTGTGTCTGGACCAGGCATTCAGGTGAAAGAGTGGCTTAGTACATAGCCCCACTAATGCAAAGAGCATAACATAGAGGTTAAAAGTTCAGACTCTAGAGCCTAAGAACCTGAACTTGAATCCTGCTTTATCGTGTAATAGCTGCATAATCTTGGGCTTCACTTTCTTCTGTAACATGGGGATGCGTTGTAGAGTCATCTGAGGACTGCATGAGTGCATAACTGGATGAGAGGCACCTGGGGCGGCATGGCAGCCAGCACTCACCACGGTTAGCTACTGTTATGCTGGAGAAGTGAGGTATTAGGAAGCTCTTGGGTACTCCCTGGAC
The DNA here is from genome assembly GCF_000001405.40 of Homo sapiens. Taxonomy (NCBI): domain Eukaryota; kingdom Metazoa; phylum Chordata; class Mammalia; order Primates; family Hominidae; genus Homo; species Homo sapiens. Next base: position 201,909,648 of record NC_000001.11, on the reverse strand, counting down.
TAAAGATTTGGGGAAAAGGATTAAACTCAGGTTGTGGAACTTGACTTCTCAGGTGGACTGGCGACCAGGGATGGGGACCATGCCCTTCAGAAATATGGGCTCAAGGCCAGGTATGGCAGCTCACACCTGTAATCCCAGGACTTGAGAGGCCAAGGCAGGAGGATTGCTTGAGGCCAGGAGTTTGAGACCAGCCTGCAACATAAGACTCCGTCTCTTCCTCCCAAAAAAAGAAAAAGAAACAAAGAAAGAAATATGGGCTCAAAGCTATGAAATGAGCTCCTCCAGTGTTAGAATTTCTCTGGTTTCTTCACTGGATGGAAGGGGTGGCCATTCTCACACCTGAGACCCCATCATCTGCAGACATTTTGCCAGGGGGCTGCATGCTACGCCCCACCCCCACGAGTTGCCTCACACACTCACAAGTGGGTTGGCTCCTGGAGTGCAGTGAGAAGCCACCGAGAGGTCAGGCAGGGTGGGAATGGAGCAGTATGGGCATCTGGGATGCCTGCAGGAGCACAGCTTTTCGTAGCTTCATGACTGCATGGGCCTTAGCTTCTCAGCCCACATTTTACCAGGTATACATGTTCCCCTGGGGGGTGCCCTGGATGACCCTTCTGAAGCCCTGAGCATGTGGGAGGCTGTGCCCACATGGCCAGCATTCTTCTGCGGAATGAGAGCACAAGCCTCCAGCGTTGCTTGTCAGGTTTATTGGGTGCGGATTGGGTCGCATGCTGTCTATCAACAGGGCCTAAGGTTGGGAGCAGGGAATGGCTGAGAGCTCTGAGGGCTCTGGAGTTGAGGGGCCATGCTGGGGCCATGTGGGAAGAGCCTGACTCCCTTCCATTTCGGACAGTTTCCATGTGGGTTATTTGGGGATGGTGCACTTTGCTGTCATCACCAAGCATTTCCAGAGTACCTGCGGTGTGTAAACCCCCTTGCTGAGTGTTCTTACTCTCTCCTGCCTTGGTCAGGGGCTGGGAGCTCCAGCTATGCAGTGCTGTCAGTAGTCTCGGAAAGTACACAAGAAGGCCGCCCTGTAGCACCCCCACAACATATACCAAAGCCCCCAACCCCAAATTAGGAATTCTGTGTTGAGCCCCTGTTTTTCAGGGGATTAACTGTGCTCCAGTATGGGCAGGAGCTGAGCATCTGTTTGGGTTTTTGTGTATAAGCCCTTGAACATTCCCAAAAGTATGTTTCCAGAGATGTTAACCTAAGGGGGTGAGGTTATACTTGCACTCCATCCTCACTTGTCATTTTCTTCTCCCTTCTCCAACCCCATTTCTGGGTCACAGTTTCCCCAGAAGTCTCTTATAACTTGGAGGGGTGAATGGAAGGGTTCCCTTAGAACTCATCCAGCACAGGCCAGTGGAGACAGCCAATGTTTCACCAGAGTGGGGGCTTTGAAGTAGCGGAAGCAGGTATGGGATGGGCTGGGAAGGGTCAGAGCTGGGATAACCAAAAAAGAGGGTTGCTGGCAGGTGCTGAGACCTAGTCCCTGAGCCACTGCCAGAACAGGAGTTGAAGAACTTCAGTCTGAGAATGGCTAAGAAAGGGGCTGCTGGCCTTTTGGGGGAGGCTGCAGTGATTCTGTGGCTGGCCTGAAGGAATGCTGTTGGCTGAAGCGGTAGCTCTTCAGCAGCGGGGAGGCCTGCTCTATGGTGGGGGGCATGCCCTCAACACCCTCTGCTACATACACTTTGATGTGAACTTGTCCCCTGGTCGGCCACGTCCCCTAAGTTGTGAGGGCAAGACTGTTTCTCATGTAGCACTGTGTCCCTCATACAGTGTTGACAGAAGCCTCTTGGTGAATGGGGCCGTGAATGGATGAACGAGCAAGGCCCGCAGCAGGATTCTTGGTGGAATGGCTTGAGAGGACAGACTCCTGGCACCCACAGGGCCCAACAAGTGTAGCTCCCTACAAGTGCTAGTTGCTATTGTTGGTGGGGATAATACCTGTCCCTATCCCACTCCACCCTGGCCTCTGTCACCATAGGACTGGGGTGGGTTTGGGGGAGGCTTCTCAAAGCAGCCTCATCCCTTCCCAGCTTGTAGCCCTCCAGGCAGGTCTCCAGGGCTTAATACATGGTCATTTCATTTTCCATGGAAAAGCACACAATGTAGTTCCATTCTGGGTAAGAACAAATTTCACCCTGCTAAACAATACCAAGATACTAAGCAAAGGGGGCAGGGGCTCAGATAGGAGGAGGTTGGGGCCCTACTGCCTGCCCTCGAGGCTTAATCACTTCTCAGAAGGACCCAGATTTTTACAGCCTATCTCCTATTCAAGGCTTTCTTGTCATCGGGATCTAGGTTTGAGTCCTGGTTCTACCACTTACAACCCAGTGAGGATCCCCAGAGGGATCAGTCCCATTGTACATATGAGACAACAGGTTCAGAGGTGCTAAGTGTCTCAGCCAAGGTCACAGAGCTAGTTAGGGGCAGAGCTGGGATTTGCACATAGGCCAACTGTCTAAAGACCCAGTGGGCTCATATGCCACTATGGGCAGAACTTTTCCGGAACAGCCCCCAGTTTTCCTGGCAGCCGTAAAGGGAACCTGTAGTTTTCTAGGGGCAATATCAGTTGTTACAAGATCTGAATCTTTGATGTCTAATGAGCTGGGCCTAGCCTCAGTAGAGGACTCCTGCTCCACATTCCACCAAGGGAAACAGGCATTACGGCCCCTACCCAGGACAGCTGGTGCCAGGAATCCAACTTTCCCCATAGGACAATGGACCTCCCTTAAACTTGTCTATATATTTATTTATTTATTTTAAATAGAGACAGAGTCTCACTCACTATGTTGCCCAGGCTAGTCCTGAACTTCTGGGCTCAAGCAGTCCTCCTGCCTCAGCCTCCCAAAGTGACAGGATTACAGGGGTCAGCCACTGTGCCTGGCCCCTCCTTAAACTTCTTTTCCAGAGACTCTAGAATCTTTCTTTTTGGTGGAAAACAATAAAAGATTTGGCACTCCACATGGAATGCGGCAGGAGACTGCAGTGGGTGAACTCCCCCGGTCCCTTCCAGCCCTGGGCCCTGCTGCCTGCCCTGCCCTGCACACCAGCCCTGTAAGGCATCTGCTGTCCCAGGGGACCTTTGACAGGCCCTCCAGCCCATAGTCAGCTCTTCCCTGCCCTCCCTTGTAAAGATAGATGAGACTGGCAGCTGCAGTGCCTGGTATCAGGAAGTCCCTAGGTGGCTGGAGGGAGTGGGCCAGAGCCCCAGTTCTTGGTGGGACAGCTTCATGGGAAATGCAGGGGAATGTTCAGGGGCTCTGAGACATGGTGGAGGCGGGTGGGGGGACTGATGCAGGATGCGGATGGACAGGTGGTAAGGAGTTTGTGCATGAGAGTGGGACTGGGAGATGTCACATATTTCCCTGGGGCTTTCCTGGTAAATATAACTTTGGTCAAGGAGAAACCAGCAGTAGGCCACAGCCTAGGCCAAGGTAAAAATGCTGTCTTCTAATGAGCTCCAGATCCACACAGACTGTAGCTTTAATGTCCTAGGGGACTTTAGCCAAGGCCTAGAAAAAGTCTCCTAGAAGCAGAGTTTGGAGACCCCATAGATCCTACCCTCAGCCAGGAGCTCGAGCTAGGGGCATTCCGGATGCCTCCAGATGAAAAGACTGCACAGGTATCACCAGGCCACATTGAGGGGACGTAGCAAGGGTGGCATCAAACCGTCGGAACTGCCATCACCTCGGTCTTGCTTTGGGAAAGGAACAAATACTTCTGAATTCACGGCAGTGGTATCACCTGTGAGGGTGCAGTCAATGCTAGTCAGCCCTGCCCTCCTTGGCTCTGCCCTCTCCTAGGCGAGTGCCTGGAAAGTGACCTCTGCAAGCACAGGCAGACTCATCTTCCAACCTCCTGCTGGAGCCATTCTCCCCAGGGTCTGTCTGCAGACTTCCTCCCTTGCAGCTACATGGGTCCAAATGACTCTGCAGAGAGGGAGATGCCTCCTCCTCAGGTGATGGGTCACAGGAAGGAAGAAGGTGACCTCAGTGGGGGACGGTGTGGGCTGGCAAGGTATCAGTGGGCTGTGGTTGCCGAATGCAGCACACAGAGGCTCTGGCCCTTGCTCTCAGCAAGTTCTCATTTTAAACTTTCTGGATAGACAAATAATCCTTTTCCTCTCATCTTTTGCCAATGGAGGTGGTGAAATGTTCTCTCCTCTGTTTAATCAGATAAGACTTCTAAAGAAAGCAGCATCAGAAGGGCCAAGGTAAGGGAGAAAATGCTGTGCTCTGCCCATCTGAACCTATCAAAGGCATTAAACTTGGATCCTAACGCACGTGGCAGACACAGAGCAACATCATGTAGCCATAAGGCCTGGAGGAGATGGGGGCAAGGAGCCGTTTCTTACTCTGAGCCCAATCACTAGGTACCTCAATGTGTCACAGGTCAGTACCGGCTTTCAGAGGTCATCCTTTCCATTCCCCTGCCTCCAACCAGGGACTCCCAAACCACCCCTGCGGGCTTCCCCTAACCCTAATGCTTTTCGCAAAGGGAAAAAATAACTGTTGCTACCTAGTTTTCTCATCAAGAGGCCTGTGGACCTTTACTGCATGGAAGTTCTTTGTTATATCTAACCTAAATTCCTCCTGCTATAAGGGATAGACAGTTGAGTAAGGTCTAGCGACAGAAACACAGGCAAAAATAACCTCTGGAGGTCACCGGGATGTACCATCAATTCTGGAAGCAAGAAGAAGTTTTCCTAGCCTCCCTTTCAGATTAGCACGAAGGAAGCAGCTCTGCTATGTGCCGGCTCCGAGGAGCTCAGCTCAACAGAAATCCCAGCCCTGGGAGGACTCTGGGCTCCTTCTCCTTTTAAGGCAACGTTTGAGTGCTCAGGGCTACACAAGCGGCAACAAGCTCCAGCCCCTCTCATTCCTGGCTATTTGGAGGAAACTGATGATTAATCAACCCTTTCCCTCCCACCCCCAGCCTGTTTTTCATTAGGTTCTTTTTAAAGTGTTGGCACACCTCCTCAAGAACAGACACTTGGCAGATCCTTGCCAACTAGGACCCCAGGGTAGGGGAGGTAACTAGGAAGGAGTGGGGAGTAGTCCTGGATTAGGATAAAGGGGAGAAGTCAGGATGTGCGGTGTCAGGGAAGAAAGAAGGTTAAATTGAGGCTGGGCGTGGTGGCTCACGCCTGTAATCACAGCACTTTGGGAGGCCGAGGCAGGTGGATCACCTGAGGTCAGGAGTTCGGGACCAGCCTGACCAACATGGAGAAACCCCGTCTCTACCAAAAATACAAAATTAGCTAGGCATGGTGGCACATGCCTGTAATCCCAGCTACTTGGGAGGCTGAGGCAGGAGAATCGCTTGAACTCAGAAGGCAGAGGTTGCAGTGAGCCGAGATTGCGGCATTGCACTCCAGCCTGGGCAACAACAGTGAAATTCCATCTCAAAGAAAAAAAGAAGAAAAGAAAAGGAAAGAAAGAAAGAAGGTTAAATTGAGTCCTGGCTAGGGGTGAGAGGGAAGGGTCTGAATGGGAGTCCTAGCTCTGAAGGGGGCTGCGTGAAAAGAGGAGGCTGGTGGGTGAGGCTCTGTGGGCAGCTGGGCACTTGAGTACTCCAGGGATGCTGGGTGGGCCGAGAGGAGCTGCTTTGGCCCCTGATGGGGAAGGTTAGAGATGGTTACATTGACTTGGTGGCTGTTAGTGAGACAGTCAGGTCTGAAATCCAGCTTTTCCCGAACTTGCTAGGTGAAGTCAGTTAACTCATCATCTCTCTGGATCCCCAGTTTCTCTCTGAGTGAAGCCTACAAGTGGCGTGGGAACTCTGGAAAGGGAAGCTATGCAGTGCACAGTGGGCTCTGAGAACTCCTGAAATGTGCACATTTTGGGAAAGGAAGGAAGAGGGGAGGGCAGGAGTCTTTGCCCTGGAGGCCTAATCTCTAGACCATGGGCCTAGAGAGGCTGGTCCCTCCAGCTCTCACCTCCAAGCTCCAAAAGTGGACAGAATCAGTGATGGAACTGCTCTCAACTTGATGGGATCAGGGAATAGGAGAGGGAATTTCCTGGTCAAACTATGGGCAGATCCTAAAAGGGCTGATCCATTGGGTTTCCTTGTTTCCATTCTATTTGCATACTCCTCTCCTTCTGTCCCTTTCAAATCAAGGTTCAGTAAGGTCACCATCACTTCTGCTCCAGGGTCAAACCCAGTTGATCTGAGGGTCAAACCCAGTTCCCTGGGGGCCTGAGTGAGTGGGAGGGGGAGCTCTCTGCCCCTTGCTCCATCACCATAGCCCCAGTGGGGCCTCCAGTGCAGCTGGACCTTGGGGCCTGCAGGGCAGGAGGCTAGAACAGATACATTCCAAGGCCCTGTCTCACTAGGCCCTGTGCCCCTTGGCTGCTTATTGTGATTCTAGCAGAGGAGCCAAGGACTCTCGCTGCTAAAAAAACCCAGGGGCTGGTCCCCAATGGCATGTGTTTGTGGTGCAGGTACAAACCGTTTCCATAGGACTCACTTTTCTTTCCATTCCCTCGGCGAAGAGCGGAGGTTGAAGAAATGCTACTTGGGCCCGAGAGTGCGACAGAGAGCTGCTTTCCTTTCTTCCCTGCCCTCTCCCCACACCCCAACCTGGCACTCTTGAAAGAAAACTTTTTAAATATTCAAACCATAGTCTCTTCCTCTTGAAAAACCTTTAGGGGAGGACATCACAGCCTCCCTTTAAGTCCCAGTTGCTCTGGGGTCACAGTTGGACAGTTAAGTCTAATGTCTACTCTATGTCTAATGTCTAACTCTGCCACTTCCTCTGCTTCTCTGATGAAGACGAGAAGCAAGTGCTCTCAAAACAGGGCTCAGGCTCGGTGCAACCTTACGGAGGAAGAAACAGGGATCCATGGAGGTGTGGGTGGCTTATGCTGTGTATAAAACTCAAGCCCCCAGCCTGGCGCGGCGGCTCACGCCTGTAATCCCAGCACTTTGGGAGGCCGAGGTGGGTGGATCATGAGGTCAGGAGTTCGAGACCAGCCTGACCAACATGGTGAAACCCTGTCTCTACTAAAAATACAAAAATTAGCTGGGCATGGTAGTGTGCACCTGTAATCCCAGCTACTCAGGAGGCTGAGGCAGGAGAATCACTTGAACCCGGGAGGCAGAGGTTGCCATGAGTCAAGATTGCGCCATCACACTCCACCCTGGGTGACAGAGCAAGATTCTGTCAAAAACAAACAAACAAACAAACCAAAAAAAACCTCAAGCCCCCATCACAGCTCAACTGACTTGGTCCCATGGCCTCTCTCACAAACTTCTCAGTGTCTCGGGGGTCAAAATTGAGTCATAGAATCCAAGATCTAGAATCTGGCAGAGTCTTCCAGAGATCAGCTGACCCAATGAATTCCAGGGCTCTCCACAGAGAGATGCTTGTCCTTAGCTAAGTTTTTACTAAAAATAAGGACAATACTGTGAATTTAAAAAAATACACATATTTGCTGTTAAGGTATATTCTTTACTCTGTTATGCCTACCTTCTTTAAAATTAGCTCCTTCTTATTTTAATGAGATGATGATGGTAGATAGAATTTTAAAATATCGGATGGGCATGGCAGCTCACACCTGTGATCTCAGCACTTTGGGAGGCTGAGGTGGGAGGACTGCTTGAGGATAGGATTTTGAGTCCAGCCTGGGCAACATAACAAGACCCCCATCTCTAAAAAAAAAAAATAATAATAATAACAATAATAATGATAATAATTTACAAATATCCTTAATTGGTAAAATAAAATGTTAGCATATGTTGATCCCTCTACCTTTTTTTCCTTTGGAAATGTATTGCCTTATAAAATTTCTGTATCTCAGAACTATTGGCCTACTCCTTAAAAGCAGGGGCCAGGACTAAGGTGAAGGGATGTGAGGCACTCACCTTGGGCACAGAATATAAGCGGATGCCAAAAACTCAGTGAGCAAGATAACTGATGTTTTCACATATATATATATATACACATATATATATGTGTATATATATATATACACATATATATGTATATATATATATATATACACACACACATATATATGTGTATATATATATATACATATATATATGTATATATATATATATATATACATATATATATGTATATATATATATATATATATACATATATATATATATATATTTTTTTTTTGAGACAGAGTTTCGCTCTTGTTGCTTAGGCTGGAGTGCAATGGTGCAGTCTTGGCTCACCACAACCTCCACCTCCCAGGTTCAGGTGATTCTCCTGCCTCTGCCTCCCGAGTAGCTGGGATTACAGGCATGCACCACCATGCCTGGCTAATTTTGTATTTTAGTAGACACAGGTTTCTCCATGTTGGCCAGGCTGGTCTCAAACTCCCGACCTCAGGTGATCCACCTGCCTCAGCCTCCCAAAGTGTTGGGATTACAGGCATGAGCCACCGCGCCCGGACTTCATGTATATTTTTAAAAATAAAACGAATGCAAAAAGTCCACAATAAACACCAATGCAAAATTTTAAAGACAGGATCAGTGTTAGTATTTCTCCTTTTGCCTCAGGTTCCAATGTGCTTGGCAGGGCATTGCTTGGAAGCAGTCCTTCTAAATCACCCATGATAGGAAAGGGCAATTCTGGGTCTGAGAATACTCCATAAAAGGAACTGCCACAACCTTTGCAGGTATTTGTTTGGTTGTCTCACAACCCTGAGGCCTTGAGTCTGATGTCATCCCATTTCTGCAGCTTAAACCTGAGTCCCTCTTTTGCTGCCCTCAATGGAGACATCCACCCCACTCTCCCAAACAGCACAACTGTCCTTCAGAGGCTCAAGGGCAGTTATGTAAGCGCTCCCCCACACATCCCCATACTCATTCCTCTCCCTCTGTAGCCAGCTTTTCATGATTATTTTTCTTTTCTGAATTCTTAGGAAAGCAAGCAAGTGGAGACCAAGACAGATGCCAAGAATGGAGAGGAAAGGGGCAGAGATGCCAGCAAAAAAGCCCTGGGCCCCAGACGGGACTCAGATCTGGGGAAGGAGCCAAAGAGGGGTGGTTTAAAGAAAAGCTTCTCTAGAGACAGAGATGAAGCTGGTGGCAAGAGTGGCGAGAAGCCCAAGGAGGAGAAGATCATCCGGGGCATTGACAAGGGCCGGGTCAGGGCTGCAGTGGATAAGAAGGAGGCAGGGAAGGATGGGAGAGGAGAGGAGAGGGCAGTGGCCACCAAGAAGGAAGAGGAGAAGAAAGGGAGTGACAGGAACACAGGCTTGAGCAGGGACAAGGATAAAAAGAGAGAGGAGATGAAGGAGGTGGCCAAGAAAGAGGATGATGAGAAGGTAAAAGGGGAGCGTAGGAACACAGACACCAGAAAAGAGGGTGAGAAGATGAAAAGAGCAGGTGGGAACACAGACATGAAAAAGGAGGATGAGAAGGTAAAAAGAGGAACTGGGAACACAGACACCAAAAAGGACGATGAAAAAGTCAAGAAGAATGAACCCTTACATGAAAAGGAAGCCAAGGATGACAGCAAGACCAAAACACCCGAGAAACAGACGCCCAGTGGCCCCACCAAGCCCTCTGAAGGACCGGCCAAGGTGGAGGAGGAGGCAGCTCCCAGCATATTTGATGAGCCTCTGGAGAGAGTGAAGAACAATGACCCCGAGATGACTGAGGTGAACGTCAACAACTCAGACTGCATCACAAATGAGATCTTGGTCCGGTTTACTGAGGCTCTGGAGTTCAACACTGTGGTTAAGCTGTTCGCCTTGGCCAACACGCGAGCCGATGACCACGTGGCCTTTGCCATTGCCATCATGCTCAAGGCCAACAAGACCATCACCAGCCTCAACCTGGACTCCAACCACATCACAGGCAAAGGCATCCTGGCCATCTTCCGGGCCCTCCTCCAGAACAACACGCTGACCGAGCTCCGCTTCCACAACCAGCGACACATCTGTGGAGGCAAGACGGAGATGGAGATCGCCAAGCTGCTGAAGGAGAATACTACCCTGCTCAAGCTGGGCTACCATTTTGAGCTGGCCGGGCCCCGAATGACTGTCACCAATCTGCTCAGCCGCAACATGGACAAGCAGAGACAAAAGCGGCTGCAGGAGCAAAGGCAGGCACAGGAAGCCAAGGGAGAGAAGAAGGATCTGCTGGAGGTACCCAAGGCCGGGGCCGTGGCTAAGGGCTCCCCAAAACCTTCACCTCAACCATCTCCAAAGCCCTCTCCAAAGAACTCACCCAAAAAAGGGGGTGCTCCAGCTGCCCCACCACCCCCTCCCCCTCCCTTGGCTCCACCCCTTATCATGGAGAACCTGAAGAATTCACTCTCACCAGCTACCCAGAGGAAGATGGGAGACAAAGTCCTCCCTGCCCAGGAGAAGAACTCCCGTGACCAGCTATTGGCTGCCATCCGCTCCAGCAACCTCAAGCAGCTCAAGAAGTTAAGTAGTTGTGGGCATGAGCCAACAGGGCGGGGCTGGGTAGGGCCTGGAGGAGAGGGTAGGACTGCAAAAGGGAAGGCATGCAGAGGAGCTTATGTCGGCTGCAGATGATATAGACTCCCAGGGCCCATAGGGGACTTCAGGTCATCTCATGCATCCTCCTGCCTGCAGGCAGGTCACACCTGTATATCCCCTAGAGCTGAGACTCTACCCTTCCTTTAAGGAGCTTCCTTTAATACCTCACTCCATGCTTCTCTTTCATTCTGCAATGAAGCCTGTTTCTCCTTAAAATGGAGAAATGGCCTCTACAGAGTAGTTTTGCCTCGGGTCCTTCCTTTAAGTCTTCTCCATTTCCCCAAACAAAAATGATCCACGTTTTACTTAGCCTCCTCTCAGGACCAGCCAAGTCCTACAGGTCAGTCCATCCGAAAGGTCTCTGGGAGATTCACCTCTCAGGAGAGTCTACCTTTGCCTAGCCAGTGCCATGGACACAGGAGCCATCCCTGGACACCCTACTTCTCCAAGCCCTGCCTCCCCTGGAAGTCTGGCCTGGGTGACAAAGTCCACGATCGTTTGTCCATTTGGTTGGATACCCAACCCCCACAACATCATCTGGGACAAGGTATCATGAGATAAAGGAAAATCTCAATTGTAATTCCAGTGGTCACTCAATGACATCCAATTTTTACAGACAATGAAAAATGCTCCCTCAGTGTCAACACCTCATTCACATTCCACAGACATAACATATTGCAGTGTCTTGTGTGTCCTTCCAGTAGGGAGGGAGGTGAGGTGGCTGAGCTCCCTTCTCTAACCTGTCTCTACTTTGCCCCTACAGGTGGAAGTGCCCAAACTGCTTCAGTAGGACCAGGCTGCCAGGCACCATCTGCCAATGCCATGACTGCTCAGGCCTCACCTCCCAGGGCTACACAGACCCTGCCCACCCCATCCCTGGCTGACCTGCTGTGGATGTCCCTATTCTGCCATGGGAGAGTCCAGGCCTGGGTCACGCTCAAGGAAGGATGCCTTATCTCTTCTCACTTTCCTTTTCTTGTCTCTGAGGCTCTCCAAATTTTGCTTTAGTACATGGAGCTCAGGTTTCTGGACAAGAAGAGTCCTTTTAGCACATCACTGAGAAGATGGCACTGTCCAGGGCCCATGTAGCTGGCAAGCTGCAAAAGGCCTGTGATCCAGGAAAGATGTCCCACAGGGACCACATCCACCCCAGCCCCACTGCCCTCCAGGGCCAGGATTCAGGCCTCTGAGGAGCCCACGGGGCAAAGCTGCTGGGCCAGTGGCACTCTGTGTGGGAAAATGGCAGAAAGATGGAGAGGCATGGGGGCCCAAAGGGGAGCGTGGGGAGGGGCTGAGGATACCCCAAAGTCCAGGCTAATTAGAGGATGTGGCAGGGGCAGTGGCCTGGATGCACAGTGCCTGATGGGAGTAGGCTCCAGACAGGAGGAGTGGGACAGACAGCAGCTGGACTTGAAGGTTTGATGCCAAAGCAGACATTTTCCTCACACCCACCTGCTGCTGTATGAATAGCTGTGTATCTGTTTTTCCATAAGATTTTGATAATATATACAAACCTTTAGCTGTGAATGGCTGTGCCCCACCTGTTGTCCTGAACTGTGAGTCCTGATCCTAACCCTGGGCTCCCTGGAGGACTCTAGAAGCTCAGGTTCCCTGCCACACTATTTGAGTTGGCCAAGAAATAAATTCACATCCTCAGAAAGTGCAGCATGGAGGAAAATCTGAACTCTAAGCAGAAGACTCTCCACTGACCTGGTTGTCCAGGTCTAGAAGGCCAGGCCTCTACTAGGTCTGCTCCTGAACCAGTCCTGCTGCCTGGAGTCAGTAGCCAGAGTTGTTCTCAGGGGTGCTGGGGCAGAGTGGAGCCCAGGGTGCTGGGATGGCTATATTAGGCATGTTCAGGGATGCTCATTCCATGACTCTGCCTAACCATGGGCTCAGGGCCAGGTCCTCACAGCAGTCACAGGCCCAGGAAGGCGGCAGGCAGAGAAGTGGAGTGACTATTTGGAGAATAGCACCCATATCTGTGTGCCCTAGGGCTCAGAGGGGCCTCATCTTCCCCAGCCCTCCCCACCTGCTCACCAATTCCACTTCCTGCCCCAACTGCAGGAATGCTGACAATGCTGCCATGCCCACCATCGGGTGTAGGTGAAAGGCATCTTTCTGAATTTCATTCTCTTGAAGGTGCTGCCACCCCTTGGCACTGTGGAACTGCCACCTTGGGTCTGTGTCACTTGTAGGTTTCTCTGCCTCCAGGTTGCCTCAACAGCAGGAGGCACAGCAGTTTCACCATCTTTGAGGTGAGGGTGGGGTGCCCCAGCTAGGAAGCAAGATCGCTGTGCTAGGTCTGACCAAAACCAGAGGGCAGTCTAGTCCTGGGGGTAAAGCCCTCAGATCCCAGGGTACACTCTTCTCCATTCCCTCCACCCACTTGCCTGTCACCCCAGTCACCTAAGCAATCACTGGGCCCAGAGGAGAGGAGACAGACACACACTGGCTCCTGGACCTAAAGGGTATGAGCTGGAGCTAAGGCCAGCTAGAGCTTCCACTGTCAGCCCTCACTGTCAGTCCCACTGCACCCCCCTGTGCCTGCTGGGCACTGGGCACTAGCTAGATGCTTTAGGTTGCTTCAGCTGATCCTTCAACTCTGTGAGGTGGATACCAATATTCTATTTTGCAGATAGAATTTGGCCCAGAGAGGTTAACTAATATATCCATGATCACACAGCTAATAAAAGTCAGAGCTCAGGTCTGTTTTGTTTGTTGGTTTTGTTTTGAGCCCAGGTCTTCAGGCCATAGAACTGCTTCTCATTAACAGCTCCCCTTCCTTCCCTCACTGAAATAAGGCTGTGACGGTGCTGCAGGAAAGCACTGGACGCTCACCTGAACCCAAACAACCTGCCTCCAAATCTTAAGGGTCCAATAGAACCTGTCACCTTAGGAAGCCCTTTCTACCAAACTTCAAACATGATTTAGCCAGAGAGAAAAACCACTCCCTACTGTCCTGAGCAACAAGTGAGCTGCCCTCTTCCTCGGTGCTCCCGCGGTGGGGATGCTGTTTCCGTCCTGGATGATGTCATCACTCCTCTAGTGCACTTGAACCTGGTGCGGGAGCACAGCGCCACCTGGGGGTGGACCGCAACCCAGATTCTCCAGCTGCTCCAGGGGTGCCCTGGAGCTGTGCTAGGGACCAGGGGAGGGAGGCAGTTAGAGGGAGGGGGAGGAAAAGATGGGCAGATAGCCTGGTGAGCTTCGGAAAAGGGGCCCAAACTCTGGAGGCTGTGTTTCTGCTGCGCCACGCACCCACTGCTGCCCACCTGCCCCACCAACACTGGCAGTCACCCATCTATCCTGCTTCCTTTCCTAAAACTTAGAGAGGGAAATCCAGAAAGGCTCTATCCTTGTCTGGTGCCTGTACTGTACAAGGACAAAAAAAGAGGTTCGAAGATAGAAAATGACTTGTCGAAGTTGATGAATCAGGATTTGAACCCAAGTCTCTTATCTCTGGGTTCATCTAGCAACCTGGATGAAGCCACGGTCTGACCTCCACGGTCTCTGCCTGCAGCCCCCACTGTCATATCCTCCACTCTGCCCCCCCACCCTCCATCACTTCCTGGAGAATCACATTCCCTAGCTCCTACCTGCAAGGAAGGGAGGCTTCACCTCTCAGCTCTCCCGGCCCGCAGGGCCCAGCCGTTGCACCCCAAGCTTCTTGCCTCCTGGTCCTATCCAGATGGGAAAAGCGTCTTTCCCTCCACCTTCCCAGCACTGGGACCTAGGCCCTGGTGCTGGCTGTGGGTGGGATGGCAGGCACCAGCAGCTGCCAAGGCGCTGGCCTCACTTGTCCTTACAGAAGCTCAACCTGCAGGTGAGCAAGGGGCTCTAGGCCTGGGCACTGTGTCACACATGTGGCACTCTTTAAGAAACATGAGATCTGGATGCAGGTCACCCATGAGCTTCTGGACCACCAAGTCGGGAGTGCCATGTGCTGCCCCCTACCCTTCACCCTGCATGGCCAGGCTGGGGCTCCTGACCTCTGAGTTTGGCCTAACTAGGGCCTGTGTTGCTGTGGTGCTGGGCTAGGCTGCTGGCCTAAGAGTGGCCAAGAGAGTGTGGCCCCCCTCAGCACCCTTCCCCCAGCACCTCCCACTCATCCTGTCTATGCCCCTCCTACCCCTCCCTCCCTCCCTCCTTCCTCCAGCCCTCTAGGGCCCTTCCCTTACTTGCCCCTCCCTCCTTTACTCTTTGCCTGAAGTACCTCCCTTCTGTTCACCTCTTGTGGGGGGCTCCCCTTCTCCCCTCACCCAAGGTGTCTCTCCTTTCTTGCCAACCTTTCTCCCCCTGCCCATTGTATTTCCATGTGTCCCTGCCCTAGCTCCTTCCCCTGCACCTGACCCCTCCCATCCACCTGTGAGATCCGCTTTCCCTTGAGCAGGCCCAGCCTGGCAAGATTCCTGCCCTAAGAATGCACTCCTCTTGCTTTTGTCTAAAAATGCCCCTCTTCTCCACATGTGCCTTCCAGACCGCCCTTTGGGGGATTCACCATTCCCTCCCAGCCTAGCAGGACCCTATTGACACTATTGAGGTCCCCCAATCCTTGAGGGACACTGCCCCTCCCACCCTCACTCCTGCCTGCCCTTATAGAGTGCCTGATTGGCTTTCAGGGGTGCTAGCTGAGGAACAAGGCGATCCGGAGGGGCAACTACAGCTTTGTACTCCCCTGGCCCTGCTGGGCTCCCCTTGTTTCCCAGATGATGAGTCAGATGAGGTGGGGTCAGAGGAGACTGCAGTGGTTTGGGAAGAGACGTAGGGGTGATTGCCTCCATTTAAAGAACTCCAGGATATGTGAGAGACCTCTTCACTGCTCAGAGCATGTGAAAGTCCTACTCTGTCACAGTTTTGCTCCTTTTCTTAGAATTCTCTTCAGTGTTTTGCAGAGTTAGTTGACTGGAAATGGGGCAACTCTACTCTTCCAGTCTCAGCTATGGCTAGGGTAAACCTGCCTCCTATCCCAGACTACAAAGCATTTTTTCATTGGCACCAGGTTGTTGATTCAAGGATAATTAATTCTGACTGGCATCACCTTGCATACATTTACACATCATTTCTCGGAGAAACTAAAAAACCTTAATATGTAGATCTCTTCCAGCTCCCAGCTTCAGGAGAGAGGAGACTGCACTCCAAACCTCAGATGACTTGGAGACCCTCTTTCCTAAATTGTGAAGCCAGGCACTCCAGGGCTCCAGCTCCCACCTCTTGTCCCCACCCTCAAAGAGAAAGAGGATTTGTACCTGTGGCCTCAGCTCTGTCTCTACCAGCATCAGCAGCCCCTCCCTGTCTGGGTCTGATCCAGGGGCAGACATGTGGGCCCCATGAAGATTTCACTGGGAAGGGGAAAGCCATGAATCTAGGGGCAGAGCTCTGCCCAGGGGAATTTCTGACCCTGGCCCCAAAACCCTGGCCCAGGAGCTCTTGCCTTCCAGGCTGCGTGACAAGAGATAATCCTCAAGAGTATGTGGGTGGCAGAAGGCCCTGGGGGCATGGTCAGCACAACGGCCATATCCAGAACCCAGCTGGGCTGCAGGATCCCAGAGGTCTGAGCGGGCAGGGCAGGAGAGCAAAGCCTGAGGCTGCAGTGGGGCTGGAGTACCTGTGGATGGGGAGAAAAGGAGGGCTGGGCTTAGAGGATACTTGGATAAGGGGCTTGGAGAGGGGAGGGGCTCTTCATTGGTGGGGCTTTGCCAAGCTGAGCTGACACTTTTCCCACTTGAGTTA
This sequence comes from Homo sapiens, assembly GCF_000001405.40. Taxonomy (NCBI): domain Eukaryota; kingdom Metazoa; phylum Chordata; class Mammalia; order Primates; family Hominidae; genus Homo; species Homo sapiens. The sequence continues at coordinate 201,893,428 of NC_000001.11, read as the reverse complement.
AAAACAATAAAACTTCCTTCCCTGGATCTGTCACCAGACAAGTCCTGAGAGCACAAGGACCATGACCCCAGGGAACAAGGAGAGGGAAGACAGCCAGGCAGCTCCAGAGGTAGGGGGGCTCTTCTAGGCAATATTTGTGGGAGGAGGGGGAGAAAAGGTCATATCCCCCACTGTGTGGCTCAGTGGGGGTCACAGACATGGGCCTGGGGACTGGCAACCCAAGCAGCTGACAGAAGCACCTTGCACCAGATTCTTGGGTCACCCAGTGTCTCTACCTGGCTCCTAGTTCTAGGATCTCTAATCAGGAAGGAAAGCACAGGACTAACAGTTTCATGTACATACTATTTCACCCTCCTGACAGCCATGGGGTATTATCCCCATTTGATTTATTTATTTATTTATTTTTATTTATTTATTTAGAGACAGATCCTGGTTCTGTTGCCCAGGCTGGAGTACAGTGGCGCAATCTCGGCTCAATGTAACCCCAGCCTCCTGGGTTCAAGCGATTCTCCTGCCTTAGCCTCCCGAGTAGCTGGGATTACAGGCGCCTGCCACAATGCCTGGCTAATTTTTTTTTGTATATTAGCAGAGACAGGGATTCACCATGTTGGCCAGGCTGGTCTTGAACTCCTGACCTCAGGCGATCCCCCCCCCTTGGCCTCTCAAAGTACTGAGATTACAGGCATGAGCTACCGCACCTGTCCTATCTCCATTCTATAGATAAGGACATTGAGGCTTGGGAACCTTTGGAGACATGGCCAAGGTCAGAAAGTGGTGGGGCCCAGAATGAATCTAAGGGTACCTGAATGGGAACTGCCTTTGTACAGTTAGCAGTGCCTCAGCTGTTGTAGAGCTGTTGATCCCTAGCAGGGAATATCTGTAGTGCAAACGAGCATCTCTTCAGAGCTGTGGCAAAATTCACCTCATTGTCTTTAGGAAGCCTTTAGGAAGCCAGGAACAGTCCGCCTTGGTCTGCTTGTGGATGGGGGTGAGGATGGTGCTGTGCTCCGATGCTGGTGCTGGCCCTCCCCTACTTTTGGAATATGGAGTGGGCAACAGTCTGGGCCCAGCTGAAGGCGGTGTTCCTGGAAGGTGTGGATGGGTCCAATGATGCGACTGATATGAGTTATGTCTTTACAGCTTTAATCTAGCAGGCCAGAGATGTGGCCAGTGGGGCAGCCAGAGAGGAGGGCTACTGCCAGCTGCTGACGGAACCTCCTCCCTCCCCCCACCCCAGCCCAGAGGGGACAAACAGTAGGGCCCCAGCCTTCCTGGCTGGGATCTTGGGAGCAGAGGGACTATTTGAAAACAGGCACTGTGACCCAGGCTGTCATCTCCCTCCCTTGCCCCCAGTAAAAATAGCCCATAATTCCAAGCCCTCCCCCCAACCCCTCATAGTTCTAGTTCAGCTCCTGTTCCACTTCCCTGGGGCTCTGTCCCCAGTAGGGCCCAGGGCTTGGCTTGGTCTGGGGCCTGGTGGCTGGAGGACTCCTGCCACCCCCAGGACCAGATGCAGGTACAGGATGAGGGCATCTCCCAAGGTTGGCATCACTGAAGGGGCAGCAGAGACATGGCTGGTTCCTCAGGCTCCCGGGTAAGAGGGCTGTGGTGGCATATAGGGAGGAGGAGCTGAAAGCCAAAGAGACAGGATGAGGGTGAGTGGTGGCATAGGTGGACGAAAAGTAACACCCCTGCCCCCGGGGCAGACAGGACCCATAGGGAAGAGTGGGCCTGGAGGTTTCGGGCTAGAGGTGGAGGAAGTCTGGGAGAGGGAATCTGAGAATGAGAGAGGCACAGGGGAGGTCGCAGGGCAAGGGGTGGGGGAAGGCAGCAGCAAGGGGCTCCAGATTGCTTACTTACCTGCAGGGTTGTAGACTGGGGGCCCAGCTGGGTAGAGTGGATATTGGGGAGCAGGACCACTAGGTGGGTATATGAAGCCAGGCTGTGGGGGTGCAGGGCCAGCTTTGGGGTCCTGGGGGTATGGGTATACTGGCTGCACTGGGATGCCTGTCATTGGAATCTCCTGGCCTAGATGGGGGAGAAGGATCAGCATTCAGAGACCCATCTCCTATGGGAAGCCTCCTCCTCCTGCCCAGGAAACCAAGGTAAGCACCCTGGTGCTGGCCTCTGGCAAGCTCCAGGCTGGCCATCTTTGCCTCCCACACCCTGCTTGGCAGAGTTAAGCAGGGAGCTGTGCACGTGGCCCCAGCTGGTCAATCTGTGTTGAGCAAGTTTGCTCCCCTCAGCAGGTTTCAGAGACCTCATGAACCAGGGAGCACAGCCCAGGGAATATCTCACTTGGGCAAGAAGGGGACAGCTCAGGGCTGGTATCCTGTAATCCAGCAGAGCTGCCACTAAGAGGGTCTTCTCCTAGCCCTTCCCTCCCACACTGATCTCCCGTATGGCATCACTGTCCCCATGTCCATCAGGTTGTGGCATATGTGCATCACATGCCAACACTCAGGCACATATTTTGCCATCCACTGGAGCACACTCAATTAATGTTCATCACTACAGACCTGACCCCGTGTACTTACTAAGAGTCATATGTATGCATACACCCACTGCACCCACTATTGTTGACAGACTGCACTCCTGTACACATTTGAATCTTCATGTGTATGCACAGAAATGCACACAAAGTCTGATGTTCCATATATCCCAGGCACATTCTAATATTCACGGGTTTACAAGCATTTTTCTGGGTTTTCATGCTGGCAGGTGTGTGTATACAGAAGCACATACTACTACAGAATTTACCCAATCCATGAACTCTCTGCTGCCCATTATTGGACTTAGCCCAGCCCATCTGAGGCCCTTCTTGCCCAGTACTGGGTGTACCTTCAAATGGGCTCTGGAGCTGCTGGCGCCGGCGGTACAGGTAGCAACAGGAACAGAGGAAGCAGCAGATGGTGGTGGCAACCACAGCAACAAAGAGGATCACAGCTGAGGCGATGCCTGCTATGGTCTTGGGGCTTTAGACAAAGAACAGGTCCTCTCACCTTCCAACACTCATAGGACGGAGTCCTCATTATGCTGGCTCCAACTCCTGGCCAGCAGGGGGGCCATGGCATGCTGAGATTTGGGGTTCCTTGTGGGGCTCTGCCCAGTCCCTGTGAAGGAGATCTTAGAGGACCTCCACTTCCCAGAAGGCTATGCTGCCTGGCTGGCTAGTGTGAAGCATACGGGGATTTGCAGTGCGCCCCCAACCATTGCTTTTATATCTACAACTTAAATGATTAGACATACAGCATAACACTGAAAGGAGCCTTAGAAATAATCTAGAGCCATTTTTTCCAAACCCCGCTTCAATCAGAAGTCTCTATATCTATTTTATATATGATATATTAAAAAAAAGTTTGACAACCACTAATTTGGCAAGCAATGACCCATAGAAGGCAAGTGTCTTCTCCAAGATCACACAGCTAGTAAGAAGTGGACCTGGGAATCAAACCCAAGTCTCCTGCCTTTGTGCCAGAGCTTCTTCCACAAAGCTACACTGTCGTCCGGGTGTTAACCTTGAACCCTCCCTCCCCATGACCTGGCAGGACCAAAGGGAGGGCTCCAGAAAGAACCTGGAAACCCCGGGCCCAGTCAAAGCCTATGAAGGTAACTAACATGCCTTTTCTGGAACTCCCAGGCACCAGCACCTAAGCACCTAGCTCTGCCGCCAGGCTTGAGTCCTGGTGACTCTATTCAGCTAAGAATGTGGAGGTCGACAACGGAGGAGGCAGGAGTCCGGGAGGGAGGAAGAGGAGGCCTCTGGAGAAAAGGATAGAGGAGGTGGTGAGGGTGAGGAGGCAGGAACCCACCTGAAGGCCAGGCAGTGCTTCTGCTGCCTCTCGGTGATAAGCAAGGTCAGGTCCCTGCAGCAGTACCGATGGTAGCAGGTCCCGCAGCAGAAGGTGAAGAACTCGCAGTTAAACCCCGGATGCCAGGAGCCATTCCGGTCCAGGTACCACAGGCAGTCCTCGCCGGCCAGCACTGCGGGCAGGGATTGGGGGTGCCCAGTGGCCACCAGGCCAGTTCATCCCCAGCCGCGCTCGGCCCCACTCCCCCGGCGGTCCCCAGCCTGACGGCTCCCGAACACTGAGGGTTGCCCCTTGTCTCCACCCTGAGGGTCTCAGCCCCAGAGCCCCCGAGGCCTCTGCCTGAAGCTGACCCTGCACCCCGGGATCAGCCTCCCATGGCCCAGCATCCTGGAGCTCCCTCTTCCCGCTTCTTGAGGACCCAGCAACACCCAAGGCTCCCGTGGCAGCCGGAGGGTCTCGGAGAAGCCCCGAGCCCAAGCCCCTCGGATCGGTCCCTCCCCTTCCTCCGCCCCCATCCCACTCCTGCCGCATCTCTCCCCATCCCCTTACCCAGGGGAGCCCCCAGCACCAACAGAGCGATTGCGGTGAGCGGCGCGGCCCGGCGGAGCCCCGCGGGTGGCATGGTGGGGGCTGGGCGCGGCCGGGGTCGGGCCTCCCAGAGAAGGGACCGCAGGACCAAGCCGGCCAGCTGGAGCTGCGGCGGGGCCCAGCCCGCGGCCAGGCTCGGGCTCCTCTTCCGCCTCCTCTGGGGGTGGGACTAAGCGCCCCGCCCGCGCTAACCCAGCCGGCGCGGCTCCGCGCAGCGCCCAGGAGTCCACCCACCAGCGACGCCCACCTAGCCTCTGGAGCTGGGTGCCCCTCACCCAGCAGAGCACTGCCCTGCTCCCCCTGTCCCCGGCTCCGCGGTGGTTCCTCCCATCCGAGCCACCATGGGCACTGCGGGCAGTTGGGCACTGCGGCCAGGGAAGCCTGGCTGTGTCCTGGACCCGCCCCCGGCCTGGGCCCAATCACTATGCTGGACTCCAGAAGCCCTGATCCTGGTGCCACCTCCGAATGCCCAGACACATGGGCCAACCCTGGAGGAGCAGGGCTGGACCTTCACTTGTGGGGGACCTCCTCTGCCGCGTCCAGCCTGGGACATCCTGTCGGGGGCGGAGAGGGAAAGAGGCTGGATGTCACCCCGCCCCCATTCCCAGAACACAAGCACTCATTGAGAGGCATTCAGAGTGGCTTTGTCCCCAGCGGTGCCCACAGGCCTGAACCCTGCCAGCTGCACTGGCTCCCTACGATGGACCCTTCCCCCTTCAAGTGGACAGAGCTGGCATGCACCAGCCCATGGCCTCACTAGCAGGGAAGGCAGGCTGCTGGGGCCACCTGGGGCCCATCCAGTTAAACACTCTTCACAGTGAAAGCCCTTCACAGAGCAAGCCTGTACTGCAATAGCCACCGGAGCATAGGGAGGGCAACAGTTAATTTCAGGTGGGCAACAGTTAATTCCAGGTGGAGACAGTGTTTTAGGATGGGAGAGGTCAGTCTTCACAGGTTTATACTGAGTGCCAGTGACTATGCCCCATGCTACATGAGGTACCCTCCGAGGAACTGCAAATTAAGCCAGGGAGATCATCAAAAGCCTACCTTAATCCCCTGCCATGTACACCCTTTCACACACTTCTGGGCTTCCACATCTACCTCACTGGAATCTTTCCACAACTCCATGAACTAAGCAAGGTTCATCAGTGTTATCAATCGCATTTCACAGACTGAGAAACTAGGACTCATGGAGGTTAAAGAACTTGTTCAAGGTAATACAGCCAGTAAATGGTAGAGGCATCAGGAAGACCCAAATCTAAATCAGGGTTGATCCCCAGCCGCAACAGCAGACAGTGTAGACAGTGAGTATTTCTTGTGTTCTGGGGTGAGAGAATCAGGACAGGTCCATGGAAGGCCCAGTAGAATCTTAGTAGGTTAGGGAAGGACAGCCGAAAGAGGAGCTACCCCATCCTGGGCCCCTGTGGGTGCTGGCACACCTACCCAAGAGAGCTGGAATAGGAGAGGATAGGCTCCTGCCCCAGAAAGTTGCTGGTAGCCTGATGGGCAAGAGTATGTCCTCACGCAGGACACAGTCATAAATGCAGCAGCAGGGACAAAGAGAAACGCCTCTGAATCCAGCACCACCTACTCAGTGTGCCCATTGCCATCCATCTCCTCTTTCCTACACTAAAAGCTCCATGACTGCAGGGACCACGTGGCTGTGTTCAATGTGGCCATCCAGCCCTAGCCATCAGTGTTGTCATTGTTGGTTGAATCATCTTCAGATAAGGGACTGTCTTTCCTGCCCAGAGCTGAATCTCCCATGTGTACCCTTGACCCCTGCTGATTTGTCTCTTCATTATCCCATCTCTTTAGTGTCTTTAGCTTCTCACACCTTACCAGCTTCTTTTCCCTAGGAAATCTCAAGTCTCTCCTATTTAAAGCAAAGCAAAGCAAAGCAAACCAAACCAAACCACATCCTTCCTAAAACTCATCCCTCTCTAGCTACTTTCCTGCTTTTTTCTCCAACTAGCCTTCCTCAAAGTGTATACCCCTAGTTGACACGCCCTCCTCAAAGTGTATACCCCTAGTTGACACTTCCAGCTTGCAATGACACCTAGCACGCACCAACATCATCAGTGATTTTCTAATTGCAAAATTCTAAGAATGTGTTTCAGTTCATGGGATGGGAGGTGACTAGACTAGGACAGAGAGTGAAGAGAGGGGGCTGTGGGCCAACCAGAGGGGAGAACTGGCTGCACTGGGAGAACTGGCACTTCTTACCTTGACAAGGGATGCTGGAGCTCGGAGATGGAGAGCTGGGGCTAGCTTATGTCGCCATAATGAACCTGGGTCTTGAAAGAGTCTGTAGATTGGCCAGGAGTGAGGAGGGGCTTGGGTGGGAGGACTGGGGGCCCTGGAAGAAGTTGTCTAAATCTTCAGGCCTGGAAGGGCTTCACTACACCTTCTCTAGGTAAGGGCAGGCAGGAATACCCCCCGCTCACCAAGCTGGTCTCTTAATCCCCAGCAAGGGAAAGAAACGCTTTCCTGGAAAAGAGGAGGCAGAGTAATTTGTGATCAGATGAGACAAAACATAGGCTTTGCCAGTAGGAGGTTCTCCTCAGGGTGTCTGGAATATGATGGTAATGATACCACCAGCAGCGAACATTGCTGATGAGCTCATCCCATTGTACAGATGAGGAAACTGAAGTTGGAAGAACTTCAATTCCCCCAGCTCACACTGCTGGGATTTGCAGTTGGACTTTTGTGGCTTCAAAGCCCAGGCCCTTCAGCTTCACCACCTGCTTCTCTTTAAACAAGTCTAAAGGGCCAGGCACGGTGGCTCACGCTTGTAATCCCAACACTTTGGGAGGCCAAGGCAGGCAGATCACCTGAGGTCGGGAGTTGGAGACCAGCCTGATCAACATGTAGAAACCCCGTCTCTACTAAAAATACAAAATTAGCTGGGTGTGGTGGCACATGACTGTAATCCTAGCTGCTCGGGAGGCTGAGGCAGGAGAATCACTTGAACCCGGGAGGCTTGAACCCGGGAATCGCCATTGCATTCCAGCCTGGGCAACAAGAGCGAAACTCCGTCTCAAACAAACAAAAAAACAAGTCTAAAATGTTCAGTGCTATGCCTGGCATAAAAAGCATGTATTCAGGGAAACTTTGATGCCCAGCCCTTATCTCTAGCAGGCCTCTGCATGTGGTGAGAAGGTAGCCAGGGATATCTGAAGTGGGGAAAGGCAGGAGGAGGGGAAGGGCTGGGACCCTGCCTGTGACCCAGTTTGGGCTTGGCTAGGGGCTGTGGTAGGAGTGCTCTGCTGAGTCACCTCACTCCTGGGCTGAATGACCAGCCCAGGGCTCCTCCCAACCTCTTCCATGCTCCTCTATCAGAGCAGACTAACACAGGCATTCCTGAGGCCTTCCTTACTTTCCTGGGCCATGAGCCCTGGAGGCTCCATCCCACCCTGGTCCTACCCCACCCATGCTGTTTGGCCGTGGAGGCTCCTGCCTCCACTTTTGTCTGGCCAGTGGTTTGTTGAACCATTCCAAGATAAGGGAAACTCCATTCCTTTCCTAATTCCTGCCTCTGGTCAGTCAGTGCTCTCCAGGAATGCACTCTACATTACTCTGCCCTCCTTTTTTCTATTCCTCCTTGCCCAGCCTCTGGCAACCCAACTCCTGCAGACAGGTAATTATACATTCCCCCACTCCATAGGACCCTGAGTTCTTTACTCTGATTTAATGTCAGATCCTTCCTGGAGGGTCTTGGACACATTAATTCTCCTTGCAGTCCACAGCTAGGAAGAGTAAGGCCTAGGACAGCACCAGGACTTGGCCAAGTCTCATGGCTTAGTTGGGGAACCAGGTCTTTTGGCTCTCACTGCCCCGGAATAAACAAACATCTCTCTTAAATCAGAATGCTTTTCTTGGCATCCAGCTTTAATCTTTCTTGCTGTAAATGAAAGACTGTCTCCTGTTTGTCCTCTTGGTGGGAGGGACTAGCAAGTGGAGGGTGGGTGAAGGACAGTGAGGATGAGCCTCACTGCTGCCAAGCTACTGGTAAGAAGGTGTACTCTTCCATGTAACAAAGTTGCACAAGTATCCTATACATTTATATATATATATATGGAGCACTCTTCTCCAGAAGGACTTTCTACCAATGCCTTTGTAGGATTGCCTCTCCCAGAACGCCAGGCTTCTGCTTGTTTGTAGAGAGCCCAGGACAGCCTGGGCCTCAGGAAAGAAGAGGGTGTAGCCAGGCTGGCTTGGATGGCAGCTGTGAGCAGCCCCCTACTCAGGCACACTCTGGGTGGCTGTGGGAGCAGCAGCAGTCCCAGGCAGCCAAGGCCTGGCCTCAGGAGCCCAGCCCAGCCAGTGGGGCAGATGGTGAGGGCCAGGTTATCTTTAAATGGCACCTTACTCAGCCTGCCACTCTGCCAGTTGGGCAGGATGGCGGTAGACAAGTGTTATTTTGGGATCTGAGGGCAAGGGAGGAAGGCTCTGTTTATAGCTCTCTCCTTTCTGAACCTACTCTCTCTCCTGGGGAGGATTTGGGGCCATGGGCCTCAGCCCTCCAGCTGACCCTTTCCAACCTAAGGTTTCTGTTTTCAGCCTAGCTGTTAGCCATCTGCACAGATGGGAGTGTTGAATCTACAGAGGCACAGGGTTTCTCAGAAAGGCCAGCTCTGTAAAGGCAGGTTTAGGTGGTGACAACTGCATTAGACTTGGGATCAGACTAATAATAGGTAACATTAACACTTACTATGAGGCAGCACTACGAAGTGCTTTGTGTTATATTAACTTTATTTAATCCTCACAATCACTCCATGAAACAGATAACTAGTATTACACTTGTTCTGTGGATTAGGAAATGGAGACATAATTTAAGCAGCTTGTCCAAAGTCACCCAACAGGCAAGTGGCAAAGCCAGGGTTCAAATCCAGGCAGTCTAGCTCCGGAGCCCATGCTCTGAACCACTAACTAGATATGAGTCCTGCTCTGCCACTTACTGGTTCTGCAAACTTGAAGGAACCACTCCCCCTCTGGTCTTGGCTTCCTCTTTTGGAAACGGACTACCGTTCGGTTCAACCCACTAGAATCCCCAAGTTAGAACTGGCAGAGACACTCTGATCCATTGTGTCTCTCTCCCTGTTCAAGGGAAAAAGAACTTACTCAAGGTCACACAACCGGGCACTGGCCCTAGTTTCTGTGCTCTTGCTGTGAACCTCCCTGTGGCAGGGATGAGTCAGCGGAGCTGACGAGGGATATTAGTTATGAATTTGCAATCACAAAATCAGGTGTGGAAGAAATACATTTATTTTCTTTTAACCAAAATAGATGAGAATGAGTCTCTATCCTGCTACCTGGTTTGTTGTTATTATGGTTTGTTCCCCTCTCCAGAATCACGAAAAGGTCCTGGGGTCTCACACAGTGCAAAACATTGAGGTGAGCCCTCTAAGCCTTGGTCTGCACAGGTTCTGCTCATACATGCTCTTAAGCTTGCAAATTCAGAAGTGTTGGTCTGTGTGCCCCAGGTACAAGAGACCTTCCCAGGGAGCCTTGGTGACCAGGGCCCAGCATCCCTGGGGACTCCATGCAGCCTTTTCCCTAGGAAGTTCTATCATCTCCAGGTGCTTTGCCACAATCAGGGCAGGAGTCTCACCGCTCATAGGCCCCGTGGACTTTTTTGTCCCCTACTTATCTTTTGGAAAACTACCCCCCTTTTTCTCTCCCCTTCTTCCTCCGGGACCCTGGGCCTAATTGCAGTTCACTAGAGCTTTCACCATAGGGTCCAGAAGCACAGCTATTCTCATGCAGTCCTGCTGTCCACCCTACAAAAGCAACTAAGGCAAGGAAATGCAAAGAATTCAGGTATGTTCTTGGACTAAGTTGTTGGGGGGGGGGGAATCTAGTGAAAGCAAATTAATACACCGATAGTTTATGTCACACAGCTAACCACAGAAAAACTGCTTAGTAGGTGGAAGGCAAGAGCTGGGCCTACCACCTGTTTCTATCATGTTCCTCAGGCAGGGCTGCAGTGCTACAATTCATTCCTCAGAGCTGTCCTCCCAAAGGCTCACCAAGACCCTAATTTAGCAGCAGCATGTGTGAAATTGAACTGAGTCACAGTGTAATCCAGTGAGTCAGGAAGAATGAGCCAAACATAGCTCCCAGCTATGGGTGGGGGATAGGATGGGACATCTTCCACCACTAGAGGTGCTTTAATGAAGTCATCCTTAATTCTAACTACAATCCTGTGAGGTAGGTATTAGTTCCCTATTTTACAGATGAGGGAACCAAGGCTTGAAGGAAACGTCACTTGCCGCAGCTATGTAATCATGCCAAGTCAGAACAACTCAAGCCTGGGAGGGACTTCTAGGCCTCCTAGTCAGGCCAGTAGTTCCTCATTGCTTTTCTTCCTACAGCACATTTGCTACCATATCATGTATTCTACACAGGTTTAAAAACCCTAGTATACTTTTCAATTTTAGGAAGCCAGCAGTAATGCCACCCTTTTCCCAGTTACTCAAAAAAGGAAAAAACTGGAATGTAAGTGTCATTAGATGGCAAATGTTGACCTGTACCATCCATTAGGGAAACTTAAATTCACAAAACTTGTTTTTTTTTTTGTTTTTTTTTTTTTTTGAGGCAGAGTGTCGCTCTGTCGCCCAGGCTGGAGTGTAGTGGCATGATCTTGGCTCACTGCAACCTCTGCCTCCCGGGTTCAAGCAATTCTCCTGCTTCAGCTGCCTGAGTAGCTAGGATTATAGGCATGCGCCACCATGCCCAGCTAATTTTTTTGTATTTTTAGTAGAGACGGGGTTTCACCATGCTGGCCAGGCTGCTCTTGAACTCTTGATGTCGTGGTCCGCCTGCCTCGGCCTCCCAAAGTGCTGGGATTACAGGTGTGAGCCACTATGCCCGGCCTACAAAAATTGGAATTTTATTGCGATTACTTTTGGGTGCTTTGCTACTGGAATCTTGGTAAAGTATGGTTAAGACCTAGTCTAAATCCCCGTGAGAATGGGGAATTTTCCCGTGACTGCTAACTAAAGGTCTAGCCTCTGATCGAGCACTTGGATTGATGAGGAGGAACTCACTGCAACATTTTAAGACAATTCATTCCACAGCTCTCACTTTTGGAAAATCCTTACTTGTCAGTCTTTAAGTCCTACTGACTTTATCTTGTCAACATCTCTAATCCAGCTCTTCCACCCTATCCCCTCTAGTTACAACCTTAGTTCAGGCTCTGGGTTTTCCCACCTGGACTGCTGTAGCTGCTGCCAGACTGCATTCCTTTCTCCCATCTCCCACCCCTTCAATCCAGGTTCCAAGTCACCCTTCTAGTCACATTTGCATCAACACTGCAACACTTTTCTAAGACACAAAACCTGATCACTTCCCTGTTTAGTTATCTTGGGTAGTCTCCCATTCTCTAGAGGAAGCAGGTCTTGAAGGATCCTTCACAATCTGCCCCCCACTTGTCCTTCCAGCTTTATTTCTGGCCAGGACTCCCGTGAACTTAAGCATAAATATCAGTACTTGTAACGTGCTTATAAGGTCTGAAAATGAAATTGTTTCATGACGGCCTTTTCTTACTTTTTCTCTGCAATGTCTTACCCCACTCTCATCTGCCTGGCAAATGCACAGGAAAGGCAAAACAAATAGGCAACAAGTACAAGCTGCTTGGACTATAATCACACACTTGCAGGGTGACCTTTGATAGGTTAACAATATCTGTCTGCTTCAGTTTCATCAATCTGTAAAACTGGGTGAGCAAAGTGGACTACTTTGTAAGGTTAGTAGGTGGTCTGAGGTAAAAGTATTTAGCATACCCACTGGCGTTTAAATACTCCAGAAGCAGGTATTGTTAGCTCCTTGCAAGTGTTCAAGGGTTGCCTTCTCCATGCAACTTACCCGACTTCCTCCCCCAGGTTACCATTAGCCAGTTCCTTTTTTGGGCAGTGGGAACTAAACCCAGTACACTTATTTCTCTCACAGCACTCCCCACATTTATTATACTACAGATGCTTTTCAGCTTATAATGGGGCTACATCCCAATAAACCCAACAAAAGTTGAAAATACCGTTAAGTGAAAAATGCATTTAATACACCTAGGCTACCTTAAACCTACTCAGATCACTTACATTAGCTTACAGTTGGGCAAACTCATCTAACACAAAGCCTATTTTATAATAAAGTGTTGAATGTCTCATGTAATTTATTGAATACTGTACTGATTGTATGGATACTTGAAGTACTGTTTCTACCGAATGTGTATAGCTTTTGCACAATCCTAAAGTTGAAAAACTGGAAGTCAAACCATCATTATGTTCAGGCCCATCTGTATTTCTGACCCCCTACTAGACTAGCTCCTTGAGGGAAAGGGCCAAAGCCCTCCAGCATTTAGCACCGGCCTTGCATATCTAATAGAGGTTCATAGTTCACTGAAATGGGGTTGGGGGCAAGAGTAGCCAGAAATTGGCCTTTTATTTCCTACTTACTGATCATGGGTCAGCTTAGCTGGGGTGCAAAAGTATAGTATGTATTTCACTGGACCATCCTTGAACTTCCCAAAGCCATGTCCTGTTTCCTCTTGTCTTCTCTAAGCTAAGCATTCTTAGCTCCTTCAAGCTTCTTTTCCTTGACACGATTTGTCCTCTACATCTTAGCCTTCCTCTGGCAGAGGACTCATCTGTCAGGGAGCCTCCGGTTGAGCACCAGAAGGGAACATGGCAATGAGGATCACTGATAGGCACAGGAAGACTGAAAGGACCTTCCACACTACCCTAGACAACCTGTTTTTATTATCTCATCCTAGAACCACACTGGAGTTTTTTTGGACACATTAACAGTTCCTGGCATAATAAACTTTTTTTTTATTTTAAATTTTAAGAGACAAGGTATTGCCACATTGCCCAGACTGGTCTCAAACTCTTGGGCTTAAGTGATCTGCCCTCCTCAGCCTCCTAAAGTGCTGGGATTACATGGGTGTGGCACCACACCTGGCCCTCCTGGCATAATAAACTTTATTTTTTGAGACAGAATCTTGCTCTGTTGCCCAGGCTGGAGTGCAATGGTGTGATCTCGACTCACTGCAACCTCTGTCTCCCAGGTTCAAGTGATTCTCCCGCCTCAGCCTCCCGAGTAGCTGGGATTACAGGCACGTGCCACCATGCCCAGCTAATTTTTTTATTTTTAGTAGAGGCGGGGTTTCACCACATTGGCCAGGCTGGTCTCGAACTCCTGATCTCAGCTGATTTACCCACCTAGGCCTCCCAAAGTGTTGGGATTACAGGTGTGAGCCACCACACCCAGCCATTAAACTCTTAGTAGCACACAATACTGTTAGTGACAGCACAGTACTCTATAGTCCTCAACTCTGCACAGATGTTATTATCAATCTGCATTTATTGAAATGTTACATTTAGATTCTGCTCATTTTTATAGTTTGTAATGGTATTTGTTTGGATCCTAAATTTGGATTCTAAATTGTCATCCTTCCTAAGGGTTTCTTATTATCTAAAAATTTGATCAGCACTCCTAATTTACTAGTACTATCTCTTGTGTAAATGGCTTCAAATTCTTTTGTGGAATGGGTAAGGCATAAAAAAAGTCATCTGTCACTAATATCAAAGGAGGGGCCAAGGACACAGCCCTGGGGGAACTTACCAGGTCAACCCACAATGGGTGAATTTATAGTTTGTTAGTTAGTGGTCAGTTACCAACTTCTCTGTCTGTCTAATGCTTTGACTAAAATGTCCAGATTATTTACCTAGTTAACAAAATTAAAGAAGATTCTAAGACCAGTTTAGCATCATTTTCTCTGAAGTCCATAATGAATGTCTGTTAAACTCTCGTCACTCTTATTTAGGTGCTTTTGGGTCATTTGTTGTAGGTTCATTCTCCCAAATCAATGTCACATATACGTCTGTAACTTGTGTTATCAGCTTCCTTCCTAGGGCTTTAACTTCTTTTCAGTCTTATAGCATTCCTTCCATTTTCCTTTCAGTTCACTCCAATAAAAGCTCGACAAACTCCTGGGAGCCCCTTGGTGCCCCAGCTGCTGTTTACCAGTCAGGAGACTAAAATGTCTCAGAGCAGCTAAGTGCTCTTTTTTATTTTTACCTCATTTGTCTTACCTTGAACTTTTTAGTTCCTTGTAACCACTTAGCCCTGCCCTTTTCAGACTGAAGCTAGTTCTCTTTGGCCAAAGACAGGAGACAAAATATGGTCTAGAGTTTCTGTCAACATGTACTGGCCTCCAACAGATCTTTTTTCTTCCTGCTGACACTGGACACAGTCTCTCCACTCTTTTTCTCATCAACAGAATGGGAATATCCACTCTGTGAACCTGTTATAAAGGTTAAATGGGATAATGTATATGAAAATGCACTGGAAACACAATTAAGTACCTGCACATCGAGGGGTCCAAGACCTTCTGCTCTCACCCACAGCCGAGTATCTGTTAGCCAGGGGTAGCCCTTAAGTGTTACTAGGGCCCTTTCCTCAGGACTCAAGTTCTCCTGAGGCAGGATGCCCAGTCCTCCCCCAAATCAGCATGAGAGCAGAAAGGACCCTTGCCAAAGGATTTAGGACCACTTTTGGCACTAGATATAGAATGTTTGTCTAATTAGCAGACGCAGAGGGACCCCCATCATTCTCAGTCTGTGTGTGGGAGCCTTAAGCCTTCCCAAGCTCAGCAGTTCAATGCTACTGGCATGAGACCATTCTTTTGTGCCAATATCAGAGGCTGACTTGGCCTTATGCCTTTAGCACCAAATCCGACTGGCACTGCCTTGAGATAAACTATGGAGTCTGCAAGGCCGAGGGTGGTTTTCTCAGCACCACTTGGTCAGATCTGCCATCATTTCCCCAGTATCAGCAACTCCCACAATGCCATGTGAAGCAGCAGGGGCACAAGCAGTTAGCCTCAGAACCTGGCTGGCATGGGACGACTGTGAACATGCCCGCAGGCTTCTCAAAGGTAGTAAAAACTTTTAACTCTACTTCTTCCAATCTCAGTCATGGAGGTTGAACACTGGGGACACCTAGTGGCATGAAGAAATTACCAGCTACAATATCCTTGGGGCCATCCCCTTGAGTGGAGATTCAGATTCACTTTATATTCTTTCTCTTTTTTTTTTTTGAGACAGAGTTTCGCTCCTCTTGTTGCCCAGGCTGTAGTGCAATGGTGCGATCTTGGCTTACTGCAACCTCTGCCTCCCAGGTTCAAGCGATTCTCCTGTCTCAGCCTCCCGAGTAGCTGGGATTACAAGTGCATGCCACCATGCCTGGCTAATTTTTGTATTTTTAGTAGAGACAGGGTTTCATCATGTTGGTCAGGCTGGTCTCGAACTCCTGACCTCTGGTGATCCGCTGGCTTCGGCCTCCGTAAGTGCTGGGATTACAGGTGTGACACACCACGCCCAGCCTATATTCTATTTCTTCTTTGTGAGAATATCAATCTAAAGAAATATCCTGTGGTTATTAAAAATGGGGCACCAGATGTGGGCACTACCAAAAAAAGGGGAACACAGGTTTCATCTTTCTCCCCATGATTTGTGTGTGTGTGTGTGTGTGTGTGTGATTGAGTCTTGCCTTGGAATGCAACGGTGTGATATCGGTTCACTGCAACCTCTGCTTCCCAAGTTCAAGCGATTCTCCTGCCTCAGCATCTCAAGTTAACTGGGATTACAGGCATGCACCACCATGCCCAGCTAATTTTTGTATTTTTAGTAGAAATGCAGGTTTCACTGTGTTGGCCAGGCTAGCCTCAAACTCCTGATCTCAAGTGATCCGCCCATCTCAGCCTCCCAAAGTGCTAGGATTACAGGCGTTAGCCACCGCGCCCAGCCTCTCTCCATGATTTTCTAATCCTCATTTACTCTTTGAACCCCAAACAGACTAAACTTCCCAATTAAGGAATCTCCCTTAAAAATATTTGATTAAACAATGCCAGTTCTTTAAGAATCATTTCAGGCTATGTTTGCCAAGACACACTAGAATGTTTAGACAGGCTCCACCTAATCCTTTCCCCCATTACTTTTACTTACCTTCTAAAGGGAATAGAAGGCAAACAGGTGCTGAGACACCTTATACCATGCAACTAAATTCATTTGTAAAGATTACTTTACTGTCCTAGAAAAATACATGTTGCAAATTTGAGGGCTACAACTTAAGCACTTTAGAGGCTTCCTGAGGGAAAGGGGATAACCTTTGAATATCAGACTCTGTGGTAATGTGTGGGAGAGGCATATTAAATATAGTTGGGTCAGGTGGATTTAAAAAAAATCCCTTTTCCCCATTTTTTTTTTTTTTTCTAAAAAAGGAAGATCAAATTGCCATCTGTCTGGCTTATTTTGTGTGTGCATGTATATATAGGAACAGCTTGAGGGGAAGGGTTATGTCATGCAATGAAGCAAAAACAAGACGACCTCCTCTGACAGAGGAGCCTTAGTGTTGTAGAAGAGAAGCAAGGCTGAGGTCACTGGAAAGGCTTAGAATGAAGCTGCTCTTGCCTGTTCCTCCTGAGAACCCAGAGCAGCAGTGGTCCAGGGCACAAAGCATAATGATCTCTCATGAGGATTCCTATCTGAACACATCAGAAGTCCTATGAACATAGATAGGTCTGTTTTAGAATATAAATGGTAGTGACTTCCTGCGCTCCTGAGGCGGGGCAAAATAATCCATAAACACATAATCCTTCTGGGCAATAATGTTTCTGGACTCGCCAGCAGAGGGCTCTAGGAACAGAGGTGGGGGTAGAGTCGGGGAGAAAAAAGGTTCTAGAGATGGCATGTCTTCAGGGGAACTTTGAGAAATGTCCTTTGTTCCAGCATTCCTAAGTGACGGCACCGGTGAGCCTGGTCTGAATTGTCATCAGTGTCACTGCCGAGGCCAAGGGCCAAGGGTCAAGATGCCACTTTAGGTTGAGAAGAAAGTGCATCTCAAGGCCAGTGAGGGCTGCAAAATGGTTTGCGGCTGGCCCAGAAGGAGCAAATGTAGAAAGGCTCCCCTTTTTAGATGCCGATGGTCTGTAGAACTCGCCTCTCATTGTCATTAAGGTGGCCTGAAAACATTATGTAGCAGGGCTGCTGAGCAAACTGGCAGAGGAAATCTGTGAGATATGCCTGGAGGAAAGAGCAAGAGTGGCATTAGTGAGACATTGCAAGTCACCCATTTGCAGTGGAGCAAGAACCACAATCAAATGGCACAGGGAATGCTGGTTTTTAGACAAATGCCAGCTCCCTGAGGGATGGTCTTTCATGTTCTTGGATCTAGTTTAGGTAATCCACAGGGAAACAACATTTTTCCAAGGCTGTATCACCCCAAGGACCTTCACAACATAGCCTCTAGAAGATGAATTACAACACATCAAGTGCAAAGTTCCAGCCCACCCAAAACCCTGGACCACTCAACAAGACAGGAACTCTTTCCCATGAGGCTCCCATGTTAAATTATAAATGGATTTTTTTTTTTTTTTGAACACAGGGTCTTGCTTTGTCGCCCAGGCTCGAGTGCAGTGGTATGATCACAGCTCACTGCAGCCTTGACCTCTTGGCCTCAAGCGATCCTCCCACCTCAGCCTCCCGAGTAGCTGGGACCACGGGGGTGTGCCACTATGCCCAGATAATTTTTAAATTATTTGTAGAGACAGGGTGTCCCTGCATTGCTCAGACTGGTCTTGAACTCCTGGGCTTAAGCAATCCTCCCGCCTTGACCTCCCAAAGTGTTGGGATTACAGGCATGAGCCACCATGCCTGGCTATAAATGGATTTGAGCCCATATTCCTGTTTCCATGGCCTGGGACATTGTCATTTGCAAGATATCTCTGGACACCCTCACCTGCAGATCAATCTGATAGAGAGGATCCTTCAGGGCATCAGGGTCATCTTCCTCATCATCCTCGTAGTAATCCTCCTCTGTTAGACATAGCCAACACAGGGCGGGTCAGGACAAAGGCCCATGATCAGGCCCTGAGTGGTGATATACTACCACATGACTGAGGCGGAAGGTGCAAAAGCCCAAGAAATGTCCCTGTGGGCCCACCTCTCCCCTTTCTTGGGTACCCCACTGTTGGGATCAGTGTGCAAAGAAAAGGTATTTACCATGGCTGTCCTCTTATCAAACAGCTTACCATATTTACTTGTAGCAAGAATGTCAGATAAAAGTTGGCCAGCTAAACCATCCTCCTCCTCCTCCTCTTCCTCCTCCTGGTCCTCCCACATATCATTGGAGTCATCTACTTGGAGATGAAAAGCAGCTAGAGCTAGAGCACATTCATGCATTTTCCCTCCCCAAATCCAAATAGGCCAGAATAGAAGGGCCCCAAAGGCTTCTGCAATGTGGCTTGTAGTCCCCAGTGAAAGAGAATCAGAAATGGCCAAACCCTCCTGGTTAGTCTCAATGAAAGAACCTGGAGATATAAGTGTTGACAGGCTCTTAAGAAGAATCAAACCAAAGAAGGGCTATGTTAGCTTGCCTCCTGGCTGCCTCCCACCCCAGCCTCTGTGAGATTTCATATGGCAGACTGGAGAAGCAGCTCTACATGCCTAGTGCCTAGCATGGTGCCAGCCACAGAGCAGCCATTCCATCAACTTTTTTTTTCAATTAGTGACTCAACAAACCAAGTTGATAATTTGACAATTTGTAACTTGATCTGCCAGGCTAAAAGTCTCCTGGGAGTAAGGGCCTGGTGCACCTTGACTCCACTCTGCAGGAGTGGCCTGGCGAGCGGCATTAGCCTCCATGACGTTGGAGAGCTCGTTGATGATCAGCTTTAGGATCTTGACCAGCAAAGGAATGTTTGTCCAGCGTTCTGGGTCTGGGAAGGAAGAAAAAGGTTTCAAGTCAGAGTGTCACTGAGCTTACTTCTGGAAGTACCCCTGTCCTCTCCTCAGTGCCACTCACCAGAGTTCACCACCCCTCAGACTTTCACTGTACCTGACTATATCCAGTCTCCAAAGAGTGACTTAAAGTTAAATAACTTTATTGTTTGGTATTGTAACAGTTCAGAAGCTGGGAGAGATGAGAGTTCAGGGATTAAAGGAGATACAGTCTTGTTAGTAATAAAGCTCTGAAACCAAGGAACTGTATAGAGCCAGTACTCCAGTCCCAATGACTTAGAATTTGAGAGACAGCGGAGGTAATTATAAATCTACATTAAAGATAGCAGCTCTATACTCCCTACCTGCAAATCATTGGAGTTACAGGCCAAAGGCAACTCAGTAACAAAGACATGCTGACTATCTGTGCCCACGCTTCTGAATGAAGCTGGAAGCTGGGATGCTTGGTGCCTGAGACTATTTTTGTCTTTTTTTTTTCTTCAGACAGAGTTTTGCTCTTATTGCCCAGGCTGGAGTGCAATGGCGTGATCTTGGCTCACTGCAACCTCCACCTCCCGGGTTCAAGCGATTCTCCTGCCTCAGCCTCCCGAGTAGCTGGGATTACAGGCATGCGCCACCATGCCTGGCTAACTTTGTATTTTTGGTAGAGACGGGGTTTCTCTATGTTGGTCAGGCTGGTCTCGAACTCCCGGCCTCAGGCGATCCACCCACCTCGGCCTCCCAAAGTGCTGGGATTACAGGTGTGAGCCACCACGCCTGCATTTTTTTTTTTTTTTTTTTTTTGAGACGGAGTCTCATTTTGTTGTCCAGGCTGGAATGCAGTGGCACGATCTTTGCTCACCGCAACCTCTGCCTCCCAGGTTCAAGCGATTCTCCTGCCTCAGCCTCCCAAGTAGCTGGGATTACAGGCGCCCACCACCATGCCTGGCTAATTTTTGTATTTTTAGTAAAGACGGGATTTCACCATGTTGGTCAGGCTAGTCTCAAACTCCTGACTTCAAGTGATCCATCCGCTCTGGCCTCCCACCAAGTGCTGGGATTACAGGCGTGAGCCACCATGCCCGGCCTATTTTTGTCCATTTTCCACAACAGGAAGAAACCGTATGTTCTGATCCCTTTTACCTAAGTTTCCTGCTTCTTCTTTATCAAACCCATCACCAACAATTGTTTTAAAAATATACACCACAGTGCATTCCTTCCCTTCACCCAGGTATCCTTAGCCCCTTCGTATAGGGAGAGGATTGGAAGAATCGCAGCAGCACCCACTTTTGGCTGACTTAGAGCGGGTGCGGATGCCCTCATCCATGCTGTAGATCTCCTCTCCCTTCACACGGATATCCTGTAGCCGTTTGTCATCTGCATTGATGCCATGCTGGAGCAGCTTACAGAGTGCCACAGAGCTGGCAAGGAAGATCCAAAAAAAGGTCAATCAGCCGCCCATCTCGAGTTCACTCCAAGGAGATAAGCAATTATGTCCTAAGACCCTCTATTTGATAGTGAAAATTCCGTTAACAACTAATTAGGAGAGCTAAGAGAGTTCAGCTGAAAATGAGATTTTAGAGTTCATGAGGTGGTTTAATGAGATCTGTGCTTTTTTGTTGTTGTTGTTGTTGTTGTTGTTTTTGAGATAGGGTCTCATTCTGTCACCCAGGCTGAGTGCAGTGGTGTGATCATGGTTCACTGCAGCCTTGACCTCCCTGGGTTCAGGTGATCCTCCCACCTCAGCCTCCCAAGTAGCTGGGACTATAGGCATGCGCCACCGTGCCTGGCTAATTTTTGTATTTTTTTGGTAGACACAGGTTTCACCATGTTGCCCGGGTGGGTCTCAAGCAATTCGCCCACCTCAGTCTTCCAAAGTGCCGGGATTACAGGTGACCTGTTCTTCTTGAACAAAGCTAAGGTTGCACCATATTGTAAGGTGCAACGAGGTGATAAGAATCAGTGGTATAAAAATCCAGGATAAAAAGTTAGGAAGCCAGGGTTAGAAGGTTGGGTTTTTTATTTTTATTTTTCTGAGACAATTTCGCTCGTCGCCCAGGCTGAAGTGCAATGGCGTGATCTGCCTCCTTGGTTCAAGCGATTCTCCTGCCTTAGCCTCCCGAGTAGCTGGGATTACAGGCACCCACAACCACATCCAGCTATTTTTTGTATTTATAGTAGAGACAGTGTTTCACCATGTTTGCCAGGCTGGTCTTGAACTCCTGACCTCCGGTGATCTGCTCGCCTCAGCCTCCTAAAGTGCTGGGATTATAGGTGTGAGCCACTGTGCCTGGCCAAGGCTTGGGCTTATAAAGGAAAATAAGCCACTAGCAGCACTTAGCTGTGTGAAGTCTGTGGTAGAGAAGGGATCTCTTGTAAACAGAGACCAGAAATATATAGTCTACCTGTGTTGACTGTCTTTTGGGGATTTCAAGATGGCAGCTATTCACATATGTGCGTTAGCAATAAAGAAAGACAGGGAAAAGGGAATACAGAGAGCCATTTGAAATGTCAAACAAAAATCAATGGAGCAAATCAGGAAAAAAAAGAAATATGTGTCAGGAGCAGTGGCTCACACCTGTAATCCCAGCACTGTGGGAGGCCGAAGTGGGTGGATCACTTGAGGTCAGGAGTTCAAGACCAGCCTGGCCAACATGGTGAAACCCTCTCTCTACTAAAAACACACACACAAAGAATTCACTGGGTATGGTGGTGCATGTGTGTAATATTCGGACGGCTGAGGCAGGAGCAGGAGAATTGCTTGAACCTAGGAGGTGGAGGTTGCAGTGAGCCAAGATTGTGCCACTGCACTCCAGCCTGGGCGACAGAGCGAGACTGTCTCAAAAAAAAAAAAAAAAAAAAAAAAAAAAAAGAAATATGAGTGGTGGCAGAATGCCCAGAAAAGAAAGATGAGGTTCTACCTGACTTTGCCTTCATACTGTCCATAGAACAGGTGCTGTCGGCTTGTCCACTCAGCCATCACAAACTCTAGAGCAGGTTTGCCAGTAGGTCCTGGGAGGCTACACAGGAACTCCAAGAGAGGTTCTAGCTGAGTGTGCACCAGATGAGCGAACACCATGATCAGGGACTAGGAGAAAATAAGGACATTTGCTTCAGGGAAATCAATTTCAGAGACATAGGAGATGAGAGGGAACTGGCCAGTCAGATAAGAAATACAGTCTACACTGAGGGTATTATCCACAGGACAAGAAAACATGGGAGATTTCCTTGTCCATGTTTCTTAGGCCAAACAGATCAGACAGGTCCCATTTTACTTAACTGTCCTACAAGGCTAGTAAGAGGGTAAAATAAAATAACTCAGGACCAAAATACGAATTTTCATTTCTATCAGCCAGGGAGTAGGAAGCCCACTCCCCACTGCTCTCTTACCTGCATGACACTGAGCGTCTCTGCCTGCTGCATCTTACTGAGGATGGCACGAAGAATCTGGTCTAGATTCTCCCCGAGTTCCCGCCCTGCCTTGGAGATGAGGGTGGAAACAAGGCGGCCCACAAAGGCCGCAGTGAACTCTGAGGTGCGGGGGTCCAGGAGCTGGCTCACCACTTGCATCACATACCACAGTCCATTGTGGCCCTGCTCATCATGCCACTGGGCTACTTGTTCCAGGGTCACTGACACATAGGCCCGCAAGCACTCTCCGCCATTCTGGGGAGACAGGGGTGGCAAGCAAGATTAGTAATCGAGGGACAGATGCCAGAAGGCCCTCAGTCTGTATAAACAAATGTTCCCAGAGGCCTATGCCTCATAAAAGCGGTGAGTCTATAATGTTTGTGGTGGGCTCATACCACTGGAGTTAAGACATTTACTGTTACAGACATAGACGTGCATTACATAATTCCCCCTTTACCTAATCAGCTATCTCACAAATGTGTATATATATTTTTTTAATCACAAGGGACAATGGCCAAGCAAAATGAATTTTAATCATAAAGGTCTACCTCTGGTACTAAAAAAATATGCTTACAATCTTGGAATAACTGGGGATACTGTAGGTCTTTATATAGGTCTTACACAAACCACTAGTTGCCTAGGGATTTCCAAGCTGATCAATATTCACTGGCAAGTTCCTATAACCTTTCTAATCAATCACAGTAGCAGACACCTGAAAAGGTAACCAATTCACCCAAGAAACAAAAAGAGAAAAAATATTCAGGCATGTCTCCCCTCTCTAGAGGCCCATCACTCTGCTGACTTTATTACTAGAAGAAATATGCAGAAAGACTTTCTTATGGCCCCAAGTCTAGATGTCTGTAACCTCTTTCACAGTAGCAATACCCAATACAGATGGGCAGGGTGCTTGGTATCCATATTTTTAAAAACTGTAACATGCTCCAAAGCACCAGAAATGCTTGGCTTTTGCAGACTGAACCCTTCCTGAATCTGCTAAGTAAATATGGAGTTGAGAATTCCGTATTTCAAAAGCATAAAACCATGTCAGATTTCTCAGCATAGTATAAGCCCATGGCTGGGGAGCTATCTTCCCTCTTCTACTCTCCATGTCTCAGATACCTGCATGGTGGCATTGTCATCTGTGTGAAGGGTACACTGTGCCACAGCAGGGAAAGCTTGGCAGATGAGAAGCTGGGAAAGGGGAGGCTTTGTATTTCGTACTACTGTTGTCAGGATATCAATGGCTGTCTGAAAGAGAGAAGAAAAAGAAAAGTCAGAATTGCCTCTGGGGTGGGGGTTGCCCAACAACCAAGATCCTTACTGGATGGGTATTACATAGCAACCCAGAGAAAGCTTATTAATGAAAGGCAAGTTTCCAAAATAAAAGGAATAATTAAATGGGTAGTACTCTCAGCCTTCTCATAATAGCTTACTAATTGATTAGCCATAGGGGTGGGCAGTAGTACATGGTAGTGGATTGGATAACCAGGTGACATACTTAGTGGCACTGTGTAAAGGTGGCACTCTGTTCAATTCACTGAGGGTACCTCTGGAACAAGAAGAGCCATTTTCTTTCTTTCTTTCTTTTTGAGGCAGTCTCGCTCTGTCACCCAGGCTGGAGTGCAGTGGCACGATCTCCACTCACTGCAACCTCTGCCTCCTGGGTTCAAGTGATTCTCCTGCCTCAGCCTCTTGAGTAGCTGGTACTGCAGATGCCTGCCACCATGCCCGGCTAATTTTTGTATTTTTAGTAGAGATAGGGTTTCACCACATTGGCCAGGCTGGTCTCGAACTCCTGACCTTGTGATCCACCCACCTCGGCCTCCCAAAGTGCTGCAATTATAGGCATGAGCCACCGCGCCAAGCCAAGCCATTTTCTTAAAGCTTCAGAGAATCACCCACTGTCCTTGCAGGCAAAAGAGCTCAGCAAAATCACCCCATGAATCTCTAACGCTATTAGGTTCTTGTCAGCTAGATGCATCTGTGGGTGGCACTTGTAGATCTCTCTCACACACACACACACACACACACGGCCACTTACCGCACAAAGCCCTGCAGGAATCTTGTCTGCTGGGGCCTGCATTATGCTGACCAGAGTGGGAATCAGCCTCATTTGCATTGGGCCCTGACAGGCTTCAATCTGGGACAGCTCCTTGAAGATGTCCTGAGCCAGTGAGGCGACGACGGGATCTGAAGTGGATAAGGCAACACGGAATCCCCCTGCCTGATGGTCTGCATCTGCTTCTCGCTTAATGATGCCTGTTGTTTGGCCCTAACCTAAGTTAACAACTTCTGCATTGATTACTTATCACATACCCGGGACCTAGTGGGGCCACATGAATAACCTGAAAGAACAGGAGAGATCCTAAATCTGCAAGAGGTACACTTTGTATGGCTTCATTAAAGTAGGGACTAGTCATTAACAGCTACTCATAAAACAAAATGTGGCTTTTTCTAGAGAAAAATCTTTAAAGTCTTTATTCTTGTGAAACCTACGTTATAAAACCAAATGCTTAAAAAAAAAAAAAAAGCCCAACTGATACTTTAAGAAGACATGAAAGCTGCAAAAATTGCCAAAACACTGGCTTTGATGCATGAGAGAAATCATACATATCTCCTATGGGGTAGCCACGGTAGACATGAAGAACTCTCAAAGCTACTTCTGGGGCAAAAGGCAAAACTCCTAAAAAGCAGAGCCTTATGAAGAAAGGGAACTTTAGCTCAATCTTCTTTATCTATAGAACAAAACATCCTCCTCTATTTAGTATGGAAAAATATAGGCAATGTGCATTAAAGTATACCTTAAAAGATCACTGCAGCATTGTTTGTAATAGAAAAAAATTGGGAATACCCTAGATGTCCATTAACAGAATGGGTAAATTATGATATACCCATTTTATGGAACATTAGTAATGGCTGAAAAGAATGAGATATATCCAAGAACACAATGTGGAAAGCTCCTCAGTACACATTTTTCAGTGAAAAAGCTATCAAATAACATGTTCAGTATATCACATTATATAAATAATCCTTATCCTGTACATCTTTCTGAGCTTCAATATTGGAGCTCTCTCTTTAAAAAAAGAATCCTTAATATTTTACTAGTAATAAGGTATTAATAAATACATTCACTACAGGAAAAAAAAAACTTAAAATGCAGAAAAGTAATAATGAAAACACCTGTAATTCCACTACCTAAACACTCAACATTTTGATGTATTTTTTTTTAAAACATACCTATCTATACATACATGCTTTTCTAAAAGAAAAATCAAAACTTGGGATCATATTCTATGGATTTTTTGGGAAAAGTATCTTTTCATTTATTATAATGTAAGCTCTTTCCCATGGTTTCAGATATTCCTTTTAAGCTTGATTTTTAATGGCTGCACAGTATTTCATTTTATGGATATAATTAACTAATGTCTTTTTATAATTTCCAAATTTTTACTACTGTAAAAAATATCTAGTGAATACCTTTGTTTATAAACTTTTCCATATATCTTTCTTTAGTATCTCCTTTTCTAAATTATAGTCCTAGCCCTTTTCTTTTAGGAGGCTTTTCATTTGCCCAATTTCCTATTCTATCATCAAAGTTCTGAATTATGTCTCTTGCTTATTAGCCCTTTATTTATTATCTTTATCCCTAAGTCCTTACTAGAGAGTAAGTGTTACAGAAATAGGTACTCTATTTTTTAATGCTGCTACATTTACAGCACAATTCTATTTTTTGCTAATTGAAAGCCAGATTCTTTGCTTACGATGTTAAAACCATAGCTTCATAGCTAAGACCAGACCTAGGGAATCTTTCATTTAAATTCACCAGCCACCACCTTTTCTTTGGTGCCCCTCATAATACATCCTCCCTGGCAGCATACCATTACTGTACTTTAGGAAAATGGCGATGGTGAAGGGGCAGATTTTGCTTTCCATGCTTGCTGTGAATTCGGGGTCTACTGTACAAACGATGCACAGGGTCTCCATCACCAGGTTGAGGACCTCTGAGCTGAACTGGGCTGCTAGGTGAATTAAGCCATCAAGGATGCTGGGGAGGAAGGGCTGGAGCACGTGGGTACTCTCTGAGACTTTCAGTTGGTCACAATAACTAGAGAGAGATAGATAAGCAAGAATTATTAAAAAAAATTCAATTCCTGGTTTTCCCAATCAATCTCACATATTATAGCATTTGTATGTGTAGCTTTATAAAGCTAATTCTAAAGTTAGGTTTAAGTTTCTACTTCTTTCTGGATGTATTATATAAACATCAACACCACCATTTCTATGTTCTGTAATTTATTTCTTTGACTTTTGCTATTTTCTTTAAAAACTTCTGCTTTTTTTCTTGAGGTTTTTTTTTTTTGCATCCTGAAACAAGCTTAATTTATATAAACATTTTATGTTTCACTTTCAAAATCAGCCTATTAGCTGTAGGATTTAAAGTTCCCTCTATAGTTTTACTGTATTAGCCTCTTTTCAATCAACAAATATTTACTGAATGTTGCTTATCATGTCCAATATGATACAATTGTTAAAAATACATTGTCTAGGACCAGGCACGGTGGCTCACACCTGTGATCCCAGCACTTTGGGGGGCCAAGGCAGGTGGCCCAGTTGTTCTCTTCGAACTTGAGACAGAGGTACTTCAGAAGAAAGTCATATTATGTCAGGCAGTATAGGAAGCCACAGGATATATATATAATATTTTCGTGGGACATCAGTTTCCCCTGGAGACTTCAGGGTAAAGAGAAGATTAGGTGTTAGGAGTAACACAAGTTAAAGAAACACCGACTTCCAAAATAAAGTCCAACCTCTTTCAGCATGGCATTTAAGATCCAGCATGATGTAGATAGATGATGCAAACTCTGTAATCTACCATACGGTACAGTTTCAAGTTCATTAGAGGGGCAAAGTAACTATAAACCCTTAGAATAGAAGTGGGAAATGGAGCGAACTCCTGACCTCAGGTGATCCACTTGCCTTGGCCCCACAAAGTGCTGGGATCACAGGTGTGAGCCACCGTGTCTGGTCCTAGACAATGTATTTTTAACAACTGTATCATATTGGACATGATAAGCAACATTCAGTAAATATTTGTTGATTGAAATGAGGCGAATACAGTCTGACATAAATTTGAGTTGAAAAATGTGAAACAAGTATAATTATTTGTCAATCAGTATCTTGTTTCAGAGATTATTTAAGGGAGTTTGCAATGATACATAAACTATGACATGAAGGAATAAATTAAAACTGGGGCTAAAGAAAAAAAGAAAAGCAACGGTGGAATGCTGATCATTAAAAGGTTACTAGTGACATTAGAAAAGACAGCTGCAGGCCGGGCGCGGTGGCTCATGTCTGTAATCCCAGCACTTTGGGAGGTGGGGGCGAGCGGATCACCCGAGGTCAGGAGTTTGAAACCAGCCTGACCAACATGGAAAAACCCTGTCTCTACTAAAAATACAAAATTAGCTGGGTGTGGTGGCACATGCCTGTAATCCCAGCTGCTGGGGAGGCTGAAGCAGGAGAATTGCTTGAACCCAGGAGGCAGAGGTTGTGGTGAGCCGAGATCGCGCCACTGCACTCCAGCCTGGGCGACAGACAGCAAGACTCCGTCTCAGAAAAGAAAAAAAAAAAAAAAAAAGAAAAATAGTTCCAATAGTGTGACACGGACATAAGCCAGTCTGCAATTGGCTGGTAAACTAAATAGGAAATGACCAAAGGGAAACTCTTGACTGAAAGAAAGATAGCTAATGATCCATTCATAGGACAGTTCTTAATCGGGATCCACAGATAGGCTTCAAGGAATCCAGTGTTTGACAATGAATATAAAATTTTGTAAACATATATGAGTGTCCATTTCTCTGGCCCACATATCCACAGCTTTTGTCATCCTACAGAGATATCTGTTACATCTCTCAAGAAAACTATTAAACCACTACCCATGTGGTCCAAGAGATATGAACATTAAAAATAAAAGTTTTCTTCACAGTTCTTCTGATTATAAAAGTAATATAAACTTGTTGAAACAAACAAACAAACAAAATATTTTATATATATAACAGAGAATGAAAGTTCTTTGTACTCTAATCTCCCCCAGAGAGAATCAATGTTGGTAAGTATGCCTGATAGGTACTGCTGTCTACCTAAAACACTCTGGAAAGTAATGGGCTTATTTTACCCAAAGTACTTTCACATTCATACCAAACTCCTCTCACAGCTTGCAGCTGCAAACATTTCCATAAAATCACAACACAAAGTGGATAATTCTCCAATGAAATCAAGTTTCACTAAGGTCAGAAGCTAAACAGGCAGTGACCACAGGTACAAACTCAGAAAAACCCTTAAAATAACATTCATGCCTTAAGCAGCTTAGGGCTCTCTCTTCTCAGACATTTAAAATGGTGTTAGAGCTTTCTGAAAAAGCTATACTTAGTTTGCCTCTTAAGATGATACTTCTAATTATTTTAGAGCCAAAGATCTGCTTCACCTAGATTGAAGCAGAAAAAGATGGGACGGTGTTTATGGTCATAACATTAACCATTTAATTAAAACAGGCAGTTCTTGAATGCTTTCTAATGACATATAACACACGGCATCTCAAAAGATACTCCTCTGCCTCAAAAGATAAGACAGGGCAGGCACATGGAAAATAAATTTTGTGTTGGTAGTTATAGGATTCAGTTGAGATGTTTAAGTTTGAGCCTAAGATATTCCTTAAAACAACAATGGTCCTTCTAGTCTGCGTAGGAATATAAATAAATGACTTTTGATCCATTAGTAACACTAGCCTTAAAAAAGATAGGTAAAACTGGGAAAAAATAAGCAGTGTTTCTAGGTCACATTATCCCAGATTTGGTTTCTAATATAATCAACCAACAAAATGATGTGGACTCTAATCCTGCTTCTATCATTCATCAATTGTGCAACCCTGTGCAAAACATTTTTCTCTCCAAACCTCAGGTTCTTCACCATTGAGAGAAAGGGAGTTGCCTAGATGATTCCAGAACTGGAGCGAATTTAAAGAGGAAGAGGAGCAGAAAGGAACAGGACATCTTCTGGACTCACAAAAGCCATGTCTCTAGCATGGTTTCTTTCCCTGTCCTTCCAACATTCACCCTGAAGGATATCATTAGCAGGGATTTCCAAGCAACATAATACACTGGAAAACTGTGATTTGTTATATCTAACCTGAGCAACTTTCCCTTAATTATCACGCTAGGGTAGCATACTCACCCCCAGATGGCTCTCACTGCAGAAATTCGAACTGATGGGGGCTGTGTCTCGTGAAGACCACTAACTGTTGCCTGTAGGAACTGCTGGATCAGTTCAGGGGACATAGCAACAGTGAACCGACTGGCAGCCCAAAGTGCCCGGCCCAAGAGGAAAGGAGACACTGGGAGAAAGACAGAACAATTAGGGGCTGGAAAATGAAAATTCCTTTTACTTGTTCTTTCTCTTTCCCACATTCATTCCTCAATTTTTTTTTTTTGAGATGGAGTCTCACTCTGTCACCCAGGATGGAGTGCGATGGCGTGATCTCGGCTCACTGCA
This sequence comes from Homo sapiens, assembly GCF_000001405.40. Classification (NCBI taxonomy): domain Eukaryota; kingdom Metazoa; phylum Chordata; class Mammalia; order Primates; family Hominidae; genus Homo; species Homo sapiens. Next base: position 201,863,289 of record NC_000001.11, on the reverse strand, counting down.
ACCTCCGTCCCCCGGGTTCAAGCAACTGTCCTGCCTCAGCCTCCTGAGTAGTTGGGATCACAGGCGCCTGCCACCATGCCCGGCTAATTTTTTGTATTTTTAGTAGAGATGGCGTTTTGCCATGTTGGCCAGGCTGGTCTCAAACTCTGGACCTCAAGTGATCTGTCTGCCTCGGCCTCCCAAAGTGCTGGGATTACAGGCATGAGCCACCGCATCCGGCCCTCCATTCCTCAATTTTTTAGAAGTAAATAGATGCTACATAATATGTACAACTCATTTGAGAGAAAAAGCATAACCTTGTATGATGAAAGCAAATGTGTGACCTGTGGTACAAAATCAATTTCCCAGTTTTCCCTTGTCTCTTCTGAGCAAAGTAGATCTTGAATATTATTAGACTAAAAAGACTTTACCACCCCAGTCCTCACCCCCAGCTCTCATTATTCCTTACCTGTACTACTAGTTAATCTTTTTTTTTTTTTTTTTGAGATGAAGTTTCATTCTTGTTGCCCAGGCTGGAGTGCAACAGTGCGATCTCGGCTCACCACAACCTCCACCTCCCTGGTTCAAGTGATTCTCCTGCCTCAGCCTCCCCAGTAGCTGGGATTACAGGCATGCACCACCACGCCCAGCTAATTTTGTATTTTTAGTAGAGATGGGCTTTCTCCATGTTGGTCAGGCTGGTCTCAAACTCCTGACCTTAGGTGATCTGCCTGCCTTGGCCTCCAAAAGTGCTGGGATTACAGGTGTGAGCCATGGTACCCGCCCACTTAATCTTCTAAGTTGCCATCTCCATTGCTAGTTTATTCCCACTTTTGGACCACTCTTTTTTTTTGAGATGGAGTCTTGCTCTGTTGCCCAGGCTGGAGTGTAGTGGCACAATCTCAGCTCACTGTAACCGCTGCTTCCCGGGTTCGAGCGATTCTCCTGCCTCAGCCTCCCGAGCAGCTGGGATTACAGGTGCGTACCACCACGCCTGGCTAATTTTTGTATTTTTAGTAGAGAGGGGGTTTCACCATGTTGGCCAGGCTGGTCTTGAACTCCTGAACTCAAGCAATCCACTCGGCTTGGCCTCCCAAAGTGCTGAGATTACAGGCATGAGCCACCGCGTGCAGCCTTGGACCACTCTTAAAACATAAATTATAGCTCTGATCATGTCATTCTTCTATTTAAAATCTGTCAATTAATTCCATAGTCCACCAAATAAAGATTACCTTAGTCATCACGTTATTCAAGGCTCCCTAAGATCAGTGACTCTAGCATTACCTATGATTTCCCTTTATGGTTTCCAAACTCAAGTACACATCCCTCCTTAGCAACTTACATCTTACTCTCCCAGCTCTCTGCCTTGTTCATATTGCAAGCCAACATATTCACCTCCTTGCATTACCTAATTCATCTCTTAGGCTGAAGCAATTCTAACTATCTCTATGCCACAGTAATTCTGTCTTTAGTGTTCTTACATGTTATATATTTCGTTTGATAGTCTAGCCACTAATGTAAGGATTACTACCCTTGTTTACTATAAGCTGCTGAGGAGAGACTATTCTTATTCAGCTTGTCACAGGGCTTAACTTGTTTACTCACACAATAAACATCTTGTTGACGGAAAACACTGAACAGAACCTAATAAACTGTGCCAGTCAAATTACGCAATACAGATGCTCCTCTGCTTATGATGGGGTTACTTCCTGATAAACACATCGTAAGTTGAAAATACTGTAAGTTAAAAATGCATTTAAATTTAATACTGAACATCACAGCTTAGCCGGGCCTACCTTAAACATGCTCAGAACACTTACATTAGCGTAAAGTTGGGCAAACTCACGTAACACAAAGCCTATTTTATAATAAAGTGTTGAATATCTCATATAATTTATTGAATACTATACTGTAAGTGAAAACAGAATGGTTGTAAGGGTACTTGAAGTATAATTTCTACTAAATGCATATTGCTTTGGCATCACTGTAAAGATGAAAAATCATAAGTCCAACCACTGTAAGTGAGAAACTGATAATGTACAGAAGCAGTTCCCAAAGGATGGTCCAGAAATTCCCTAAAGTTAAAACTATTTTCACAGTAATACAGAAACATTATTTTTTTCACTTTCATTCCTTCTTTTTTTTGAGACAGAGTCTCGCTCTGTTGCCCAGGCTGGAGCGCACTGGCACAATCTCGGCTCACTGCAACCTCCGCCTCCTGGGTTCAAGCAATTCCTCTACCTCAGCCTCCTGAGTAGCTGGGATTACAGACGCGTGCCACCACGCCCAGCTAATTTTTGTATTTTTAGTAGAGATGGGGTTAGGCCATGTTAGCCAGGCTGGTCTCGAACTCCTGACCTCATGATCCGCCCACCTCAGCCTCCCAAAGTGCTGGGGTTACAGGCATAAGCCACCATGCCCGGCCTCACTTTCATTCTTTCACAAGTATACAGTGGAGTTTTCCAGAGGTTATATGGTATGTGATATCATGGCTCTGACAGCCAGGGGAAAACATGTTTCCATTTCTTTTATTTTAAAAACAACTCAGTTTTAATCTTTAGTATGTTAAATATTAATAAATTAAAGCCACATAAAAATGTCTTTTAAATTATTGATAATTTGTAACCAAAAAGTTTCAGAATGGTTGGTGTAGAAAAGGTTTTAGCTACAGGTAGGATTAACAAATGATATATATTGAGCCTTTTTCCAGACTAAATAACAAATATTCTAAAATTTCCAAAGTTTTTGAAAAATCTTTGCTAGGGTAAACTCTATAAGAAATGTGTTGATGGGCTTCAGAAATCATTCAATGTGTAACTATGGGATGCCTACTCAAGGCACTTGTAGGATACAAAGATTAGACATGATTTCTACTCTCAGAGACCTTACTAGTAGGAGTAAGAAAACATATTCAACAATGCAGCATATGATAAGTACAGAGTGAAACAGGATATTCCCAACGCATCTGAGCTCTGGATGTACAACCATTTTAATTTGTGATTCAGAGAATGGAAGTGATGGACTGAGACACCCGATAATAGATTACCTATTTAAAATCACAGAGCAGAACATTTTCAAATGACATAAGCTACTCCCAGAACTATCCTATGGAGAGGAAGTAAATGGACCGAAAATGGAGCAAACAATACCAAAGGTTCCATGATTTAAGTACTGAGAGAGAAAGCAAAGGCAGTGTTTTCGGATGGTGATCTGGCTCCAAGGATGAGAAAAGGCATGGCATGGCAGAAGCAAGTAGCAGAAAATGCCACATAGACAACAATGATTCTCAGCTACTGCTCTGTATTGCGGAAGAAATCGGTCTAATAGTAAAGGGCTACCTTTTTTTTTTTTTTAAACCAAGTCTCGCTCTGTCACCCAAGGTGGAATACAGTGGTGTGATCTCAGTTCTCTGCAACCTCTGCCTCCTGGTTCAAGTGATTCTCCTGCCTCAGCCTCTTGAGTAGCTGGGACTACAGGCTCCTGCTACCACACCCAGCTAATTTTTATATTTTTAGTAGAGATGGGGTTTCGCCAAGTTGGCCAGGCTGGTCTTGAACTCCTGACCTCAGGTGAGTCACCTGCCTTAGCCTCCCAAAGTGCTGGGATTAGAGGCATGAGCCATCGCGCCTGGCCTACTTTTTTCTTTTTAAGACAGATGGCTAACATGGGTATGAGAATGGAACATTTTAATTATTTGGATATTGGCCAAAAATAAAGTTTGAGAAAAATGACAGGAAACAAACAGGAAGAATGTGCCTGATACAGAATGCCTGAGGGCATTCTGGACTTAACAATGGGAGCAGTACTCGATAATTCTCAAGGTACAGCAACCAGATTTGGATTCCATTCAAATGCCAAAAACAACCATGAATGGGAACGCCAATTTGGGAAGAAACATAAACATCACGGAAGAATTATGAACTAGGCAATATTAGATTGTCATTAGGTGAAGCTTGAATCGGCCTCTGGGCTGTTTTAGAGGTTCGGATGAGTTCAAGCTGTAGGGTGCAAACAATTTTCACTCAAAGGACACAAGAATATCTGGCCTACCAGTCTAAGTGAACAATATAACCAAGTTAATGACAGGTTTAAAGAGTTTCCTTTATATATATATATATATATATATATATTATACTTTGAGTTCTAGGGTACATGTACACAATGTGCAGGTTACATATGTATACATGTGCCATGTTGGTGTGCTGCACCCATTAACTTGTCACTTACATCAGGTATATCTCCTAATGCTGATCCCTCCCCCAACCCCACAACAGGTTTAAAGAGTTTCTAGAATCCTGGCACGTGCTGAAACATACCTGAGAGGTTGAGGTCTGCAAGGATGACATTGGTCAGGAACCCATGCATGTCAAAATGAATCCTGCCATTTTTCACACTGTCAGTGATGATGGCCTTCACTGAGCCTAGGGCAAGCATGCATGCCTCATGGATCTTCCACCTGTGAAAGGATACTACAGCCTAGTAAAACATACTAAACTGCCAAAAGAGATAAATATTTGAGGAAACAAGATTCAGAAAAGGGCACTCCAGCACAATCTCTTCCAAAAGAGTCATTTACCTTAAGCCCTTCCATTCTAACCTATAGCTGAAAAGAGTGAAATTTTAATAATAAGAGATTAAAATCTGTTATTAAATTAAAACCAGATTTTCAAATTAAGATAAAAATAAATCCATCCTTTCAAGACTTTTTAAGAAGGGGTAAACAAAAGCATCTTAACCAATTAGCGGCTCACTCTTACCAGTGCTCAGTGCCACTGTTTTTGGTTTGCTCAGCTTCTTGTAAATGTCGAGTGGCTGCAGCAGCCAGGGCTGCTGCACTTTCATTCTGGAAATCTGTGGCCACAGCCTATAGAGAGAGAAGAGCTAATAAATCTGTTTGTGCCCATTAAATGCATTTTAATTGTAAACCGCTTCAGTCATGACTGTTAGAAGTGATTGGTTCAAGCTCTTTCACATACATGTGCAAACCCCTAATTGTATTAAAAATGTTATACCAGTAGGTCAGGGTCTCTAATGAAATTAAAGTAGTATCTGTATTTCGGTAGTGCCTAGGCATTGTAAGGCTAACCAGTTGGCTCCTTTGGCTATATTCAGCAGAGCATAAGTGAGCAATAATAGATCTAGCTTTGGATGACAATGGACCAAATATTTGCTCTCTTGGAGACTGATGATAGAAAAATAAGTCTAATCTACTAATTGGAACTGAATATAATCTTTCACAGCTCCTTAGAAATACTAAATGATAATGAGAAGTGATTCATCAACAGAGAACAAATCTCCTACCCAACAAGAAGCAAGTGGCAGTTTCTTCTTAGTATTTCAGCCTAGAGACAACTCTATGCTCTAGTCAGAAGAGGCAAAGAAAACATGAGCAGGTATTTGGATGTTAATCTTTCAGCAATCTGTTTTGTTTTGCTAGGTTTGCCAACCTTTTGTCTGTGCTATAGATTCTTGTTGAAGAGTGAATTAAACTGAAATGGCTTTTTTTTTTTTTTTTGAGACCAAGTTTCACTCTTGTCGCCCAGGCTGGAGCGCAATGGTGTAATCTTGGCTCACCACAACCTCCGCCTCCCGGGTTCAAGCAATTCTCCTGCGTCAGCCTCCCGAGTAGCTGGGATTACAGGCATGCGCCATCACGCCCGGCTAATTTTGTATGTTTAGTAGAGATGGGGTTTCTCCATGTTGGTCAGGCTAGTCTTGAACTCTGGACCTCAGGTGATCTGCCCGCCTCGGCCTCCCCAAGTGCTGGGATTACAGGTGTGAGTCACCACGCCCAGCCATAAACTGAAATGTTCTTGATTCAACTACCCTTACTCCATGGAACACTTTATCCTCTATACAATTCTCCCCCGCACCCCGGCCCTATGGTCTGCACAATTCTTTTATCTAATATTTAGTTTTAAGTTAGAACCAGTAGCAATGATTTTAGAATTTCTGAGTCTCGAATTTCATTTCAGAAACTCTCTTGCATCCCCAATAAAGTCTGAGATAAAGCCACCCAACAACACTGCTCACCTTGGATTAGTTGTCTACAAAAAAGAAGAAATGCTCAAGTGACTGATAGAAATTATGTGGCTGAAGTATCAAGGTAAACTTACCAGCAACAAGTCTTGAGCTGCTATTCTAACAGTATAGGAGAATGTATCATCATCTTCATCTTCTACAAATTGTTGGGGGTTGGCTGTCCATACTTTAATCTGAAAAGATCAAGTTATGTCTTTGTGATGCTGCCAATCTGATTCATAGCTTTTCATCAACAGATACAGGAAGATTTCAACCTATTATCCTGAAAAAACTCTAGCCTTTTGCTGGATGCAATGGCTCACAACTGTAATCCTGACACTTTGGGAGGCCAAGGTGGGAGGACTGCTTGAGCCCAGGAGTTTGAGACCAGCCTGGGCAACATAGTGAGACCCCACCTCTACAAAAAATAAAAAAGTCAACTGGGCATGGTGGCATATGCCTGTGGTCTCAGCTACTCGGGAGGCTGAGGCAGGAGGATGGCTTGAGCCTGGGAGGTCAAGGCTGCCGTGAGCTTTGTCTACACCACTGCACTCCAGCCTGAGCAAAACAGCAAGACCCTGTCCCAAAAAGCAAACAAAACAAAACAACAACAACAACAAAAACTGAAACAAAAACTCTAGCTTAAAAAAATCTTTTCTTTTTGATGTAGAGAAATAAATACTATTAAGTAGCAAGGTAGGTAGCAATGGCTATTGCTCTCTTTTAGAATCTGGCTGATTACTAGCTCTCTGCCAATGTCAACCTGCTGTTACCCTTTGATAGATCGATTTTCTGAATAGATTAAGTCTGATAGACTATTTATTGTGAAAATTATGTCAATTCTTGTGCTGTTTTAAACGAGGCGTTATCTAATTTTTGAACGTTCTTTGCTGCTTTTGATGACCCACCATCAGGCTAATGGTCTGATTATTACATTTTACTTTAGGGAAGGAACAGATTCTCCTAAAAATCAGTGTCTTAGGTTAGTGGTCCTGTGAGATTTTCTAATGGCAAAAGTGGGCCAGGCACAGTCACTCATGCCTGTAATCCCAGCACTTTGAGAGGCCAAGGTGGGTGGATTGCTTGAGCCCAGGAGTTAGAGACTACTAGCCTGGGCAACATAGTATAGTACTTTGCTGGGAAAAAAAAAAAAAAAAAAAGCCAGGTATGGTGGTGAACTCCAAAACCTTGGATTTGGCAATAAAATGATGTCAAACCTTTCCCAGAACTTCACATGAAATTATTCTTTTTGTGTCTATTTTTAGAAATAAAGTGTTCACCTGACCAAGACCTCATATTCTTCAAGTTGCACTTTCCAAATACAAGATGGTAACTGTCTCTCAAATATTATTTACCTGCTCCTCAGTGATTTGCATGTACAGGATAATATAATAAATCAATTCAGGCAAGGCTTTCTTAACAGTGCTTTTGAATTTGCTATTTTCTAGTAGAGCATGGACAAATTCAAAAATGCTAAAGACGAGATTTTCAAAGCCCAGGACTTCACCTGCAGGAAATACAGAAGAGAAGAAATTAATGACAAGAAAGCAAAAGGAAAGCATATATGCAGAAAATGAACTACATAACCTTTGTAAATTACTGAATATTTAAAGTACTTGCTAATGATCATTCCTGAGGAATTGGGAGAGAGGGCTCAGAGGTCACAAAACGTAATTTTGAGGATATTAAATATTCTTTGGTTTTTCAAGTAAAAGAATCAGAAACACTGGATATATTTTCCAGTATGTCTATTGTTCTAATCTGAAATAATGAGAAATGTTAAAACAGAAACGAAAGATTCATGATCTGGGACCCCCAAATGAAACACAACAAAATGCCAGAAGTAGGCTAGATTAAATGGCCTTAAAAGTATCTCTTCCAATGCAGAAATTCTATGATTTTATGAGATTTATGCAACTACCTATGTGGAACAGATTAAAGATTGTCAATTCTCATTTCCCCACATCGAATACATCGAAAATAAACTGAATTAGAAAACACTTAATAGAGTGAAGCCTCTCAAGTTACTGTTTCCCGCCCCCATCTCTGGCTTCTTTTTCTTTTCCCACTAACTGGTATTTCTATAAAGATCAAATAAACTACATACCATCAGAATCCACAGGATCTTCTACTTCTTCTGTGTAATTTACTTCTGTCCTCACATAAGTATGATGAAGAGTAAAGAAATAGAATTTGGAGTCTGCTTTACATATAATCTACATGGAAATGTTACATATTCCAACACTAAAAGTAGACACCTTAAAAAAGCCTGTGTAAGAAGAGTGGAACCATATGAATGTGAAACCCAGTGCGAGATTCCTAACTATAGGTGGTAGTAGCTCCCTTAAACTTTCAAGAAAGGATATAAAGCTGCACTCTCGGTTAGGGTGTTCCAAACAATAGGCAGAATCTGCTGCATGGAGGACACCATGTGCTTTGGGAAGTTTTTCACTAGGGCTGTCACTGCCTAAGAAGTTAAGAGAAAAGGACCCAAGTTATGAGTGATATATAAGAAATAAATGATTTCAGACCAGCCCCTCAAACTCCAAATATTTCATTGGTAGTAAGTGTTTACCTTTAGGACCTCCATCTTAAACCCACTGTCAGATGTGGGGCCATCTGGTATCTGGAGGGCCTGAACAAAGGCCTCTGTGAACTGCTGTACCACGGGAAAGATCAGGACTTTGGCTGCACCCTGATAACAGAAACCAAAGTCAATACTGGACAAACCCCTAATCCATGGCTTCAACACATATATATCAAACACTGATATTTGAAAGGCACCTAAAGCTCTCTTCAGGCTCCAAGCCTGATCAGAAGAGAATAGCTATAAAGTCAATGAAGGTGTTACCTAAGATTTCATTTTTCCTTAACCAGCACTTGCAGTTCTTCATCAAAGCCCTCTTAAAAACTATTATGTAAGACCAACTTTCCTCCTAACTGCTTCTGAATCACAGGGATTGGTATTTTTCAGCTAGCTTTGCTTCACACAAGAGGGCCATAAAAGAGTAGGAAAGTTCTAAGGGATGACTACTATGAAAAGGATATAGGATAAGGTGTTTGAAGAAGTAAGACTCAAAAGAAGACTAAGCTTTTTACAAGTTGAAAATTCAATCAGGCCAGGTGTGGTGGCTCACACCTATAATCCTAGCACTTTGGGAGGCCAAGGTGGGAGGATCACTTGAGCCAAGGAGTTCAAGATGAGCCTGGGCAACATAGGGAGAGACCCCGTCTCTACAAATATAAATTCATTAGGCTGGGCATGGTGGCTCATGCCTGTAATCCCAGCACTTTGGGAGGCCGAGGTGGGTGGATCACGAGGTCAAGATATTGAGACCATCCTGGCCAACATGGTGAAACCCTGTCTCTACTGCAAAACAAAAATTAGCTGGGCATGATGGCGCGTGCCTGTAGTCCCAGCTACTCGGGAGGCTGAGGCAGAAGAATCACTTGAACCTGGGAGGCGGACGTTGCAGTGAGCTGAGATTGCACCACTGCACTCTAGCCTGGTGACAGAGCGAGACTCCATCTCTAAATAAATAAATAAATTCATTCGTTCACTCATTCATTCATTAGCCAGGAGTGGTAGCACATGCTGGTGATCTCACCTACTCGGGAGGCTGAGGTGAGAGGATTGCTTGAACCTGGGAGGTTGAGGCTGCAGTGAGCTATGATCATGCCACTGCATTCCAGCCTGGGTGACAGAGCAAGATCTTGTCTCAAAAAAAACCCAAATAAATAAAAAAAATACAAATATAGCTGAGTGTTGTGGTTCATGCTTATAACCCCAGCACTTTGGGAGGCTGAGGGGGGAAGACTGCTTGAGCCCAGAAGTTCAAGACCAGCCTGGGCAATACAGTGAGACCCTATCTCTACAAACATTTAAAAAAGAAAATCAGCCAAGTGTGGTGGTGCACACCACACCTGTAGTTCCTACTGGGGGTCAGGGGATCACTTAAGCCCAGGAGTTCAAGGCTGTAGTGAGCCATGATTGCACCACTGTAGTCCAGCCTGGGTGACAGAGCAAGACCCTGTCTGGAAAAATAACAACAATAATTTAATAAAAATGTTAAATCTATCTCTAATACTGGTTAGTGTGCTTTTTCGTGCTGCTATCATGAAATGACTCACTGCTCTGCATGAATAAAACTTTTAAGCATGAAGTCTGTTATTGATCCAAAGACCTGCTTACCTTTTCCAGCTCCTCCATGTTACAGATCATATGGGCACAAGTGGTAAAAATCTCCACGGCTCGGGAACGGGTTCGAATACCATACACCTGGAAGAAAGGTTACAGCATAACAGCATAGCCACGAGACTGGAGTGTGTAGGTATGTGTGTATCTCAGACTAGAAGTAAAACTATGACTAATGAATCCTCACATGAGATTGGATGCCCTCGAGAAATGGGAAATGTAATTCATTTATGTCCAGGAGGCAGACTTCTGTAATTCAGAGAATGAAAGGTAGCAGAATCATAATGTTGGAACTTACTGGAATGAACCTTATATAAGGGCCTCTGTGGGTTCATTTGATTAAAAAATACCAGACTAGGTAGTGCTTAAAATCCCAACACAGCCAATATATTTCCTTTAAAATGCAGACCATTGGTTGGGGGCAGAGGGGAATAGGGAAGTTAAAACATTATCCATCAGGTATTTATACCTTACTATAAATGAGTTATCATTCATATACACACTAATCAAATATATATGCAATATATTAAGGGTCTATTATGTGCAATGCAGTGATAGATTGCTTCCCATTACTTAGCTGAGGTAGGCAAGCGTAGGTGGGATAACTCAGTAAGAGGCTGGAAGTAGCATGAAGGAAGGCACTATTTATCTACTTAGGGGCTACTGGATGCCAGGAAGTACGATATGTGAAGAAATATTTCAGCTATTTCACACTTTTATCAAAGGCTTGCCCTTGTAGTTGAGTGAAAGGTCTAAGGTTAATGCAGATTCAGATCCAGATCTTTGTCAGTTCTAGTTTTTAGGTATTGAGATCAGTTGCAAACACCATAATCTCCCACCTGAAAGGCTGGGGGCTGAAGAGAGCCTGAACTCACTATAATCTTGGAGCTGAGATTTCATACCTCAGCCATGGTGAAGATCTTATACATCTCTGGGAGAATGACAGGAGCAACAAGTGGCATCTGTGTGTCTGTTACTTCACGAGTGAATTCTACAAAGAAAAAAGTAGTACTGTTAAAAAAAAAATACTGCTTCATAAAGATATTAAGTGTGATATTTTCTGAACTGCTTCTAGGTGGCAGTTCCCAAACAGACAGCACACAGGTAAAGACACTGGCCTGGTGGTCTCATTCTGTGAAAGCAAAAGTAGCAAGAGTTACTGATTATTTGTTAGAAGGAGAAAGAATAATATGGAAATAAAGAAAAATACAAGAGATTAAAAAAGAAAACTTTAATATAAATACTGAAAGAAAATCTGTAATAGAACTGCATAAAAGTCCTTGTGAGGTCAACTTGGGAAAATTCTGTATTAATTTATCTTGTGCCCATCTGTCAACATTCAGTTACACTTCGAGGTTTCTTACCTTTGCTTCTGTTTTCAGTACTTTCGCTTGGCAAGCTGGTTTGATGCATGTAATAAAATATGTACAGACTTACTAGGCCTCAACTCCTCTTTGTATATGTTACTCTTCTCAGATTTTATTGACCTAAAAGTCAGAGGCTGCTGCTAACTGGAACAAATGGGAATTTTCTATATAAATGTGACAAAAAGCAACCTATACACAGAATGAGACTCGAAGGTGACGGAAATATGGGTCGTATCTTTCCCTTCACGTCTCAAAAAAAAAAAAACCAAATACACCACACACAAGGCACTGAGACAGCACAAAGGACCCTGGATTCATGTTACAAAGCAGCAGAATAAAGCTCTTGAGTTCCAGTAACTATCCACTTTACCTGATGCTTTTCCACGTTATCACTATAGAAATGGACATATGGGCCGGGAACAGTGGCTTATACCTGTAATCCCAGAGCTTTGGGAGGTTGAGGCAGGAGGATCACTTGAGGCCAGGAGTTCAAGACCAGCTTGAACATAGCAAGATCTGCCAGTACATTTAAAAAAAAAAAAAAAAAAGCTGCATGTGGTGGCATGTGTCTGCAGTCCCAGCTACTTAGGATGCTGAGGCAGGAGGCTCGCTTGAGCCCAGGAGGTCAAGGTTACAGTGAGCTACAACAGTGCCACTGTACCTGAGCCTGGGTGACAGAGTGAGACCATGTCTCAAATAAATAAATAAATAAATAAAACTAAAAATAAAGCTAACCACTTGGGACATTTTGGGGGAAGATACACAGCTACAAACGCAAGCTGGCATTTTCAAGATTAAGGTACTCCACAATTTTGAACAATATCAATCCCCACGAGTCAAATGAAGATCAAATACTCAAGGTTGAATTTTCTTTACAGCTGTAATTTCCTCCTCAAGGATAAAGTCTGAGCTTTGAATGGTGAGTGTTCTATTTTATTTAGAAATTCAAGGAAATTAGTCCAAACAAATATGATAGATGGCATAATAACAAGTTTTATGAAAAATACAGTATAATTTAATTCTGCTAATAAAGTGCTTGACTGCTTTTTACTCTCCTATACTCATCCCTGGTATCAATTTATTAATACTTTATAGGTTTAATTCCAAAAGTTTTCTGAGGTGATTCAGCAAGTCAGAAAAATTCTAGGACTCCAGCAACATCTCAATCTCCAAACTTCTTTGAGAACGAAGAAAAAGCTGTATCTGGTGGATCAAATCTTCTAATCCTTAGCTGCTATATTTGCATTTCCTTTACACCATGAGCCTTAGTTGGTTCTCATCTATAAATAGATAAGTTTAATAGGAAGCCTCATTAAAGGGAAACTGGTATAGTATCTTGAAAAACTCTGAAAAGAATCAGTCCCATTCTCCTAATGGGCCTCTGTCCAACCACCAATGTCCTGCTATCTTCATGCATGCCTAAGTTTTTGTTGTCAGAGTACAGTCTACTCTCGTTTGAAAATATTTGGAGCAAGTATTTGGGAATGGGGCTTGGCTGCTAGCCACTCCATGTCTGGTGACTCCATTACAAAAGGAGACAAATTTCCCCCAACAGTTCTTTCCCTGTGGCTGGCAGAAAAGTGATCTCACTGAACAGTAATTTCCTTAGTCAAACACAATAAGAGCTCTTCAGCATCCAAATCAAGATAAATGTACAAAACCTTTCTCTCTAGGTTTGTCAAAAGAACCTGAATTTCATCTTGGAAGACTGAGAGGGAACAGGCTTCCTTTCCTTGGTAGAACATGTATCTGTTAATTGATATCCTGGCACTATGAAGTGGTGAATAAAGAATCCTAAAAGGCCAATTCCATGCAGAGGGGTGTGTGAAATCACCTGAATAATGAATGAGTCATTAAGCAGAAGAAAGGGCAATAAGCAGAGAAGTCAAAATCTGAGCAAGGAACATTCTGATCTTTTTGGTAAGTCTGTTCGGTATCTGAGCTAAAAACTGAAGCTTTGTCACAGGCAATCAATACGAATATAGTGGGTAATTCAAAAAGGCAGCTGGGGTCTGAGAAGAGGTCATTTTGAAACAAAAGGAGAAGAAAGATTTGCATTTGACAAAGAGTTGATATTATCTACCATTAACATCACATGGACTAGCAAAATTGGGCCTATGTGCCAAGTTCAGTAAACTGAGATTGAGAAAGAATAGAATTGGCATTCACAACTAAGCAAGAATACATATCAGGTAAGCTAGCAGGTCATAGAAAAAGAGATAAGATATTGGTGGGACTTCTACAAACCTATATGAACAAAGGAGAAAGATGATTTCTAAAGGATCAGTACAGGATGACTAAAGTCCAGGTAAGAATTTCTTGAAGGCAAAACAGAGTAGTGACTTCATTTAGGGAATAAGAAGCAGGGAGGAACTTGCAAAGGACTGGGAAACTCAGGCCATCCCTAAGGATATATGAAAGCAGATTCTGGGAGGGATTGATAGCTTAATCAGGTTTAGAAGAGATATCCATCAAATCTCTTTGAACTAAAAGTTGAAGTATTTTTATCAACTTCTCAGAACAGAGAGAAGGAAAAGATACTGAGACTACATATTCTCTAACTGGCTAAATGAAGGTCAGGATTACATGGCTATACTGTTTTTATCTTCTTTTTAAATACTTCTATAAAAATCCATTTTACAATTCTTAACTTTGCCTTGGTTGAACTAAGTGGACAAATAATATATAGTAATAATGATAATCATAGTAACTAAACTTTACTGAACAAGTCAATAAAGATAGATTAGCTAACATTTAAACTATACCAAAAGCTCCTTTGATGCAGACACTACTATCATCTTAATTTTATATAAAAGGAAACTCAGGCTCAAAGAAGGTAAGTGAAGGATCAAGGTGAAGCCACTACAAAAATCCAAAATCTGAATACTCCATCACTATGCTAATACTGTATCTGTAAGTGGTAGGTTTGGGAGTAGAAGTAATACTATACAAACTTAATTCCCTAGAAAAAAACAATAGAGCTGGAGGGTAGATGGAGAGATAAAAACTAGGAGGGAGGAATAACATCAGCAGCAATTCCTACTGGTCCAGGCCATTATATCACATAGCTTCTGGTAATACTCCTGTCGCTTGAGATCCAAGTACCAATACCAGGGAAAAGGGCTTCTGGTACCTGTCAGCACACGCATGGCTCCATGGACGGCATTTAAGTCTCCGCTCACCAACATCTCCATGAGCAGGTTGAAGAGTTGGGGCCAAGCTTCAGGCCAGTCCCAGTGGGCAATGGCTGACACTGCATAGGCCACACTGGAGCGCACTTTGCTTATCGATTCTCTCAACCCATTAGGCAATAGCTCCCGGATAACAATTTTTGCCTGTAAGGGATAAAAGTCCACCTGCTATTAGATCAGGTTAAAAGTGACTGGCAGAGCCCAGTTCAATTGGGAACTGTGTTGGAAAAACAATGAGTACAAGGTACTGCATGTCTACAGAAAACTCCTATACACAAACTTGACAATTCATTTGGAGGGTTCATCTGTGATCTCTAAACTTATGCAGTCCATTACAGTAGCCACTAGCTATACATAGCTATTAACATTTTAAAAAATTTAAAATTCAGTTCCTCAGTTGCACTAGCCCCATTTTAAGTGCTCAACAGCCATATGCAGCTAGTAGCTATTGTTTTAGGCAGCACAGACACAGAATATTTCCATAATTGCATAAAGCTCCAGTGGAAAACATTCCTCCAGACCTTATACCTCAAAATTTCTTGGGGACTCAGGATGACTGCACAGTACTGCACTAAGTACAAATGTTATTTCATTTAATTCTTAAACCCTTAGTTGGTATTTTTATTCTCACTTTGGAGATTTAGGAAATTGAGGCTTAGGTGTTAACTACATTTCCAATGATCTCATAGCTTGTAAAAAGCAAAACTGGAATTTGAACACAGACCAGCCTGATACTTGAGCTCTTTAATGTATAGCCCTATGCCCGCAATGCCAGCCACCAATCTCCTTTTCTGCCTAGTCTTTTGATTGCTCCATGCTGTCAAAGAATGTTATAGTCTAATCTCTTAAAATGGACCCTCAAATCTCCTCAGGTAGACTAATCAAGTAACTGACTTACCCTTTCTGTAGTTTCAGGAGGCCTAAATTTCTCTGATTGGGCACACCAGTGAGTCTCCACATATTGTTTCAAGATGACTGATGCCAGCTGTGAAGAGAATAAGCCAAGTAGTACAGCAAGAAAAAGATTTTTTTCACACATAAAAACTATATACATAGCCTGATACATCTGAAGTATATCTAAATCTGGCACAACATCCTAGGTTATTTATACACTGGCCTTATTTTTCTTTCCTATAAGAAAGTTTCATTACCAAGGAAAGGGAAACTATTTATAAATTGGGCCAGTCTGGACTTACCTGACGGATTGCCAGTGCCCCCTGGGGATCTACAGTCAGTTCTGCCAAGTGAACACCAAATTCTGAAAGAGAAAATTTTATTGAGTCTAAGAGTACCTAGGAAAGCCATAGAAATTTACTAAGCTCTAACCCTGATGCCAACAAGATTCCAGAAAGAAACTTAATCTGTTGTTTCAAAAAGAGCTGATAACTGCTAAGACTGATTCCTCCAAGTAAAAGAAACAAGTTGGCTTGCAGGACATGCCTTGTTACAATGAAGTTTCAACACCCTTACACTTTTTCCAGTCACTGCATAGCACCTTCCAGCCATCTTCTCTTCCAAGATGACAACACCTTCCTCTTAGACCAATTAATGTGGTAATTGAAACATGGAGCCTGGCGTGGTGGCTCACGCCTGTAATCCCAGCACTTTGGGAGGTCGAGGTGGGTGGATCACTTGAGGTCAGGAGTTTGAGATCACCTTGGCCAACATGGTGAAACCCCATCTCTACTAAAAATACAAAATTAGCCAGGCTTGGTGATGCATGGCTGTAATCCCAGCTACTCGGGAGGCAGAGGCAGGAGAATCGCTTGAACCCAGGAGGACGAGGTTGCAGTGAGCTGAGATCGCACCATTGTACTCCAGCCTGGGAGACAAGAGCAAAACTCTATCTCAAAAAAGCAAAACAGGCTGGGCGCAGTGGCTCATGCCTATAATCCTAGCACTTTGGGAGGCCAAGGCAGGTGGATCACAAGGTCAGGAGTTTAAGACCAGCCTGGCCAAGATGGTGAAAACCCCGTCTCTACTAAAAACACAAAAAAATTAGTCAGGCATGGTAGCGGGCACCTGTAATCCCAGCTACTTGGGAGGCTGAAGCAGAGAATTGTTTGAACCTGGGAGGCAGAGGTTGCAGTGAGCTGAGATCGTGCCACTGCATTTCAGCCTGGGCTACAGAGCGAGACTCCGTCTCAAAAAACAAACAAACAAAACAAAACAAAAACAAAATATCATGGGACCATCTATTCCTGAGGACAACTTAAAAGGTGAGATTTCACGAGTTGTCCAGATATATGCCACCAGTTATGAGCTGATTAAGTCCAAGAAAACCTGGCTTCAACAAACTTAGTCCTACAAATGAGTAGTTTCCAATAAGCAATGGAACTTGAACTGCACATTGGGAGGCTGTAAGTAACTCTTACTTCCAAATTAAAATTTATTTTTAAAAAATGATTACTAAAATAAATTTTGTTTTAGAGACAGGGTCTCACTCTGTCATCCAGGCTGGAGTGCAGTGGCATAGTAATAGCTCACTGCAGTGTCAAACTCCTAGGCTCAAATGTACTTCCTGCTTCAGTCTCCCGAGTAGCTGAGACTACAGATGCACGCCACTGTGCCTGGCTCCAAATTAGAACTTAGATCTAATATATACTTGCAAAGGAGTCAACTGTCAAATATTTCTTTGTGAAAAGAGGAGGAAGAATGTAAAACCAACAGTGCATCATAATTTTTACATCTCACATTGTAGGGCTGTGCTATCCAATGCAGTAGCTATTAGTCACAATGGCTACTAAGTACCTGTAATGTGGCTGGTGAGACTTGAGATGCCTATAAATGTAATACTCACTAGATTTCAAACAGTGTGAAAAAAAGAGGAAAATATCTTTTTATATTGATCAAATGTTGCAATAATACTTTGTCTATATCAGGTTAAATGAATATAGAGTTAAAATTTAATTTTATGTTTCTTTTTGCCTTTTTAATGTAGCCACTAGAAAATTTAAAATTTCACACATGACTCATACTATATTTCTGTTGTACAGCACTATGCTAAAGAATGAACAGCAGTTTTCTAGACTTGCTTACTACTGGTAGATACATAGGTCACAATAGGCTCATCACTTCCCTTTGGAGGGAGCTATGGATTGGTGTGATTAAGAGAACAGGCTGTTTAGGTTCAAATCCTGAAGCCACCATGCCTGTCATTAGGTAAGTTTCCTTTCTAAACCTCAGCTTCCTCACCCACAAAATAAGAATATTGGTATCAGGGCCGGGAAAGGTGGCTCACGCCTGTAATCCCAGAACTTTGAGAGGTGGGAGTGGGCGGATCACCTGAGGTCTGGAGTTCGAGTCCAGCCTGACCAACATGGAGAAATCCCGTCTCTACTAAAAATACAAAATTAGCCGGATATGGTGGCACATGCCTGTAATCCCAGCTACTCGAGAGGCTGAGGCAGGAGAATTAATTGAACCCAGGAGGCAGAGGTTGCGATGAGCCGAGATTGCGCCATTGCACTCCAGCCTGGGCAACAAGAGGGAAACTCTGTACGCCCCCCCCTCCCAAAAAAAATACTGGTATCAATATATCAAGCAATCCTTTTAAGACTGAATAATATAATATATGTAAAATGCTTTGTACAATATCTGCCATACTGGTAAAAACTTGAAAACAAAAATAAGTTATTTTGCTATTATTTTTTATTGTCTATCATGAATACACTGTTTGGCTTTCCCATCTATGTTCCACCTTAATTGGATTCTACTGAAATAGCCATCCAAAGGGCATTTATACAATAGAAAAGCTTAATACCAAGAAAGAGTTGTTACATGCAATGTTTCAGGTTCAGGGCTTATCCAAGTAACCAGGTTAATAACTGCTAAAAATGATCTATGTCCATATTTTACAAAATAATTTTTAAAGACTTACAGAAAAGCTGAACAGTACAGAGTTCATGGATATCATTCATCCATTTTCCTCTTACATAACCACGGTTCAGTGATCAAAAATCAGGAAATTAACATGGGTATAATACTATTAACTAAACTAGACTTGATAAGAACTTCACCAGTTTTTTTCCTTATTGTCCTTTTTCCTTCAGGATCCCACATTGTATCTGGTTGCCATGTCTCCTTAGTTTCTTCTAAAGTGTGACAGGTCTTCATTTTTGTCTTTTGTGACCAGAACACTTCTGGTGAATATCGATCAGTTATTTTGTAGAACGTGTCTCAATTTGGGTTTGACTAAAGTTTCCTCATGTTTTAGATTGAGGTTATACATTTTTGGCAAGAATACCAGAAAGTGATGCTGTGTCCTTCTCAGTATATCATATTAGGGAGTACATAATGTTGATAAAAATTTTATTACTGGTTATGGTAACCTTGATCACATGGCAAGGTCTGCTGGGTTTCTCTACTTATAGGTACTGTTTTTCCCTTTGTAACTGATCCAAATCTAGGGAGAAATATTTTGACATTTTGCTATTATCCTGTTTCTTTTCAAAGTCTCACCCACTGATTTTAGCATCCATCTGTGGGTGTTACCTGCCTAATGGTGATTTTGCATTTCTTTTATTCTCTTCACTTTATTAATTGGAATTCTTTTATAAGGAAGTACTGTCCCTTCTCCTTTATTTATTACAATATTATAAAATATATATTTTGGTTTTCATCCATGATTCCTGGTTCTCAGCTCCTGTAAGCCTTATTCTTTCCTAACTGACTACAGTAATAAGAATATCTTTTTTTTTTTTTTTTTTGAGACAGAATCGCACTCTGTCACCCAGACTAGAGTGCAGTGGCGCTATCTCAGTTCACTGCAACCTCTGTCTCCTGGGTTCAAGCGATTCTTGTGCCTCAGCCTCTGGAATAGCTGGAATTGCAGGAGTGTACCACCACGCCCAGCTAATTTTTGTATTTTTCGTAGAGACTGGGTTTTGCCATGTTGGCCAGGCTGGTCTTGAACTCTTGACCTCAAGTCTGCCTGCCTCAGCCTCCCAAAGTGCTGGGATTACAGGTGTGGGCCACCACACCCGACCAAGAATATATTTTCTTAAAAAGTATTTGGCTTTTGTCCTTGGTTCCTGAAGTAGCTCCTGAAGGATAAAGGTGAAAGACAGTCTCTTCTTACTTACAAGATACTTCTTTCTGTCTTTTTTCCCGCACATCACCTCAACTTTCCTTTTCTTTTTTTTTCCCCCATTCCCCTACCTGATGCAATGGTCTTAGGACCAGGGCTGCAACTACATGTGCTGGAAGCAGGAATGATTCCTAGGCAAGAAATTCTAACTACGTATTGTAACTTAGGTCAGAATTCCTAATGGACTGATGGGAATGGGTTGTGCCTTCACCCCATCCAGCAAAATTGGGGCTAACAGTTAATACAGCTATATTGCCTGACAGTAAAAATAGCCCACTAGTTCTGCACCTCTGTAACCTAACCCTATCTGAAGGGGGTGCACTGAGGAAGAGGTACTTGCTAGACTAGTATTGTTGCCTGCAATCTAGACCATCACAGTGGCTGATTGTAATGCTCCTTCCAAAGGTGGAAAAGTTTGGGTACTTATTAAGAGAGAAGAAACAGTAGCTCAGAGGAAAGAAATGAATAAGTGGATTATGAACTGAGAGGATTCCAATATCACATTAACACCTCAAAAGAGGCTCAGAGCAAGAGATGACATTGCTTCTTAGCTCAATTATATCAAACTCATGAAATGGTAAAGTTCTGTGTTTGCTAAGACTACTTCTGCTTTTGCAACCTCACAAGAATGAAAGGAAGCCTGCCAATCTGAGCAGCCTCACCCTGGGAGACACTCATACAATATGATGAACTAGACTATTAATTATTGAATGGGATTCTAGTAATGTGGCAGTATCTTTTGAGTTGGACATCCTATTGACATAAGGGATCAGGGTTCGAAGACCCAAGGGCGGACTGTGATATTGTGAAATATGTATTTGGTCTTCTACTTCATTTCCTGGCAAACAGCTCCTAAAATCCTCAGAAACTCCAAAGTGATGTCTTTTTGTATGCTAATAAGCTGACTTGATAGCTGGCAGCTCCTAGGTAGCTTCAGGATGGGGGCTGGTCACTGGAAATATCTAGGCAGGCTTAGAGGGTTGGGACTTTCATCCCCCCATCCCACCCTCTGACAGGGTAGAGGGGCTGAAGGTTAAGTTGATCATCAATGGTCAGTGGTTCAATCAATCATGGTAGGGTAATGAAACCTCCATAAAAATGCCAAAGAACACACTTCTGCATTCCACCCTTCCAGACCTCATCCTATGTATCTCTTCACCTGGCTGTTCATTTGTATCGTTTCGAATATCCTTTGTAGAAAAATCTGTAAAAGCATTTCCCTAAGTTCTGTGAGCTGCTCTAGCAAATTAATCAAACCCAAAGAGGGGAGTCCTGGGAACCCCAACTTGAAGCTGGTCTGTTAGAAGTTCCAGAGGCCTAGACTTGCAACTGGTATCCAAGCAGGTGGGGGCAGTTTTGGGGACTGAGCTTTCAATCTGTAGGATCTGATGCTATCTCCAGGTAGACAGGTTGGAATTGAATTGGAGGACACCCAGCTGGTGTCCACTACAGAACTGACTGCTTGTTTGCTGGTGGGGAGAAATCTCCACATATTTTTGAGATCACAGAAGTCTTCTGTGTTGACTGTTGTAGTGTGAGAGCAGAGGAAAAATGGTTTGTTTTTCCTAATATTTATTTATACCTATATGAACTCATAAGTATTTATTTTATTCTGTGAGTTTTAATCCAATACTATCTTATTTTTTTTGTTGCTCAAATTGTTCCAGCTTTGGCCACTGGAACTCCTTCCAATTAACTCCTGTGTACTTCTATACATCCCCATTCTTTATCAAGCACTTCCTTATTTTTTGAATACACAAGATATTCTATACTTATCTTGTATTTTCTCTGTCCAAGCCAAGATATCAACTTCTCCTCCAAGGAACCCTGCTGTCTTTTAGTGGAGAATTATATTTAGAAACCAAGATGTGAGCACTAGGTATGTTCATTGCTACAGGAGTATCACTATTCCTAGGCGTTCTCAGAGAACAGAGCTAGGAAGTACAGTATACCTAACCATATAGCCATCCATCCATTTATCATACTGACTGATAGCCCAGATGCCAATCCAAACCTCGAGGTTCATTCTACTCTTCCCTTATTTGTAACTTCTTTCTCTAACAGTGATACACTTGGCTCTCATCATCTATACTTATTTTTTCAATCTTAAAATATAAAGCAATTACAGAAGTATTAATCCATACCTTTGTGAAAAACACACCTATTAATTGAACTACAATTTTGGTGTATAGTTTTTTTAACTGTAACCTACATGATGCAGTCAAATACTATTTTACTATTTGTAAATACTATTTTACAAAGTTACTTAGGTTAGTTCTTCCTCTCACCTAAAAAGTTATGTTATTCATTTGTAAAACATTTAGGTTCATTTGTTACTACTTCTGCTCCATTTTTAGTGCCTCCCTATTGTTTGATTTTAATTTTAATTATTTATTTATTTTTGGTATGTGAAACATTACCATGATTCTCAGAGTCAAAGCTATACAAAAA
The DNA here is from genome assembly GCF_000001405.40 of Homo sapiens. Taxonomy (NCBI): domain Eukaryota; kingdom Metazoa; phylum Chordata; class Mammalia; order Primates; family Hominidae; genus Homo; species Homo sapiens. The sequence continues at coordinate 201,840,996 of NC_000001.11, read as the reverse complement.
GGAATATTCCAAGAAGTGCCACTTCTTCCTCAACCCTATTACCTTGTTTTCATTACCCACTTCTTTACAACTATTCCCCACCCACTACATGCAGGCAGGTAACCAAAATCAGTTTCTGATTTTCTTTCCTGTATTTCTTTTACACAAATGAGCAGACACATTTTTTTAAATATTCCCTTCTTGTTTACATGAAAAAGAGTATATTACAGACACTCTTTTGCACTTTGCTTTTTTTCAGCTAACATTATATCTTGGGATTTCCAAATCAGTTCAAAGAGATTCCTGAAGTTCTTCTCTACAGCTGCATAATATATGTAGATATACCATATGTTATTCGTGTGCTCTCCTCTGTATGGACAGTTAGTTTTTTTCTAATATTTTGTTTTAATAAAAATGCTGCAGTGAATAATATTGTGAATATGTATTTTTGAAATGTTGAAGATGTCTTCAGCATAGATTTTCAGAAGTGGGATTGTGGGTCAAGAGGTAAGTGCATTTGTGGAGCTACTGGGTGTGATCAAATTTTCCTTCAGAAGGATTGCACCAATTTGTACTCCTACCAGCAATACATAGGAGCATCTTTCCAGTCTTGCCAACAGAATGTGTTATCATATTTAAAATTTTTTGGCCAGGTGTGGTGGCTCACACCTACAACCCCAGCACTTTGGGAGGCTAAGGCAAGCAGATCACTTGAGCCCAGGAATTCAAGGCCAGCTTGGGCAACATGGTGAAACACCAAAATAGCTGGGCACGGTGGCTCATGCCTGTAGCCTCGGCTACTTGGGAGGCTGAGGTGGGAGGGTCACCTGAGCCCAGGAGGTTGAGGCTATAGTGAGGAGGGACTGTGCCACTGCACTCCAGCCTGGGCGACAGAGTGACACGCTGTCTCAAAAGTAAATAAAATAAATTTTTTTGTCAGCCTGACAGGTGATAAATGGTTAATTCAATGTTGTTTTAGATTATATTTCTCTAACCACAAGTGAGTTTAAACACTTTTTGTATGTCTGAGTGTTGTTTTGGTCCTTTGTTCCTCAATTTTTAAGAATTCTTTATATATTAAAGGTATTATCCTTTTGTCTGTAGTATACATTGTGGGGAAAAAAATTCCTCCCAGTTTGCCAGTTGTCTCTTGATTTTTTATGTGGTGTTTTTCCCATGTAAATTGTAAAAAAATTTTATGTAGTCAAATTTATCAATAAAATATTTTCTTTTATTGTCTCTGGATCTTGAGTCATATTTAGAATCCCTTTCCCTATGTCAAGTTTAAAGACAAAATCACCCATGTTTTCCTCTAGTACTTGTATGATTTAATTTTTTCTGTTTAGACTCCTAATCATTTTAGAGTTTATTTTTAAAAAATCTAGTGTGAGATATGGGTCTAATTCCAAATGGCTACACAGTCATAGCAGCACTTTTTTTTTTTTTTTTTTTTTTTTGAGATGGAGTCTTGCTCTGTCGCCCAGGCTGGAGTGCAGTGTCATGATCTCGGATCACTGCAAGCTCCGCCTCCCAGGTTCCCGCCATTCTCCTGCCTCAGCCTCCCGAGTAGTTGGGACTACAGGCACCAGCCTGGGCAACATGGTGAAACCCCGTCTCTACGAAAAATACAAAAATCAGCTGGGCGTGGTGGTGCGTGACTGAAGTCCCAGCTACTTGGGAGGCTGAGGCACGAGAATCACTTGGGCCTGGGAGGCAGATGTTGCAGTGAGCTGAGACTGAGCCACTGCACTCCAGCCTGGGTGACACAGCAAAATCTTGTCTCAAAAAGTTTCCTCTAGGCTGGGCGCAGTGGCTCACGCCTGTAATCCCAACACTTTGGGAGGACAAGGCAGGTGGATCACCTGAGGTTAGGAGTTCGAGACCAGCTTGGCCAACATGGTGAAACCCCATCTCTACTAAAAATACAAAAATTAGCCGGGCGTGGTGGCGGGCGCCTGTAGTCCCAGCTACTTGGGAGGCTGAGGCAGGAGAATCGCTTGAATCCAGGAGGCGGAGGTTGCAGTGAGCCAAGATCATGCCACTGCACTCCAGCCTGGGTGACACAGCAAGGCTCCATCTCAAAAAAAAAAAAAAAAGTTTCCTCTAATAGGTTCTTACACATTTCCTAAGCATTTACTTTTTTGTTGATACTGTAAATTGGTTTTGGTTTTTAAAAAACCATTACGTCCTCTAACCTTTTATGGTTTGTGTATGTGAAAGCTATTGATTTTTATATTTTATGTCCTGTTTTACTGAATTCTTAGATTCTTAATTCATTCTTATTATGCCTTTAAGCTGCAGTTTTTGATCCACTCCTATGGCACCTATTGTTTCACTCAGGAAAGTGGATTTTTTTTTTTGGCATGACCGCCACAGAAGAAGCCACATTCTTTCTGAAAGAGTTATTAAATGATTAAATCACAAGCAAACACTTGAAACTTGCACAATCCCCCTACAGATACTGCAATCCATTCTAATTCTTAGGATTAATTTGGTTAGTACAGACTCTGGTTAAATCTATAAAACCCATTTGTAGCAAGAGAAGAAACAACAGGTATCTACAACCCGAAGATATGGGAGTCAACTATCAGAACTGATTCTAAAACACAGATGAGTCAGATAATTCAGGAACATCTCTTGGATAGCAATGTTCCAGTTCAATGGAAAAAAGCACTCTAAAATGCACATGTGAAATCCATTTAAAGGAGAAAGACAACTAGTAAGGGCATCCACAATTCCTTTGAGTTCAGATACTTAGTGTGATAATGGATGATACTTAGACTTCATGGCTTCAAGTCTGCTTAGAATGTCACTGTCCACCCAGGATTGGCCTCCCTGGACATGGTGAACCAATTCTGGTGTGCCTTATGTAACTTCCTTCACAATAATCTACAAGCACATTCACAAATTATCTGGGACATAACAGCATTTCCTTTTTTTTTCTTTTGAGACAGAGTTGCACTCTTGTTGCCCAGACTGGAGTGCAATGGCGCAATCTCAGCTCACCGCAACCTCCACCTCCCGGGTTCAAGCGATCCTCCTGCCTCAGCCTCCCGAGTGGCTGGGATTACAGGCATGTGCCACCACGCCCAGCTAATTTTGTAGTTTGAGTAGAAATGTGGTTTCTCCATGTTGGTCAGGCTGGTCTCAAACTCCCAACCTCAAGTGATCCGCCCGCCTCAGCCTCCCAAAGTGCTGGGATTACAGGCATGAGCCCCCGTGCCTGGCCTAGTATTTTCTTTTAAGGCATGATTTAAATAATTTTTCCATAGGTCATTATGATTTGGACTTTTAATGTTCCTAGCAAGAGCATAATTTTTGGATCATTACTACAGGGACAAACTAAAACAAGATCAAAATGAAGAAATTCTTCAATATACAGTGTGAAAAGATACTGAGGAATGAGACTTTTTGAGAAGGGTTTGAAACTTAAGACTTTAAGCTTAAACAAATCTGAACAACTGTCCTTCCAATGAAAGCACTGATATTCATATAGCTGTAGGGTAATACTGAGGCTCACAGCTCACAAAAGGGAAAAAGAACCACACATTTTCCATCAGTTCACTCTGGCACTGATCACAGGAGTCATTAGAGCATGAAGACCAGGCAAACTTTACACATAGGTCCTATCACAGCTTAAGGGTCCTTTCTCATCAACCAGAGAATTCCAAGTCTTTTCTCTTCAGAGAAAAGCTTAGCATGAATATATTTTTTCCATATCCCTGCCAGAAGGATGCACTCCAGTGATGATCACAGTAGCTAGAAGCTCTTCACTCTAATACAGTAATAAGTTAATCATGTCTGGTAACCTATCAAAGATCATATACAAAATTCCACTAACCACCTTGCTTCACACATCACTGAGACTGGAAGGGATGGTGAGAATAAGAGATCATCAGAAGATTAAGACCAACGTAGGGGCCAAAAACCCAAGTTAGCCAAGGGATCTGTACCTACAACAAGTATTTTAAGATGGACTCCTTCTAAAAGCTAATTTCTTTCACGCATGAAAGAAGCAGCATTAAAGTTCAAGTAACATATATTTGCTCAAAAGCAGATATATAATGGCAAAGAAAATCTTCAAATAACATCATCATTGTTAACTAAAGACAAATTTTAAAATAAAATAGATGAACAGATTTCCTTCTCTACAGACCCCTACAGTTTCAAAAATTATGACCACATGTCCAACATGACCACATGTTTCAAAGCCTCAAAAATTCAAAGACAAAGAGCTTATTTGCATTAGGTTATAGGGGGATGAAAGAGGGAAAATACAAAATTCTTTTACTTAACCCAATTTATTCTGTCTAGACCACATACCTACTAGAAATACAAGGATATCACTCACCATTTAAGAGTGTCATACCCATAATACTTTAGTTTACTTAAAAGCTATATAAATAATTGTTTCCAAGGAGTATGATGTTGATGGTAAACTCCGTGCTATAAAACCGATGCAAAATTAGCTGGGTGTGGTGATGCACACCTGTAGTCCCAGCTACTAAGGAGGCTAACATGGAAGGATCACTTGAGCCCAGGAGTTTGAGGCTGCAGTGAGCTATGATCACACCACTGCACTCCAGCCTGGATGACAGAGCAAGACCTTGTCTCAATTAAAAAACAAACTAAGAAACAAACTAATGCAAAGAAGGAAAAGCCAGAAAATAATTCTAAAGCTCTTGGCCTTATTTTAAATCTGATCAACACATTTGCTCCTATCCATTGGTTTCTGTTACGTAGTAAAACCCTACTTACAGATTTTTCACTTAACAGAGATACAATATTTTTTGAAATACAACTAAGTATATTTGTTAAAAAAAAAGTACGTGTGTGTGTGTTGGGGGACTTCTGGTTTTACTGATTGGTGTCTGTTTTTTTTTTTTTTTTTTTTTTTTGAGATGGAGTCTTGCTCTGTCACCCAGGCTGGAGGGCTGGAGTGCAGTGGTGTGATCTTGGCTCACTGCAAGCTCTGCCTCCCGGGTTCAGGCCATTCTCCTACCTCAGCCTCCAGAATAGCTGGGACTACAGGCGCCCGCCACCACGCCTGGCTAATTTTTTTGTATTTTTAGTAGAGATGGGGTTTCACCATGTTAGCCAGGATGGTCTTGATCTCCTGACCTTGTGATCCGCCCTCCTCGGCCTCCCAAAGTGCTGGGATTACAGGAGTGAGCCACACTGTGCCCGGCCTGGTGTCTTTAACACAATGTCTTTAAAAATATGAGAAAGAATAGCCTAATAACTTACTCTGGGATGATGAAGGCAGGGAAAATATAAGAAACACAGACATAAATATCCGCTTTATTTTGCTTTGCTTGGAAACGACTGTTTAAGATTAAACTAACATTCAATCTATGAAGTTGAGCCAAAGGGCAACACTGCCAAGAGGGCTATATGAAGTTGTTTTCTAAAGCTATTTTTGTTAGGAAATTTAATTTCTCTAGTTCCCTTTCCCATGGTGAAATAAGGACAGTTCATTCTGTTAATCTGGGTTTTCACCCTGACTCTAGATTCTCCTTAATTATACCTTTATTCCTATCCAAAATGGCATCCTTTGACTTCCTAAGAAATCCTCTGCCCTCTTTCATTCTCTAGTCTCATTCTCTTTTAGTCTTTTGCTTCCCTCTCGTTATCCTTGCTCCCCTTTCTCTCTTATCACCCCATATGGCAAAAACATTATCTATCTAAAACTTGGTTTAGAAGGGAAAACCCAAAGGAGAGCATGGAGGATAAAGGATCACTTAAGAAATACATGCTATTGGTCTGAAGGGTCTCCTAGAGAGACAAGACTTGGCAGTACTTTGACAGTCAACTAATAAGAATTGTGAACAGGGATTGTTGGAGAAGGATGCGGTTTTGAGTAGACCCCCTGGACAAGCCCCCTATTTCTCATGGGAGTTGGTAAGCACCACAAAACCACAGCTGAAAGGAAAAAGAAAACTCCACCACTGGCCTTTTTCCGAGCGTGGCCGCCTTCCGCTCGGCTCAGTGCCCGCCACATGCCCAGGAGTGCGTCTGGATCCTTGAGGGGCGCCCTTCGCAGGTGGACAGTGCTTACGCTATACTGCAAAAGAGCCAGAAAAGTGCCCATGAGAACCAGAAAGCAAACTTCCAGCCAGCAGGATCATCTCTCTAGGCATCTAAGATGGGGAAATCAATACAGGTATCTCGGCAGCATCTGAATGCCAGGAAAGGTGAGGGAGAGATAATTTCCCCCCTCCCCTGTTCAACATAATGGTGGTAGAAGGGAAGAAAAATGTATTCTCTGTGACTTATCTACTGGGAACTAGACAAGGCCAAATGATAGGGGAAATGTCATCATTTGTAATAGGCAAAAAAGAAATAAGCAAAGAAGAAAATGTCCTAGGGTCTAAATCTAGTTATGTAAGAAAGTCTGTGCATGCTGGCACGAAGAATTAAAGCTTCTGAATGAAAGCAACCCATTCCACCACTTGGATAATGCCATTCTTAGAGGAAAAGTAGAGAAAGAAGTAGAAAAAGAGGGAAAGAACTTCATTTTAAGATATAAAAAAATAAAGCACGAATACACCAAAAATAAAAGGCTGACATTCTCAAAAGATGGTAATTCTCATGATCTCACCGTAAGTCAGACAAAAACAAAAGAAAAAGAGTTGATGAAGCTGAGTACAGAATATGAGACTTTGACGTAAGAGATCTTCGGTGGTTCATAACCTCTCCAGTCTTTTTAACTACTATGTTTGTAAAGTGCTTAATATGAACCTGCCTATTAAACAAAACAGAATTAGAAAGCATGCTTTAGACTCTTAGCAGTGCAACAAAAAAAAAAAAGAAAAGAAAAGTTTTTTTACTCTAACGAATAAAAAAACTTAAAAAAAATTTTTTTTACCCTATTTAGGTAGAAGTAAATTTCCTACAAACCTGATCAAACTCAAAATCTCAATCCTCCTAAGAAAAATGAAAGGGGCCAGGTGTGGTTGCTCATGCCTATAATCTCAGCACTTTAGGAGGATCACTTGAGGGCAGGAGTTCAAGGCCAGCCTGGTCAACACAGCAAGACCCCATCTCCAGAAAAAAACTAAAAAAATCAGCCAAGTATGGGCATGTGCTTGTAGTCACAGCCACTTGGGAGGCTGAGGTTGGGAGGACTGCGTAAGCCCAGGAGTTAGAAGCTGCAGTAAGCTATGATCACACCACTGCACTCTAGCCTGGGTGACAGAGCAAAACTCTGTATCTTAAAAAAAAGAAAGAAAGAAAAATGAAAGGTTAACAATTATCTGCAGAATACTGTACACCATAATAACTTCCAAACTTTCAAGCAATGTTCTTCTCAATTCAGGATGGGAGTGCTATCTGATGAAGGTGGTTACTGGCATCATCTCCTTATCTAATTAGCCCTGTTAAATAGACTTTAAATATTCAGAGAGGTTTGCTGGGTTTCTTCCAGATTCCAAGTGACTAGCAAAAATAGCAAGCACAGGGGCTCAAGAAAATCATTCCAGCCAGGCGCAGTGGCTCACGCCTGTAATCCTAGCACTTTGGGAGGGCAAGGTGGGTGGATCACCTGAGGTCAGGAGTTCGAGACCAGCCTGGCTAACATGGTGAAACTCCATCTCTACTAAAAATACAAAAATTAGCCTGGCGTGTTGGTACGCGCCTGTAATCCCAGCTACTTGGGAGGCCTAGGCATGAGAATCACTTGAATCTAGGAGGCGGATGTTGCAGTGAGCCGAGATCATGCCAATGCACTCCAGCCTGGGTGACAGAGCGAGACTCTGTCTCAAAAAATAAAATTAAAAAAAAAAAAAAAATCATTCCAGGACACCAGGCTGATGAAGTAACCTATCTTATCCTTTTCAGATTGACACGCTACATGAATCAAATGGATCTCTCACATACACACACTTCCTTGGCTTAAGAGAACAGGTGCCCATTCTGGAAAATGTGATAATTAATTATAGGCAATTTATTTATTTATCAGAAAATATCAGCTGGTACACTAAATGATCAGGACTACTCTAGGCTCCAGCAATCTTTATTTTCTAAGATAACTGCTTCTTAAAATCTCATCTATAGTACAATTTGGTCACAGCATGTCAACTTCTCTTGCCTGTCCTTTTAACAGGGAGTTGACAATTGACCTGTGTCCTTTCCCCATAAATTAGATATTCTTCCATTTAATCTTCAAGACAAGGGATCATCACCTGGTAGCCAAGGAAGGTAACAAATGTTTTTGGCAAAGGGAACGGACCAGTTAATCTTAAAGACCATGTGGGATCAGTCTCCTATGTGATGGACTAATAAACAGCTCACAAAGACAGTGTGGTTATTTGAGAGGACAGAGGGAGGACTAGATCTGGTTGTCACCTGATCCTGGGCCCCATGGAACCAAAAAATGATCAAAAGATTACCAGAACACAAATAATAATAGACACCAAATCCCAGATTTCTCATTAACTTCAAGTTTTAAGAGTGTTTCCGGCCTGGCCGGTTGGCTCATGCCTGTAATCTCAGCATTTTGGGAGGCTGAGGTGGGCAGACTGCTTGAGCTCAGGAGTTCAAGATCAGCCTGGGCAACATGGCTAAACTCCGCCTCTGCTAAAAATACAAAAATTAGCCAGGCATGGTGGTGCATGCCTGTAATCCCAACTACTTGGGAGGCTGAGGCACGAGAATTGCTTGAACCTGGGAGGTGGAGGTTGCAGTGAGCTGAGATCATGCCACTGCACTCCAGCCTGGGCCCTGGACCACAGAGTGAGACTCGGTCTCAAAAAAAAAAAAAGTGTTTCCTAGAATCAGAAAACAAGGTTCCTTCTACCAGGGTAAAACTAAAATGTGGGCTGGGTGCAGTGGCTCACGGCTGTAATCCCAGCACTTTGGGAGGCCGAGGCGGGTGGATCACCTGAGGTCAGGAGTTCGAGACAACCTGGCCAACATGGTGAAACCTCGTCTCTACTAAAAATACAAAAATTAGCCAGGCATGGTGGCAGGTGCCTGTAATCCCAGCTACTCGGGAGGCTGAGGCAGGAGAATTGCTTGAACCCAGGAGGCGGAGGTTGCAGTGAGCCGAGATCGCACCACTGCACTCCAGCCTGGGCGACAGACTGAGACTCTGTCTCAAAACAACAACAACAACAACAACAACAACAACAAAAGCAAAAAACACTAAAATGTGAAGCAACACCAAAGAAGTGGAAAGTAGTTTGCAAGAATGGCTCATCTTGCTCTGTAGGGCATTCTAATAGGAGGAACCATGTCCTGCCAGTTTCATCAGGCCAGATAGTTGGCTAAATCCCGGCTGGAAAGCTGGGTTCTATGTTTTCATGTAAAGAAGGGTTGAGGCTGGTAAAGAAGCAGCTACTATATTGCACCATGTTCAGAAAACATCTGAGAGATTCAGACAGAGTTTAAGGTGGGAGGTACTCTGAACCCAATGTCAAAGATAACTTGTTAAAGGCCACAAGAGGAAGAAAGCAGACCGCATCTGAGGGAATGGACCGCCATTCTCCACCTTAAAACAGGTACAGAAGGGGGTAAATCTCTATAGTTTTTTTGATAGACATTAAGGAGCCAGACTACTTAAAAGACACAAGCAGCCTCCAAAGGGTCCGAAGCATTGCACTAAACTCCAGAGACTGATCCAACCCTCTAACCAAATCCAAAACCTGAGTCATATGCTCTATTACTAGATCACCAATATCAGGTCACTGCATCGATGCCTTTCCATACTTTTCATTCTCATAGTCTGCCCAACAGCACATTACCAGTAAGTTATGGGGGTCGGGGGGCAGTCGATCTATTTCTCATCAGTGACTTAGATCAAAATTCTGTACTTCTGAAATTTAATTTTTCACTTAAAGGCTCAAAAAGATGCCAGGTGTGGTGGCTGAGGCCTGTAATCCCAGCACTTTGGGAGGCCTAGGTGGGAGGATCGCTTGAGTCCAAAAGTTTGAGGCTGCAGTGAGCCATGATGGCATCACTGCTCCAAAGTCTACACGATAGAGCGAGACCCAGTCTCAAGAAAAAAAAGATGAATAAAGTGAGGAATCAGAGTTTCAAAAAAGACCTCGAGAACTTTATAATTGACTTTGCCCAGATGAGACCATGGCATTTGGCTAAAGTTGAAAAGATCAGAGCAAAAGTGGAGTTGTTGTAAGACAGTTTAAATACAAGTCAAGGTCCACCTTTCATACAAAGGTGCCAGACATGCATTTGGAGCACCAGGAGCACTGGGTACCACTCAGGGAAGGTTTAGTTAAGATGAATTTGCACCAGACTCTCAAGTTTTATTCAGGTGACAACTTGAATGTGATGAGGTTCCTTTGCTTTGTCACTCTTCCTTCCTCATACTCAAGGGGGACAGACATTAATGTGCATAAACGAATTTTATTTAGAAGCCGCTAAAAATTCCTTTAGATTAGTTTATACATGGTTCTCAAACAGCTTTCTCCTAACCAGTGGTTTCTCCTGTATAGATCTGATATTTTATAAAACAATGACAATTACAAGTGGGCCTTCAAAATGGTCCTTAGCCTGTTAGATCCCAAATCTTAACATATTTCCAACAGAAGAAAATTTGTTTTCAACAGCTCTTTCATACTGTGAAAGAATGTAAACTAAATTTAAGAGAGATTTGTTCTAAATTCTTTTCAATAGAAATACGTCCAGTAGGAGAGCTAACTGAAGGTTTTGAATATGATGGGTGTGTGATGGGACAATTTCCCATATCTCTGATGAAGTATTTAAGTGGTGGTGGAAATATTCCTGAGTTGGGAGATTCTGAGGATTTGGAGTTCCAGTGAAGCTCTGACCAGATATATTTCTTACACAAAGACCAAGAAGATTTCTCCTCCTGTTTCTGGATTAAATTGTTCTTTGTGGTAGCTACACTGGACCCGGTGAAAGGCTCACGCGGCAGGAAATTGATAGAAAATCTCGAACCAATGGTTTATTTTCTTCTCCATCACTTTAAAGCACACAATAGAGGACGGAGACAAAGAATCAAAAACAAAGGATGATCAGTTCCTCCAAACAGAAATGCACAAAGGTATTTAATAAGGGCAAATTATTTTTAAAATAAACGTTAAGTATGGTCAGGACAGTGAAGCAATCGCATATGCATTTAATTTCTGGGAAAACACGAAGAGTACAAACAACTAGCTAGGTTTATAACTCAGAGGCAGAAACTTGTTTGATGACATCTATTAAGCTTTGATAGCCGCCTTTTCGAGGCCCTACCCTTCACCACTCCTACTAATAGCTCCCCCTACTCTTATCCCAGTACAATCCAGCTGGTGAAGAGAACAGCGAAAGACTTTGGTCCTGGACTCAAAAAATATTTCCCCGACCGCGCTACTTCCTCCAACAGCACCAAGTCTAGCTCCATCTCCGTCCCCTGCAGATTCTAGGCTCCATCTATCTTTTCAAGTCTCCACCCTCCCTCCCCCACTCCCAGGCTCCACCTCCCCCGACCCTATCCTTCAGGCGCGCCTCTCCTCTCTCGGACTTTCACAACCACCAGCGACATCAATCTCTCGCTTCCTGCTCCACTTCTCGGCGCCCACATCTCCAACTGGCTCAGGCTCCCCATGTCCCCAGCCGGTACGGAGCTGCGGTCAGCGGATTGTGCGGCTGAGCCATCCTCGTGACGGTCCCGCCTCACTCACCCTCCGTCACCTCCAGCACCTTAATCTGTTCTTCAGCAGCCGCCCGCACCTCCTGTACTGGGGATAGGATCCCGGTGAGCGTATCCACTAACGCTTCCTTTAATCCTTGTGCCACTGGACCCGGCAGCCCGGAGGCCGCACCAGCTGCCGCCGCCGCCGCCATCTTTTCTCCCCTCAGCCCGCCAGCCCCGCGGCCGGGACCCGCCACCGAATGACGGCCCCCGCGCGCGGCCAATCCGCGAAGCCGCGCCTGCGCACCAGAGGCGGGCGGGAGCGGGCGGAGGGCGGGGAATGAATCTAAGCCTCCAGAGACAGCGCCTCCTGCTGCCTGAACGAGAACTGCACCTTTCTCTGCAAGGATCTCTGGATTTGTGTGAAAACTGAGCCCCAGACAGGTTAAGGGGCTTTCCTAAAGTTGCACAGTAAGTTAGCAATCTCATTTGGAATAAAGTTCATGATATATGACTTTATATTCATGCATCTTTCAGGTGTTAGGAGAGAGGAGGCGGGATGGGAATAGATGTAGAGGGCTTTAAGGAGAGAGGTCTGGGTCACAAATAGCCCCTATTTTAAACCACATTCTTTTCCCCCCAAACACTGAAAAAAAGTTGGCTCAAGTGACTCTCTTCATCTTAGCCTCAGGAATCCAAAGAGGGGGGAAAATAAACTAAAGCAAACTGGGAAGTGGAAGTGGGAAAACCACGGCCCAGTCCCTTGGTTTTCCAGCCTAGATGAGCCCAACCTCAAAGCTGGGAAGTGGCTGGGCAGGGGAGACACCGGCATGTGAAAGGGAGTTTCTTCCAGAGTGAGTGTTGTATGTGACTATTTGAGAATGAATCCTATTTGTTGAAAATGTATAAATTTTTTTCCCTGAGAAATTATGGCTGGACATTTAAGGGGTGCGAGAACAAGAGCAGTTTGATGATATGGTTGTCAGCAGCTGGTCGTGGGAAATGGCCTACGGTGCAGAGCCGCTCCTGAATAGCGGAGCAGGTGGAGAGGATGAGCGCTCCAGTGAGGTGTTAAAAATGCAGGGTGTGGCGAGGCGCAGTGGCTCACGCCTCTAATCCTAGCACTTTGGGAGGCCGAGGCAGGAGGATCGCTTGAGCCCAGGATTTCGAGAACAGCCTGGGCAACATAGCGAGACTTCGTCTCTACAAAAAAATACAAAAATTGCCCAGGCGTGGTGGCGTACGCCCTGTAGTCCCGGCTGTTCGGGAGGTGGAGGTGGGAAGATCACTTGAGCCCAGGAGGAGGAGGCTGCAGTGAGCAGTGATTGCGCCATTGCACTCCAGCCTGGGCGACAGAGTGACATCTTGTCTCAGAAAAAGAAGAAAAAGCAAGATGTAAGCCAAGGCAGGAGGATCACTTGAGCCCAGGAGTTCCAGGCTGTAGTGTGCTGTCATCACACCTATGAATAGCTACTGCATTCCAGTCTGGGCAAGATATACAGACTCTGTCTATAAAAAAAAATAAAAATTAAAAAAAATGCAGGGCAGAGTGGCAAGCATGTAGTGGCAGAAAGGATAGAATGTTGTTGGAATGGGAGGTTCTAGAGCAAACAGAAACAGGTATTTTTTAGTGAGCTGTTCAGGTTATGTGCCTTCAAAATGGTTCCCAGGAACCCTTATCAAGTGAGTTCATTCTCACATGGCAAAGGAAACGAGTTACCAAATCCTAGGTCACTTCCAAGACTGTGGATGCTGGACTGGTAACAATCAGGGATTAAGTCATCTCATCAGAAGATTACTTCAAAAGAAAGCTTTCTCAATTATTTATTTTTGAGTTGGGGGGGTCTTGCTATGTTGCCCAGGCTGGACAGGTGATCCTCCCACCTCAGCATCCAGAGTAGCTAGAACTACAGGTACACCCACTGCAACTGGCTTGAAGAGAGTTCTCAACACACTTGTCACCTCCCATGTTAAGAGGGCAGAGATGAGTTATGTTACTACAATTTCATAGGGAAAAGATTGCTTCTTGGACCCTTCAATTTTGCAATGGGGAATAGTAAGCCTATTTACTTTCTTGAAGTGGCCAAAAGAAGTTGAACTTGATTACAACAGCTTCTAATAGGTCAGTTCACTTTTACCCCAAGAAGAAAATTTAGCAAAGTCAAGAGGGTGGTATGTTTTCAAACACTGCAGCAACCCAGATGGAGGACTCCGGAGCCTTGATGTTTGGGCTGGATGTTTTGAGATCCGGTGAAGGATTCTATGTCCATAATGTGCGAGCAGGGGTTCCTCCCACCCCCAACCATGGGAGTCAGGAGACTCTAGCTTAGGGTTTCAGGTTACTTCTGGGTTAGGCAAATGACCACAAGCAGTCTGGCCTTGCCAATCAAGGAATGGGCCACAAGATAAATGGAGACAGAAACCAGGCAGAGAGGGAGCTAGAGAACCAGTGGACAGTACAGGAGATAACTTTATTGAAACGCAAATGGCATTGAACAGATGAATCTTGCTGGGAGGAGACATGCCAGATGGACAGAGGGCCCAGATTGGGGGTGGCCTCAGTGGTGATGAAGGAAGGCCTCTTCAGCTGGCTCTGGCATGAATTTTATTTTTAAATAATTTGTTATTTAAAATGAATTACTGAGGGGACAGCCCGGCTCTCTCTTCATGATTGTTACCGCAACTATATACAACAGTTTGCTTTCCAGATTCAATTTCGCTTTTTCTACATTAGATATAAAAGGGGGTAGGTTGAAAGAGGGGAGGGTCAAATAAAAAACATAAACACACAGACATACACATATCCTGGTTTGGGATTTTGCACCCAATAACTTAAAAAAAAAGTGTTGCAAAAACTTCTGCCCACTCTCCACCTGAGGAACACCATGCATTTGAGAAACACGGACTCTGTCACATAAACGGTGCTGCCTAAAACAGTATGGAGGCGGGGAAGGAAGCTAGCAGGGGTTGGAATTCATTTTGAAAAAAGATTGTTTTGTTAGAAAAAGCAAAAACAAAAAAGCATTAGAAAGTGGGAGCCACTGCACAGCAGTAGCCTAGAGACTGGCTGCGATATGGTAGCTCTGCCTTGATATCATCTTCGTGTCTTCAGGCATAGAGAAATGGCAGAGGAGCAGTAAGACCCCACAGGAGATGGCCAGAGGATCCACCATCAGCCTTCTGGGGACTGAGGAGGTGATCTTAGTGGAATTATTTTATACTCACCTCCCCCGGGGTTTAGTCCTTCCTCCAAACACTTAGTTCCAGGGCGCAGGAGACCTGTTACTAGCACTGTATGTTTCTTTGTGCTTTACCCAAGTTCTCATACAGGGAAAATTGACAAACTTGAAACAAAACCAGTTCTAAACAGCCTCATCTCCTCCATGGCCCAATCAGCTATTTTATGAGTTTGTAAAGATATGAAGCTTTTTTCAGATATTTTTTAAAAAGGATCTTATTTGGCAGGGTGCTGTGGCTCACGCCTGTAATCCCAGCACTTTGGGAGGCTGTGGCAGGTGAATCACCTGAGGTCAGGAGCTCCAGCACAGCCTGGCCAACAAGGCAAAACTCCGTATCTACTAAAAATACAAAAATTAGCTGGGCGTGATGGCGCACGTCTGTAATCCCAGCTACTCAGGAGGCTGAGACAGGAGAATCGCTTGAACCTGGGAGGCGGAGGTTGCAGTGAGCCGAGATCGTGCCACTGCACACCAGCCTGGGTGACAAAGCGAGACTCCTTCTCCAAAACAAACAAACAAACAGAAAACAACAAAAAAAGGATTTTATTCTGTCACCTTGGCTGAGTACTTCTGTATCCAGGTCCTGCTGTGGGGAAAAGAGAGGAGGAGCACAAGGACTGAAGTGCCCAGGTCTGTGTCTTCATTATGCAAGACTCTCCTATGAGCTGAGTGGAGTGTGGATAAGGGGCCTTCCTGGGATACTGGAGCCCTACACTGTTAGCTGCCATACAGAAGGAGGTTCTGGCCTGGTTCTCAGGCCCAGCAGTGCCCTTTATAACTCAAATAAAGGAGAGGGATGTTGCTGGGAGAACACGTTGTCATGGAAATACAAATTAGATTTTTTTTTTTTTTTTTACTTTTTCCATCCTATTACATAATCAGCTCGGAATAGATACAAATAATTCGGCAGAAGAGCAATCTGGAAGAGACCTCCAACTGCTTTTCCTTGTTGAAGCCCCTTTGTGTGCCAGGTAGTAATTTCCAAGGCATAAGGTTTTTCTCTGAAGGTTGTATTCAACTAGGAAAGACACAAACATTCTCCTAACTTCCACCCAAAAGCACACATACCTTTCTTTGTTAAAATCATAAATGGAAAAACAGAAACACAAGGAAGCATGAGAAAGGTGACTTTGAAATTAATGTTAAAGTCTGAATGACAACCTAGAACCTTCTTATTTTGGGCCCCAAAGCCTCTCAGTGTGGGAACTCCAATACTATAAAGGGCTTTCCCTTTAAAACAGTTGAATTTAGTGTGCATCAGAATCACCAGGAGGGCTTATTAAAACGTGGATTGCCGGGTCCTCTCATTAGAGTTTCTGATTCAGCAGATCTGGGATGGGATTGAGAATTTTCGTTTCTAACAAGTTCCCAAAGGCTGCTGATGCTGCTGGTCTTGTGCCATACTTTGCGAACCACT
Source organism: Homo sapiens (assembly GCF_000001405.40). Taxonomy (NCBI): domain Eukaryota; kingdom Metazoa; phylum Chordata; class Mammalia; order Primates; family Hominidae; genus Homo; species Homo sapiens. The sequence goes on along the minus strand of NC_000001.11, from coordinate 201,824,765 downwards.
GCTTTAAGGAATGAGAAACCAGGGGATCACTCACTTACTTCCATGACCACCCTTGTCACAGAAAATTCTCCATGGTATAATCATGAAGAAGAATGACCAAACCATCAAACTGGAAGGATCTAGTATACACAGGTTGAATTTTCAACCGTCTTCGTGTCCCTGCAGCTTTGGCATTTTGATAGGTATCCTCCCTTCAAGGCTACATCTTCTGGGTTACTACCACCTTTCCCAGGATCTGTGGCCGGCAGTGCTCACTTCCAGGGCTAGGCTGAGCAGACATGCACCCATGCACCCTGGTGGCCCCATATATCCGTAGTCAGGTTGATTCAGGACTTATTAAAATATAAGGCTGATTGGATTATAAGGGGCAATATCTTCAGGCTTTGGCCTTTGGGGAACAGTGTTCATAAGATCATTTTATTACTATGGCCTTCTCAGTGGAGCCATGAGCCAGAACTTGTGAGTAGTATATCCATCTCTATTAATAAACCCTCTGCAAAAGCCCATTTTTCCATCCCATCACAGGGGTTGGCTTATGAAGTCGGCTTCTTAACTTTAGCTTAGTCAGTGCCAAGGAATAAGGAAAGCAAAAATAAAGTATGATGAGGAACTGCGCTTGGTGATCTGGGTCACTTCAGCACTTATTCCCTGTGTTAAATGTGTGATTAGGACAATTCCCCCGCCCTCTCCAAATAATGGCAATAAAGAGTTCTTAAGGTCTCATGCAGATATCTTCTTGACCTTGATTTGGAGGACTGAGTCCCCTTCAGTCAGGCAAATTTTACCTAAATGCAGGGTTTCTATGTGGATGCCATCCCAAGTGAGGATGTGAGGTGTCTGTGAGAAGCAGCAGGCTACCATTTCTCTCTTCCTACTCTTTTAGAATACTTTAGGAAATAGTTACTCCTCAGACCACTGTAAGGGGTTATCCCTCTGAGTAGTGTGACCCTTGTTTCAGAGAGCTAGAAGTGAAGAGATGGTGAGATTAGGTACACTTAGTCTTGCAAACCAGGAAAACCAGAAGGCAAGACATTAAGAGAGAAAAAGAAGCCCTCTATTTTGTCTTTAGTACTTAAGGAATATGGATAGATCAGTTGGAAAGTTGGCAATTCAAGACTAAAACAGTATACCAACCAATGAACATTTCATTGTAGGGTCTTCCCATGGACTTGTAGCAGATTTGTCTTCCCTGCCAGCCTCTACCTTCCCAATGGTTAGACATGAAAAAGACATGGGTACTTAAGGATTGACACAAAGACAGAGATAAGCACCGTAGAGCTGCCACAAAGCATAGATTTTAAAAAATACTTTGAAGCCTCAGAAGGTAGGAAACAGCAACAGCAAACTGCTCTTGTGTGTGTGAGAGAGGGAGACACACACACACACACACACACACACACACGCAGACATCAGGTCCCACATTAGCCTCCAATGACCTAGTATTTTATTTTTAGTGCCTAGGCAAGGTCTGAGAAACAAATACATTGGACAAAACTTGTTGGTCTTCTTCATCCAGAAATTAAGGGACTCAGCTCAGGAACCTCTCCTGGAGTTGTGGCTCTCCCCATTGGTTGACATTAGATATTGAATTCATGTCATTTCCTAGACAACTGTGGTGAGGGATGGAGTTGGGGGGCTGGAGAGGAAGATAATAGCACAAATTCCAGTATTAGGCTGGATTCTTCTGAAGGTGCCTGGCGGTTGAGAATTTAGCTATGGGACCCAGTGTTTCTTTTCTGAAGGATCCCAGTAGTCTCAACCAAGAAGCAGGACGTAGGTGGGAGAGAATGCTGTAGATTTGCTCCTTGCCATAAATTCTAGGGCAGTGAGTGGGGAGCTCAGGTTTTCTGCTTCAGAGAAGTCTGGATGAGTGTCCCAAGGGGTTATAGCACCATGAGGAGGCTCAGCCTTCTGCAGTTGCCATATAACTGTGATTCCTTCATGAGAATGATCAATCCCCACAGTGAGGGGCCCAGATGTGCAACTGTAAACAGGGTCCCAGGCTCCAGAGGGAAAGCCGAGGCTTCAATACTACCTCACTAGACGGGAACACACTTTCTGGAGGAAAGCAATTGGAGACCTGGCCTAAATGCAGCAGTCAGCTGAGAGTAGAGGGTGGTGGATCCCAGGAAGAGAAATAAAAAGTCATAGCATGAGGCCTCCAGAATCAACCTGCTGAGGATCCAAATAAAATTCATGGTGGTATCCATGGTTACCAGAGAGCCAAGAATCCCTTTGGGGTCGGAGGCAGTTGGAATGAAAGAAGGGGTTCTCCCCTCTCCTTTTTCTCAAGTAGCCAGTAACATCCATGGCAGAAGGCACTGGCTGGGCAGCACCAGAAAATAGAGTGAAGCGCTCAACCATCAGATTAAGATGGCATTAAAAGTCTGAGCCTTGCCATGGAACTGGAGCTTAGGATAGGGTTTAGAAGAGGCCTAGATCCCAAGCAGGCCCATCCAGTCTTCTCTTCCTTCTAAGTTAGAACAGCCAGCTCGGGGGCCTCCTCATTCTGCACAGCAGAGACCTTAAGGCAGTGATTTCAGCACCATCCTTGGACACACAGCCTCTTCCCACCACAGAATTGCATATGTTACAGCTGAGTTGGTTAGGGATCTTCACAGCTCATGGAATTAGCAGCAATAGCAATAATAGTCTCCATCATACAGAACCCTGTCATCCATGGGAGCTTACCACGTGGATGCAGAAGCTTTTGTGAGGGGCAGCCCGGACCATCTTTTGGACTTAATATACCGATATGAAGATTCAGATGCATCTACTCCTCGGTTGGGTGGAAGAGTGATCCAGGTTGGTATGCCTATAGATTCTGATAAAGTCTTGTGCTACTTAGGAATCTGAAGAGCAAACACTTAGGCCGGTGCTCATCACATATCCTTGACCTGCAGAGTCCTGAAGCTTCAGCCTACTAGGCAGCTCAGCCTAGAAGCTGGTCCCGCGGGGCTTTCAGAAATGGCAGGAAGTAGACTTGCCCATTCCTGACAAGCAAGATTCCATAGTCCTTCAGGCTCCATCTTAATTGATCCCAGATCTTCTGCCCCCAATGTATTGTACATCTAATCAAAAGCTTCTTTCTAGCTGGCTCCTTGGGTTTCAGCTACATTTCTTAGATGATCCCGAAGGTCTAGATAACAAGGGGGCGTAGCTGAATGGAGGTTAACATTTCCTGCTGGACTGTAAACTTAAGGGCCCAGGTCTTGTGTGTGTGTGTGTGTGTGTGTGTGTGTGTGTGTGTGTGTGTGTGTCTGTTTTAACCTAATGATTTGTATATAGTGAGTACTCAGTAAGTACTTGTCAAATGAAAGAACAGGGATTGCCAGACCTTCAAGGCAATGGGAAAGGAGCAAATCTGCAAAGGTAGGATCTCTTTGGAAGGCAGGTATTGGCCACCAAGTCAAACTCCTTGAGTCTTATATTCTGATTGGGATGATCTCACATGGATGTTCATCTCTTATATGTGAATACTCATTTGTGAAAAATAGTAAGAGCCAGCTAGGATATTTGGATTCAGTCAGGCACCATCAGAATAGTGCAGTGAAAGGCCAAACTGGCCACAAGACAGAGGAATGTTTTCAGTTTTCTGGTTTTCCTCTGGTCCATGATAAAGCTCGGAGTAACTCTTCTATCAAGATGGGGCTATACCTTCTCATGACAGAGGCTGGCAATTGAGCTACCCAGCAGAACGTGTGCTCTCAAAAGGGAAGTCAAGGGAACTGGGTTCCTCTTCTCCCTCTACTTCTGAGCCAATGCTTCATGTCTCATATAAGCCCCATGGATGCCAAAGATAGTGGCATGGCAGGTGTCATGCCAATTGCATGGCATCAGATTCTCCAAAGAAAACCCACTTGGAAAAGCCAAACTAGCCCCTGGAAAAGCAACCCAAGCATCTCGTGGACATGTGAGGAAATGGAAAAACGGAAAAAGAAAAAAAAAAGGGAAACAAAAAAATAAATAGGCAAATGGGAGAAAAAAATGAAAACAAAATAAAAACCAAAAATAAAAAAGTAGGGTTTATTGACTCTTATGCATTGTTAAATTAGAGGGTAGAAAGACAGAGCTGGTAGTCTTTCCCTGAAGGCTGTAAGGTTATTTTTGTGGTTTGGTGACTTCTCAGGTTGGCAGCCGTCTTGTTGATGTCCCCTATGTCATCCAGAGGGCAGGAGCGGGCAGCTCTCTACCTTGGCAACTGGTTCCTCTCTCTCCAGCTTCATCTTTTCCATTGTTTTTTGTTTGTTTGCTTGTTTTTGTTTTTCATTTTTACCTTTTACAGATTGATTTAAACATTTTTTAAACCACATGCTTCTTTTTCTGGGCTCCAGCCAGATCTCTGGGGGAGGAGTTGTTGGCAGTGGTGATGGAATTGGGAAGGGTCTGTGAGAAAATCTGAGGAGCTTCCTGCCTCCCCCAGATCTCCCTCACAAGACTGTCTCTCTCAGGGTTGCTTGTGAGAATCATTTAGGAACTGCTGCAGTGTTTTGATGTTTTCTGAACCCCTCCCCAGAAAGCCCAGGAGTTTGTAATTGAAACAAGAAGTCAAGGGAAAGACCCAGAATCATCTTTTCCCCAAAGTCATTAGAGGAGGCCAGTAAATGTGTTTAGGGGGCACAAGTTCCCAAACGCCACCCCACCATTCCTTCCTAGGAAGTTCTCAAAGGTACAGCACCAAGAACCTGTCCCTCCTCTTTCATCTCCTCCTCCCTCCTGTTCTCCTCCTGGGGCTGGAGAGCCAGTGCTCTGAAAGAGGAGAGGGGAGAGGAGGAGCTAAGATAGCTGATGCCAGCGTTCTGCTGTCCGGGGGTGACAGTGATTGCCGAACCCTTAAAGTGTTGCCTGAAGGTTGGGGTCCAGGATGGTTTCTCGATCTGGAGACTCAATGTAGTTGGCAGCTTCTTGAAGTTTCAGCAGCATGGCCATCTAAAGGGGGGCAAAAAGATGGATTTATGAGAGTTGGGACTCTGGGTCCTGCCCACAGAAGGGAAACAACAACAACAAAATCCCAACACTTTGGGAGGCCAAGGTGGAAGGATAGCTTGAAGCCAGGAGTTTGCAATCAGCTTTGAAAACAAAGAGAGACCCTGACTCTACCAAAAAATAAAAATAAAACAATAAAAAACTGGCCAGGCGTGGTGGCACACAACTACAGTCCCAGCTACTCAGGATGCCAAAGCCCAAGTGGGAGGATGACTCGAGCCTATGAGCCTAGGAGTTTGAGGCAGCAGTGAGCTTTGATATCATCACTGCATTCCAGCCTGGATGAAAGAGCAAGACTCTGTCTCCAAAAAAAAAAAAAAAAAAATCTAGATCATGGGTCTGATCCTTGGTTTCTCAGTGATGAAGAGCTCAGAGTTTAGAGTGGTTTGTGAAAAGGCAATGAGGATTTCTTCAATGATAACTGTGACACATGTGTATGTACAACAATTACTTGGGAGTATGCCTGCTATACAAGGGACAAGGTACCATTTATGGAGGAATACCAAAAAAGAATGAGACCACTTCTGCCTGCAGGGTGCTTGCACTCCAGGAGAGGAGGGAAGGCCTGAACATACCAACGAATACTGGGAGGAATGTGAGAAATGCTATAAAATAACAATTTCCCCTTCCAATAGAGTATAAACCAGCAGCTAGACACTGTATTATTATGAACCTATTTCTCTCCAGCTTACCAACCGTGTTGCTTCATGTCAAGTCTAAATACCTCTATGTACTCACTTCCTTCTCTTTACTTACTTTTTTCTCTGGACACGTCAAGATTGGTACTTCCATTTCAGCTAAGTAAGCCTGGTGCATTTTCTGTTGAATCTGCTCTCCACAATTCTCTTCTGTCTACGTGATTATTAATAAGCTTCCAATTTAAAAGCATTTTTATACAGATAGCATCTGTTTTTAACAAAGTCAAAATTTTAATAAAAATGTATTATGATTATTGGAAGAATTTCCTATGGGAAAGATAGAATTGTAAGGTCACAGGATTTGCGCATGTTAAGTTTTAATATAATCTGCCAAATTATCTTCCAAAATGGTTTTATCAACAACCACTCCCACCAGCGGAGTATAAAAGTCTATGCTTCCATACATACTACTTTTGCCAATGTGAAGTGGTATCTCTTGTTTTAATTTGCATTTCCTCAATTATTGGAGAGGCAGAGGATCCTTTTATGTTTTTATTGGCCATTTGCATTTGCTCTAGCCAAATGTCTACTCATATCTTTTTTTTTTTTTTTTGAGAGGGAGTCTCGCTCTGTCGCCAGGCTGGAGTGTGCAGTGGCGTGATCTCGGCTCACTGCAAGCTCCACCTCCCGGGTCCAAGTGATTCTCCTTCCTCAGCCTCCCAAGTAGCTGGGACTACAGGTGCCTGCCACCACGCCTGGCTAATTTTTTGTATTTTTAGTAGAGACGGGGTTTCACCATGTTGGCCAGGATGGTCTCAATCTCTTGACCTCATGATCCGCCCGCCTTGGCCTCTCAAAGTGCTTGGATTACAGGTGTGAGCCACCACGCCTGGCCTTCATATCTTTCTCCTAAGAGATGGGGTCTTGCTTTGTCACCTGGGCTGGAGTGCAGTGGTGTAATCACGGCTCACTGTAGCCTCAACTTCCCAGGCTCAAGCAATCTCCCACCTCAGCCTCCTGAGTAGTTGTGACTGTAGGCATGTGCCATCACACCCAGCTAATTTTTTTGTTTTTCTAGAGATGGGGTCTCAGTATGTTGCCCAGGTTGGTCTTGCACTCCTGGCCTCAAGCCATCCTCCTCCTGTCTCAGCCTCCCAAACTGCTGGAATTACAGGTGTGAGCCACTGTGCCCAGCTGTTTATATCTTTTATCCATTCTTCTGTTTGGAAATTTTAGATATTTTAGATACCAGTCTTTTTCTGGCTACAGGCATTGCAGATATTCCCCCAGTTTGTACTTGGCTTAGCCTGCTTTCTACAGGAGTTCCATGAACTCATTTAGCTGAAGTAGTCTTCAGGATAGCGTCAGAGGAGAAGCAGAAGTAGAGAGAGTGCTAGTGTGCCCTACTGCTCTACTTCTTTGGTTGATATTCCTACATCATGAGATCTACCTGAGACTTGGGTCTTTGCTAGAATACATCTTGCTGGGATGCACTATTATTTAGCTTAAGCCAGGTCTCAGGCATATGATCTTTATAACCCCAGATTCTGATATTTAGAGCTCCTCACTGGCCTTAGCCTGGTCCTGGCTTTGCTAGTGCTCACTCTTTACTCTCCAGGCCCCCATCAGTGTATGTATGAAAAGTGTGAAGAATTCAGGGTTTTTTTTTAACTTATTTTTTTCTTTTTTGAAATACAGACAGGGTCTCATTATGTTGCCCAGGCTGGTTTTGAACTCAAACAATCCTCCCACCTCAGCCTCTCAAAGTGCTGGGATTACAGGTGTGAGCCACCCTGCTGGTCAATAATTCAGTTCTATAATAGTCTTATTTTTACTCTAGAATGGCTTCTACTCACCAGAGGATCTGAGTCCAGAGAACTTGGGGTGCTGTCTTTGACTGTCCTATCCTCGGGAGGTGAGGCAATGCTGTGAGGGCCCACGGTGGGTGGGGGCAGGTGGTACAGCTTTGATTGGTCTTGTTGGGCTGATGGCCAGGGAAGTGTGTCCCGGACCCATTCCACTGGGTCCTCCCAAGCAGCTTTCTGTCCATGGACCTGGAAAGAAGGTGAAATATGATTACTGTGGGGAATTAACAGATTAGAGGCTTGTTCATGCAGTCTTTTGGTAGTTCCTACAAAAAATAGGCTCCTTAAAAATATGCACTTCCTGGCCAGGCGCAGTGGCTCATGCCTGTAATCCCAGCATTTAGGGAGGCCAAGACAGGAAGATCACTTGAGGTCAGAAGTTCAAGACCAGCCTGGCCAACGTGGTGAAACCCTGTTTCTACTAAAAAGAAAAAAGAAAAAAAAAATTAGCCATGCATGGCGGTGCGTGCCTATATAATCCTACCTACTTGGGAGGCTGAGGCAGGAGAATCACTTGAACCTGCGGAGGTTGCAGTGAGCCACTGCACTTCAGCCTGGATGACAGAGCAAGACTCTGCCTCAAAAAAAAAAAAAAAAAAAAAGTGCACTTCCTCAAATGTAAATCCTCGAGGCTCTGATTTCTGTGGAGTTTTCCTGAGTTTCCAAACAAGGAAATAAGTTGGTATAAATTGTAAAATAATTTTGGAGGATAATTTAGCAGATTGTATTAAAACTTTAAAAAATATTTAATTTTTATTTTTTCAATTTATTTTATTCATTTTTTAATCAACAAAAATTATATGCATTTATGATGTATAACATGATGTTATGAAATATGTATTTGCCGTGGGATGGCTAAATCAAGCTAATTAACGTATGTATTACCTTACATATATATTTTTTCCCAGAGGGAGTTTCGCTCTTGTTGCCCAGGCTGGAGTGCAATGGTGCAATCTTGGCTCACTGCAATCTCTGCCTTCTGGGTTCAAGTTATTCTCCTACTTCAGCCTCCCAACTAGCTGGGATTACAGGCATGTGCCACCACGCTCGGCTAATTTTTTGTATTTAGTAGAGATGGGGTTTCATCATGTTGGTCAGATTGGTCTTGAACTCCTGACCTCAGATGATCTACCTGCCTTGGCCTCCCAAAGTGCTGGGATTAACAGGTGTGAGCCACTGCACCTGACTTTACCTCACATATTTCTGTGTGTGTGGTGAGAACACTTAAAATCTATTCTCAGCTGCGTGCGATGGCTCACACCTATAATCCCAGCACTTTGGGAGGCCGAGGTGGGAAGATCGCCTGAGGCTGGGAGTTCGAGACCAGCCTGACCAACAAGGAGAAACCCTGTCTCTACTAAAAATACAAAATTAGCCGGGCGTGGTGACACATGCCTGTAATCCCAGCTACTTGGGAGGCTGAGGCAGGAGAATCGCTTGAACCTGAGAGGTGGAGGTTGCAGTGAGCCAAGATCCCGCCATTGCACTCCAGCCTGGGCAACAAGAGTGAAACTCCGTCTCAAAAATACAAATAAATAAATAAAAACTATTCTCTTAGTGAGTTTCAAGTATATGATACATTGTTATTAACTATAGTCACCATATGGTACAATATATCTCTTGAACTTATTCCTCCTAACTGAAATTTTGTATCCTTTGACTAACATCTCCTCAACCACTCCTACTCACCTACCCCCCTGCCCAGCCTCTGGTAACCACCATTCTACTTTCTGCTGCTCTGAGTTTGACTTCATTAGATTCTATGTATAAGTGAGATCATGCAGTATTTGTCTTTCTGTGCCTGGCTTATTTCACTTAACATAATGTCCTCCAGGTTTATCCATGTTGTTGCAAATGACAGAATTTCTTCCCCATCCCCCAACCACCCCACCTTTTTTTAAGTGACAAGGTCTCGCTATGTTGCCTAGGCTAGACTTTAACTCCTGGTCTCAAGAGATCCTCTCGCCTCAGCTTCCAGAGTAGCTGCTGGGACTACAGGCATGCATCATCATGCCTGGCTTTGAATTTCCTCCTTTTTTACAACTGAATAATTTTCCATTGTGTGTATATATACCACATTTTCTTTATCCATTCATCTACTGATGGATGCCTAGGTTTCATTAAAACTTAACATGCACAAACCTCATGACCCTACAATTTCATTTTTCAAGTAGGAAATGTTTCCGCTTTAGTCATAATGCTTAATTTTTTTTTTTTAACTTTTTTTTTTTTTTTTTGAGACAGAGTCTCCCTCTGTCACCCAGGCTGGAGTGCAGTGGCGGTGATCTCGGCTCACTGCAAGCTCCACCTCCCAGGTTCACGCCATTCTTCTGCCTCAGCCTCCCGAGTAGCTGGGACTACAGGTGCCCACCACCACATCTAGCTAATTTTTTGTATTTTTAGTAGAGACGGGGTTTCACTGTGTTAGCCACGACGGTCTCGATCTCCTGACCTTGTGATCCGCCTGCCTTGGCCTCCCAAAGTGCTGGGATTACAGGCGTGAGCCACCGCACCCGGCTTTTTTTTTGTTTTTTACTTTCTTGAAAACAAATACTATCTGTGTGAAAATGCTTTTAAATTGAAAAGCTACTAATAATAATGCAACATTTCCTTAAAATAATATAATTTATAAATGAAATAATGATTTCTGGCATCAGTCTGACAGCATCTTTAGAAATTTACTATATCACCAGGAGATATCTATCTCAATAACAAGTTACTTTTACAGATAATATATGACCCATGGGTCTAGCCATTACATCACAGTTTATTAGTGCTGGAATGGACTTTAGTGATCATCATACCCTAATTTACAGGTAAGAAAACTGAGGTGGTTTTAAGAAAATGACATGTTCCTTTTGCACTAAGTTTTTATTCTAACTTTTAATTTTAATTGTTTTTTTTTTTGAGACAGGTTCTCACTCTGTTGCCCAGGCTGGAGTGTAGTGGTGAGAACATGGCTCACTGTAGCCTGTATATCCTGGCCTCAAGTGATCTTCTGGCCTCACCCTCCAGAGTAGCTGGGACTACAGGTGTGCACCACCATGCCTGGCTGATTTTTTTTATTTTTTGTATAGACAGGGTCTCCCATGTTGCCCAAGCTCCTGGGCTCAAGTAGTCCTCTCGCCTCAGCCTTCTAAAATGCTGGGATTACAGGCGAGAGCTACCAGGCCCAGCCTTATTTTAAGTTTTTTTGTTTGTTTGTTTGTTTTTGTTTTTGTGACAGAGTCTCGCTCTGTTGCCCAGACTGGAGTACAGTGGCGTGATCTCAGCTCACTGCAAGCTCTTGCCTCCCGAGTTCACGCCATTCTCCTGCCTCAGCCTTCCAAGTAGCTGGGACTGCAGGCGCCCACCACCACGTCTGGCTAATTTTTTGTATTTTTAGTAGAAAGGGGATTTCACCATGTTAGCCAGGATGGTCCTGATCTCCTGACCTGGTGATCTGCCCGCCTCGGCCTCCCACAGTGCTGGGATTACAGGCATGACCCACCACGCCCGGTCTCCTTATTCTAACTTTTAAAAATCTTTTCACATATTTCATTTTGTCTTCAAAAGACTCCAGTGATTTAGGTAGAGCAGAAGGTGATGTCTCCTTTTTTTTTTTACATATGAGGGTATTTAAAAAGGTCAAGTAACTTGGTTAATATAACATACTTATTAGTAGTAAGTAGCTAAGGTTTTGTTTGTTTGTTTGTTTGTTTTAATTAGGGTTTTACTTACTTCTTAGCTCAATTATTTTTCTGTTTGCTCTGACCCCTAGAGAGTGGTTTAAATTGGGCTTAGAGCCAGAAGGCCTAGGACTGGAGAGATGGCCCCAGAGGCAGTGGTCATTGTACCATTTGCTGAATGGCAGCTGGAGGCAGGAAAGCAGCTTAGTCTACCCAGTGCCTTGCTCCACCTGTTAGAAAGAGAACCTAACTAATCCTAGTAGTCCCATGCCTAACATTAAAGAAACATTCCTACTTTGTTAGGTAGGACAGCCTGATCTTAGGGTTTGAGTGAAGGGGGTAGGGCTCACCTTTATCCCATCCTTGGCTCCTTCCTGTAGATAGGGAATGATAGAGTTGTTCCACAGGTCAATGAACCAGGTCCGGAAGTCCTCAATGCCAATGGGACACGACAGAAAGAAGCAAGGGCCTAGGGAAGAGGATGGGGCCATGAAGATGGCTGGGAACCTAGATCTTCCCGGTTGTGTGCCTCTTTTACTCCTTAGTACCAGGCAGAGGGGTCTGACAGTCAAAGGATTAAAGGAAATTTAGAGTTGTCAAGACTAGTGGGTGCTGACTGCCTAGATGGCAATCTCATAAGTCCTGCTTCACAAGGTAGAAGTGAGATAAGGGAGTGAGGAAAGCTGTTTAATTCCTTCCTACATATGTGCCTCCTTTTTTCTGTTAATTGTGGGAAAAAAACAAGGAGAGGGGTTAGCTTTCTGGTGATTGAAGTGGTGCTAACTGTGTTGGGAAGGCTCGTTAAGTGGTTCTAAGTCTGAAGCCACAAGGCTTGCAGCTCCTTTACATGCCGAAGACTCCAGGAAGAGAAGGGAGCATCCCTCCAGGTGGTACAGTGGAAAAGGGAAGCCACCTCCTGACCCCCGGGGGAAGCTGGACCCCAGTACCGATGAGGAAGTCTGAGGTGCTGTGCTTCTCAAGGAAGGTGTGGAGATGATACCACAGCTTGGGTACCCAGTCGAGCACCCGAAGCAGCTCTTCCTTGTTGGCATTGATGTCGCTGTCTGACTCTACCAGCTTCCTCCTCAGGTAACGAACCAGGAAGCCATTGGCTGGCTCCACGTTGTTGGAGAAGGTCAACATCCTGCCACCAAGGATGGGGAAAGTGGGGTCAGAGTGGCAATGGGGACATTGTCAGGGTTCAGCCCCTGCCAGTCTGTCCCTCCTTCTGCCTGCTTCTCACTAATGCCTACTTGGTTTCTTTTCAAGTAATAGTGGGGACATCGGAACTCAGAGCAGCAGCCCTGGGGTGGTAGAGCTGATTCTCAAATTGGTAGCCCTCTTCGGATAACCTTCTGACATCACTGACCCAGATCAGCGTGTGCGGGCAGAGAATCCTAATTCTGCTTAGAGCAACCTACCTGGCTCTCTCTTAGCTTAGCAGGCCTTTTCTCTCCTCAAGTGTCCTCCTCCACCTTGTAACTGACATGACAAATACATCTACTTTCTATTTCCAGCCCAAAAAGCTCTGGATACTTCTCTTTCCTTCTCCTATCTACTGCCTCCTGGCCAGAGTCCAGGATTGAAGACTCTTGGGTAGGGTCAGAAGGTTCATCCAGAGCTAGAGGTCTTACCTGAAGCTCAAGTGCAAGCCATGGTTGGGTGTCATTTTTACAGGCTGATTGGTGGTACCTATAATATAGGGACTGTAGGGAGAAAGGGGAAAAAGATTCACTTAGACTTGCCTTCACACTTGCTTTCTGCCACATGCACACAACTCATAGGTTGTCCTGGACTGGGTTCTCCCTCCTCCCACTTCGATGAATTTTGTCTTGATCCCAGCTTACTTACCATTTATGATACTTGCAGGTGAGGGCCCCATTGACCAACTCACTGATGGAGCCTGCTTCACTCAGGTCATCCAATAGAATCACCAGGGGCACATCCCCAATTCCTGTTTCCCGGTCTATCTGGTTGGCTAGGTTGGAAAGATACAGTTGCAGATCCTGGAATAAAAGAAGGCTGTGGGTCAGCACTTGGGAATAAGCAGCTGGATCGGCCTTGGAAATCAGGATTTTGAAGAAGTCTTACTAGATCTAGATTCCCCTGGGGCCTTTAGTTCCTTGCAAATTTGATTACAGCAGATTACCACAGAGTGATAAGCAGTGGTTGCAAAGGCTCTAAAGCAACCCTCTTAAGCAGCAGCCCCTAAATTCCCCAAAGTTGGGGAACATATGCTATTTCCTAGATGGATTTTCACTGGTACCATGGACTACTACTAATGGGCATGCCTCCCCGAGCTGGGAAGAGCAAAGATCTGAACCAACTCCATTGTATTAGGGTACTCAAGAGACATCATCAGGTTTTGGCAGGGGAGGGTGTAATATGTACCATTTAATTCTGAGTGCTTCTTCCCAGATAGCCCAAGGTCAGAGAGTAATACTGAAAAGAAAAGTAGAAGGAAGAGAACAAAAGAGAAGGGATGGGATTGACAGGGTTGGCAGACAGTGGGGTAGAAATGAGGAGAATGCAGTTTCATCAATGACCAACTGAGGAGGAAGGTGCACAAAGCAAGGAAAAGTGTGGAGAGGAAAGCCTTTCTCCATAAAGGCAAGGGAAAGTGTGGAGAAACAAGTTAAAGGCAAGAGGCTGGAAAGAAATCGTGGGGAGGGAAAGGAGAAGACTGGAAAAGGGGATAGATAGAGAGGGAAGGAAATGAACACAGAAGAGAAGAAAGATGAAGGCAGAGGTGAGGAAAAGGGAACAATGAGGCAGGAAGGGGCCGAGGAAGGGTCTTAGGGAAGGCTGAGGCATGAACAAAGGCTGGCAGGGGTGTCGGGGGGCAGCCACCTTGCAAGACTGCTGGTGCATGTTGAAGGTGCTGACGATGCCCTCTGTGACCTCACGGCCAGAGCGCTCCACCAGGTACTCGGCCAAGCGATTGGTCAGGTAGGTCTTGCCCGTGCCGCTGGGGCCCGAGAGGACGAGGCGCCGGTGCTTCAGCAGGAGGCTTATGTAGTGCTGCATCATCGGCTTGGGGATCAGCGTCTCGAACACCAGGCTGTCGACGCATTTCTCCTTCAGACCTGAACCCCCACCCCAGAAAGCATGAGTATTGACCAGGGTCTTGAGGATAGCAAGGGATCCTAAAGGGCTTTTCTTTCTTTATCTAGGAGCCCCCTGAAGAAACTCAGAGCCACTTGCCCCATGGTTCCATAAGAGTCCCTTAACCCCTAGTTTTGAAAACTTAGATCTTCTTTTTAGGGACATGCTGTGAGCTGGGGGTGAGGAGTGAAGCAAGAAGCCAAGGCTTAGCAAAAGTGTCCCTGGGAGCCAAAGTTAGGACTGGGTCTTACTCATCTTTTTATATCTCACATTACTTAAGCATCTTCATATTATACCTTCTCAGTGAGTTCTTGGTGAATGAATGCATGATGGATTATTTGATGATCCTGTCCCTGCCTTCATGCCACACCACCTCACCCCAAGAGACAAAGACTGACCTTTGAGGGAGACTGATATGTTATTGACACCTCGACGGCAAGGAGGCATCTCGGGGGGCTCTGCATCCAACACTCGTTTCACGTGGCTGATGCTGTAGCCATGGATGGACTCAGTGCTTAGTCCCAGGGTAGAGGCTGGGTCCATTTTAGAAATATAGTCCTGACAGAAAAGACAGGCAGAAGAAGAAGAAAATATACAAACACAGGTGTAAAAGCCACAACAAAGAATGTCTATCAGAGGAAACAGAAATAGATGGAGAAAGTGCAGAGCATATGCTTTTCCTAGGTAGCATTTCTCCATAAAGCCTCAAAGGTCCCCAGGATCCCAGTGCCTGGACGGTTTAATATCCTGTGAGAAGCCATGCATGGTGGCACATGCTTGTAATCCCAGCTACTCAGGAGGCTGCGACAGGAGAATTACTTAAGCCCAAGAGTTCAAGGCTGCAGTGAGCTGTGATCACGCCACTGCCCTCCAGCCTGGGTGGCAAGAGTGAGACCCTGTCTCTAAAAAAGTATATATATTCCACGAGAGGATGAACAACCTTTTTGAGTACAGGTATCCCTTTACCTTGAACACTTGGAAAACAGCTTCATCCAGCATCTTCCAGTCAACTTTTCCACTGACCTTGCTACAGCCCAGGAAGAATTCCTGCTGCTTCAAGTCCTGTAAGGCCAAGGAAGGAAAAGCTCTTGAGCTTCACTGCAGATGACTCCATGAACCGGGGTCCTAAAGGCCTTAGGAGTTGAGTTCTTTGGTTTTGGAGGTACCCAGGGTCCAGATTTTCTTGGATAAATGTAACAGTATTTGTTCATTCCCACTGTGGCTCTCCCTGAAGTTCCTTACCCCTTTGATGATGTGCTGCGGGGGCATCCTCACCACCACCCGGAGGGTCACTTCCTCCTTTGGACCACAAGTACTGATGCCATCCATGGGTGACAGGTCTGTGGGGATTGAAAAGAACCAACTGGTTTTAGGAGTACCCGCAGCCTTTCCTAAACTTTCCCATCATTATCCTTTCCAAAATAACTCTGTTTGCCACAGAGAAGGAATGGAGGTCCCAAACTCAAAAGTAGTTAAGGTTGAAGGACCATTACAACTCAGTGTCTTAGGACACTGGCATCTGCTTGGCTTCGGCATTGTTACCGCCCTGACCAAAGCAAGTGGAATGGTGTAACAGTGAAATAAGCCCTTTTCTTCCCTTCACCCTTATAGATTCTTCTCCCACACAGGTACCTGTGTCTGCAAGACTGGGGCCGAAGGAATGGGTGAGTGCCAGGCCTAGGGAGCGGCGTGGGGAAGATAATGCAGATGATCCAGGGACCTGCCCTGGAGTGGAGCCTGATGAGGGGCCTGGGGCTACCTTCAGTCGGTCATTCTCTGCTTTCAGCAGGTCCACCTCCAACTGTGGCAAGAACAGACAGGGTAGGGTGGCAGACTGGACAGACAGCAAGCCTTGGTCTTCCCTTTCCTGCAGCTGTCCGCCCAGACACTGACCTGCATGTTGTGCATGGTCTCCCGAAGCTGATCCAGTTGGTGGGCAGAGTTGAGGGCCTCCAAGCGGATGTCTGTAAGCTTCATTTCCTTCTCCCATAGCTCAGAGCGCAGCTCCGATACCTCCTTCTTCTCTGGCTCCTCCTCCTCATTTGCATGGAACAGCCTAGTGTGGGGGGCTGGGTGAGCAGGGCCCCTGTAAGATAGCAAGAGTCAAGCCAGGCTACATGAAGAAGCACTAGAGTTACTAGAGAATATTGAGAGGCATGGTTGGTGGTCTTGGCTTCTCCTGCCCATTGATATTCAATCAGCATGAGAAGAAAGGTCCATCTGTTGGTCTCATATGCCCAGGGAGAGGTCAGTAATAAGTACTGCTTGTCTAAGGTCTAATGGCCTCCTGTCAACTCTAGCCCACAGCTTACACTGGTAACAGGCTGGGTGGCAGGGAGCCAAAGAGCACTTACTCGGTGACATCAGTGCCCACGGAGGACGAGGTGGAGGACTTGATGGAGGGTGAAGCAGTCTCTGTAGAACCATGCTGTAGTTTGGGGGATGAGGGGGCTGAAGAGTCGGGTGTAGCAATCTCCTCTATATCCGAGTATGAGGAAGCTGACTTGGGCCCCTTTTTTATACTGAACGCTTTGTTGAAGGAACTTCGAAGCTAGAAAAAAGCAGATCCAGGTAGAGGGACATTAGGACTCCACTACTGGGATGGGGGAGGACTGGATTGAGACTTCTGAGACAGAGAGAGCTGGAGGCGGGGGATTTACTTTAATTAAGCCACCCTCTATAACACTTCACTTGATTCATAGAATACGGACAGAAGAGTTGCCTAGAAATTAGGACCGTGGAGGCAGAGGTTGCAGTGAGCTGAGATCGAGCCACTGCACTCCAGCCTGGCAACAGAGTGAGACTCCATCTCAAAAGAAAGAAAGAAAGAAAGGAAATTAGGACCAAGAGAAAGAACAGAATCTTCTAGCTTGCTGATGTTGTAGGCTATGGGAACTTCCTGGGTGTTCTCTTGCTCATAGGGGGAATTGTGCCCCTGATGGGGACAGAGAGAAGGTCCCAGAGGTCACATGGTATACAGCTCAGTGATCCAATCCCACCTTCTGCAGCAGAACAATAACCGCTCAGTCTAGAACCTGGCTCACTGTGGGCCTCAGAGGCCACCTCATGATGCCTCTGACTAGGGCTCATCAGCCCAGAATCTGTTCATCTAGTCATCTGTCAACCAGAAACTGACAATATGATTCTGTGGAGAACACGAGAAGGCAGTGGGCTCAAGCTTCTTTTAGTATTTCTTGTGCCCAGGACATCACAGAATGGTTAAAACAGCCAGACAGCATTTTCTATGATTTCCAATGTCCTAGAAGAAGGGCTATTTCCCAGCATTTCTTTAGAGTACTTGGGGCATTATAATCTGACCATAGCTTGTTTGATCTTGGTGTTGATGAGCTTGGGTGTTAGGGATGTGAGCTAGAGATGCAAACCAGGGTCCTGTCCCATACCCATCCACATGCATCCATACAGCATGCACACACCACACACCACACACACACATACACACACACACACAGGGACACAGATATGAAATGGCAGCAAGAGGCAGAGAGTAAAGGAGGGGTCAAAGGTTATAGGGGACAAAGGCAAACCAGATCTTTGGGACGGTGAGAAAAAAGAAGGAAAAATTTGAGGGTACGCTTTCTAAGCGTCTCTCCTGGAACATAGGAAGGCCGTCAGGTGATGGATGGAGCTGGTGGGTGGTGCATCTTGGGGTTTCCACCAGGCAAGATGTAAAGGAGGACCAACTTGGCTGTGGTGGAGACATGAATGAGTGAGTATGTGTGCAGCTGGCTGGCTCCAGGTGACTTCTTATCACTGAGCAGTCAGGGCTCAAAAGTACCATAAAGCTCATTTCTCTGTAGAGATGAAGAACCAAGCCTGAAAAGGCCAGAGAGTTGACTTGCTTGAAATTGCATAATTGACGTAAGACTTAGGACTAGAACTCAGGCTTCCTAATTTTCAATCCAGTGAAGTTTTCTCCATAGCACTGCCTCATGGGATGCTGTGTGTGTGTGTGTAAAGAGATCCTATGACAAGCTGCCTGAAGCATATGCCCCTAAGATCAATAAGATCCTAAGTGAGAATATGTGTAGTTCAGTATTCCCAAAGCCAGAACTGTTCCGAGATGTTTGGTGTTATGTGGCTAGTGGTTCCATGGTTAAATGAGTTTAGGGAACAATGGATTAAGCAAAATGAAACAAGATTATTTGCTGGGGGATATCTCACAACTTTTTCTGTGCAGATGTAGAAAATGCAGTACTTAGGCTGGGCGCAGTGGCTCATGCCTGTAATTCCTGCACTTTTGGAGGCGGAGGTGGGCGAATCAGCTGAGGTCAGGAGTTTGAGACTAGCCTGGCCGAGATGGTGAAACCGCGTCTCTACTAAAAATACAAAAATTAGTTGGACATGGTGGTGCATGCCTGTAATCCCAGCTACTCAGGAGGCTGAGGCAGGAGAATTGCTTGAACCCGCGAGGCCGAGGTTACAGTGAGCCAAGATCGCGTCACTGCATTCCAGCCTGGGTGACACAGTGAGACTCTACCTCAAAAAAAAAAAAAGAGAGAGAGAGAGAAAATGCAGTACTTCTCAAATTTATTTGACGATGGTATCACTTTTTTCTTTTTTTGGAGACAGGGTCTCACTCTATCACCCAGGCCACAGTGCAGTGATGCAATCTTGGCTCACTCAACCTCCACCTCCCAGGCTCAAGCTATCCTCCCACCTCAGCCCCCAAGTAGCTGGGACCACAGGCACGCATCACCACACCCAGCAAATTGTTGCATTTTTAGTAGAGGCAGGATTTCACTATGTTGCCCAGGCTGATCTTGAACTCCTGAGCTCAAGTGATCCACCCACCTCAGCCTCCCAAAGTTCTGGGATTACAGGCCTGAGCCACTGTGCCCAGTCAATGGTATCACATTTTAAGGAGCATCTCAATGGGCTGGCAATCAGTGGAACACACTTTGGGAAATGTTAATCTAAAAAATCAAATTTAAACAAGTATCAGGCTCTTCCTATGTGTACTATACCCTACTCAGTCAGTGCTCTAGCTAAGCTGGCCTTCTCCATCTCCCTCTGCTTCTCTTCTGCACAGACAGTGTCTGTGTAGAAAGCATCCCAACACATTCCTCTCTACCCATCACAATTGCATCTCAGTTTAACTTTTACCTCCTTTGAGAAGTCTTCCCTGCCTATAGTAATCACTGTCTCGTCATCTGTGAACTCCTTTAGCACTTACTGCCCGAATAAGCATTGTGGCACTGTTGGATTGCTATTAATTTTATATGTATAATTTTTTTGGTCTCCCCAGTAATACTGCAGCCTTCTTAATGACGAGATTATAGATTCCATTTTTCATATCCTTCACAACACACCTAGCACAATGTTGGGGTAGGGTTAGAGTGGACCTCAGGTATCTGGTTCATAACAGAAATTCTGGATGCATTTTCTGTTCATCTTAAGACCAAACCCTCATCCCTGAAATGTCTTTGGGAACTCCATGGATGCTTAGACAGTTTTAGGCTTTGGGGTGACTTGAGTGTGCCCTCCTGGTCTCTATCCCTCACCTATCTCTGGTTCATCCTACTCTAGAGCTAAATCTTCAGGTTAGGCCCAGGCTGAACTGGCCTCTGGAAACTGTGGTCAATATAACTTTCATCCAGTGACTCTCTTCCATGTTGGGTCTCTAGGTATTATGGAACCAAAAAGAAGAAGGTTCATTTTCTGGATAGGAGGAGCTCAATTTGACTGCTTTTTATAACAGGCCAATTTTGTAACAGGGGAAGATAGTAGGGAATATATTTGAATTTTGTTTGACTTTCCCATTTGGCCCCCAACCAGACCACTCCTCTGTCCTCACATAGGGCAGCTGTGGATGGACCATGCAGTGGAGTGAGTTAGGAACTCTGGGTGGTTGTTACAGTTAGTGTTATGAGTGGTCATTCATTTTTTTTTTTTTTTTTTTTTTTAGGGGAAGGGAGTTGCTCTGGAAATAGGGAAGGTATGGCAAAGGGAAAGAGAAAATAAGGGGATAGGAACTGGGTCTCTTACCTCATAGACCTGGAAAAAAATAGGGATTTGGAGTCAGCATTTTGAAGGAAAAAAAAAAAGAATCAACACTTAATCACTCATTTCACACAGCTGGTACCTGTCTGCATTATACAAAGGTCTGGGGGTGTGTCTTACTGAACAGGGGACAGAGGAGCAGGACGTGTCCACCTGGGGATGCTTTCTTACCACAGTCAGCAAGAGGGGCTGAGAGTGTCTAGACCTGCCTGAAGAATTTCAGAAAGGTCATACGAAGTCAGTTTAGGATTATGCAAGAGAAAAAAACCACACGTACAAAAATGACTTCTGGACCTACCAAAGGTAATAATAAAGAGTCCTTTGAAGTAATCTGGAAAGCTCCACAAAACATCCCCAAAAATTAAAGAAATGACCTCCAGGAGTCTAGAATGAACAGCTTTGTTCATAAAATCTCTCCATAGTATAGAAGGGAATGGGGGGTGGTGGGGACAGAACTGATAAGATGTTTCCTTCTGAGTATATCCTCAGCATCCTTCTGTTGCCAAATACATCTTGGCCTAACCAGTATGGAGAGCCCAAAGAAAGCAGATGCATATAAAGGTCAGAGGGGTGGCCTTGGGGACAAGTAGGAAATGATTGAGGGAAGGGAGAATCTGGGAGACCATGCTCTGAGCGGACATCACACTAGGGCTCAGTGTTAGACGGGACTACACCTTGGTTAATCCTGGAAGGATTCGATCCCTATGCTGAGGTGAAGGCGGTCCACCACGGTTCTACCTACTTCCCACCCCCCAAACCTTTACCTACCCAACTCTTTTTTTTCTTCTTTTTCGCATCAGCATCCTTGCTGCTGCCGATGCTGGAATGGCTAGTGATGCTGTTGAGGCTTGAGATGCTATCTGAGGAGTTTTGTCTCTTGATCCGAAGTTCTAGGGCCAAGTACAAGTGGGAAAAACATAGAACAGATTTAGAGAGGATGTGAGACTTCAGGCAAGTCTAGTGGCAGAAGATAAGAGAAAGGAGAACCAACCAACTCCTCAATCACATTATTCATTTTTTTGGATCATTCATTCAGCAAACATTTATTGAGTCCCAATCATGTTTCAACATAGAAAAAGTGCAAAAGGTAAGAATTAAATAAGAAATGATTCCTTTTCTCAAGAACCAGAAGTTAGCATGGAGTCATGGACTCAGCTTGAATCAGTCTAAGGACTTAACTAAAGCCAGCCCTCTACAGTTTTATGGAGATATCAACCTACCATTTTTCATGATTTTTCTAGCAATACTTAGCTATCTGGTGGTCCAAGGCCAAGAACTAGCCATATACTAGCCAAATACATCACTAGCCATGTACCCTGCATTCCACCTGAAAGAGCTTCAGTTTTCTCATCTGGTGGGTAGAAAATCTTTGCTTTCTGAGAAGGTTTGTGATGGCACAAAAAATAATCTTACTTTTCTACAACAGGGGAGGAAGGGGTTAACAAAGGAGATGTCTGAGTACTGAAAGAATAGAAATTTTTCAGATGGGAACTTTGGAAAACGTATTTAGGGTTGAAGAAAAGGTACATGCAAAGGCACTGTCCAGGGAACTGGCTTTGCTTTGAGGAACTGTGGGTAGTCTGGAATGGAAGCAGCAGAGGGCACATGTGGGGGTACAGAAAAAAGTGAGGGTGGAGATTAGGCTCAGGCCAGATCAGGCACAGCCCTCAATGTCTTTTTTCCTTTTTCTTTCTTTTTTTTTTTGAGATGGAGTCTTGCTCTGTCACCCAGGCTGGAGTGCAGTGGTGTGATCTCGGCTCATTGCAACCTCTGCTTCCTGGGTTCAAGCAGTTCTCTGCCTCAGCCTCCCAAGTAGCTGGGATTACAGGCACCCGCCACCAGGCCCACTAATTTTTTCGTATTTTTAGTAGAGACGGGGTTTCACCATGTTGACCAGGCTGGTCTTGAACTTCTGACCTCATGATCCACCCACCTCAGCCTCCCAAAGTGCTGGGATTACAGGCACGAGCCACTGCGCCCGGCCTCCTTTTTCTTTTCTTTCTTTCTTTTTTTTTTTTTTTTTTTAATGAGACAGGGTCTTGCTGTGTTGCCCAGGGTGGTCTTGAACTCCTGGGTTCAAGTGATCCTCTTGCCACGGCTTCCCAAAGTGCTGGGATTATAGGCATGAGCCAACATGCTCAGCCCCTCAATGTCTTTTTTTTTTTTTTTTTTTTTTTGAGAAGGTGTTTCACTCTTCTTGCGCAGGCTAGAGTGCGGTGGTGCGATCTTGGCTCACTGCAACCTCCGTCTCCTGGGTTCAAACGATTTTCCTGCCTCAGCTTCTCGAGTAGCTGAGATTACAGGCCCCTGCCACCACGCCCGGCTAATTTTTTTTTTTTTTTTTTTGAGACGGAGTCTCGCTCTGTCGCCCAGGCTGGAGTGCAGTGGCGGAATCTCGGCTCACTGCAAGCTCCGCCTCCCGGGTTCACGCCATTCTCCTGCCTCAGCCTCCCAAGTAGCTGGGACTACAGGCGCCCGCCACTACGCCCGGCTAATTTTTTGTATTTTTAGTAGAGACGGGGTTTCGCCATGTTGGCCAGGCTGGTCTCAAACTTCTGACCTCAGGTGATCCACTTGCCTCGGCCTCCCAAAGTGCTGGGATTACAGGGGTGAGCTACCGTGCTTGGCCCCCTCAATGTCTTTTAAATGAAATTTGCCTTTGTGCCATAGATAATGGAGAACGGAAATTCTGAAGCAAAGGCAAAATATTATCTGATTTTTAAAATCCTTTTTATTTTAAAATAATTATAGATTCATAGGAAGTTGCAAAGAAATGCACAGGGAGGTCCTCTGCACATTTCACTTAACCTCCTCCAATGCAAACATCTTGCCTAACTATGGTGCAATGTCAAAGATTTTTTAGGCTTGGCTCAGTGGCTCACAACTGTAACCCCAGCACCCAGGGATGCCAAGGCAGGACGATCACTTAAGCCCAGGAGTTTGAGACCAGCCTGGGCAACACAGTGAGGCCCTCATCTCTATTTAAAAAAATATTTTAAAAATAGAGCTTACTATGTTAACAATGAGAAAGATGAAATGGAGGGAAACTAAACTAGAGGAAGGGGAGTAGTAAAGTGGCTATTTGCAATTGTCCTCCTAGAAACAAAACCTGTTAGATGAAGGAGATGTGGGTAAGGTTTGGTTATTTTTCTCACTCTCACTATGACCAGAAATGGATCTTTTAAACTCTAATTTTCCCTTGATACTACAGGGAAAACAAGATCGTAGGATCTGATGCTATAACTACAAAGCTCATAAGGTATTTGGAAAACCCTTTGTACAACGATTATCATACCCAGTTAATGATACTACAGAGTACTTCAGTTATTTTAAAAGGCGTGGGAAATTCTCAAGAGGCTGGGTGTGGTGGCTCATGCCTGTAATCCCAGCACTTTGGGAGGCCAAGGCGGGAGGATGGCTTGAGCCAGCAGTTCAAGACCAACCTGGGCAACATAGTGAAACCCCATCTCTACAAATAATTACAAAATTAGCTGAGTGTGGTGGCACACGCCTGTGGTCCCAGCTACTTGGCTGGCTGAAGCAGGAGGATCGCTTGAACCCAGGAGGTGGAGGTTGTAGTGGGCTGAGATTGCATAACTACATTCCATCCAGGGCAACAGAATGAGAGCGAGACCCTGTCTAAAAAAAAAAAAAAAAAAAAAAAAGATACACCAAGTTGAAGTTAAAAAAAATCTTTATTTGTGTAAAAATGAATATACGTATCCATATATGTTTGTTTGTATATACACAGATATTTATTTCTGGCAAGATTAAAACTATTAGCAGTTCTTACCTCTGCGGATTGGGATTTGAAGGGGTGACTCAGGGAAAGGGATTTTATATTTCACCATATACCCTCTTATATAGTTTATCTCAGTGGTAGGAAAACATTTACTGTAAAGGGCCAGATAGTAAATATTTTATGCTTTGTGGCCATAGGGTCTTGGTCACAACTCCTCAGTTCTGCTGTTATAGCATGAAAGCAGCCACAGACATTATGTAAATTAATGAGTGTGGCTGTGTTTCCAATAAAACTTTATTTACAAACAGAGTGGTGAGCCAGACTTGGCTGATGGGCCATGATTTGCCCACCCCTAGTTTACATTCCCCCTCAGAACATGCATTGCTTTTATGATAAGAATTAGTTTAATTGAAACTAGTTAATTAAAAATAAAATAAAGGGGCTGGGTGTGGTGGCCCATGCCTGTAATTCCAGCACTCTGGGAGGCCCAGGTGGGTGGATTGCTTGAGTCCAGGAGTTTGAGACTAGCCTGGGCAACATAGCCAAACCCCATCTCTACTAAAAATACAAAAAGTTAGCTGGGCATGGTGGTGCGCACCTCTAATCACAGATACTCCGGAGGCTTAGGTGGGAAAATCATATGAGTCCCAGGGATCGAGGCTGCAGTGAGCTGCGATAGCACCACTGTGCTCCAGCCTGGGCAACAGAGTGATACCCTCTCTCAAAAAATAAATAAATAAATAAATAAAAATAAAAAATAAAAAATAAAGGGTAGCAAAGTATATGCATCCGTCTATCAGTTATTTGAAGGTTTCAATTAGTTGAGATATATCAGTTACATTTAAAAAATACACTATATAGTACTTTTTTTTTTTTTTTTGAGATGAAGTTTCACTCTTGTTGCCCAGGCTGGAGTGTAATGGCGCGATCTCGCCTCACTGCAACCTCTGCCTCCCAGGTTCAAGCAATTCTCCTGTCTCAGCCTCCTGAGTAGCTGGGATTACAGGCATCTGCCACCATGAACAGCTTATTTTTGTATTTTTAGTAGAGACAGGGTTTCACCATGTTGACCAGGCTGGTCTTGAACTTCTGACCTCAGGTGATTCACCCGCCATGGCCTCCCAAAGTGCTGGGATTATAGGCGTGAGCCACCGCACCTGACCCTATGTAGTACTTTTAAGAGCAAATGATACGTTGCAGAATCAAGCAATCTTCAAAAAGTTAAGAAACCTCTTGTGCATTTTGAATTTTGTACCATGTATATTTATTATCTATTTATAAATAAAATGAAATAAAATAAAATAAAGATAGGCATTATTGCCTAAGCATTGATTCTTTGAATGTTCCTAGAAATCCTCCTTGCCAAGTTAAGCCTGGATCAACATGAACTGAGGATAACATGAAAACTCATAGCAAAAAGCACAATTCATTCATTCAGCAAATATATGTTTGAAGAGCACATTACACACAGAAAAACCCATATGCCCTCCACCTAATTCAACAATTGTTAATATTTTGTTTTATTTGCTTTCTCTCTCTCTCTCCACACACACACACACACACAGTTTCTTGAACAATTTGAAAATAAGTTACAGAGAACACATCTGTTGACACTGAAGACTTCAGAGTATTCTTTCTTTTCTTTTTTCTTTTTTTCTTTTTTTTGAAGATGGATGTACTTTCTAAGAATAAGAACATTCTCCCACAGTACTATTATCACACCTAAGAAAATGAACAGTGGCTGGACACGGTGGCTCATGTCTATAATCCCAACACTTTGGGAGGCTGAGGTGGGTGGATCACCTGAGGCCAGCAGTTCGAGACAGCCTGGCCAACATGGTGAGACCCCATCTCTACTAAAAATACAAAAATTAGCCAGGCATGGTGGCACACACCTGTAGTCCCAGCTACTTGGCAGGCTGAGGCAGGAGAATCACTTGAACCCAGGAGGCAGAAGTTACAGTGAGCCAAGATTGTACCACTGCACTCCAGTCTGGGCAAGAGAGTGAGAATTCATCTCAAAAAAAAAAAAAAAAAAAAAAAAAGAGAGAGAAAATGAACAGTAATTCTTTTCATGTAATATCTAGTCCATATTCAAATTGGAATGATTTCTTTTTTTTTTTTTTTTTTTTGAAACCAGGTCTCTCTCTCACCCAGGCTGGAGTCAGTGCAACCACTGTGGCTCACTGCAGCTTCTACCTCCTGGGCTCAAGCAGTCCTCCAGACTCAGCCTCTGGAGTAACTAGGACTACAGGCTAATTTTTTAAGAATGAGGTCTCACTATGTTGCCCAGGCTTGTCTTGAACTCCTGGCCTAAAGTGAACCTCCCGTCTTGGCCTTCTGAAGTGCTGGGATTATAGCGTGGGCCGCTGTGCCTGGCCTGGAGTAATTTCTGATCTTAACTGATATAATTGGATTACTCTGGGGGCAAGGAAAGCACTGGAAGAACGAGCACAGCAAGACCAGTAAGGAAATTATTGAAATATTCTAGGAGAAGAATGATAAAAACCTGAGCCAGGGTAGTGACAATACAGAAGAGGGATAGAATTGAGATCTACGTAGGAGTTAGAACTAACTGACTATACAGGGTGAAACAGTGAGGAATCAAAGATGATTCTCGTATTAGAGGCTTGGGCAACCAGGCAAATGATAATACCTGAGATACGCAAACTGCAGAAGGGAAAAGGTTGGCTTGTGTGTTTGTTGTAAGTGGGGTGAAGGGGATGACTTTAATTTTGGACATATTAAGTTAGAGATATCTCTATGAGGTCAACTAAGTGGAAACATCCAAACGTGGTTGGAAGTAAAGGTCTGGAACTCAGGAGACTGATATGGATAGAAATACAGATTAAGAAGAGATTGTAAAACCAATTGAGCTGATAAGTGAGCCCAGCAAGTCTGCAGGATATAAGATCAATGTGCAAAAAATCAATTGTATTTTTATACACTAGTAATCTATAACTCAAAAGAGAAATTAAGAAAACAATTCAGTTTAGAACAGTATAAAAACTAAGTTTAACAAAATAAGTACAAGGTTCATATGCTGAAAAACTGCAAAATATCACTGAAAGAAATGAAAGAATATTTAGATAAAGGCATGCCTGTTCATGGATTGGAAGACTTAACATTGTTAAGAGGCAATACTCTCTAAATTGATATACAGATTCAATGCAATCCCTAGCAAAATTCAATCTGAGATTAACAAACGAATCCTGAAATTCACATGGAAATGCAAAGGACACAGAGTAGCCAAAACAACCTTGAAAAAGAACAAAGTTGGAGGACTCACACTTCCCAATTTCCAAACTTACTACAAAGCTACAGTAATCAAAACAATGTGGTACTGGCCAAGGATAGACATATAGAAGAATGGAATAGAACTGAAAGTCTAGAAAGAAACTCATATAGAAGAATGGAATAGAACTGAAAGTCTAGAATGAAACTCATATATGTATAGTCAATTGATTTCCTAGAGTGCCAAGACAATTCAGTGGGGGAAAAAATAGTCTTTTCAGCAAATGATGCTGGAACAACTGGATATTCTCATGTAAAAGAATGAAGTTAGACTGCCTACCTCATACCATGTACAAAAATTTACTAAAAATGGAACAAAGACCTAAAACTAAAAAAAAATTTAGAAGGAATTCCAGGAGTAAGTCTTCATGACCCTGGATTAGGCAATAATTTCTTAGATACAGCACCTAAAGCACAAGTAGCCAAAGGAAAAAACTAGATAAATGATGCCTCATGAAAATGGAAAACTTTTGTTCTTCAAAGAATATTTTCAAGAAAGCAAAACAGCAACCCATACAATGAGAGAAACTATTTTTCAAATCATGTGTCTGATAAGGGTCTAATATTCAGAATTATTAAAAAACTCTTAAAGCTCAACAACAAAAGACAAATAACCTGATTTTAAAAGTGGGCCAAGGATTTGAATACACATTTCTCCATAAAGACATACAAATAGCAAATAAGCACATGAAAAGATGCTTGGTATTAGCCATTAAGAATATGAAAATCAAAACCACAACGAGATACCACCTCACACCCACTAAGCTAGCTATTACAAAAAAGAGGTCAGTAAGTGTTAGCAAGAATGTGGAGCTATAAGGGCTGGGTGTGTGGCTCACGCCTGTAATCCCAGCACTTTGGGACGCCGAGGTGGGCGGATCACTGCAGGTCAGGAGTTCGAGACTAGCCTGGCCAACATGGTGAAACCCTGTCTCTACTAAAAATGCAAACAAATAATTAGCTGGGTGTGGTGGCGGGCACCTGTAATCCCAGCTTCTCAGGAGGCTGAGGCAGGAGAATTACTTGAACCTGGGAGGCGGAGGTTGCAGTGAGCCAAGATTGCACCATTGCACTCCAGCCTGGCCAACAGAGTGAGACTCCATCTCAAAAAAACAAAAACAAAGAATGTGGAGATATCGGCACCCTCATATGCTGCTGACAGGAATGTAAAATGGTGTAGCTGCTCTGGAAAACAGCTTGCCAATTCCTCAAAAAGTCAAACATAGAGTTACCATATGACCCAGCAATTCCACTTCTAGGTATATACCCCAGAGAACAAAAAACATATGTCCACACACAAACTTGTACATGAATGTTTATGGCAGCATTATTCATAATAGGCAAAAAGTGAAAACAACTCAATGCCTACCTATCAACTGATGAACAGCTAAACAAACTGTGGTATATCCACACAATGGAATATTATTCAGCCACAAAAAGGAATGAAGTGTGGATACATGACACAACATGGATGAGTCTTAAAAACACTTTGCTAACATGGTGAAACCCCATCTCTACTAAAAATACAAAAATTAGCCAGGCATGGTGGCATGCGCCTGTAGTCCCAGCTACTTAGGAGGCTGAGGCAGGAGAATTGCTTGAACCTGGGAGGCGGAGGCTGTGGTAAGCTGAGATCACGCCACTGCACTCCAGCCTGGGCAACAGAGTGAGACTCCGACTCAAAAAAAAAAAAAAAAAGGAAAATAAGTACTAAAAATTGTAAGTTGGATTTTGGAAAAATGGGAGTCACTGGTGACTGCAGTGAAAGTGTTTTTGGTAGAATGATGGTGACAGAAGCATAATTATAGTGGGGTTAGGTGTGAAAGGGAGGTGGAAATGTAGGATCGACTGGAGGAAGCAAAGAAATAAGATTATAGTTAGAACATAGATTGATACATCTTTCCCCTTTAACATACAAGAGCCTTTGGCAGGTTTATAAGCAGGGAAGGAATGAATAGAGCATAAGAGATTAGAGAGGTAGAAAAGGGCATGTGTTGGGTAAAGGGGGGTTGTATGGTTGCTAAAGAGGGCATCCCAAAACATTAGATAAGCGGTCACTCTTGGCCAGAAGGGATGAATCCTTCCAACAAAATGGAGACAAATAAATAAGTATTGGATGAATATAAACGCATGGAGTGGGGAAAAGTCAATGGAGTTCTCTCTTGAAAATGTTCATTTTCTTAACTAAGGGGGGCGCCAAAGCTATGTTCAGAGTAAGGCAAATCAGTGGTGGAATGAGGAGCTTGAAAAAAGCAATGAAAGCTGGGAATCACTGGTAGTGGAATAAAAAAGAAAACTGACTGTGGACAAGTAAGAGGACTGCCAAGGTATCTTGAAGACCTGACTGGAGTTAGAGATCACAGATTTTGTGGCATCAGACTCCCATCCATCTTGACTTCTGTAGCAAAGCTTGACTGGTTACTAAACGTCCAGGCTAACTTGCCATTTCAGCACCATATAACCTATGTGAGCTTTGGTTGTTTCATTGGAAGAGTAGTTGGAGAACTAAAGTGAGGATCAAATAAGATTGTTTGTGTGTGTGTGGACACACAACACATTTGCATAAAAATGTAAAGGGCTATTTTAACGATGGTCTTTGATGGCTCTTTGGCCGTGAGGTAAAGGTTAAGGAGAGGACCCCTGGGGCTTACAGGTCTCCTCTACTTGCCTTCATGCCCTAGGAAGCTGGGGTCATGCCCCTGGTACTCCTCACTGACCAGTCCAGACATCACACTAAAGGGTATCTAAAGGCCCTCACCTTCTAGAGACTTGATATAGGACTTGGAATACTATGGGCCCAGATAAAAATCTGTAATACTCTTACTTTCCTGCTCCCTGTTCCCTCTCAATCTGTGGCTGGATGTCCTACCTTTGGGTGTGGTTTCTGAGGCATTAAGGGCTCCCTGAATGACTGCCTGGGCCTCAGAGTTCTTTTTCTTCAGAAAGTCTATGGTTTCTCGCAAATCCAGCAGCTCAGTGTCCTAAGAGAGAAATGAAAATAGCGTTGGCTGGGCACGGTGGCTCACACCTATAATCCCAGCACTTTGGGAGGCCGAGGTGGGCGGATCACCTGAGGTCAGGAGTTCAAGACCAGCCTGGCCACCTGGTCTCCATTAAAAATACAAAAATTAGCTGGGCGTGGTGGCGGGCACCTGTAATCCCAGCTACTTGGGAGGCTGAAGCAGGAGAATCGCTTGAACCTGGGAGGCAGAGTTTGCAGTTAGCCAAGATCGCGCCAGTGCACTCCAGCCTGGGTGACAAGAACGAAACTCCATCTCAAAAAAAGAAAACAGCGTCATTAGTTGGGATTAGCAGGAGCCCTGAGCCCTTATGATGTGTCAGGCAATGGGCGAGGCATTGGAATTCTGCAAAACTTGATAGAGAAGGGCAAGGAATTGGGATAAGGAATATGCTCACACTGTATTGGGGGGCAGATTGAGAATCCAGGGTGACAGTGAGGTGGGGAGAAACTGGCATTCATGAGCAAGAACAGATGGTCAGCTTCGGCCTCTCTGTCCAGGAGAACCCCCTCGCCGCACCCACCCCTCCCACCCTTTCCCAGGCCTCTCACCTTCTCCTCGGCCGTCTCTGCCAGGTGTCGCAGGCGGGATGTCATATTCACCAGGCTCTGCTCAAAAGCAGCCACCAGATTAGCCTGAAACAAACACAGAAAGAGATTGCTAAGTTGCATAAGGCTGGGGGAAAGGCAATAACTGACAATGGGAAATAGTTTTAACTGATTTCCTGTATCTCGGAGCTGACCAATGCCAGCAAACCTCTTGGTGGTTAAAAAAATATTGATTTTCCTGAGCAGACAAAGGGGAAATCAAAGAAATTTTCTGGTGGGAACCAGCTTCTTGAATAATGAAGCCAGGTTGAGGGTAGGGCAGGTTTCCAGAGGCTCCTGGAGACTTGAGATCTAAAACCTATCAACTACCAGAGGTAGGACTATCCCTCTGCTCTATGTGATATTTGGTGTGGCCAACTTGGTAGGCGGGCCATAGCCTCTGGGGTCGTTCCTATTATTTTGGTTTAACTCCTGCATTGTGGAGTGGGCCGGCCCCCAAGGGACCAAATAATCTCCTGGCAGAAACTATTTGGTGCGTTTCTTCCTCCTCTGCTACTCCACTGCTTCACCCTTTCTTGCTTTGCAGCTGCTCCTTGTTCCCGGATTCTCCAGGTTTGCAAGGCTGGAAGGAAACTGCAGAGGCATTCCACCGTTTGGCCACTAGGTGTCAGGTCTGTTTCATGAGGAGTGAAGGATACCAAAGGGCTCTCTGGATAAGAGGCAGGCTAGTTCGGAAAGGTGCTCAGTGGAGGAGCTAAGGCCACTTGGTTTGGCATAGTTTGACCTCTAGCTGGCCAACTGGCTGCAAGATGTATAGGCAAGGTAAAGGGAATGAGGCCGGGGGCTAGAAAGGGGAGCACTTGGGGATGGAGAAATAGCCATCGTGAGACTATCTGAGCAAGTTGGTGACCCTAGCAAGAAGTGGGCATACTCTGCGCAGCTCCTTCATGCAGAGCTCTAGGAAATCGACGGCACTCTCATGGCTCCTACTGGCTTACAATTCTCCCTCCCTGTTGGGTCAACTCTAGTTTTCATCCACTGCTCCGCATGTCTGGAGCCTACTTCATAGGACCAGGGCTGGAGGCAATCCCTTTAGTCCAGTTAGAGCCTCCTCTTGCACTTTTACTATAAATCTGTCAAGGCCTGGGCTCTGAGGAGATTATAATATGTCACAACCTGAGCAGTTTCCTTTCACCCACTGTGCAGGCAACATCTGTCTTCTTGACCTCAGGTCTTCTCTGGTTTGCTTCTCTACATCCTGCATGTCTGCTTGTAGACTCCTTGTAGTCCCTGGAAGACTACTCATGAGAGGCCCCAAGAACCCCTGTATGCTCTTCTGTGCTGCCTTTCCCCATCCAGGGGAACCCTTTTGCTCTGGCTGGGCTTTCTCCCCGCTCTCCCCTACACTTCCTCTCCCTACATTGACCCTTCCCTTAATCCCAACCCCAGACTAGGGTACCTGTAAGACCTCAGGGCTAAGCAGTGGTGCTGCAGAAAGGCTAGCATTTGAGAGGGGTAAAGTGGTCTGGGCCCCTACATCTAGGGTGTGCCCTCAGCTTTAGTGGCTAGGAAGTTCCATGGAACATGACAAAAGTTTGGTTTGGAGTCACGGAATCCTGAAGAGAGCTGTGGAACCTTCCTAGAGTCCCAGCATCCCATCTCCTGCTTGAGGGCAGGGTTCTGACCCTCGGCAAAAATCTGCCTTTAAGATGCAGAACCCACCGTGTCTGGGTGTTTAGTTTGTTCTCTCTTAGCCAAATGGAACTTCCTGTTCTAAGAAAAATCACCCTCTAAATTCAATTTCTTGGCTTCAGCCCAGCCTTGACAGCATGGTGGCTGACAGATTGCAGTGTAAATGAATCAGACATAATAATGTTCTCTGCCTCCCTGGCGCCTCTCCCCCCCAGCATCTCCCAGACATGAATTTCCTGGGGTGTGCAGGACGTGACCCAGGCCATTTGCTTTGGTGGGTGTGGCACAAGGGAGAGAAAAGATGGTTCTTGTTTATGTTACAATTCTTATGGGTCCCCCAAGAGTGGGAAAAAGTGCTTAACATGAGCTTCAAACAAACTGGTACAACTTATGAATTGAGGGTTTGGGAAAAGAGAATCGAGAGAATAACTAGTGTGGTGAGGGAACTGCTGCTGAAATGTGTTGGAAACATTCAGAATCTTGGTGGAGATTCTTCTACCTAATTCCGACGGATAGACCCCAGGCCTGACAGCTGGGTTCCCCAGAGAGGAAGGGCAGAGAGAAAACCAGAAACTACTGCGGAAATTGCAGACATGGTTACTTTTGTGCAAACACTTGGAAAGCTCCTGCAGATCCGGCTCAGCTGTTGTTTACAGCTTTGGGGGAAAATGGCTCTTATGTTCTCTGTTTGCAACTCAGTCACAGGGGAGAAAGTACCACAGCCTGGTTAGAGGAGGTGGCTTCATTTCTCCCCATGTCACAGGGTAGAAAAACTAAGGTCTAAAGAAATAGACTCGTTCTAAATGGAGGTACTGAGAGTAGAAACAAAGAATTCTAGCTCTCAACCTGAATTTCAGATTGTTTCTACCATCTGCCCAAGGAGACTGCTCAGAAAAGGCAGTTGGGAATGAAGGAGTCAGACCAGAATGGGAGTTAGGTTTCTCAGTAGTGTCGTGGTCACTAGACAGAATTCTAATGACCAATCATGTGCCTGCACAGTTACGTGGCATGAACAAAGACATGAACACCCCCCAGGGCAGTGGAAAGGCTCTAAGAGCCCTATAATTATAATCCATAACTGCTTTTGTCCATGGCCAATGGCAAGGTTGTTTCTGCCTCCATGCAGAACCACTGGTAATCAATCTTCTTCTCTTTCTCTAGGGAGCTCAGCCCATCAGACATGAACTCATCCATACCTATTAATTAGAGTAGAAGCAAAATGGTTCTTCATAAAAGTTGAGGCTCAGAGAAGGGGAAGAACAATCCCCTCGTCTTCTATCATAGAGCTGTGAAGAAGACGCATGCCCTTGACGTCTCAGTCCAGGGGATACCTTACCAGGTAGTTTTCCTCCCTTGGCTGAACTTGTCTAACGATAGTCAAAATAACTGCCTTGATCTTTCCGTACTTCATGGCACTCACATTGGCAGAAAGCTGAGACGTCAAGGTGGCCACTTTTTCCTGGGATGATTCCAGTTCCCTACGAAGCTTCCGGATTTGCTGTAAAAGGAAGAGAAATACAAACTACTGGCTGCAGAAGCTGTATAAGATTTGGAAGGAAAATGAGGTGCAGTGATGTTAACAAGCAGAGACAAAGGCTTTCCACCCTACCTCAGATTGCATCCTCTCCTCAGCCTGAAGAAGGGAGCACAGAAGGAGAGAAAGAGAGAGAAAGGAAGTAGTTACTATGGAGGTGAAGAAGTCAGGTCCCAGTGGCAGGGTAGGAAATGTGAAGAAGCATGACTCAGAGGTGCAGAGAGGCTGAAACTCTTGTTTCCTGGCCCTGGCTCCTCACAGGACTCGGCTCAGATCTATACTAGGGTTTCAATAAAAGATTTCTTTGGAGCTCATCTCCAGCAAACTTTGTCATTGCCAAAAAGGCTAGGAAATGAGACTTTGGTTGGTTTGAGAACTAACGGTTATTGCCAGCAACTTGGAGTAAAGAATTAGGAGCAAAACAAATCTACAAATCAAGAAATGCCTAATAGCCAAATGCTGTGGCTGGTGCCCCACAATAAACACTTGGTCACTTCTAGGGTTCTGGAGTCCGGGTCCTAGAAATCTATTCATCTCACCTTCATAAAAGCTTCCCATCTACCATGGCACAGAAAGGGCTTGCTAACATGGGGATTCTCCATTTTTCAAAGGAGGGGAACAAAAATCACCAGAGTTGCTCAGGAGCTGGTGGTGGGGCCAGAAAGACCACTGAGGACCTGAGGCACCCAAGTGAATGCTACAAGCTCTAGGTGCCTCCCCCATTCCCACCCCAATGGGTACAGTGAAGAGCCAGCAGTGCCCCCATCCCCCGCCCAGTTACCCAACTCCAAGGAGGTTCTAGGGAGCATGGGATGGTAGAGGGGAGGGGATGAGAGGGGAAGAGAAGTTAATGCTCTTACTGAGGAGTAGGTGGAGGAGGCACTGGAGGCCAGGGACAGCACTGAGCCGTGAACTGAAAGAGAAGGAGAACACAAAGAGTTAACAGTGGGTTCCAGGGACAAGGGGTTTTTGGAAGACTCCCTAAGGCAGGAGTTTGGATTGTGATTCTGGAGGGCATCTGGAGCAAACAGAAAGAACAGAGTAGGGAACCCAGCTGGTATCAAAACAGCCCAAAGCAAGGTCTTGAGTCAAGCTAGCCTCCTCTTTCAGCCTACATTCTCTGGCAGCCTGGGTATGGCAGTCCCTTGCTTAGCCCGCTCTGAGGGGCACGGGGTTTCAGAGAAGGGAAAGGAGACTTTCATGGATAGTCATCATCTTATCTTCCCAGTCAGGAAAGCACCTTAGCCGCAGGAGAGGGGAGTTTCTCATCAGAGTTGCTCAGAACAAATACTGAAATTCTGCCCGCGCCTCCTCCTCTCAGCACTGGGGGATGTGCTTAGGATCTTGGGGATCATTCAGATGAAAACAATATTTAAGTGAGGAATATGCATTCTGATTATTCAGTAGAACCTATGGTGAGAACTAAAGCATGTCTGTAGCAGATGCCTCCTGGAATGACCATCTTGAAAATAATAATGGGAGAGCTAACCTGCCATAAGCCTGGTCTTCTAGCTCTGATCAGTACTAACACCCAGATCACCACCAACAATCAGATGGCCCTCCCTGATGCTCATCTTTGGAACATTTTTGAAAGAGAAATGAGATGCCTAATTATTTGTAAGGATTTATTAAGAGCTACTATTATGTCCTGTTTTCTTTTCATATATTTGAGAGACTGTGGGGAGGAAAGACTATGGCTAGAATGAGGAGGAGAGAAGCTGTGGTTTTCAGAGCATCCTGAGGGATGCCATTTAACCCTTCCATGCTCAATTTCCCTCCCCCAGCCCCAGTGATGGATGCTCCATCCCAATGCCCCAGTGCTAGATGTGCCACCCAAGGTTTCTGGGTCCCCAGACCCTTCAAAGGGATGGGGAGAAAAAACTGAAATGGCCCAACTTGATGTTCTGTGAATCATATATGTGTGTGGTGGTAGGAGTGGTGGGAGTGGAGGTGGTGGGTGAGGGGACCCAGCAGAGCTGGAATGAGCGTGAACCGCGCTAGCATGAAGTCTCACCATCGTCCGTGGGGTCTCGGAAGGATCCTGACCGAATCATTCCCTTGGGTCTCTCGGCCAGGGACAGGGTGCTCCCCATTTGGGAGCCGCTGTACAGCTCGAAGGCCGCCTCGTGGGTGGGGATGCTGTTGGAGCGGGTGATTCTTGGCGTGGTGGCCGCAGTGGGACTCACTGGAAGGACAGAGGGAAGGGGGACAGGAGAGGGAGCAGGAGGGCAGGAAAAGAGGCAGGGTCATCAGCTCTCCGGGCCCTTGGGGGATGGAGCACCGGGAGCATGAGAGGCAAATGGGGAGAGGGCAGGAGAGGAAGGGGCAGGTGCGGTGGTGGGAGTGTGCAAGCAGCTGGTGGTTAGGAGCGGGGTCCCTCCTGGGGAGATCAAGCCCTAATGGAGAAGGACCCTGCTGTCTGGAATAAAGACCTTCCCTCAACCCTGCCTGCCTCAGAGTTGTTGCTTTTGAAGGTTAGGCTGGGGGCCTGGCAGCTTTTCTGAGACCTTCACATCACTCGGATGTGCTGATGAAAATGAGATGCTGTGGTTCTCTAAAACACAACTGCCAGCTCAGGAGGACTGAAAATTCAAACCAAGACCCAGATCTGAATGATGAAAAAGCACCAGCTAGAGAAGGGGGCTGGGCTACGGGATCCCGTTGCCCTGGCATTGTGGAAGGGCGTGAGAATCTCCCCACAAAGTAGTGTCACTCTGAGTGACTGGGTTGGCGCTAAAGCATCAAGAAACATGGCCCTCTTTGCCTAGCATTGCCCCGGCTTGAAGGTCAGATGGACAGAGCAGGTGAAAGTGTCAGGTAAGGCTTGTGGAATGTGCTTTGAAGCTGGGTTCAGCTGAATCCCGTTAACCTGCAGATGCCTTACCCCTTTGCCCATTGCTGGGATTACAGCCTTTCAGGGTTTCATACCCACAAGGAGCTCCCTTGTCTATTCTTCTGCCTCCATACAGGCAGGTGGATGTCTAATCTGTCCATAAAGACCTGTGCAGAAGAAGATGGCACACCTCTCTGTTGACCTTTTCAAATTCCTGAGGTAATTATTGCTTAGCCCAGCCCCTCATTCTGCAGCATAAATGCAATTCTTCTTATTTGGTCTTCAATGGAGATAGAGAACAAGCTGGCCCCATCCTCCATTTAGTAGCCCTTCAGAGGGCAGATGATCCTGTCTGAACAATGGTTCTTTTCCCTAGGCCAAGTGATCCCAATTCCTAGTCTTTCCTCAAATTCCCCACAGTCACTGCATGGGTGTGTTACAGGTCCTTGTCTTTTATTAACTGATTTCTTTTACTCAGCTGAAAGAAGAGATGGATTTAAAGAGATGCAGCAAGCAGATAACAGGCCTATCCCAGGCACTATTCCTGAATGGATTCCTAGTAGGCCAATCATGGCGTACTGCTTCACAGAACCGGAGCTGGTGTGCTTCTGTGCTAGGCCAGACCCTCCACCTGATGCTTCCTCTCCTCCCTGTCTCTAAGTCACTTCCTTATTTCCTAGCTCTCCTTTCTCCCTAGGCTTTAGGAAGGGGGTGGCCAGGACACATCTGAGTCAGCCCTGCCTTCAGCGTTAGGATGGCCTGGGCTCAGCCAGAGCAGTTGAGGAATCTGGACTTGGCTGAGTTTGGAGGCAGATCTCGTCCTTGGCAATCAACAACCTTTCCCTCCTTCCTCCCCGTCGGCCTGACATTTCAGTATTGCCCTCTCATTAGCTGGCCCTAGTAGTACTGGGTGTGGTGGCTCCTTTCCGGCAGTTCAATGTGCCTGCTCTTGCACTGGTCTGATCTCTGGGCTTTGGGTTACAGCTTTTCCATGCCACCATTCAGGCTCTCTGATGCTAAAAGGACCCTACAACTTGTGCCTAGGGGCAACTTTTCAGTTTAGGATCTCAAAGTACTCTACCTTCAATCTTACTTTGGGTGGATAAACTGAGGCACCATGAAACAACCCAATACAGCATGAGTCAAACATGAGATGAAACCCAAAGCCCACCTGCCTTGCCTCACCCTGCAGGGTGACCCCTGCTTCACCCCATGCCACAGTGAGTGACTGAAAACACTAACCTATGTTGGTAAGTTGGCCCTTTGCACTCAGAGACATGGGAAGTGCAGGGGGAGAAGGCAGCTCTGACTGGTCATCGGATTCAGGCAGCCCACCAATGGTATGGGAATGTCGCCTCTCCTTGGTCTCCTCCTGGGACTGAAGCTGGTACCTGTAGGAAGCAGCAGAAGAACTCAGTCTGGGACTAGCAAGTGCGGTCAGAGGTTTAGTTGGTGCGGAGGGTGTCTGAACTAGGCTGGAGCCAGGAGATTCTGAAAGCAGGACATGGAAAAGAGGGAGTGGTCAGGGCTGCCCAAGGAGGGAGTAAGAGGTGGCGACTCAGCCTCCTCTCCCAGACCATCCAGAGGGTGTGGAAGGACTAGCAGGTATTCCCGTAAGGGTTCCTGAGCTGGGGGCAGAAGTGATGGAGGAGGCATTAGAACTTCTCCTCAGAAGTTCAGGACAGAGACTTATGATTCCACATGTGGGCTTTCAAGTTGCAAGAGTCGGTCAGGCACAGTGGCTCATGCCTGTAATCCCAGCACTTTGGGAGGCTGAGGTGGGTGGATCACTTGAGGTCAGGAGTTTGAGACCAGCCTGGCCAACATGGTGAAACCCCATCTCTACTAAAAATACAAAATTTAGCCAGGCTTGGTGGTGCACACCTATAACCCCAGCTACTCGGGAGGCTGAGGCAGGAGAATCGCTTGAATCTGGGAGGTGGAGGTTGCAGTGAGCTGAGATTGTGCCACTGCACTCCAGCCTGGGTGACAGAGCGAGACTCCGTCTCAAAAAAAAAAAAAAAAAAAAAAGTTGCAATAGTTGCCACCCAACTGAACAACTCAGTGCTGTCAGAACAGTGGATGACCAGGTAGGTCCTGCCCCTAGCCCAGCTGAGTGACCAAAGAAGCAGACTGTTCTCCCTCATACTTTTAGGGAAGAAAATTACAGAGATGAAGCTCAGCCAGGATTGGGATGGCATAGGCTAGTACAGGTAAGTGCATGATTCCCATGTGCAAACTTGTTTCTCCCCTGTCACCAAAAAAAGAACACTTGCTGTAAAAGTTGACTCACATAATATTAAGCTTGGGCAAGGTACTAGGTGGTACTTGTATGGGACCACATACAAATGATTCAGCTAAAAGGGTGACTAAATTCATGACTGGAGCCTTGGACAGGTTGAGATATGATTTTTCATACATACCAGCAGTCCCATTTATAGGGAAGAAAAAACACATTAAAGGGTTACCTGAGCCCTTTCTTGGGAAGAGTGTTCCGATCCCGCTGATTACTGTGGAGATAAAAAAAA
The DNA here is from genome assembly GCF_000001405.40 of Homo sapiens. Lineage (NCBI taxonomy): Eukaryota > Metazoa > Chordata > Mammalia > Primates > Hominidae > Homo > Homo sapiens. The sequence continues at coordinate 201,785,291 of NC_000001.11, read as the reverse complement.
AAAAAAAAAGAGAGAGAGAGAGAAGCATGTGGGTCCATCTTAGGAACTAGAGTTTAGGACCATTGGTGTGAGGTATGCAGACCCTAGACGCAGGACATCAAACTATGACCTGCTTTAGCTCTAGAAACCAAGAGATACTATAGCCTGCTTCTTGGCTTACAACTTGGGAAATTTATCTGAAATATTAAATGTTATTTCTCTGATTAGAAATTAAGTCATGGTTAGGCCGGGCGCCGTAGCTCACGCCTGTAATCCCAGCACTTTGGCAGGCCAAGGCGGGTGGATCACGAGGTCGGGAGATCGAGACCATCCTGGCTAACACGGTGAAACCTCGTCTCTACTAAAAATACAAAAAATTAGCCAGACGCAGTGGTGGGCGCCTGTAGTCCCCAGCTACTCGGGAGGCTGAGGCAGGAGAATGGCATGAACCCAGGAGGTGGAACTTGCAAGTGAGCCAAGATCGCGCCACTGCACTCCAGCCTGGGCGACAGAGCAAGACTCCGTCTCAAAACAACAACAACAACAACAAAAAACAAACAAACAAAAAAGAAATTAAGGCATAGTTAGTTATTTAAAAGATCATATTATGGCACTAGGGACAGTGGCATGAGCCTGTAGTTGCAGCTCCCGGGAGGCTGAGGCAGGAGGATTGCTTAAGCCAAGGAGTTTTGAGTCCAGTCTGGGCAACATAGTGAGACCCCATCTCAAAAAAAAAAAAAAAATAGATCGTATTATGGTAGGTAAAAACTACCATATAGGTAGTTTGATAACCTTGGCATATAGGGGGAAGGGAGGGGAAAACTAGGATGTGATATAAAAGAAAAGATTCTGGGCAGCCAGGTGTGGTGGCTCATGCCTGTAATCCCAGCACTTTGGGAAGCTGATGTAGGCAGATCACTTGAGGTCAGGAGTTCAAGACCAGCCTGGCCAACATGGTGAAACCTGGTCTCTACTAAAAATACAAAAATTAGCCGTGCATGGTGGCAAGTGCCTGTAATCCCAGCTACTTAGCAGGCTGAAGCAGGAGAACTGCTTGAACCTGGGAGGCAGAGATTGCAGTGAGCCAAGACTGCACCACTGCACTCCAGCCTGGGCAACAAGAGCAAAACTCCATCTCAAACAAAACAAAACAAAATGATTTTGGACTAGGAAGCAAAAGCTCTGGATGATAGGTTAACCTAATTATGAGATCTTGGATGAGTCATTTAACTTCTTTGTGCACAAGTTTCTTCATTTTTAATATAAGAATAATAATTTAAAAACAAAAACACATCTTACCTATCTCATGGAGTTGTTGTGAAGCAAATTAAATTACTTAATATATGTGAAAAAATGTCAAAAGTCACAAAATGGCAATAAAATATAGGATAGTATTGCCAATGGCAAAATGAGCCCAAGACACGGAGACAGGCCGAGGTTCTGCTGTCTTTTCTACCTACCTGTCCAGTTGCCCAGCTCTGGGGCTTCCACTCCAAGTCAGCTCTTCCGTCTCTTCTTCTGTGGGAGCAGCAGGGGGAGCAGGTGGGGTGGGGACGGGAGTACTGCTGGGGAAGGCACTGGGGAGGCTCATTGGCATCTGGAGGGACTCCATGCTCCTGTGCAGGCCTGAGAGTTTGGGGTACATGCGGGTCTCTTTTGGCACACTGAAACCACTCATTAGCTCCAGGCCCTGGGAGAAGCTGGCTGAGTTAATATTGAGGATGGGTGCCGGACTGGGGGTGAAGCAGGAAGGGAGAGGGCCCCCAGATGCTGAGCTTGTAGCATGCAGATCTGGGACCTTTGAAGCATGGGTGGTATCACTGGATGATGGTAGATCCAGACTGTTGGAGTTGACCTTGTCAAGATTGGCTAGTGAGGGTGGTTTGACAAAGCTCTTCGCTGTGGCCCTGAGAGAAGATCAAACGAAATATTTAGAATAATAGAATTACAGAGTGAGAGGCAGATAGGACCTTAAAGAAATCCTATCCAGTCTTGTTTTCTGCCTATTTGCTAAGCACAGAGGCTTATCCTAATGCTGTTGTGAAATACAATGCAAGGAAATCTGATACCCAACTTGGGGCACATTCAGCTTAGATAAGGGGCCAGCATATGCACATGGGAGATACAAGTGAATTTATGCAAATAGGTATATATGTGTAAATAAACAGTAAAAACACCCATACAAGTGCTGAAGACAGGGTAAGCATTGATCAGAGAATAGTACAAATGAGGTAAGTTTTGAAAGAGGGATTCAGTCTTTCAGAACTGTCAGAAACTAGATTCTTTCAGAACCTTGGCATATGGGGGAGAGGTGGGAAAGAGCCATGCAAAGGCCTAGAGACAACGGTGGATAGGCCATGCCTCATCTAGTCCAAGGAGGGCAGAGATATGCGAAAGAATGACAAAGCAAACAGACAAGGAGGCGGCTGCCCACATTGGGTACCTGAGAGGGGTTGGTGGCAGCTCTGCCAGCTTGGTGGCTGTGGGGTGGCTTGCTTGGTTCTTGGGAGTACTTTCTGGGGAGCCAATACTCTTCAAGGAGATGTTGTCTGAGTCCAAGGCCACTGCCTTGGCTTTGGCCTTCTCCTTTTCCCGATCTGTCTGATTGACAGGGGCTGGAGTGGTCCGCCCACTGGCTACCTTGGTAGGCTCCTTCAGTCTGGAAGGCGTAAGGCCTCCCTGCTTGGTGCTGAGGAGACTGGGGTCAATGCTGCTGCTCACAGGGCGAGGTCCACCCCGCCCGCCGGTCACGCTCATAGAACTTGACTTGGCTGGCCGGGGCAGGCTGCGGTACTGGATGTTAGAACGGGCTCCAGGAGCCAGGAATCCTGGCTCTGCACTGTTGGAAACATCTAAGCTAGTCTTGCGCCCATTTACTGGCTTGACAGGGATGCCTGAGGACTTCTGGATCTTGCTGAGAGTGGCTGAACCACCAGTTTGCATGACAGTGGCTGTGCCTGTGGCAGGAGGAGGCTTCTTGTAGCCAAAGGATCCCGAAGTGGAGGGGCGAGCAATGCCCGAGGGGGGCTTCTTAGCATCACTCAGGCGGTCCCGACCAGCATCAGAGGAGGAGCGTTGGAGCCCAGTATTCTTCACTGCAAGCTTACCCTTGTCTGTAGCTTTGCCCTCAGGTTTGCCTGCAAGAGGACGGGAAATGAGAAAAGAGCTGAAACTGACCAGTATCTTAAAAACCCACCCTTTTCTTTCCCTCCATGGGAGAAGGGAACATTGTCCATGTATTGTAGACTTTTAGAGGCCTAAATTTGGGTAAACAGGTACAAGATAAGCTGATAAAGTTTCTTGTCTGAAAGACTCTGGCTGGGAGGGGTGGGGAGGCTAGGAATTTTTTTTGTTTTGCTCCCAGAGTAGAATGGTCCATTTTGATTAAAAAGGCAGAGGCAAACACAAAGATGATCAAGAATATCCATCTAACAACTAGTTGTGGAAGGGAAAAAAAAGGTGGGGAAGCAAATGGAATAGAGTATGACAATATCTCTTAGTAATTAGAGACTACAGGAAAATGTTGATTAAGGCTAAAAGTTACCCAAGGGGCCAACTTTGGGGGCACTATAATTCTCTTGCTGTAGCCATTTTATTTATTGTTTTCTTAGGATCTTCCTGAGATGTCAAGCTGTATCCTATGAAAATAAGTGCCTTGAGTGACTAACTTGGGAGAAAGAAGAAAGCAAGCATTGGAAGTGTTTGGAAGGAGGCCAAACTAGTCTCTAAACATAATATACTTCCTCCTGTACCTCATATTAACTGGGATTTTGGCCCAGCCACTTAATCTCTTTGAGTTTCTATTTCCTCCACATTTGTAAAATGGAAATAATAACACCCATCTTTCCTAACTCACGGGACTGTCCTTAGACCAGATAAGATAATGTCTGTTAAAGCACTATGCAAATGTTTGCTATCATCCTATGGGTTAATGACCACTAAGAAGAGGAGCAACCAAAGAACTAGGTCTTTGCCCTTGTACCTTCCTTTATTCCAGGCTCACCTGCGACTTTGAGGGCACTCTGGGCTGTGTGAGTGATGGGGGAAGTTACAGCCACAGGTGGGGTCTTGCCCTTCTTCAGGGAACCAGGGTGGCCCAGGCTGATGGGCTTTTTCAGTTCTCCACCCTTGGATGAATCATCACAGCTCTCAGGCCGCTCCCTCCGCCACTTAGAAGTCCCAGGTTCCATCTTCAGGCTACCACTGTCGTACTCCAGTTTTTTAGGGGCTTTCTCCTCTGATTCACTAAACCAGCTCAGCCCACTTTCTGCCAGTGAGCGCTTCTCTGAGTCTGTGCGTAGCTAAAGAAAAGAGAAAAAGGCAGAGTGAGATACTTCTATGCAGATGGGAGACTGGATAGCTGACAGGATTGATTTTAGTTAGTACCTGGCGCTGCTCATCTCAGAGTATTAAGTCAAACTGAGGGTTTCTACCTATACCCCTAGGGTTTCCAACAGCAGATGACATATATCTCGGGGTTTCTTTTTCTCCAGTTGGAATAGCTCTTACATGTATCACTCTAGATTGGTGTAGGCACTAAGTATACACAATATGACAACATCTAATGTCTTGGGTGAGTAGCCTTAGCTTTTTTTGGGAGGGGGTGGGGGCAACTCTAAAATGACCTGGCCAAAGGCCTATGAGAACCAATCCCATGGAGTGGGTGTGTACGTGCAACCCCATACACAGATAATGCCATTTGCCCTGTGGTTCATCTTGAGATGGCAGCTTGGGTGTTTGCAAACTCACGTACCACTATTGTTGAGTTCCTGCGAGAAGCAGTGGGAGTACTTGGGAGGGAGTTGAGTGAGGAGCTGGCATTGAATTCTTCTGAACTGAGATTGTCTGAGGCATCGCTGAGTCCACTACTGATGGAGCTGCTTTCATCCCAGCTACAGGACAGGAGAGATGAAGGTCAATCGTTAAAACAGAAGCCCAGGCAAAAAATAAATGTTTCACATTGATGCAAGAATGGCTCTGCACCAGTATATAGGCTAGCCAAAAGGAGAAAACCTGGGGGTTTGTCCTAGGTTTGTCAGCAACTCAAAGTGTGACTTAAACTTCCTTGTAATTTGGTGATGTTCTTTTACAAAAGGAAGAGACTCTGCCTTTATCTGGCAAGAGAAAACGTTGTATCTTCTTAACAGAAAGGTATTTTATAAAGGCAAGGTAATTTTTGGATCAATCTAATTATACAAACCAATTTACTCTCCCTGTAAACAACCTCCATTCTTAAAATTAACATATCTTTGTTCATTTTTAGACGCGTTCTGCATCTATTCTCCCCCTCCTTTTCTAAAAATGTCTATAACTGGTAATGAGGCCCAGAAAAAGATTTCTCTTTTCTAGAACCTCTTAGACTTTTATCATTTCTCATTGAGCCTCCGTTTATGCAGTTCACCCTATCCTGGGATCGGGTCCTGCTTCTAAACAGAACATACTGTTCTTCTGTTAAGTGAACCAAATCTAAGGTGCTGTGGCCATGTAGAGGGGCCAAATTTGTGCTGAATGGATTCATTTCTCTGCCAATTGCTTGGAATATCAGGTCTGTGGTATTAGGGAGATACTGCTGTTAAACATCTTTATCTGTAAACATCTGTATCCAAAAACGCTACTTCATGCACTAAGTGAACTTACTACAACCTCCATATCTTTGTAGCTTGAGCTCTACAAACATTCATTTGGCTGTTCTTTTTTTTTTTTTTTTTTTTTTTGAGACGGAGTCCTGCTCTGTTGCCCCAGGCTGGAATGCAGTGGCACAATTACAGCTCCCTGCAACCTCCGCCTCCCAGGTTCAAGCAATTCTCCTGCTTCAGCCTCTCAAGAAGCTGGGATTACAGGCACCCGCCACGACACCCAGCTACTATTTTTTTTTTTTTTTTAAGTAGAGACAGGGTTTCACCATGTTGGCCAGGCTGGTCTTGAACCCCTGACCTCAAGTGATCTGCCCGCCTCAGCCTCCCAAAGTGCTGGGATTATAGGCGTGAGCCACCGTGCCTGGCCTGGCTGTTCATTTTTGGGTTTAACAAGTTTCAGTCAGAAAGTTTACCCTTAGCCTCAAAACTAGCCTCCTCTACCATTTATATTAATTTCCTCTTATTCTATCTTTGCTATTCACATTTCTTTTCGATCACATGCATTGTTTTCTAAGCTCGAATTCTGTCTCCTGTAAGCTTTCTTCAAAGGTCCTGTTTTCCAAGTCTTTCTCAATTCCTTTTGGACCTTAAAAAGTTCTTCAGATTTCACTCAAGTTTTACAGCCTAAAACTGAACACGGAAGTTCAGTAAGACTGCTATACATGAGTATTTGTTTGTGCCGGTAGGAATTAACTTCTAAATCCTTGTTATCTGTGTGCAGAGTAGGTTTGTTTATCAGCATTGCATATATGCAAGGACTAAAAGGCTGAAGATTTTTTTGTGTGAATTAGCTGCTATCTGAAAAAATTTTTCTTTTTGATTTATTCTGAGTTTCATATCATGGAACAAAAATCAGACATGCAAGTCATCTAAGTGGTTGGCCCAGATCTCAGCTGGCTCCCTCTAATTCATGTGCTGGGAATAGGAAAGTGGGTGGTTTGGACATTTTGGCTTTGTTGCTCTGTAGTGATTTATCCAAATACATTGAGAAAGAGCAAAGAAAGCATGGGGATTAGAACACACTACAGAGTTCTTTAAATTTTATGACTATGAAATATAGCCGTTATTGAATGACAATCAACCTCTTCCCCTCTTCTCCTCCTGATGTATATTAAACCTCACATTTGTCCTGGGCTAAGATGTCATACCCCCTCACTTTGTAGAGAAAGAATACTGAGGAAAGATCAATGCTGGTTTTATGATCCTATCAGCTCTTCCAGGTCAAGATAAGATCTTTGGCAAGCAAGCAAACAAACTATTCTCAGCATGTTCTCTAAGTCAAAGACAGAGGAAGCCTGTAGCACTGAATATTTCATCTGAGATTAATTATTGGTAATCAAGGTCGTGAGGCAAAGAAAGCTCTTATGGAAGGACCCTCGCAAAAAGAGGATTGCTGCAGCTCAGAAATCCAAAAGAAACCTTCCTTTGCCCCACATTTATGGAAAGTTTAATACTGAAATGGAGGAGAGGGATTTATCTTCTAGGAGAGCGTTTGGGTCCTCCTTGCTCAAAAGACATTCCTTCCCAAGCTCTTTTCCTGCAGTGAGGAAGTATAAGCCTAGAATTACCAAGGAAGGTTGGCTAGAGGATATAAATACTTCCTAGCAAAATTCTTTTGCAAGTTCTGAAGAAAAGGAAAATTCTGTTGTCATTACATGAGAGTTAAGCATCTCCACTGGAGATGCTCCACTGAAGAGAGCATAGTTTCTTTCTTTCTTTTTCTTCCTCTCTCTCTCTCTTTCTTTCTTTCCTCTCACTGTGTCACCCAGGCTGGAAGGCAGTGGCATAATCTCAGCTCATTGCAGCCTTCGCCTCCCAGGTTCAATTGATTCTTGTGCCTCAGCCTCCCAAGTAGCTGGGATTACAGGTATGCAATTTTTGTATTTTTAGTAGACACGGTGTTTCACCATGTTGGCCAGGCAGGTCTCCAACTCCTGGCCTCAAGTGATCCACCCACCTTGGCCTCCCAAAGTGCTGGGATTATAGGTGTGAGCCACCGCACCCAGCCCTCTTTCTTTAAACAACAACAACAACAACAACAAAAACCCACTATTACATTTGAATGGCTTGAAAAAAAAATAAAAGTTAAAGAGTGACAGAGCAAGACCTTTTGTTAAAAAAAAAAAAGGCTGGGTGCAAAACTCCTCCTTGAAGCCAGGTGTTCAAGACCAGCCTGGGCAACAAAGCAAGACCTCTGTCACTACAAACAAAACAAAAGAAATAGTACATGCTCTAATAAGGATCCAGATATTATATAAAGGAAAAAGGAAAAGTGCTCCTTTTTTGCCCTCCCATTTTTACTTCTAAGGTAACTATTATTAACAGTTTTCTGTGCATCCTTCAAAAATATCCCTATGCATATATCTTCTAGCTGTTTGCTCTCTGGATCTGCTGAATAGTTGACATTATGCGACCACACTTCATTATCCTGGCGATTCTCTATACCTGACTTAAACTGGAATCTCAGTCTTCCTCTTTGTTGTTTTACTCCTTGTTTCAGTGAAGTACCTCTTCCAGTAGGTTTCTGAAAAGGGGTGCTTTGGAAGTAAACTTCGTAAGACCTTACATGTCATAAAATGTCTTTATTCCATCTTTACATGTGAGATTTTGGGTAGCCACAGAATTCTAAGCTGAAAATATCTTCTTTCAGAATCTAAAGGCATTGTTCTATGTCTGTTTCTATTGTTGCCCTTCTGATTCTTTGTCCTTGTATGTGACCTGTTTTTTTTTGTCTCCCCTCTGGAACTTTTAGCATCTTCTTGTGCACTGAAACATCGCTAATGATGTGCCTTGGTGTGGGAGTTATTTTTTATCCATCGTATTGGGTACTTTACCGGATGCTTTGAATCTACACACTCATTACCTTCAGTTTTGAGAAATTTTATCAAAAATTTTTTGATGATTTTCTCTTCATTTTTCAGTTCTCTCTTCTAGAGTATTTGTAATTCAGTTAACAGATTTTTTGGCTGATTTTCTACATTTCTCTCTTATTTTCTAGTACCTTTAAAAAAAAACAACTCTTTTTTTTTTTTTTTTGAGATGGAGTCTTGCTCTGTCACCCAGGCTAGAGTGCAGTGGTGCAATCTGGGCTCACTGCAACCTCCGTCCCCTGGGTTCAAGCGATTCTCCTGCCTCAACCTCCTGAGTAGCTGAGACTACAGGCGCGTGCTGCCATGCCTGGCTAATTTTTTGTATATTTAGTAGAGATGGGGTTTCACCGTGTTAGCCAGAATGGTCTCGATCTCTTGACCTCGTCATCTGCCTGCCTAAGCCTCCCAAAGTGCTGGGATTATAGGCGTGAACCACCATGCCCGAACTTTTTTTTTTTTTTTTTTTTTTTTGTAGAGTCAGGGTCTCCTTATGTTGCCCAGGCTGGTCTCAAGTGATCCTCCCACCTGGGGCTCCCAAAGTGCTGGGATTACTGGCTTGAGCCAGCCTGGCTGCTAAACTCTACTTTTTGAGCAATGGCCTCAATTTTATCTTCCATCCTTTCTATTAAGTTTTTCATTTCTTCTATCACACATACATATATAGGTACACACACATATAAATATATAGACATACATATATATACACATAAATGTATGTATGGGTATTGTATATATGTATATGTATATTTTAGAGACGGGATCTTGTATTCTTACCCAGGCTAGAGTGTGGTGATGCACCATAGTTCACTGCAGCCTCAAACTCCTGGGCTCAAGTGATCTTTCTGCTTCAGTTTCCCGAGTAGCTGGGATTATAGGCGTGTGCTACCATGCCCAGCTAACTTTAAAATTTTTGTAGAGCCAGGGTCTCACTATGTTGTTCAGGCTGGTCTCAAACTCCTGGCTTCAAGCAATCTTCCCTCCTCAGCCTCCCAAAGTGCTGGGATTACAGTTGCGAGCCACTGCGCCCAGGCTTCTACCATATTTTAAATTTCCAAGGCTTCTTTAAAAAATTTTAAACAGCATACTGTTCTTTCTTTCAAGGATACAATCTCTTTTTCAACTCTCGGAGACATTCATTCACTCATTCATTTGGAGGGGCAGGTTTCCAATGTCCTTGCATAGTTTCTGGTTCCAAGTTGCTTTGTTCTGTTTGTACTGGCGGGACTTCGTGTTATAGACCTTCTGAGATGTGTGATGAAGCTTGGCTGTTTGCTTATATGGAAGACTGGGACACTCATTATAAGTTATTGAGAACCTTTGTGCACATGCAGTAGGACTTGTCAACTATGGCTTCAGTATAGGGAGATGAGATTGGACTGATTCATTTAAGTTTTTTCTCATGGGTTGGTCAGATTTCCTAGAGGTGAGTCTTCCAAACTCCAGCCTGCAGCATGTAAGACCAGCATTCTACGAGCTGAGTTAGAGAAGAGCCTGGAGCTTTCAACATTCAATATGCAAAGTTTTATTTATTCCCCTCTCCCTTGTTTTAGTTTAAAATCTATGCCCTCACTTGTGTCAGGAGTCCACCAGTCCAGAGACTACCTGTTTTACTCTCTCCAGAAAATGTCTCCAGTCTTCTGTTAATGGAGGGAAAGGGCTCCCCCTTTGGGAGCAGATGGAGGGGAATGGAGGGGAGAATCTGAGAGTCTAAGTGTTTTTTCTATAAATTTTCAACCAGTCCTCTTGTTTTTAGACTTACCTCTTCCCCTATTAAACCTACCTGATGCCACCAATTATGAAGCTTTTTGAGGATTCTGGGGTGCAAATTGAGTTGCTGCCCCACTTCCTCCACTGCTGGCTCAGGATTCGACTTTAAGTCTGATCCACCAGTTCATACTTGCCAGTCTGATTTCCAGCTTCCCATGATCTCATCACTATTATCTCTTTCTTCTCCTATTCTTTGTCTTTGTGGTTTTATGACTTATGAAAAGAAAAACGCTTTATTTTCATTTAACTTTTGTGGTAGTTGTGAAATATGTGAAATATATCCTAAGTGACTCTTTTGGATAAGATATCCTGATGGGTAGCCTTTGAGTAGAGAGAGGTGACGAGACATTAGCTTTGGAGTTCCAAAGTCAAATTACACAGAGGCAGAAGAAACCATCTAGATAATATTTTTTTTGAGATGGGGTCTTGCTATGTTGCCCGGGCTGGTCATGAACTCCTGGGTTCAAGTGATCCTCTTGCCTCAGCCTCCCAAAGAGCTGGAATTACAGGCATGAGCCATTGCACCTGGGCTAGATGATTTTTTTTGAAGACTCAAGAGCTGTGGGAGAAAAAAGGCTGGATGGACACTGTCCATCCTGAAACATATGACTGGTTGAGGTGTAAGAATAGAATGTCTTTAGAAGAGTTTGCAAATTTTACAGTTCATCAGTCAGAGTACTGCAAAGCAACTGCCTGGTCACTCAAGATAGCAGGGAGAAAGGAAGGCAGCTTAAATATGGCATCAAAAAGAATAAAGTAAAGAGGACAGGGCTCAGAGTTATGCAGGGCTACTGCATCTGTTGTTTGGCAGAAAGAATTTCTTTGCTCACTCTAAGCTGGATTTTGCTGTCTCCCTCCCATTTCTCTTTATATTTGTTTCTCACATAGATCTCAAGTACAGAAAAGAGAGCTGGGCAACAACAAGCTAGGCCTAAATTCACGAGGAGGTGAAAACAACAAAGAATGCAGAGACCTCAATAACCCTGTATAATCTAATCTACAAATCCAAACAACCACCAACAGGCTACTGATGTACGACAGAAATGGTGTCAAAAGTTTTTATTTGGGGCGAGTTCTTATAAGAACAATGGCACTTTGTCATTTTCATCTACCCCCAGAACAGAGAGGAAATGAGTCTGAATGAGCATATGAGAGATTGAGTCAGATATAACAGGACAATGAAGATGAAGAACCTTGTCAACGGATATTTCAAGGGAGCTATAACAGATTATAGAGGTAAATTAAAGAACTTTCTCCATGGGATACTTATTTTCCCACTTACTATTCTCCTCATATCATCTAGTCTACCCTCCAAAATTTACACGTCTCATTCCCTATTTCCACTAAAAAGCATCACCTTTTCCCCTCATTGCTCTATCAAAAACTTAGGTATGTCTTCAACTCCTTTTTCCTCCCCCTCCTCATCAAGACTGTAACACATCATTGATTGTATTACCACTTTCCTTTCAAATCTGTCTCTTCCTTTAACTTTCCCCTGCCTTTGCTCTGGTTCAGAGCCTAATGTCCTCTCACTTGAGCCACTGTGAAAGACTTCTTATCAGTTCTACTCCTCCCTCCCTCTAACATGCACTGAATATAATCAGAAGCCTAATCACCCAAAAGTGTGGCACTTAGCAAAACCTTCATTAGCTCTCTGTTACTGACATGATAAAATAAAAATTCTGCAGCCTGGCTGGGCATGATGGTTTACACCAGTAATCGTAGCACTTTGGGAGGCTGAGGAGGGAGGATTGCTTAAGGCCAGGAGTTTGAGACCAGCCTGGGCAACATAGTGAGACCCTGTCTCTGTGTATTTTTTAAAAAACATTCTACAGCCCATTTATCAAGATTATTCATGAGCCATCATTAATGTAGTATAGTGATTAAGAGCACAGATGTTGGAGCCAGACTACCTGAGTTTAATCCCTATAAACTCTGCCTAGGGTTAAATTCAACTTCAATTGAGCAAACAGTCATCAAGCTCCTAGTATTTTTTTTTTTTTTTTTGAGATGGAATCTTGCTCTGTCGCCCAGGCTGGAGTACAGTGGCATGATCTCGGCTCACTGCAAGCTCCGCCTCCCAGGTTCATGCCATTCTCCTGCCTCAGCCTCCCAAGTAGCTAGGACTACAAGCACCCGCCACCACGCCCGGCCAATTTTTTGTATTTTTAGTAGAGACGGGGTTTCACCGTGTTAGCCAGGATGGTCTCGATCTCCTGACCTCGTGATCCACCCGCCTTGGCCTCCCAAAGTGCTGGGATTATAGGCATGAGCCACTGTGCCCGGCCCAAGCTCCTAGTATTTATAATGCATGGTATCAGTTGCTATGGGCATTCAAAATAAGTGGCTATCCAGAATGAGCGTATAACCCAAGGATGGAGAAAGGTGTATAAATGAAATAAATCCATGACAGAGGTATAGACAACATACATAAAGCAATACAGAGGAAGGAATGATTTCATCTCCAATAAAATCCAGAAATATGACTTTACCATGTTACAATACTGATAAACATAATGCTTTATCCACTTTTCTCCACTCCCATCCCACTCCTACTTCCTATGTTCCCCAGGATTCCTATTAGGTGACCAGCTGTCTTGCCTAATTTCCTTTTAGAAATACAGACCTGCATGAGGAGCCGGTCCTCACACCACTATGCAGTGATCTGTGTGCTGCTGAAGTCTCTGGAGTCCTGGCATTATCCCAGGGATCTGACATCAGTGGACATAAGCCCTATCTGTTCATATTTCACATAGGCATTTTCCATTTCCAGATCAAATGCCAAGTCTTCCATGAGGCTTTCCATGATCCTCCTTGCCAGAAAAATCCCATTCTCTTTTATGTTTCTACAGACATATCTATACTTCTGTTAGAGTGGTCTGCCTTGAAATAGTTATGTCCACACATCTTTTCACTAGACTATATTTCCCTGAAGGTTAGGATTAAATCTTATGCTTCTTCGTACCCCTCATACAATATCTTGTATACAGTGGGCACTCACTCATTGCTTATATGAAAACAAGAATGCATAACTTCAGGAAAAAGGTTAAGATTTTGGAGCTGCTATTTATATATTCTCCAAGAATAACTAGTAATTTGTTTATAAATGTAATCCTTGCTTTGGGGTTGGGGGAATTTATTAACATTCTCTTTTTAGAACTTTCAGTACTCTGCTGAAATTCCCTATCTATACAAAAATGTAATTCACCTTTTCTACTGGATCCTTAAACATATTTATAAAAAGGATTTTACAATCCTTGTCTGTTAGTTTCAACATATGGCTCATCTGTGGATCTGCTTCTATTGACTATTTTTTCCCTCAGTCTTATTTTTTCTGCTTCTTCCTGAGTCTTGTAACTTTTTATTTTATGCCAGATGTTGTGTGTAAAAGTGTGGCAATAGGTATATCCAGAAAAGGACATGTCCCTTCCGCTGTTAGGCTGCTAGGATTGAGAGCTGAGTCAGTCTAGCCTGTCATAGAGCCAGGTTTGGGCTCTGTTATAGGTCAGTTCACCAGTTTTTTTTTTTTTTTTTTTTTTCTAGACGAAGTCTTGCTCTTGTTCCCCAGGCTGGAGTGCAATGGTGTGGTCTCGGCTCACTGCAACCTCCGCCTCCCGGGTTCAAGCAATTCTCCTGCCTCAGCTAGGATTACAGGTGCCTGCCACCATGCCCGGCCAATTTTTGTATTTTAAGTAGAGATGGAGTTTCGCCATGTTGGCCAGGCTGGTCTTGAACTCCTGACCTCAGGTGACCTGCCTGCTTCAGCCTCCCAAATCACCAGATGTTTTTTTTTTTTTTTTTGAGACGGAGTCTCGCTCTGTCGCCCAGGCTGGAGTGCAGTGGCGGGATCTCGGCTCACTGCAAGCTCTGCCTCCCGGGTCACCAGATGTTTTGAGGGCAGGATCAGGACTGTCCTTTCAGTAGCACTTAAGATCTGATCATAGTGAGTCCCCAGAGATCTCTCTATGCCATCCAGCCCAGCTGCCAGCTTTGGGCTGCTGTGGAGTTCTCTGCACTCTTGGTGAGCCACTTCTGTGCATTCAATGAAGGATTTTTGTGCTTTGGAGGGGGTCTTTCTCTACCCTCCTGCCCTGTTCTCAGGTTCCACTGTACTGTACTGTACTGCTGCTGTATAATCAGTGAAGGTCCTGTGTACATTGGGTGGGGGCAGGGATCTTTCTCAGATTTCTGTCCTGCCCTTAGCCATCAGCTTGCTGCCACTGTGTACTCAGTGAAGCCCTCATGAGAACGATTTAGGGGTAGGTGGGTACTTATTTGCTCTATAATTAGGGCTCCTTATGGCCAGCCTACATGTGGCCTTCAAAAGTTTGTAGGAAATTCAGCTATTTTCTCCTTATCCTCATCTATGGTGGGTTTGCTCCTCTTAGCCATACCCTAGGAGGAAAACAGCCATGTATTCCATCTCTCCTAGGAATGGCTCTTCTCTTTCTGGAATTTAGTTCAATTAGAGTACTTTGCATCCTTAGATATCTGTATTTTTAAAAAGTTATGTTTGTTGCTTATCCAGCTTAGCCTTGTTGTTAAGATGAGAGTGATAGTGTAGGACACTATACGATTCCCTTCAATAAATTAGCCCCTTGAGTGCTCTTAGAATAAATAAAGCCCTTCATCTAGGGCTGCTAAGAATGGCAACTGATTCCTCCTCTTGTTTTCTTGCCCACTTCCTAGCACTGATACCATAGTCTAAGGAACACTCTGATGCATCCATCTCCTCTGTAGGATGAAAAGAGGGACTGTGGAGAGGCCAGCTCAACTGAACACTGCTCTGTTTGTGTCTGTGCAGACACGTGGCAATGCATGGGGCAGGAAACACTCCTCCCCTCTGGGAAAAGCACCAACACTAACGTAGTTCTTGGCTAGGATTGGCTACCCCTCCCAGACTTCTCTCACACCGTCTGCTCCCCACATTTTAGGCCCAGCTATTCCATGGAACTTGAATAGCCAAGGGAGCCTGCAGGCAGCCAGAGGGCCAAGGGTGTGGGCTAACTAACTGGAAGAGTGGACCAGCTTGTGACTACATAGGAAAAAATCCTTATTGCTTCTGTAGCACAGCATGGTTCTTAAAAGTCAGACTTGAACACTGAATCTGTTCTTCTGTCCAGAATATATATGCCTTGCGAATCAGTAACTATTTCTCTATTTACTACTTAATGCATAAGAGCTGTATACATGGAACTCTACTTTCTCTTCTGAGAGTGGAGAAATATCTGCGGTACAATAGGCTGGTTTTAACAGCTGAGAGTTTTCTTTTTTTTCTTTTTCTTCTCTTATAATTATTTTTACTTCCAGTAGAGTTTATGGAATTGGAAGCCTAGGGGATACCTAGGACTTCTTGCTTCCTCATATAGGAAAGAGAATAACTAACTTTATCATCTAAACTGGAAACAGGTTCCAAGACAGCAGGAAGCTATTTGGCCACAAAATGTACCCTACTTCATGGAAACAAATCCCCAAATCAATCATGAAAAAAAGCCAGACTCAGAGTTGGAGGGCTTTTCAGTCCCCATCACTATACCAACTAGGTATGCACTGTATTCTATCAAATATACAAACATCAAATGGGGCAGAGCGGTAAAAGAGCATCAATAATCACAACTCTTGATATTGTCTCACTTGCTAGAGTTGATGGATGGTGACCTAGGTTAGGCAGTGAAATAGACAACAGTGACAAAGTGTGAATTTGACCCAGGGACTGAGAGTAATCTGAAAACCAAGATAAGTAGGAGGCTAGCAAATGTGATGAGCCCAGTTCTAGGTTTGCCAAGGGCTAGAATGTCTATGGATCAAAATAAAAAGAACATTTTTCATAGTGCAAGTGTTTTAGATAAGGCTGTCATTAGATGGTTCTGCAGCCAGCGATATCTCATGACATTTGCCCCTGATACTCAAATTATTCTTGATAATTTTAAGGAGACAGGGCAAAGAGCACATAAAGCTGGAAGTGGAATCAGTCCAAGTTAGAATTAAATACATACAGACTCAAAACTAATCTGTCCTCTTGAAGAGGCTAACCTTATTGGCTAGAAATGGACTGAGCTGATCTCAAAGAATACACTACTATAGACCAGAATGCATTCCTAATATTTGCTCTAGTCTTGAAATTTTCCATAGCTTTCTTGGAACTACACCAGATTAAAGCTAAGATATAGCTTTCCTTGCTTGCTACTTTAAGAATACTCTTGCTATCTATGATAAAATGTATTATGTTAAACCACGTGAAATTGCCAATCTTATAGGTAAAAAATTGGTCAAACCTGGGCACTTTCATATGATTCAACATCAAATATATTTATTTTTGTGTTTGGTCTACACTTTAGCACTTGTTTGCTACAAAACTGTGGTTGTGGATTCTAAACTCTTTTTTTTTTTTTTTTTTTAATTGAGACAAGATCTCACCTTGTCACCCAGGCTGGAGTACAGTGGTGTGATCTCAGCTTACTGCAGCCTTGACCTCCTGGGTTGAAGTGATCCTCCTGCTTCAGCTCCCCAAGTAGCTGGGACTACATGTGCGCACCACTGCGCCTGGCTAATTTTTTAATTTTTTGTAGACACAGGGTTTCACCATGTTGCCCAGGCTGGTTCCAAACTACTGAGCTCAAGCGATCTGCCTGCCTTGGACTCCCAAAATGCTAGGATTACAGGCATGAGCCACCATGCCTGTACTTACTCTTTTTTTTTTTTTTTTCTCTGAGACGGAGTTTCACTCTTGTTGCCCAGGCTGCAGTGCAATGGCGCAATCTTGGCTCACCACAACCTCTGCCTCCCAGGTTCAAGTGATTCTCCTGCCTCAGCCTCCCAAGTAGCTGGGATTACAGGCATGTAATTACCACCACACCTGACTAATTTTTGTATTTTTAGTAGAGATGGGGTTTCACCATGTTGTCCAGGCTGGTCTCGAACTCCTGACCTCAGGTGATCCGCCTCCCTCAGCCTCCCAAAGTGTTAGGATTACAGGCATAAGCCACCATGCCCAGCTGACTTAAACTCTTAATAGGGAGAGACCAAGTTACAAAAATCCAAGTCAAATGAAAGAAATGACAACCTGTCCCAGTCTAAGACTAGTTTGGTACATCTGAACAAGGGAATATGTTTTGGACTTTCCTCAATCCAAAGTTCCAAAGATATCCCATTCTTCAATGGTCTTTTATGCTTTCTTCAGACCCATTCCTGGAGGTGAGCCACTCAGTTCATAATCCATACTTCCCCAAAGGTCACTCAGACAGTCATGGAGATGTGATCCCTAATGAGAAAATTAGCAAGTGATGTTCCATCTCTGGTCCCTGCAGCAAGTGGACTCCTTTGTTAAGACGTTGGTGACCTACACCTGTGTTAATATGGTAGCCACTAGCCATATGTAGCTAATGAGTACTCGAAATGTGGCTAGTCCCAATTGAGATGTGGAGTAAGCTTTCAAAGACTTAGTAGAAAAGGAAAATATATCTTAATTATCTTGATAATTTCTATATTAATTACATATTAAAATAATATTTTAAATACATTGGGTTAAATAAGACATATTACAATTAATTTTACCTGTTTTACTTTTTATTTTTATTTTTATTTTTTTTGAGGCGGAGTCTCGCCCTGTCACCCAGGCTGGAGTGCAATGGCGCAATCTCGGCTCACTGCAACCTCCACCTCCTGGGTTCAAACAATTCTCCTGCCTCAGCCTCCCAAGTAGCTGGGATTACAGGTGCCCACCACCATGCCCAGCTAATTTTTGGATTTTTAGTAGAGACAGGGTTTCACCACATTGGCCAGGCTGGTCTCAAACTCCTGACCTTGTGATCTGCTCATTCAGCCTCCCAAAGTGCTGGGATTACAGGCGTGAGCCACCATGCCTGGCCTTTGTTTCACTTTTTTAAATGTTTCTACTATAACATTTAAAAATACATATGTGGGCCAGGCGCGGTGGCTCACACCTGTAATCCCAGCACTTTGGGAGGGCGAGGCAGGTGGATCACAAGGTCAGGAGATGAGACCATCCTGGCCAACATCGTGAAACCCTGTCTCTACTAAAAATACAAAAATTAGCTGGGTGTGGTGGTGCGTGCCTGTAATCCCAGCTACTCGGGAGGCTGAGGCAGGAGAATTGCTTGAACCAGGAGACGGAGGTTGCAGTGAGCTGAGATCGCGCCACTGCACTGCAGCCTGGCGACATAGCAAGACTCCATCTCAAACACAAAAAACCAAAAAAACAAAAAAAGTATGTGGCTTGCATTAGATTTCTGTTGGAAAGCGCTGTCCTAAACAGGAAACTTTTGGTCAATGAAATGTCCGCTTTAAAGAGCTGGAGTTCTTTAGCTGCTACAGTAGTTACATTTGGTCCATGACCTGAGAAAGCTACGGTTTGCAGTTAAACTTCAGCTGATCCCTTTGATGGCAACAAATGTGGTAACATTTTTAGGTGCAAACATTGAAATTATGAGCCATAGTCCTCGGAGACCATTCAAGAGGTTAAAGAGGATAAGTGATTTTTAAAAAAAAGATAATAGAAGAGTCAGAGTGAAATTGGGCAGTTTTGTGATGCTCAGTTTTGAAAATGAATCAAGACCATCTAGAGAAACCAACATTCTGTTCAAGTACTGCCAAAGTTCTTAAAGTCAGTAACCTCTCCTACTCCTCATCCCCATGTGGCCCTAGAGAACTCCAAGAGCGAGGGGGAGTACAGTGTCTGCTTCATTACATGTCTGTGGTTTGGCAGAGATCACAGCAAACTAGCTTGACCTGGCCAACAAAGCCAGGCAATGGGAGGAAAGGATGAATCGCAGAGTGAGAGATTTAGAGGAAGAGAGGGTGGGGCAGAGAAGAAGCCAATGTAAATTTTTTTGAGTTAAGGCTTTGCCAAGTCTTAATCAAGGGTAAAAATCACCAAGAAGAAAGGACTTTAAAGAACAAGGTAATCAGAGTCTTATATGAAATTGGAGGATATGTGCAATCAGGAAAATTTATTTGGCCCCTTGATATATTGGCAGTAAGCTCTTACAATTCCAGTCCTATAAGAAAACAAATGGTTTCAATAACTTTTAAAAGACATTTCCTAAACTCTAGTTTCAATCACAGAACTATCTGATTAATTTGTTCAATTCTCAAATGCTGAAGCTAATTTAATGAATGGACCATAGCTAGGGAAGCCCAAATTCAGATTTAAATCCTACAGACTGGTTACATGGCGTTATTAAAAAATCAGAAAAAATAGTCATCACAATTTTGGAGGCTACCATTTTAGAGTATCTGTTGCAACACCTAGGTAATGAATTCTTACTCAAACCCAACTGGGAAGATTATGAAGATTACTACCACGAATTTTGTAAATATTTCCTGGGCCGGGTGTGGTGGCTTATGCCTGTAATCCTAGCACTTTGGGAGGCTAAAGTGGGCGGATCGCCTGAGCTTAGGAGTTCAAGACCACCCTGGGCAACATGGTGAAACCCCGTCTCTACTAAAATACAAAAAATTAGCTAGGTGTGGTGGCACGCGCCTGTCGTCCCAGCTACTCAGGAGGCTGAGGCACAAGAATTGCTTGAGATTGGGAGGCAGAGGTTGCAGTAAGCTGAGATGGCACCACTACATTCCAGCCTGGGTGAAAGAGCAAGAGTCTGTCTCAAAAAAAAGAAAAAAAAAAAAAAAAAAAAAAGAATATTTCCTGAAGATCAAACCCATCCAAGAAAATTATACTCCAATGCTCTACTGTACCTTGATCATTCTGTTCGATGCTGAAATAATAGATTTCCACCATTGCCTTTTTCTTTTAAGTCACTCAGTTATAGTGACTGACAGAGTTCTGTATGGCACTTAGAAAGGAGTTAAAGCAAATAAACACAGGGACATGGCACCTCCAAGAATATAAAAGGCCACCCTAATGTGCCCATAGAGAAAGGACTTCTGTTATTTCTGATGATTCTTAATATAATGGAAAAGTGTGAAAACTTGTCTGCTTGGTTCTAAATCTAGTTCACCTCAAGGCTTCCTTGCTGAAGTTCTAGCCACCTTCAGCATACCCACTTTAGCTCACTCTCCTTTCTGATAAAGGTTCAAGTGTTTTTAATGGTGGCAATAGGGCCATAGGTCCAGACCTAGGCAGAACCCCACTCAGTCAGAATAAAGCCATGCATTTCTGTGCTTGTTCTTCACAGACGCCATCTTGCCAGTGGCAAAAGAAAAGTAACTGGTCTGGAGAACCGAATGCCCTTGCAGTTATACATAAAATTCTATGCATGTGCAATCTTCTGGTATCTGATCATACTTTCAGATTCTCAAATGTGTCTATGACTCAGAAAATTTTCTTTAAATTATCATCTTGCCTCCTAACACCCTGCTTTAGGCATTGCTTTCTTGATTCTGGCATTGAATTTTTGCCCTAAGGTTAAGAGAGTTTCTTAAATTTAGACCATTGTTATGGAATAAATTATGTTCCCCCCAAGTGTATGTGTTACAGCTGTAACTCCCAGTGACTGTATTTGGAGATGGGGCGTTCAGGGAGGTAATTAAGATTAAATGATCTTATAAGAGTGGAGCTCTCATCTGATAGGACTCGTGTCCTTATAAGAAAAAGGAGACACCAGAGAGCTCTCTTTCTGTGTGTGCACAGTTAAGGCCATGTGAGGACACAGTGAGAAGGTGGCTGTCTACAGCCAGGAAGAGAGGCCTCATCAGAAACCAACCCAGATGGCACCTTGATTTTGCACTGCTGGGCTTCGGAACTGTGAGAAAATAAACTTCTATTGTTTAAGCCACCTGCCCTGTGGTATTTTGTTATGTCAGCTTGAGCAGACTACCACAACCATTAAGTTACGAAAATAAGCTTATTTTATCTACATGTCAATATCCCCCATTGAACTACATTGGATATTGACCACCTCTATGATTCAGGCTAGTTTTCAATTCAGATTTACTGCCATCAGATTTTTTTAAATCATGATATCATAGGTTATTATAGGAAAATTAAATACCCGAATCCATCTGCTAGGCACAGTAGAAGCTATGGATTGAGAAAATCAAGGAGTCAGGCAAAGTGGAAGGAATTATCATTGCTGCTTGGACTTGGCAGCGAAATAATCCCGGAGAAATTCCATCTTTCTGTGATGAAATCAGGCTCTATATGTGCTCCTGTAATGACATGATACACAAGTATTCAGCCCTGCAAACAGCTTGGATAGCACTTTGTGGAACAAAATGGATGCAATTGGATTAGAGGTATCAATATATTTTATTGGGATCTTAATGTGGGAAAGGGTAATTGCAGGGTAGTAGAGGAGAGACAGAGAAGTGAGAATATAGAAGGAAAGACATGAGAGACTGTTTCCAAGCCGTCGGTTAAAGCTTTGCCATGTCAGCTGGCAGGGCCAGAGCAAGAAGAAAGAGCAGAAAGTTGAGCTGTTTAACGGGAGTCTCCTTAATTAGGACCAACTGTGGGTGAGGAATGCTGACTCGGCTGGCCACAATTTGTTTGAGTTTTCTCTAGTTTCAGAGATTTCCCTTTTTGTCTGCCCCAAGTCTTTCCCCTCCTGTACTTCTTTCACAGGAGTGGGAATGAAAAAACAAGGCACCTTCCTCTCTTTTTCAGATGTTTCCAAGTCAGGAAATTGAAATCCTTCAAAGAGTGAAAGATAACTGAGAATCTCAAGAAAAGCAAAAAATTCTCAGGGATACCATCAAATTCACCTTCAAAAGATAAAAGGCAGTCCTCTAGAGCAAGCTCTGGAGTACTGAGTATGTACTTCTATCTCTACTAGTCGCTATTACTACAGTTGAGTTAGTGTACTTGTCTTAGCCTCAATTTCCCCAAGTATAAACAGGTAATTGAACACCCACTAATCAAAATCTTTAGAAAGTTTGAACATCAAGGAAAATGATTTTGATTCTTAACTTGGTCAAGAAAACATCTTGAGGAAAACTAAAAAGTCACAAAATTAAGGTGTCAATTGATGTGAGTGACCTTATTTTGAGTTTCCATATTTTTATTGGAGAGGGCCTGAAGGAGGCTCTAAGAATAGTCAGTAGGATTCTGTTCAGAACCAACATTTTTTTTTTCTCTTTCTAAAACCCACATAGATGTCCCATTTTAAGGATTTTTGGAAAGGGATGAAAATGATATTTGATTTTAAATTTCATGAGATAATTCCTACTTCCTCACCACTGTCTCACCCATATTCTTCCTGCAGTGTTTCCTTAGGAGTCCACTGCACAATTCCAAAATCCCTAGCTAATTGAAAAGAAATGTAGAATAGTGTCTGCATTTCTGCACCTTCTCTAAACCAATAAGGAAGTAAGAGATAATTGACAATACTCCGAAAAGTAGGAAAAGTTTGGCTTAAGGGTCCAGAGTAGGGGTTGGCCAGATAGTAAATATTTATGAGGCTTTGCAGGCCATAAAGTCTCTGTCACAACTACTCAATTCTGCCATTGTAGCACAAAAGCAGCCATAGATAGTATGTAAACAAATGAATCCGGCTATGTTCCAATAGAACTTTATTTATGTCCACTGAAATTTGAATTTCACATAATTTTCATGTGTCACAAAATATTGTTCTTCTTTTGTTCCTTCCAATCATTTAAAAATGTGAAATCCACTCTCAGCTTGCAGGCCATACAAAAACAGGCAGTGGACTGGATTTGGCCAAGCAGGCCAAAGGTCACCAGCCCTGGGGCTAGACCAAAAAAAGAACCCCTAAAAATGAAAAGAAATAACAATTCCGTAACTGACAAGTCCTGGGCAAAAAAGCAACTCTGGGCTAAGAATGACCTCTTGGATTTCCACTTTTATTACTTCTGATCTAACCTGCTCAATTTTCAAGTCAAAACAAGATTTTTCTACTACTGATTCAGTTTTTTGGGTTTTTTGTTTGTTTGTTTTCTTTGAGACAGGGTCTCACTCTGTCACCTAACTGGAATGCAGTGGTGCAAACACAGCTCATTGCAGCCTCAAGCTCCAGAGCTCAAGGGATCCTCGCACCTCAGCTTCCTGAGTAGGTGGGACTACATGCGGGTGCCACCATGCCCAGATAATTTTTTTTTTTTAATTTTTTTGTAGAGACAAGTTCTCACTATGTCGCCTAGGCTGGTCTTGAACTCCTGTCCTCAAGTTATCCTCCCGCCTTGGCTTACCAAAGTGCTAGGATTACAGGCATGAATCACTGAGCATGGCCTCTGATTTAGTTTTGACTCAGAAAAAAAGGAAGAGGTTGGAAAAGAATAGAGAAGAAAAAGAAAAAAAGAAGCATTCGTACTGCTTGTACGTCATTGCCAATCCTCCATTCTGGAAGTAGGCGATGCCTTAAAGTGGGATGGAATGACTTATGTAGGGTTGACAGAAGCAAAAACCATTTTTGGTCAGAAGCACAAATTCTTCTACACAGGTTGGAAGAAGTGATATAGAACGTATATGGCCTGTATATGTTCCTGATGCATAAAGCAACAAATAAAAGTCTACTTTATTAAACGAAGACGTTGCCATTCATCTTCAGATCTCAGATCACCCTGTGAGCGCAAAGTGAGTACTGAAAGAGGAAAAAGGGATAGGAATCAGGCCCCAAATTCATACTACTAGGCTGAGAAATCTGTGCAACTCTGAGCAGTTTCTGGCAGCTCTAAAAGACCCAGGCCAGACTGCTGGTGTGAAACGCTGATCTGGCTATAAACACCTCCAGCCACTGAGCTACTCTCTCTTCGCGGAATGAAGCTTCCCACCACAAACCAAATGAATTGCCAGGCGTTCCCTCTGAACACATTATTCCCCGCTTTTTGACTTCTTTGTATCATATTCAGTTTTCTCACTCCAGAATCCCTGGCCTTCCATTATCACCTTCTTTTTTTCTTTATTAAATAAGAAGTCCACTTTCCAACGTCTTCTTTAGTGTTTCTACAAAAGCTGAGGAGGTCATCTTTTTTCTGTTCACGGTCTCCTTATTCAGTCAACAAAATCTTTAAATCCTGAGTCAAGATAGAGGGCAAAAGCAAGCTTTTCTGCTGTAACTACCCTAATGCTGTCCACATTCAATCTACTAAAAACAAACAAAAGGGAACATCAGAAAGGAAAGCTGCCAGCAAAACAGAAACAAACACAAATTCCAAATATTAAAACCTAAAGAGAAGAATATTGGATGCTAATTCCTCAAGTCTGTCTGCTTGCACACTACTATACTGAACTACATGGTACCATGTTAGTTAGAGAGAAGTGCCTCTCTAGGTCCAGAGGCTTGAGCATGTGGGAGGATCTATTCAGGATACGGGCAAGTTATGTGACACAATGACCCTTTGTAATGCACATAAAGAGACTCCCATCCAAATCCACAGATTCACCATAACACTCTGTTATTGAAGTATTTGTTGCAAGTTAAGCTACTTGATTTATTTTCCTTTTCAAAAATAATACTGAGAAACCAACTCACCACAGAATGCAAACATTTCTCTCAGGAATTCACACCCTATTGAGGTCCCCAGGGAGAAAGTCAGTGAACAACTCTGGATGAAGAATGTTACTCTAATACAAATCTAAGCAGGGTCACCACACAAAAAGAACTCTTGTCCCTACACTAAATGCAGAGGAAAAGAAATACTTCAGGCTGGTTATGGAGAGTCATCAATAAGGTAAAAGATGAGGCTGTTTTCCAGGTTATATAAACTTTTAAAACATAATATTCTTTTTTAAAAAAGTTTAATCTATTTATTTATTTTGAGAACGGGTTATGAGACTGGTTAATTTTTGTATTTTTGGTAGAGACGGGGTTTCACCGTGTTGCCAAGGCTAGTCTCGAACCCCTTGGCCTTAAGCGATCCACCCGCCTGGGCCTCCCAAAGTGCTGGGATTACAGGCGTGAACCACCATGCCCAGCCACCAGGTTATATAAACTTTTGATATAGCTTCAGCAATCCCTAGTAGGATTATTTTGAAGTTTTGATCTCAGTGGCTTGGCTAGATTTCCTAATTCCAGTAACTTTTGTAACTCTTTTTGATGCCCCATCCTCGTTTAAGTTCAAAACTAAAAATAGCAATGATATAGGTGGAAGCAGCCACAGGGGCAGGAGTACCAGATGATAAGTTTTCTCTTTTTACTTGTCCACAAAGAACAATAACCTCAGGACTTGAAGGAGCTTCAATGTATTGCAAGGGAAACCTACCAATTTGTTACTGGGGGAGTTTATTCAATCCCTCAACTAGCACCCTGATATCATTATTTCAAAAGAAGTGGTCACGAGAAGGTAGGAGAATTTAAGGACACACTTCATTACTGAACAGTTTTTAATCTGTGTGAATTCAACTGTCAAGATTTCCATTGTAGCAAAGCAATCCATGTAGAAGTCTGAGACTGCTCTGTGGAAAGATGCTGTTCACTTAATCATCAGGCAGGCTGGGATCCAACTCAACATTAGCTATTACTTATACCCATCCAGTCAAGCATAACCAGCATAACCTCTGCATTGCTGGACAAGCATGCAGCAGTGTCCTGCATGAAATCAAAGGAAAATCTGCAGTTTTACTGAAAAGATTCATGGCTCTCTGGAAAACCACCTTAAATAATTTAGGAACCTGAGAAGGCAACCAAACGATATTAATGAACACTCACGACCTCTGCATCATACTTTTCGACATTAGATATGCTGAAGCCTGGGTGATGGCCCTCCTTCAGTCTGTGAAGTTGATGCAATATCTAGCTCACTTGTTTGCTTGTTATCTGCCTCTAAGCTTGCATCAAACCAAAGCAGTTTCTCCACTTCTTCACTAACTAATGCACTGTGGAAACCCAGTGTTTCTTAAATACTTGCTATTAAAAGGCATCTTTAATGTGCTGCCTTTTATAATGACACAAAAGGGCATGCATTTTACATTATACTTCTAGTGGAGCTGCCAGATGTAGGCTAATCAATGCAAATAATCTAATCTTTTTTTGGGAGGGGGGAACATCACTAGATATTGTTATTACAACAATAGTTACCATATGTTCAGCACCTAAATATGTATGCCAAGCACTTTGCTGGGCACTTAACATACATGTATAACCTCATTTAAAGCTTCATATTAATTCCAAGTTAGATATGGCTTCCATTTTACTTACAACAAGAACTGAAACTTAAAACAGATAAAGTTACATGCCCAAGGGCCCACAGCTAGTAAGAAGAAAACAAAGCCATTGTAATATCAAGATCTGTCTGACTCTAAAGACTGTTTTTAACCACTACATATACTACAAATACTTCCATTA
This sequence comes from Homo sapiens, assembly GCF_000001405.40. Classification (NCBI taxonomy): domain Eukaryota; kingdom Metazoa; phylum Chordata; class Mammalia; order Primates; family Hominidae; genus Homo; species Homo sapiens. Next base: position 201,758,816 of record NC_000001.11, on the reverse strand, counting down.
CGAGAGAGATAAATGAAGTTAGGGGTGGTCACAGAATAGCAAAACTAAATTAGGCATTTACTCAGATCACTTGGGGACCATATGGGATTACTTCTGCAGTGCATTATTTGGCAGCTTTCCAAACGGTGTTCCACTGGAGGGTGAAGATCACTTATGCATCTCTAGGGACTCTTTGCACAAAAAGGTAGTCTCCAGGTCAAATTTAATTTGTGTCTGCTCCGTCACTTCTACCTTGCGCCTCAGTAGTTTCTGACATTTGGGATTTAGAATTGTGAAAAAGAAATGAGGTTAGTTCCTAGACCTCAAAAAGCCTGCAAACCAAAACACAATTTGCTTGAAAGAGTGACATGCTCCAAGTATCTGAAGGGCTTTAGCAAAAAGAATAATGTAGGATAGGCTATGTAGCTTGACAGAAAGCTTACATATTTGCTCAGGTTGGTTCCTACAGTTTCCAAAGGCAAATCAGTGTACTTCCTTAAATATGATCACCACCAAATAAAATGTCAACATCATATGCCTGCAGTAGAATGGGAAGAAAAGAAATCGATGTCAGGGTGTCAGCTGAAGAGCAGCTACTGATAATTTAACTGACTTCACATGTGGTGGGACAGGCACTCTTTTTGGACTGCCCATTCTAGCATCTTTCCTCTTTAGGAAAACTTATCAAGGACCCTATCTGGCCCCAAAGACCTTACTTTGTAAAGGAAGTCTATGCAACTCGTGGGCAAGAATCCAAAACATCAATCCCTCATGGTGAGGACAAGAAAAAAAATGCCGGATGAGTCCCCACAAGTGGGGCCACCATACTGAGACATATGGATGGGGGCAGGAGGCCCTGTGGCTCTTGGGGGCGTTGGATGGGCCAAGAGGGGTCCTATGCGTGGGTGCAGCCAACAGCTTTCCACAACCACCTGGGAACCAGCTGCATCATCCTCATGATGTCTCATTCCACCGCAACTAGGCTGGCCAGGTAGCAACAGTGATGCTTTTGCTTTGGACAGCCCTGTCTTTCTTTTCAGACTTGGGTTAGTCTTCCGAGTCAAAGACGTCAGTGCTCTGATGCCCCACAGCTTAGGCTTTGGGGTCAACCCTCTTGTGCCTCGCTGGATGAAAATGAACTCAGAATAGTTTCCCAGGTTAATGGCAGATGCCCCTGGTCAGCTGATTTGGGGGAATGTCATTTGATGACAGCACTGGAGATGTAGAGTATGGTATGAACTATAATAGTGTGCAATCTATATCAAGACAGAATATCAAATATAGAAACTGAAAGAAGGCAGAATGCAGCAGCTCATGCCTGTAATTCCAGCAAAAGCAGAAGAATCGCTCGAGGCCAGGAGTTCAAGACCAGCCTTAGTGAGACCTCATCGCTACTAAAAAATTAGCCGGGCGTGGTGGCAAGCACCTATAGTCCCAGCTGTTCAGGAAGTGAGAAAGGAAGACAGCTTGAGCCCAGAAGTTAAGAGGTCACAGTGAGCTATGATTTATGGATTGTGCCACTGCACTCCACTCTAACCTGGGCAACAGAGCAAGACAGTCGAAAGAAAAAAGAAAAAGAAAAAAGAAAGAAACTGAAAGAAGCCTCTAAAAACTTCTTGCCTTCAGAGATCTTGAGGAGAGACTGCTTTTTCAGATGTTCAATGGCATGTACCACATGAAAGTCAAGCTGCAGAGTTAATGGGGATTGTTGAACAGAGAGTTAATGGGGATTGCTTCTTTGTCTGAACATTATGACACTGTGGGATGGCTAGAACCATAAGTGCCGCATAGGTCCGTATAACAGTAGGGCTCTTGTGGACAGCCTACTTTAACATACTCCTATGCCAGACCTGCCACTATTATTGTGACCACAGAAGGAAACTTTTGGGGCTAAGAGTGAATCATTTTCTGATCAATCACAAAGAAAGCCAAAGTAGTGGGGAGAAAGACAGAGAAAGAAAGAAAGAAAGAAAGAAAGAAAGAAAGAAAGAAAGAAAGAAAGAAAGAAAGAAAGAAAGAAAGAAAGAAGGAAAGAAAGAAAGAGAATTGCTCATTAGTTCTTTGCCCTTTTCCAGACACCTGGAGAAGGAACTATAAAAAATGTGGGATGTGCTGGAGAAGAAAACCTATTGGTCTGGAGAAGGAATTTTTCTTCAGGGTGAAAATGCAGAGAATTTCTACATATTGAGTCACATGAAGGCAAAATATTGACTAAAAAGCTAGGCAGCAAGGAAGTAGGGATTTTAAGGCATTATGAAGGAGACTGCAGAGTCTTCCCTACTTGGCAACAACCCAGGACACCATCAGTCTATTTGGCCAGAGAGACCAAATGTTTAGTTATAAAATGTAGAGGGCCCTGAGACACTTCTTGTGCCTTGTGTTGATATTTTGTAGGGAGACATAAAACAATATGAAGAGTTGGTAAAATGGTTTTGCTCCAGAATTAGCAAGGAAGTATGAAGCATTCAGGGAACTAAGCTTTTTAAATGTCTGAAAATATGATTATAGCGCTACAGACTACAGAAAATCTAGAAAAACACATGAGAACTGAAGATTTAAATATTTTTATATAGGCTCTGCATTATGCCCATATTTGTTTATTTTTTTCCCCAATTTTCAGTCTGTTACTTGGAACACTGCTCCTTAGTAGTAATTAAACTGTTAAGTGGCAACTTTTTCATGCTGGATCTATTCTGCCCACCCTACACCACTTTTTTTTTTTTTTTTTTTTTGAGACAGAGTTTCACTCAGTCACCAGGCTGGAGTGCAATGGCGCAACCTCAGCTCACTGCAACCTCTGACTCCCTGGTTCAAGCAATTCTCCTGCCTCAGCCTCCTGAGTAGCTGGGATTACAGGCATGCACCACCACGCCCAGCTAATTTTTTTGTATTTTTAGTAGAGATGGGGTTTCACCATGTTGGCCAGGATGGTCTCGATCTCCTGACCTTGGGATCCACCCACCTTAGCCTCCCAAAGTGCTGGGATTACAGGTGTGAGCCACCGTGCCCAGCCCACAACTTTTTTTAAAGCTGTGTTTCTTCTAGGAGCCTCTTCTCCACGCCAGGCATAAGGAGGAGGTTTATTTTAATGACTTTCACCTTCCAGGTCTTTCCAGACATAAAGCAACTAATGTGTAAGTGCATTAATTGCCAAATCTCACAAACCACACTACTATGATTCTTGTCTTGCAGCCTCTAACTAAAATTGAACTAAGAATGCAAGTTTTCCTAGCCTATATCTGGTCATGGAAACCAGTTTAGTTCCTATCCTGCAGCAATGTTGATAGCCAATCATTACTGCCCTTTCAAATAACAATAAAAACTAAGTTAAGCTAAAATAAGTATATCTTCTTCCTCTTCCTCCTCTTTCTCTTCTTCCTCCTCCTCCTCCTCTTCTTCTCTTTCTTCTTTTTTTTGAGACAAGAGTCTCACTCTGTTGCCCAGGCTGAAGTGCAGTGGTGTAATCATGGCTCACTGCAGCCTTGACCTCCTCTTGCCTCAGGCAAGTAACTGGGACCACAGGCCTGTGCCACCATGCCTGGCTAATTTTTAAATTTTTTGTAGAGGGGGGGCCTCAATTTGTTGCCCAGGCAGGGGAAATAAGATAATATCTTAAGTTTTTAAATGTTTTTATGCAAAATATTTAATTGTTATTTTAGAGATAAGAGAGTATTTGTTGATTCTTTCTAGTGTTGCTGAAAAATGTTGAAATGTGTACAAAATGTCAACTGGGGCATATTTAAGGCAAGGTATTAAGTAACATGTTGTCTTTACTCTGAATTCTTATTACTGATGTCTAAAGGCACTAATTTCTCTAAAGTTGTATCTCAAATTATCTAAAGTCATTCCTCTGTTCCTGACTGGCATTTTTAAACATTATACCTGATATGACATATTCTTTAACATTGTAGCATAATTCCATTGTTTGAGACAAATTATGTAAATTTATTGCTAATTTATTGGGAGGGTCCATTGTACATATTGAATGAAACGCATTATTTCCCTATTTTTAAAAACTGGTTTAGTTAATATAACAGGACAAAATAAAATCAAATCCTGTGGTACAAATAACATAAAATAAAAAATTTTCTAGCATAGATCATAGGATTAAAAAGGTAAAAGCAGATAGAGCAGGAGATAGTTATGTCTAGTTTGATCCTGCTGCCTCATCACTCATGAGCCACATGGAGAGAACTTTTCGCCTGCATTTGTAGGCTACCAGCTGTCTCTCCTTTCAACTACTACACTCATCGCCTCTCCACCTTACCTCACATTTACTCCCCCACTCATTGGAACTTGGCTTTCATTTCCACTGCTTCACTGAAATCTCTTTGGCAAGGGTTACCAAAGATCTCTACATTGCTAATTCAACTAGGACTTTTTCATCCTTTCTGACTTCTGCGTTGCATTTAACACTGTCAGTCACTCCTTGAAATTCTTCCCTCTGTTAGCCTCGGTGACAGCATTCTCTTTCTGTTCCTGCTTATCCAGATTCCTTCTTCCTCCTCTGCCCACCTTTTACACTTTGGTCTTTCATTATATGTGGCTCTTGACTTACTGGTGTTCCTCTTCTACCTATTCCCTTGGGAGTCCTGTCCCATTGGCAAACATGATGGCAGAGTATCTTCCTGTATAGGGTATGAGAGGTTGGGTGGAAGGGTCTGGCACAGAGTAGATTCTCCATAAATACTTGTTGAATGAATCAAGGGGTTATATTAAAATATTTTCCCCGGAACAGAGGTGATTAGAGAATCTTAGGGTCTGTGGCAGGAAAGAAGGCAATATGGAAAAAAAACACTTGCTAAGTGCTTTCTTCAAAGCAACTTTATCCCATTGCAAGTTCCCAGATTCCAGCTTTCCTTCACTTTCCCCTTCTTTGGGTAGTCATCTGCCATCAGAATGACAATGTATCTACTTCTGGCAAAGAATTTTCTTGGGTTTCTGTAGTTGGGAAAGTCACATCAGGACTTTATTGGTCCCTTCTTTTGTGTAACAACAATAATCATATGCACATTTACCCACCAAACAGAAGCTAGCCCTTTATGTAACCCCCAGTGTGTTTCTGGAATGTGCTCCTATGTGGAGTTTGCCTAGCACAGCTTAAAAATTGCAAGAAGGATGCAGAATGTGCTGTGGAATTGTTTGTGTGTAAAATCGTTTGACCTCTCATGATGAGAGCTTCTTGAGAGCCTGAAGCCTTGTCATTTCTGTGGAAAACATTTATCCTAGCCAATGAAAACACACGGTGTTTGAGTTGAGCACTGTCATTCTGAAGGAGTCACTGGAGAAGCACTATTAAGGTAAAATATTACCCCCAATCCGTTTCTCTAATAAGGACATTTGAAAGATACACAATACATTCTTATACCAACTTTAACCACTCTTCAATCGCAGACAGTAGTCAAACATAAGGTCACCAAATTTTCCTATCATACAGTGGATAGCGGAATTTAATTAAATGGGGGCTTCTCTAGTTACCCAATTATGGGCTGAAATTTAATATAGCACAATTGCCTCTGCTTTTTACATTTATGAAATATGCAATGCAGTTCTTACAGGGGCTCATCAATCCTGTCTCCTAGGATAAACTGCAGTATGTATGCCACAGTGGCTCCAAAATAGACCATTTTAAAAGCATTTACGTGATAGTTTTTTCTCTGAAAAGCCACTTCTAAGATATGTGAATGCTCTTCCTTAGAGAAGTTTCCTTTGGGAAGCTTCCTTCCAAAGCTTTCTTTGCTTAGGGGGTGTGAGTTTCTAATTCCTTCTCGGATCCCAGACAGAGCTGAGATACTATACAAGGTAACCTTTAATTTGAGCCCCTCGTTCCCCCCAAAACTACCCCTACATTCTTTCCTAATGTGAAGATTTCCAATAACAGTGCAAAACTAGCAGTTAATAATAGGTCCCAACATGTAAATTACAGTGGTCACCAAAAATAAAGCTTCATGGGGGAAAAATTTGCAAGTTACCACTGTGAGGTAGATGCAGTAAAGAACAGTTTCCTCACACCATGGAAATCTGGATGTCTTTGCACAATTGGCAGACAAATATTCTGAACACAGTCCTTAGAAATGATTTTTTTCGTGTAAACCAAATTATGACTTTTCCCTACCTCGCCTCTCTGTCTCCTTCTCCTCAACAAACCTGACAATTAAACACCCAAAGCTTGTTCCTAAGCCTAAGTCTTTCTTTACATTTCTACAGAGCAATTAAAAAAAAAAAAAGGCAAAGCTGTAATCCGTTACCTTCTTAGCACTTTGTCTAAGGTGATGACTGGGACCATGTGTTATTTGTGAAGTTTTCTTTCTTGCCAAGCAGCCCATAAATGGGCTTGAGATCCTTAGAATAAGAGTGCTTGTTAAGGATTTCAAAAGAAGTGCTCCCAAGAAGCCCTCTTAATTCATACATTCTGAATAGCTTCCTCCCCCACTAAGATTCTCTACTCTTTTTATTAATACAACCAAGGAACACTGGGCAGGTTTGTCCAAAGAAATCCATTTAGAAATTCCATGGAATAGAAAGTGCACTTGTCTCTTTAATTCGGGTCTTAAGGAAGGTTGAGTTGTCACCCTCACCATGGGGGGGATCAGTGATCCGGCCTTGGAGGGCTTTGTAATTTTTATAGACCTCTTGCCTTCATCTTTATTTCAGAATTAACCGCCTTCTTATCTTAAGTCATTTAGTTCATGGACTGCTTACTCTTGGTGAAATATCTTTGTTGAGGGCTCTGAAGGTTTTCACTTCAGAGAACAGGACAGCTGAATACCACATTGTGCATGGAGGTCAAAGGTCAGCACTGGAGAGAAAACCCAGCTAATGCATTGTGAAAGACCTTCGTTTTTATGGGTGAGTTTTCCATGCATGTGAAAGTAAGCACATCTCTCACCTATTACAAAGCTTTGAACAAAAAAAGAACGAAAAGAAAAAGGAATCTTAATTCTTAAACAATAACTGGATGAAGTAAAGATCTTATTCCAGAGAAACAAACCATACACAGGTGTTCAGGCAAGGTAAAAAGCCACTCACGACATGCCCCAGGCATGACATCCTGCCCACTTACAGATGAAGAATGAATGGAGGAAAGAATAACAGGGAACTGAAAGGATTTAAACTTCTCAAACCTTAACCTGTAAATGCCAGCTTTACCAAACATTTTTGAAAGGCAGATGTTCTACTCAGTTTTTACAGAATCAGGTATTGAAGTATCTATAGTGCTTTGCAAATATTAATACCTGACAATTTTCATAACCGGTTATTGCTTTCAACACCCCATGAGATTGGATTGCCATATTTCTGTAGCAAATCCTTACTGATGCACTTTCCATTCAGACAAAATTCCATTCTCTCTAAACTGTCTCATACCCATTATGTGCCTCTCAACTGCCAGTGAACTTCATTCTTCTTCAAAGGGGGGAAACTAAGGCTGGAAGATTTGCCCTCAGCCGTGGAACAAATCAGTGACAAAGTCAGCATTAGATTTTTAGGTGCTTTATCTCTTCAGTGCTAAAAATGTGCTCCAACCTGGGCTGGATATCAAACATATACTTAGCAGGACATCAATCCTTTTCCTGGCTTCTCTGACATGTTCTTTTACACATGCTTTCGTCAAGATGCCTCTTGCCACATCACCTCCTCCAGGTTGAGAGGCAGAACAGTTTTTGTTATCTAAAGATACATATCTTAGAGAAAAATAACAATTTTGAGAACACAGGAAATGACTGGCTAGGAAATTACTTTTGGTATTAACATGCTTTTCTTGGGCAACTATGAGTGAAATTCCTGTTCTGAGGCTTTATGATCAGTCTAGGACTTTTGGCATAATCCTTAAAGAAGTCAAGAGAAGGAAGACTGAAATTAAAAGAAGAGAAAGTTAATCAAAATCAAACTGGTTTTGTTTCTAGAGGAGATGCCTTCAGGCAATAGACAGAAATAAAAACATCCTGCTCTTTCTTCCATCCTGTTCTGATACAGGGTAGATCCAGACCACTTCTCAATTTAGAAAAGGGGTCCTCACAACTTCACCCCACCCTCCAGGCCTCCTCCGATCTCAGAAAGGCAGGCAGGCCAAAAATTCCTGCCTGCCTTTCTGAGATTGGGAGGTGACAGCCCCTCTGGGCATCAACCAAGTGGTAGGTGTGAGTAAATATAAATTTCATCAATTATTACTCCAAAGAGTTGAAAATGAGTAAATACAAGCTATGACTTGAGCACTAAAAATATGTCCTCTGTCTGACTTGGGGAGAGCTTATTTAGATCTCATATAGATTTGGAGAAAGAAAGACATGGAAAAGACCTAATCTGGTGGCTTGCAAGCCCTTTTTTAAGAAGAGCAATCGTTTTTACTAACATTTTAACCAGAAGTCCTCAATGTATGAAACAGGTAAACACAGGGCTGCTCTGTTTGAAAGGGAGGCAGAGTCACCAAGTCCACCTGCCCCTCTTCCTCCCCTCCCCACCCTGACTTGGTCAACTCTCATACCATGAACAGTTTACCTCAGTCATTTCTCCCCTATCACTGATGCACCAAGTCATCCACGCAAATGGGTGTTTTTCTGCTTTGGGAGACTTCCAGGGAAGGGTTTTTCATACCTTCCTTAGGCACTCATTACATGTAAAATCCTTGCAGCGGTAGGTCTTTGTTATAAAAAATTACACAGAAAGTTGCCAGTGAACCTCAGTGTCATTCAAAGTACTAGGACCAATAGAATTTTTCCTGATACACTTCTGCTTTTCCAACTTGAGTCTTCACACCCATACCTACAGTGCATTATCAAGTCTAATGTCAGTTTCTTTAAGGTGGAGCAAAATTTTAACAACATAAAGCAATCTGAAAGCAAAATCCTCTAGAGTTTTATAATCTCCTCTAACCTTTCAAGTCCTACATATAACTCAGCAACATGCCTTTTCTTTCTTTTCTTTTTTCTTTTCATTTTGGAGAGAGAATTGCTCTGTTGCTCAGCTGGAGTGCAGTGGCGTGAACATGGCTCAATGCAGCAGCCTCGACGTCCTAGGCTCAAGTGATCCTCCAACCTCAGCCTCCTGAGTAGCCAGGACCACAGGTATGTGTCACCATGCCTGGCTAATTTTGCTTTTTCTTTTCTGGAGAGACTGGGTCTTGCCATGTTGCCCAGGCTAGCAATTTCCCTTTTGAAACTTCCAATATAGTCTTTATGGAAACAACTTTCTTTTTATGCTCATATTTCATCAATTTATGTAATAATTATATTATCCAAGTTCAACTGGCATAAACAGGTTTGGGAGCAAATGCAATTCTAGGAAAGCATTCAACTTGATTGGTGGAGCAGAAGGATGCAGGCACATTTGAGAGCAGCCTGTTGGCAACCTGTGCTCCGTGTGCAGAAGGCACACAGTCAGAGGGAATAGTGAGCAAGTTGGTGCAAGGGTTGTGCTCTATCTGATGCCCAGAACCATTTTGGAAAGACAAAAGTGAAATTCACAAGGCTGAAGACATCATCACAGCTCCCCTTCTGACTTTTGCTGCTTTTCAGTATATTTCTCTTTGCTTCACCTCTGAATTTTTTTGCTAAGTGGGGATGAGGAAGTGAGGCTAATAATTGTTATTGCTGAATCATTGGGCTGAAATCACATGGCCAGCGTTATTTAACTTTAAGACATTATTTCGCAGGTAGAATTGTTCTCAGTTAGAGAGAGTCTTTTTCTTTTTTTGAAACGGAGTCTCACTCTGTTGCCCAGGCTGGAGTGCAGTGGCATGATTTCAGCTCACTGCAACCTCCGCCTCCCGGTTTCAAGCAATTCTCCTGCCTCAGCCTCCCGAGTAGCTGGGATTGTAGTCACCTGCCACCATGCCTGGATAATTTTTGTATTTTTAGTAGAGATTGGGTTTCGTCATGTTGGCCAGGCTGGTCTCGAACTCCTGACCTCAAGTGATCTGCCTGCCTCGGCCTCCCAAAGTGCTAGGATTACAGGTGTGAACCACCACGCTGGGCCAGAGAGAGTCTTAGTTCAACTTTATAAAAGGGACATGGGGTAGCTAAGAGCCTTACCTGAGCAGACTACTACGTCAAAACCAGACACCAAACCCAAGGGTCCCAACTTCTTTAGGGGGCTCCTATAGGCTCCACTGTCTCCCTGGCACAGTAAATTTTTTTCCAAGGTCTTGTGGACTCTCTGGGGATCAAAGCTGCTTTTACAATGAATAGCTCTGTGCAAATTCCCAGAATTAGTTTCTCAGATAGCAGGAATGCTCCTAAATCAGGTTGTGCATGAGTAAGCAATGATTTCCTCCCTCCTGCAAGAGACTCATGGCTAGTTTCTCAGACAGAGGACGTGACTGGCCACTTTTGCCCCCTGAGGTTCTGAGGCCAGGGGTAGAGCTTGGTGGAGGCTGGTAGGTTCCCTGCTGAGGTAACTGCAGTGCAGCAGCCCAGATTCCATCTCCCTTTCTAAACACTGCACACATGCTAATGCTGGAGGAGCACAGCTTTGCCAGGGATTTCCATATGAGAACCCCAGAAAAGAAACAACTTGAAATATCATGGCAAACATGAGATGCACCCATAAAAGATGAAAGCAATTGCTATAAACCACGTGAAAAAGCTGGTGTTATTACATATACCTCCTCCTTCACACTTAATTCATAAGAGTGAGAGAGGAGGACCCTTTTAATAATGGGACAAGGAAAATTAATAAATTAACATACTGCTCATATACTGCAAAGGTAATAATTCCAAAACACATTATGAGCACTGAGAAGAGTAGTCTTTATGAAGTTTTCTCACTCAGAGAGCCGCCTTTCCAGGGAAAGGCAACTACAATCTTCCCCAGGGTCAGCTCAACACTAGCCTAGAAGGTGTCTGCAAAGTTGTTCGGCATGAATCCCATATATTGGGGACCCATTCCGGTGGGGTTGACGTAAGGAGCTCTGGGTTCTGGAAGAAGGATCCCAAGATAAGCACTCAGTGACAGCAAGCATGGGAATCTGAGTTGGCAACCCAGGGCCTGGAAACTACAAGGATGTTTATCTAGAATTTAGGAAGAGAGAAGCTTAAATGGGGGAAAAACAGTACCAATTATGGGCACCAAATACATATATAATATAGGAAATGGGAAGAAGTGGCAAAAACTTCCAGAACATGAATGTGTAGCATAATGTAAACAAGAGATTTCATTAGGGAACTTTTTCCAGACAAGAGTGAGGCATCCATTTCCAGGGATCTGATTAACCACTCAAGCACTGCTTTTCAACCACGTATCAGAGGGAATAAATAGGAGCAGGGTCTAGGATGTGTACCCTGGAACACCCTCTGCTGTCTTCGCCACTGTGTCTAGGGGCAAAATTCCAGAAACCCATGGCACCCAGGAATAAATCCCAAGTATGTGTTCTCCTTCAGGGCCTTTGAGCCACAATTCCACCCGCTGGCAGAAATACTACTTCTGTTTTAAAGCTGTTAAAAACCTATTTTTAAAATCGTACAGTTGGCAGATCACCAAAATCAAAACTTGATAGTCTAGTATAGTCTTATAGAACTATTTAAAATAATCCATGGGAAAATGTTCCAAGCCGGAAAAATAACAGTTTCACACATGCACACATGCACACAGGCAGGACCGTGTGTGCATGCACTAGGGCAACTGCCCGCACAGCCACGAGAATGGGGGCCCAGGAGGACGGTGAAGATGACAGAGTGGGATGGGCCATATGTTCCGATTTCTTTATACATTACCTATTGATCCACTGCCCCATCAATTCTCTTCAAGATTTATCTCAGGCCCAGGGTTCTTCTCCTTCCTCCTTCATACCTGAAAGTCTCCCTTCTACCTGAATAGTGTCTCCAAATTTCTTCATTTTTTTTTTTTTTTGAGACAGGGTCACACAGGCTGGAGTGCATTGGCATGACTGGAGCTCACTGCAGCCTCGACCTCCTGGGCTCAAGCGACCCTCCCATCTCAGCCTCCCGAGTAGCTGGAACTACAGGCGTGTGCCACCAGGCTCGGCTAATTTTTTGTATTTTTTTGTAGAGATGGAGGTTTCCCCATGTTTCCCAGGCTGGTCTTAAACTCCTAGGCTCAAGCGATCCACCTGCCTCAGCCTCCCAAAGTGCTGGGATTACAGGCACGAGACACTGCACCTGGTCATTCTCTCCAAATTTTGATGCAGTCTACATTTGAACTTCCATGAGTTTCCCACACTCACTGCGCTCCTAACGTGCTGCTCCTTGACCTGGGCATAAATCTTCCCTTACATTTCTGACTTGCTTGCTTCCTATTTCCAGCTACTGTTATTCCCCAATAACTGTTAAATATCCAATTCTATTACAAGTTAATCATAGTGTGGAATGGGAATAGGTTGTCTTTTGTTATGTTTTTAGTGATTAACAGAATTTCTTGGCACATAGTAGGCAATGAATAAATACTTGCTGGTGGATTTGCTTCCATTTTATGTACCTGTTATGTTTCAGGTGACATGATTTAACCTAATCTGAAGGGCTCTGTGTGTGACATGACACAGCATAAATATGGTATGTCCAAAGCTGTACAGCTATATTAGCTCTTACAGTGGTATCCTATCAGCTATTTTTTGTCATCATCAAAAGATCATTACTAAGTTCCACATATGCTGCACTTGGATAAAATCCCCTGGCCCCTAGAAACTTATAATTGGACAAAACTATCACCATATGATGAGTAAATATGGGGAAAATATATATAGATATGTCTAAAAGCAAGACTAGGCATGGTGGCTCACACCCATAGTCCCAGCAGTTTGGGAGGCTGAGGTGGGTGGATTGCTTGAGCCCAGGAGTTAGAAAACAGCCTGGACAACACGGCAAAACCCGGCCTCTACAAAAAAAAAATTAGCTGAGCATGGTGGCATGCACCTGCAGTCCCAGCTGCTTGGAGGCTGAGGTGGGAGGATTGCTTGAGGCTGGGAGGCAGAGGTGGCAATGAGCGGAGATGGCGCCACTGAACTGTAACATGAGTGACAAAGCCAGACCCTCTCAAAATAAATAAATAAATAAATACAATAAAATTAACTTCCCTGGAGGCTGGGGAACCTCATTAGCAGCTCTTCTTTATAGGAAATGACCATTCCAAATGGGAACTTGATTTTCAAGCTTGTAGAAAGTACCCAGCTCTTTAGATTTACATTTAGTCTAGGGAGGAGTGGCTGTATAGCCAGCCAGAGCTGGGTTTGAATTTCTGCTCCACTACTTACTGACTGACTTAGGACAGGCACTTTCCCTCCCTGAACATATGCACACATCAGAAAAATGGTCATGTCACCATCAGTCTTTCAGGCTAACTGGCAGAGTAAATAAGATAACAAAGAAAACACCTGTAAAGCACCCAGCTCAGTACCCAGGAAATCAGAGGTGGGTACACAACTTTCCTCTTCTCCCCTCTTTTGAATAACTCATCCATTATTCGAATGGCACCTGCAACAATACACTAAGTAGGAAAACTGGTTCGTGAGGAAATTCATACTTGCTATATATCCTTTGTAAGTCCATGGGTTACATCAAGCATTCCTTGATTATGCTCAATACTTAAGGACCAGTGGCCAGACTGTTTTGTATGTGTGTACATATGCATGTGTGTGGGAGGGATATTTGATATTCTTTCTTTTTCAATATTTCTTACCCAATCATGAGTCAGAGCCTTTATGGGATAAAGGTTTCCTAAGATGTAAACGTCCAAGAATTGAGCATTTCTAGGAAATTCCTGAAGCATCCCAAGAAAGTTAGGCTGAGGATGAATTCTCACATCCTACACATGCTCCACAAGTGTAGAATTATTCGATTCTGCTTCAATGGCAAGGGCAAGGACAGCTGAAAGACAGTCTATTATTCCATGAACTAAACGTGAGCTGACACTGACACCCAGGTCCAGAGCAAACAAGCCAGTGGCACTATCAAAGACCTCCAGATAGGATTCCTCCAGATAGCAGTGAAAAATTCATTCAGTTGTTTGTCTCAGAGGATTCTGTCTTAGATATGAAGTCTGTGTGACTGATGAAGGCACAGTGATGATGGGTCTAGGCAGAGAAGTTGGAAGATGACACAGAACCTCTCAATTGGGAAAAACTTCCCCCTCTTTCCTCAAATAAGCTCTTGTCCCTCTGGAAAACTCTTAGTTTCTCTTCAAAGCCCTAAAGAAAATGCTGCCTCCTCTAGGAAGCTCTCCAGGACCACTCAAAGTATGGCCCCTGCTTGCTGGCTTTCAGTTACTGCACATATGACCTGGTATCACAGTTACTTGCTGCCTTCTGCCTCCTCAACCAGACTGCATCCTCCTGCATTATCCCCTCTCATATTTCTCATGGTTTGAAATAATATATTTAAAGTATTGGCTAACATTGATTGATCTGTTTTCATTGTAAGAAAACATAGCTCCTAAATGCAGGGACTACGGTCTGCCTTACTGCTCACTATTCTATCGCCAGTACCCAGAACTTTGCCTGGCATCTGGGAAGTGCTCATTAGAGTTTGTTGAATGAATGAATGAATAAATAAATAAATAAATAAATAAATAAATACATACATACATACATAGCCGTCAGCTCCTTAGGGTTTTGTCTGTTTCTCCAGCACCCAGCATAGTGGCTGGCACAAAGTTGTCAGGGAGGAAAGGTTAAATGAACAAAATTGCTTTTTAAAAAAATCATGTTTTGACCGGGTGTGGTGGCTCATGCCTGTAATCCCAGCACTTTGGGAGGACGAGGCGGGTGGATCACCTGAGGTCAGAAGTTCAGACCAGCCTGACCAACATAGAGATACCCCATCTCTACTAAAAATACAAAATTAGCTGGGCATGGTGGTGCATGCCTGCAATCCCAGCTACTCGGGAGGCTGAGGCAGGAGAATCGCTTGAATCTGGGAGGCACACATTGCGGTGAGCTGAGATCATGCCATTGCACTCCAGCCTGGGCTCGAAACTCCATCTCAAAAAAACAAAAAAAATCATCTTTTAAGTTTTAAAAAGTGGTCTATTTTTATGTAAATTGCTATCCGAACCAGGAATGTATAAATATGCCATCCTCATTAGCATATAATTTGGACTGAATAGAAACCTGAATATGGGCAATGACGAATTTAAGTAAAAATCAGAGATATATTCTAAGCTGGGAACTGTTCCATGTATTATACTCATAGGCATCCTCATTAGAGTCCTAGTAAGACGGAAGAAAAAGATGCTAAAAAAAAAATCTAAAGAATTTGGGAGAGACTCTTGCTTCTGGGAATGACTTCACGTGGTCATAATTCCACTTATCAAAGCCCACATGTTTAAAGCATTCTGCTCTTCACATTTTCTCATTGTCATTACATCCCAGTAAGGTAGATCAGTCAGGAGCTATACCCATTTTATAGAGAGGAAAACTGAGGCTAGAGGCTATGCAATCTCTGTAAGGTCACAAAGCTAATTAGTAGTGGAGTGAGTTCTAAATCAGGTCAGCTGACTCCAAGTTTAGTAATCTTCCCACTCCCCACTGGTTGGGTGGCAATTATAATTTTCACCTCATTCCAACTAAAGTCGCAGGCCAACTCTAAACCTTTGCTGAGTCCTCCAATTACTCTCAACTTCTGCATCTTCAGCATTTAGTACTCCTGGGGCCTCAACTGGTATTGGTAAGAATAGTCTCCTTATAGCATAGTAGTTAGGGGTTGGCTTTAGAGTCAGACAGACCTAGGTATGAGGACAAATCCCACTACTGTGATCTTTAGTATGCTTACTTAACCTCCTTGTGCCTCAGTTTCTTCATCTGTGAAATGGGATGATAATAATATATACCTCATACGGTTGTTGTGAAGATTAAATGAAAAAATGGTTACAAAGCACTTAGTATGGCTTGTGTTTTACAGCCTCATGTTAAAATGAGAAAAGGTGATTAGCTGAGATGTTAGACACGGACTGTCCCCCCTATTAAGATGCCTTCTGCTGATTAAGTCCCTCCCTCATTCCTCCCAAGCTCAGGGCAGGGGCTTTGCAGGAAGAGGTTAATCCAGCAAGTGTGGTTTGCCTGCGGTGTGTGTGCCTAGTCCCATAAAATCCTCTAACGAGAAGCAGCTCATTGGCTTGGCTGTCCCTAGGTATTCTGTCCTCTCACAGAGGCTGAGTTTGTGCCAAGCCGAAGCCCTCTGCCCCAGGGAGTCTCTGTGGGTTGAGTGAGGCAACCGTAGTGAGCGAGTCTTGTTCCCACTGATCCCCAGGCTCTAGCTAAGGGTTCTTTCCAGGAGGGAGTCTAGGAGTGCTGAATGGGATAGATGCCTGGACTTCATGCTTGGAAGACACTGAAGAACAGTGTTTGCTGGGACAGGAAGAGAAGGAGTCTCCAGGAGAGACCATAATGTTTGAGATACGCAAGAACAGTGCTTGTGGGCACAGGCTTCCATGATAGATGGAAGAATCCCAGGCATCCAGAGAAGAAATACATCTGCTCTGAAACAATGAAGAGGCCATGGACTGATCACAGCTCACTCATCAAGAGCTGGTCATGGAGATACCTGAGGGCCAATTAAGTCATTCACCCAAATACCCTCACATCTTCCCAGTGCTGCCTCCTTTGGAGTTTAAGGGAAACCTGATTCTGGAGGGTAAGCATCTCTTTGATCCCTGCTGGCCTCAGCCTAACATCATTTACAGGGAAAGTTTTGAGCCCTCCCCAGAGCAAAGGCTTGGGCTAAGCTCCCCCTCTGTGAATTGGAGCCAGGCTAGTTAAATTTTATATGTGAAGTGTGGCAATTCGAGGAATGACCTCCACTTTACAACATCCCCTGTCTCCTTGCCTACCAATAGCAATTGACCTGAAAGTCTTGGGCTTGGATGGAAAGGAAACCACAGGCCTAACCCAGCTCCACCCTAGTAGGCTGGGTAGGTGTAACATGACCTGCTCCTCAACCTGGGCTATGGCAGACAGGTACCCGCCCTGGCACACCTGCCCAGAAGTCTGTTTCTGGTAATGAGCTAGGTGAGTATTCAATAGCTATGGCCCCAGGATAGGGCACTAAGCTCTCTTTATAAGGGCAGGTTCCCATGAGATGGAGTTGGGTAAAGGAAGGAGGCGGGGAGAATATCAATTCAAAAGAAAGAATGAGGTAGCCTAGAAAGGCTGTTGAGTAGGAAGGAAAGAGTGATAGGCTCAGAGAAAGGGCATTGGGGTCACTTAGAGGACTTGCACACCCTCCAGGCATTGGGGAAGCAAAGAATTTAAGAGTAGAGGCAGTGCAAATATTGTTTGGGTGGCAATTATAATTTTCCTTGGGCACACCCTATGTGGATCTGAAGTAGGCTCTAGTTGGGGTGGCAGAGGTGGAGGGAGGAGAGGAGGTTATGAACAGTTCCTTCCCTTCACCTTCTCCAGGGCCCAGTGAGCTGTCCAGGACTCAGCCCAGGATCTCACCTGAAGTAAGAGGTCCCTACATGGGTTTATTCTCTGCTCATAAACTGGTTCCTTTTATGACACCACCATACCTACCAGCCATTTTGGCAAAGTGACCCCAAGGACCCAAGTCACATTCCAGGGGGGCTTCAGGGCTGCATTCTGTCATACTGTGGTAGGGGAAAAAAGTTTGGAGTCAGCGGGCCTCTGGCTTCCAAGGGGCTCCTGGTGCCCATGGTCTTGCAGGGCAGGAACGGAGGCAGAAGATGCCTCTCGTTTCAGGCCTTGCCCAATTCTTTGCTTTTACCCTAGACCTTTGTGTGCACAGTTGTAATTGAGCCCCTGGAGGGTACTTGGGGCTCCCTTCGAGCAATATGAGGACGCAGGAGCATGTTACAGGGTGCAGGTCTGGGCTGCCTGAGATTTGAGGTGGGAGTGGCCACAGCACCAGGCATAGGGCCCAACCTCCAACTTCCCAGGTCTGCGGGAGGCTGAGGGGAAGGAGAGTGTATATGGGGTGAGAATAGTGAGATGGGAAGCCTCCCCTGCCCACCCCGCTAAAAAATCCCAGAAACCCCAGCCCCCTTTCTCAGGCCGGTGGAATTTCCTAATTCTCCCTTGGAAGTGCAGTTTCCAAGTCAGCTCAGAGAGTCCCAGGGCCAGCTGTGGTTACACTCACTTCCCCTTTATGAAGGAGCCTCTGTGCCTTGCCCTCACCTTACACGACCAGTCCCTCACTGTGCGTCTCCCCAAATTACCCGGCTCTCCGATTTTTCACCCCTTCCCAGGGTAGAGCACCAGGCTTCACTCTCTCTCGGAAGTATCCAGCCAGCAGTACGGTCACAAATTCAACGTCCCCTCCCTCCCCCGTTTCATCCTTCCGCCTCCCACCACCTCCTTTCACCCCAGGACGACCCCCGGAGCTTCCGGAACTAGGGTGACCTTGGCAGGGCCGACCTGGGGCTGCAAGCCCCTCCTCCTTCCACCCGCCTGGTCCCCAGGACCCCCGACCCTCACAGGCCGGGCCCCCACGCGCCACAGCCGCAACCATCGAAGTTCAATCAAGTTGCGCTATTGTCTCAGCTCCGTCCAGGTCTCCTGGGCGCCTAAGCTCCTTTCCTTCCCTTTCCACTCCCTAGAGCCCTCCACACACCCACTCCCAGCCCCAGATGCCCGTAAGCCAAACGTCCAGGAGCTCGGAGGCTCCGGCGGCGCAGGCACTCCTCTCTGGCGGAAAAGCGAGCGCGGCCAAGACCCTCCTTCTTGCGGACCCCACACCCACTGCCCCTGAGACTGCAGCTGCGGCGGAACTGGGGGGCTGCGGCGGGGCTGGGGGTGCCACAAACCCGACCCCAGCTCTGCGGTCTGGCGGTGAGGCCAGGGGGGTGGGGGCGCTTACCTGCGGGGGAAATTCACCGTTCTTCCGGATCTGGGCAGGGGCAGATGAAGCATCTTCCCCGGCTCAGGCGGCCATTCACCGGGTGGGCACCCAGCGCCCCCCAGGACCGCTCTCGCCTGACACCCGGGGACACCCGAAAAGGTATGAGCTGTGGGCCACGCGGAGGGTCGGAAACCTAACCCTCGCCTGCCCTCCGCTCCCTTTTCTCCCCACCACCAGGGCTTGTACTTACGGCTCCAGCTGTACTTAAAGTGACAGAGCCCCATTTCCCCGCCGCTGACTTCTGTCCCGAGCCCCGGCGATGCAGGCTGCGAGCGGGCTCTTTAACACCCAGAGCAGGTAGACAAAGAGCCACCGAAGCCTCCTCCGTTCCGGTGGCCTCGGAAGCCTGGAGGTGCCGACGGGGCTGGGGGCTCGACCTCCACCTGGGCTGCTCCGAAATTAACCCCTGGGATGCCAGCTGTGGTCCCTTGGGCGCTCTTACTCGCGCTGCACTGGCAGGAGGGGGTGTGAGCAGCGAGCCACTTCTCTCTGGGGCACGGGTGGGTAAGGAGTTGGGGAGGCCTGGGCAGAACCTTCTCCATAGAGGGCTTCCTCCCGGCCTCCTCCTGGCTCCTTTCCAGGCTTTTAGAAATTTCTAAAAATCGGAGCATGGGTCAGTGCATTGCCTAAAACAAGGTCCGTGGAGGGATGTGGTGGGAAACGAAGGTCCGATAGGGGTGCATATTACCACAGGTTGGCTCACGACCCTTCTGCTCACAGCCGGGAGCCAAGTAGGATGGCGCGACCTTCCGATGTCCTAACAACCTCAGGGGGTGGGGCCTAACATCTCTCCAGCATTCAGGAGACCACAGATTAGGTGAGGTGTGCTTGCTGGGGGAAGATTGTGGGAGAGAAACAACAGCTCACGCCACCCAAGGATCTGTGTCTTTATCCAGGATGCATTTTCAACTGACCGGTTAGGAAAAAAACAGTGGGATCCAGTAGCAGGGTCCTCCCATTGGGTTCCTCCCCCCTGAGGGTCCTCCTGGTAACTTCACTCTCCTGGTTCCAGAGAAAGGAGCCCTGTGGGGGGAATTAGCCTGCTGCCCTCACCCTTGCTTCCTCCAGTTCTCACTCTTGGCTCCTGGAAGGGGCTAAGTGTCTATGGTTGGGTCCCAATGCCAATGTGAACTGGGCAAACTGGGAAGCCTACATTTTAGAGATGGACAAATTATACCTGCAGTTTCTTTAAGCGACAAAAACAACAGTAGCATTTTTTTAAGCCCCCTAAAGTGCTGAACTAAGATGACTTGGGACCACAGAGCAGTAGTCTCTAGTGTTTGGGCAGTTTGATGTGACTGAGCCACACATACAGATCCAGGTCACATGTGTTCTCTTAAGCCTATCTTTCCAGGCCTCA
The DNA here is from genome assembly GCF_000001405.40 of Homo sapiens. NCBI lineage: Eukaryota > Metazoa > Chordata > Mammalia > Primates > Hominidae > Homo > Homo sapiens. The sequence goes on along the minus strand of NC_000001.11, from coordinate 201,738,674 downwards.
GTTTTTACAGATGTTAAGGGAGAGGTTTGCACTCCTGAACTCCTCCTCCTCGCTCTCACTGCCTTTAAAGAGGTCTGGGTGGTGCTTTGAGTCCTAGGAACAATCCTTTCCCAAGCCCCCCAGCAATGCAGGCTGCCCCTACTATTTTCGGCCCACAGGTCAATGCACTTTGGGTAACTGTACAGCCCCTCTGCCCCTACTACTCTGGCTGCCCAATGCCACTGACCTGGGGCTGCAGCTCTAGAGTGATGAACCACAGTTCTTAGAGGACAGAAAACCTCAGCAGAGGGACCTCTGTTTCTGGAGAATGGAACAGTTTAAGTTGGAGGAAGGGTCTTTGTTTCTGAGGTTGCACATTGTGGCCAAGTTTTCCAAATATGCTTTGAGATCAAAGGGGAGTAAAGAGCTGCAGTGATCCTAGCGCCAATCCCTCAGACTTCCCCCTAGCATGGGGGGCAGACAGATTTTTATTCCCTTTACTCTGTTCTAAGAGGTTTGGGTAGTAAGACTTAGAAAAGATGCACCAGCTCCCAAGCAGACCAGCTCTGAGGGGGAATCAGAGCAAGGCAGACGGTTCTCTCTCACATATTCTTCCATTTCATTCCAGGATGATGTCCCTGGCCAAGCCCTATCCTGGCTCTCCTGTTCTGGTAATGTCCTGAGCCTCCCATCCTCACCACCACCCGAAACGGGGTGAGCACAATGAGTTCTCTAGGGAGGCTCTGTCCACGCAGCTGTGCTGGAGCTGGCCTGGGTCATCTGGGGAACAGCTTACAGTGACGTGCCATAAGGGATTCTCTTTAGCCTCAGCCAGCATGGAATCCTGAGTAAAATGACTTTGTCTCAGCCAAAGGAATGTCATCAGCAGGGGATGTTTTTCTCCAGATCTAGCTGTAAGCTTTCCATAAGGTTTCCTCCTTTGTGGTTTTCTCAGCAGGGAGGGCCTGGAAGGAGGGAGATCTGAGGCCTGAAAGGGGTAGGCACAGGGGTTTACTTGGAGGGACAGGGGTCTTGTGCATGGAGCTGAGCTGTTCCTGAACATTCCCTCGCAGCCCCCCAGAGACCATGTGGCTCCATCCCTCATCCTCATACCTGGAGGCCTGCCCACCCTTCCTTCCACCCTCCTCCCTGTGTGTCTCACCTCACACAGGGACTGGAGGAGCAAACCATAAAGAGAACAAGTCTCAGCCAGTAGCTCAGCTCAGGGGAGAGGCTCTCAGCTGAGTCCCCACTGAACATTCTGGGGTATAGGGTCTCTAAATCACCTCCTTCTTGGGATTGATTCCTGAGCTGCCAGAACCCAACAGAAGGCAAGTTTCCTGCTATAAGTTCCTCTTTCCTTCTTGATGAGGACGGTAAGTCCCACAGTAGTGTCTACCTTACTGCTTCGTGGAGGTTATGGTGAGCTTTTATAGGGGAAGGAGCAGGATCCCAGAAGCGTTGCTACTTAAATAAGTAACATGCAAATTAGCACCTGCTATTTTCAGGTCAGGGCACTTTGGGTAATTGGCAGCAGCACTGAAGAGAAATGTTGTCTGGGAGTTTTTTGTGAAAATATGAAAACACAGCCTCCCCTGTCAATGGGGAGCTTCTGCGCTTGAAGGGGCCCTGACCTTGCCTGTCATGAGGGTGTGGCAGAGTGGAAGGGATATGGTGGCACGGTTGTCTTGACTACAGTGGAGGTGGAGGGTGGGGGATGGGCAATGAAGGGGTGACTCTGAGCATGACTGTAGCCTGGGGTGCAGGGAGTGGGGGGCAGCGGAGGGACACATGGTAGAGGAGGATGACACCTGCTGAAAGGGAGCTGGGAGTCAGGCACTTGTCCAGAAAGAAAACCCAGCCAAAGAGGGAGAGAGGAAAAAGGCCTGTCTATCTCACATAGGCTTCCTCTGTGCTCCTGTGGGGCTTCTCTTCAAAAAGCCCTTAGGAGCCATGATCTCATTTGTCTCCCGTGCCAGCACTCTCACAGCAGCTCTTTACAAGGGGGAAACTGAGGCATAGAAAGTCCAGGAAATGTCCAAAGCAGAGGGCAGAATGCAGGCTAATATGCATGAGGTCCCTCAGCCAGATTCCTGGGAGGGGGTAATTCTCTCTTCCTTCCCACACCTTCCCCACCTCAAAGGATCTCTGGAGTCACCTTGGCTGAGGCCCAAGGTTCTTTTGGCTGAAGTTTCATTTCCAACAGAGACATCGAAAGATAGTTTATGGGAGGCTCTCCTTGTCTCCTGGACAATAATCTCAGAGGTTGATGTGGTTGGTTAGAATGGGGTAAGAAAAAAAGGGAAAGACTTGAGAAGCAGTTTGGTGTGCTCTAAATTCCAGTGTTGCTTGCTTGTGGGTTTCTGGGTTCCAGGGTCACCTGTCTGGGGCCTGATCACATACCCGATTTCCTGGTGAGCCCCAGAAATGAGACCCTTGAGAGGATTAGGGTCCCAAGGTAGGTATCCACAACTCTGTCCACTGACCTGCCCTCATGTCTTCTCGTTCCCATCAATCATAAGGCTATTTCATTCCTCAGATGGAAAAGCCTGTCCTTGAACAAGTTTTGGCCAGTCAGAGAATGTCCCTCTGGGCCTGTGGGTGATAGCTGGGCCTGTGACTCCTCTGCATCCTAGCCAGGCCTAGTTGATAGCATAGTGGCAGAAGCAGGACAATGGGCATTTTACAGCAGAGTGATTAAAAAGAGAAAGAATTAAACCAGAATGGAGGGGCAGGGAAAGGAAAGAGAAAGGAATTGGGAGAGGGACTTCAGTGAATTAACCCTTTCCATACTGTGGCAGGATCAATGGGGAATTACCTGGCCACATCCTTAATCCCAGCTTTCAAAAACCTGCTCCCAGATCCCCCAATGACCCTACTGAATCCTGAGGGAATCATCTGTCGTGACCTTGACAGATGTCTAAGAAAATAATTTCCAGTCTCTGTGTAGAAGTTTTCAAAGCATTTTCACATCCATGAGTTTATTCTATTTTCAAATAACCTAGTGATCTAAGGTGAGGCAGGTACTATTATACTTGCTTTAGAACATTAACAGCAAGAAAGATTAATAATAGAGTGGCCTTGTTTGGCCACAGGTTTAGAAGCCACAGTGACATTGGGTCCAGGTCCAGGCAATGGATTTCTTTACCATTAGCAATGCCTGTGTCTTCCAGAGTTCCTCATGCATGAATGTGGGGCGCTTCTCTCCTTTCCTAGACCAGCATGGCTGCTGTCTTTCCTCCTCAACCTCCAGGCCCTTCCTGCAGGAAATGCCAGGTACCCTGGATCAGACCCAGTTCATGTGGTCAGAAAATCCAGAACGTTTGAGCCAAAAAGGACTTTAGAGAGCATCTAGTTCAAACCGCTCATTTTCACAGAGGAGAAAATTAGGCCCAGACAGGGCAAGTGACTAGCTCAAGATCCTTCCACACAATCCAGGTGTCTTGATTCCTGGGGCAGGCTTCTTTTTACCAGTCAATGGCACCACTTCTTGCCAACTCCCTCCCTGGTGTGGGGCTCAGATTGACAGGTTTGGAAGGTAGATGGGAGAGTTTGAACTGGGGGCACTGGGGGTCAGCAGATGCACAGTGGAGTGTTCCAGAGCTCAGCCCTAATCCCAGCTGAGATTTCTCTGGGGCAGCAAATCAGACAGCTGGAGGAAGGGGTCCTGCTCCCAGCTGTGTTACTGTTCAACAAATATTTATATAACCTTCGAGGAGACCTGCCTTTCTCACCACCCCACAGTTGGGAGGGGCAGGAGAGAGGGTAGACCCTCCAGATCTTGTATAGTGAGCTACCGTCTCAGTAATCCTAGCTGATTATCTTGCTTCCAGTATCCCAACACATCAGTGGCTTTGTGTGCTTCTGAGAACATGAGACAGAGGACCATAGGAAGGGGTAGGGGAGAGGGGCTGTCTCTCCAGTAAGGGCCTGATGGACCCTCACCTGGGGTCACTGGGCAGATGCCAGGGTGTGTGTGAGTGTGTGTGTGTTTGTGTGTGTACAAACCCTCCACCTCGAGAGGCCAGGAGCAATCATTTCAGATCAGCTTAAGCACCCATGCCACTGCACTCCAGTGGTTCTCCGTTGCTAATTTGGATCCCAAATCTCTGGGAAACACAAATGAAACCTCATACAATGTATTGAGAAAGTACTGTAAATGATCTTCTTCTTCTTCTTCTTCTTCTTCTTCTTCTCCTTCTCCTTCTTCCTCCTCCTCCTCCTCTTCCTCCTCCTCCTCCTCCTCTTCTTCTTCTTCTTCCTCTTCTTCTTCTTTTTTTCTTTTTTGAGACAGGGTCTTGCTCTGTCACCCAGGCTGGAGTGCAGTGGCATGGACACGGCTCACTCCAGCCTCAATCTCCAATCACTCAAGCGATCCTCCCACCTCAGCCTCCTGAGTTGCTGGGACCACAGGTGCAAGCCATCATCGCCAGCTAATTTTAAAATTTTTTGTACAGAAGGAGTCTTGCTGTGTTGCCCAGGCTGGTCTCGAACTCCTGGGCTCAAGCAATCCGCCCGCCTAAGCCTTCCAAAGGGCTAGGATGAGAGGTGTGAGCCATCACACCTGGCCAATGTTATCTTCTTTAATCCTCAAAACCTTCTCCCCACCTCCACTTCTATCCCTGGTGTGAGCCACCATCCATTCTCACTTAGCTAACTGCAGCAGTCTCCCTTCCATGCTTCCTGGTTCCCCTGGTGTCCCTGTGGTCTGCTCTCCTCATAGTAGCCAGACAGACCCTTTGCAAAACATGTTGGATCACATCGTCCCTCTCCCTGAAGTCCTCCAGTAGCTTCCTCTCTCTTGGAAGAAAAGCCAAAGTCCTCAGCATGGCACACATGGCCTCTGGCTACCTGTGACCTCATTTCTGGCCACTTGCCCCCTTGCTAACTCTGCTTCAGCCACACTGACCTCCCTGCAGTTCCTTGAACTTATGCCGATTCCTGCCTCTGGGCCTTTGCATATACTCTTCTGTCTGCCTGGACAGCTCTCTCCCCAGTTATCTGCACAGTTTATCAAAGAAGCCTTCCCTGACTATCCACTCTCAAATACCCGCTACCCCATCACTCTCTGCCCCTTACCCTGCTTTATTTTTCCTTATGACACACAGCACCACCTAACCTATTGCATGTTTATCTGTTGGCTTGTTTGCCATTTCTTTTTCTCTCTTTTTTTAATTTAATATATATATTTTAAATATAGAAGGCTTCACAGATTTGGGTGTCATCCTTGCACATGCTAATCTTCTCTGTATTGTTCCAATTTTAGTATATGTGCTGCCAAAGCGAGCACTGCCATTACTTTCTTTTTTCTTTTTTGAGAAGGAGTCTCGCTCTGTCACCCAGGCTGGAGTGCAGTGGCTCAATCTCGGCTCACTGCAAGCTCTGCCTCCCAGGTTCATGCCATTCTCCTGCCTCAGCCTCCCAAGTAGCTGGGACTACAGGCACGCATCACCATGCCCAGCTAATTTTTTGTATTTTTAGTAGAGACGGGGTTTCACCATGTTGGCCAGGATGGTCTCGATCTCTTGACCTCATGATCCGCCCGCCTTGGCCTCCAAAAATGCTGGGATTACAGGCATAAGCCACCATGCCTGGCCCTGCCATTTCTTTTTTGTTTTGGTTTTTGAGACAGAGTCTCGCTCTGTTGCCCAGGCTGGAGTACAGTGGTATGATCTCAGCTCACTGCAACCTCCGCCTCCTGGGTTCAAGCAATTCTTATGTCTCAGCCTCCTGAGGAGCTGGGATTACAGGCACGCGCCACCATGCCCAGCTAATTTTTGTATTTTTAGTAGACACAGGGTTCCGCCATGTTGGCCAGGCTGGTTTTGAACTCCTGACCTCAAGTGATCCACCCGCCTTGGCCTCCCAAAGTGCTGGGATTACAGGCGTGACCCACCACACCTGGCCATTTCTTTTCATACATGAGTTTAAGAGCAATGCCTATTTTTCCTCCTGCCACATCTGCAGTGTCTGGTATATATTAAGTGGTCTACAAGTGTTTGTGGAATGTATGAGCAAATATCACAAGGTGGGCATTCCTTTCAGATAATGACACCGAAGCACAAAGAGGCTAAGTAATGCACATAGGTAGTGAGTAGCAAACTGAAAATTATACCAGACCAGTTGGGCTCTAGAATGTTCCATCTACTTTGCTACTCTACTTCCCAAGAGCAGGAAACTAACCACAAGGACTTGTGGAGATATAAGAGAGTGTATAAGCCAGACATGGTGACTCATGCCTGTAATCCCAGCACTTTGGGAGGCCAAGGTGGGTGGATAGCTTGAGCCCAGGAGTTTGAGACCCGCCTGGGCAGCATGGTAAAACCCTGCCTCTACCAAAATTAAAAAAAATACAAAAATTAGTGTGTATTTTAAAATTTAAGAATTAGCCTGTATTACATTTTAAACTTAGCATGGATTAAAAATAGCATCGTGGCACTTGCCTGTAGTCCCAGCTACTTGGGAGGCTGAGGCGGGAGGATTGCTTGGGCCCAAGAAGTCAAGGCTGCAGTGAACCATGATTGTGCCACTGCACCCCAGCCTGGGTGACAGAGTGATGCTTGTCTCAGGGGAAGAAAAAAAAAAAGAGAGAGAGAGATTGTATAGCTGTTGCCTTCCAAACTTCAGGGGTATCTGATCAGAGCTGGGAAGGGTGGGATCTCTCAGTTGGAACCTCACACAGGGAGCAAGGAGCTCCCTTGTATTTTCCCTGGCTAAATCCAGAAAACAGGGAAGATCAGAGGAAAGTTCACTCCAGCATGAGCACAGGGCAGCTGGCTATCCCCCAGGGCCCCTCTGTGGAGGCTCGCTGTGGCTTGGAAAGGGGCAGTGACAGCCAGATGATAAGCTCTGTCCCTGATCTTCTAATAACACTCAGCAGAATGTCAGCAGTCCTGGGAACCCCAGCTGCTGCAAGTCCCACCACCTGAAATTGTCCATATGGCCATGTATGTGTAGATAGTGTCATTCCTGAACTGCCCTTTGTCATCAAACCCACAGGGGCCAAGACAGAAGCCAGACTTCAAAGTAGAGGAAGAATGAGAGATTGAGGCTGGGTAGAGGGGCTGGAAGAGGGTGAGCAGTCAAAGAGGGCAGGGACTAGGTCAGAGCTTTGTTCCTGTCTCCCAAGCTGGAGATGCCCCACAAGAAAGAGACAAGGTACGACACAGACCCCTTTTAGTAGGAGCTGGCCAAAGGAGAAGGGGGGTAGGCTGGTGAGAATATACTCGCCCTGCTCTGGGTCACTCCCCAACCCTCAGGCTGAGCACAAGGTCACTCTTGTTTCTCTGGAGGGGTCCCTCCACCTCTCAGACACTCTCTGTGCCTGTCTGGTTGCCGCACACCCCCTGCACATCGGCGGGCCTGTGTCCTCAAACAGTCGATCTTGTGCACACACAGCCTCTTTGTATCCAGCCACCTCTCACACACGTTTGGATGGGTCTCACACAGTATCTGTCTGTCTCTCATTTCCACTGCTTGGTGTGCACATCACGAACGTGCTGACTCTGTTTTTCTACCGCACATGCCCCCGTGTCAGCCTCTCCTACCTTGTCTCTCCGTGATCCTGCCCTGCATATTCAGTGAGTGTCGATCTGCCTCCAATGTAGCTATGTGCTTTCGGTCTCTATGGGCCTGACTCTTTCCTCTGGCCTGCTTTGCAAATCTATACTTTTATGCCTTTTCCTGTGCTTGTTCCATCGTCACACTGATATATAGATGACCACCATTCAGTCCTTCAGCATCTTTGGACCCCCAACCCTGAACACTTCCGTAGGTAAGTCCCTCTGCCTGGCCTGCTGGCCTTTCTTCAGCTGCAGTGAATGGCCTTTTACTGCCTGGCCAGAGACATCTGATAGCCCAGAGGCCAGAGCTGGCCCCTCATGAACATCCTGGGACAGCTCAGCCTTTGAGCTGGAGTCAAACAAGGACTTGTATTCACAGAGGCTTGGGTTGCTCCTTCTGCCCTTGGACCAGAATTCCTGACTGTGGCCACTTTGTGGCTCCCCAAAGCAAGACTCTATCCTGGAAGATGGAGAGGTCATGTAAGGGCATTCCAGGAGGGGGTCTCTAACAATGATTCATTGGTCAGTCGACAGCATGGCCTGAGAACCTACATTGCTAGGTGTCGAGGGGAAACAGAGAGAGAGAAGACAGAGTCTCTGTCCTTGGGAAACTCCTACTCCAGTGGAAGGCCTGTGATCCCTGCCCCTGTCATGCTCACAGGCTTCAGGGACACAAGGGCTGCACACAGAGGGAAAGGCTTCAAGGAGCACATGGTGAGGCAGTAGGTGCACTGGAACGTGCCCAGAATGTCAGAGGCAGAGGCCTGGGTTCTGTTCTGGTGGGGCCACTTTGAGTTATATGATCCTCCCAAGCCAGTTAATCTGAGTTCCAATTTCTTCACTTGTAAATTGGAGGGGGGAAGAATGTCTAATTCACAGTGCTGTTAACATTAAATAAGATAATGCCATATTAGTGTGTGCAAACCATGCATGCTATGCAATTGCGAGAGAATCATAAAAGTGCAAATTACTTGCAGTATGAATTATGCACACAAGTTCCAGGACAACCCAGAGTCCAGTGTGATGAATCAGGAAAGGCTCCCTGGAGGGAGGGGATTTTGCAAAGATGGGTGGGCAACTGGACATCACCACCCAGGCGGAATAGTTGGCCATAGATGATGGCCTTTATAGCTTTGGTTTTCTAGGAGTAACCAAGAGAAGGGATGGAGGTAACATTTACTGACACCTGCTGCATGCCAAGTGTTATTTTTATTCTTTTATTTTTTTTTTAAGACAGTTTTGCTCTGTCGCCCAGGCTGGAGCGCAGTGGCACGATCTTGGCTCACTGCAAGCTCCACCTCCCGGGTTCACGCCATTCTCCTGCCTCAGCCTCCCGAGTACCTGGGACTACAGGCTCCCGCCACCACACCCGGCTAATTTTTTGTATTTTTAGTAGAGACGGGGTTTCACCGTGTTAGCCAGGATGGTCTCGATCTCCTGACCTCATGATCTGCCCGCCTCGGCCTCCCGAAGTGCTGGGATTACAGGTGTGAGCCACCGCACCTGGCCACCAAGTGTTATTTTTTAAGATGGAGTCCGATCTCTGCTCACTGCAACCTCCACCTCCCAGGTTCAAGCAATTCTCGTGCCTCAGCCTCCCAAGTAGCTGGGACTACAGGAGCCTGCCACCACGCCCAGCTAATTTTTGTATTTTTAGTAGAAATGGGGTTTCACCATGTTGGCCAGGCTGGTCTCGAACTCCCGACCTCAAGTGATCCACCTTGGCCTCCCAAAGTGTTGGGATTACAGGTGTGAGCCACTGTGCCTGGCCACCAAGTGTATTACATACACTATATTTCACTACATGCTAAGAACAATACTATTGCCGTATTCGTATTCTTGCTTAAAATAGATAAACAGCTTTTCCAAAGACTCAGAGCTGGGATCTGAACACCAGGCCTGTCATACTTCCAAACTTGTGTTCTTTCTGTAATATCAGACTACATGGAATTTCCAGGCACCACACAAGCTCAGCTGGCTTATCACAGAACATAAGGAAAAGGTTGACAATTAAAGAGGGGAGACAGTGGACAGGTAGACAGGTGGGCAGAGCTGGTGGGGGAAAAGCCAAGCTCATCTCAACAGCTTCCTTGATCCTTACCCATCTTGATTGTCAACCAAATTGCATGTCATCACACTAGGTGAAAACTCCAGCAGCTCAATTGTAGGTTACTAGGACACACTAGAGGAAGGAGCACTCCTTAGCTAGCATTAGTTGGCATAGCAACTAGAATACCTCCAGCAGCCCCTCTGGAATACCTGGCTTACTCCAACCTTTCACCAACCCTGCTGGGTTTGAACAGACACTGTTATCCAGATTAATGCTGCACAGACTGAGGGGTGCTGCCCACTATTTTAAGAATTAAGGAGGCTGGGTGTAGTGGCTCACACCTGTAATCTTAGCACTTTGGGAGGTTCAGGGGGGATCGGGGATTGCTTGAGCCCAGGAGTTTGAGACCAGCCTGGGCAACATAGTGAGACTCTGTCTCTACAGATGTCTTTTTTTTCTTTTCTTTTCTTTTTTTTTTTTTTTTGTTTTGCGATGGAGTTTCACTCTTCTTGCCCAGGCTGGAGTGTAATGGCATGATCTCAGCTCACTGCAAGCTCCACATTCTGGGTACAAGTGATTCTCCTACCTCAGCCTCCCAAGGAGCCAGGATTACAGGAGCCTGCCACGACACCAGGCTAATTTTTTTGTATTTTTAGTAGAGGCGGGGTTTCACCATGTTGGCCAGGCTGGTCTTGAACTCCTGACCTCAGGTGATCCACCTGCCTCGGCCTCCCAAAGTGCTGGGATTACAGGCATGAGCCACTGCGCCTGGACTTCTACAGAAAAATTTAAATACTAGCCAAGTGTGGTGATGTGTGCCTCTAGTCCCAGCTACTCAGGAGGCTGAGGTGGGAGGATCATGTGAGCCTAGGAGGTAGAGGCTGCCACGAGCCCTGATTACACCACTGAACTCTAGCCTGTGCAACAGAGTGAGATCCTGTCTCAAAAAAAAAGAAAAAGAAAAAAAGAAGGAGTGTTTTGAGAGCCAGGGGTTCACATCTGACCCAGGAATCTAACTCCACACCTTCCTCTTGTCTTTCCTTCCCATCTTTCCTCTTTATAACTGGTGGTATTTGTGTCCCACCTATGCCCCCTGCAGTCACTGTTCCTGTATGTGCTGTCTGAGCATGACTGTGGGCGCCTGTGACTCGAACTCAGGAATTCCTCTCAGCCTATGTGCAGCAGGCTTGAAACGCAGACCCAATGCCCTCTAGGAGCTGCCCTCAGCCAATAATGAATGGGAGCTGACATATAAATACCCATGCTTCCTTGCCCTTCTGGTGGGGCAACACTGAGGTGTATTCCACGTCATCTCCTAGAAATCCGTAAGCCCCAGTTGCCCACAGCAGTAACCTGCACATGAACATAGCCTGTAGTGGCTTCCTTCTCTCCCCTAACTCACTTTCCCACTCCTGTCAGCACTTTCTGGGCACCTGCCAAATAAACCACTTGCACCCAAATCCTTGTCTCAAGGTCAGCTTCTGGGGGTGCCCGGCCCAAGACATTCTTCATAGGCAAGAAACATGTTTGAGTGAAGGACTGACAGCCCAATTAGCCAAGTCATGATGGGAAAGAGGTCATGGTCACTTGTGTGACTCTGTGTGCAGTGAGCTTAGCTATCTGCACAATAAGCACATGCTATACTCACCCCAAACCACAGATGGGCACCATTTGCTGCACGAGAACATTGTGTGAACAGGTAAAAATGGGTCAAAACAAATCCATCTTTCTTGGCAAACAACTTATTATGTCATTCTTCCTGTGAGGATCAGAAAGATCATTTTCAAGCATGAAGGTTAATACATTCTTTGTCAAAGAATGTATTATCATCTAGAATGTGTCTGTGACAACTTAGGTCCAGTAGCTTGCTAATGTCTATCATCAAATGGCTGATGAAGGAGAGCCAGCATTTGTTGAGCATGTATGATATCTAACATAAGACAGCATTTATGATATCTAACGTAAGAGTATTAACTAATTTAATCCTCACATTAATCTTACAGAGTAGGCACCACTTCTCTCCACAGTTTTCGGCTGAGGAAACAAGCAGAGGGAGGTGAAAAACTCATCCAAACTCACAGAGCTAGGAAGGAAAAGAGACAGGACACAAACACAGGCAGCCTAGCTGTGAGCCTTCACTCTAAACCATGCTATGGCTCTGCCCATCTGTGGTATGCCTGTGTTGATAAGCCTGTTCTCAAAAGTCTGTTTATTTAACTGCACACTACAGGATTAAAAGAATATCAAGACCGTGTTGTGAAGCATTCCTTGAAACCTAAGTCAAAGCCCAAATTTAATGTCCTCATCTTCCAAGTTTAAGAAATCTTATTTTGATACTCTAGCCACCCCTAATTAAGGCAGAAGCCATCAGCTAAATGAAGAGAACATTACATGGAGATCAGAATAATAGATTTCTATTTTTTTTTTTTTTTTTTGAGATGGAGTTTTGCTCTTGTTGCCCAGGCTGGAGTGGAGTGGTGCGATCTTGGCTCACTACAACTTCCACCTCCTGGGTTCAAGCAATTCTCCTGCCTCAGCCTCCTGAGCAGCTGGGATTACAGGTGTGCACCACCACACTGGCTAATTTTGTATTTTTAGTAGAGATGGGGTTTCATCATGTTGTTGTTGGTCAGGCTGGTCTTGAACTCCTGACCTCAGGACATCTACCCACCTCGGCCTCCCAAAGTGCTGGGATTACAGGCATAAGCCACCACACCCAACCAGAATAATAGATTTCAAACTGACAGCTCTTTATACTTTTCAAAGCACTCTTACTATTCTTTTCCATTTGATCCTCTTAAGGCAAAAATGATTACCTTTTTTACAAATGAACAAACTAAGACTCAGAGAGGCTAGGTGGCTTTCTCAGTGCCACAGCAAGTTAGAGCCGTGCTTAGGATTGAACTCCAGATCTCAGAATTAGCCCAGTGCTTCTTCCCTACACCACAAAGAAGCATCAGCCAAGGCTATGTGTATGAATCTGGAGTCAGCATTCTAATTGTTAGATATTATCTTCAATGAAGCAACAGCTATCATCTACTTCAACTACATACTGCTTCCTTTACTGTGGACCCAATAAGTACCCTACCTTTCTATTTTATTTTAATTTTTAAAATTTATTTAACTTTCTAGAGACAGGGTCTTTGTCGCCCAGGCTGGTGTGCAGGGGTGTGATCATAGCTCACTGCAACCTCAACTCCTGGGCTCAAGGGATTCTCCCTCTTCAGCCTCCTGAGTAGCTGGGACCACAGGCACATGCCACCATGCCCAGTTAAGTTTTAATTTTTTTTGTAGAAACAGTGTCTTGCTATGTTGCCCAGGCCTAGTCTTGAACTCCTGGTCTCAAGCGATCCTCTCTCCCTGGACTCCCAAAGTGCTGGGATTACAGACATAAGCCACTGCGCCTAGCCCACTTATTCATGTTTTTTTTTTTAAGAGACGGAGTCTTGCTCTGTCACCCGGGCTGGAGTGCAGTGGCACAATCATAGCTCACTGTAGCCCCCCCGCCCCAACTCCTGGGCTCAAGTGATCCTCTTGTCTCAGCCTCCCAGGTAGTTGAGACTATCCATAGGCACGTGCTGCCATGCCCAGGGTATCACTTTGTTGCCCAGGCTGCCTACCTCCCTTTTAGATTTGAAGTCCTTTCAGGAGAGAAACTGAGTTTCCTTCCTGAACTTGAATGTTGGGTCCTCCCGAGGATGGCCCCCTACTGCTCTCTGCTTCTATCCTTGGGTTCCATGAGCAAAAACTAGGCCTGGCCCAGCTGTCCCGCTAGGCGGGATTCCTAAAGACCTACCAGGAAACAGAGAAGGCAAAGGCAGAAGAAGACATAAGAAGTGGGACAACTCTACTCCTTGTCCATTCAAATTCAAAAGGGGTCTCTTCTCTTTGTACAAACCACATAAACCCAGTGCTCATTGCAAGAGAATTCTTATCGATGAGGGTGGCTGGGTTGGGTATCTTGAGGTCTGAGAGTCAGACATGAGCCAAGTGGGAGGGCAGTGAATGCAGCTCCTTCTCAGGAGGGTAGCTGCAGAGGCTGGGGCCCTGTCAGCAAGGCTGGAAGTGTCTCTTTAAGGCTTGAGCTCGCTGATTCTGGGAGCACAGAGCCAGCCTGGGAGAAGGCAGGGGCCTACAGTTTATTTTATTTGACATTTTTCAACGTCAGGACACTTCAGAGCCAAAGAGGAAACGAATCCCATCTGTTCTGAGCCCCCAAGCACAGTTCAAGAGGACAGGCTGGGGAGTGGAGGAAGGGGCGGTGAAGAGAAAAATAAGAAGACTGGAACATCCAGCCACACACGGAGGGCAGGAAGCCACCTGATGAGAGAGCCAGGGTGTGGCAGAAGTCGCCAAGGAATCCTTCTGTTCCCGACACACGCCTACAGCACTCGCTCAAGATGGAGCCTGCTGACTCTGTCTAAGGCCCTGTGGCCCTTGGCATAGGTTTCAGGACAGCAGTCCTGTCAGGGCTGTGGACCTCACACCTCTATGTAATGTGAAGGGCACCCTCTGGAGTTGTGGGACTTGGCAGTAGTGTTACTGCACTGGCCTGCAAGTCCCCATCCATTACTGCCACCCAGCTCAGACACAGCTCACCCATTCACATACACAAAAATGGACACATTGAGAGGGAAACCCACATTAAAGTAGGGAGAAGATGGAGGGCCCTCTGACCTCCTCCCATCAGGCACGTGTGCCTCCTCTACTCAGTGCCTGCATCCACCTCTGTATGGGTACCCATCCTCTATTCCCCTCCCACTCCAATGGATGCCAGGGATGGAAGGACAGATGGCTGTGAAACTTATCTTCTTATTTAGATTAAATTCCAGACTTTCCTATTTTTAGAAAAACAAATTCCTTTTGTATTTCCAAGTGGTAAAAATGGCCCGAGCTGTCATCTAGGACAGTCAGCAGCCAACTCAAAGTTGTCTGCAGTGTCATGATTTGGATATTACCCTGGCGAGACTACTTCTAGTGTCAAGCGGGTGATCAGTCTAGGTGCCAAATTTTAAGAGGGTCATTGACGTCCTGAGAGCTTCCAGAGGAGGGTGACCAGGACAATGAAAGGTTCGAAAAACTGGGTCATTGAAAAAAGTACTGAAATAAGCTAGGGACTTTTTCTTTTTCTTTTTGGTCTAGAGAATATTTGAGCTATATTAAGAACATGTTGAAATATTTGGATGAAGAGTTACACCCTTATTCTATTTTTCCCAGATGACAGAATTTGAATCAATAGGTAGAAGTTACAGCGAAACAGATTTCAGTTGAATATTTAGAAACTTTCTTATAACTTAATTCTGTATGATATGGAATAAGCTTCCCATCACTGTGCCTATGCAAGCCAAGGATGAAAGACTGTCTGTCAGGGATACTGTAGATAAGATTATTGTACTAGATAGGAACATGGACTAGTCTAAAATTACTGAGAAGCTTTAGAAAAATGTGGCTTTCTGGGTAGCAGAGATTCTGCATTGGTAAGTCTGAGGCTTAGAATTTGTATTTCCAAAAAACCCCATCAGCTATAAAACTCTCAGAAGAAAACGTAGGGGAAAAGCTGCATGGCGTTAGATTTTGCAGTGATTTCTTAGATATGACACTCAAAGCATAGCCAACAAAAGAAAAAAACAGATAAAATGGATTTCATCTAAATAAAAAGCTTTTGTGCATCAAAGGATACATCTACAGAATGAAAAGGAAACCCAATACACAGAATGAAAGAAAATATCTCCAAATCATACATGTGATAAAAGGTTCATATCTAGCATATATAAAGAACTCTTAACACTCAAAAAGAAATTAAACAACACAATTTAAAAATGGGCAAAGGACTTGAATAGATATCTCTCCAAAGAAGATGTACAAATAGCTAATAAGTACATAAAGCTGCTCCATATTACTAATCACTACAGAAATCAAAACCACAATGAGATAACCACTTCGCCTCCATCAGGATGGGTTTTTTCTTTTTTTGAGTTGGAGTCTCGCTCTGTCGCCCAGGCTGGAGTGCAGTGGTGCAATCTCGACTCTCTGCAACCTCCGCCTCCTGGGTTAAAGCAATTCTCCTGTGTCAGCCTCCCGAATAGCTGGTATTACAGGCACGCACCACCACGCCAGCTAGTTTTTGTAGTTTTGGTAGAGATGGGGTTTCACCCCACACCAGTTGGCCGGACTGGTCTCCAACTCCTGACCTCAAGTGATCTACCCAACCCAGCCTCCCAAAGTGCTGGGATTACAGGTGTGAGCCACCGCGCCTGGCCAGGATGGCTACTATAAATACAAACAAAACAGAAAATAGTAAATGTTGGGGAGAATTCGGAGAAATTAGAACCCTCATTCATTGCTGGTAGAAATATCAAATGGTGCAGCCATTGTGGAAAACGGTATGGTGGTTCCTCAAAACAAACAAACAAACAAACAAACAAAAAACACATAGAATTACCATATGATACAGCAATTCCATTTCCAGGTATATACCCAAAAAGAACCGAAAGCAGGGACTTGAATAATATTTGGACACTAATTTTCAGAGCAACATTCTTCACAATAGCCAAAAGGTGGTAACAACCCATGAACAGATGAATGGGTAAACAAAATGTGGCGTATACCTACAACAGAATAGAGTTCAACCTGAAAAAAGAATGAAATTCTAACGCTACAACATAAATGCTCCCTGATGACATTATGCTAAGTAAATAAGCCAGTCATTAAACAACAACAACAACAAAGACTGTATGATTCCACTTATATGGGTTACCTAGAGTAGTCAAATTCATAGAGACGAAAAGTAGAATGGTGGCTCCCAGGAGCTGAAGGGAGGAGGAAAGGGTAGCTACTGTTTAATGGGTACAGTTTCTCTTTGGGGAGAAGACAGAATTCTGGAGATGGACGTGATGATGGTTACACAGCAGTGTGAATGTACTGAATGCCACTAAACTGTACACTTTAAAATGGTTAACATAAAATGGTAAATTTTATGTTATATATATATAACCACAATTTTTAAAAATAAATCCTTTTTAAAAAACATGTATGATTATTCTGGTAGCAGCATCAGAGTCACTTTCTTCCTTCTAGTTTGCTGACTTCAGTTTGAAGAATTTGCCTTCTTTGGTTTGCTGACTAATGACCTGAAAGGGGCCTGGTCACTGGAGGGAGTAGGGAGAGCTGACTTGAGACTGAACAGGGGCTTGGGAAGAGCCGTCAAAGGGATGATCCCCCCGCAGATAAACAGAGTGTGGAGAAAGCGCCAGAATTACTGTCATCTTTTATGGCTCACTCGGATAGCTTGGAGCCGATTATGTCACCCAGTGGGGAAAGATCAGCTTTTCTGCTGGCCCAGTGCTGGGAGCTCTTGGGAGGTGGGAAAGTAAATTGCAGTGGGCCGAGGCTGATGGGTGGGCAGGGGTGTCGCAGTGTGGAGGGAAGCGCTGAAGCTATCCCTACAGGGAACAGTCCTACCCCTTTAATGACTAGAAAAACAGTTTTTTAAGAAATAGGACATTTTCTAAATTATAACATCTAGATGGAAACCACAGTGGGGATGAGAAGACCAACAGGAGGCTGAGCAACGACAGCTCAGGTTTGCATGTTCACTTAAAGAGTCGCTGGAATCCAGGTTGCCCTGTTACTAATTAAAACAACAACAACACTTAACCATGAAAACCCATAATCGAGGAGTGACTGTTTACATTAAATTACTGGGGATTATAAGTTGATTCCCTTCAACTCTGACTTCTCAGATGGCCATGTTTACAGTCCCAGCAGGGAAGTTAACAAACTCGTGTTAAGGGTTACTGCTAACTGAAGGTTGACCATAAAAAATGCATGTGAAATGATCTTGTAAACTAGCATCACAGTTTACAGGAAGGTCCACTTTATGGATATTGCCATGCCAACAATTGATTCTGTGTTCCCCATGCAAACTCCAGGCTTCCCAAGGCTTACAGCTGGGGGCTGTGCAGGGAAGGCAAGTTCTTATTCATGCTAGTCTCGGTGAACTCTAATTTTTAAAAAATGGATTCGGGAACACACATCCTGTCCAGAGGAAGGAGGATAAAGCAAGGGTGTTAGAGGGGGGATAAAGGGGGTCTTTCCTACCCTTTCCCCCTGCATTCCATGCCCCCACAGCCTATTATCTATGCCCCTGGGATTGACCAGCTGCTACTAGATCTGTCTTTGCTGCTGATGCTGAGTAAGTGGGACTCTGGTCAGACTACACACCCCTGACGGTAAGAATCATGTCTCTCCATCAGTCTGGGACTCTAATAACAACAAAAATAATATAGCAACAAAAATAATAGCTATCATTTAGTGAGCATTTACAATGAGCCAGGAATTATTCTAAGTACTTTACATATATTAACCCATTGAATCCTCATCAGAACCCTGAGATAAGTTCTACTGTTATCTGCATTTGACAGATAGACAAATGAAAGAAAGCCTGGGGAGGTGAACCAGTTTGCTCAAGCTCATACAGCTAGTTAAGAGCCGGAAGTCCTGCCACCTTCCTCAGACTGCGACGTCTCCAAGCAGGGCTCCTGTACCTTGCAACACTTGGGGTATTTTCTGCCATGGCCATCAGGTGGGTTGGTGGGGTGAAGGGCTCTCAGAGGGATCTCGTTTCCATCAGTTTGGGAGCTGTGCTGGGCAGGGGCCCCGTCACCTCCATCAATCTGGGAGCTGTGCTGGGCAGGGGTCCTATCACTTCCCCTGTCTGGAAGCTCCCTAGGGTCTAGGGCTATGGTTCTTCTAACACATGGGGGACTTTCTAAAGACTCAGCCCCGCAGGGCTTGTGCCACCCTCTGCACCCTCCTGGGATTCTCAGAGGAGGGCAGTGACCTGACACTTCCTCAGGCAGTCCCTGGCAGCTTCCTAGGGCAGAGGCTGTGTGGAGCAGCTCCTCACACACCTTGGCTCTCCTTCCTGCCCAGCACAGGCCTCTGACCACAGAAGGAGCTCAGGATCTGTGCACTGCATGGCTTTTCTCTGGTCCCAGCTCCAGGCTGGTGGATCTGAGCGTGAGCGCGAGGTTGGGCTGGCCCCTGGGATTTAACAGGCAGTAAACAACTCCATTCATGCGTCAGTTGTTTTGCTCCAGAGCAGCCTCATCAGCTGGACAAGCCCTAACCAGATCCCTCCAAGTTCTCTGCAGGGGTGGAGATGGGGGTGGGGAACAGTGGATGGCCTGGAGCTTGGCTCTCGTCTTTTCCGAGGAGAGGCTACTTTCCACTCCCTTGAAGTCTGGGATTTTTATTGGGGAGAGGCAGGCCCTGGCAGTAAGATATTAAGTCCCTGAGAAGGAAGGGAAGGGATGCTGCTGCTACTTGTATGGCCCCTTGGCGGAGGAGGGCACCAGCAAACCAAGAAGGGAGAGTGAAAGTGGCAGTAGGCTAAGAGGTGCTCCAGAGAAGCTTCCAGAACCACTGCCTCTCTCCTGTCTCTGGGCTTGGAAGAGTTGGCCAGGATCCCCCTAAGCGCCCAGCACTTCATTCTTCCTATCCTCTCTTCTATCCTCCCAGACCAGGAGAGGACAGCAAGAATGAAGTGCTGGGGGCTTGGGGTCCTGGCCAACTCTTCCAAGGTTGGAAGGCATAGGCACAACTCTGTCAATTAAGGCAGAAAAATATAAGAAGATGAGGGTCCCTGCAGGGCAAAAGGCAGGAAAGAAGGATTTGACACGCTGGGTAGGGATTAGGAAGTTGCATGATTGGTAGAAGGTTTGCACAGGAAGAAACCCAAGGAGCAGACACTGAGGACCACAGGGGTCGGATAGGGAACTGAGGGGTTACGAACCCCTGGCAAAGGAAGTGGAGCTACTGCTGCTACTCACTGTTTGACTAGCGATTTCACCCACAAGCTCTCATTTTCTCTTCTTAGGTAGACAGATACGATGTTAATAACCTTTTTGGTTTTTTTTTTTTTTGCAAATGGGAAAGCAGATTTAGTTGTCCAGGGTCTACACAGAGTTCGCATAAGAGCTGGGAATAAAATGCTTTTCCAAGGCTCTTTGAGCCAGTTTATTGAGGGCAAAGAGCCAGGGAGGAGGGTGACAGAATGACAGCCACAGAGACCAATGAGAGGGAGGCGCCTTCATTGACCAATCAGCTCCTTGGATGTAGGCCCTGCCTACACCACACCCAAGTCTAGAATAAACCACATCGAATTTCAGAGGCAATCACAAAGTGTACACAGCACACTTTTGTGTACTTTCATAGCAGCACAGCAAACCAAAACCCGTTTTGGGTTCCACTCCACTTTTAAGGCGTCGCATCCCAGTGGTCTTTCCACCATCCTCCCCCGCCATCCAAGAAGCCCCTGCGCTTACCCGGTAGTGATGTCATCATCCTCCGTCATGGTCTTGCCCATGAGGTCACTGTCGCTCATGTAGCCGGACTTGAGGTCCACCTCATCCGAGTCCAGGGATTCGACCAGCTCCAGGCGGGAGATATGGCTGAGCTTGCTGGGGCTGCGCATGGGCATGGTGTGGGAGTAGTGGGCCCGTTCGCCGTGCATGTACCAGGCGGGCGTCCCCTCCGAGCGGCAGCTCCCACCCACAGAGGGCGCGTCACCAGCCTGCAGCCGCGGACTGGACTGGCCATAGCGCCATGACAGAGGGGACGAGCGGTTGGAGAGGCTGGACACGCTGCGTGGGTTGGCATCATCGCTGTCGTAGCAGGTCATCTCCAGGGAGCTGGGTGGAGAGCAGAAGGCACTACTTAGTCCTTGGCACAGCCGCCGTGTGCCCTGTCCCCTCACATGCACCCCAGCAATGCCTCCCCTCCACCCACAGGCCCTGTCACCTCCTCCCCACCTGCCCAAGCTCCACCTCCTCCATGAGGCCTCTGGTTGTGTGTTACCTTTGTGATACGTTATCTGTTTGACAAAGGAAATGATCTTAATTAAGTGGCTAGGGAAGAAATCCTGTATACTGTTAAGACCCTAGATTGTGTAATATGACCTAGGTTTGAATTCTTTTTTGGTATTGGTTAGTAAAGGAGCCCAAGGAAAGTAAATAACTAAAGCTTCAGTTTCCCCATCTGTACAATGGGGATAATGGCATAACATCTACCTTATAGAGTTGTAAGGATCACATATGTACAGACAGAACACAGTGCCTGGTATATGGAAGGGGTCAACAGACCTGGAGGCAAGTGGGAGAGACTGGTCACTTGAGCTTAGAAGGCCTTGGTCATTTTGTTAATGGTGTGTCCATCACCTCTCTTCTAGTAATTAGCTGAGGGCTAGCTGATTCCCAAACATCATATATAGGAAAGCTGAAGTAGAGTGCAGAGAGTATAGGAAAAGCTTTGGGAATCTGGGATGTATGGCAGGTCCCCAGTAAGACTGGTCCAAGCCACAGGCCTAGGGCAGCAGGGGAAATAAGCCTCCCCAGAGAATAGAAGCAGCCTTAACTGGACAAAGGAGAGGACACAGGGAACCAGACATGGGGGTGAAGCCAAATGTCCAGAGTCTCAAGCCTCAGGCCCTGCTAGACCAGGCCAAGGGAGCAATGCCCAGGTGAGTGCTGGATGGCCTGAGACTAGGGGAACCTGGGGGACTAGGGAAGGAGATAGGGCCAGGCGGGCTGCAGAGAGGAAATACAACTGGAATCTGGTTGAAGGGGTGGCTTGGACTTGGGTTCAGGCTGAGACCCATAATTCCATCTAGCCTAGCAGTGGGGCCAGCCCAAATCAGCCTCAGGCAGGGTCTCCATAACTTATCCTAATTAAGCCAGACAGGACTAAGTAAGCGAAACGGGGTTTGGTGGCCAAGAAAGCTGGGGCAACTGAGGCAATCTGTGGCTGGACATGAGTTACATGAGCCCAAGCAATCACTGCTCTGTGAACACATCCATTGCTTAGCCACTTTGGGGGCTGGAATGGGAGTGGGACATTGATTTTTCCATTCTGGTTTCTATCAAGTTCCTTGAAAAGAAGAAAAATTTCCAAAGTTGTCTCTATTGGACCTGAGAAAATACGGTCTTATTTTCTAACCAGCAGAACTTGAGGGATCCAAACGCTCTTGAAACTGAGTGTGCTGGGGTCCTGGCAGTAGTCCTGTGGGCAAGATGGGGGAGGCCCTGGCCAGTCAGGGCAATCAGTGGCAGCTGCTTCTGGCCCTCTGGAGGGCTTCCTGACCGTGTCCATGCCCAGCGGCTCCCCTCCTGGCCCTGCCAACTCTTTTTACTTATTTACTTATTTTTGAGACAGGGTCTCACTCTGTTGCCTAGGCTGGAGTGTAGTGGTGCAAACACGGCTCACTGCAGCCTTGACCTCCCGAGCTCAAGTGACCCTCCTGCCTCAGCCCCAAAGTAGCAGGGACGACAGGCACACATGAGCACATCTGGCTAATTTTTGTATTTTTTATAGAGATGGGGTTTTGCCATGTTGTCCAGGCTGGTCTTGAACTCCTGAACTCAAGCAATCCTCCCACCTCGGCCTCCCACAGTGCTGGGGTTACTGGCGTGAGCCACTGCACCCTGCTTCTGGCAGCCCTTTAGGAACCCCTTTGTGTTCTGCAGCTCTGCCTCATACAGTGTCTTGTTTCGGCTTCTAATTACTGTGGACCTAGACATCACATCTCCTTGGACAGAAACCGATGTGCCCCGAAGCCAGAGACTGTAGTGATGGTGCGACTTTGTCTGCCTTGCTCACTCACCACGGTATTTCAGCACTTTGCATGGCACCTGGCCTAGAGCTGGTGCTCTAGAATGAATCAAAGAGGAGCAAACCCACGATGGATGTGTGAGTAAAAAGCAAGGAAGTTCTCATCAGAAAACTCAGTCCAGCGCCCTGTGCAGTAAGTGCTTGATAAAAGCAAGCTGACCTTGACCATGGGATGAGACAGGGGAGGAAGAGGATGATGCTAACCATACTAAGAGGGTGGCGGGGATCTCCAGGGAAGCTGGTTTGGGTAGTTAGCCTACACCATGGTTATATACTAGTGTGGGAGTGAGGGCTGCACTCAGCATCTGGGTTCCTCAATTCTATTCCTGGCCTGCCCCTGTTTAGTTATTTGTACTAAAATTGCCTCTTCCCCTATTCCACAGCTCTCTCTTTTTTTTTCAGTTCCCCCAAACACATCTCTAGACATCTCTAGACTTAAGCTTGGTGAGGGGGATTCTAGCTCAGATCCTCAGTTCTTGAATTCCAGCCCTGCACCCACCCTTCAGGCTTGCCTTTCTCTGGGGAGGACACAGTTTCATTTCCTCTCCAGCCACAGTCTGACCCAGACTCTCCTCGCTGGGGGAAATGAACCAGTAGAAATTGAGGAAGCAGCACAGGAGTAAAGGCTTCTGAAAAGGAATGGAATCCAGTTATCCTGGGAGTTCCTGGGTGAAAACAGCCTTGCAGGAAGCACACACTGGACCATAAGCTCCGAGGATGAAGCTTGTGTGTGTTCTGGGGAGCCAGTGCCCAGCGCTGTGCCTGGCACACAGCTGGCATGGGTTCTGAGCATGCAGAGTACAGAACCTACCCTCATCAGCCAGCGTGACTCTGGCAGGTGCCTCCCTGCCCCCAGCCTCATTCTCTAACCCAGGGAGTATGTATATATCCTGTCTACTTCCAGGGCTAAGGGAAGGGCTCATTGATAGAAAGCCCTTTAAAAAGTAAAAGAGCCGGCAGGGCGTGGTGGCTCACACCTGTAATCCCAGCACTTTGGGTGGCCGAAGTGGGTGGATTACCTGAGGTCAGGAGTTCTAGACCAGCCTGGCCAACATGGTGAAACCCCATCTCTACTAAAAATACAAAAATTAGCCGGTGTGGTGGCACGCACCTGTAGTCCCAGCTACTTCAGAGGCTGAGGCAGAAGAATCGCTTGACCTGGGAGACAGAGGTTGCAGTGAGCTGAGATCATGCCAAGGCACTCCAGCCTGGGAGACAGTGAGACTCTGTCTCAAAAAAAAAAAAAAAAGAGCCATAAAAAGTCAGGGAATCATTGTTTTGGCTACCAGTGTGGAACAGGAATAATATAAACCAAAGCCTATGAGAGGAAGTGGCTCTAGGTCCACAGTAAACAGAAAAACCAGCTCCGGGGCTCTTGGTTCCTTTCCTATAAAGGGAGGCAGAAGCCAGAGGCCCTAGACGCTCCCCCTAAACCAGTCAGCATTATGCAAAAGGCTTGATTGAAGCCTCCCCTTTCCCACTAGAAGCAGAAAACCAATAGCGCCTGCCTAGGGTCAAGCTGTCCGGCTTAACGGAGGGACTGGGGGCTGGCTGCTCTGAGTCAGTGGCACCAGGAGGCTGGAGCTGCTACTTCTCTCCTACTCCTGTGAGTGAGTCATTTGGGGTGTGGCCCTCTCAGCAACTAAGCACTTTCTGGTGTCTTTGGCATGAGGCTGGTGGGTGACTTGGTGCTGAGAGATGTTCCAACAATTTCCTTGGATGGGGGAAGGCAGATGTCCAAGATTTCATCCGCTGGGTCCTAAACTGATAAGCCAAGCTCTGCCAGATCCCTGCTTCACTTGGGCTCCTGCTGGGGGCTTGGGGCTATGAGGGATGGCAGTAAGGGACAGATGTAAGGGGGTCCTGGAGCCCCCACCATCCACCTTTTTCCAGGACTTCCTTGGTCACCTCCCTTTCAGTAGTCAGGGTTCTGCTGGCCTGAGCAGAGGTAATCCCCAGAGAGTTTTGATTTATCTTACCATTTAAAATACTCGAGATGTCTGGGAGTAAAGGGCTGAGTGTCCAAGATGCGGGCATGGGCTGGGGATAGGGGGAGGAGTAGTACAAGGAAGGAGAAGGAGAAGGGTCATCTAAGCAGGAAGAACTACAGCCAACGGCTGAAAGCTACTTAAGACTAAGTGCAGTTCCACATCAGAGTTGCTGCAATCCCACAATGCACCGGGGTGACTGAAAGGTAGTGAGTTGGCCGGGCGCGGTGGCTCACGCCTGTAATCCCAGCACTTTGGGAGGCCAAGGCGTGTGGATCACTTGAGGCCAGGAGTTTGAGACTGGCCTGGCCAACATGGTGAAACCCCATCTCTACTAAAAATACAAAAATTAGCTGGGCGTGATGGCACACAGCTGTAATCCCAGCTACTCGGGAGGCTGAGGCAGTGGGCGACAGAATGAGACTCGGTCTTTAAAAATAATAACAAAATATTTTTAAAAAGCCTATGTTAAAAATAAAAAAAGAAAGGTAATGAGTTCTTTGTCATTGGTGGTATGTAAATATGTCCATGGGTGTGGTCCCATCCTCAGAATCCCAAATGGCCACACCCTGGGCTAAAGAAAGTCCTTTTCCACTGCCCCTGTGTCCCAACTTTGCTCTTAATTTTCCAGCCCCAGGAGTTGGAGAGGAATCTACTTCCAGTCTAACTGGGGAGGCTTCCTAGCCCTCACACAGCCTTCCTGCCCCACACCCCCCATGATTTCCCAATCTGGCTGTCTGTTCTGCCTCCCGCTGTCCCCAGAGCTTAGCCCAGCCCTCTGCCCCACTTGGAGCTGACAGCATGAGCTCATCTGGGCAGTCCAAGGAGCCAGCAAGGGAAATTCTGAGTCACAGCAGAGCCTGTGGCCAGGACTTTGCTCCAGAGAGAGGTGCCGTGGGAAGGCTGAGTGCCCCATGCAGCTGGAGGCTATGAGGTCTCTGCAGGGAGTGGGCTAGGGGGACACACCTAACAGGGCATGGAGCTGGGTGACACTGTGTGGGCCCTGTTGAGCACTCAAGCCTCCCTCAGTGGCTCGTAGAAGAGGCCAGGGGGCACCTAACTGACACAAGAGTGAAAAGACCCAGGTGTTGAGAAGGGAATTGATTCTAGACCCCTAGTTTAATGGAGACTTAGGAACAGGAAGAGAGCATTTAGTAAACCTTCTCTTGACAGATTGAGGAGACAGAGGTCTAATGAAGGAGACTGACTATCAAAGATCACACATTGAGCTGTGTAATGGCTTCCACTTCCTGGCTCCTAAGCTAGTGATTTTCAAGCTGATTTGCTGAAATGAAATGAAATGTTCAGGCACAAGCAGACAGAAGACAAAGCCAAGCTTCTCTTGTTGAGATAAATGGATTTCCTCCTCCTTCTGCAGTGGCTCCACGCATCAGGCCACCTGGCTGACCTGGCAGAGGTGTGGAGGGACCCGGGGGCCCTGCCCTCCAGAATGGGGTGGAGAGCCAGGAAGGCAGAGGGCATGACCCTCTCTGCAGCTCGAGCTTACCTGTGAGTCACCTGGGACCCTCGCAGGCTGGACATGGTCTCTTCCAGGTTCTGCCGGAGATCCAGGACATTCTGCACTGTCCTCTTTCTCTGGGACTCTGGGTCTGGTAGGGAGAGAAGGAAGAGCTGGGTGAGTGAAGAGAACTTAATGCTGGGATCCTGGGGGTCAGGAAGTGGAGATTGACAGTGTCCCCAGGAGGCTAGTCCCTGGGCCATGATAGTCACCTTCCTCCTCCCTTTCCCAAAGACAACCAACAGAATGGGCCCTCTCAAAGGCCCTGGACATGTGCCATTGAGCCCTCTGAACCCCAGATCCTGGCAGGGGGTACAGGCATGGCTTTCTGTGTCTGTGCACTCCTTTCAGAGCCCCCAAGGAACTGCCTCTACCTCTGGCTTTGTTTTGGGGAGGCCCTGCTTCTCATAGCAGAGGTCCTGGGCAAGATTTCTCGTGGTTGAGATGAGCTGGAACATCTGCCTGAAACCCCCTATCCAGGGTTGTGCTGGTAAATGTTTAACAACTGGCTTTCGGAGGAAGGGGACACCGATGTGTGGTGTTTGCCAATTTCCCTGGTATAAAGCCTCCTATCATGGCCACTTTCAATCTACCAATCTGATGTCACTGACCACAGAGTTAGGAAGAGGGGCTAACAATTGGCTCTGGGGAACTGGTACAAGCTGGCTTCAGTACACCTAAACCCAGGCACTGACTGGTAATATCTGGGGTTGCTCTATGGGGTCCCAGGAAGTTAGTTCAGATATAGTCTCCTAAAGGTGAGGTGGCTGGTGGGAGGTGGAAGGGATGAGCAGTCATTTTCTGGAGCTTGAAGTGAGCTCTGGGCAGTCCCCACACAAGTGGTGCAATCCTGAGTGAGAAGGATGCATGGGTGTGGCCCAATCCTCAGAATCCCAAATCACCAAGAGCCATTGTATTCAACCCTGGTGTCCAGATATTAGCCTGGACGGATGAGAATCTACAACAGCAAACAGGGTGAAAATAACGTCCAAATGACTGAGAGGTGCTTGAGCATGAAGGAACTCAAAGAATGTTCTTCCTTCCTTCAGTTCATCCAATGAATCTTTATCAAGCACTTACTTCACATCAGGCACCACCCTGGGCCCTAAGGACAGTATAATGAAGAGAAGCTGGCCCTGCCCCATGGCTTATCTTTCATTTTGGAACCTAAAGTCATGAATGGAACCAAGTCCCCCAGTACCTCCCTAAAAGACAATCTGCAGGAGAGAGTCAGGGAGTGACAGAAAGATGATGGCAAAACAACAGAGAAAACCCAAGAACTCTGGCTCTCCAGGCTGCTCCCTTTTCCCCTCCATCCGCAAGCCTTCTGCCGCTGCTGCAGAGGCCAAACGCCCCCTCAGTCCCTCCTCAGCCCACAGACTCAGCAGGAGTGTAAGGTTTTTTTTAGCTGCCAAAGGGAACATTTCTGAATCTCTTCAAGAGGTTTTTATTCCCCCAAGACTAAGCTCAGGCCGGCTGGCAGGCAGCTGCTTGACTGTCTTGTCAGGGAGGGGAGGCTGGGTGGGGCGGGCAGGGAGCCTGCAATGCCCTCTCCAGAGCCTTTTGGGCACCTTTTCTGAGAACCAGCTCCACACCCAAGCCCAGCCATCCCTCCTTTCCCCTCCCAGGGGGAGCTTCTCCACCCCCACATCCTCTCATGGTCAGCACCATGAATCCAGGCCTCCATGCTGGTGGCAAGGATCAGGGACAAATGGCAGGCCACCATGCCAGTGGCCTAAGCTCTATCCCCAGTCCTGGCATCACTTCCGTGGCCGCCAATGCCTATTTATCCTGGCAAGTGTCACCTTGTAAGCTGCTCCATGGCTTTAATTGATGGCTTGGCATGAAACACAGACAGGGTCAATTTTTTAGACTCGCCAAGAAATAAAGTTGAATTCTAAAATGCCTATGTGGGGACTAAGAACATGGTGCCAAGGTGTGGGTTTCTGGCCCAGGGTGATGCTTTTTATGGGCTTGGCAGACATGAGGGACAGGCACACACATCTCCAAGGGGTGTGTATTCCCAAAGAGGAAGGTGATCAAGAGTTACTCAGAGACTTCTGTGTGTGCCAGACCCTTTGCATGCATTATCTACTTGAATCCTTGCAACATTTCTGGGAGATTTGTGCTACTGCCCCATTTAACAGATGAGAAAACTGACACTCAGAGAGAACAAGTAAACTGCCCAAGGTCACACACCTAGCATGTAGCACAAGGCAGAGTTGAGCCCAGGAAGAAACTCATACTTGTCTTGATATATCACAGGGCATCTCTGCACCACTAGCATCAAGCATGGTGACTGTTGTATAGGAGGCGCTTAGGCTGCAAGCAGTGGCTCATGCCTATAATCCCAGCACTGTGGGAGACCGAGGCCAGAGGATCGCTTCAGGCCAGGAGTTTGAGACCAGCCTGGGCAACACAGGGAGATCCTGTCTATATAAAAAATAAAAATAAAAAAATTGGCCAGGTGGCTCAAGCCTGTAATACTAGCTACTTGGGAGGCTGAGGCAGGAAGATCACTTGAGCCCAAGAGTTCAATGCTGTAATGAACTATGATCACACCACTATACTCTAGCCTGGGCAACAGAGTGAGACCCTGTTTCAAAAAAAAAAACAAAGAAGATGCTTAGTGAACATTTCAAGAATGGATGCTACCACAATTTTTTAAAATTTCCAAAAACCCATGAAAAAAAGTAAAGGGATACATACATGTCACGTTAGGAAAATGTCTTTTTTTTTTTTTTTTAAGGAAAAATGTTTAAACCACACAGTAGCCTCAGGAGAGTCATGCTGCATTCCCTAATGCCCCAGATGCTCCAGATGGGAGTCATAGACATCTAGGTCACAGGTTTGACCCTCTTTCTCCATATCTCTTCCCTCAAAGACCTCTATCCTAGCCCCTTCCTCAATTCCACATCAGCAGAGTGTGGTGGGACTATTTCAGAGTCTCCCAGAGTCGCCAAACCACAAGAGTCCTTGAAAGTCACTTAATCCTGCTGTGTCTCTGGAGAGCTGGGAGGCTGAGGTCCAGGAAGTAGGGACTAGCTGGAGATCACAGAGATGCGAATGGAAGAACACTTGACTCCAGGCAGCTTCCCCACAGGTATAGATTTGGGGCATACAGGGGAGGAGGTTAGGGCAGGGTTTGGTTTCCTTGGGGGTGACCAGGATCTGGTCTCTGCTACCAGGCTGGAGGGGCCCTGCAGAGGCTACACCCTGCAGCTCCCTCTGTGCCCCAGCAGTGGCCCCTGGTGGCCATCATGGGTATGCCGCTCTGCTTCTCCAAGGCTCAGCCCAGGGTGGGTCTGGAGGGTTGGGGCCCCTGGTAAGTCTGGCTTCCTCCACATTGCTAGGTGACAGACACATTCCCGGGGTGGTACAGCCACAGCTTCAGGCCAAGAGGACTTACCTGTGTACAAAAGAAAGGCCTCCAGAGCTCCAGAGGCTGCAGAGGGGGCCTAGGTTGAGGAGCCAATCTGACATTCACACCCATGACCCTGAAGGTGAATTTTTATATTTTAGCTTAAAAATATGAGTAAGTTACATTTCCAAGGGAATTTACTTCACCTCTCAACCCTCATCCATTCCTGATCTTCACCTTACCCCACCTCTGACCACCAACCCATAACTAAGCTTCACCCCTTTCTCACCATCTCCTGTGAGGGTGAGCATCCCGGATGGGGTGAAGGTATCTAGGGCTTCCGCTACTCTGTGATAATGAGAAAAGTAACCTAAAAGTTCAATGGTTTTTTTTTTTTTTTTGGAGACAGGGTCTTACTCTGTCTCCTGGGATGGAGTGGCATGATCACGCCTCACTGCAGGCTCAACTTCCCTGGTTTTGAGCGATTCTCCCACCTTAGCCTCCTGAGTAGCTGGGACTACAGGCATGCCCCATCACGCCTGGCTAATTTTTGCATTTTTAGTAGAGACGGGGTTTTGCCATGTTGCCCAAGCTGGTCTCGAACTTCTGAGCTCAAGCTATCCTTCTGACTCAGCCCCCCAAAGTGCTGGGATTACAGGTGTGTGCCATCGTGCCTGGCTAATGGCTTGTTTTATTGGCTAAGTTGAGATGCCCTGGAGGCTGCCTCCATGTGTCTCTGTCAAATGTTTTGCTCTGGGTGTGGGACAGGCCTGGGGACAAAACAGAGCCCAGACATGGCAAAGATGCAGAGGGAGTCTTGGTAGCCCATCCCCTTCCTCAATACCCCTAAGTGGAGGACGTGCTCAGAATACTCCCATCTTACGTGGCACCTTTGTGCAAATTAGAACAAGGTACTCTCCAGTCCAACCCACCTCTAGCCAGGTCCTAGTAGAGTACAGCGTTCTCCTTCACATGATACCAGCCAGGATGCCACCCTCCAAAACTTACTCTGGGGGCCTGGGAGTGCGTGCTGTCTTAGCTCCTACAGAACAGGGTCCAGCTGCAAGAGTGAAGTGTGTGTATGTGTGTGTGTGTGTGTGTGTGTGCGCGCAAGTAGGGTTTGAGGGGGGAAGGGGGCAGGTAGGGCTCCTAGCAGGCCCCAGGGCGACACCAAGGTCTATGGGGAGGAGCTCATGATGTTATCCTGGGCTGCCCTCCAAGCCTTTCCCTGAAAATGGAGCAACTGGGGAGAGAATGTGTGTGCTACTCAGGCTCAGAACAGATGCAAGTCTCTCCCAACCCAGCCATCACCACGGCAATTCACAGTTACCACAAACAGCAGCATAGTCCCAGCATGCACTGGGGCATCTGCAGAGTAGGATGGTGTTTCTTTCTACACACTGTTGGCTCTTATGCAAGACCACAGAGAGAGCATACTGTCCATGTCAAGGGTCTTTGGGAAAGGACTAGCAATCAAATACACTTGACAGACAGGTGCATGCACACACAAATCAAATAATGCCCAGCTACTCAATGTTCACCACGAGGCATTTTCCATGTTATTTAATTTGAGCCAGGGGACTGATCACAAGTCTTTTTGACTCCAAAGCCCTTGTTCTTTCCACTACAATATGGTGTTTCAAAATACATGCACATGCCTCCAGATATACACACCTACTTGTGGTCTAGCCTGTAGTTTGTGGAAACCCTCATAAAACTCTGCAATTCTGCAGACATATGCATAGAGAGATTTCTGTGGACACATCTCCCATTGTATGGGGAGGAAGCAAGAAGACTAAAACGTTGCTAGAGGAAGAGAAGTAATTTAAGGGACAGCCCAGGGTGCACTGTGAGGATGATGTAAAAAGGGTCTTTCTCTCTGTTCCAGTGTCAGAACAGGGGAAACAGGCTTCCCCAGGAGGGCAGGACTACGAAATTGCTCATCAAGAGATTGGGACCCTAGGGCAAAACTGACAGTGATGTAGTGGCAAGAACATAGTCCTTAGATTCAGAAAGACCTGTGCTTCAGGTCCTGGTACTGCCCCCTTCCCAGCTTGTTTGAACAAGTCATCTCACCTCACTGCAGTTTCCCGCTCTGGGAAATGGGCATGATACCCACTTGGTGGGGTTGCTGTGAGGCTTAAAGAGCTAATTCACAAACATGCTTATAGTACGGTGCCTGGAACAGAGTAGGTGCTCTATAAATGGTGGCTCTTATCTGTCAGAAGGCACAAAGAGGTGGGTGAACAACGGGTGCACCCTCGGGCTGGCACTGAGGCTGGCCCCTTGTCTCTCATTTGCTGATGGGCGTGGTGCACACCCCTGGAGGGTGCAGCTCAACGGACCTGACATTCTCTTCCGGAACCTTGCTTTGGCTAGGTGAGACCCTCACTCATACCTGGAGTTAGGGGTGGATGAGGTAGTAACAAAACCTTGTTTCTGTGTCATCAGGCCTGACTACCACTCTCTCACTGCTGTGAGGCAATACAATATCTTCAATCCCGTTCTCTTGGGGCCAATCTTAGCTGTGGAGTATCGTGAACCTCAGGGGTCCCCTCTGGCCTGCAGTCTAAAATCTGATGTAGTAATAGGTGGAGAGCCTTCAACCGAGGGTAATAACCCCCCAAAATTCAGAGACGTTCAGGAAGAAGGAGACTCATGGGAATCCATCACCCGGCAGTCAAATTTCCCCAAGTTCTATAAAATTTTAATTATTGGCTGACAATTAAGTAAACTGAATAACTGTTGAAATCTTAATTATTTCCACCAGTGTTTCAAATCCCACATTAGTGGTTTGGCTCAGGGCAGAGGCCACAGAGGACTGCATTTGCACCTGACTTCTAGACTGGCTTCTGCTGTGAGTGGCTGGATGAGGTGGGAACCAACAGAAGGAACGGAAGTGAGCCAAAGAAAGAATGTTTTCAAGTCATGGCACTTCAGAACTTGAAAGGATCTCATTTTGTACACGGCGGTTTCAGGGTGGTGGTGGGGGAACAACAATCCCTCAGGTCCAGAGGGGAGGGGCCTGCCCAGTGTCACCAGGTTGTGAATGGCATGGTAGCTATCACTCTTGGCCCAGGGATCTTTAGACCAGCACTCCATGCTGTGGGCTGGGGATGAAACACACAGAGATGTATCACCAGAAGAGGTGAACTGCAATGTAAATTAATCATGTGGGATGGTTTGGGACTGGGTCCCAAATCCAGGCTAGGCTAAATGATCTGGAAACAAGAAGGATTAAGCAACATAAGCAACACAACACACAGACACACACACACACACACACACACACCCCTTCTTAATAACTCCCAAAAAGAGAGAGAGAAAAATATCTTTCCTGACCCTGTTAGATCCCTAGGGTGAAGCCCAGGTCAGTGGGAGTTTATCTGCACATCTCACAACCAGCATTTGTTGATGATCGTCTGGTGCTTACAATGAGTCAAACGTCTTTGGGAATCATTTTTATTCCTCTCTTCCACTCAAGGACACAAACCTTCAAACTCCAGCCAGGGAGAGCATTGCAGGCCCACCTCAGTGCACTCCTTGGTCTAACGATAAACTCCAGGTCTCTACCCACTGCTCAGAGCTGGACTAGGAGGGTTCTGCTGGTTCTTGCATCCAGTGACCTTGCACTGATTCACTGCAAAGGCTCCATCCTACAGTGTGGCTGGGGGCAGGTATGGAAAACTGACAGATAACCCAGCAAGCAAATCCCCTCTGCCTTCAGGTAGAGCACAGTAACTGTCCCTACAGTGACTCCATCCCCTCTCTCTATCCTTTTCTTCGCCATCTGATGACCCGAGAAGCTCTAAAACAGATGCTGGCAGGCCCCCACACCAGAGGCACCCCATTTCCATGGAGGATGCAGGCAGGGGACTATTTGTTCTCTTACTAATCCTATCTTTCCCTCGTTCCCCCACTTAAGTCACAATATTGTCAGAGGCAGTTGTCACCGAACCCCCGCAGCATGGCAAATCTCATGCTTCTCGTAGTTGAGTGCTCCTGCTCCCCAGGGGAGCTCCCAGGGTTTTCATCCTTACCCCAGAGAATCCGGAACCATCTCAATCAGCGAGTGGGCTGAACTGGAGCCCAGCGCTCAATGGCACTCCTGTTGTTTGCTGCATGGGGACACATACCCAGAAAGAGCCAGGACTAAAGGACTAATGTGTTGGCCACATGGGTGTGTGAGGCAAGGAAAGAAAAACTAGGAAATAGAAGCAAATCTGGGGCCAGAGAGAGGAGCATGCACGGCCATCTCAGCCTGGAACTGCCAGGCAGGTATCTTTCCAGATCACCTACGGTTTTGATTTTCACTGAGTGAGATGGCTTGGATTAGGGACCCTCGGTAATGCATCTCCACTGGGCACTGGGCTAAGAGGAATCGTAAAGCAGGGCATGCCGGGTGGACAACTTAGAACACGTAAAGAGGGTGAGGGGCAGTAGCTTATGCCTGTAATCACAACACTTTGGGAGGTAGAGATGGGAGGATACCTCGAGCCCAGGAGTTCAAGACCAGCCTGGGCAACACAGCAAGAGCCCATCACTATAAAAAATAATAATTTTTAGAGTTCTAGCTTGGGGGCACACATGACTTAGCTGTGGGAGCTAGGGTGAATTACTTCCCCTCTTTGGGCCTCAGTTTCCCTATCTACAAATATGGGAGTGGGAGTAGAGGATACCCAAGCCCCTACCCAGCTTTGACAGTCTGGTTCTATGGTTTTGTACTTGGCTGAAGCCCATAAAAGCATCTTTTCTCTCAGAGTATGCTAAAAAGGCAGATACCAGGGTGTCACCCCCCAGAGCTTCTGATTCAACAGGATGGAGATGGGGCCTCATCTTTGCAAACCCCCACAGTGGAGGGTGTGCTACATAAGGCCACATTTTGGAAAATCCTTACATCTCATTGCATACCACCAGTATTGGATGTCCATTACAAAACCAGGGCTTGACTTCCTGATGCCAAGTGGCTACGCAAAGTGTCCCTGGCCTTCAGAACAAATCTACTCTTCAGGCACAAGTCTGTTCTCAGGAAAAGCCGCCTCCTTCATCTCCAGGCTTGGGATAAGAGAAGTCACCTAGCCACCTCAGCCTTGCAGCAAGAGAACCCAGCCCCAGTCCAGCCCCCGCCAGGCTCTCTGGGGGCTTGTTGCTGAGAATGGCCACAAGGGGGCGTTGCCGGTCCTCAGCCGGCTGTGGCCTTGCTGCGACTGCAGCGCAGCGAGGTGGACAGCGTCTCGCTCAGGCTCGGGAGCCACCGCCCAGGTCTCTCTCCCTCAGTCTCCTGCTTAGCACAGCTCCTTTCCTCCCAGGACTCTGCACTCCTAGGGCTGACATCTTTCCCGCAACCCTAGGCCTCGTGGCCAGGCTGGGAGAACAGCCTGAGTTTGCAGTATCTATGACGGGGAGCCCACCCGGTTCTTGGGGAGAGGGAGCAGGGCCTGGCTTCTGGGATTAACCAACCAGCCTTCGGCACCAGGGAGGTTCTGGGGACCCACAAGCCCCACTTGGCAAGCTCTGATTCAGGGCCAAAGTTTCCAAGAGGCTCCAGCTGGCCTTTCTGCTCCAGTCCCCTGGGGAAATATTAAATAGATCAGGGTTCAGATCTGTGCTCTGAGGCCTCACCTCTGCTCCTCCGCAGTGTTCTTGAGGCTGGGAGCTGCCTGATGAGCTGGGAGGACAGTCACCCCACCCCCTCCACCACACCCAGGCTGACCCTTTCTGGGGAGTGGCAGCCTCTCTCTGCAGCGAGCTGAGGGCAGGCAGTGACCACAGGGCAGCCCCACGCGGATGGCTAGTTCAGGCCACAGCCTGTCACAGGACAGCTCAGCCCTGCTCAGCCGTGTGCAAAAGTGCAGCCTTTGGCAGCAAACTTGGGCCGGGGAGACGAGCTTAAAGTTCCAGGAGAAAGCAATACCTCCACAGCCACTAATATTTAGCAACAAGATCACGTTAGGAAAGGACTTGCCAAGGTCAAGGGTGGTCCATGCGGAGGACTGTGGGACCAGGAGAGGGTGCCTGGCCTCGAGCCCTGTTTGGAAGGAGTGCTAGTTTGCTATCCTGACTTCTCCACCTCAGGAGAAACACCTCCCTGCCCCATTTCCTTGTGAATGTTAGATTATAGGATCAGAATGATAGGTTATAGGATCAGATAGCAGACTCTCGAACATATTCTGTCTTCTCTCATTTAAAGACTTGGACTTCCGGGCTGGGCTCAGAGGGCTGGCCTCCTGCAGAAGGTGGCCTGCCTGTCTCAGCCTGGAGACGTGGCCCTCTGTTCCCCAACAGGCCTTGACTTTCCTGCCCAGTGAACCTCAAGGTTTACTGAAAATGTTTTCCATTAGTGATCCTGCCCAGACCCTTCATGTGACACCCTGCTCCAAAGAAGTCACTGCTGCTGGGAGCTGGGAGTGGTTGTTATGGCAACAGTTTACACAGCAGAGAGAACCATCTGCAGGCAAATGGGGACGGGAGTGGGGAGGGGCTGAGTCCAGGTGTGGATGACAATTGGAGGAGGCCCTGGGGGATTTCTGGTTGTGACACTAGTAAGATTAGTATTGGCTAACTCTTCTACAGGGCTGGGTACCAGGCACTATTCTAGCAGCTTTATGTATATTAGCCCATTTAATCTTCAGGACAACTCTTTGAGAGAGCCCAGTTATTATCCCCATTTTACAGTTGAGAAAAACGGAAGCCTGGGGAGGTTGAGTAAGCTGTCCAAGGACATATAACAGCAAATGGCAAAGCCAGAATTCAAATCCAGATAGTCTGACTCTAGAGCGCATAGTCCAATATTGTCGCCACTAGTCAGAATGGGGAGAGAGAGAGAGAGAGAGAGAGAGAGAGAGAGAGAGAGAGAGAGAGAGAGAGAGAGAGAATTCACATACCAAAATTCACCCTTTTAAAATGTACAGTTCATTTGGGAGCCGACGCTGGTGGATCACTTGAGGTCAGGAATTCAAGACCAGCCTGACCAACATGATGAAACCCCATCTCTACTAAAAATACAAAATGAGCTTGGCATGGTGGTGCACTCCTGTAACCCCAGCTACCTACTTGGGAGGCTGAGGCAGGAAAATCGCTTGAACCTGGGAGGCAGGGGTTGCAGTGAGCTGAGATCGCACCATTGCACTCCAGCCTGGGCAACAAGAGTGAAACTCCATCTCAAAAATAATAATAAAAAAAACAAATAAAATGTACAGTTCAATTGTTTTTAGTATATTTGCACAGTTGTACAACCATCATCACTATCTAATCCAGACTATTTTTATCATTCCAATAAGAAGCCCTGTGGCCATTAGCAGTCACTCCCTGTTCTCCCCTTGCTCCAACTCCTGGCAACCACCAATCTACTTTCTGTCTCTGTGAGTTTGCCTATTCTAGACATTTCATAGAAATGTAATCATGCAATATGTGGCCTTTTGCATCTGGCTTCTTCCACTTAGCACAACGTTCTCAAGGTTCCTCCATGTTGTAGCAAGCATCACTACTTCATTCCTCTTCAGGGCTGAATGATATTCCATTGTATGGATATACCACATTTAGTTTATCTATTCATTTCATAGGCATTTGGGTCATCTCAACTTTTGGCCTAGTATGAATAATGCTGCTATGAAATTCACGTCCATGCCTTTATATGGATGCATGTTTTCATTTCTTTTGAATGTATGCCTATGAGTACAATACTGGGTCCCATGGTAATTTTATAGTTAACATTTTGAGGAACTGCCAGACTGTTTTCCAAAGTGGCTGCTCCATTTCTCATTCCCATCAGCAGTATATGAGAGTTCCAATTTCTCCATATCTTCACTGACACTTGTCATTGTCTCTTTTTGATAGCCATCCAGTGGGTATGAAGTGGTATCTCACTGTAGGTGTCATCTACATTTCCCTAGTGCCTAATGATATTGAGCATCTTTTAGATTTAAGTTAACTAAAATTAATGAAGTTTCAAATTCAGTTGTTGGGTTGCACTAGCCACATTTCAAGTGTTCAATAGCCACATCATTACACCAGCTCGTAGCTACTGCAGCACAGATATAGAAGTTTCCACCACCTTGGAGCACTCTTAGAGCCACTGGAGTTGGTCTGTGCTAATATTACTGGCTCTTTTTCTTTTTCTTTTTTTATTTTTTTTATTATACTTTAAGTTCTAGGGTACATGTGCACAATGTGCAGGTTTGTTACATAGGTATACATGTGCTATGTTGGTTTGTTGCACCCATTAACTTGTCATTTACATTAGGTATTTCTCCTAATGCTATCCCTCCCCCAGCTCCCCACCCCCACAACAGGCCCCCATGTGTGATGTTCCCCACCCTGTGTCCAAGTGTTCTCATTGTTCAATTCCCACCTATGAGTGAGAACATGCAGTGTTTGGTTTTCTGTCCTTGTGATAGTTTGCTCAGAATGATGGTTTCCAGCTTCATCCATGACCCTGCAAAGGACATGAACTCATCCTTTTTTATGGCTGCATAGTATTCCATGGTGTACAAGTGCCACATTTTCTTTTCTTTCTTTTTTTTTTTTTTTTTTTTTTTGAGACAGAGTCTCACTCTGTCCCCAGGCTGGAGTGCAGTGGCAGGATCTCGGCTCACTACAAGCTCTGCCTCCCGGGTTCACATCATTCTCCTGCCTCAGCCTCCCGAGTAGCTGGGACTACAGGCGCCTGCCACCACGCCTGGCTAATTTTTTGTATTTTTATTAGAGACGGGGTTTCACCATGTTAGCCAGGATGGTCTCGATCTCCTGACCTCGTGATCCACCCGCCTCGGCCTCCCAAAGTGCTGGGATTACAGGCGTGAGCCATTGCGCCCGGCAATGTGCTACATTTTCTTAATCCAGTCTATCATTGATGGACATTTGGGTTGGTTCCAAGTCTTTGCTATTGTGAATAGTGCCACAATAAACATATGTGTGCATGTGTCTTTATAGTAGCATGATTTATAATCCTTTGGGTATATACTTAGTAATGGAATCGCTGGGTCAAATGGTATTTCTCGTTCTAGATCCTTGGAATTGCCACACTATCTTCCACAATGGCTGAACTAGTTTACACTCCCACCAACAGTGTAAAAGCGTTCCTATTTCTCCACATCCTCTCCAGCACCTGTTGTTTCCTGACTTTTTAATGATCGCCATTCTAACTGCCGTGAGATGGTATCTCGTTGTGGTTTTGATTTGCATTTCTCTGATGACCCAGTGATGATGAGCATTTTTTCATGTGTCTGTTGGGTGCATAAATGTCTTCTTTCGAGAAGTGTCTGTTCATATCCTTTGCCCACTTTTGATGGGGTTGTTTGTTTATTCTTGTAAATTTAAATTCTTTGTAGATTCTGGATATTAGCCCTTTGTCAGATGGGTAGATTGCAAAAATTTTCTCCCTTTCTGTAGGTTGCCTGTTCACTCTGATGGTGGTTTCTTTTGCTGTGCAGAAGCTCTTTAGCTTAATTAGATCCCATTTGTCTATTTTGGCTTTTGTTGCCATTGCTTTTGGTGTTTTAGTCATGAAGTTCTTGCCCATGCCTATGTCCTGAATGGTATTGCCTAGGTTTTCTTCTAGGGTTTTTATGGTTTTAGGTCTAACATGTAAGTCTTTAATCCATCTTGAATTAATTTTTGTATAAGGTGTAAGGAAGGGATCCAGTTTCAGCTTTCTACATATGGCTAGCCAGTTTTCCCAGCATCATTTATTACACAGGGAATCCTTTCCCCATTTCTTGTTTTTGTCACATTTGTCAAAGATCAGGTGGTTGTAGATGTGTGGTGTTATTTTTGAGGCCTCTGTTCTGTTCCATTGGTCTACATCTCTGTTTTGGTACCAGCACCATGCTGTTTTGGTTACTGTAGCCTTGTAGTATGGTTTGAAGTCAGGTAGCATGATGCCTCCAGCTTTGTTCTTTTGGCTTAGGATTGTCTTGGCAATGTGGGCTCTTTTTTGGTTCTATATGAACTTTAAAGTAGTTTTTTCCAATTCTGCGAAGAAAGTCATTGGTAGCTTGGTGGGGATGGCATTGAATCTATAAATTACCTTGGGCAGTATGGCCATTTTCAGGATATTGATTCTTCCTATCCATGAGCATGGAATGTTCTTCCATTTGTTTGTATCCTCTTTTATTTCATTGAGCAGTGGTTTGTAGTTCTCCTTGAAGAGGTCCTTCACATCCCTTGTAAGTTGGATTCCTAGGTATTTTATTCTCTTTGAAGCAATTGTGAATGGGAGTTCACTCATGATTTGGCTCTCTGTTTGTCTGTTATTGGTGTATAGGAATGCTTGTGATTTTTGCACATTGATTTTGTATCCTGAGACTTTGCTGAAGTTGCTTATCAGCTTAAGGAGATTTTGGGCTGAGATGATGGGGTTTTCTAAATATACAATCATGTCATCTGCAAACAGGGGCAATTTGACTTCCTCTTTTCCTAATTGAATACCCTTTATTTATTTCTCTTGCCTGATTGCCCTGGCCAGAACTTCCAACACTATGTTGAATAGGAGCGGTGAGAGAGGGCATCCCTGTCTTGTGCCATCACTGGCTCTTCTTCTATAAAGTGTTTGCCTTTGGCGCACTTTCAAGTTCATTTTACAGAGCGGGCCCGTCTTCAGGTTTCTGGGGCCCTGCCACTGAGGCCCAGAATGAGTTAGACAGAGACTTGCCAGATGATATATATTTGAGTTAGCGGCAGAAGAGAACCAGTAGCAAAGGTAAGGGCAGGCTTTTGTCATTTGACTTCACCCACCTGCCCACTCCCACTCCTGTGCAGCCCTCCACCCCCAGGCCTGTCCCTAAATCCCTGACATCACTTCCTTTCGCAGAACCTACCAGTGGCCAAGTGACAAAAGGCACCTTATCTGAAGATGCCACTGTTGTGATGGGAGTAGTTCTGCCTATCACACTCCTGCCTGCACCAGAACTCAAGGGGTCAGGTCTCCTGGCTACAGACCTTTCCTGAGTTCTCCAAACCAGGCCTTTGCAGTCTTCTATGTAGGATGTGAATCCCACGTGATTCCCTTGGAAGTGGCTGCATTTCAAATGGGAGACACATCAAATGAGTGAACATCACCGCCTCTGAAGCACTGATTATCCACCAGATCATGCCGGGCTGTGCCCTGACCAGCAGCCACTGGCTTCCACTTAGCCACTGTCTTGAGGGTTCTGAGTCCACCCATACAATAGGGGCTGCCCTCAGGGAGCTTGCAGCCAAGAGGTTGGCATGTGCAGCTGTGGTCAGGCATCATCCGTGCATGGGGGCCAGAGCTTCTGTTGGGGACTGACTAGAAAAGTGATAAGGTGGGTGGGTTAGAGGAGTCACAGGGGAGGTCCTGGAAGAGGTGACCACTGATCTGAAACCAAAGGAAGGGAAAGAATGAATCTGACCACAGGCAACAGGGCAAGTCTCAGGTTCAGGAAGGATACAGCCTATGCAAAGGCTGAGCCACAAGAGAGGAAGGACTGGCTCTGGGCATCAGACGACGAGAGGCCACAGGACACGGAGCTAGAGAGTCTTTGTCAAATCCCAGCTTTACCACTGTGACCTTGGGCAAGGTATTCAATGCCCTGTGACCTTGGGCAAGGTATTCAATGTCTGGGCCTCAGTTCTCTCACCTATAAAATGAAATAACAGCTGAGCTGTTGTTTAGATTTCATGTCTTTCTCCTCCTGAAGGGCAGAGACCTGGCATATTCATTCCAAATCCCATTCTGACACCTCAAACACAGTGGGTGCTCCACACATTGTTTTAAAGTGACACCGTAGGAGAAGAGGTGTGGTTTGGGGATGGGAATGGGATGGAATGGGAGACAAAGCAGATATGGCAGGGTGACTGGGCTGCTGGCATAAGGTCTGGCCAGCCTGTGTATGGACCAGTATAGACAGCCCTGCTGCAAGCCCAGAAGAGGCTGAATGTTAAAACTCATCAAAAGTCAGAGCTGGCACAAGCCTCAGAGGTCATTTCACAGATGAGGAGACTGAGGCGCACTGGAATAGCAGTGACTTGCTCAAGACGACACAGCCTGCTGATCTCAGAGCCAGGCTTGAGGATAAAGAGGAAAAGGTTGAGCTTTGAGGAGGATTATGAGAGAGAAAGCTGGGGGCAAGGTATGAGCAAGGTAGGGCTGCCCAGAAGGCGATGCTCCCTCTGCCGTTCACACCTCCCTCTTCCCCTGCCCCACTTCAGCCTGCACAGCATCTGCTCCTCCATCAAAAAGCTGACATCCACCCTGCCTGGCTGCCTCCCTGGAGGGTTCTTATTTCTGGAAAAGCCTGCTGTGTCACTGATCCCTTCACCCCTCTACTGCCCACCACTGGGGACCCTGTGACTCGGCCCATCTGCCACCAACATGCCCCCCCATTTCCAGGATGGTTCCACTGCTCACCAAAAGGACTCGGCTTAGACTAAGGCCCCGGAACTCCCTCCAGGGCTTGGGTATCAATTGAAACAAGAAGGAGCTAGGTTAGCTTTAAGGGAGACTTCCAATTAAGAAGGCAGAGAATTCCTACAGTGAGACTTAATAAGATGTGCTGAAGAGTTTTTGCATTTAAAAAAATTTTTTGTTTAGTGAGCATCAGAAGGTGAGAAAAGCAGGCAATGTTCTGAGGCAAGAAGGGAAGGAAAAGGAAAAAAGACAGTATTTCCCGAGTGTGCGCCAGGCATGGTGCGAAACACGAATATGTATTCTGTCCTTGCAATGCAGCGGCTGAGGTAAGTATGAGTACTCCGATTTTATAGATGTTTGGCTCAGAGAGGTCAGTTAACTTCCTAAGGTCACACGGCTTGTAGGGTAGGGATCTGAATCCCAGTCTTCTCTGAAGTCCGTGCTTTTTCCAAAATGAATGATACATGACCAAAAAGACAACAGAGGCGGACGCCAGGAGGCCCTTCCTGACTCATGCTGGAATCACGCTCCTCACAGCTCACAGAATGAAGCCTGTCCTCCACTGCAGGCAATGAATGAGATACAGAACTGCCAGAAGACAGGGAGTCATGGGCCACCAGCCAGGCCAAGCATTTCTCCACCTCCAAGACATCGGGCTGCCAGCCAGTCCAGGCCTCACTGGCAGTCACTGCTCCTGTCCAATGCTTCCTCGAGGGAGCCCTTTCTCCTCACTGGGCTTTGTCCCAGCTCTGAAACCTGTAAAGCTTCTGGCCTCGGAAGAACCTTCCTAGAGCGTCTGGCAGGCAGGTTGTGTCGCCTGCTTGCCAAGATCCATGGCTGCTCTCGACTGCCTAATCAGATCATTCAGAATCCTCCTCTTCCGCCCGATTCCAATGCAGGAGCCTGGGAACCAGCTGCAGCCAAAAGCAGAGCTTCAGGGCCACTCCCTCTCCCGCTCCCACCCTCTCCTGCTCCCATCCTCTCCCAACCCCACCCTCTCCTTCATGGGTAACACATGTGTGGGACTGGAGGCTCCCACTCCCACTCCCTGAGTCTGCCCTGTCCCCACTACCTGGCCCCCATGTATCTGGAAGGGAAGTGCAAGGCTGGATGCAGAGACCCCTGGATTCCAGTCCCCGCTTCTTCCGATGCCCAGGAGCAAGCCGCTCAGCCTTTGTGGGCTTCAGTTTCTCCTTCTTAGAGAAGGAATCAGCCCCATTTCTGCTCTCCTGAGAGTAGGGCAGGGATACGAAGAGGAAAGCAAAGGGAATGAGCAGGAGGAGATGTGCTGGGCCTTCTCCAGAACCAGCGGTGCAGCCGGAGCTCCTGCCGGGGTGGTGGCAGGGTGGGGTCTCAGGCCTGGGACTGCTCTGGGGAGCCTTTGGACCCCTATCAAAGTGAGACCAGGAAGGTACAAGAAGAGGCAATGGAGTGGAGGTCAGGGAATGCCTGGGAGGCAGCCAGGCCTTCTCTCAGCCCTTGCCCAAGCCCTCCAGGGCCTGCATCCAGCCCACGGTGGCCCAGGCACCATGCTGCAGTCACCAGGCACCTTCGGATTGGTCCCCAAGTAAATAGAGCCAAATTCCCAGGAAACAAACATGCCTTAGAGAGATTTTCCAGGTCTGCCAAGCTACAAAGCTGCACCTGAGTTCAGCGACAACACATCTTTCCAGGACAGAGCCCCAGTGCCTTCCCCATACCCCCTTTTCCCCCTGGCTGGTCAAATGTGTTGGAGTTCTGGGAAGAACCCAGCATGGCTGGAGCCCTCGGACAAGGGCAGAGGTGGGGTGACAGGAGGAAGCCCCCACCTCGTGTGCTGAATAAAGTTCAGCTTGAACCCGGAACTATACACAGGGCAAAGGTGAAGTGAGGCCCTAAGCTAAGGGCCCGGAGAGGAGAAAGCTGTTAAGAGAGCCCTCGGTGGAGGAGCAGGCATGGGGAGAGCATGGCTCTGGGTACACAGGGAAAAGCCTGATGGCATTTGCTGTTCACCTTTTGCCCTGAGCCCATCCAGGGGGGCCAAGAGGCCTGAGCATGGAAGAGGCTGGTCCCGGGGCAACTTAAGAGCTGGGCCAAAGCTAGGCTTAGCCAGAGGCTCTCCAGAGGAGGCAGTGGACAAGCGACATGAGCACTCAGGGTCTGGCCAACCCTGCCTTTTGGATATATGAACCCTTTTGGCAGACGATCTCTACTGTCCCTCTACATTTGGAAGCAAGGAGGCAAATGCCTACTGTGTGCCAGCTTCTTTCACATTCCTCCTGCTGTGTGAGCCTTTCAGTAATCCTGTGAGGCAGCTTCTTGGTTCGTTTGGCAGCTGAAGAGACTGATAAGCAATTTGATTTAGGTCTCAGTTACAAAGCAGCAGGGCTGGGATTAGAACCCAGCTTCTCTGTCTCCAGCTCCAGGGCTCGTCCCACTGCGTCACTCTGGAGACTGCATCTCGCCCATCCCTGACTTTCAATGAATAAGCAACCGACAGAACACAGAGCCCAGAGAACACAGGCTCCTGGCTATTTACGGCTCCCGGTTCACTTCTCATCTTTGTCAATAGCATGTACCTATTCTTAGGGACATGTTGCTGATCACCCACTGGGGCCAGCTTCCCAGACTTACCCTCCTCCCTCTGCAGCCAGGGCTGGTGGTCCTGGCTGCATTCTCCCTGCAAATGATCCCCAGCCTAACTCAGGGCAAGAAGCCCCAGCAGCTGGTGACCCCGGCCCTCACCCTCCCCAGGGTCATCTATCTTTAATGAGCCAGAGGACGCAAAGGGGGCACCCTAGGCTCAGAAGGAGGGATGAGAGAAGCGATGGGAAATCAGCTGCCTGGCTCCATTCAGCACTTCCTTTCCCTCCTTCAAAGAACAAAGGGAGTCCCTTTGCCCTCAAGGTTTCCCAGCCATTGCTTTGACTTCCCCTATGCCTCTACACCCCAACTGGGGGAGTTCTCAGTGATGACTGTGATGACTAGGGGGCTGCTGGTCCCCTCCAGCTCTCCGTGTTCTGGCACCCTCCTTTGCTCAGCACTGACTGGCGGTTGCCATGGGAACAGCGGGCCAAGGCTTTGCTCCTGGGGACAGGCGTGAGCAGAGTCTTGACTGAATTGATGTCTGTGTGTGTCCCCTCCCCCACCAGGAAGCCAAACTGGGGGACACACTGTGGAGACAGAATTTTGTACAGGAGCACCAAGCCCTGGCTGGAGGCCGGGGGATGGCTGAGATGGCTTCAGACAGGTCCTGCCCCCAGCCCCCAGCCCCCAAGGTGTCTAAAAGCACATCTTATCCATGCAAACTTGAGTCTCTGCACCATGAGACTTCAGCATCTCTCAGATGGCATTTGAGTCCTTGACCTGACATACAAGACCCTCTACAGACATTTTTGGCCTGATCTTCCATGAGTGTCCCACATACT
This sequence comes from Homo sapiens, assembly GCF_000001405.40. Classification (NCBI taxonomy): domain Eukaryota; kingdom Metazoa; phylum Chordata; class Mammalia; order Primates; family Hominidae; genus Homo; species Homo sapiens. The sequence goes on along the minus strand of NC_000001.11, from coordinate 201,693,769 downwards.
CCTGCCCATTCAGGCCGATGCCTGGCTGCATCTTTGCTTCCTCCATCCCTCCTACGGCTTCCATCTAAAAGACCGTCCCTGCTGGGGCACTTCTCCCCAGCCCTCAATGCCCAATTCCAGTCATACCTCCTCCAAGAAGCCTTCCTTGGCCACTCCAGAGATCACTCCCCTTCAAGCTCTGGAACATTTGATCTCTGAGCCCCTCTCATCAACGATCACATACTGCCTTTGCAGTGACAACTCCTTTTGCCTGCTGGTCTTGTCTCCTCCACTAGACACTACATCCCTTATGTAGCTCCATCCACACCCTCGCAGCACTGGGCAGCACACAGCAGCTGCCCAGGAAATGCTGCCCGAGTGATGGTGAGTGAGCAGCCTCCATTCAGCCTCCTCCCATGGAGAATGCAGGCTGCCTTTCATCTGGCCCCTCCTCTTGGTAGAAATCACTATTCCTTCCTTAGGGTCCCTGCTGCAGCCTGTAACAGACTTCTACCACAGCCTGCGTATCACTTGATCACCCACACCTCTTTACACATCCATCTGCCTTCAGGGCAAAGGCCATATGCTATTTATCTTTGAATGCCTAGCACCTGGCACAGTGCCTGATATGTTGTAGGCCTTCCATAAAGGCCTGCTAAACAAATGCATCCCCTGGGCACATAGTCAGATGGCACCTCCTCCACCCACTCACCTGCCATACTTGTCCCGCCTCCCAGTCCTCTGGTTAAGAGATGGACAGGGAGGCAGCCTCATGTCTCCATTTGCCACCCTATAGCCTTCTCTCTCCTGCCCTGCCATCCCATTCCATCCCATCTCTACAGCTCACTTCCTTTGGGAAATCTCATGCAATCCCTCTCACCCCACTTCCCTATTGGCTTATTGTCTCAACTCTTGCCTTCTGCCTCTCAAATACCAGCAGCTACTATCTCTGCCAGTTTCTCCTGATTTGGTAAGTGTCTGGCTTGACTCCCTGGAGGCACAGGCCATGCTTTTCATTCTTCTCTCTCTGTAGGTGCCCACTGCAGGGCTCTGCCTCTGATCCTACCTACAGACAGACTTAGAGATAGCCCTGTTCCATGCCGTGTTCCCAGTGAACACCTGACTTGTCACATATGTGAGCCTTTGTCTTCCTCCCTGATATCTCAGCCTCAGTGCTCCCCTGTCAGACACAAATCAGGGGGAAATGGCTCCCCAGACACCATAAATGCTTTTAATGGAGACCAGGAACTCACTCTAAAGATTTTCCTGCATTTTCCAGACCATTACAAACTCCTGTTACCAAGGAGTCACAGTGATTTTCCCTGGAAAGGCAGACATATATATTTTACTGGACACACAACTCTTTAACACACATTGAAAAAACTACAGTAAAACTCACCATTCCAGATTTATAAACTGGAGCTATCTGTCACTCCACCTGAGCACCCTACTTTCAGTGGGTCTTTTCCTAAAAAGGTCCCAAAGCCTTCCTCAACCAGCTGTTAGGTGACACTGCTCTGCCCTACAGCAGCCTCTGTTACCCACAACTCAGCATTCACCACGTTGTAATGTAATTGCCTGCCTGCTTCTCTATATCCACACCTGACAAGCAGCAACTCTGGTGTGTCCATGGCTGTATCTCCAGGGCACATAACACAGGCTCGTTGAATAACGGGTGAGACAGCAGGGAGACGAGAACTCAGCCACAAGGCAGCTCAACAGCAGAGAAGGAATGGGGCAGGGTAAAGGGAAAAGAGATATGGCCTGGAAAATGGAGCCACACACAAAGCGTGAAGAATGACCAAGAGAGGCTAATGCCTCCCTTTCTGGGCTGGCTTCAAGCAGAACAGCAGCCCCCAGTTCTGACATGAGGTCTCTAGACCACAGTCAGGGAGTTAAACAGGTGCAACTGGCATTCCAACTCCAAATGACTGGTAGTAACTTCTTAGAGGGCTGTGTTGAGAAATATTCCAAGACCATGGCCATGTTTATCAGGACGGAGTTGTGATCAATTAGTGGGCAGTTCTATAAACCACTCCTTTTCCTTTCCTTCAGGCAGAACTTTTCTTAAGCATCTCCAGAAAAGGCGATTCCACGGCGTCCTAAGCCAGGGTCATACAAGCCGCTATTCTGTTCCTTATCCATGGAACAGGGACTGGGCTGCCTGTGATTCCCTAGAGACACCTGTTCATTCCACCTCTGAGCTTTTGCTGATGCTAGTCCTTTAATCTGGAATGCATTTCCCTTTCCATTTTCTGCATGTTCAACCCTTCCTCATTCATTTGTTTGTTTACGTACTTGATGAGCATTCTCTGCACTTTCTATGTGCCAAACACCATATTAGACTCTAGGGATAAAAAGCTGACCAAAACAAAATAAAAAAGTCTGCCTTTTGGTTTGCTTCCTAAACCTCAGACCACTTCTTCCAGGGAGGCTTCTCTGGTCCTTCCACCCAGAAATGACCACACCTTCCGCTGAGGCTCAGCATACTACGGTGCCTCTATTATAGTGGTTCTCAACAGAGATGTTGCCCCTCAGGGGACATTTGGTGATGTCTGGAGACATTTTTGACTTTCATGACTTGGGAGGGGGTGTTACTGGCATCTAGTGAGTAGAGGGCAGGGATGCTGCTGAACATCTTACAATGCCCAGGACAGCCCTCTATAGCAAAGAATTAACTGACCCAAAATGCCATTAAGACCCACTCCATTATCACACCACCTCCTTTCTGTTGTGCTGAACCGTTAACATTAACAACTCCCCCTCCCCAAGCTTCACTTCCTGGATTTTAAGTTCCTCAAGAACAGGATCAATGTATTATAATATCTGGAGTTATTCATGCAGAGGGTCTAGAGGGTTAACAGAGGGTCTAGAAACTCACTGAAGTGATATGCAAAATCTCGTACCCATGTGTAATGTTCATTTTCCTGGGGAAGAGAGCCTGAGACCAGGAAAGCAAAGACCTGCTGACCTGGAGCCCAGCACTCTGCCATGGACAGGCCACGGAGGAAACAGACACACACACTGCCACGGACAGGCCACGGAGGAAATAGCCAGCACTCTGCCACGGACAGGCCAAGGAGGAAACAGACACACACACTGCCACGGACAGGCCACGGAGGAAATAGCCAGCGCTCTGCCACAGACAGGCCACAGAGGAAATAGACACATTCTGCCACAGACGAGCCACAGAGGAAACAGACACACACTGCCACAGACAGGCCATGGAGGAAACAGCCAGCACTCTGCCACGGACAGGCCATGGAGGAAATAGCCAGCACTCTGCCACAGACAGGCCAGAGAGGAAATAGACATACTCTGCCACGGACAGGCCAGAGAGGAAATAGACATACTCTGCCACGGACAGGCCAGAGAGGAAATAGCCAGCACTCTGCCACAGACAGGCCATGGAGGAAATAGACACATTCTGCCACATATAGGCCACAGAGGAAACAGACACACACTGCATGGACAGGCCACGGAGGAAATAGCCAGCATTCTGCCACAGACAGGCCAGAGAGGAAATAGACATACTCTGCCACGGACAGGCCAGAGAGGAAATAGACATACTCTGCCACGGACAGGCCAGAGAGGAAATAGCCAGCACTCTGCCACAGACAGGCCAGAGAGGAAATAGACATACTCTGCCACGGACAGGCCAGAGAGGAAATAGACATACTCTGCCACGGACAGGCCAGAGAGGAAATAGCCAGCACTCTGCCACAGACAGGCCATGGAGGAAATAGACACATTCTGCCACATATAGGCCACAGAGGAAACAGACACACACTGCATGGACAGGCCACGGAGGAAATAGCCAGCATTCTGCCACAGACAGGCCACGGAGGAACCAGACACACTCTGCCACGGACAGGCCACGGAGGAAATAGCCAGCACTCTGCCACAGACAGGCCATGGAGGAAATAGACACACTCTGGGGAGCAGAATCTCCAACCCAGCTGCTCTGAGGCCCCTAGGAGAGCTTCCACCGCACTCCCCCAATCGCACATCTCTCTCAAAGCTTAGGTTGAGATTTTGTTGTTGTTGTATTTAATAAAAGGTGCTTTATTAGGGGAAGGTACAAACAGAAGCGTGGTCTTGGGCGGCCACAGGACAGGTAGATCTCCATATGTGTTACCCCTAGAGTCAGGGCTTATGTACCATAAGGAAAGGGTATATGTGCTCCAGCAAGACAATTAAAAACAACCCCCAGAACAGGCAAGAATGCTACTCTTGTAAGTAGGAAAGCCTGTCCATCCTGTCCCTTTTGCTTATGAACCTAGGAGTCTCTGGAGGGGCCTCAGCTTTAAGCTGTTACCAATCCTCCACCTCATTGAAGGAAAGGAGCTGGGGCCTGGATACACAATGGATGTATCCTTGGTTGAGTGGTGACATGATTTAAGAGAGAATATATCCTGTCCCACCTTCCAGCTACTTCCCCCTGGGAAAAAAGAAGCAACCTATAAAACTGTCCTGTAGCGGCCTAGATGCAATCAGTGAAATACATTTGGATTCATAATTGGATTCGTATCCTATAATTTGTGCAGTAAAAGTTGGAATTTTGATGGGCACCTCAATAGGCACCTTGGGTTCTACTCATCACTTAGTGCCTTCAATATGACTAAATTATGTAAAGTAAGTTCCTACAAAAAGGTGGAGGACTTCTTTAGAATTCGTTGAGAATGCTCAGCAGAGAAGGGCATGTTCTTCCAGGGTGTGTGCTGGGATTAACTGCCTCTTGGAAGCCCATGAAGGTACCTGGTTAATTTGATAACTGATCACAAAGCTTGCACTCAAGTCTCCCCATGTTTCCATGGGATAAACTGAGGCCTTAAACTCAAGGTCAGCAGTGCATGTGGAGCAGGCAACACGTCTAGTAACCTAGGTCCCAGCCTCTGCTGCTGCCCTAACCAACCTCCTTTTCAATAGAGACAGAATTTATCAAAGTGAGAGCCAATTTCATTCTATCATATCAGGGACAGGGAAGAGAGATAAAAGGACATTTGACTCCCTGCTGTCAGCCAGAGACGCTAATGAATCCTTTGCTTCCGAAGACGATTATCGGACAGAATAATTCATCGCTAGAGATTAATTGGACTAATTACGTTGGCTCTCAGAATCCCTGAATAATTATTTTCGATGGGGGCGGGTGTCAGTGATAACTGTGTGATATCTGAGCCTCTTCCCTTGAATGAAAAGCCCGCAAAAAGGGATTCCTGGTTTTGAACAGTGGGCAGGATGTAAATATCATGGATGGCTAAGTTTCAGCTCTGATCAGGTTATGTGGTGCCCATATTTTGTGTGTAAAACCTTTATTCAGAGAAATATTATCATTTCTAATATCCCAGATCATCTTCTTCACTCTTTCATTCAACAGATTCTTCAAAACATCCCATTTTCCCCAGGAAGTTCTCCTTGATTCCATGGGAGTAGGGAGACCACAAGCTGTGCAGATTCACGTCCCTCCTGGGAAGAGGTTTACCTGGTCCATAAGCACTAACCTGCCATGGTCTACTCTGCTCCAGTGCCACCCTCCCTAACCACCCTCACCCCACCAAGGAGCCCAGGGTCCAAGGCCTGGCACACAGGGAGAGCCAGGAAGGACCTGCTCTCATCAGAACAGTTGACGGCACCCCTGCCATCTCTTCCTCTTTAAATGAAGAGCCGACAACCTTGCTACGTGAGTAATACAAAGGCTGAGTGCACAGCCAAAGAATTTAGTGTTTAAATAAAACTTACAACCAAGTTCATCTGACACATGTAATCATCTGCATTGTCACTTTCATGTTATGTGGCAATTAGAAATCAAATGGCTGGGCAGTCATTCCTCGTTAATTACATACAGCAGAATCAGGCGTGTTTGGGATGACACTGCTGGAGGTGGTTGGAGGGAAAATGAGAACCTTTGATTCCCCATCTTCCCCCATCTGAGGGAGGGCCTTGGAGAAACTTGCCCGCCCTCAGATGTTCATACTCTCCCATCAGTTCCCAGGCCACAAATGCCAGGCTTCAGGAAAGGGTGGGGCACCATGTTCACTAGTTTTAGGGCCCTAGTTGACTCCGAACCAATATCCAGGGTAGGTGGGTGGTAGCTTTAAAATCAGACAGATTTGGGTTGGCGTCTTGGCTCTACCATGAAATATGCAAACTTAACTAAGAGTCTTTATGTTCAAAAGTCTCATTTTTTTTCCACCTGTAGAACAGAGATAATTATGTATATTCTAAGGGCTATTAGGAAGATTAAAGTAGATAACGTATGTTAAGTGCTAGCACAGTGCCTAGTATCTGGCAGGCACTCATATCATAGTTGTTATTGTTGGTATTATTATCATAAGTGGGAAACCCCATCCATCCTGGTCCCTTTTGGTTACGAACCTAGGGGTCTCCAGAGGGGCCTCAGCTTTAAGCTCTTACCAATCCTCCCATTGAAGGAAAGGAGGTGGGAGGCTGGATACACAATAGATGTATCCTTGGTTGAGTGGTAATATGATTTAAGAGAGAACATATCCTGTGCCACCTTCCAGCCACTTCCCCCTGGGGGAAAAAAAAAGCAACCTATAAAACACTCCTATAGCTGCCTAGATGCAATCAGTGAAATATATTTGGATTCGGTGGTAAAATCCTTAGAGGGAGAGCCACTAGTTAGTCACTCCATGTTGTAATTTATATAATACTGTATATATTGGCAAAGGAGACCTTCCTAAATACCGTATGCTTATAAAGACTTCTGAAGGGAGAAAGGAAAAAGCATTTAAGATGAAGCTGGCAAGGAGCTGAAAGGTTTCTGTTAATGGGTAACTGTGAGTAACTATGCATAATTGCAAAATACCTTTCACACCAGGAAGGAGCTTCTGAATTGAGTGACAAAGCAGCTGCTGCTCGAGGTTTTTGCAATGGCAGCAAAAGTGAGCCTCCTCCTGTCATCTGTCCTTCCTGCTGTGGACAGTGGGGGAAGGTGAGTGCAGTCTGAGGCTGGTAGGAGAGGTAGGCTGCAGGGGTTGGGCTATTTTCCAGAAAGAAAAGGATAGATTGCTGCCCGGAAGCCAATTTAAGGGCTCTTTAGGAGGCAAAGGTGGCAAGATAACTAGCAAGAGAAAACCTGCCTACAGAAACTATGGAAATAAGCAAATGGGTTGGAGTGGGGGATAGGAGATAGATGCAAATCAATGCAATCTTGAAACAAGATCACAAGATTTTCAGTTCAGCATAAAGAAATGTGGTCAGGAAATGTCTGGGACACACTAGAGACAAAGTATCTACCAGTGCAGTTAACAACTGGGCATCCAAATGCCTAGAGTCAGGGGCTTGCTCCCCACCTATTCAAAGTGGGATGACAAGTCTGAATTTCTGAAGCAATTTGTCCTATAGTTTAATCAGACTGCTGTCCAAACACCTTGACTAAAGAAATGGGTGTTTTGATGGGGACCTGGGGAAGGTGTGAGAGATAATGTTAGAGCATGGTACCCTGGGGGAGGGCTGGTCTGGATGGAATACTGAGGGGGCAGGGATGAAGGCAGCAAGAGGGCAGCTTGAGGGGAGTGAGTATGGGGGATTGAGAGGAGGGGCAGATGCAGTTGGGGGAGGAGTGAAGGTGCTAAAGATGGGTGCCTGGATTTCTCTGAGGACCAACATGACTCCCTTCCATCTAGAAGGGCCAGGCAGCTGTCCCTCGGTGCTTATTAGGTGTGCATCTCTCCACAGCCTCTTCTCTGGCTCTGGAGCTTCAGATGTGTGTGAAATAAAAGCAGTGAGCTGAGAACATCTTGTCATGTTGATCTGCAGCTGTCTCAGGTACCCTTTACAGGGACATTCTGCAGAAAGCAAGCCAAGACTGCATTCAGGGGTATTTTAGTTCACAGTGGCCTTAAAGACATGCAGCTCAGGAGTTTCCCATGTATCCATCATGTATCATCACAATTCCAGCCCAGGGCATTCAGAAGAATGGACGGGGTTCAGCGTGGATACGAAGAGCACAGGAAGATTAGGTTCTTCTACTTGCTCTGCCACTAGCTGGCTATGTTTCCTGGACCTGCTCCTCATTTGTAAAATGATCTGTAAGTCATTTCAAGTCTTGTGGACTTGGTTTAGAGTCACATACATGCCCTGATTATCACCACAGAGGAAAAATGTACTGGCTGCTGGGCCAAGGGGGACAGGCAGGGACTGTCACCGAAGATTCTGCCACAGGCGGTAACGGATCCCAGTTAGTCTGGCCTCACATCAGGAAATATCAGGTGTTCAGGGAACCAGATACAGAGGAAATGAGCAGAAACACCCAAACATGGGGTAATGGACACCTTCTCAATGATTACAAGCTGTTTCCTACAGAGCATCACTTGGGGGAAGGTGCGAGCTCATTTGCCTTACAGCCCCAAGGCTGGAAATCCTGCACATCTGTGATGGGGCTGGTCTGAGTTTCTCTAAACTCAATTAAATTTAGCAAGCATTTGAGTGCTTGCTACAGTGTTTCTCAGCCTTTGGAGTGTAGCCTTTGGCCCAGCCTTAAAAGACTGTGATTCAGAATAACCAGGTTTTTTTTGTTTTGTTTTTGAGACAGAGTCTCACTCTGTTGCCCAGGCTGGAGGTGCAGTGGCGTGATCACCGCTCACTGAAACCTCTGCCTCCTGAGTAGCTGGGATTACAGGTGCCCACCACCATGCCAGGCTAATTTTTGTATTTTTAGTAGATATGGAGTTTCACCATGTTGGCCAGTGCGAATTTCTGACCTCAAGTGATCCACCCACCTTGGCCTCCCCAAACAGTTGGGATTACAGGCATAAGCCACCGCGCCCGGCCAGAACTGGGGTTGTGGGTTTTTTTTTTTTTTTTGAGACAGAGTCTTGCTCTGTCGCCCAGGCTGGAGTGCAGTAGCATGATCGTGGCTCACTGCAACCTCCACTTCCGGGGTCACGTCATTCTCCTGCCTCAGCCTCTCGAGTAGCTGGGATTACAGGCGCTCGCCACCACACCCAGCTAATTTTTTGTATTAAGAATTGGGGTTTTTTAAAGCTGCATAGGCTGGGCACAGTGGCTCACGCCTGTAATCCCAGCACTTTGGGAGGCTGAGGCGAGTGGATCACCTGAGGTCAGGAGTTCGAGACCAGCCTGGCCAACATGGTGAAACCCCTGTCTCTACAAAAATACAAAAATTAGCCAGGCGTGGTGGCAGATGCCTGTAATCCCAGCTACTCAGGAGGCTGAGGCAGGAGAATCGCTTGAACCTGGGAGACGGAGGTTGCAGTGAGCCGAGATCAAGCCATTGCACTCCAGCCTGGGCGACAAGAGTGAGACTCTGTCTAAAAAAAAAAAAAAAAAGGCTGCATAAAGGAAGAAAGTTTAGAATGAACCACGTGCTATTAGGTTAGCGTTGCAGACATCAGTATTAACTAATATTTAGTTACACACACACAGTTTACATATATATCACATATATATGGAGAGATAGACAGCTATGTTTACATACATGGGTTAATATAAACACATATATTCCTAGGTCTATGCACCACAGTGATAGCAATAGGCACACCCAGCACTCAGATCTCAGATTCTAAACCTCCTCCCATTAAAGGAACTAAGATTCCTTGGAGAAATAGCTGATTCTTGGAGCACTGGGGCAGGGAATGTGCAAAATGAACCTAGAGCATCTTGTAGGGCCGAAAAGCAAGGAAATAAATATGTAAATAAAGATTGGAGTATGTCAAAGGGACACAGATGCCAGTTAAAAGTGCTCCCCTAACAGCCAAAGCTGAAACAATTTTGAAAACAAAATAAAAAATGTAGAACTGGATTATAACTCAAAGTATGAAATAAACATCCACAAGAACATACTGATCTAAATGAATGAATGAATGATGAATGAATGGGGGAGAAGAGACAAATCTCCCATAAAGAAGAATTTAGGTGGACGCTCCCCCTCCAGGAGGTGAAGCCCTCCTTGAACGTGGCTGCACACAGTGACTTCCTTCTGAAGAGTACACTATGGAAATGGGGGAGGGCGGGAGGGGACAGAGGACAGTAACACTCCGTGGAGAAACTCAATGAACACCACCTTAGCGAGATAATTAAGGTCAACATCAACAGTGATAAGTCATGTTGGTAGCATGGACCAGGGCTTCCCAATCCCCAGGCCATGGACCAGTACTGGCCACAGAGCAGAAGGTGAGTATGCCACACAGCAGGAACCCTAGCCGCACAGCAGGAGATGAGTGTGCAGGCAAGCATGACCGCCTGAGCCCCACCTCCTGTCAGATCAGCAGCAGCATTAGATTCTCATAGGAAGGTGAACCCTATTGTGAACTGCGCATTGTAGGGATCTAGGGTGCACACTCCTTATGAGAATCTAGTGTCTGATGATCTGAAGTGGAGCAGTTTCATCTCAAAACCATCTCCACCCCATCCCCCAACCCCTGTCCGTGGAAAAATTGTATTCCATGAAACCGGTCCCTGTTGCCAAAAAGGGTGGGGATCGCCGGTATAGACCCTTCATAGGATGTCATGAGAATGGCATTTTACTTCTGTGGTCTTCATCCCCCAAACACATAATCCCTGTTTAGCCATGAGAAAAATATCAGTTAAAACCACTGCAGGACATTCTGCAAAATACCTGACCAGTACTCTTCAAAACTGTCAAGGTCATCGAAAACAAAGAAAGTCTAAGAAACTGTCACAGCCTAGAGGGGCCTAAGGAAATCTGATGACTGAGAGTAATGTGTTATCCTAGATGGGATCCTGGAACAGAAAAAGAACATGAGCTAAAACCCAGGTAAATCCAAATAAAGTCTGGACTTCCAAGTTAATAATAATTTATCATTATTGGTTCATTAATTGCAGTAAAGGTACCCTAATAATGTAAGATGTTACCAACAGGGGAAACGGGGGTGGGGTATGTCAACCCTCTGTACTAGCCTTGCAACTTTTCTGTAAATCTAAAACTATTCTAATATTAAAAGTTTAGTAAGAAATTAAAAATTACATCGATGGTTCTGAGGCACAGCCAGGTTGATACACAGTTGCCCCTTGAACACCATGGACTTGAACTTAGTGGGTCCACTTACACATTACTTTTTTTTTTTTCCAACCTTGCATGTAATGAAAATAAAGTATTCCCGGGATGTGAAAACTGCCTACACCAAGGGCCAACTTTTCATAGCACGTAGGTTCTGCAGAGCTGAATGCGGGTCTTGACTATGCACAGATTTGGTTATAAGTCAGTGGTCCTGGAACCAATCCCTTGAGTATGCCAAGGAGAACTACAATATGTAGTAGATGCTAAAGAAAATAAGATAATGAGTGACACTGCCCTTATCACCAAGGTTCTTAGAGCCTGACCAGGGAGAGTGGGGGACTGCTGTCAGACAAATGGAGAAAAAAGCTAAAATAGTTTCAGCCAGTGAATGCCATCAGAGGCATTGTCACAAAGGTTCAAAAGAACCTCAGAAGAGGTTGGTGGCTGCGGTAGGGGTGGGGGACCATGGGGAAAACATTTTTCTCTTTCTTTTTTTTTTTGAGATGGAGTCTTGCTCTTTTGCCCAGGCTGGAGTGCAATGGCACCATCTCAGCTCACTGCAACCTCCGCCTCCCGGGTTCAAGTGATTCTTGTGCCTCAGCCTCCCAGGTAGCTGGGATTACAGGCATGTGCCACCATACCTGGCTGATTTTTTTTTTTTTTTTTTTTTGAGATGGAGTCTCACTCTGTCACCCAGGCTGGAGTGCAGTGGCACGATCTTGGCTCACTGCAACCTCCACCTTCCGGTTTCAAGCAATTCTCCTGCCTCAGCCTCCCAAGTAGCTGGGATTACGGATGTGCATCACCACACCCAGCTGATTTTTGTATTTTTAGTAGAGATGGGGGTTTCACCACATTGGCCAGGCTCGTCTTTAACTCCTGACCTCAGGTGATCCACCTGCCTCGGCCTCCCAAAGTGCTAGGATTATAGGCGTGAGCCACAGCACTCGGCCCTTGGCTAATTTTTGTATTTTTAGTAGAGATGGGGTTTCACCATATTTGCCAGGCTGGTCTCAAACTCCTGACCTCAAGTGATCTGCCCCCCTCGGCCCCCCAAGTGCTAGGATTACAGGCGTGAGCCACTGCGCCTGGCTGGAAAAATATTCTTAAAGGATGGGTAAGATGTTTATAGGTGAAGATGGAGGAAGTAGGTGTTTCCAGGCTGGGGATATTGCTTAATCCAAGACACAGAGGCCAGAAAATGAGGCTGACTCGGGGGAGAGCAAGGAGTCCAGCTGGACCGAACAGGAAGCAATGTTCCCACATGGCCTCGTGGACTGCTGGCCCTACCAGTGTTCTGCCAAAGCAGGATCCCATGGACAAACACGCTGGGGAGATTCTGCATATTTTAAACCCATTCCTGGGGACTCACGAACCCCATTAGTATACAAAGTCTCAGAGACTCCAAATCAGAAAATCTGTTTAACCTTTCTCAACCCAGAGTTTCCTAGATTTATTTGACCACAGGGTCTTTTATTTTTAAGTAATGCCAATTAACAAGTTTCACAGAATTCCCTCAGGGAAATGCTGGCAGATGGTTTGGGTAGGGAAGAGAAAGGAGAAGCTAGAAAGGTGAGAAAGTGCAATTGTGGAGGCCTGAAATGCTGGATGCGAAATCAGGATGTTATTCTGCAGAAGCCACTGAAGGCCTCTGTTCTGGGGAGTGACATGGTCTCAGCTGTGCATTAGGAAGGCACCCCCAGAGGAGTGTATGGGGGTGAACTGGAAGGAGGGAAGTCAGGAAACATTCATGAAGGAGATGATGGTGTGAATAGGACAATGGCTGGGGACGAAAGACAATGTAATATTTCAGAGGCAGAAGCAACAAGACTTGCGATTGAACCAGGGTGAGGGTCAGGTACAGAGAAGTAAAGAAGCATGGGCGCAAGAAGTGTGGCGTTGCGATCACAGCTGGGGAGACAGGCCAGCCCAGCTGGTCTGCAGTGGAGCCCTGCCCACCATTCTCCTTTCTCTGTCCCAAAGGCTAGAGCAGCACCCTCCAGACCCCCACTGGGCGAAGGGTGCAACAAAATAAATTTAATTTGAGCAACAAAATAAAAAACATAGTGATATGGTTTGGCTGTTCTGTCCCCTCCAAATCTCCTGTTGAAATGTGATCCCCAATGTTGGAGGTGGGAGGGGTTTGAGTCATGGGGCCAGATCCCTCATGAATGGCTTAGTGCTGTCCTCTCTATAATGGGTGAGTTCTCACTCTATTAATTCACCCAAGATCTGGTTCTTTATTTTATTTTATTTATTTATTTGTTATTATTTTTTTTGAGACTGAGTTTCTCTCTTGTTGCCCAGGCTGGAGTGCAATGGCGCGATCTCGGCTCACCACAACCTCCACCTCCCAGGTTCAAGCAATTCTCCTGCCTCAGCCTCCCGAGTAGCTGGGATTACAGGCATGTGTCACCATGCCTGGCTAATTTTGTATTTTTAGTAGAGATGGGGTTTCTCCATGTTGAGGCTGGTCTCGAACTCCTGACCTCAGGTGATCCGCCCACCTCGGCCTCCCAAAGTGCTGGGATTACAGGCGTGAGCCACCGCGCCCAGCCTTGGTTCTTTAAAGGAGACTGGAACTTCCTTCCTCTCTCTCTTGCCGTGTGACACACCCGCTCCCCGTTCACCTTCTGCCATGAGTAAAAGCTCCCTGAGGCCTCACCAAAAGCCAAGCAGATGCTGGTGCCTTGCTTGTACAGCTTGCAGAACCATGAGCCAAATATGCCTGTTTTCTTTATAAACTGGCCAGCCTCAGGTATTCCTTTTTAGCAATGCAGAACAGACTAACATACATAGTACTGAATTATAACTCAGAGTATAAGATAAACACTCCCATGAGTACATTGTGATATAAATCAATCACTGAATAAATGGGGGAGAGCAGACAAGTCTCTCATACAGAAGAATTCCAAATAATTTACAAGTATTATGATTTATATAGGAATGACAAACCTATGCTCCATGCCCCACATCCCTCTTTGCATCACTCCAAAGCAAAGCCTCCCTGAGAGAGCAGAGTGCAGTGGCCAGGAACCAGACACCTGTTCAAAACCCCTTTCCAAAACTTACTAGCTGGATGACTTCAGGCAAGTTACTCAACCTCTCTGCCTCAGTTTCCTCATTTGCAGAAGGAGGACAAAAATAATTTCAACTTTGTCGGCCTATCATGAGGACTTAAGACACGTGAAGTATCTGGTGACTGGGGGAAGACAGCAATGTGCAGAGTTATTAAATAGAATAAGTATTTGGTACATAGTAAGGGCACCATACATTTCAATAACTGGTTTGTAGGGGTTCAGAAGGGAGATGTTGAGAGGAAGGAGGAGGTCTATAGAAACCACAGAGAAGGTTACCTACAAACAGCTTTCAGCAGAGGGGGTCCTCAGGGGTGCCAGGCAGTCTGAGATGGAAAAATCAGGACCTTGCCCTTTAGGGGTGGAAGGAGCTCTGGGCTGCTCATTTTCACGTGGCTGACTCACTTTCCCAGATGCACACCGGTAATTAGAGGACCAGGGTTTCTGGTTCTCCAAGCACCTCCAAGCCCTTTGGGAGATGAGTTGTAAATGAGACCACTGCCGGTTTTGTGAAGAGAAAGGTGCTTTGAGGGCCAGCTGGCCTCCCTCTGCCTTAATTGTGGCCTCTCTGCCCGCAGGCTCAGGAGGTTGGCTCCCCGCTGCAGTCAGGCAGGAGGGGGCTTCATTTGGGTAACTCCTGCACATTGCTGTCTCCCCCCCAGTAAATAGCCCCACCTCCAAACCCCCAGCATCCTAACCACCTCCTCCCTTCTGGGCTCCCCGACCTTTGTCTCCACGGGAGCCTCCCCTCCCTAGCATCCTGTGTCCCAGCTGGAAGCAGATGGAGGGGAGGGGCTGCCAAACCCCTCTCCACCCCACTGGATGCCTCACGGGCTCTCTGGTGGGAGCCTTCCTCCTTCGACTTTTTCTCTCAGAGCTGATGCTGTTGAGTTTGGGTTGGGAGGGGGGACAGACAGAGGGAGGTGTGTCCTTGAGTTTGAGCTTGTGGGGAGATTCGTTGTGGTGGTGAGTGGGTGGTAAGAAACAATGAATTTGCAGGGATGAATGCAGCCTGGGACTTTGGAAAGCAGCCTCTTTTGTTGGAGGCTGGGTGAAGTCAGAAAGCTAAACAAAATTGCTGATACAGTTACTCCTTTATCACTCCTTTCTTCTTCGCTGAAGGGGCTGAAGTTACTAGGAAACTCACTATAGGAGAGGAGTTAAGAGTGCAGGTTTCAAATCCTGGCTGTGGCAATTATCAACTCTGTGACTTCCAGCGGAGTCCTTGCCTTCTCTGTGCCTCAACACCCTCATCTGTAAAATGGGGACAAGAGCACCTACCTCAAAGAGTTGGAGTAAAGACTGATCAAACTATTACTCATAAAGTGCTTAGTTCAGTTTCTTGCACACAATAAGCACTTGAAACACACCAGCCATTGGAGCGCTATCAGCAGCTTTCAGGAAAGTTCAGAAAGGCTTGCTTTGGCAGCAGCAGCTTACGTTGAGAGGTAGGAGGCCCGGACTTGTGTTCTAGTATTTCCACAAACTCACTGCCAAGTCAGTTCATAACGTAGCTCCCTCATTTACCTTTTGGGGATATTAATATTTGTCCTACCTACTTTATCAGGGTGGTGCGAAAATGCAATCACATTTGGCAGGATACATTTCTGAGATGTTTAATTCATGGTGCCTCCCTCTGTGTAATTCCACTCCCCAGCTCCCATTCTGAGCAGGTCACCAGGTTTCAAAACTCTAAACTTCGGGGACATTGGACAGAATAGGAAGCAGAATGGGGCAGCATGTTTGGTGAAAGCTTCAGGCTATTAGGAAGGTGAGTTTGGCCGGGTATGGTGGGTCACGCCTGTAATCTCAGCACTTTGGGAAGCCGAGGTGGGCAAACTGCTTGAGCTCAGAAGTTTGAGACCAGCCTGGGTGACATGGTGAAACCCCATCTCTACCAAAAAATAAAAAAAATTAGCCAGGCGTGGCGGCGCATGCCTATGTTCCTAGCTACTCACGAAGCTGAGGTGGGAGTGTCGCCCATGCCTGGGAGGCGAAGGTTGCAGTGAGCGGAGATCATGCCACTGCACTTCAGCCTGGGCTGGAGACCCCATCTCAGAAATGAAACAAACAAACAAACAAAAAAGATGGTGAGTTTAGGGGAAGGGAAGAGACCACTTTTGAGAAGCAGAGAGTGGGCAAGGCTCTCCTGAACTAGAAATGAAAAAAGCACCGTGAGTCCCAGGAGCAAGCAGTCAGATGCATTCCCACACCCTGAGGGGGACGGGGTGGGGTAAACAGGAGGAAGGGACATTGGGCAGAGGCTGCTGGCCTTGGCAAAGAAGTCCATGTCCCATGGCACAGAACTGGAGAGGCACTGAGGAAACTTGCAGGGATCACAACATAGTGGTCCTTTCCTGTTTTCCAAGCTTTGCTCAGACCTTCTGGACCTGGGGTGAGCCTGGGGTTGGGGGAAAGGATGCCAGCCGCCAGCAATTCTTTTTTTTTTTTTTTTTTTGAGATGGAGTCTCAATCTGTCGCCCAGGCTGGAGTGCAGTGGCACAGTCTTGGCTCCTGCAACCTCCACCCACCAAGTTCAAGCGATTCTTCTGCCTCAGCCTCCTGGGTAGCTGGGATTACAGGCACGCACCACCATAACCAGATAATGTTTGTATTTTTAATAGAGACAGGGTTTCACCATGTTGGCCAGGCTGGTCTCAAACTCCTGGCCTCAAGTGATCCACCCATCTCAGCCGCCTAAAGTGCTGGGATTACAGGCATGAGCCACCGCGCCCAACCAGACCCCAGTAATTCTGACTTGAAATGTCTTGCCACTCAGGAGGGTAGGGGCTCAGAAGTAGAATTACATTGGTTTAAAGACAATCAAGAATGGGATGTTTGTTGCCTGGCCAAGTTTGTGGGCTGCTATTTAGATCTATTACACACAGATTCCAAAGCTTAAAAAGTATGGAGTGCCAGAAACACAGTATTTGACATGATTATTAATTATCTAATTATTTTGGTATAAAAATGTTTGGCAAGAGGGGAATGGGGAAGGTTCGCCAGGGCCAGAAAGGGCTTGGGCTGCAGCTTCTGAAAGATTGTGTTCACCTTTTAAAAGCAGAGCTGGTTGGGTGTTGCGGGGAGAATGGTGGAGGAGCTACCGGGAACCCCAGCCTGGACCACTGGGGTGAAACTATTTCCTGCGAGTCAGCTCTCCCCAGCCGCTTCCCTCGCTGTGTGGCCTGCTTTGCCTCCCTGAGGCTCCCTGACTCCTCCCCTCCACTGAAGGTCCCAGCACAAGGAAAGGGGACAGAGCTGGGCCTGTGCCTAGGAAGCCGACTCTGTGTCCTCCTCAGCACTTCTGGGCAGCTGCATTTCAGTCTTGGGAAGGAGAAAGGGAGAGAAAGAGTCCCTGAGCCCTGAAACCTGAGCCCAGCCTGGCTGAAATAAGTGCAGCTTTCAGGAAGGAGTCAAACTTTCTCAGGCTAAAGCTTCCTCTTAAAAGCAGAGGGAGTGGCTGCTGGGAGGCCAGGTCTCCAGAGTCCCCAGGGCACTTCCAGGAGGACCTCTCTGCAGGAGGCCAGAGGTCTGTGCCTCAGTAAGGATTCATTAACACCCTATCTCAGAAAGAGGGGCTGGAATTATCTCCTTTTGGTAGGCAATAGGGTAGGAAGCAGAACCGGCCAGCATACTTGGTGAAAGCTTCAGGTGAGTTTAGAGGAAGAGAAGAGATCACTTTTGAGACGCAGAGAGGGGGCAAGACTCTCTTGAACTAGAAGTGAAAAGAGCTTTAGGTACAGGGGAAACTGGGGCTTGGGATGGTGATTTGGGAATAAATAATTCTAATTATGAATGATGATTTATGAGGCCGGCCACTGGGCCAATGAAAAGTTTGCCATTCTTTTCTTCCCTCTTGAGGCTCCCCGTCTGCCATCCAGCTTCAGAAAATGGTTCCAGATAGGCAAACTTCGTTGCCTCAGGAGGCCAGGGTTTAGGGTGGAGTGGAGGGAGAACATGAGTTTAGAGAAGTGAATTTGGACAGAACTGTAGGGGTTGTACCCCTCAAATTCCATCGCTTTGTTTTAAACATCATCCCACTTTCAGGAAAGGTAACTTGGGGAAGAAGATGGAGGGAAAGAGACGATATTTAAATGTGCAAATTCCTCTGGGATGAGTAAAATACAAACACCTTACCAAGTGCCTGGTTCATTTTTTGTTGTAAGTTAATGGTAAGTAATAGTAGTGTTTATGGAGCAGTTCCTTTGAGCAGGCTAAGTGCACTGTCTAAAAGCAGGGACTTTTATCTCTCTACCATGGTGAAGAGGAAGCTGAGGTTACACGAGGCTGGCCAGCCCTGGCCTTGTGACAAGAAGTGCCCGGTCAGAAAGGAGACGATAAGCATGGAGGATCCCGGGGCAGGGATCTCAGGAGCAGGGGACAGGCAGCAGTAGGACATTAACTTTGTGGCTTTTATGGTTTTGTCAAGGAGCAGATTTGGCACTGAAAGATACTGTCAAGCATTCACCAAGGAAATGGAGGACATGTTGGTGTGACATGGTGGTGGACAGATTGGTACCTGGTGTAGTCTGGAGGCCGTTCCCTCTAAATCTCATGTGGAAAGGTCATCCCCAGGTCAGAGGTGGGGCCTGATGGGAAGTGCTTGGGTCATGGGAGTGGATCCCTCATGGCTTGGTGCCATCCTTGCCATAGTGAGTTCTTTTTTTTTTTTTTTTTGAGACAGAGTCTCACTCTGTTGCCCAGGCAGTGACGCGATCTCCGCTCACTGCACCCTCAACCTCCCAGGTTCGGGCAATTCTCCTGCCTCAGTCTCCAGAGTAGGTGGGATTACAGGTGCGCGCCACCACACCCAGCTATGTGTGTGTGTATTTTTAGTAGAGATTGGGTTTCACCATGTTGGCCAGGCTGGTCTCAAACTCCTGGCCTCAAGTGATCTGCCCACCTCGGCCTCCCAGAGTGCTGAGATTACAGGTGTGAGCCACCGTGCCCAGCCAGTTTTCGTGAGATCTGGTTATTTAAAATTGTGTGGCACTTACCCCCACAACTCTCTCTTTTGCTCCCTCTGTCACCATGTGACAAGCCTGCTCCCACTTCACCTTCTGCCATAAGTAAATGCTCCCTGAGGCTCCTTTGAAGGCTGAGCAGATGCCTGCACCATGCTTCCTATACAGCCAGTAGAAACATGAGCCAATTAAACCTCTTTTTTAAATAAATTATCCAGCCTCTGGTATTTCTTTACAGCAACGCAAGAATGGCCTAACATACATGTTTTGCTGGAGGGCCTCCAGGAGGGCTCCTGGTACCAGCAATGACTATTTCTTAGAAGCCCTGGGCTGGGCCCTGGACAACCCCCCCCAACACACACTCATTCCAGGAGGAACCCAAGAAGGGCACAGAACAGAATCATGGGTAGTGCGGCACTGCGGCAGACATCCCCCACCACCCTTCCTCTCTGCTGCAACCCCTCTTCCAAAATACTTTTTGATTTTAGACAAGTTTCCATGGCAACCCAAGTCCCCATCAGCCAGAGGGTTACCATGGCGACTTAACTTGGCTCTGCGTCCACAGCTAAGGAGGGCCCTACACCTTAGCTGGCAAGCAAGGCTCACAGAAAATCAAGTGAAGGGAGGATTGAGGCCTTGGCTTGCTGTGGGGCATCTGGGCACCTGGACACCTGGGCTGGCCACCTGCCAGGCCTGGCAGCGAGGTCTTAGAGCAGTGGCTGGCGCAGTCCCCAACAGGACTGAGAAATGTTGGCTTAGGCTTTCCTAGTCTTTGGTTGCCGCTTCAAGGCACTGACTGGGCCCTACCTTCAGATGAAGCACCTTCTCCATGACTGCTGCCCTTCACGTTTGACCTCTTCTAAGAATCCTTCCCTAACTCTACCTGGCTTCAATAGCTTCTCTTCGACATTCTCTTGGTATTTATAGACTCAGTTTACAAAGTGCAACTCTTGGGCAATATTCCACATCTAGGCTCTAGACAAGGCTGCTATTCAACTGCTATGCCCCTTACAGTGCCCACGGCTACATACATTCTGTCCTATGCCTGTGCCTTCCCTTGTTAACGATCTGGGTCTTGAACTCTTCTGCCCTCTCTCCCACATCAGAATGGGGGCTCTCTGAGGGCAGGGCCTGTTCCTTGCGTTTGAATTTCTGCATTGAGCTTAGCTGAGGATGCAGAGGGATGGGGAGGTGAGAATGGCCAATGCTGAGAGTGGCCAATAGTAATGTGCCTGACCCTCCCAGCTGTGAAAAGGAGAAGAGAGATGTGAGGTCAATTTTCATTTTTTGGGAGGCTGACAATCTGGTCTGTAAATAATTGAGGCTGCTACTTCAGCTGTTTCACTGTCTCTCCATCTCCCATTTTACCACTCTCCAGCTACTATGCCAAGAGAAGAGAACAGAAATGAAATCTGATAAGTGTGTGCCTCCCACGACCATCCCTTATAGACGCACTCTCGCTCTGCTCGTAGATGCCGCGGCCCATCTGTGGGGCCTGCCTGCCCACGGGCCGGAAGTGTTGGACTCAAAAGCAATCCATCAAATGCGGAGACACATTTGCACTGTGTTCTGAAATACATTTTTAACTTTTATTGCATTCTCACAGAGCCTAAAACAATAAATTCATTAAAGAACAGCAAGAGTGTAGATTAAGCTCACTTTTCTATTTAGCCTGCAAAAAGAGGTGTGTTTAAAATTAACGGCAGTATTTTTTTTTGTAAAGACCAGAGTCAGGCTTTTCTTCGGTACTGCTTGCTGATTGGCCAGTGGGCAGAGTTCTACATGTGGGCCTAACATGCACCCCAAGGGCTTCAGTCGTCCCCACTGGCATCGCCATCAGTCTATGTGCGTCCACAGGGCAGTCGAGCTTGAGCGTCTGTTGGGCGGTAAGTTCTCAGAGCCCAGTCTGTTTGGCAGGTTTTTTACAACATGCAAACCAAGCTTGCCTTCCAGAAGCATCTGAGTCCTGCTCTGACCACAGGGACTTCTTATAGGCTTTCTTAGAGCATCATGTATATCCCTCTGCAAAGCCACCTTATTTCTATGACACCCTGAAAGGCAGCAGAGCCCAATGGTTAAACACACGGCGTCTTGAGTTCTGCCACTTACTAGCAGTAAGAGCTTAGATAAGGAACTTAACCTTTCTTTGCCTCAGGTTCCTGGCCCATAAAATGTGAATGATGATCACAATAACATCTACCTCATAGAAGGGCTGTGTGGGTTCACTGAACTATTATACATAAAGCACCCAGAACAGGGCCTGGCACAAAGAAATTGCTCTATTATCCAAAATCTGGGTAAACTGTCTTGACAACCAGTTCCCAGGGACTTTCTGTGCTTAGAAAGAAGGTTCTTTTAGGCCAGGGACTTTTCAAATTGCAGGCTGTAACTCATTTGTGGATCATGAAATCAATGTAGTGGATTGCAACCAGCAATTGAAAAAAAATTAGACCACATACAATACAATCAAGAAATCACACATACAAAAAACTTAAATATATTGTGCATAGTATTGTTTCATAAAACTTTTGACTCAGTATGTGTGTACTGAGTTTGCTGAAAAATGTATTTCTGACTTGGAGGATCAAGGTGGGAGAAAAAACGTTTCAAATACAGTGCTTTAGGCTGTTGTCAGTTAGTAGTGGCCTCAGTGTGAGTGAGTTCTTGGTTCAGTCCTGAGAGAAAGTAGAGAAGGAAGAAGAGAGAGGAAAGCTTTGGCAGGCTAAAGAGGAGAGACGGGACACTGCTGATAGAGTGGGAGTGGGAGAGAGGCCGGGATGCGGAGGATCAGGATGGCAGAGAGAGTCTTATATCTCTGACATTTTACCCTAAGCTGGGCCTGCTCCTTGTGGAGAAATGGAGCCTCTCTTTTAAGGTTTAACCTCGAGACAGCCTGACATTACTCACCAGAGATAGAAGCCAGCATCGGTATTGTGACCAGTGGCATGGTTCCCCATGGGAACTCCCAGACCAGAGCCCCTTATGGCCAGGTCTGCTGACCAGATAGCTAGGAGATTCTGTGAGAAATGCCCACTGCCTAGAGACCCAGCGTGCCCAGGGTCTGCATCTCCCAGTGACGTCCACCCAACGCTTAGGAGTGCAGGAGTTTTCACATTCATGATCTCATTTGGTCCTCCGCACAGCTTTTTGAGCTAGAAAGGGTAGAGCAAATATTATTCTCTATTTAGGAGAGATGAGCAAATTGAGGCCCCAGGAGGTAGAATGACTTGCTCAAGGTCATACTGTAGCACTGTTAGCCTCAGTGTCCACATTTTTCCCTGTTGGTCCAACAAAGTTCCATTTGCCCACTCTAACCTGTCTCATACCTGCTCAGAGGTATGTGTAGGTGGGGTGGGGCAGGAAGCAGGTATGGAGGGGAGGTGTCGGCTTTGAAGAGGGAGCACCTTAACATATCTGGAGCTCCTCAGTTCAGCCCGTAAAAAGGACATATGAAGAGGGATCAATGTCATACAGGGAGATGGCACACTGAGATTTAGCACTTGGTTATATCCTGGGGAAGATAATACCCTCGCGGAAGGCAGGGACCACTTCTACCCTTCTTCTAGAACTCCACAGTATCCAGCACGGTCCTGGGCTCGGTAATACCGTTTGCCTCAAGAAGTGAAGTAAGTAGGTCCTTTAGACATCATCTTTAGCTCTTATAACTGGGCACACTTGGGGCAGAAATGACCAGCATCACAACTGCCATAACAGTGAGTGTCCTTTACTAACCTTGCCTCTGAAGTTGCAGATAGGATGACTGCTCTAGTCATCACCATTGGTGCTACCAGCACCAAAACCATTGCCGTCATCTCTACCACCATCATTGCTGCCATCATCACCAAAACATCACCATCATCTCTACCACCATCACCAAGATACCACCAGCATCTCTACCACCATTACCAAAACATCACCAGCATCTCCACCACCATCATCAAAACATCACCATAATCTCTACCACCAACACCAAAACACCACCAGCATCTCCACCACCATCACCAAAACATCACCATCATCTCTACCAGCATTACCGAGACACCACCAGCATCTCTACCACCATCATCAAAGAAAGCATTACCACATCATCTCTGTCATCATCACCAAAACATCACCATCATCACTGCCATCATCAACAAAAAATCACCATCATCTCTATCATCAAACCATCACCATCATCTCTACCACCATCACCATCACTGCCACCATCACTGCTGCTGCCACAGTTACCACCACATCTGCCTGCTCAGGACACTCTAGTTGCTCCTCCATCTTTCCTGAGCTCAAAATTTATATGAATCTCATGTGCCCTAAGTACAGCTGAGATGAGCTTACCTTTTTTTTTTTTTTTTTTTTTTTTTTTTGAGATGGAGTCTCGCTCTGTCGCCCAGGCTGGAGTGCAGTGGCATGATCTCGGTTCACTGCAAACTCGGCCTCCCAGGTTCACGCCATTCTCCTGCCTCAGCCTCTCCGAGTTACTGGGACTACAGGTGCCCACCACCACGCCCGGCTAATTTTTTTGTATTTTTAGTAGAGATGGGGTTTCACCGTGGTCTTGATCTCCTGACCTCGTGATCTGCCAGCCTCAGCCTCCCAAAGTGCTGGGATTACAAGCATGAGCCACCGCACCCGGCCCGAGCTTACCTTTTTAAAAAGGTATCCCTATTAGAAAACTAAAGGGTTTTGTTATCAAATTTATTTCCTTTATACATAAGGAACTTTTGTATTTAGGCAAAATGAAGTACTTTTATTTTTTAAAAAAGTAAAAATGAAAAAAAAAATCAATGCACAGGATCAGAGATGCTCCTGGGGTTCAGAAGCCTTATCCTGGTGTCACCAGAAACCTCACTGTGGGCTCAGGGAACACAGTGCACCAGGCCCACAAGTCCCTGTCTCTTTTCCCGGGGAATCCCTGGTCAGTTCTTCAGCCTCTCCACTTCAGCTCCCTCCCTGGAGCCTGCAGGAATCTGTTTACTGCCCCTCCAACCCTCACATCTGCAATGATGTTTCCCTACCCAGGCCACTGTGGTGTCACCTGGATGGCTCTAACAGCTTCTAGTGTCTTCCAGGAACCCACCACTCTTGCCTCTCTCACTTACTCTCCCCACAGCAGCCTCAGTGACTTTGGAAAAACACAAACCTGATGTCATTTCCCCAATTAAAAGCTTTCTTGTCTTTCCACTGGATGTAGGGATAAAATTCACAATCCTGACCCTCATCTACAAGGCCCTGTTTGGCCCAGCCCACCCTCTCACCCTCCCATCTTCCCAGCTTCATGTTGCACCACTGCCACCTCGGTGGCCTTCTTCCACTTTCCTCAAATACTTGAGCCTCCTCGGACCTCTGTGCTGACACATACTGTCCCTCTGCCTGGTTGACTCCTGCTCAGCCTCAGAGCCCTGGCTGAAGGCTCACCTCCTCAGAGAAGCCCTCCCTGGCCCAGCCTCTCTAATCCAAATCTTTGCACCCTTTACTTCCCTACATAACATGTACCCAATGTGAGTTGAGGATTCTGTGATCATTTGCTCCACACCATCTGCCCCACAAAGTTGTAAGTCCATGAAGAGAAGGAAT
The DNA here is from genome assembly GCF_000001405.40 of Homo sapiens. Lineage (NCBI taxonomy): Eukaryota > Metazoa > Chordata > Mammalia > Primates > Hominidae > Homo > Homo sapiens. The sequence goes on along the minus strand of NC_000001.11, from coordinate 201,669,170 downwards.
GGGTCTATTTGTTCATTGTTGAAATTCCTAGACTGGCATATAGTAGATACCCGACAGGTGTTGAGGATCCCCATGCCATTTGTTGCTAACCATGCCTGAGATCTTAACCACAGTGCTACACAGGGTCCCAAAGCTCCATCCTCAGCTACCTTCCATTCTTTTCCTACCCTAGGTCCAGCCACGCTTAGGCCATTGGTCATGCATTTTCCCTAGAAAACCCATCCAAGGACCCGATGCTGTTTCTCAGCACACCGCCCATGGCTCTGCTCAACAGAGGAGTTAGGAAAAGGAAGCAAGCTGCAGGAGTGACCCCAACGCAGCTAATGAAGATGCTGAGAGGAGCGAGGTGAGGTGAGAAGGTGGAGGGAAGGATCCCAAAGGCCCCCTTCTGTCCACACAATGGGGTCTGGAACAGGCAGGCAGGACCGTTAAAAGCCCACGAGACTAGGAACCAGTGTCAATTTTATACACTACAGAGGTGGCTCTCGGCAGCCTTCACCCTTCCATGCTCCAACCTTCCAAGCAGTGGGGTGGGGGGCTGCATCGACCCACGCCCAGCACCACCTCTCTACCCTTGGAGTCTCAGTCCCCAGAAGGTGCCTTCCACAGCGGCACCCCATACAAGTAAGCGGTGCTGAGACCATGGGGAGGGGCTAGGACACAGGCAGAGAGACCCTAGGAGGAAAGCCATGGGTGGCAGTGGACAGGAGTGATGAGCGAGTGGATGGAGCTGGCATGCCCCAGTCCATGGCACACGGTTCTCTGTGCCAAGGCTTTTAAGGTGCCCATTAACGAACATCACATTTCATCCTTAAAAAATCACCTTTTAAGAGGTGTGGAAGCAAAGCTCACTCCCGTTTGAGTACAAAGCCTGCTAAAGCCATCAGATTAGGGGTGCCAGGAAGCTGGTAGGGGGTGGCAGGAGGCGGAGGGATGGGAGCCTCCTAGATCTGGGGCTGAAATCCCAAACCCTCCTTGCTGGCCTGCTCTTTGAGAGAGGGGCTTGGACTTTGGCAGATATGACTTCATACTCTGCCCACTGCTGTCACCACCTTAATTTTTCTCAAGGGGAAACCTGAGGCAGTCCCGGGCCCCAGGATCCCTCAGCAGGAGGAAGACATGGGCGCTATGGTTTCAAGTGCCTCAAGCTGACACCAATGACCCAGAATTTCCTGGGGCCTATGGCCATGGCCTGTGATGGGACTCTGGCCAGTGAGACTGGCCCATCAGATGCGTGGTGAGGGCCTCCACCCTGGAACATCAAGGTCTGGGCATGTCCCTACACTTGGGGCATCTTCCAGAAGAGGATCCCTCAACCACCACCCTCAGCCATAGAAAGCAGCTCTGACCACCCCTCAGGTTTCACTGAGCGATGATGTGAGTCTCTGTATGTGGGAGGAACTGCGGAGTGACTTTTAAAAGCATATTTATGAGGCTTAAAAGCCACAGGGAGGGAGAGGTGAGTTTGTTACTTGACCCTAAAACCTCAGACAGTTTTAAAAATTCATGGGTCAGGCCAACAGCAGCTGTTTGCTGAGGTGCTACTGTGATAGGCAGCGCATCCTCCTCCTCCCCGGGTCCACTGTCTAAAATAAGAACCAAGAAGAATCACAGGATAGGAATAGATGGCAGGAGACCTGGATTGGGGTCTCTGATCTGCCACTCACCGGCTGGGTGGACTTGGGCAAATTTTGCTTTTGGGCATGTCGGTTTCCTCATCTGTCAGATGGGATGGGATGATGATCCCACCTGGCTCTGACATGGTCCCACCCACTCCTTCCCTGTCTGTAGGAGACCATCAGCTCCAGAGAACATCTGCCAGGGTGGGAACAGCACTTAGCCCACTCCTTTGTTTCAAGAACCAGCTGTGTGTGCCCAGTCAGGGCATCCTAACTTTACAGCCTAAGGAAGGGGATGGCTTAATTAAACTTTAGTGGGGAAATCACTGCACCAGGAGTCAGGGGAGCCCCAGGTGATCCTTAGCAAGTTTCTGTTCTTCTCTGGGCCTCAGTTTCCTCATCTGCAAAATGAAAGAGTTTGCACTTAATCTCTCAGAACTCATCTAGCTTTGATGCTGTGATGTTGTGGCTTGCCATTAAAATCAGAGGTGAGGGGACATCCTCAGCCTCAGCTGCGCCCACACTCTCAGGTGAATTCTGACCCAGAGGTGTCTTGAACCTCTCTGGGGGCCTGGCTTCATGGAGAGGGAGCATGGCGTCCTTGCCTCTATTCTTGGCTCTTGTTTTTTTAATTCCGTTGAGAGAAATCCTACCACGGAACATGGTGGAGGGTGGCTGCCTGCTGGTTCTGCCAAGGAGCCCACACAGAGCCCCATACTTCCCTGCCTCCCAGAAACCCCAAGTCCTTGAATCTGCAGGCCCTTGAAATTGCAGGCCAGGAGGGAGCTGAGAGTGAGGGAAGGCCGCTCCCACCCAGGAGAAAGGCAGAATATTCAGCAGCCCTGTCCCACTTGCTCTTTCTCCCCCAGGGTACAGGTAGGCAACATCTTCCAGGCAGGCAGTAAGCCAAGGATGTGGGCTGCTGGGGAGATAGGCATGGAGGGAGATGGCCCTGGCTTCCTCCGCCCATCACTCCTGGCTCTTATTTATCATAAAGGCAAGTTCTTAAAGTCTAACCTCAGTCCTTCTTGCTCTTCTTGTTACTATCATTTTCTCCTGATCTCTCCTCAGTGGATATAAAGGACAGTTGCTCGACCGCCCTCATAAACCATCCCCCACCCCATCTGTCTTTTCTTCCAGACTTATGTTTCCTACATAACAGAGCTGCTTGAGATAATATATGATTTATTTTTTTTTTTGTAAGGAGGGAGGCAAGACAAGGTTGGGGGTGGGGAAAGATTCCCTTTCCAATTATGCCTGGCTCAGGCTGATACTAGTGTCAGTTTGCATTCCCTGAACATATGGGAGCCAAGAAGCAAGAGGGAGGTAGAGATGGAGAAGGAGGTGCTGGCTTCCCAGCCTTCTCCATGGGCAGATCGGAGGCCCAGTGTTGCTGGGGAAGGAGCGATTAGAGCGGTGGGCTGTTTATGAGAATGGTGGGATTCTGGGGCTCATTCCCTCTGGCAACCCGCTCCCTCTGACCTCAGAGGGACTTACCGATGGGTGAGTGGCCTTCAGCTGCCCACTCCCTCGGAGCTCCCTGCTCCTTCACTTCCTTTACACGTGAGTTCAAGGAATCAAAATGGGTACCAGTCATAGTCAAAAGTGACTGGAAACCAGAAGAGGAAAACTGCTATCCCAAAATCTTAAGAAGAGCAGTTTGAGGCAGATGGAATGGCTTTTTTTTTTAACACTAGCACAGATAATTGAGAGATGAGGGAGGATGCAACGTAGATGGTAGAAAAACTCCAAGCAGCAGCAGGTTTACTGTCGGGCTGGGAGTGGGCAGGGAGGCAGAGGCAATTCAGTCATCTTAATGATGATTCTCCAAAGGTGTGTCTGCAGTAAAGGAGCCAGGTGTTCTAAGAAGCACCCTGGTCTTACCCTCTCTTTGTCTTTCAGCCAAGGGAGGAGTGAAGGTGATCCAGCTGACCTCAGGAGGTGGTGGGCAGTGGGGGGGGTGGGGTGCTCTTGCCCTCACCCCTCCAGAGAGAGACTGAGATGGGAAGAGTAGAGGAGAGGGCTTTTCAAAGATTATTCTGCATCTAGTGGTTTCCTACATGAGCTAGTGCTTGTGGCTAGTGCGGACAGAAATGGAGGATAGGCCTCACCCCATCTCCATGAGCCCTCAGCAAAGGCAGCTGATTTCTAAGCCAGCTGCTGGATTCCTGACAGTGAGCTCCAGGAACTGACACTGTTGGAGGCACAATGAGAACACATTGTACCCAGGCAAACTCTGCAGAGCTGGCCTCGGAAAAGAGGCCAGAAGCAGAGAATGCCAAGCAGATCTGCGGGAGTGGCCGAGGCAACGGAGAGGAGCCCAACTGGAGGATTTCCTGAGCACAGCAAAGGGAGAGAGCTGGGAGAATGGTGGGGCAGGGTGCGGGGGGAGCACTTCAAAGAGAAGAAGGTTGGGAAGGAAGAACCATGGGTGGGAGGACGCTGGTGCTTCTTAATCAAATGCAAATTTAAGGCAGACAGCGTGCAAACCGACAGGTCTAATTTTTGTGTCTGCAATCTGGGCGGTGTTTAGAGAGGAACTAGCATCCTGGGGAGATGCTTCTTGAGAACAAGCTTGGCACACACAGGCAGGACCTGAAAAGCAAGTCACCCAGTAACCCAAGGACACCTGGGCCCAAGGACACAGAAAGGAGAGATGGGGGCTTTCTAGAGATGGCAGGCCTGGCTGCAGGGGAAAAGGGAGGAGATGGGTGGACTGGTGGCAGAGGGGCAGGCTGAGGGCATACCACGGCTCATGAGCAAGGATCCAGGAAAATAGAGGACTCAGGAAGAACAGGCTGGGGCTCATCTCCTCCACTAAAATGGGAGCTCCCTGAGGCAAGACCCATGTTTCCTCCAACCAACCAGTGGGTTGTCGAGTGCAGCACTGTGTCTCCTCCATCAGGACAGGGAGCTGCCAAGGGCAGAGGCCATGACTCCTTCCTCTATAAACCCACATAGTGGAGTGGGTAGATAACAATGAGATAGTAATATAAAACAATCAATTTTGGGGCGCTTTTCATTTGCTAGGCACTGTGCTCAGTGTGTTACATGCATTATCTCATTTAATCTTCATAGCAATCCTATGAGACAGATATTATTTGACCCATTTAATAGATGAGGAACCTGAAGCTCAGGGAGGTTAATTGACTCGGAATCTCATGGCTAGTTAATATAGAGCCAGGATTTGATTTGTTTGTTTATTTGTTTTGAGACATGGTCTCGCTCTGTCCCTGGGCTGGAGTGCAGTGACGCGATCTCAGCTCACTGCAACCTTCACCTCCTGGGTTCAAGCAATTCTCCTGCCTCAGCCTCCCGAGTAGCTGGGATTATAAGACGCGCACCACCACGCCCAGCAAATTTTTGTATTTTTAGTAGAGACGAGGTCTCACCATCTTGGCCAGGCTGGTCTCAAACAGAATCAGGATTTGAATTCGGGTCTCTCTGACCCCATAGCTTGTGCATTTGGCCACTATACTCCGGATCTTCCCTCCCAGAACCCAATAGAGTAATGACGATGACTTAGGCTACACAGAGCTGCTGCAAACAGCTTGAGTTGAGAAGCTGGGAACTTTACGATTGTAATCCAAAGATACAATTTCAACAGGAAATCCAATCTCTATGCAGAGTGTGGGAAAATGGCAGGAATCCACCCCCTGCCCCAGGCCCAGGTCCAGGCTGGGCTCCTCTGGCTCAGAAGCAGGGCTAGATCCTCTTTGGCAAATTTTTTCCCATCTCCCCCATGGAACATCCCACCCTGTAAGGCAAAAACAGGGGACCCTCCCCACAACCCAATACCCTAGCTCCAGCCCCATGCTTGTGGGAAATAATGGATCAGCACCAAGCCCATCCACCTGTTCCCCCATGAGAGAAGAGAAGGAACCAGGATGTCTTGGCCTCGTTCCTCCCCAGATGTCCTCCCAGCTGTGTGATAACAGGCCACTGAGGCAGATTTTATGCCTCAGCCCTGGGAGGAAGCATGGAGGACCACCAGAGGGCTTGTTGGCCAATGGAGAGATTGTGAACAGAGCAGGTGGTTTCATTGAACCCGGGACAGAGAGGGAAATGACAAATCCAAGGTAAAGCTATAGGTCAGGCCTGAATCTTCATCCCTGCCCAGAAATGAGGACATGGCCAGTTTTCACCTTGATCTCAACAGGAGCCAGGCCCAGGCTAAGGATTGGAAATGGGTCATGGGCTCGAACATAAGGTGCTACCCTTTGATAATCTTCTCCACATCTCACGGTCTGTTGACTTTTTCCATATTATTTCTTCTATTTTCTTTTCATCACAGTCTAAACAACCACTGGGCTGACATATAACCTTAAAACCTTTGCCAAAGGCAACTTCTGGAGAATGTTTTCTTCTCTCATTGTGATGGGTGGGTCAATCAGAGACCGTTCCCCTTCGCCCCAGGGGGAATTGGCTGATGTCTTGGACAGAGGAGGCATGAAACCATGGGCATCCCTATTCCGCCACATGGACCGGGGGCAGAAGCAGCCAGTCTGTGGTACAAGAGGAGAAGAATCAGATGTGTAGAAAAACAGAGGGAGCAAGAATGCAGAGCATGTGAAGAGGCATAGAAAACTTCGTCCCTTTCCCCTGGAAACATGGCTGGTTCCTTTAATAAACTCTCCCTTTTGTTTAAGCTGGCTCCAGGGGGCTTGTAAATGCACAACCAAGAGTCTAAGCTAAAGTATCAGGGCTGAATTGAAACAAAGTCAGTGGCTGGAGCCATTCTGTGAATGAAGCCCATTGTGAGCACTAGTCGCCTCTAGGTTCTCCAGAGCCATGGTGGTTAGGGTGAGGAAGGACAGGGTGTCTGCAGGCCTGCAGGAGAAGTGGAAATAGAACTAGCTTTACTGGTCATCTATGGTGTGCCAGGTGCTCTATGCTCACTCTTCTAGATAATCCATATAATTACCCCCCCTGCTGTGGGTACAAGCCCCATTCTACAGATGAGGAGTAAGTGCAAAGAGGGCTACGGACAGCCAGCTGGTAAGCACTGGAATTGATCTGAACCCTCACACGCATGACTCCAAAGCTGGTGCTCCTTCTATCGCCCCAGGCAGTCAGGGACTCAGAGACACTAGGGCTCCAGGCCAAGGCCAGACACCAGAGTCTTGGTGCACACCTATCCCCTGTAGCAGACATACTGGCCCTTTGGGACCTAAAGGATAGGTGTGCAGAATGCAGAATTAAACACAGATAGTGGTAAAAGTGCATCAGCCATAGATCCTACAAACTGTCCTCAGCCTGCGGCAGGTACCCAAGTGGGTCCAGGGATGTTCTAGGCTCAGTTCCCTGTGCCACTAAACTCTTATAGGAAACGTCAGAGTGGGTCCACCCTGTTTAGAATAAAAGATCTGGGCTGCTGCCCAACAGGGCTTACGATGCCTGTGGGATGCAAGAATGCCAGTGCTCTCCACTGGAGAGAGGCCTCATGGCATAGTGGCTAAGGAGGCAGGTCACTGGAGCCAGACTGCCTGGGGGTCATACCCAGACTCCACTTCGTGGCTGTGTGACCTTGGGGAAATTACTTAACCTCTCAGTTTCTTCATTGCTAAAAAGGGGATAAGAGTAGTACCTAACCCACTAGGTTGTTGTGACGATTAAATGACTGAATACGTGTAAAGTGCTTAGAACAGTGCCTGGTGCATAACATATAATAAATGATAGATATTATGACGAGTCCTTAAATCTTCCATGAAGAAGCTAACTTCTCCGCTAGATGCAGCACTCTGGGAAATCTAGTCTAGAAATCAGGGGCTACAGGCTGAGGGTGAGCGGAGGGGAGAGTAAAAGGGAAGTCGTTCCCTGAAATGCTGATGGGGCTGACATCTGCAGAACCAGCCATGTGCCAGCCTCTGCACCAGTCCTTTCCCATGCAGCATCTCATCCAGTCTCCCAGATCTGGGAGCTGGGGAGTCTAATCCCTATTTTACCAGGCAGTTAAGTGGCTTATTCAAGATCAACAGTTAGTGAGTGACAGAGCCAGCATTCCCAGTCAAAAAGAGGCAGACAAACAGCTTATTTCAGGCCCCCACTCTTCCAGACCATTCTAGTTATCCTCATCCCAGCCATTTTGGCCCTATTTCTTCCTGTACATCTGGGGAGGCTCTTCTTGAAGCTCCAGGGCTTTGCTCTGTCCAGCACTAGCCACGATACTGTATCCTAACCACCCCTCTGTGGGTCTGCTTCCTACACTAGACAGTGAGAGGCTTGGGAGGAAGGGTACTTGGCAGATACTGACTCTCGAGGAATGCTAAGGAGGGCAAGAGAGAACCGATTCCTATAGGCCTGGGCTCTAAGGACCATTGCTAGACTGATGTAGTGCAAGGGTTCTAGAACATCAAGAGGGCAGGGAGAGCAGTGAGTTGCTACTTGTGCAAGAGGCAGTAGAGTCTAGCGGCTGAATCATGAGCCTGAATCAAGCCTTGTTTAAGCTTAGCTTGACCGTGAACTTGCCACATTCCTTTGGGGTAAGTTGCTTAGCCTCCTTTAGGCTTCCTTAAGCTTCCTTATACCTAAATCTTATATAACAGTGTCAACAAGTCAACAAGCATGCACCAATAAGGCCATATTGGTTGCTAAAAAATATGAAACACTTCCTTACAGTAGTCAAATAGGTGCTTTTTTGAGCCCTCATGTGCTCCCCCTGCCACCCTGGCCACCTGGGCCCTTCCTCTGGGACCTCCACAATCCAGCAACCACAGTTAACAGGGGGCCCCCAGGACTCCTCCAGCTCTGAAACCTGTGAGGGTTGTCAAATATTTTGCATATGATCCTTGATTAATATCTCAGTGTGAGGATAAAATGGGTTTACGCAAACAAAGCGCTAGCACAGCTGGCAAACAGTGAGTGCTCAATAAATGTTAGTCCTTATTGTTGCTGATTTCCAGTGACTCAGACATGTCTGTGAGTGTTAAATGGTCCCCCACGGGTCCTCAGGATGAAGATGCCTGAACTATCTGTGGAGTGCATGGCCTCGATTAGAGTCTCAGGGGCTAAGTGTTCCCTTCCAAGGAGCCCAGACCCTGCAGCAGGCCCTCAGTGGTCCCAAAGCTACAGGCTGGGCTGGGAAACCTCAGAGAGTCCTGGGGTGCCAAGTAGGGAGGCCTGACGCTGGTGCTCCTAGGAGCCCAGTGGGTCCCTTGATGGTGGCAGCAGGAGCAGCAACAGCCTCTCGATGCTGCCTGTCAAGCAGCAAGCAAACCCCACTGGGCAGGCAGAGTGTCAGGCAGTGCAGGGTCTCAGCCCCGCCACTACAGCTGAGGAAGGCCACTCTCATGTCTGCTGCCATCCACTGTGGCAGTGGGAGCAGCAGCAGCACTGGCCTGCCTGCTCCCCCACCCCAAATAGGCTCTGCTGCCTTCCCTGCTGTTGTGACTCTCTTTCCCGGGTGCTGCAGTCATGGGCAGGATGACAGGGAGGCCATGCTGTAAATGCTCCACCCCTGGACATCACGTCACCATCAAGGCCCTGTGGGAGCATGAAGACAGCAGGACAGTACCTACACCCATGGCAACCTGTGAACTCTAGGACAATAGCTCCTAGGGACACCTGGACTCCACGGCAAAACCAGATCCTCTATGGCAAAACATTCTCACTCCTACAGCAATGGAATCCCATGGCAATGCCCAGGGCATGGCAACTGGAACAGCCAGTGGCATCTTAAAGGAACAGAGAGAGATGAAGGTTTGAGTTTAGGAGAAGGGAAACCCTCACTCCCCACAGGCTCTCCTACCCCAGCGCAGCCGGCTGTCTTCACTCCCTGAAGGACCATCTGCTCGGAGGGCTCCAAGCCAGCTAGTCCCCATCTAGTTCTCCTACCTTCAAACAAACAAAGCTGGATAACTGGAATGTCTTCTCCCATTGTGCCAAGTGTCTTGGATTCCTTTATTTATTTTATTTATTATTCATTTATTTTTAGGGACAGGGTCTTGCTCTGTCACCCAGGCTGGAGTGCAGTGGCCCAATCATAGCTCACTGCAGTTTCAACTTCCTAGGCTCAAGTGATCCTCCCACCTAAGCCTCCTGAGCAGCTAGGGCTATAGGCACAAGCCACCATGCCCAGATAATTTTTAAAAACCTCTTTTGTACGGATGTAGTCTTGCTTTGTTGCCCACACTGGTCTTGAATTCCTGGGCTCAAGCGATTCTACGACCTCGGCCTCCCAAAGTGCTGGGATTACAGGTGTGAGCCACTGTGCTCAGCCTCTGATTCCTATAAATATTCCTTTAAAACTCCTTTAAATTCCTCCCCAACTTCCGGCTCCTTCAGGAAGGCTTCTTGGATCAAACAATAAAGCTAGAGCTAGTACGTGGCACCACACCACTTATGCCTGCCACTGAATAGCGTGCAGTTGAAAAGCTCCCCTGTCTAGTCCCAAATTGGTTTAATGTCTTGGTTCTGCTATAGGTAGTCTGGTTCAAGCTTTGCTGTGGGTTGTGGGACTGTTTTCAGCAGAGCACTTCCCAGGGCTGGGGCAGTGGAGGAACAACTCTTGGTCAGGGCAGAGCACTGCACCTCACACAGTAGGGCCTAATCAATTCCCAGGGCATGGCAACTGGAACAGCCTGGTGGCATACCAAAGGAACAGAGGAAGATGAAGACTTGAGTTTAGGCTAAGAGTTAGGATAAGGGGTGCCCCTACCCTCTCAGAGGGCCAACCTCTGGGCATGGAGGCTGAAGGAGTCCTCTCCCTCCATCCATCCCATGTGGGCACTGCATAGGCTGCAAGAATAATCTTCCCTGGAGCAGACAGATGTGAAACTTGAGAGGCCCTGGCTGGCTGATCTCATCGATCAGCAACATCTCCAAGGACCAGCGGGCACAGGACTCTTTTGGGGATCCTTTGGGGACGAACTTTGATTGGTCTCTTCCACTCAAATATCTGCTCAGAGCCTACAGTTGAGTCCCAGTGCACTCCATGTCGGATCAGCCATGATCCCACCCCAACCTGTTTTTCTGATCTCATCTCCTCTTTCACCACCTTTTCCATCTCTCTAAGCCAGACAGGACTCATCACTACCTGCCATTAAGCCCACAGTTCCTCCTCCCTTCCTTTTCTAGTTTTTTTTACCTCTACTGCCAGAATCTCACCCTTCTATCAAAACTCACATCACTTCTGTAGCATGTCCCCTCCCCACCATCTCACATGTGCCCCCACACACCCTATGCACTGATGCCAATTCCAGCTGGCCGAGCCCTCAGTTGCCCTTTCTGGCTTCTTCGCAGCATGCTGCATTCTGCTTGTACTGGAATGAGCCTGGACACTTCTATCTCCTCATCCAGCCTTTCAGAACCTAGTAAGCAGGGCCCAGAACTTCAGTCTCAGGAAGCACAGTGCTCTGCCGACACTAACTTCTTGACAAGTTGCTCCTGAATTAAATGGAATCAGACTCAATGTTTGAGGGAGTCTTGAGGCTCCTGGAGGCAGGTTACCATAGGGGTTAAGTTTAAATCCTAGCTCTGTTGCTCGCTTGCTTTACTGGCTTTGGGCAGATTACCTGTATTCACACAGGGTCTTGATCTATTACCCAGGCTGGAGTGCAGTGGCGTGATCTCAGATCACTGCAACCTCCACCTCCCGGGCTCAAGTGATCCTTCCACCTCAGCCTCCCAAGTAGCTGGGACTACAGGTGTGAGCCACCACTCCTGGCTAATTTTTTGTATTTTTAGTAGAGACAGGGTTTTGCAATGATGCCCAAGCTGGTCTCAAACTCCTGAGCTCAAGTGATCCACCTGCCTCGGCCTCCCAAAGTGCTGGGATTACAGGTGTGAACCACTTTCCCTGGCCAGATTACCTGTATTTCAGTGCCTCAGTTTCCTCACTTGTAAGTGCCAGGATCATAGAATTATTGTGAGTATTAAGTGATGGGCCAGGAGAAAGCCCCGCCAGGTGCCGTGGGTCCCCGGCAGGGAGCCACTCTGAGATGCAGACAGTGAGGTCCAGGTGGAGAGCTGGACTCCACTGGGCCCGTGAGTCAGGGTGAACAGGTCAGACATCTCCTATCAGGTCTTGTTCCAAAGAAGAGAAATGGAAGAAAAATGGAAGGAAGAAGCAAAAGCAGAAAGACGAATGGAGCATAGATAGGTGTCTGACCCCAAATATAAGAAAGGGGATCCTGGGAAATGCAGGCTAGCTTCATCTGTAAGCATCCAGAGAGCAAATTCAGACTCATGGGTAGAAATTCTCAGAAGACAGAATCAAAGCTCAACAGAAGAAATATCTTTCTAATAATGAGTGCTTTCCTGGAAAATAAGGTAGTGAGCCCTCTGTCACTAGGAGAGTGTAAACAGAACACCCACCTGCCTATGATGCTATAGTGGGATTAATTTTGGCTTGAGGAACAAGAACAATGACTTTCACTTACCAAGTGATTGATACATGTTATTGATAACCATTAGATTACTGATTCTTTTGATTCTTGAGCTTTTCATTTCCCCCTTGGGATAATCAGGTCCCAGGAGCTCCTAGGAAGCAGCCTCAGTCTGGGGATGTTGGAATCCTAGACCCCATGACAGTTTAGGGATCCTACAGAGAGAAGGCAGGGCCTGCTGGGTGGCTGCCAGCTTCCCCAAAAGGGAGGGGCCTGGTTAGTGGGTCACCAAGGGCAAAGGGGCCTGTGTCCTCAGAGTCTGAGGAGTAACCAGCACTTACAGTGCTTTTCTGGGAAAGAAGCCAAGGAGTCCAAACCCCAGCGGGCTCTGCCTAGGGGTCTGTTTGGGGGAAGCTGTTCCACCAGGGTCATATTTCAGACTCTTTTAAACCTGCCCAGCTGTTACATATACATGCACGCAAATGTCCCTTCAGTATGTGCATATGTGCTGCAAGCCGGTGAGTTTGTTTACATGCACTGATCCATGTGAACACATGCCATTCACTGCACACTTAGTCTTCACACCCTGACACCCAACCTCACCCGAGTTCTAGGGGTTTGTGCCATGTGCCATACAACCTATTAACCCAATAGCTCTCGTCATACTTGCCTCAGTCTTGCTTTCTCAACATTCGCTATCTTCCTGCTCAGCCCAAGGTCGTAGTTTATGAGCCCAGCTCTCCATGGAAACACCTGGAGCTTATAACATTCAACCTTTCAGACCAGACCACACCCAACAGCAACACCTCAACTGGATAACCTTGACCACAACTCTGAGATTCCATAAGAACCAACGCTGGGAACACACACAGCATACTGGGGCTTGGGACTGCACTTGTCCCTGCTTTCCACACCTCTAACTCACAGGAGAAAGCACCCTGAGAAGCCCAGAGTGAAAGCTGTCGCCCAGAAATTAGAAGATGCTGTGGAGAAACCACCCACTCCAGTGGCCCTGAAATGTATCATTGAGATGTCTAAAATAGATTCCAGGATGGCTCAGGCCAAGGCCCAGACCCTGCCGAGCCCTGGCTGCCTTGCTGAGGTTTGGCTGGAGCTGAGTTGGAGAAGTGTGTGTCAAACACGCAACATACAACAGCGCTGGCAGGGAGAGCCTGGGGCCTGCTGGAGCCAAAGCTCTTAGGGGGTGAACCTGGAGATGGGCTGCTCTCCATGCCCTCCCATCTCTACCTCAGCACCAGAATGGGCTGGAGCAATCTGGAAACTCCCAATGGGTCCTCATTCTCCCCTAATGGGAGCTTCCCACCTATGCAACACACCCCTCCACATTCCAAAGGCATCAAGTCTGAGAAAAAAAAAAGGTGCTTATAGAAGGTGCAAAGCACCATGGTGAAAAGCGGGTCACCCTGCTTATCCCAGGCACACGCTGCTGTGCCCACACTGGACAGCCATGCCAGACACACCTTAAGTGCAACTCTGCTCCTCCCTCAGCCTCCAGATGGGAGATCAAAACAGTTCCTGGGGCATCTTCCCAGTCTGCCCCCGATCTCTGTGGGTCAGAAGGAAGCAAAGACCTGCCTTCATTGAACAAGGGGGAGCTGAACCCTGAAGGCGCTGGTGTCCTGCTTCCTTCAGGAGGCCCAGTCCCCAGAAGCAGCAGTGTGGGGGAAGGTGTGGGAGGTGATGTCTGCCTCCTATAGGAGGGAACCTGCCCACGCAGGGCCAGTGAGCTGGGCCTGGCCCCCCCTACCTCCCCACCCGGCCCTTCCTGTGCATGAGAGAAAAGGCCGCAGGCTCTGGGACATCAAACACATCTGGGTAATCCAAACAGGGTGTGGGGGGAGGTCAGCCAGCGCAAATGAGAAACATGTGGCGTCCATTTCCCCTTGTTGGCTGGCTCAGGCTTTCCAGGCAGAGGGAGAAGGCTTTGGGCTTTGGGCTTTGGGCTTTGGGGAGGAGAGCTTCCTGGTTGGGCCAGGAGAAAGACCAGCCAGGTGCTGTGGGTCCCCGGTAGGGAGCCACTCTGAGATGCAGACAGTGGGGTCCAGGTGGAGAGCTGGACTCCACTGGGCCCGTGAGTCAGGGTGAACAGGTCAGACATCTCCTATCAGGTCTTGTTCCAAAAGAAGAGAAATGGAAGAAAAATGGAAGGAAGAGGCAAAAGCAGAAAAGACGAATGGAGCATAGATAGGTGTCTGACCCCAAATATAAGAAAGGGGATCCTGGGAAACGCAGGCTAGCTTCATCTGTAAGCATCCAGAGAGCAAATTCAGACCCACGGGTAGAAATTCTCAGAAGACAGAATCAAAGCTCAACAGAAGAAATATCTATCTAATAATGAGTGCTTTCCTGGAAAATAAGGTAGTGAGCCCTCTGTCACTAGGAGAGTGTAAACAGAACACCCACCTGCCTATGATGCTATAGTGGGATTAATTTTGGCTTGAGGTAGTGGCTCAACTAGACAATTTCCATTCTAGGATTCTATGAAATCTCAGGGAAGGGTGAGGGAGATGGAGCGCTCTGCAGAGAGAAAGGGACTTGGCTATCCAGGAAGACATTGCAGTGTGCTGCAGAGGTGGCTAAGCTGCAGTTATGGACCCTGAGGGCTCTGCTCAGCCTGCTCCATACAGCACTGGCTCTCCCTTGCACCACGTGGAGCAGCTTGCACCTTCACCCTCAGGGTCAGAGGCTGTGAGGTGCGGTATATGTGTGTGGAAGGATAGCTGCAGAGAAAGGCAAGATTGGAGGTCAGCAGAAGGGGAAGGATCTGGTGTTGGCAGCTTGTGATGGGGGTGGGTGGTAGGGGGTGGGAGGTAGGGGGTGGGCATTTGCAGCCACAGTATCAAATTGGGCAGAGAAAGTGGGAAGGGGTGAAACAAGAAGAAAGTGTCAGGAAACATCCCAGGACTCCAGGTGACTTGGTCCTGCTACCCATTCAATGCAGGTCTAGAAGGGGCCTGTGGCCTGGGGTTAGAGCCATCAGTGATGGATGGTAAAGGGTATCTCCCTGGGTTGGCTTAAGGTTCAGGGAGCCAGAGTAGCTCTGGGTACTTCTCCTCCATCTGTACCTTCTCCCCAGGGCAGAGGAACTGCCCCTAGGACCTACTTATTCATCCATGCGGTACTCTCAGAGGCAGAGCCATGGGCTGTGAGTCAAAGCCAACAGCTTTTGACTGCAGCAGTCAGAACAAGGCAATGCCCAAAGGAGAGGAACATGACCTGGGTGGGGGCCCAAGCCTAGCCTTGGAAGAAAACTTTCTGGACACGGTGAGAAAAGAAATATTATTGGTACCAACCTGGAGGAAGGCAGGAGGCCTCACAGCTCCAAGGTTTTGTGCCAGTGCCTTCTCTACACACATACACACAAACCTGCAGGCTGCTGCACCTTGCCACAGCCCTTCCTCCTGCCTGTGATTCCACAAGCATCCTCCATCACTACTGCTGCTGCCCAGAGGAAGGGCAGGAGTGAGCTTTGTCCTCACTCTCCTGCTAGGCCTCAGGGAATCTGAGGGTGCTGGATAAGTTTCCACATATCACCTATCTGTTCTGGGTGGCAGTTCTTTGGAGAATTCTCTACCCACCCCAGCCCCACAATGCACTGAATAAAAAGGAAAACGAAGTATTTGTGAACACATTTCTTTCTCCTGCTACTCAAAGTATCCCAGAGCACATTCACTGGAGCGACCCCCTTGCACTGCCCCTCCCCCCCAAAAAATTCACATCAATCAACTGGCTTAGAAATGAATAGCTTCCTGCCTTTCTTCCTCATTTCTACTTGGCCTGCACTTCAGAAGGCCTAACTGTTGTCATGACAACCGCTTGTGTGGGTCCAGACACCTTTGAGATGAAGAGGGACTAGGAAGTCCAGGTTCCTGGGTTCTTTTACTCCCTGACCTTGGGCAGTCTTAGCTGTCTCACTTTGCCCCCTTTTCCTGGAGGACAGAAGGAAGGAACATGAACACCTGGAGTGTCAAAAGACTAGTTTTGCTTTGAGATCCTCAGGTCCAGGGAAGATGAGGTAGGAAGATTTGGGGTGTTACTATAGTACAGACAGTCCCCGACTTGTGATTGTTCGGCTTCTGCTTTTTTGGCATTATGATCACATGAAAGTAATACATTTGGTAGAAACTATACTTCTAGTACCCATACAACCATTCTGTTTTTCACTTTTAGTATAGTATTCAATAAATTCCATGAAATATGCAACTTTATTATGAAATAGGCTTTATATTAGATGATTTTGCTTAACTGTAGGTGAATATAAGTGTTCTGAGCACGTTTAAGGTAGGCTAGGCTGAGCTGTGACGTTCGGTACGTGAGGTGTATTCAATGCATTTTTGACTTACAATATTTTCAACTTACAATGGTCTTAACGGGACATAACCCCATCATAAATTGAGGTGCATCTGTATTCTATTGCGCTGTATTAATACAGGCTCTCTTTAAGCCACTTGGAACATTTTCCAGGTCTGATCACCTTAATCTACACCCCCTTCCCATCCCTAGGGGGTAAGGATGAGCCATGGGAGGGTCTCTTCCATTCACAAATGAGGAAACTGAGTCCCAGAGGGGGTCACAGAGCTTAGGACTTCTACACAGAGAACTCAGGAATGCAGCCTCCAGCTTAGCCCCCAGACCCAGGCCAAGGGCCTTGTGGCCTTTCTTCCGGAGCCAAACTGCCTGATGTGAGTATCGGGCCAGGGTCCAGAGGCATCTAATTCCTGGAATTAGCCCATTTGCCCTCGGTACTCACTCCTCAGTCTTCCAAGTTGCTAGGGTTCCCCAGTGGGGCCCTAGTTATTTGGCAGCTTCCAAGGTTAGCGAAGGGACAGGGAGCCTGCCTAGACCATCTGGGACCCCAGCTGATTTCTGGGAAGGGGATGATCAGGTTTCAGTCCTTCCCTCTTATTACAGAAAGGCTCTGACTTGAAGCTGCCTCACTCCCACCCCCTCCCTCCGCCTCAGAAATTGATTCTTGGCAGCCTCTTGGATCTAGGATGGTACTATGGAGTGAACATAACTGGACACTGAGCCCCACTGAGGTGGGGACAAATGCCCAGTGTCTTCAATCACAATCCTGAAACATCAAGTCACCATTCTTCTCCCCAGAGGCCACCCTGCTGTACACTGAGGGCCTGTCTGATACCTGAACACCACCATCATTGGCTCTGGAAGACGAATTCCCTCTGTAGTTCCTCTCCCTCTACCCCTCCCCCAGGCAGTCTACCCTCTGCCCTTCACACAGGGAAAAGCTTAGTTTGGAGGTCACCAACTCCCCTCCTTTCCTCCCTACCACTGTTTGACACCAGGCTCTGCCTTGCTACAGCCTGAACCAACTCCCCACCCCCCAACTTTGGGTCCTCTCAGCTGGAGACAGGCAGATTTGGGAGTTTCCACCCTTCTCTCCCCACCCCAGAGAGCTAAGCCCCTCAGCCCTCTGTAGGGTCATCGAGGCAGTTCTGGTGGCCCATACCCAGTAGACATAGCCTTGGGCAGGTCCCTCTGCCTGCTGACTCTTCCTCTCTCAATCAGGTCTCCTAGGAAGAGCTGCGACTTAGTCCTCAGGAGATCAATGTGGAATCTCCCTTCCACCATGAACTCATAGATGCCTTTAAGGCCCTCAATGCTTTTGACTCTGCATTTCCCCAACTGGGAAGTGGAGGTGTTCTCTCCTCACTTCCGAGGTTACTGAAAGTGTCAGTGTGCTTTGAGAAGTGACAACTGCTAAGCAGGAATAAGGGACCACAGCTCAGCTTCTCCTCCTCTCTCGCCCTCCCTGCACCTGCCCTCCTCCCCACTCCTGCCCCTCCTCCCATCTCCCTAGCCAGCTCAGACCTGTTTGGCTCCTCTTGAGGAGCAACTAAGAGGGCTTCAATGGGCAGTCAGCTTCTGGGACAGTGTGAGGGCATCCAGGTCTGGAGAGGACCCAGACCAGCTAAGTTATCCCCAACAAGTAAAGCCTTGACCCTGAAAAGGGTTCTGTGCCTTCTGCTATTCTGTGCCCCGATACTCCCTTGCCCTCCCTCGCCAAGTCCCTCTCTCAGTCTGACACACACACACACACACACACACACACACACACACACGGTCCCTTCCTCTCTCACCCTGCTTTCAGTCCCTCAGCAGGGCTCTCTATCACATGGGCCAGTTGCATTTTGTCCATATCCCTCCTTGGTGCCTGCCATGGTGCCTGCCAAAAATTTATTAATTTTTTCCCTTATTGTCTCTCTTGCCCCATTCACTGAGGCAGGGCCTTTGACAGGCTCAGCCCCACACTGAGGACCGGGTGGCACATTCCCTTTGCAGAGTGAGGCTGCCTGGTCAGCTTCCGCACCCACCCAGCCATCCCCACCTTCAGGAGGGGCTCCCAGGGGAAAAGGCTGCTCTTCTTTTGCCCTTGTCCAGTCTCCTGATTGCCCCTGCAAAGCCCATTTGCGGCCTCCTGCGTAAGGATCGGTTCTCCAAAGGCCCAAATCCTTGCCCCTGTCAGAGGACCCTCATCCTAGCCCACACAGGAGTCGAGGGTTCCTAGGAAGACTGCAGCAGGCCGAACCGGTCTCCTCCGGCTTCGCATTCTCCAGGGCCGCCCGGCGAGCTCTTGCATGTTCCCCACCCGCCAAGCCCGTCACTCGGCCCCGCCCTTTCACACGCGCATTGGCACGCCCCTTCCCAGCCCCCAGCGGGCGGGCAGCCTGCCGGGTACCCAGGAAGCTCGGGTCCCTCGGCGCCGGAGGACCCACAACCCAGCCACCGCAACAAGTCCGCGCAGCCAAAGCAGCTCGCCTGGGCACCAGGCCCCACCGTCCTTGTTCCGTGGCCCCAAGAGGGCCCGTGCCAGTTCCCGAGGCATGGCCGCCTGGCGTCCGGCACATCCCAGATCTATTCCTCTCTGAGGGCAGGGGCTCTCCGGGGAGAGAAAGAGCAGTTCCGGGGCCCGCTTCGGGTTTTTTTGCATAGACTCTTCAGGCACGGAGAACAATGGAACAGCTCTGCGCGCTTCCTCCACTCGAGCAAGCTTTGTTCCTCCCTTCCCGCCTGCTCGGCTTCCATTAGCCACAGGGCAAAGGCTTCCCGGTCAAACAGGAGTCTCGGCGCTAACGCCCAGAGCTTTCGACACGCCCTAAAAGACCTGCGGGTGTAGGGGTTGGGGCCAGAGCCGGGGCTGAGGTATCGGACATGCGCCCAGATGCGCACAGCTGGCAGCCCGCCCGCCCCCGGCCCTAGACGCTTCTTTTAGCCAGAATCCTCACACCGCGGGGAAATCCGACTTGCGCTCCCACTCGGGATCCACAGAGGAAGTGGAGCCTCAGCTGTGTTCCGGGGCCAATCAGCCCTCACATCTGCTCTCCCACATCTGTCCTCTAGATCCGGGCTCTCGCTGGACGCTCCCCTTGCAATGCGGGATGCTCCTGTCAAGCGCAGGCCACACCACAACGGAGGTTTCCACCAGTCCCAGGTTTTGCCATATTGGGATTCTGGCTCTATTTCTGAGAGCCTGTAACCCCCTCACCCCCCATCCCATTGTCCAGCCTCACCTCGGGCAGGCCAGAGTCGAGCCCGGGTTCCCGCCTGTAATGTCTTTAAGAAGGTACACTTGAGCCATGCGCATCTGGAGGTGGGCCAGCTCAGCACATCTGGGCGCAATGCCCATCACAGCCTGATCGTGAACAGGAGGGCCCTCCGGGAAGGCGCAAGGGGAGGGGGCTTCGCTTTCCCCACACCTTCCCCAGCAGCTGGTTAGGAGAAAGCCAGGGGCGGGGCGGGGCGGGGCGGCAGGACTTACCCAGCATCTGGCTGAAGAGCAGCTGCTCCAGGTCTCCCAGCACGGTCACCACCAGCTCGGGGTCCACCTTGAGGAAGGCGCGCTCCTCCTGGCCCTTGGCAGAGGGGACAGGCCCAGAGCTCTTTTGCGCCTTGGCCTTGCTGGAGAGCAGCTCGTCGTCCGATTTGCCATCTTCGCTCACGGCCGCTTCAGGCGCCTTGCTGAGCGGCTTGACCTCCGCATAGGGTCCTCGAGGGATCCGGCTCGGCTTTCCCAGGTTGGGCGCGAGCGGAGCCAGGGGGGTCTTGGCGCCGCCCGCCGGGCTGCCCTTGGCCTGGAAGAGCGAGTGCTCCGACTTGGACAGCGTCTTGGACATCAGCGGAGCTTCACGGCCCTTGGACCCCACCTTGCCTAAGCCTTTGGGCGCCTTGGCCATATCGTCGCTCCATTCGGGCTCATAAAGCTGCAGCTTTTTCTCGGAGTCCGTGAGAAAAGAGAGGTTGGTGAGTGACTTCTGCTTGCGCAGGTTGGAGGCGGGCGGCCCGCCGGGGACACGGCTGTCCACGCTGCCGGACTTGAAGACCTTCAGCTCAGCCGCGCTGGCCTTGGCCATGCCGCCGCCGCCGCCGGGCGCCTTGGCGCGCTTGGGCAGCATGCCTCTGCCGTCCGCCGCTGCCGCCTTCCTGCCGGCGCCCCGCGGTTCGTCCGCGCCCTCGTCGCCGCCGCCGCTGCTCAGCTCCACCTCGGGCTGCACGCTCTTGACGCTGCTGCCCAGCATTCTGCCCGCGAGGAGCGCATGGACGATCCGCGCGTCTGCAGGCACGGGGGGAGGGGGCAGGGGGCGGGAGCGCAGGAGGAGGAGGCGGGGGAGGAGGAGGGGGAGAGAGAGGACGGAAGAAACCGAGGAAGAAGGGGAGAGAAGGGGGAGAGAGCGAGGGAGGAGGGAGAGAGGCAAGCCGAGGGCGCAGGGGAAAGAAACGCGAGGAAGGAAGCCGGGAAAAAGGAAAGAGCAGGGAAGCCGGGGAGCGATAGGGCGGGGTCGGAGGAAAAGGGGCGGGGCGGCGGGGAAAATACAAATTAAAATTTAAAAATCAGTCAAAGGAAGGATGGAAGCCCCGCGGCTCCTCCGGCGCCCAGCGGTGCTTTTGCTTTGGTGTCCGGATCCCAGCCCGCGGCCTGCCTGCCTGTCAGTCCCGTGGACACCGCACTGCCGGGCAGCGCCCCGGCCGCACTCAGCCAGCCAGCCAGCCCGAGTCGAGGCTGCAGGCTGCAGCTCCGAGCAGAGGAAGGAGGGAAGGGGAAGGCGGGGAGCAAACAGGAGGAGGGGAGCGAGTGTGCGCACGGGGAGGGAGGTGGGGGAGAGATAGTGTGTCTATTTCTGGCTCGGGAGGGGGAGGTATCTGCGAGCGGAGCTCCAGGGGCGGATGAGTGGGGGGTAGGGGGAAATAAAGGAAAAGCAGTTTTTCTCCCAGCTTTCCGCGTAGAAGCGGGGCGGGTTCTTGGATTCTCGGAGGGCACGGGGACCCCCTGCCGTGTCCAGGATAAAGATCTGTTGAGGAGGTGTGGAGGTGCAGGTAAAAGAGACGGAGGGAGGGCGGCTCAGAATGCGGGAGGGAAAGTGGGCCCGTGGGCCTGAGAGAGATGTCGGGAGAGGGGTGGAGGAATGGTATCCAGGGTGCTCATTCCCCTCCCCCAACCCCAAACCGTCTTTGGTTTTCCCCCAGGAAACTCCCAGTCCCGCCCTACTTCAGTCTCTGAGGCTCAAGGTTGCCCTCCTGAGCCCAGGAGGTAGGGGATGGGGGTAGGACACGGGTGGCTTGGAGAGAAGGGGCCTAGCGTTGACTGGGGAGGGGGCTGAGGGCTTTGTAGGGGAAGGAGTAACTCTTGAGATCAGGAAACTGGGTTTCTATTCCAATTAGCAATGTGACCTTGTCAAAGTCATTGAACCCCTCTGGTTCTGTTTTCTTTTATAGTGGTTATAATACCAGCTTCACAGGTAGAAGGGCTTTGGAACTGTAAAGGCCTGTGTCAAACCTAGGGAATCAAGAGGAGGCTTTGCACTGGGTCCCTTGCCTGCCAGAGTTAAGCAGAGCAGCAGAGTGCTTTTAAAAGATGTTTCCCAAGCCCTTCTTCCTTTCCTCCTAACTGGACCCAGGGGACAGGGATGAGGTGGAGGGGGAACAAGAGCCAGATGGAGTAGTCTGCAGTTTGCCTAGGACTGTACCTCAGTAGAGGGGACACTGCCCATCCTCAAATGGCCTCCCAAGTCACAGCCAGGTTGCCTGAGCAAAAGGCTCTCAGGAGAAAGTGGAGGGGAATTCTCTGAAAGCAAAGCTTGCTCCAGGAGGGGTAGGCCCAGGTGGAGCCACACTCTAGGGATTATAAAGCCCTAAGAACTTTTTGCCAGAATGTCTAACCATCAGATTATCTCCCCACCCCAAACCCAACCTCCATCTCTCTAGCTCCTTTCCTCCCTTTCTCCTAGAATCTGAAGAACGCTGTGTGTGAGTCTCATGGTTCACACACTCTCCTAACACTAATCATCACCTGCTGCCTGGTGTGAAATGTATTTGTGTCTCTATCTGTCTCCCCCGCCAGCGCAGGATCTCTCCGGGTGTAGAACTGTGTCACTCAGCACCTTGCATGGAGCAGGTGTTGCAACTCTGTTGGTTAAATGGATTTGGAGGCCTGAGCACTGTACGCTGGGTTTGTACCCTGCATGACTCTTGGGTTCTGGTGTTATCTCAGGACTCTCTGCCTTCCAGATTGAGATGCCATAAAATCTGCCGTGACAGGGATCATAGCAGAAAGGATAAGTGGCACGAGAATATAGAGTTCTCAAGCAGAGAAGTGTTTGGTAAGAAGCATGGACTCTTGGCTGTCTTGGAGACATAGAAAAAAAGGTGGCGATTCTGTCCTTGAGGAACTCTGGACTCTTGTATTTCCTGTCTGGCAGGGAATACAAGGTAGACAATACAAGACTTGGGAAAATAATAATCCTGTCCCTGTGAAAAAAGCAATGTCACACACATCAACACATTCATCTCAGGTAGACGGACATGGGTGTATATATTCCAATTATAAGAATAACAAGAGGAGTGGAGGACAGGTTTACAAGAGGATTCTGTACCATCTGCAATGCACAATGCAGATTGGCTTCAGAGGCTTATGTCGAGCATTAGGAAACTCAGGGGTGGAACTAGGGTTCGTGGTTCCAGATAGGAAATGACAAGCAGTGAAGAACTGGTTAAAGGAATGTGAGTGGTATCATGCCAGAACTTGGCCAAGGCACAGAGAGTGCCCAAAGGATGAGGCCAATCATGGGACTTTCTTTTCTGGGCACACACGAAGTACCCATGCTTATGTCCAAACATGAGGTCCCAGCTCAAGCAAGGGATCAAGCCCCATCTTTGGTGCCAAATCTTTGAGTAAGCATGACCATGCTCTTCCTACCCCATCCTTCAGGGTACTTGTAATGAAGTCACAAGCCATCACTTCTACAGTCCTCATCCTTACTCATTGGTCATTCTCTAATTTATACAAGATGCCCCTAATTCAATCACATGAGAACCACACCTTTCCTAAAAATAGCAATTTGAGAATCCGACAACACCTATTCTCTGACTTACCAGGTTACAGTTGCTCTTACTTGCTGTCTCTATATCCTCTTTCTGCATGTAAATTCATCTTCTCCTTAGCAGACAAAGGGAAATTCACTGGCTACCATCCTGGCTGAGAAAGCTTATTTTCACTGTGACACATTCCACCCAGTGTATTCTGCTGTGAGCAAAACCTGGTGCCCTCTCCCATGGTTTAATTTGGTCCCTCATCTCTGACACCCATGTCTGTAGGTTAGTCCCTCTCAAATCCTTTTATTTTATTTTATTTTATTATTATTATAATTTAAGTTTTAGGGTACATGTGCACAAGGTGCAGGTTTGTTACATACATATACATGTGCCATGTTGGTGTGCTGCACCCATTAACTGGTCATTTAGCATTAGGTATATCTCCTAATGCTATCCCTCCCCCCTCCCCCCACCCCACAACAGTCCCCAGTGTGTGATGTTCCCCTTCCTGTGTCCATGTGTTCTCATTGTTCAATTCCCACCTGTGAGTGAGAACATGCGGTGTTTGGTTTTTTGTCCTTGCGATAGTTTGCTGAGAATGATGGTTTCCAGTTTCATCCATGTCCCTACAAAGGACATGAACTCATCATTTTTTATGGCTGCATAGTATTCCATGGTGTATATGTGCCACATCTTCTTGATCCAGTCTATCGTTGTTGGACATTTAGGTTGGTTCCAAGTCTTTGCTATTGTGAATAGTGCCGCTATAAACATACGTGTGCATGTGTCTTTATAGCAGCATGATTTATAATCCTTTGGGTATATACCCAGTAATGGGCTCTCAAATTCTTTAGAACTGCTGCGAAACATGATTCCATTTGTTGCTCTGTCCACTTGCATTTGCTTGTCACCTTATGCCCCCTCCCCAGGGCCAGATCTTCCTTCCTGCCTTCCTGGTTATCTTGCTGTCTCATTTGATCTGGTGTTTTGGCCTGGTCCCTTCCCCTGTCTTTATTCCTCTTTGTTCCTCTGTACCTTGTCTCATGCTCTCATGGGATATCCTATTCCCCAAATCCCAAGTCCTTTCCCTTCCTTCAATAAATGGCTCCTGAAATTCTGCTTCTTTTGAGAAGAGAAAAAAGTGTTGTCAATAAGAGAAGCCTCCTCCCTACCACCTAAACCTAGTGCTCCACACTCTGTCCTGCATGAAATGTCACCTGTCAGTTTATAAAATGGAAGACACCTTCTATGCACATCTCATGGGTTAATTCAGTGCCAATCCCCTTGAGTGCCAGTCTCTGTGCACTGTCATTCTTTAAAGGGTCTTGCTATGGCCAGGTGGTGGTCCCTTTAAATAGCCATCTTGGCATCCAGGAAGTTTCTGACACTCCCTAATGTGACCTCTCCCTCTATCTGGCTCTTTTTTGATTCTTTTCACATCCCATGAGTTTCCCACTATCCTCTACTGCAGTGGGAGCACTCTGCTGCTGTGGCAACAGCCATTCCAGCATCAGTTGATAAAACCAGTATGTGCAGAATGGTTCCTCGAGTGATTCCTAAAAAGAGAAGGACCTGCCCTGTCACATTATCTCCAAACCCAGCCCTGAGCCCCTCCCACTCGGCCATTTACCCCTTCTCTAGAATGACAGGCTTCAAATTGTCCTCTGAAGAGAGATTCTACCATCAATGATCAATGAAGAGGTTATGTGATGAGGGAGAGGCCTGGCTGGGCAGGCAGTGGGTGCTGGTGAAGTCAGTAACCAAGTTTCTAAAGGGGAGGTGCAGAAAGAGGCTGGTTTGGAACATGAAAGTCCCCAATCCTCAGCGCCCCAAAGACCAGCTCATCATCCCACTCCTCTTTCCAAAGTCATTGGTAGTTTCTGGAATGGCGATAGGATGAGTGATTTGACTACATCTGTTGACAGATAACTTAAAGCAATTTGAGGAATGAAGATGTAGGCATACAGCCAAGGAGACGCATGCTGTGTGATATCACATTCTCACACCCCTGTGATTAGAAACGGATGTAACCCAGGTGTCTGTGGGGGGTCTGGGGAATCTGTCAGTTGGGACTGTGTTAGGAGAACTGGGGGTCAGGGAGAGCCAAAGAGAGGAGAGGGTGGGAAGGCTGTCCCCAGCTCATTGACCTTGAAAGGTGACCTTGGGGCCTGGCTTGGTGGCTCATGCCTGTAATCCCAGCACTTTGGGAGGCTGAGGCAAGTGGATCATTTGAGGTCAGGAGTTCGAGACTAGCCTGGCCAACATGGTGGAACCCTGTTCCTATTAAAAATACAAAAATTAGCTGGGCGATAGTGGCACATGTCTGTAATTCCAGCTACTTGGGAGGAGAATCACTTAAGCCTGGGAGGCGGAGGTTGTGGTGAGCTGAGGTTGCACTACTGTGCCACAGAGTGAGACCCTGTCTCAAAAAAAAAGAAAAAAAAGAGAAAGAAGGAAGGAGGGAAGGGAAGGGAAGGGAGAGGAGAAAGGGAGAGGAAAAAGAAAGAAAGAAAGAAGAGAGGGAAGAAAGAAAGAAAGAAGAGAGGGAAGGGAAGAAAGAAAGAAAGAAAAAGAAAGAGAAGGAAGGGAAGAAAGAAAGAAAGAGAGGGAGGGAAGGAAGGAGGGAGGAAGGAAGGAAAGAAAGAAAGAAAAGGGAAGAGAAGGAAGGGAAGGAAGGAGGAAGGAAGGAAGAAAGAGAAGGAAGGGAAGAAAGGGAAGAAAGAGAGAGAGGAAGGAAGGAAGGGAAAGAAGGAAGGAAGGAAGAAAGAAAGAAAGAAAGAGAAAAAGAAAGAAAGAGAGAAAGAGGCCAGGCACGGTGGCTCACACCTGTAATCCCAGCACTTTGGGAGGCCAAGGCGGACGGATCACGAGGTCAGGAGATTGAGACCATCCTGGCTAACACGGTGAAACCCCTTCTCTACTAAAACAAACAAACAAAAAATTAGCTAGGTGTGGTGGTGGGCGCCTGTAGTCCCAGCTACTTGGGAGGCTGAGGCAGGAGAATGGCGTGAATCCGGGAGGTGGAGCCTGCAGTGAGCCGAGATGGCGCCACTGCACTCCAGCCTGGGCGACAGAGCAAGACTCCGAGAAAGAAAAGAAAAGAGAAGAGAAAAGAAAAGAAAAGAAGGAGGGAGGGAGGGAAGAAAGGAAGGAAGGGAAGAAAGAAAGAAAGAAAGAGAGAGAAGAAAGGGAAGAAAGAGAGGGAGGGAAGGAAGGGAAGGAAGGAGCGAGGGAGGAAGGAAGGAAGGAAAAGGAAAGGGAAGGAAGGTGGAAGGAAAGGAGGAAGGAAGAAAGAAAGAGAAGGAAGGGAAGAAAGGGAAAAAAGAAAGAAAGAAAGAAAGAAAGAAAGAAAAAAAGAAAGAAAGAGGCCGGGTGCGGTGGCTCACACCTGTAATCCCAGCACTTTGGGTGAATCACGAGGTCAGGAGATTGAGACCATTCTGGCTAACACGGTGAAACCCCGTCTGTACTAAAACAAACAAACAAACAAACAAAAAATTAGCTGGGTGTGGTGGCGGGCGACTGTAGTCCCAGCTACTTGGGAGGCTGAGGCAGGAGAATGGTGTGAACCCGGGAGGCGGAGCCTGCAGTGAGCCGAGATCGCGCCACTGCACTCCAGCCTGGGCGACAGACCAAGACTCCGAGAAAGAAAGGAAGAAAGGAGGGAAGGAAGAAAGGAAGAAAGGAGGGAAGGAAGGAAGGAAGGAAGGGAGGGGAGAGAGAAAGAAAAAGAAGGAAAGAAAGAAAGAGAGAAGAAAGGGAAGAAAGAAAGAGGAAGGGAAGGAAGGAGGGAGGGAGGGAGGAAGGAAAAAAAGAAAGAAAAGGGAAGGAAGGAAAGGAAGGAGGAAGGAAGAGAAAGAAAGAGAGAAGGAAGGGAATAAAGGGAAGAAAGAGAAAAAGAGAGAGAGAGAAAGGAAGGAAGGGAAGAAAAAGAGAAAGAAAGGAGGGAGGGAGGGAAGGAATGAAGGAAGGTGACCTTGGGAGAAGGGGAGATTTGCGGGAGGGAGAAGGGGGCACATGAGCCCATACTTGGCTTCCTCCAGGGTTAAGGGCAGAGCAGGGGAGGTTTTTCTTGATTTCTGGGACCACAGTCAGGATCTGGAGAGCAAGGGCTGGGAACCCAGCCACATGGCTCTTCAAGCCTAGCCCACTCACTCTGGACCAGCATGGAGTTGTCACTGCCCAACTCAGTGACAAGCATTTTCTATACGTTTTCTCTGCTTAGATGCCTACCATAAGGTCTCCTCATCACCTGCCTAGCAGATGCCAACACCCCTGCCTTTGTGGAAAGCCCTCTAGCCATTGTTCCCCACTT
Source organism: Homo sapiens (assembly GCF_000001405.40). NCBI lineage: Eukaryota > Metazoa > Chordata > Mammalia > Primates > Hominidae > Homo > Homo sapiens. The sequence goes on along the minus strand of NC_000001.11, from coordinate 201,641,562 downwards.
CTTTTTGTCCTTTTCTCCACCATGTCATTCCCTCATGTCATTCCAGCTATCAGCAGGGACTTTTTGAGCACCCAAAACATGGGACTTCTTAAGCAACCCAAAGCTTTACTTCCAGTGAGATGGGAGCCTTGGTAGGCTGGGAGCAGAGAGTGACATGACCTGGCTTCCCTCTTGAAAAGGCCACTTTGGCTGCTATTTGGGGAGCAAATTGCTGGGCTCAAGGGCAGAAGCAGTTGCAGTCACCCAAGTGAGAGATGATGGTGGCTTGGAACTGGGCGGTGACTGTGGTGGTAGTGAGAAGTGGTCAGGCTCTGCATATATTTTGAAGCTGTTAGAATTTGCTATTGGCCAAATGTGGGTGTGTGGGAAAGAGAGGAACCAAGAATGTCCCCCAAGGATTTGGGCCTGGACAGCTCTAAGATTGGAGTTGCCATCAAGCAAAATGGGAAGGCTTCAGGAGGAGCTGGTTTTGGAGGTAGAATTAGAGTCCTCTCTTCTCCCCGGCCCCGCTTGAGGCCAAATCCGCCTCCTCTAGGCCGCCTTCCCTGACTCTCCCCACGCAGTTCACTGCAGCCACTTTAATCATTTCCTAATGTTCAGGGCTGTCATTCGTCATTCACCTATTGGTGCTTCCCAAGGATTCATCTTCAGTTGAACTTTTTCTCAAAACCCATCCCAGCTCTGTGCACACAGTGGGCTCTCAAAAATATTTGGTGAATGACGATTGATTAAATGAATGAATGCGTGACTCGGAACAGATGTGTAGGGAATTGTAAACAGCAGTGACCTCTTAATACCCCGTGGCAAGACACAGTGCAGCTGGTGTGTGGAATGGAAGCCAAGCTTCTGGGATGGTGGCCCAGCAGCATCTTTTCTCCCTTCCCTGAAGCCCTGGGCCAGAGTGAGGCCAGTAGACCCTTGCCTTGCTCCTTTGAAGGAAGCTCCAGTTCTTCAGAGGAATGACCTTGGGGCATTCAGGGCTGAGACCCTCTTCTGCCCCTAAATCTCTGCTCTGTCCAGAGGCATGGGGATAGTTTCACCACACTTCTGGGAGACAGGGGGAAAAGTGGGCAAGGTATCCTCACAGCCCAGGCAGTAATCCCAGCTGGGACTTCAGCCCCATCCCCCACTCCCACTTGCTGAAAAAAAAGGAGACACTAGACACAGTGGTCCAATATGGATGCTCTGAGTGGCTCACACCTCCAGGACCTCATCCAGGAAGACTTCCTAGATTGGTCCATTAGCCCAGCCACTGCCTTTGCTTCTCCAGGGCATTGGTAGTTGAGATATTTCTGTGGACACTGCAGGTCCCCGGCTCACCCTCTCTGGCCCCAGAAGACTCCCTGAGTTCAGTGGTTGGGGATTTTTCCTCTGGGCTACAGATCAGGTGTGTGGGCTCCAGAGAGAGATTTATTGTCTTCCTGTCTATTGGGGAAAATGAGGCAGAGAAAACTAGAGGCTGGGAGTGGAGCCAGAGGTCATGGGCCTCGGTCTGCCCTCTAGCTCAACCGTCTCGGGGGAGCTTCCAGAAGGGTGGGAATGCCGAGAAATTCTAAGCTACAACTCACATTCCTTGGAGCTCACAGCTGCCTGGACACAAATTTCTACACCAACAGGGCAAGGATAGAGCAGGGATGAGCCTGCCCACCGTGTGAAAGGACAGGGTCGGAAATGAGGTCCCTTAGAAGGAAAACAAGTCACCTCTAGTCACACAAGTAAACAAGACCAGAGCCTGAAGCCCATGTCCCCAGCTGGAGGCCGGGGCCCCCCAAGCTGGGATGGGGACGGGGCACAGGCTCTCCCTTCAGAGGCAGGGTTCTCGGGGCTTTGTCGTCCTGGAGGGAGTGGAAACTGGTTGAAGGCTCTTGGGAGGGCCTGTTCCAGACGTGGGAGGGGAGGATAGGGGCTGGAATCCAAAAAACTGGCCCCTCCTTCAGCCAAGGGTTTCTCAGCTAGAAAGTCAGGGGGCTAGGGAGGTCTGACTCAGGGCTGGGCTTCTTCTTCTCAGGGCTGGACACTTGCTTCTCCCAAGTGTCCCGGCCCCCAGGCTAGAACACAGGACTTCTATTTCTCGTGACTGGTTTCTCAGCAGAGGAGCCCTGGCAGTGCACAACAAGGCACGGGGTTTCTCCTTCCCCTCCTTGGGGAGTGGGGTCCAGATCTCCAAGCATTGAGACCTTCCTTCTTTTAAAGCCAGAACTCCATGATGTCCTGCAGAGAAGCATATCTCTGACCTGATGACCTCGCTGGCTTCCCAGGAAAGGACAGTCCCCTGGCCTCTGCTATCTGGCTGCCTTAGAGGCCAGTGCTGGCCAACACGCAGTACTCAAGCCCTTCCCCACTCTGGCTTCACCTGCTGACAACTTTGACCTCTAATGCTTTCCTCTAAATGCCCCTGCTCCAGGCCTGACCCCACCCCTGCACCTTTGCTTTGCTCTGCCCTTTTCCTGAATGCCTTCTGTTATATGAATTCAAATCCAATTCTCCCCTCAAGGCCCAGCTTCAGAGCCACCTCCTCCAGGAGGCCTTATGACTACCCCATCGCACACCGCTCTGCCTTTCCTACCCACTGATTATAGTCAGGGGCTGGGTACCCACATTCTGCCTACTTATATCCCACGGAGATATCCTCTTCTGCCAGCTGAATTGTTAAGTGCCCTACATAGGTTAGTTAGTAAGGGCTCACTGATCCTTGCTGAACTGAAAGACAGGGGATCTTACAGTTACTAAGCACCTCCTATTGCCAGGGACCCTCTTAGACATGTAATGTTCATCATTTCATAAAAGCCTTTGAAGCAGGGGCTGTCATTATCTTCATTTTATAGAGACATACACTTGCCCAAGACCACACAGCAGGCTGCTGGTGGAATCAGAATTTGAATATAGGTCTGTGTGTGTTCCACATCTTCCCATAACTTCATGCTATTACCATGCAGCTATTTCTAGAGACTTGCTTAATATAATAACTGCATGTGATTCCAAGACATATAGAACCCCACAGCAGGAAAGTCTGGGATCCTGGCAGAGAAATGGGGACTGGGTATTAGAAGGGTGAGTGAAGAATGGGAAGGAGGGCCCTGACTCTCCTGCCTGTCCTGCTGAGGAGCTCCTGTAACCCAGACATCTGCTGCACCTGAAGTCTGCATGATCTAGGACTGCAGTCACATTAAGACTGCCCCACAGAATCCTGGGAGTGAGAATGTGGCAGAGGAGAATCCTTCAGACAGAGCTGGTGGTCTGTAGCAACACCAGTCGCTTCATAGCTCAGCCCCATGACCTATGTCCTGGGGTCTTGGTCCACTTTTAGTGGACCTGACAGTCCCAACAAGTCAGGGTCTTCTGAGGACTTCCCTAATGTCAAGCCTTGGGGGTTCTGGGTTGTCTTCTTGATTTGCTATGTGGCCTTAAGAGAATATATGCAGCTGGTCATCTAAGAAATTGGGTGGAGGGAGGAGCTAGAGAATCTCTGCTCCCTCTGCTCAGGGGCTTCTAGTAGGGAAAGGCAGAAGAACACCTAATCTAGGGTACTCTGTCTGAAACTGTACTCATTTAAAATCAGATCCCTGTGCTCCTCAGGCTAATAAAGAGCCCAGGATAAGAAGTCCAGATGTTTCCCACATGTGCTTTTCCTGTATGTTGCCATGGCAACTGTCCCATACACACCACTGGGGTGGATATTGCACACTGGGCCTCAGCAGAGCTCTGCACCACCCAGGTACATCGCCCTTAGACCATGACCCACCCAGATCAGTTGTCATGGCAACTGCAGGCCGGTGAGGGAAAACTCCAGGCAGGCAAAGGAAGGAGAGGGTAGGGTGTGTGCCTGTGGCTGTGCCCATGTGTTGGATGGGGACAAGCAAACTCCTTGTGTGAGCATGTGTCCTTCGGGATGGGCAAATCTAGAGTTTAATTTGACCTGTCCATGAAGAATTGGTTGTTTTAAGGTCATTAAATCACAACACTAAGAGGGACCTTGGAGATAGTCTTACTCTGTAATAAATCCTCTTAATTCACTGTGGGCCACACAAACCCAAAAACCTGATGAGGAAAAGCACAAGGCCCAAACCTGTGGTGACCTTGTCAACACAGTGATGACATCACTACCCTAGAACAGAACTTCTTAATCTATGTTCACAGACTGGATTCTGGAGGTCCACAGTACCAGCCATCAAACATAAGCCAAATACTGTGAATATGTCCATTTATCTGGGGGGATATATTGTAATATCAGTCAAATTCTTAAAGAGATTCCTGACTCTAAAAAAGTAAAGACAACTGCGAAAGTAATGAGAAGCTTTTACCCATCTTAGTCTGAACCAGCTGGGACAGATGGTTTAAAGAAACCTGGCCTTCTTACTACCCTAGAGAGAAAGATATTCCCATTTTGTGGCTGCACTCATTTTCTCAGTTGGTACTTCTGTGCTTTATTAGAGTTTTGTTAGGTTTTTGAATGAGGTATTAAACCTCACAGAGGAATGCCATGGACTCATATTTCAATGAATTTTAATAGAATAATCACTGGCAATTACTTGGCATATAAAAATTGCTCTGCAAATGTTAAGAGTATTCATTGGCGTGATAGGTGGGAGTTCCAATGCCATGATGAGAACGTTGCCTTTCACAGGGCCTGATGTCATCACAAGGGGCTTGCCACCTCTGTGCTCCCTCCTGCCTGCATGCAACCTCAGATTCTTCAGCAGGAAGGATGCTGTGAGCTCATGAGGTCAGCTTTTGCCCCTGGACTGTGCCAGTGTTTATATGAACCTCAGGCTGTTCTCCTTCCACTTCCACTGGGGCTGAGCTTTCCTCCTGCCAGGAAGTTCTCTTATTTATCTGACCTCAGTCATTCATACCACAGGACACTCTCATTTCCTTCTCCTGGAAGGATTTTCTTGAGAGAAGGGACAACTGAGCATTTCTCCGCTCTCCCCTCCTCCCTGGGCTCATCTGGTCTCACGTGGATGACTCCACACTTGCTGAACCTTCCTATGTCCTGACCTTTAATTATCTTCAGCTCCCTCTGAAGCCTGGGACTCCCACCACCCAGGAAGGCAAGTTTTTTATTCCTTCCGCCCTTTTAAAGGATGAATATTGTGGCTGGGGTAATTCTCAGCACTTAATCTCTCTGGCTATTGTGTCTGTGTCACCTCTCTCTTCAACTGCCTCTCTCCAGAGCTCCTTCTGTGTAAGCCTGCCCGCAGCCTTATAGTGGGGAGGGAAGTCTCTCACCAGGGGACCCTAATCCTCTTACAAAGGGGTTTGGGGGGTCTTGGGATGGTGTGTTCCAGTTTCTGCCCATTCAGTGGTGCTGGAGGGAGACTTCAGCCTTGGCCAAGACTGGCATGGAGCCAGCACTTCTTGAGATAAAGCCCCCTCTGCAGGCTCTCTGTCTGCCCTGGGCCTTCCCAGGGAGACAATAGTTCAGAGTTATAAGGAGGGCTGGCCAATCTCTGCCCAGGCATGGGGCAAAGATCTGAGGGGCCAGATCTTCAGAGCTGCACTGGAGGTGAGGCTTACCTGGATTGGCCAGAGAAGTAGGGAGCAGCAGTGGTGGAAGTTTAGCAAATAGTTCCGCCTCCCATAGCTGAAACTTGTAACTGCTCCACAGCTCCCTGGATAACAACCTCTAAAGCTGTATGGAGCAGTCTGAGCTGGAGAGATTCCTGTCAACCAGGCCACCTCTCCTTCAGTGTCCTTTTTCCCAGAACCTGTCCATGGCTCATAGACACATGGAGAACTAAACAAGGGGTTGGGATTTCCTAGGAGGAGCTGAAGCAGATCGCTGCAGGTTGGAGAGTGGAGTCTCTAAAAATCTGCTAAGAGGCTGCCAAGTCAAGGACAGGTAGGTATTGGGTATAGGGGGTAATTCTCTAGGAAAACTACAGGGGAAAGTTTATCACCTTCCTCATCTATTCAAGCACTCAGGGCGAAGGGGGGTGGCCCACAGACTGCTGTTGCTTATAGTCCCAGGAATGTCATGAGGCCAAAGCTCTGCTCCTGCTCCTTAGGGTGGGAGACATATTCCAGAGCTGGGGCTTCTCCAGGGCCACCATGTAGATCACGTACAGCTGCACAGGTTGTACACTGCACAGCTCTAGGCTACATCATAAAGGGCCCACAAGTGTAGAAGTCTTTGCCTATTTTGTCCACAAATGTATTCCAAGCTTCTAGAATAACACCTGGAACACAGTAAGTGCTTTATAAAAAATTGGCAAATGGGTTGGGTGCAATGGCTCACGCCTGTAATCCTGGCACTTTGGGAGGCTGAGGCGGGCAGATCGCGAGGTCAGGAGATTGAAACCATCCTGGCTAACACAGTGAAACCCCGTCTCTACTAAAAATACAAAAAAAAAAAAGATAGCCAGGTGTGGTGGTGGACGTCTGTAGTCCCAGCTACTTGGGAGGGTTAGGTAGGAGAATGGCATCAACCCAGGAGGCGGAGCTTGCAGTGAGCTGAGATCGTGCCACTGCACTCCAGCCTGGGTGACAGAGTGAGACTCTGTCTCAAAAAAACAAAAAACAAAACAAAACAAAACAAAAATTGTCAATTGGATATGAATTTCCTCTGGAGTTGGGCAATGCAGAGGTCCTGGTTTTCTTGGTGCAGCGAGAAACAGGGAAGCTGGGTCTTGCCAAGATTTCTTGATTTCTGGGACCACAATCAGGATCTGGAGAGCAAGGGATTTGTACTATATGTGGAGCACTCATAGTTGCAAAAACCACGTAGAATCACTCACACACCTTTTAGAGTGGGAGGGCCTGAGTCCAAGGTAGCCACGGGGAAAAGAGGCTCCAAGCTGACCAGCTTCTGCTATTCTTGCCACTCCACTGAAATGGCTAACATTGGGTCAAATCCACTGCCTTGAGATAAATCCCCTTCCCAGCCAAATATTGTCTTGAAAAGTCAATCTCCTCCCTCCTCCTGTACTCCTCTAAAGAAATAGCATCCAGACTCCTACAGTTTCTATTTCAAACCCCTCCAGCAGGTACCTCGGATGACCTTACTTATCTGGCCTCTTCCTTCATAGCCCCTCCCAGAGCCAGGCTGGTGATCCCACTGCCTCTCCTGGCCTCCCTGGGAGAACTCCCAGACTTGAGTCATCTTCCCCTCCAGTGAGGTCATAGAACGTATGGTTAAGAGCATGACCTCTGAAGACCAGCTGCATGGGTTCAAATCCTGGCTAGACCACCTTGGGCAAGCCACTTAACCTGTCTATCCCAGTTTCCTCATCTGCAAAGTGGGTGTGATAATAACATCACTTGCCTCAATAACAAATAACACCAAACACATATTGAGCAGTTCTTATGTATCAGCCATTCTTCTAAGCGCTTTACCAATATCCATGCATTTAATTCTCACAAAACCCTATGAGGAAAGCACTGTTATCATCCCTGGTTACAACCAAGGACACAGGGGCACAGACAGACTAAATAAGTTCCCCAAGGCTGCATAGCTAGCAAGTGAGGAAGCTGTGATGCAAGGCAAGTAGGGAGTTAGATTCCAAACCTCATGCAGTTGTTAGAAGGATTAAAGGTGCTTATAACAATGCCTGGTTCACAGTAAGCCACGGTAAGTGTCGGCTGCTGCTACAAGTGCTATTATGACCTCCCGTCCCAGTTCCTGGAAGCCTACCAGGTCCTAGATTGCTGCTTTGTTTATCCAACAGAGTCTCCAGAGACCCTCGCACTCCCAAGCCACCTCTGCCCCACAACAGCACCAACCTGCTCAAGCTCTGAGAACACGGCTAATATCATCTGCCCCTGAACTGTTTCTACTTTCTAGTCAATTGTCTGCATGTCTTCTCTCCACAGATGACTGGGACATAAGGCTCATCTTGGCCTGGAGGTCCCCAGAGGGCAAAGAACACAGCAGTGTGAACTCAGCATGAAATGACATAGGTTTGGAGTGACAGGGATGCCAGTGGCATCCTGGGACCTGCTCAGATTGAGGGAGATGTGAGCAGGGACTGTGGCTCACTGATCCCATTTCCTTCCTCATTGCTTGGCAGAGGCTAAGGGAGACTGAGTTGAGCTTGGACAGTGTGCGACTGAGTGAGTACTGGCGGCAGTTGGGAAGGCAGGGAGTAAGAGAAGAGTGTGGCCTTTTGACAAGCCTGGGATGGAATCCTGGCACAGCCTCCTAGCTGGATGTCCTCAGACAGGTTTTATATAACCCTTCTGAGCCTGAGTTTCCTATCCATAACACAGAGTAATAATAACACCTTCAAAGGATTATATAAGGTATTCATGAAGGACTTTATGTAAAGCACTTGGCACTATGCCCTGCACATAGTAGGGTATTCAATAAGTGATAGTCATTATTACCATTTAGTTCTTTTTAGTGTTTAAGGAGTCAGAAAGCAGTGGTCCTGGTTTAGTTCACCTGCTAACTTCCTATGCAGTCCTGAGCAAGTCACTTCTCTTCTCTGAGTCTCATCTCTCCCTCATTGAAAAGGAGGCCAAATTTGGGAGATCTATAAAGTTTGTTAGAGCTTTGACTTCCTATGTTCTTTGATGCAAGTCATTTGTAGTCCAGGAATACTTGGATTTGGTTTGAAACCCCCAGAACAAACTTCTCTCCCAGAGAGTAGTTACCATTCCTTGCTCCTGCCCCAGGCACACTAGCTTTGCAAGTTCTCTTAGAATGAATACTCTATTCCTGCTCTATTTCAAATCCATAAGGCATGAAAAACTTCACTGTGGCTTAAAGATGGAGCCAGCTCAACAAGGGAGAAGAAAGAGGAAGAAAAGCAAAACAGCCCTAGTATGAGGCCAAACTCCACACTGCCCCACCCATTCTCTCTATATATCAACCCTCGTGTGAGAAGGAGGCAGGGAGGAGGCTCTGGCTTTTTCCTGATAACACGTACTATGATGAGAAAAAGATCCCTTCATTGTGGGTCCACTTAGTGCTCATTCAAACATGCCACAAAGTGGAAGTCATTAAAGAATCTGCATAAGCCTTGGGGCAACCTTTCCCAGTCCTCCTGCACACAGCCTCACACATGTGGGCACGCGGTAACGTCAGCCTTGGCTTCTCTTGGCTGTCCAAATTAAGATCTGATGGTGGTCTATACACTACCCAGTGCTGACTGCAACCAAAGGGAGAGTCAGCAGATGGGACCAGTGCTGGGCTGTCACCAACAGAATCAGATGGGCCAGGGAGGGTCAGGGCACATGTACAAACATCAGTGGGCTGGGCATTTCCACACTTGCCCCAGGGCAGAGGCAGAAGGAGCAGCTGCTGGTGGATGGCCTTCAGGATATATGAAGAACATCCCCAGTGCCCCAGGTTGGAGGCAAGTCATCATGGGAAATTCTCCTGCTATATAAATACTAGAAAGCCTTGTTTGGACTCTATGCCCAGAGTCCAAGCAGATTAAGAAAGTGGCACAAGGCTGAGAAAGCTCTTTGGCCTTCTCCTGCTCCGCTCAAAGACTCTGCACTCACCCCCCAAACCCATTCAGTGAGCTTGGAAGACAGAGAGAAGCACATTGGGAAAGGAGCAGAGAAAGACTGGTTGGTCTTTCTCAGCTGGTAGAGAAGAAACAGGCTGATAGAGGACAAATTTTAGAGCTCTACAACCACTTACATTGGATTCCTTACTCATTCATTCAAATCATACCTTCACCAAACCCTGACCGCCAGGCACTGTGCTAGGTGATGGGGGGCAAGATGAGTTCATGGTCAGGAAGGGAAGATACATGAGCTTCAAAAAAAAGCCCCCAAACCCCCAGCCATCTACAAATTGATATGGAAATAACATGATCAATAACTGTCAAATAACTATGCTGGATTCTGTGAATTATATAAATATTTGATGGAGTACTCTCCAAAGCACCCAATTATCCTTCTATAAATGGGATAATAAGCTCAGTGCCCTCCTTATGCCATGGGGCCTAGCGAGGGAGGCAGGACTGACTGGCTGCCTTGTCAACCCCTATAGGGGCAGGTCACTGGGCACAGCTTCTGGGATCCCAACAAATTCTCTAGATAAGTCTCACTGGAGTGAATCCCTGGGCTGTGAACATCTTGAAGGCAGGTCAAAGTCTTATTTGTCTTTTACCCCAGTGTCAAGCACAGTGTTCAGCACAAGGCAAACACTCACTGATGGTTTGTAGATTGAATGAAAGAATACATGAATGAATGAGTCATGTCATGCCCCAAGTGACTTTGGGAGTGAGAGGGCAAGGCATAAAATGAAATCCTTCAGTTGCCTCCTCTCTTCCTCTCTTCTCTGTTTTCTTCAAGCTCAGAAGAGCGCAGGCTCTTCCACAAGGCAGGCAAATCCGAAATCTCTCTCCCCATCCAACCCATCAAAGAGCTCGGCGTATCCTCGGCAGAGATGGGTCACCATGACAACTAGCTAGCACCAGAGCAGAGGCAGTGCAGTGAACCCTGCTCCTCTTCCCTAGGAGCCTTGGAGAAAGCCAGTGTTTCTCACTTTTCTGGTAAAACCCTCCTCCAAATGTTCCCCGGCACTCTGTCCCCCCAGAGGTACCCAACCGTGATCTAGCAGACAGTTTCACATCTAACCAGTGAGGGTGGTCTTCCAGCTGACAAGCCTGGGGGATTCCTAATGCTAGTCTGCAACAGACGTTAAAAGTAAAAGACCTCTCATCAACTCATCGGATAATAATCGTGAACGAGCGCTGGGTTAGGTGCATGGAGATCATTAGGCTCTAACAATGTGGCATCCACATGAGGAAGCCATTACACTAACAAAACTGCAAATGTAAAAATAGAGCTCCACATAGTTTCCTGGTTACCACATTCTAATTCTGATGGCTTTTCGGTGCCAGAGAAATTTGGTTTCCTTTTGTCCCCTGCCATGCCCTGGTTCTCTTGCATGTATATTTATTGTGGAAGGAGATGGCTTGCTTTGCAAATGCTGAGTCCTTAACCCATAACCCTCCTCCACAAGGCTTGTCATGGAAGAATGAGTGTTGCTGCTCTGTTTTTAGGGTTGCAGTGGCTCCAAGATCACTGCTATAGACCAGGCCTAGAAAGGGCTCAAAAGGTCCCAGCTCCCAGGCCAAGAAGGGATATCTGGCCACCTGCCCAGCAGGGCACAGAGAAGACAGAAGCAGTATACCATCCTGTCCGGTGATCTCAGGGTCAGGCTGTGTTCTAAGCCCCAGCTTGGCCCGCTGGAGCAGGGCACCAAGACAAAGCTGGGAGACAAGCCCTCTGGACAATCTCAGGTTTGTGAAAAGGAAATTTATTACTTTGTTGAGGCAAGTTTCCCTTTGTCTGGGAAAGTAAAGGATTGACCTGGTTCCCTGCAGTGTGCAGCCTCATGTACCCCTGGTGTGAATCATAGCCATCCTCTAGATACTTTTTTAATGTTGTAGGAAAATCAGCACACGTCCGTAAGTGCTGCTGAGTTTTGAATCTGACCCACTTAGGGCCTGACCTATGGTACCCAAGACACTCACTCATCCATGCATCATTCATTTATTCAGAGACACTGAGCACCTGAAGATGCATCTGAGACTGTCAGGGTCTCTGCCCTTATTGAATATTGCTGTATTTGAAATTTAGGGATCTTCCTGGTGAATCTCACATGCCTGAGCCTCAGGTGATATCTCATGACTACAGGATGACACGGGGAAGGGGACATGTGTGGGAGTGGCCTGTTAAAAGTGGTCCTGGAAGGGGAAGTGTTGTCAGGCAGCAAGCCAGATGGCTCTGGCCTGCCTCCCTAATTCCAGCACCTTCATTTTTCAACCTGGGCACCACTCAGAACCTGGCTCTCACTCCCAGCTTGTTACCTTTGTGTCAGGACTTCTCACATGACACACACATGCAGTGACTCCCATAGCCTGGGCATCCCCTGGCCACTTCCCTATGCTGCCCCTAAAAGGCTCCTGGGTTTGATGGACCAACCCTGGGTTGAGTCAAGCATGATGAAAACTCAAAGTGCAATTCACAGGTTGATGTCTCCTTGTCAAGAGATGGACCCATCCAGCCTAGGTCACTTCTTCTTCCATCTAGGCAGCTCTAGCACAGTGGCCTCCCGACCCTAGGAGGAAGTCTCCCCCAGATCACTTACCCATGCAGGAGAAGCTCTCCTCAGTCTCATGGAGGGGCTCAGCATAGCCATCAAGGGGCCAGCTGCCCTGGGAGAGGGGGCCAGGTTTCTGGTCAGTTTGCAACCTGTGGGACCAAGAAAGGGTAGTCACTCATGGTAGAGATGTCCTGGTCTCTAAGCCCCTCCATGGGGCTAAGAAAACCCTCTTAGAACTTGGTTCTTCTTCTCTGATAGTGCCCTGCACCACTCAGGGCCAGCCCCTCCCTGATGGGTATGTGCACATGCCTGCCCTCCAGCAGGCAGCAGGCCTTCTGTGCAAAGCTGCGCCAGGCAGGGAGCCCCAGAGGATACTGGGATGCCCGATGCTTGTCACCCCTTGACATTCTACAGTCTACCCATTTCCCAGGAACGTTATCACTTATAGGGCAGAGGGATACCCTAGCAACTCCAGGCCTTGGGTCCTTTGTCTTGCCAGGATCCTTGCCCTCAGGATGAGCATGTATGTACAGCCATGTACATATACACAGGGAAGAGCTCCCTCTGAAGCTGAAGTCACTGATTCCTGGTAGCTCAGGGGGCACACAGGCTTTGGGCTTGCTCGTAGTCCAGGCAGCTTGTAGGTCAGGAAAGAAGGAGGAGTAGGCTCAGCTGCAATCACAGTGACTCCCGGGAGGACAGGTCTCTTGCTGGGCCCGTTGTGGTAGCAGGAAGGAAGGGTGAGGTCTCTGGGCACCAGCTCCCAAGTGCACACAGACCTCTGAGCACAACCTCAACCGTACAGTTGCTCCCAGGAACAAAGGCTGTGGGAGCTTTCATTATAGGCAATTACCCTAGGCTCTGGGAGCTGGCCCGCCCACCCATCCGCCCGCTGTCTCCAGCTAAATGGAGACTTTGGCAGCTTGGCAGGAGGGGGAGGGGAGGGCTGTGCAGGCAGGAGGGGAAATTGAAGGGCTGGGCCATGGAACCCTGAGAGTCTCCAGTGCCACTGAGATTTGTCTTTCTCTCTCTCCAGTTTTCACTTTTTTCAATGCCTAGATGGCCGGGACTCTGGGCTCAATTTTGCCATTAACTCACTGTATAACCTGGAGTAGATCTCTTCTCCTCTCTGGGTCCGGCTTCCATCATGGGGTGAAAAGATGCCCCTCAAGGCTGGGATCTGTTTTACAGTCTAGGGTTGTGAGGTGTTTGCTGCTTCTGCTCAGCTTTTTCTAAGCTATTTAGGCAGTGCTGAGCTCTTTTGTATCTCAGGCCCCTCAGGTGAATGATGGGGATAGTGCAGGGTGGGGTGTCGTTAGAGAAAGCAGGAGGCCTCATCCTGGCCCCTGGGGGTGCTTGGTATGATGGGGACAATCGCCATGTACTACTGTCTCTCTTTTTTTTTTTTTTTTTTGACACAGGGTCTCACTGTGTCACTCAGGCTGGAGCACAGTGGTATGATCAAGGCTCACTACAGCCTTGATTTCCTGAGCTTAAATGATCCTCCCACCTCAGCCTCTCAAGTAGCTGGGATTACAGGCTCAAGCTACCACGCCTAGCTGATTTTCATATTTTTTGTAGAGATGGGGTTTTGCCATGTCGCCCAGGCTGGTCTCGAACTCCTGAGCTCGAGATCTGCCCACCTCAGCCTCTCAAAGTGCTGGAATTACAGGTGTGAGCCACTGCACCAGGCTCTTATTGTCAATTAAATGTCTGTCCAAGTACACAAGTGCCAAGGGGATAAAGAAAGACTGGGGTTGGTTGGTTTCTTGGAAGAAATTAGAATGGACCTGGGATTTTGAAGTAGGGGATGCAACATATTGGTGAGAAAGTAACAGAAAATTCTACTGGGGAGAGGGAATTCTATATAATGTGTCAACTGTTTCATTGATTAACATCATATATGTAAAGAGCTAAGCACAGCGTCTGGGCCAGAGCAGGTATGCAATAACCAGTGTTAAAAATAAGAATAGGCAGACGGGTGCAGTGGCTCATTTCTATAATCCCAGTACTTAGGGTGGGGGGGCCGGGGCGGATGGATCACTTGAAGTCAGGAGTTTGAGACCAGCCTGGCAAACATGGCGAAACCCCGCCTCTACTAAAAATACAAAAATTAGCCAGGCTTGGTGGTGCATGCCTGTAATCTCAGCTACTCGGGAGGCTGAGGCAGGAGGATCGCTTGAACCAGGGAGGTGGATGTTGCAGTGAGCCGAGATCGTGCTACTGCACTCCAGCCTGGGCGACAGAGTGAGACTCCATTTCAAAAAAAAAAAGAAAAAGAAAAATAGGAATAGGCCAGGGTGGTGGCTCACAACTGTTAATCCCAGAGCTTTGGAAGGCCGAGGCAGGAGAATTGTTTGAGCCCAAAAGTTTGAGGTTACAGTGAGCTATGACTGTGCCACTGCACCCCAGCCTGGGGAACAAAGCAAGAATCTGTCTCCAGTAAATAAATTAAAGACTAAAAACAAAAAAAGAAATAGTTACAGTCACGATTGTTGCTGCCATTAATATGATGCAAGAGTGGGTGAGGTTACATCAGTCATATGGGCCAGAAACTCCAATGGCAGAAACATTGAGGAAGGCAGGCTTTATCTCTAATTTCAGTCAGCTCTGTATTTTTATCCACATCTGCCTCCATCTCTCCAAACATGGCCAGGCCTCCATGTCCGCCCTCACTTCTCAGCCTGAGTGGACAGCACTCTGTATGCCAGAAGTCAGGCAGAGGTTGAACCAGAGAGAAGAAAATTGCAGTAGTGACACCAGTAACCCTACGCTCCTGATACCATTAACCATAGTTCCAATTGAAGTCCAACCCAAGGCCCACCCAATGCAGGAAGAAGAGAACTGTTGGGGGTTAGGGAGGTGGTAAAGGGTGCACTGGCAGTTGGGAAAAGTCAGCAAGGGCTGTGGTGAAGCTGCTGTGGCTCTCTTCCAGGATAGCAGAGAGGGATGAGGTTGAGGATGTGATGGAATTAGATGTGTGAGACCAGGGTCTCCTGAGAGCGGACAGGGGATTGCACCTTCTCTGGGTCCAAAGGGAAGTGATGGATGAGAGGAGACAAGCTTCACTGGGAAGGCCACACCAAGGCCCTTGAAAAGAGAGGGCTGTGGAGGATGGGGCAGGGGAGAAGATGGCTGCAAGATTCATTCCCTGGAGAAGCAGGTCAGGCATGACCAGGCTGGAGATGGGGAGGGAAGCAGGTGACCTCTGCTTCTGCATTCCACTGGGGCTTTGCAGAAGGCTGAGGTGCTGGGGCGGGTGGCAGGGAGGGAGGAGAGATTTCCACAAAAACACAATGTCTGTGGATTCTAGGAAGCAGATGGCACCTCCTTGGCTATGAAGCTTTGAAGGGTGGCCCAGCCTGGCCCTTGGCAGAGCTGCCATGGCAGCAGCTCTAGGCCCTGCAGAGTGTGCTGGGTGCCTGCCCATTGGCGTGCAGCATCTCGGAGTGTCCTTGGTCCTAATCGCACCCTTGAGCCTCAAATCTGTCTTGAACTAACTTCTAACCACCATGGTGATGAGTCAGGTCTTTGTGCCATGACCCTCTCTCCAACCCTAATCCAGAGACTGAAAGGGGCAGGGTCTAGGAGGTAGGGTGGTGTGACACATTTCCATTTCTGTTTAAAATGCAAACATGCAATAAATGTTTGCTGAATGAAGGAAACATGGTTCTGTTTAAGCTGCATTAAAATATTTGAATGAAGAATTCTGAGCTCTTTGGAAAATGTCAGGTTCTGAATATACCAAGGGACTTGTAAGGTAGATAATGTAAAATCTTAAACAATTTAATGCCTAG
This sequence comes from Homo sapiens, assembly GCF_000001405.40. Classification (NCBI taxonomy): domain Eukaryota; kingdom Metazoa; phylum Chordata; class Mammalia; order Primates; family Hominidae; genus Homo; species Homo sapiens. Next base: position 201,625,755 of record NC_000001.11, on the reverse strand, counting down.
ACACTTTTCCCAAAGAATGAATTCAAAATGAAGGGAATCAGGTAGGAGAAGAAAGTCAAAGAGTCACCAGGGAAACATTTTACTAATTGGAAAAAGGCCATTCAAAGGAAGGCCTGCCCTGCATTTCTGCTTCTTGAGTTCTCTCATCAGCTTCAGAATCGAAGTAAAGAAAGTCACAAGGGGACGTAAGTGAGTTGCCCCTTAGGAAAAGAAGCATCAGTGCACTTTGCAGGCAGTACAGTCAGGCAGAAGATATGCTTTGAGAGCCAGGGGTCACCCTGGTAAGACCTCCCTTTGGCTGTGAAGTCAGAATTCTTGCAATAACAGGGAGTTCACTGCCTTCCGGTCAATTTGTAATCCTCTCTACTTTTTGGAAAGTTCTTGCTCTTGAGCCTCAAATCTGTCTTGAACTAACTTCTAACCACCATGGTGATGAGTCAGGTCTTTGGAGCTGCACCAAGTAAATCTAATTCATCTTACAACATGACAGCCCTTCAAATATTTGAAAACAGTGCTCAGACCCTCTCTAAGCCTTCCTTTCCAAAGCAAACTTCTTCAGTTCCTTTCATCATCCTATAACACCTTTTTTGATCCCCCAGCAACGTGTCAGTCTTGCTCTACATGTGTTTTTGTATGTCGATGTCCTTTTAAAACGTGGTGTTCACAACTGAATGTAACAGTCTAAATGAAGCCTAAACATGTGCAGAGTGTATTGGGACCATTCACTTCCTTGTCCTGAACTCCAAAGGCCTAGTCCTGTAATATTAAATTGCATTCAATTTTTCAGAGATTAAGATACACAAGTTGCCTTCTGCTGAAGGTTAAAGCTCCTAGTGGTTCCCTACCCCCACCTCCAGCCGCTCTGATGCCTCAGAGGTCCCTGGTGTGTAAGGGATGATGTACAAGCTTTTCTATGCCCAAAATATAAGTGAGAGTTTCTCCTTCCATTAGCATAGGGGAAAAAATATAGGAAGTTAGTTTAGTCAGGAAGATACTTAATTTGCATTTGGGCATTTCTAAACTATATAATAATTAGTAATTAAAATTTAGTGTACTTACTGAAGTCTTTTTAGTATAATTATATTTTTATTTTTTAAAAAAAGCATAGTTTGCTGGGTGCGGTGGCTCACGCCTGTAATCCCAGCACTTTGGGAGGCTGAGGTGGGCGGATCACGAGGTCAGGAGATCGAGACCATGCTGGCTAACACAGTGAAACCCTGTCTCTACTAAAAATACAAAAAAAAATTAGCCAGGTGTGGTGGTGGGCGCCTGTAGTCCCAGCTACTTGGGAGGCTGAGGCAGGAGAATGGCGTGAACCTGGGAGGCGGAGGTTGCAGTGAGCCGAGATCGCACCACTGTACTCCAGCCTGGGCGATAGAGTGAGATGCCATCTCAAAAAAAAAAAAAAAAAAAAAAAAAGCGTAGTTGACTAAGCGTTTGTTTTTCTATGCAATCAACTTGCAGTGTCTGAAAAAAGCTGGATGTACTAGCTTGTTGGCCATCTTGTTGTGAATACTGGACTGGCCACCTCCACCAACAAGGATGTCAACACCTGTCTGTCTAAAGCATTACTAATTCCTGATATGCCAGGCACATAAGCAGATATGCACAAGGCACTATAGCAAATGGAGTGAGCAAACGAGTGAGAGACAGACAGACAGGTACAAGGTATGAGTGCAACAAGCAGTGTAGATTTTACTTACTAAGTAAAGGCGCAGTGCCCAAGCCAATAGAGTTGGTCTAACTCACAATGTTGGCAAATGTCCCACAATGAATTGGGTGAGACTGACACTGCCTATGTATCTAGCTGCTTAAGCTTCCACGACATCCCAATCTTTATATTGTTCCAGAGAGCAAAAATGGACATTTTAGGGGTACCCTCCTTATGAGACTCTTTTTGTTGTGGATTCCCCACAGTCGAGAAAGATCAGAGCTTCAGTCAGCGTCCCCTTTTATGGTCCCAATCCCATCTCAGCTCTCCAAGCCCCCAACTCTGTAGGCCTCCACCTACCTAACTTCTTTTTGTATCGCCTGGGGCCCTCTGGTCTTTACCAGCCACTGATCACCAGGGTCCCTGTCCTCTTCCGGCTTGCCCCTTGGTCCCAGCATGGCTCTTCCCCCTTCCCTCCCTGCCTGCTCCCCAGCTCACCTGTACTGGAAGGGGGCCACCGTGGCTGTGACTGGCTGACTCTGCTGATGGACTGAGGAGAAGCTAATGGCCCCCGGAGAGGGAGAGGGGCGCTTGCCCTGCACTGGGCTGCAGACTGGAGAGGAAGCCCACGAAGCTGCCCCCTCATCAGGCTCCAAAGACCTGGGGGTCCCAGAACTTTTGTAGTTTATATCTCTTTGGTCTTTTCCTGGGCAGCTTGGAGGCTTCCGACCTTCCGGAGCCCCTGGTATTTGAGTTTCTCCGTGAAAGCTCGTCCGAGAAGGGCTTCTGCCCCGGGTCTGGCAGACTGGAGTCCCTTCCTGGGCTTTTTTCTTCTTTCCCTGGGTGCCTTGTCTCTCGCCAATTCTTCCGGATCCAGCCCGGCTGGAGAGGGCTGCTTTCGGGGTTGTCCTGGGACTATTCCATGGGGAGCTGAAGGGGCCTTCCCCATCCTCAGCTGACTCCCTCACCGCCCCAGCAAACTTGGGAGAGCCTCTCCCCCGGAAGGCCCTAGGAGAGGAGTTTCTAGAAGGACCTGCAGCCTTTCCCAGTCTGGGGGAGGCTGCTCTCTGTGGGCTCAGGGCCAGGCCGGCCTGGCGTGGCCGCAGCTGGGGAGAAGCGCCCGGTGTAGGAATCCTGGTCTGGGAAGAGGCACGAGGCACCGGGATGGCGGAGGCGTAGTGAGGGCGGCTGGCGGGATTCACATTGGCCATCCCATTCATGGTCTGCAAGGCTGGAAGTGTGGGCTACTGTCCTGCAGGGAGAGAGGGCAAAAAAAGACCGTCAGGCACATCCCCACAAGCTTCCATCCTTGAGTGTAGAAAGAGGATGTTGGGGTCTGTGGGGAGGCTCGAGCACCCAGACTGGGCACTGGCACTCCTGGTTCGCATTGTGACTGGGTCACTGGCTACCCGCTGGACTCTGGGCAAATCCCTTTCCCTCTCTGCTCTGAAAAGCTGTTATGAGGCTCATCTGCAAGCACATATGGGAAAGTGCTTTGTGAATTGCAATGTGCTGTACAAATGGGCTTCATTTAACTTTCTTTGACTCTGTTCCTGTTCACTGATTGGGGACAGACTCTCCTTCTCACAGCTCCTCCCCCTCAGGCCTTTCCTAGTACCCCGAGTCTAGAATGTCCTCCACACTAAACAAGTTTCCTCATGCTCTCGGCCTCTGCCCTGCATGTTCCTTCCTCTCATCACTGCAGCTGACCCCTGGCTCTCTTCATAGGACACTCTCCAGTGCAGTGCAACCTTCTTCCACATGCTGCTGGGGCCCAAGGGTGGGAGGGCCAATCACAGTCCCCCCAGATCATAAACTTGTAAATTGGCAAATGCTGCCCCTTGAGGCTCCTGCCATTCCCTGGGCCCTCCCTGCTGTCCCCACCCCCATAGTCACTGGGCATTTGTCACTTGGCTCACAGTCTTCCTCTCCAGCCCATTCCCTACCCACCTCCCCCCATGACAAAACTGACCTCTGCCACCTCCTGCCACCCTCGTCTAAAAGAGACTGAGTGTCCCACCTTTGGTTCAAGGCAGTTCCTTGTGCAGGCCCTGTCAACAGCACTTGATCTTGTCTCTTCCAGACCTTGACTCATTAATTATCCCCTTCTCTCTTGTATCTTCAACCCTTCCCCCTTCACCAGCTTCCCCTCCTTGCCATGTTAATTAATGAATTAATCACTTCCATTTCAAAGGGAATTTAAAGCAGTTTACAAAGATACATACAATCAATTCCAGATAGATTAAAGAGTTAAAGGTTAAAAAATGAAGCCATAAAAAATGTTCAGAACACATGCATGAACGTTTCCATAATTTTGTTGTGGGAGAGGCCTTTCTAAGTACCACATCAAAGGCAGAAATCATAAACTAAAACACTGATAGATGTGAATGCATAAAAATTAAAATCTTTATATGGGCAAAAAACCTTTTCAAAAGGTTTGACACATCAATAAACTATAAAAATACTTGCAACAGACTGGGCGCAGTGGCTCACGCCTGTAATCCCTGCACTTTGGGAGGCTGAGGCAGGTGGATCACCTGAAGTCAGGAGATTGAGACCAGCCTGGCCAACATGATGAAACCCCGTCTCTACTAAAAATACAAAAATTAGCCAGGCGTGGTGGCACGCCTGTAATCCCAGCTACTTGGGAGGCTGAAGCAGGAGAATCACTTGAACCTGGGAGGTGGAGGTTGCAGTGAGCTGAGATTGCACCACTGCACTCCAGCCTGGGTGACAAGAGCAAAACTGTCTCAAAAAAAAAAAAAAAAAAAAGAAAGAAAAGAAAACTTGCAACAAGTATGAAAAACAAGGAATTAACACCTTTACATATAGGGAGCTCTACCAAATCAATATTTGAAAGCAAACATCCCATAGAATAAAGGGCAGGTGGGGCACAGTGGCTCACACCAGTAATCCTAGCACTTTGGGAGGCCGAGCGGGGAGGATCCCTTGAGTCCAGGAGTTTGACACCAGCCTGGGCAACATCTCTACAAAACATAAAAATAAACAAAAACAAAATTAGCCGGGCATGGTAGTGTGTGCCTGTAGTCCCACTACTTGGGAGGCTGAGGCAGGAGGATCGCTTGAGCCTGGGAGGTGGAAGTTGCAGTGAGCTGAGCTCATGCCACTGTACTCTAGCCTAGGTGACAGAGTGAGACCCTGTGAACAAGAAAACTGCAAAAGAATAAATACAACTGGCCAAAACAAAACAAAAACCAAAGACTTTATTAGAAATTGAAGAGATGCAAATTAAATAAGTTATCATTTGTTGCTATCAAATGTACTATATCGCAGAAAATTAAAATATCCAGTGTTGGTAAGAGTATATGGCCATGAGGCTGGGTGCGGTGGCTCACACCTGTAATCCCAGCACTTTGGGAGACTGAGGCAGGCGGATCAACTGAGGTCAGGAGTTTGAGACCAGCCTGACCAACATGGCAAAACCTCATCTCTGCTAAAATTACACACACACACACTAAATAGCTGGGCGTGGTGGCACATGCCTGTAGTCCCAGCTACTCAAAAAGCTGAGGCAGGAGAATTGCTTGAACCTGGGAGGCAGAGATTGCAGTGCACCGAGATTGCGCCACTGCACTCCAGCCTGAACGAGAGAGCGAGACTCTGTCTCAAAAAAAAAAAAAAAAAAAAAAAGAGTATATGTCTCCCATACACTGCTGTGGGAACAATGCCAAATCTAAAAATGTATGCTAGGAAAATGATTACAGATGGGAGCAAAGATTTATGTACAATGAAAATACTCAGTTTGATTCTCAAAGGGTGAATTGGCATTGGATGAAGATGAAGACAAAGGACATTATGGACAGAAAAGACCACCAAAGCATGGCCGGTTCTCTTGAGATCCCTGGGATCCCCCCTTCCATATTGTGGAGAAAGCTGTAAGCAACCACAGGAATTGTTTATGGCTGTTGCTGACCTTTCCCTGACCTTTGACTCTGTGGTCTGGGACCAGTTACAGCCTAAGCTATAAGAAGTCAATGTAGACCCTTAAGCATTAATGGATTTTTAAAACTCCAGTCTGAAGTGACCATGAGAGCCAGGGCTTATTGGATTGCTCTGCAATAAATGAAATAATTTCCACAAGAAATTATTCTACAAGGGAATTGCTATGACCCCCTCATCCTTTTCTCTAATTTGTACTTTAATGACTTGATACCGTTATTTGATTAGCTAAAGCAACCCCCATCCTACCCAGCAGAAGAAGGGCAGCAAAGCCATGTGTGCCCAGGGAATTATCACCAGCTTGCCTCTGCTTCTCCAGTGGCTGCCCATGGTCTAGGCCTGGAGGGCCACACCCAGGGCTTGCCTGCCTCCTGCCTCTTCCTCATCTAGCTCATGCCATTCCCTGCCCACCCACCAGGACACAGACTGGGAGACCCTGTGAGTCATCCTCTACTTGCCCACAGTCTCCCATGAAGCCTATCCAGCTCCCAGCCCCAGCATGCCAAGGACAACCCCACAGAAGGGACAGAAAAGGACTTTCATAAAGGAAACTCGGAAAGTGTAAGCAGGTACTACCTGCAGCTGTGAGAATCTGGGTAAATTATTCAACCTCTCCATGTCCAGTCTGCAAAATGAGGACCAAAGCCAATTATGCACCCTAGACCATCCCTTCTGGGAGCTATATTGGTGAGATAATCCAGAACTAAATCTTGACTCTACCTTCATCTCTCCTGGGAGTTCCTCCCCAACTCAGGTTGTGTTGCCCAACAACCACCCCCAACCAAGAGCCCAACTCACCTACATTGTCCTCCATGCATCCCTGGGCTCCCAGCCCCTTGACTCAGACTTCCCCCAGTCCCTATGGCTAGGGCTGGCTGAATTTCCAGCTAAAAGAGCCCTAAGGCTGAGGAGGCTGCGTCTCCCTCGCTTGCTAATGGAGCAGACGCAGTTGCTGTTTTTCCTGGATCATGATTTTTTCAAAAGCTCGATGGGAGGAGGATTTAAAACATTCCCATGGTAGGTCACAAGAACCCTACCCCTCCCTCTCCACTGCAGTGGGGGCCCTGCTCTCTCCTCCTTCCGCAACTTGATAGCCCTCATCTAGACTGGGAGGAGGATGCACACAGGATTGCCCCCAGGTGGGAGCCTGGGAGGATCAGACCATCTTTGGGTGGTGGAGGAGGGCTCCCCAAACAGTGAGTTATTTTAGCCTGGGTGAGAAAGGGGTCATGAAGTTTTCCTGGTTTGCCTTCGGAGTGAGAACCCACAGGTATTCAGCATCTTTAAGGACACCTGGCAGATGCTTCTGCCCTAGACAGAGTAACAGTCCCTTGTATTGAGACATTGTTTCTAGTTCTTAACAACAACCTTACAAAGTAAGTTTTAGTACCCCTTTCACAGGTAAAGAAAATGAGGTGGAGAAGGTTAAGTGAGCTGCCCCAGGACACACACAGCTAAAAAGTGGCAGAGTGGTGTGACTCAAATGCAGATGGACAGGACTCTGAGGCTCAAGGGTGGATCCCCTTGGCCACACCCGCCGAGAGCATATCCGGGCTCTGCCTACACACCCCCAACCTCCATGATCAACTCTGACCTTGCTCTGATTGGAGCATGGGGCCTTCCAGAGATAGAGTTGGGGGTGGGGAGTGGGGATCCAATTTACAGGGTGGAAACCAGAAGAGAAGATCAGTCATAGGCAGCTCTTGGGGAGGGCTCTTTTCCTTCTCTTATTCTCCCAACATGCTGGAGATCTAGCTAGTTTTCCCCAACCACCTCATACGCTGTTTGCCTTCGGTGGTACTGTAGGTCAGCATGGTACAGGGGCATTGCCCATGTGACACTGTAGGCAACATGCATGGGAGGGGGAAAAGATAGGCCTCATCCAGCCCGGGTGCAGGTTTAATATGCCTAGTTGGTGGCAAGTGGCACACCTGGGTTGGGGTGGGGATTGAGGAGGAAGACTGGAATTTCAGGTCTCTGGCAGCAGGGGTGGGGTGGCTGGGGAAGAAAGGGGAGAGAATACACATGGGAAGTAGGATTTGGGCTGAGGCCCATGGATGATGATGCCTCCAAAGCTGAAAGGTAAGGCCTCTTGCACAGGTCTTCTCTCCTGGGGCCTAGACATGCCTGCTGACTACAAGCACCCAGTTTACATTCTTAATGGACCAAATGATTTGGGAGACATCATGCTTGCTCTGAGGCTCTGTTTCCCTTCCTCTGAAATGAGGGGAACTTTTTCTGCCCCATCTCACTCTCTACTGCCTCATATTCTGTCTGAGCAGATTGAATAAAATAATGTCAGGAAAATGTTTGCTGTCTTGAGATGCATAATGTTAGCTACAATGGCCCTCATCTCCTGGATCTCAGTGTTAGACAAAAATGTGTCTGAGAAGCAGGACAATCTACGTCTCTTTCATTTTATTTGTTCTTGAGACAGGGCCCAGGCTGGAGAGCAGTGGTGCAATAATAGCTCACTGCAGACTCAATCTCCCAGGCTTAAGTGATCCTCCCACCTCAGCCTCTTGACTAGCTGAAACTATAAGGACACACACCACCACACTGGGCTAATTTTTTTATTTTTAGTAGAAATGAGGTCTTGCTATGTTTCCCTGGCTGGTCTCAAACTCCTGAGCTCGAGCAATCCTCCTGCCTCTTTGGCCTCCCAGAATGCTGGGATTATAGGCATGAGCTCCCGTGCCCAGCTTATGCGTCTTAAACAAGGGTCTGTTCAAGCCAAAGAGCTTGCCTGTCAGCATCAATCATCCTTTGTGATAACTTTGCAATGTGTCTGGGGAGTCTCAAGGGCAGAAGTTTAGGGGTAGAGCTGGAGGTGCAAGCAAGGAGAGTGTTTCTTTCTTATGGGAGTGTGTGTGTGTGTTTATGTGTGTGTGTGTGTGACAGACAGAGAGAGAGAGAGAGAGAGAGAGAGAGAGAGAGACAGAGAGATTGGGGAATCTTATCAGATCCTCCACCTCCAAACATGCTCTCTTTGTTCTTTCTCCTTCTAAGTACCCTGATCTGAAATTTCACTTAACCTCAGTGAATAAGAGGAGGGCCTCAGTGCTCTTTAGTTCCCTCATCCTGGGGATCCCAGTCCTCAATAAATTACACTAGGGAGTTAGTACTCTCTGTTTCAAAAGAACATTGCACTTACAAAGGGATTCATGGCAGGATCCCTTTGTTCAACAACCACACACCTTGGCTGGGCACCTTCCATGTACCAGGTGCTGTGGCAATTGCAATGGCTGAGACCCAGGTTCTGCTCTCTAGGAGCTAGCAATCTGGTGGGGAAGAAACACATGCACACTCGTGACAAGTAACATGTGCAGGCAGTGCATGCATCAAGAGAGACAAAACAGGCCGGGCATGGTGGCTTATGCCTATAATCCCAGCACTTTGGGAGGCCGAGGCAGGTGGATCATCTGAGGTCAGGAGTTCGAGACCAGCCTGACCAACATGGAGAAACCCCATCTCTACTGAAAATACAAAATTAGCTGGGCGTGGTGGCGCATGCCTGTAATCCCAGCTACTCAGGAGGCTGAGGCAGGAGAATCGCTTGAACCTGGGAGGCGGAGGTTGCAGTGAGCCGAGATTGCGCTATTGCACTCCAGCCTGGGCAACAACAGTGAAACTTCATCTCAAGAAAAAAAAAAGAGAGAGAGAGACAAAACAGAGTACCATGGGGATTTAGTTGTCATGATCTGTCAGTGAGGCAGGATCTGGGGAGGCTTTTAGGAAGAGCAGTCAGGTTGGTAGTTGGTGGTTTGAGGTCTGGGAAGTAGTGGATTTGATGGTAGAACTCCTCATGCCCCTGGGTCTATCCGTCAGTGCCCCAATACAGACTCCTGCTCTTTAAAGAGATTCTGTGGTACAGTGGTTAAAGAATATACTCTGGAGCCAGAATGCCTGGGTCCAAAGCGTGGCTCTGTCATTTGCTGGTGGTGTGACCTAAGGCAAATTGCGGAACCTCTGAGTTCTCTCCTCTGTAAAATGAGATTGAGACAGGATCTACTCATAGGATTGCTGTGAAGAGTAAGTTAGTTAATGAACAGAAAGTGCTTAGAACAGTGTCTGGCACATAGTAAGGACCAACAAGTATTTCTGTTATTTATTATGATCACAGAGACAAAAAAAAAACCTTCTTTTTCAAGTGTCCCTCCATCCCACGTACCCAGGGATAGAGGCTGAGCTGCCTCATTCTCCTGAGCTTCCAGCAGAGCAGAAGAGGATAAGAACACCTGCCAGGTCTGGATCAGAAACCTGAAGCATCAACAGGAACAACATTGTCCATGCTTCACACAATAACACCCAAATGCTCACAGTGGAAAGGGTAGGAAACTAGACAGCTCGAAAAATGTGTCATGGAAAGAGTAAAGGCTTTTGAATCTGGAAGATCTGGGTTCAAATCCTAGCTCTGCTACTTCCTGCTATGTGGCTTTAGAAAAGTTAAGTTTTCTGAGCCCAGAGTCCGCATCTGCAATAAGTAGTCATAGGGTTTTATAAAGAAGCAATGAAAGAGTAAAGATAAGGCACCTAGCTTGGTGACTGGCACATAGGAAGTGCTCAAGAAATGGCAGAAATTGGCCAAGAATGGTGGCTCATGCCTGTAATCCCAGCATTTTGGGAGGTCAAGGTGGGTGGATCACGAGGTCAGGGGTTCAAAACCAGCCTAGCCAAGATGGTGAAACCCCATCTCTACTAAAATTACAAAAATTAGCCAGGTGCGGTGGCAGGTGCCTGAAATCCCAGCTATTCGGGAGGCTGAAGCAGGAGAATCGCCTGAACCCAGGTGGCAGAGGTTGCAGTGAGCTGAGATCGCGCTACTGCACTCCAGCCTGGGTGACAGAGTGAGACTCCATCTCAAACAAAAAAAAAAAGAAAGAAAGAAAGAAAGAAAGAAATGGCAGAAATTATGTTAAGGAGAACAGCCATACCTCCTCCGTCCTCCCAAAGGGAAGTTGCCAAATTCAGACACAGAATGGGACAGTCTGGTGGATGGCAGGTGAGTTGAGAGGCTGGTGGCTTCCCAGGCAAAGTGGAACAGTCCCTGCCCCTGAACATGATGTATCAGCCACATCCAACACACTTTTCTCTCTCCTCCCTTTCCAGTCTACATCCCACAGCTGTCTGCTGTCTAAGTCTCACCCTGGTACTTTATTTTTAAATCAAACACTTTTTAGTTGCATTTGCTGACTGCCTGTCAGACACTGTTCTAAGTGCTTTGCCTATATTAACTTGTAATTGTTCTATAAGTTGGTGCTATTATTATCATTCCCACTTCAGAGGCAAGGACGCTGAAGCACAGAGAGGCTAAGGAACTTTCTCACGATCACACAGCTAGTAAATGGCAGAGTCAAGATTAGATCCAAACAGTCTAGCTCCAGACATTGTGCTTCTTACTTCACAGCCTAAATCCAGGCCTCAGCCCTAACTCCTTTCCACCCCAATCTTCCAGCCTTTCAGCCTCATTCCAGCGCCAGGCCCCGCCCCATCAGGACAAATGGAGGCTACCTGGCCATTAAAGCTCTGCAAACCCCAGAGCAAGGAAGTGTTTTGGGCCTATAAATATTTCATTCTGACTCAGAGGGTGGTGAGAGCCTAAGCACCAGCTCCCTCTGATCTCCCAGGATGGGGGCGAGGGGAAAGGAAGGCGAGCACCAGTATTCGGCGGCGGTCCCTCTCTCCCCGGTCTGGAGAACTGGCCAGTCGCAAGTTCCTGGCCCCGCTCTCCACCGCCCTTCCTGCCCTTGAGGCGCCCGCAGCAGCTGCCGGGGTTGGGGGCACACTGGGCGGCGGCCGTGGTGCTGATAGGACAGCTCCTCCTGCAGTGGCCCTGTTAAAGGGGCCGCGATTGCGTTTGGGAATGCACTGAATATACCCATTTCGAAAAGGTCAGAACATTTTAACCAGAGCATCTAGGGGTTGGATATGCCAAAAAAAGAAAGAAAGAGGACAAGGAAAATATTTACAGTAAAGGGCTGGAGTATCTCTGAACTCACGCACTGAGATACGGACACTGCACAGCACAGAGTGTTGGCTAAAAACAGAGGTCCTGGAGCCAGAACCACCCCCTCTCCCCACTCGCCCCCAGCCCCATCTTCCCAACCCCCACCCAGTCCCCTCAGACCGTTGTACAAATCTGGGTATTGCTGCTTCCTGCTTTGTGGTCCTGAGCAAATTACTTAACCTCCTTGGCCTATTTCCTCATCTTTGAAATAGGGATGATAACAATATCTACCTTAAAGTGTTGCTATAAAGACTAAGTGAAGTATTTATTATTATTATTATTGAGCCTTGCGCTGTCACCCAGGCTGGAGTGCAGTGGCGTGATCTTGGCTCACTGCAACCTCTGCCTCCCAGGTTCAAGCGAGTCTCTTGCCTCAGCCTCCCATGTAGCCAGGATTACAGGCGTGTGCCACCATGCCTGGCTAATTTTGTATTTTTATTAGAGATGGGGTTTCTCCATGTTGGCCAGGCTGGTCTCGAACTCCTGACCTCAGGTGATCTGCCTGCCTCAGCCTCCCAAAGTGCTGGGATTACAGGCATGAGCCACCACACCTAGCCAAGACTAAGTGAATTATGAGAGGAAAATCATGGAAGACAGTTCCTGGTCCATAATAAACACTGAATACTAGCTAGTTATCATTAAGTCAAGTCATTAGCACAGTTTGTATCTCCCTTCTCTGTTCTGCCCCAAATTTCCAATTAGTAAATTTTGTCAGCCATTTCAGTCAGAATAGCAGAAACATTGTCACCAGAATGTTTCACCTTTAACGTAAATTTATGTTTTCTTATTTGAGTACAAATAGGACAGTCCATTTATATGGGGTTGGTGGCGGGGGGGAGGCGGGGAGAGGGTAACCAAATTACACAGCAGGCCAAGTTTCCAAAATAAATACATTTAAGACTGTGGCATGGGTTAGTAAGAAAGATGGGGAGATCTCTTTTCATAGAGGTCCTTCTGAATTGAGGCACTCCTGAGTACATGAAGATGACTTAGATGCAACCTGTTCAGAGACAGGAAATGGACAGAATGACCTGCATGAGTCCAGAGGCCACGGACAGAATCCCTGGACCCCACACAGGTCTCTTTCCAAGCTTTCTTACAACATCTGACACGTACCCTCCCTCCGCCCTGGAAATCCTGGTTAGTTCCTCCCAGGGCCAAATCTCAACTTGGGCTTCACCTCAGGCAAGAGAGAAGTGTGTCCCTTGGTGCCACTCTGAAGATATGACTCGTACTGCTGCACCCCTCAGACCAACACCATACACACATAGTGACACACACACACACAGACATACACACACTCACTCACACCCTCCCACACAAGCACACTCACACATCAAGACACAAGATACACACTGCCATGCTCCGAGTGCTTGTGTCCTCTCCAAAATTTCTATGTTGAAAACTTCTCCAATGCAATAGTATTAAGAGGTGGGCCTTTGGGAGGAGATTAGGTCATGAGGGCTACACCTTTGTGAATGGGTTAAGTCCCTTCATAAAAGAGACTTGAAGGAACCTGTTTGCCCCTTTCTTCCACCACGTGAGGACACACAGATGTCACCATCTATGGGGAACAGGCCTTCACCAGACACCAAATCTGCTGGCACCTTGATCTTGGACTTCCATCCTCCAGAACCGTGAGCAATAAATTTCTGACGTTTCATTTTAATTCTTATATTTTTAGAGACAGAGTCGCAGCTCTGTCACCCAGGCTGGAGTGCAGTGGCGTTATCACTGCTCACTGCATCCTCAGCCTCCTGGGCTCAAGCAATCCTCCCACTTCAGCCTGCCGAGTAGCTGGCACCACAGGCACATGCCACCATGCCTGATAATTTTGTTTTTTAATTTTTTGTAGAGACGAGGTTCTCACTATATTGACCAGGCTGGTCTCCATCTGGACTCAAGCAATCCTCCTGCCTCAGCCTCCCAAAGTGCTGGGCATTATAGGCATGAGCCACCATGCCTGGCCTGTTGTTTACAAATTGCCCAGTCTAAAGTATTTTGTTATAGCAACCTGAATGGACTAAGACACACACACTCACACACACACACATTCTGACACACAGAGATAGACATATGCACACACAACCTACAAATACATATACACACTGATACACACAGATATACACATTCACACAGAGACACACAGGTACGTGCTCACACACTGACACATACACACTCGCACCGCACACATCATACATGCAACTCACACTCATGCTTATTCTTAAACACACAAACACACACATCTCCAGCTTCCTTTCCCACCTGTCCTCCCTGTCCCTTGCTGTCCCTCGCCTTTGGCCCATTTCCCACCCAGCCCAGGGTGAGGAGGTGCTCTGTGTCCTCCGATCCTCGCTCATCTCAGAGGCTCCAGGCCTCCAGCAGTGTGCTCACAGGCTTCCCTGGAAAAATGAGCCCCAACACCCGTACCTTGGGCACACAACTTCCAATATTTGTGGTTTACAGACCTTGTTCAGCTCACACATGGAGCTAAGGGTGAGGGTATAAAGGCAAATCACAATATTCCTATGCTTGAGAGGAAGTAACTTGTCCCAAGTCACACCACTGAGCAACAGGAGAGCCTGGGGTGACTCCCCCACTCCAGTTATCTTCCCCCACACCACACAGCCCCCTCTCCGCATAAGGCCGCAGTGTTTCCAGACTGGGCATTGCGAGGAGGTCCCAGGGCTGGGGACAGGACTGCAATAGTCATTTACTAAATGTTTATCCTTCTTGTCCAGCCTCTAATCTCTGCCAACCTCTCAGGACAGAAATGGAGGAAGAGCTGAGATGTCGTGGTGGGGAGCGCATAGTAAAAGGATTTGAGCCCATCCTCCTTCCCCAAGCTCTTGCCTGTAGACCCTGGCTTCAGGCTTCAGCAAACCAGCTGGGGGCCATTCAGCTGGGCCTGGTCCTTGGCAGAGAATGCAATCACCCCAGTCTGTGTCAAGAGAAAGACAAGGATGGGCAGCCAGTGGTGGTGCCCCATCAGAGTGGGCATGGGCAGAGTGGGCAGAGCCTTGGCAGGAAGCAGGGGAAGCTGAGGTCTACTGGCTGGGACTTGTTAGCAGAGGGGGTGGGGCTCAGTATCCCCAGCGCCGGCCTGGCTGGCTCCTGGCTCTGAATGGGGATTAGGATTGTCCACAAGCTGTGGGACTCATCATTCCCCTCCCCTTCGCCACCCCCAGGGCCCAGGGCTCTGCCAACACCTCCAGAAGTGTCCTTATCCTTAGACTGTGGCATGGCCTCCTTTCTGGCCAGATGGCAATGTGTTCTTACAGACAAAAGATGGGGCTGGCTGTGTTACTTTCAGGTAAGATCAGATCGTTAAGCTTCCTGTTATTTATAGTTAAGTGATCAAGCAATAGCAAAGATTTCACCTCTTACTCCAAGCCTAGCCCAGCCATTCCCCAGGAGAGGCTTCTGAACACCATACTTCCCAGACTTGGCATTCCCAGAGCAACTCCACCACCCCAGCCTGTGTCTAGAGAAGGACAAATGCTCTTCCCCAGACAGGGCGTCCTGCACCTGTGCCTGCGGACAGAGGCAGGACATGGAGATCTCAAACACACCTCTGCAGAGGAGATGTTCACTGCATTCCTCCAACACCTCCCTCAGAATCTCTCATCCTATCACCCTAGGCTGGAAGTTCTTCCAAGTGTCTAACCTCCATCCCTCCTGCTAAGAATCCAAGTTCACTTCCTGGTTCTCCATTCTAGGGGCTTGTTTCTCACAACCTCTGACCTCTGAGAGAGAAGTGAATTTTGAGCTTCAGGGAGGGAACTCAGAGCCGTCCAACTGAAGACTTGTGCTGTTTCAGCATATTGACATCTTTCGCTGATTTGGTCCACGTGAATGACTCCACTTTCAGTATCCCCAGTTCCTTTTCAATTAGCCAAGAGAAATGATTTAGTGCTAATGAAAATCAATGGTTTAAAACTGTCCCACAAATCACAGGGGGCTGGAGGCCTCAGTTATAAATACTTCCCAGGAAGTTGAGCTGGCATGGGAAGCAGGTGCAGCCGGCACACAGCTTCCTTCACCCTGAGTAGAGCAGAGAAGGTGCCCTCCCTTCTCTCTGCTCCTTCTTCTGTTCCAGGATACCTCCTGCTACATAGGCCTCAGTTCCAAACACCCCAACAATTGGCATGCTCCCCTGCAATGCAAATCAGAGCTTAGAGTTCTAAGCCACAAGGGTATAAATATCTAGGTCATTGGGGAAGTGCCCTGAAGACAATCCCTGTTCCATCCAGGTTTCCCTCTCTCCCTCCTCCCTCTCTCTCTCTATATATATACACTTTCCTCCAGGCCAGAGTTACAAGAAGTCTGGCTTCCCTAACAATAGCTTAGATTCCTGATGGACACTGGAGCTGCTGAATAGGGAGGAGCAGAGGTAAGCGGAACCTTGGGGCTGGGAGAGCTCAGTGCAGACACAGAAACTTGAGCCTGTGAAGACCCCCAAGCCGCCAGCCAGATGACCACGTCTCCCACCAGACCTGTCAGCTCCATCTTTCTCACACTTGCTTTATTATTATTTTTCTCCCCTATCTTAAAACTTCCAGTATTTCTGCATGGATGGGTTTTCCAGCCAGGCAGATGGAGGTAGTATCACTCAACAAATCCCACATACTTCCAGGGCCACTGGTCTGGGGCAAGGGATGAAGGGTCCTTGGTGCCGGGACAGGAGAGATCGTGGGGATTACGGACTGTTCCTAAAGCCCTCCAGCCCAGAGGCCCAGGCCACTTTGCAGTGTGTGGGCTGGTTTCCTGCCTGGAACAGCAGAGCCTGGCATTTGGAGAGGGCTGGACCTAGAGTCAAACCTGTTAGTGGGACTATGTTGTGAGGTGCAGACCAGACCTCTTGCCAAGTGAAGGCAGCTCCAGGCTGGCTACACTAGCAATAAGCTCTTCCTTCTCCCCAACAGCTCAGAATGTGTGAGGGGTAGGGTTGGGGGATCAGAAACTTGAGCTAGGGTCTGGCAGCAGGCCCAGCAGTCACATGCAGCCCAGGAGTCAGAACACTGGACAGGACTCCAGCGCTAAGCATCTTCCCGAGTTACTCAGTCCCTAGGCCTTAGCTTTGCCATCTGAAAAGCGGGGCAAGCAATTCCAGCACTGAAGATCATTCCAGTCCCATTGCCCTCTCTTGTTCCATCGGCTGCTTATGTGTTTCTGTTCTCCAGCAAAGCTGAGTTCCCCTGTCCTGCTGGCTCCAGCAGCCTCCCTCAGAGCCAAGCTAAAACTGTGCTTGAGCCCCCATTCCTGCCAGCACAGCGCTGCCAAGCCAGGGTGACTCCCTGATCTCGGCAGCAGCACATTCGTGTGGTAGTCACGCACGGAGGGAGAGGCCAGGTCTGGCCACTGCCCAAGGTCCCAGCGCCAGGCTGCAGGAGAGAAACCCTCCTCCCCCAGCTGACCCCAATCTCAGAAAAAAAGTCCCATGAGCTGTGAGGCTCCAGGGCGTAGCTGCCCAAGGCCCAGCATCCTGCCAGACACCAGGAGGCTGACAGGTGAGCTTATGGGAGACTTCTGTCAGCAAAGCTGGAAAAGTGCCTCCTCTGTTTCCCTGTCATGCTGGGCAGACCCAGGAGAGCAACTGCCTCCGTTCTGCCTGTACTCGGTGCCTCACTGACCTGTAAGTCCCCACACAACATCTCTGAACGGGGTCGCCTCTGCCTTGAAGGGCTGATCAGGAGGTTAGACCGAGGCTGCCCAGCAAGTAGAGCTACAGCAAGAGGGGCATCTGAGGTGGGGTCCACTGGCATTCGCAGACTTGGATCAGAAACTCGCAGGCCGTGCAGATCAATACCACTTATCAGCTCTCATCGCCACACTGAATGACAGCATTCACTTTTTATAAGTTTTGGGGGAGTTCTGTTCAGAATCCGGTTCTACTTATAAGCTGTGCAGTTTTGGGAAAGTTACTTAACCTCTCTAAGCTTTCGTTGTTTCATCTGAAAAACGAGAATACCTACATCACTGAATTGCTGTAGAGGTGGAAAAAAATAATGTGTGGAGAATGTTTAGTACAGTAGCACATGGTAAGTCCTTTAAAAAGGGTAGTTCTTATTACTTATAAAAATAACATGTGCATTAGAAAAAACTTGGAAAATCTCAAAACATAAAAAAGAAAATGTCTATCACCTATCAAGTTATCACCCCACTAAGTCAATTATTAGCATTTGTAGGTTTTGGGTTCTTCCAGGGTTTTTACTGTTCATAACACACACACACACACACACACACACACACACACACACACACACAATAAAGTTATCATTATACTATATATTTATATCTTTTCACTATATATTAAGCATTTTTACTTTTCATTTTAAAGTCTTCAGGCCAGGTGCAGTGACTCACATCTATAATCCCAGCACTTTGGGAGGCCGAGGTGGGTGGATCACTTGAAGTCAGGAGTTCGAGACCAGCCTGGCCAACATGGTGAAACCCTGTCTCTACTAAAAATACAAAAATTAGCTGGGTATGGTGGTGCATGCCTCTAATCCCAGCTACTGGGGAGACTGAGGTGGGAGAATTGCTTGAACCTGGGAGGCAGAGGTTGCAGTGAGCCGAGATCGTGCCACTGAACTCCAGCCTTGGAGACAGAGCGAGACTCCATCTCAAAAATAATAAAAATAAAGTCTTCAAAAATTATTAAAAACATACTTGTTAGTAGATAGTAAACAATTATGTGAATGCATTACACAAAAATTATTTGGCCTGGCATGGCAGCTCACACCTGTAATCCCAGCATTTTGGGAGGCCGAGGTGGGTGGATTACTTGAGGTCAGGAGTTAGAGACCAGCCTGGCCAACATGGTGAAACCCCATCTCTACAAAAATACAAAAATTAGCTGGGTGTGGTGGTGGACGCCTGTAGTCTCAGCTGCTTGGAAGTCTAAGGCAGGAGAATCGCTTAAACCTGGGAGGTGAAGGTTGCAGTGAGCTGAGATCCTGCCACTGCACTCCAGCCTGGGTGACAGAGGGAGACTCCATCTCAAAAAAAAAAAAAAAAAAGAAAAAAATTATTTGACCACTTTACCACCACTAGCCATTGAGGTTGTTTCCAATTTTCCACTATTATGTATAACAGTGCGACAAACATCCAAAATAGTTTTGCTTGGGACTCTGATTATTTCCACAGGCTAAATTCTTTGAAGGAGAATTACTGGGTCCAAGAGGAGAATCTTATAAAGATTCTTGGTTACAAATTGCAGATTGCTTGTCAAAAAGATTAACCGAGTTGTTTGTCCTCCAATAGTGTCTAAGGGTATTTGACTCATTACATCTGTTTTAGCAATTAGTATCTTGCATCTAAATGGCCTTGCTCAGCAGTGGGAATGTAGCCTTTGCTGGGGGCCTTGAACAGTCAGGCCAAGTAGGGGAGCAAAGCTGGAGAAAATGTGTGTGTGGGGTGGCCCCATAGCCAGCAGATCTTGTTCTGTTCTTCCCCAATGAACACAGATAATAACAAGTGAACTGCTCTACTTCAGGGATTTAAGTTAGAGGTTACAAAGAACTTTCTGTCCATGAAGAGGACAGAAATACAGAATACCAGGACTGCAGTCTTTCTAGTCCTTCTGTTTGGAGTTTGGAGACGCAAAGATGCTCTTCTGCCTGTGAAGTTCAAGGGCCAGGTGCATGGACAGGATGACAAGATGACCCGTGGCCTTAGGACAGCCTCACAGTTCACATGGCAGTAGTAGTGAGGAAAGTGCCAGCAAAATAGCATGGTTGGGTGGGTAGGTTGAGTGGCTATAAGTGCCAGATACTGGCTTGGGGACAGGTCTTCCATGCACTGTCTACCTTGAACAATAAAGACAGACCAGGTAGCCCCCTGTTTTGCCCACAGGAGAGGAGGTTTCGCAATGTGCAAGTCCTTGCCTTCACAAGGGTCCTGGTCGATCCCTGGCCACATGTCCAGAAAGGCAGTGCCTAAGTGCTCTGACCTGCTCCAGCTGTCTCACCTTTCTTCTCAGTGCCTCCCCTTTCTAAGACATCACCTGACTTCCCCTTTCTAGGTGGATCCCATAGCCATGTGGTGAATATATGTCAGGCCTTCAGAGGCTGTGAATGAAAGAGCCAGGGTCCCCATTGTGAACACAAGCCCACGCACCTGGAAATCTAACATGGTCTGGACTTCTTTCCCACTTCCTCTTTCCCTCTTTTTCCCTGCAGTCTCCCTCTAGGCAAAGCAGAAGGGATGCAGAGGCTGCTGAGGCCAACCACAGCCTGGAGATGGACAGAGCAGGGATCTCACGGGGCTCACACCCCCCCACAGTGCTTAGGCAGGAGACTGTGTTGCCCCAAATCTTGTTTATGGTATCTCCCATTCCCCCTCTCCTTAGCCCTCCCCTAGATGCAGCTGGCCAGGCATGGCCCAATTCAGATGCACCCACACCTATGGCTTATTGGAAAGTATTCTCCTTTACCTTACTTGTGCAACTATTAAAAAATCCTCCCTCATTCAGGCTGCCTTCCTGAACTGACCCACAGAAAGGGGATCATGTGACCCAGTCCCATCTGTCTAAACAAAAAATGCCCGTGGCTCTCATTCTTGCCCCTCACATGAATGCCTCTATGCTAGAGTTTATATCCCCACACACAGACAGACTGTCAGTCTCGTGACTTGTTATCTCATGAGGTCTGGGTTCAGTCCATTTGTGACACCCTCTGGGGAATCCTGAGAGTGAGCAAATTATTGCTGGCAAAACTGCACAAATGTCCTAAAATAAAGGGTCTCATCACCTCCTGCTACCACCTAACTTTTTTTTCTCTCTTTTGGCAATACTTGTTGTCATGGAGATTCTAACACAATGGGGCAGGTAGGAAGCCGGTTGCTAGGCAACGAGATGCTGGAGGTACAGGATTGGCTGCCAAGGTCTAAAGGAGCAGAGAGGATGGAGAGGGAAGGTGGAAAGTAGAGAAACACCCTAGGGGCAACACAAAGGCATGGGAGAGAAGCAGAAGACAGGATCAGGGGGAAGGAAAAAAAAAAAAAAAGCAGAAGCCAGAAAACAAGCAACCTCCCTGGTGCTGGGTCATCGTTTGTGTATGTGCTAGGGTGCCCTCAGTAAAAACAACAAAGCAAAACAAATATCCATTAATATATTTGCATAGCTGTGTTTACATTGTAGCAGGATGAATAAATATTTAGACAAAAAGAAGTTCTTAAATATCAGGGCAGAAAAATTCTGCAAGAAAATACTACATACAGGGGAAAGAGCGTGGGCTTTAGTGTCAAAAACTTGGGTTTGAACCTTCACTCCACCCCTTCCTCGATGGGTGACCCAGTCAAGTGGTATAATTTCTTTGAGCTTTGGCTTCCTTCCTTCCTTCTTTCCTTCTTTTCTTTTCTTTCTTTTCCTTTATTTCTCTCTCTCTCTCTTTCTTTCTTTCTTTCTTTCTCTTTCTTTCCTTTCTCTTTCTTTCTTCTTCTTTTTTTTTTTTTTCTGACAGAGTCTTGCTCTTCACCCAGGCTGGAGTGCAGTGGCACGATCTCGGCTCACTGCAACCTCCGCCTCCCAGGTTCAAGCGATTCTACCACCTCAGCCTCCCGAGTAGCTGGGATTATAGGTGCGTGCTAGCATGCCCGGCTAATTTTTGTATTTTTAGTAGAGATGGGGTTTCACCATGTTGGCTAGGCTTGTCTCGAACTCCTGACTTCAAATGATCTACTATCCACCTCGGCCTCCCAAAGTGTTAGGATTACAGGCGTGAGCCGTTGTACACCCGGCCCATGAGCTTCAGTTTTCTTATCTATAAAATAGGAATAGTAGCCAGGCACGGTGGCTCACACCTGTAATCCCAGCACTTTAGGAGGCCAATGCAGGAGGATGACTTGAGTCCAGGAATTCGAGACCAGCCTGGGCAACATAACAAGATCACCACCTCTACAAAAAAATTAAAAATTAGCTAGGCGTGGTGCCACATGCCTTTAGTCACAGCTACTCGGGAGGCTGAGGTGAGAGGATCCTTGAGCCTGGGAAGTCAGGGCTGCAGTGAGCAGTGATCGTGCCACTGCACTCCAGCCTGGTGACAAAGCGAGACCCTATCTCAAAATAAATAAACAAAATGAGAATAGCAGCATGTATCTTACAGGGTTGTTTCAAGGAAAAATGAGATGAAGTGATGAGCTCAGGCACAGAGTGGGAGCTCAGGAAGTGCTCAAT
This sequence comes from Homo sapiens, assembly GCF_000001405.40. Lineage (NCBI taxonomy): Eukaryota > Metazoa > Chordata > Mammalia > Primates > Hominidae > Homo > Homo sapiens. The sequence continues at coordinate 201,603,960 of NC_000001.11, read as the reverse complement.
CACACGGTTATTTTTGTTGGCCTTCTGTGACCAACCATTTGTTTTTATCTTAATCACCATTATTATGACTAGAATTGAAAGGCTATGCGATGAAATGGAAAGAACCTTGTTCCCGATGCCCAAAGACCTGGCTTCCATCCAGAGTAATGCACCTACTCTCTATGAGCCATGGGCAAATGATTAACCTAAGTCTCAGTTGCTCATCTGTAAAATGGGGATAACAATCTCTCCCTCACTGACCCGGTAGATGTCCTAAATGCTGAATACTCCCATCCCAACTCCCTGCCTGGCCTACTGTCTGGAGTGGGGCTACTTTCCACCTTCAAGGAAGGGAAGGGTTCAGTGATACCTGGATGCCCTTCCAAGCACCCCAATTCTACGTGACCATGTAGAAGACAGTGAAAGAAAATGCAGGCATGTGGAAGACAAAGCAAAGGGACATCCTCCAGGCTAATTTTCAGGCAAATTAATTTTGCCAAAGTCATGACTTCTGTTACCAGAAGCAAAGGGCAGTAGGGTGTCCTGACCCTAGTTACAGATGAAAACGTACAACAACCATTCCTGTAAATTTTACAGTGATGCAGCAATTCCATGTTGAGACTATATGAGGTCCTTTCAGAACATGAGAGTCACCAAGTCATAGAAGAGATACTTAAGGTGGCAGGATTGACTTGAGTTACTGCAGGCAGGTGGAGCTTTGGCAAAATACTGGATGCCTCCCAGGAAACCGTAAAATCTTTTGGGACCCATGAAGTTCAGAGAATTATTTTTGATGTCTAGCCTAAACCTTTCCTGCTGTAATTTTCAGTCCAGTCTCCCTGGTTCTGTACTCAGAGAGCAATTTAACTCACTGAGAAGATAACTGTCTCACCAGCTTCTAGGTTCACGCCAGGACTGGGGCGGCAGGCAGGAGAGCAGTGACTCACACCGACACTGTTTAATTCAGCTGTCTCACTGTCTACACTCCTTCCCGAGCTCTCGCCCCCAGTACTCTAAATCCCTCTGTGGTTTTGAAGCTGACTTTTCCAATAATACCAACAGCATCAGAGGAATGCTGCTACCATTTCTGCTTGGCCTGAGCCAGGCTTGTCAGGATGGGGAGGCTGGGTGAGGGGGCTGAGGGGGACTGGTGAAAGTCAGCAGGAGTGTGAGTAGGAGCTGAGGGGTAGCTGGTTTCCAGCCCTGTCCCCCTGGAGCATGCCCCAGCCAAGAGCAGCTCTCAAGGGGTGCAGAAGGCCTGGCTCTGTGGCCCAAGGCTGAAGAACTCTGGATGAGCTCATGGTAAAAAAAAAACCAAAAAAAAAAAAAACCAAAAAAAAAAAACATAGCTTAAGTCTAGGTGCAGTGGCTCAAGCCTGTAAACCCAGCACTTTGGGAGGCTGAGATGGTCAGGAGTTTGAGGCCAGCCTGGCCAACACGGTGGAACCCTGTCTCTACTAAAAACACAAAACAAATTAGCCAGCCTGGTGGCACACACCTGTAATCTCAGCTACTCAGGAGGGTGAGGTATGAGAATTGTTGAACTTGGGAGGCAGAGGTTCCAGTGAGCCGAGACCGCGCCACTGTACTCCCGCCTGGGTGACAGAACGAGACTCCATCTCAAAAAAGAAAAAACAAAAACAAAAACAAAAAAACTTAGAGAAGAACCGAATTGCAACTTTAAGAACAAGGAGTTTTTTAGGCCCAGTGGGGTCCAATTCTTTTTCTCCTGCCCTGGGAAGAAACATAAAGAAAAGAGCTTGAAACTGCAGCAGCAAGAAAGACTTAGGAAAGACTTTAGGAGGTGGCCTTGACAGTGATTTGGTGGAGAAAGAAGTCCTCTGATGCTGGTGGCATGTTCTAATTGGATTGGTGTTTTTTTTCATTTTAGACCCTTAAAAGGTGGACTTTTGAAAAACCATTCTCTCTGGTGGGTCAGTGGAAGGGTGGGTATGGGAAATATACCTGCGGAACCCATCCTGAGGTGCTCCAGAGAGGGGGCAGCTGATAACCTGAGCTGGCTGGAACTCAGAGGTTTCCAAAGGGCCTGTGGATCCCCTCCTCGACACCACCACTGAGGCTGCCATGAGGGAGTAGAAAGGGATGCTGGGCTAGGGGACTCTCCTGCTTTATCTAGCTTCAAGTTCAACTCTTTTAAATATTGGCCCTTCTCTTAGTCTGTTCTAGCTGCTTTAACAAAATTTTGCAGACTGGGTGGCTTTTAACAATAGAAATATACTTCTCACAAAGTTCCACAGGGTGGAAGCCCAAATTCAAGGTGCCAGGAGATGCAGTGTCTGGTGAGCACCTGCTTTCTGGTTCATATATGGCACCTTCCTGCCCTGTCCTCACACGTTGGAAAGAGTGAAGAGTCTCTCTAAGGTCTCTTTTATAAGGGCCCTAATCCCATTCACAAAGAAGGCTCTGCCCTCATGACCAAATCACCCCTAAAGGTCCCACTGTCTAATACCATCACCCTGGAGGTTAGAATATTTTTTTTAGACAAGGTCTCACTCCCTCACCGAGGCTGGGGTACAGTGGTGTGATCACAGCTCACTGCAGCCTCAACCTCCCAGGCTCAAGCGATCCTCCCACCTTAGTCTCCCAAGTAACTGGGACTACAGGTGCATGCCACCAAGCCCAGCTAATTTTTTGTGTGTGTGATAGAGTCAGGATCTCACTGTGTTGCTCAAGCTGGTTTTGAACTCCTGGACTCAAGTGATCCTCCTGCCTCAGCCTCCCAAAGTGCTGGGATTACAGGCATGAGCCACTACACCCAGCCAGGATTCCAACATGATTGTTGAAGAGACACAAACATGCAGACAACAGCAGCTATCCATGTTAGAGCTGAGGTAAATTATGTGGTCCCCAGCTGAAATAAGTCTGAAGACTCCTCCAGCTGAGTAGCTCCCTGGAGCTAGATGAGACGGGTGACTGCTATGGCTGCCATAAGTCTGTCTCTGACCAGAAGCCAGAGCAGGAGACAACCTGGAGTATCCAAGAGCTTGGGAAGAGGAAAAGAGAACAGCAGGTTTACTGAACAGCTTTGGCAGAGACCCAGGGAAGGGCAAACCTCCCCAGGAGATGGCTCCTAGAACTAAGGAAATGAAACTTCCAGAGCCAGACTTCAGGTAGGGAATCTCTCAAGTGCTAGAGGATTGTGATCCCAGGACAAACTTGATCTTGAGGGCTTTTCGGCTCAGGAGAGTCCTTTGCTCTTTTACTAGGACTGAGGGATCAGGTACCTTAGTGTTGTAAGCCTCCCCAGGCTTGAAATTTCTGACTCATCTTGGTCCATTTTTTTTTTGTCACTCCCTCACCTATTTTTTTGAGTTTTTATTTTGAAGTAATTTTAGATTTACAGAAAAGTTGCAAAGATAGTACAGAGTTCCCATCTACGCTTCACCCAGTTTCCCCTAATTTTAGAATTTACATAACCACGGTACATTTGCTAAAACTAAGAAATCAACACTGGCACATTACTATTAACTAAAGTATAGACTGTATTTGGAGTCCACCAGTTCTTCCACTAATGTTCTTTTTCTGTTCCAGGATCCATGTTTGAAGAGACACAAACTTTTTGAAAACTCCAGCCTGTCTCCACCATGCTTCAGGGGAAAAGGAGAAGTCGTTGGGGTTATTGTCCACTTTTGGTTCAGAGCAGGATAGCACCACACAGGGCATGGGGCAGGAGTAAAAGGAAGAGAAAGTCACAGAGAAACAGAGAAAGCAAGTCAAGGGAGGAGGCTCACTCAGCAACCTGGAGAGACCTGGAGAGTCTCTCCTTTGGGGCTTTTCTCTGCTCCAGCCTTGGGGACCCCTCTGGTACAGAGGTCATTCACTGTACAAAGGCTTTCAGGGATGACTGGGGCCTACGTCCCAGGAGTTGGAAGAATGAGGTATCCCGAGTCACAGATGAGCCGCTTTGCTTAAGACCCTTCCTCTCTAGGGCAGATAACCGGGCCCAAGCTGTCTCCTCGGTTCAGAGCCCAGAGCTTGGCCTGTGACTTTAAAACTCAGCCCCTATTTTTGAGCACATAGCACTTCATAATAAATAGCAGAGAAAGTGAAGCTGAGACAAGATTGTATCTCAGCAGAATTGTTTCCAAATAAAGTGTTGTTTTTTCCCCCTCAAACTCTCCCTGGAGATGCCTATGGTGCTTAAAAACCACTAAATATCTCTCCTTGTTTATGACACAGACGCCATCCCTCCCTCCCCCTGTCCCTGAGCCTGGTCTCTTTTATAGCAATTGCGTGAGTGGCGCTGAAGAGAATCAGAGCAGGCGCTCGGAAGCCTGCCTGATGGTTCCCCCTCCTAGTAAGAGGGGCTCATGACAGACGCAAAATTCATGGAGAGAAGCTCCCATGACTTGAGCATCGAAGTGGGCCCTAAGTCCTGGATTTCGCTGGCTGCCTGCCACAGACTCTGAACTGCCAGAGAATCCATTCTTCTGTACCACCTGTGGGTCAGGACCTCATGAAACCCTTAACAAATTCATTTTGTGCTCTGTGCTTACAAGGCGCACAGGGAACTGGAATTGCATCTGGGAAAAAGGGATGGAAGGGGCCGTCCAAGGAGAGGTTAATGGACTAGGGTGGCTGATTCCAGAGTGAAGGTCAAAGGGAGGCTGGCTCATGGACCTTGCAGATATAATGCCTTTGTTCTCTGTTCCCACTGAAAACAGGCCCTGCAAAAGGAAGTCCTCCTCTAGCCATAAAGATTGGGGTTGGATACAAGAAAATGACATGAGGAGGAGCTGGGAACCTTGAATCACGTGATCCAAAGAGAGTGTGACCTCATTGTCCCAGAGGGTTCTCCTTGCAGGGTTTTGCCTCCTGGGGGGCCCAACCTGGCCAGCTAAGCCCAAGTGGGGAGGCTGTCAGGGTGGGTGACTGTCAGCAGGCAGAGATCTGGCCTTATGCCTCCCCATATGCTAAGTGGGGCCAACAAAAGTCCTGTCCCCACTAGAGGCTCCAGAAATGTTTTCTGAATGACAGGCAGCTCCTTCCTGATGCCAATGCCCCACCTGATAATGATCATCTGTCCAGAGGCAGGGGGAGGGATGTCATGGCCTCTGTATAGCCTATCAGCTCCAGGGTAAGCCACAGAAAACAATAACACCCCCCTCCCACTTACTTCTGTCCCCAAACTGAAGACTCGGGTTCCTCATGGCCGGGACCCTACCAGCTTGTAGTTTCACAGCCTTTTTAAAATGGCAACACGATGACTGCCCTCACCCACTGCTTTTACTGCATCCATTAGCTCAGCTCCTTCTAGTCGGGGGAAGGCAATTGACAGATGATGAACTTGAGGTTTGGAGAGTGTGAGAGATTGTCCAAGGTCACAGCTCCACCCCCTGCTCCTATTCCAGGCGAAGCACATCCAGTTGGTCCTGTGGTCCTGCCAGTTTTCTTGGCCCTTGCTCTCTGGTCTTACCACCCTAACTCAGGCAGTTCCGATTCCTCACCAGGACACACACTTTGTTCTCCCGGCCCCACGCCGCATGGCCCACTCACACCATTTCCACCCTGAGGCCAAAAAGACCTGATCGAATTGTGGTTCTGATAACGACCCTCCTACGGGGTAAAATCAAGTTTCTTGGGGGTCCTCTAAGATCCTCCAGCACTTGATTCCTCCCTATTTCCCAGACTCATCTCTCTGCCCTGCCTCATTCTTTATCTTCAAGTTTTACTGAATAGTTTATCATTTATCCACACACCACGAGGTTTCAAGCTTATCCTTAGCTAATTTCTATTCATCCTCCAAGCTCAGCTCAGACGTCATCCCTTCCAGGAAGGCCTCTCTGACCTTCTGTAAGTGGCCCTGAGCTGCCAGAGCACTGTGTACATAGCGTTGGCTGCTCAGTCACCAGGTATACCTGGCTCATCTCCAAAGCTGCCTTCTTGAAGAACACTTAGCTTTGGCCACCTGGCGCCTGGTATCATGCCTGGCACGTAGTAGACACTCAGTATATATTGGAGGCATTGACGACATCTTGACGCCCAGGCATCCTGCAGCTGAACTCCCTCCCCTTGCTCCCTGGCCAAGGTGGGTGGGGCCTACTTCCCCGACTCTGCTCTCTGGAATCTGGGGCAATGGAGTTGGGCAGGAGATGGCACACCTCACAGGGGAGGGGCCTGCCTCACCTCGTCACACTGGGCCAGGACATCACGGGCACAGCAGGAGGAAATGAGACACAGCTGCCAAGGAAACAGACCAGGAAATCTTCCCCGCGGAACAGGAAGCAGGTGGAGCATGGGGGCTGAGCTTCCGCAGGAGTGTGAGGGAGGAAACCCGGCTCCTGTGCCTCAGGTCCTCCCAGCTTGGCCCTCAGCCTGGTGGAGCAGGGGCTCTGCAGCCTGTGGGAAGGGGTCCTTATGGACTCCCAGCTTGGCCCTCAGCCCGGTGGAGCACGGGCTCTGCAGCCTGTGGGAAGGGATCTTTGCAGATCCTCTTCTCAGGCTTTAACCAGCGGGCCCCAGGGGCATGTTAGGAGATTATGTGATAGTCTGTAGTTTGCACAGTGAGCCTTGACCAGGAAGCCCCCAGGAAGACAGCTTAGCTGTCTTCAGAGTGAGGCCGGAGGGGAAGAAGGAGAGTGTAGGGGGGTATTTGGCCAAGGCCAATGTGTGTGAATCCTGAGAAATGCTGGGTGCCTTAGCTGGGTGAAGGCTGGGAAGCCAGATGGGACTGCAGAAGACCTAGAATGCTCCCTCTCCTCAACCCCCTTCACTGATTCTCCTCTTCGTCCTTAACTTCTCATCACAAGATCGCTTCCTCAGTGACCATTTCCCTAACCTCCTAGACTAGACCAATGTTCTCGTTGCTTCTCCCTTGTTAAAACCCACCCTGCCAGGCCAGGCACGGTGGCTCACGTCTGTAATCCCAGCACTTTGGGAGGCCGAGGCAGGAGGATCACTTGAGGTTAGGAGTTTGAGACCAGCCTGGCCAACATGATGAAACTCCATCTCTACTAAAAATACAAAAATTAGCTGGGTGTGGTGGTGGGCACCTGTGATCTTAGCTACTCAGGAGGCTGAGGCAGGAGAATTGTTTGAACCCAGGAGGCGGAGGTTGCAGTGAGCCGAGATTTCGCCATTGCACTCCAGCCTGGGCAACAAGAGCAAAACTCCATCTCAGAAACAAACAAACAAACAAACAAACAAAAAACAAACAAACTAAAAAAACAACCCGCCCTGCTTGTCCAACATCTTCCCATTGGGCTGGAAACTCTGTTGGGGCAGGGACCATATTTCGTTCACCACTCTATCTCCCACACCTAGTGCAGTCCTGTAAATATAGTAGATGTTCAATAAATATGGTGGAATAAGTGGCCACAGGAAGTAACTGGAGAATGATGGAAATGGGAATCTCATGACCAGGCACTAAGTCTGGGCCAAAGACAGAGCCAGAGAGTGACAGTGTCTGCCCTTTCCTGATCCATAAACAAACAAACAAACAAAAAGTCCTGAGGAGTTCTTTGAAAGTCCAGCCCATGAGCTGCTGTGGTTCTTTCACATGAGCCCAGCCAGTAACAGGACTGGCTTGACCAAGCTCCCTCTTCAGTGCATCCAAAACCCTGGGCTAACTTGAGCTAACCTCAGGGCTGGGGTTAGGGTACCCCAAAGAAGGGAAGAGAGTCCCTGTCATCAGGAAGCCCTTGGACTAATGAGAGATACACGAAGGTGCCCTTGGCAATTTCCCAGCCTGATGGGAGAGATGGGGTCTACAGGTGGACAGAGGCTCAAGAGAGAAATAATAACAGCAAACACTGATGGACACGTACCACATGCCAGGCATTGCTTCCAGCATTTTATGTGTATCAACTCATTTCATTTTCACAAAACCCCATTGGGTAGATAATGTTGTTGTTATCATTTTATGGTGAGAAAACTGAGATGCAGTGAGGTTAAGGCGCTTGCCTTAATCACACAATCAAGACGTGGGGTCGCTAAGATTTAAGCCCAGGCTGCTGGCTCCAGAGCTGATATTCTAAACCATGACTCCACAGCATCTCTGGTATGAGTGATGCACATAACTGAAGAGGACGCAGTCCCGAAGCGAAGTTAACCACAGTTAGTTAATGAGCATCCTAGAGGAGGAGAATGCTGCATCAGGAAGGACATGGCTTGGTGGAAGAGGCAGAAGAAGGGCACCTTGGTTGCAGGGGACACGTAAGTGATGACTGAGACAGCACAGGAAAATCTGCTTTCAACTCGGCCAGGAGGCAGAGAGATGGAATTTCTTCTCCCTTCCCTTGGCTGGAAGACAGTGGCCATGTTGGAGGCCAGCTTCTAAACCCAACTGAAATTCCCAGACCCAGCCCACTTGCTGTGACAGTGCACACTGCTGTGCCTGCCTGCCCCTACCCTGGCCCCACTATGCCCCCAGTCCCTGCCTCGGATTGATCAGAAACCTGGTATGGCCTGGAGAGGAGGGACCTGGTGAGCAGAGGTGAGAAACAGACTCGGCGCCCCTTGGCACTTGGGGGAGGGAGGAGGCTTCCAGGAAGCACTTGAAGAAAGGATAGCCACTGAGCCAGAGAATGGGAAAGAGAGAGCTGGCTGGAGCCTCTGAAGATCTGGCTTATTGAGAAAGCTTTAGTTGAAAGGAAGGGATTTGTTGAATGAAGGAAGAGAAGCAAAGCAGTCTTCAGTTCTAAGCATGAGTCAGGGTGAGGTGCCTACTACTACCCTTACACATCCTTGTGCCTAGCACACTGTCAGGGCCCACAGAAGAGCTGACAAAATTGAACCCAAATAAGCAGGCTTTGCAGCAGAGGCAGACACCTTAGCTCGGCCTGAGATTCCCTGGGTTATCAGTACTAAGGACTGGGGTCCCACTGGTGGTGGGAGTGCCTCAGGACCAGCCCAGACTCTCAGCCTTGGAGGTGTGCTTGGATACAGTCCTCAGGCGTGGCAGGTCCACACTAGAGACATGAAGCAATCCTCAGCTGCTTTCACATCCCTCCCCTCAACGGCCTCCTCGCTGTGCTAGGCACAAGAGCAAAGCACCTTGCCCTTGCCTAATGCTTAGCCCAGATGCCCTCCTGCATAGAGAAGGTTCAAATATTCCCTGCTCAGTGCTCCCTTTCTCAGGCCTGACCCTCTAAACTGGTCTCTGAATCCTGGAGCAGCGAGGGGGCTTCAGCAGGTTCCCGTGCTGGACAGCTCCCAGAGCCCCAGTTTCAGGGTGGAGCCTGCCCTTCCTGCTGTTCTGCCCCAGGGCTCTACACAGACAAGGCTGTCCAGAGAAAGGCCAGCTCCCCGTAAACCCCACAGCCCCTCACTCACTTCACCTCACGACCCATGTATCACAGAGATAACCTATTTCCGATTCTGCCTCAAGGGATAATGCTACTTTGCTGCCTGCCTGTCCTCCTCTCCCCATCCTTTTAGAGTAACCCAGCAAAGCCAGTCCTCAACTATGCTGATAGAGAGTTTATGGGGCCTGCATGGGGAGCTCTGCCACCAAAGACTAACCCGGCTTCGCCTCTGGCTACTCAAAGTCCACAGACCTCTGATTACAGGGCTCTCTTCAAGCTGGCTCCTAAGGCTCCCTCCCGCAGGTTCCTGCAGACCCCATGCAGCCTGGGAGCTCCACAAGCTTTCCATTCCAGCAACCACCTCCTCCCCTCCCTTTCTCCTGGGTCATGCTGAGCCCCAACCCTGCCTTGACCAAGAGGCTATGAAATGAACAAGTGAGGCCAAAATAAGGCCCTGCCCACATGATGCACTCCCTTAGCCCAGGTATAGGGGTTGCTTGGGCCCAAAATGGCCTTTTGATCTACCAATGGGCAAAGAAGTACCACTCCCGGGCAACCCGCTCGGGTCCCCTTCCACGCTGTGGAAGCTTTGTTCTTTCACTCTTCACAATAAACCTTGCTACCACTCAAAAAAAAAAAAAAAGTGCCACTCCCTTGCCTGCTGCCAGACTTCTTGGCTCTCAGCTCATGGCTGGTGCTATTCTCAGGATGGCTTGCTACATTCAGCCTCTTCCCACCTGCACTGATGGTGGTCCCACTACCCTGACCCCTCAGGGCCTGAAGGCAGAGTCTTAACACCTGCTCTTGATTCATCCCCATCCTGGTGAGCCTCCAATGGCCCCAGGCTCATCCATCCTCCCTGCAGCTGCAACTAGAGCAAAAGCAGAAGGGATAGTACTGAAAGTGGGGAGTGGCTCAGAGTTGGGAAGAAGCCTGTGCTGAGGCCAATAGGAGCCACAGTTTGATGGTGGGAGAGGAAAAAGAATATGTACTCAGACACATGCTAAACTGCCCCCTTCCCTTCCCCCATGACAATGTTGCAATCATTGCAACATACAAATGACTGCACATATCGTGCGGGCCCAGTACATGGAAGCTCAGAGGACTCCTGAGAAAAGACAGAACCAGAAGAGAATGCGCCAAAAGAGAAAGGCCACCAACATTTGGATAAACTCTTCCTTCTGGATTAGATTCTGCAATCCTCTGACTCATCTGTCGTCTAACTGCTGCCCCAGGGCCAGACTAATTGCAGGAAAGTTGAATGCAGCCAAAGAAAACAGAGGTAGATGTTAGAGAGTCCCAGGTTTCCAGGGCTTGGAGGGAGAGCAAATGTCTTAATTTATGGGCATGCGTTAGCCTTTCCCATGGGAGAGGAAGTTGTCTCTGGCCAGGAGTGGATTGAGGCCCGAGGACCCAAGTAGCCCCACTTGCTGACAGGCTTGTGGGGTTGATAGATGAATAGGGCCTGAAGCTGGAGACGATGGGGCTGGAAAAGGCATCAGTTACCTAAGGCTTTATGAAGCTAGTGGCGGCAGCCATGATTGAATACCCCTATTCCCACCCCACATCCCAACCTCACAGTTGCAGCCCCTACTCAGCCCCAGATATCAAAACTTCCACCTGCCAGATGGGGCAACACTGCTTGGTGTCTGGGGCAATCTAAGGCAGGGCTTGGCAACATCTTTGGTGATAGGAGCCTCATGCAGACTGAACAACGTCCACAGAGGCCCCCAGTAATCAGGAACAGGGAGTGAGATGTGACTGGGAGAGGACGTAGCCCCAAATTGAGAATGGTAGTATCTGAGAGTGATAGGAGAGGGCCACGAACCGCATCCCAATCCTCCCTGGACTCGCTCCTGGTCTGACGGGTAGGGCTCTGAGCTGGGAGGTAAAGACTGGGTCCCCTCCCAGTTGGCTATGAGGCCCTCCACCCCTTTCTGCAAGGTGCTATCATCTTGCCACCTGGACCCCAAGACCTGTGCTTTTCTCCCATTCCCTGCTGGGTACAATTGATTATCTCCTCCTTGCCACTCTCTATGTATCTCAGTCTTTAGAGCACAATCCAAAGACCACCTCCCCCCAGGAAGCCTTCTGTGCCAGGGCCCCCATTCTTCAATTAATGACCCCGATTTACTGACTGACACTCTCTCCACCTTACATGGAATAAGTGGGCAAAGTGCTGCCTACAGAGCACCAGCCTGGAAGTCGGGAAACCCTGGTTAGGGCCGCAGCACTGCCACCTTGGCTGTGTGACTCTAGAGAAATCACCTGCATGCTCTGAATCTGTTTCTTCAACAAAATGAGGGGTGGTGCTAGGAGCCTGTGGGTGATGGAGTTCTGCTTGTTCTGTCAGCTGTTGTCCCACCCCACCCTTTGCCAGCAGACTATGAGCTTTCCCAGGGCAGGGACTGTCTTTCCCTCTCTGCTTCAGGATTGTGTCTGCTGTTGCTGATTCCACAAAGACTTGCTGATGGCAAATGGGTGGATGTGTGTGCTAGCGGGAGGCAGTGAGAGGAGAGACAGGCAGCTTTTTAAAATGCTAATGGCCCATGCAGGTGTGGCTGGTGCTTCCCATGCAGGTGGGGCAGCTTCCCACACCACAGAAGCCCTGCTTCAGGAAGAGAGGAGAGTGGGGGCTTGAGAGGGGAGGGAGAGAAGACACCTCTGCAGACTGTCCTCGCATTGTCTAGCCTGCAGCCTGCACAGGCTGCCTCATCAAAGACATCGCTAAGCCCTTCCTTAGATTGTTCCAGACCCTGAGCAGGGTTGCTCTATCCAGGTGGCAATTTTGATATCTAAGGCTGAGTAGGGGCTGCAATCAAGAGCTCCGGGTTTGGTGGCCCTCTTCTGTCATTTCGGGTGCTGTCCTCCTCAGTTTGAGTCCATGTCCCTTCCTTTCCCTGTCTCACGATTCAGCTTTCTCACCTTCCCAGACCTCTTGGGGGGCACAGAAGAGGGACAATGCCGCTGAGAGGGAGAAGATGCTCTTGAGAGGGAGATGCAAGCAGCAGCAATTCACAGGCCAGAAGGAGATGTTGCAGCTGGGGTGGGGCCCAGGGTGGAGCGATGGGTCTCCTACCCAGAGAGCCAGCCAGCAGGCTGCAGAACTGCAGAGATTTGCATACATCTGCATACATTTACACACACTTATTTTCTGTCCCAGTGCCAACCTAGCTCCTCACACCCTCCTTCTATATGCCAGGCCTGCTCAGCCCCTGCAGCCCAGGCAGGACAATACCTGGCTGGGAGCACCTGGGGCTACTCAAAGGCAACTGAGCCCTGGGAGGGGCCCTGACTCGGGGAGGTTGTGTGAACAGCCCTTCCTCTCCTCACCTCTTGACAAAGAGGCCCTCTGAGCACAGATCTCCTATGGTGCCAACCTGTCACTGCTAAGGGGTGACAATGACTGCAGCCTCCCTCCCTTGCCTCGTCTCCCCCAGGTGACCCCATCGCACATTAAGGATGAGAAGAAAATCTGTGTGGAGCTGGAGAGACGCCTTAGGGATCTTTGACTCCAATACCGTTGTTTTACAGGAGAGGCAAAGGAAAGGGCTGAATACTCAGTTAATTCAGTCAATCTTTCCGTGTTGCCTCCTTTGGGACAGACACCACTCTAAAGGCCAGGAATTCAGCAGGGGACAGAATAGCCCCAAGTCATCCTCTAACAGCTTGACTGCATGTGTTGGAGAGAGGGGCCATGAAGAAAAAAGAAAGGTAGAAGGTTAGATGGTGCTAAGTATGCTGAACGATAAAATGAGAGAAGAGGCAAGGAGCACCAGGTTGGGGTGACATGGCCATTAGAAAGACATCTCACTGTCTGCGATCCTCAGTCATCGACAAGCTGGTTAACAGGACCAGAGGTACAGTCCGCCCTTCTAACACCTATCCCACCCCATTCCACACAGCCACTCCTTCCCATCTGCTTTTCTGGGCTGGAAAATGGGGCAAAAAGAGTTCTCAGACGGGCAAGAGGCCTGGCCGACTCGGCTAAGCCAGCCCACTGGCTCCTGGCCTAGATGCTCTGACTCCTGGCCCCGCGCGCAAGCCTCACCCACCCAAACAGCAGCTTCCCCTGCAGCCCTTCCTCAGCTGGGCCTGGGCACCTCGCAGCATGCAGTCATTAACACCTGTGTCCGAAAAAGAAAGCCAGGGGTTGCCAGGGACCAGGAAGCAGAGGATTGATGGAAACTTTCTGGAGAGAGGAAATGTTCTAAATCATAATTGTGATGGTAGTTAAACGACTGTATACATGTGTCAAAACTCATTGAATTTCATTTCATGTAAATTATACCTAGATAAAGCTGCCAAAAAAAGGAAAAAAGTAAGGCAGGAACTACCTAGCTGGGGAGATTTTGGAATGGAACTGAGAGGCGGGTGGGACCCTGGAAGGGGATAGGCTGAGATCAGAGGGCCCTGGTTACATTTCCTACCCCATCGCTTACTAGTGGCATGGCCTTGGGTGCTTACCATTCACCTGATTACCTCACTTTCTGCTTCTGTGAAATGGAGATACTGTCTTCCCTGGGCGGGCATGGTGGCTCATGCCTGTAATCCCAGTACTTTGGGAGGCCGAGGCAGATGGACCACTTGAGGTCAGGAGTTTGAGAACAGCCTGGCCAATAGGGTGAAATCCCATCTCCACTAAAAATACAAAAATTGGCTGGGTATGATGGTGCGCACCTGTAATCCCAGCCACTCTGGAGGCTGAGGCAGGAGAATTGCTTGAACCTGGGAGCCGAAGGTTGCAGTGAGCTGAGATCGTGCCACTGCACTCCAACCAGGGTGACAAAGCGAGAATCCATCTCAAAAACAAAAGAAAGAAAAAAGAAAAATGTCTTCCCCATGGGATGGTTGTGAGAATCAAGCTACATAACATAACTTTGGGGTCATCCCATAATATGTGCTCAGACAATAACAAATAACAGGCCGGGCACGGTGGCTCACGCCTGTAATCCCAGCTCTTCGGGAGGCCAAGGCAGGCAGATCACATGAGCCCAGGAGTTCGAGATAAGCCTGATCAACATGGCAAAACTCTGTCTCTACTAAAAATACAAGAAATAACCAGGAGTGGTGGTGTGCGCCTGTGGTCCCAGCTACACAGGAGGCTGAGGTGGGAGGATCAATCAAGTTCAGGAGGCAGAGGCTGCAGTGAGCCAAGATCATGCCACTTCACTTCAGCCTAGGAGACTGAGTAAGGCCTCTTCTCAAAAAAACGAAAAACAAAACAAAAAAACACTTTATTCAACATTTACTGAGCAGGCATTAGCTTAAGTGCTTTACACATATTAACTTAATTTAACATTTCCCTACACGGTACTAAATATTACTATCCCCATTTTATGGATGAGGAAATTGAGGCAAAGATGACAATTTGCTTCTCCTTTCCCTATCTGTAACATGGGAATTTTCAACCGTTCTCTATTTTTAACTCTGTTTCTGCTGCATGTTAATGGGTGCTCTGGGGTAAAAAGGCTCCATATTCAAATAAGTTAGAGAAGTGTGGGGCTGAATAGATTTCTTTCTAAAAAATGGAGATATGATTCAAATATAATAAAATCCAAACTTTTGGGCCGGGTGCAGTGGCTCATGCCTGTAATCCCAGCACTTTGGGAGGCCAAGGTGGGTGGATCACCTGAGGTCAGGAGTTTGAGACCAGCCTGACCGATATGATGAAACACTGTCTTTACTAAAAATACAAAAATGAGCTGGGCGTGGTGGTGTGTGCCTGTAGTCCCAGCTACTCAGGAGGCTGAGACAAGAGAATTGCTTGAACCCAGGAGGCAGAGGTTGCAGTGAACCAAGATCATGCCACTGCACTCCAGCCTGGGTGATAGAGCGAGACTCCATTTCAAAAAAGAAAAAAAAAATCCAATCTTTTAAATTGTACAATTGATTTGTTTTTAGTATACTCACTAAGTATGCAACCATCACTACTAATCTCAAAACATTTTCACCATCAACAAAAGAAACCCATAACTAATAGTTGTCACTCCCTATTTTTCCTGTCCCCAGCCCTACCAACCCCTAATTTACTTTCTGTCCCTGTGGATTAGCCAAAACTCATACCTGGGTGTGTGGCTCACACCTGTAATCCCAGCACTTTGGGAGGCTGAGGTGGGAGGATCACTTGAGGCTAGGAGTTCAGACCAGCCCGGGCAACATAGCAAGACTCTGTCTCTACAAAAAAAAAAAAAAAATTAATCAGCTGGGTGTGGTGGCACCTACCTGTAGTCCTAGCTACTCAGGAAGCTGAGGTGGGAGGATCGCTTGAGCCCAGGAGTTTGAGGCTGCAGTGAGCTATGATTGTGTCACTGCACTCCAGCCTGGGCAGCAGAGCAAGACCCTATCTCTTAAAAACAAACAAACAAAAACTCATATGAATAAAATCATACAATACGTGGGCTTTTGTGTATGGCTTTTTTCACTTAGCAAGATGTTTTCAAGATTTATCCATGTTGGAGCATGTGTCAGCACCTCATTCCTTTTTACAGCCGAATAAGATTCCACTGTATGATATATCACATTTTTGTTCATCCATTTATCACTCATTAGCTTATTTCCACTTTTTTGGCTATTATGAATTTTGCTGCTATGAACATTTGTGTACATATGTCTTCAACTCTCTTGAGTATATCTCTTGAGTACATACCTAGAAGTGGAATTGCTGGCTCAAGTGTATCTCATCTCCATGTTTAACTTTTTGAGAAATTGCCAAACTGTTTTCCAAAGCTGCTGCGCCATTTTACATTTCCACTAACAATCTCTGAGAGTTCCAATTTCCCCACATCCTTGTCAACACTTGTTACTGCCTGTCTTTTTTATTTTAGCCATCCTAGTTGTGGGGAAGTGGTATCTCATGTTCCAATTTGCATTTTTCCTGATGATTATTGATGTTGAGCATATTTTCATGTGCATATTTTCCATTTGTGTATTGTCTTTGGATAAATATCTATTCAAATATTTTGCCTACTTTTAATTTGAGTTTATTGTTGAATTTTAAGCATTCTTTTTTGTTCATTCGTTTGTTTGTTTGAGGTAGGGTCTCCCTGTGTTGCCCAGGCTGGAGTGCAATGGTGAGATCTTGGCTCACTGCAACCTGTGCCTCCTGGGCTCAAGCTATCCTCCCACATCAACCTCCCAAGTAGCCAGGACTACAGGCACACCACCATGCCTGGCTAATTTTTGCATCTTTTGTAAAGATGAGGTTTTGCCGTGTTTCCCAGGATAGTCTCAACCTCCTGGACTCAAACAACCCACCCCCCTTGGCCTCTTAAAGTGTTGGAATTACAGACATGAGCCACCATGTCCAGCAATCATTCTTCATGTATTCTAGATACTAGACCCTTGTCAGATATGTGATTTACAAATATGTTTTCTCATTATTTGAGTTGAGTTATTCACTTTCTTGACAGTATCATTTGAAAAATAAAAGGTTTCTGTTTTTTTTTTTTAATGTGGTAAACTACACATAACATAAAGCTTATCATCTTTGTTTTTCTTTCTTTGAGACAGGGTTTTGCTCTGTTGCCCAGGCAGGAGTGCAGTGGCACAACCGTGGCTCACTGCAGCCTCAATTTCCCATGCTCAAGCCTTCTTCCCACCTCAGCTTCCTGTGTAGCTGGGACTACAGGTGCGCACCACCACGCCTGGCTAATTTTTGTATTTTTTGTAGAGATGAGGGGGCGGGTCTTGCTATATTGCCAGAGTTGGTCTCAGATTCCTGGGCTCAAGTGAGCCTTGGCCTCCCAAAGTGCTGGGGTTACAGGCGTGAGCTACTGTGCCCAGCCTAAAACTTACCATCTTAACTGTTTTAGATGCACAGTTCAGAGGTGCTATGAACTGAAATGTATATCTCACACCCTCCAAATTTGTGTTTTGAAGGTCTAACCCACATAACCTATAGTGTGGTTATATTTGGAGATAGGGTCTTAAGAGGTAATTAAGGTTAAATGAGATCATATCAGTGGGGCCCTAATTCAATAGGGTGAAAAGAGAAAAAGATACCAAAGATCTCTCTCTCTCCCCCTCTCCCTCTCTCCTTCTCTCCCTGCTCTCTGTCTTCCCTTCCTCTCCCACCCCCATGTGTGCCTGCCCACTGAGAAAAGGCTGTGTGAGGACCCAGGGAGAAGGCAGCCACCTGTGAGCCAGGAAGACAGACCTCACCAGGCACCAACCTGAGCCCCTTGATTTTGGACTTCCAGACTCCAGAACTGTGTGAAAATAAATTTCTGTTGTTTAAGCCACCTAGTCTGTGGCACTTTGTTATGGCAGCCCAAGCAGGCTAATACAGGTGGTATTGATTAAGTATAGTCAAAGTTTTGTGCAACTGTCACTACCATCTAGCTTCAGAACTCTTATCATGTTGCAAAACTTAAACTGTACCCATTAAAAAATAACTCTCCATTTCTCCCTCCCCCGGCCCTGGCAATCCCCGTTTTACTTTTTGTCTCTAGTAATCTGACTACCCTAGGTAACCCAGAGAAGTAAATCACAGACTGTCTCTTTCTGTGGCTGGTTTATTTCACTTAGCATTTCATCAAGGTTCACCCATGTTGTAGCATATATGAGAATTTCCTTCCTCTGTAAGGCTGAATAATATTTCATTGCATACCACATTTTGTTTATCTATTCATCTGTCAACAGATACATGGGTTGCTTCTACCTTTGGCTATGGTGAATAATGTTGCCATGAACATGAGTGTACAAATATCTCTTTGAGATTCTGCTTGCAAATTCTTTTGGGTGTCTACTGAGACGTGGAATTGCTGAATCATATGGCAATTCTATTTTTAATATTTTGAAGAACTGTCATACTGCTTTCTATAGCTGTTGCACCAATTTACATTCCTATCAATATTGCACACAGATTCTGTTCCAATTTCTCCATATCATCGCCAATGCTTGTTACTTTCTGTGCTTTTGATAGCAGCCATCCTATTGGGTGTGAGGTAGTATCTCCTTTTGGTTTTGATTTGCATTTCTTAATAACTAGTGATGTTAAGCATCTTTTCATATGCTTGTGGTCCATTTATATATATTCTTTGAAGAAATGTCTATTCAAGTCATTTTCCCATTTAAAAAATCAGTTTTTTTTGTCATTGTTAAATTGTAGAAGTTTTTTATATTTTCCACATACTAGACCCTTATCAGATATAAGATTTGCAAATTTTTTTTCCTAATCTGTGGGTTGTCTTTTCACTTTCTCAATATTTTCCTTTGAGGCACAAATGTTTTTAATTTTGTTGAAGTCCGATTTGTCTATTTGTGTGTGTGTGTGTGTCTGTGAATGAAGAGCTTCTCAGAGCCTTTCCTATGTTCATGTAGATCAAGATTCCAAAAGACAGATGATCTTACTGCATTTCCACAACTTAGCTGACCACAGAAACCTAGTTCTGTGCCTCCCCCATCATCGTATTCTCACAGAATAATTTGCAAGTCACAGAACACACTCTGAAATGTTCTGCTTTAAGGGTTTTCAGTACTCCATGAAAAACCCTTCAGCAGAAGATGAGTCATCACACGTTCAGAACCCTAAAACCAGAATAGATCCAGCCCAGTGCCTGACTTCAGGGATGAGGGCCCAATGACCTGCCCAAAGCTTGGGAGACTGGGGAGAAGATCAGGCCCCTGCGAAAACTACCCGAATGGGGAACTCAAGACAGGAAGCATTTGTCTTATTAGTTGTGCATGGGGTTGGGGCTGGGTGGGAGGACCTTGGTCAGTTGCTTCCAGAGTGAGGATTTCAGGCCCATCCTTCACTCATGTGAGCCTTTGGTTTGGAAAGGCAGGGGCCCTTCTCCTCTCCCGTGGGATGCCAGGACTTGGGCTGCCTGCCAGTTGGTCAAGAGCTTCCTTGATTCCCTGCTTTGCTGTCTGCTCCGGACTCTCCCCAAACCCCTTTCTCTGGATGACTCAGGGGCAGATGAGTGAACTGAGTGAAAGAGCCAGAATCCAGGCCTTGGTGGAGCATCTGGACTGGCCCAGCCTGTCAGCAGGGCTGATGGGCTAAGCTCTGGGCGGTTTCTTATGGATTCAGAGGAGATTCTAGAAACAGACTGAGGAGGGCTTTCATAAGGCTGCCGTGGGCTCTGCTGGACACAGGCACATCACAAGCTGGAACCAGCTGCTGAGATAGCAGCTGTATTCCATCTCCAGGATTTGGTTTACCAAGATGAAAACAAGATCCAATGCCTGACAATTATACAACTTTTTCTTTGAGAGTCTGCACACACATCTCAGGCAATCTCAGTCACATGGGAGACCAGAGGGGCAAAAAAATTATTTCTCATTCACTCCTTCCTAACACATTATGACTCTGGAGAATCTAAGTGGTTAGAATCCAGATTCTTTGTTTTTATAGCTGCATATAGAGTAGGTTACATTTCCCCCTCTATATGCAGCTCTGTCTTGTAAGGAACCATTAGATGGGCAGTCCCTAAAAACATGGTATCATGAAAAAGAGCAATGGTTTTACAGTCTCATAAATGTGGGTTTGAATCTAGAGTCCTCCAGGTACTGGATGATTGACCTTGGACCACTTCTTTCACATCTCTGAACTTGATATTGTTCTTACACTTAAAGTGGAAATAACAACACATGTGAAAGATCTGGCACATATCAGTGGTTCCATAAATGCTAGTGTCCTTCCCAAATTGCATTGTACAGAAAAATCATCACAGGTGATGGAATTTCTCAATTGGAAAGGATCTTGGAGATGATCCAGTTGGATTCTTTAATTTTTCAGAGGACGAAGTTGGAGTACAGAGAGAGTAAGTGACTTGCTGAAGGACACGCTGCAAAGTGAGATTGCTACATTCTACTCAATCCAAGTTTCCCTGGGAAGCTGAAGGTCCTGACTGGCTCCTCTCCCCCAGGCACCAGCACTGCTCTTCTTAAGCTATTTACATGCTTTATCTTGAGGCTTGAGTTTTGACCAGTGGAAGCACTATTGGCCATGAGAATAGAAGACCGGAGGTTTACACAGTTACTCCAGGGAGCTGGCAACTTCAACAGCTCCTTATTTATTTCCATGGCTTCCTTGGGAAGAAAGGAGAAAGAGGATTTCAAAGGCTCAAAAAAGGTCAATTGTTTGCCCAAGGACACCCAGCAAGCTTGTAACAGAACCATTCCAGGGCCCCAAGTGCCACCCTCTGTCCCAGAGCCATTCCTACCAGCTTCAGCTGCCTCCTTCACCCACTCAGAGATTCCTATCTCCAGCAGGGAAGGAGTTAATGCCAACCTCTGTTGGCCTCTGCAGGTGCTGCTCTTGAGAAAGAGCCCCTTAGCAGAGTCTACAGATAATGGGAGCGGGAGAGATAACGAGCTTTTTGTCTTAATTGCAGATGGGAAAAAGGGTTGGCTTGTTGGAGGGCTTGGACAATTAACACAGCTGGGGTACAGGGCCTGATGAGCCCTGGATGGGGCCTTGCCCCTGCTGTCTCCTCTCCGACAAGCACAGCGATCAGGGCTATTATACCAACACGGGCGAGCCTGACGCAGCGTGAGCCCAGCCGAGGCACACAAAGAAATCAGCCAGGCAGGGAGGAGGCTAAGAAATCACCAAATGGGCCAAGCCCCAGAGGGTGTAGAGCCGCCATGGTTGGCCCCACTCAGACACCTGGACAGTCAGAAGATGGGCTGAGCTGCACAATGCCAGGCCTTGGGTCCAGCCCTCAGGGCTATGGCAGCGGATGCTGAGGGATCCCGTATACACAGTAGCCTCCTGTAGCCTCTCCAAAGACTAGGGGAACAGGGAGCAGCAAGGATGACAGTTAAGATCAGAGAGTGGGGTGTGATTGGATCTCAGAAGGAGAGCAGTCTGCTTGGGATCCTGTCTAGCTTGTTGAAGGGTGTAATAGACCTGGCTCCTAGCCAGCAGCTTTGCAATCAGCAGGCAGGGGCTGTTGACCAGGCTGGGACTGGACCTTAGCACTTTTCTTTCACTAGGTCCCCAGTGCTCTCCCACTCTCCCATTCCCGAGGACAGGCTTCCTCACGTAAGCCCACCTCTCTGAGATACCAGACACTGCAGAATCATGCTCCCTTGTTGGATTTCCTCACCCCTTGGCCTCTGGGCCTGTCCTGGACCTTTCCTTCCCATCCATTCCTCACCATTCCCCAGCTCTTCTCTGTGTGGGGGAGCTGGCTGGCTGATTCCTGTAGGCTGACTGTCCCAGGGTCCTGAGTCAGCTGGTTTCTGGCTGGCTTCTGCCCACAGGAGGCACTGGAGGAAAGGAGAAGCCAGGGGATTCCTCTCTCTTCCCCTCTACCTCAGGAGGTGTCATAGCAATATCCAAGTCCCTTTGGAGGCCCAGCCCTTCCCATACTGGTCCTGTGTGCTTCCAGATTCCCAGGATCTTGGTTGCCTCTGCCTGGGAGTGGCAGCTGCTTCCTCCCCTGTTTGACTCGTCAGCTCTTCTCTCTCTCATGTAGCCAGTTCTCAGCACTAAATTTCCTCTCTTGCAAATATGAAAAGTGGTTTCTGGTAAGAATGACTGATACAAACTCATGACTGGCCTTTCCTTGCCCTTCTCAGTCTCATTTGTGGTGTCCTGCATGGCTCCTCTTTTGCTGACCACTTGTGAAACATGGCAGCTCTGTTCCTGGTCTGTTTGTTTGTTTGAGACGGAGTCTCACTCTGTCACCCAGTCTGGAGTGCAGTGGCGCGATCTCAGCTCACTGCAAGCTCCGCCTCCCAGGTTCACGCCATTCTCCTGCCTCAGCCTCTCGAGTAGCTGGGACTACAGGCGCCCGCCACCATCCCCAGCTAATTTTTTGTATTTTTAGTAGAGACGGGGTTTCACCGTGTTAGCCAGGATGGTGTTTCTGGTCATTTTTAAAAAAATTCTTAGAACCTTATCAGGGAGCTTTATTATTTTTTTCTTTTTTGATACAGAGCCTGGCTATATCGTCCAGGCTCGAGTGTAGTGGTGCAATCTCAGCTCACTGCAACCTCTGCCTCCGGAGTTCAAGTGATTCTTGTGCCTCAGCCTCCAGAGTAGCTGGGATAACAGGCGCCCACCACGACACCCGGCTAATTTTTGTATTTTTAGTACAGACAGGGTTTCGCCATGTTGACCAGGCTGGTCTGGAACTCCTGACCTCAGGTGATCCGCTCACCTCAGCCTCCCAAAGTGCTGGGATTATAGGCATGAGCCACCGCGCCCGGCCGGAGCTCTGTTTTTAACTACTGATTCTATGTAATGACTCTCAAATCTGCCTCTCTCTGGCCTTAACTTCTCCACTGAGACACTTGTCCACCTGACATCCTTACTGGGATGCTCACAGACTCCGCACAGTCAACACAGCTAAACTCCGTTTCTTTCTTTCCCTCTCAAAATCTGATGCTCATTTTCTCAGATGGGGCTACTAAGCCAAGGCGTTAAGCTCCTCCTTTCTCCCACATCCATTCCAACCTGTGAATCTTGTCTCCTAAATCTCTCTCAAGATTATCCCTGCAACCCATCTCCACCACCACTGCCTGTGTTCAACCCTCACTCGAACCGTAACAAAAACCTGCTCGCTGGTCTCTCCACTCCCTGCCCTGTCCATCCCAGGATGACTGCTCAGAAAGCCTTTAAGGGTAAGCATGGCAAACAACTCCTTCTATGATCCAGTCTCTACCCCATTCCCTACCTCTGCTAACTTCTCCTGTTTTGTCTTCCTTTCCCTATGCCATGCACCGGCCCCCACGAACAACCTGCAGTGAGTACTCTGCCCCTCCTGTTGTCTGATGCCTCTATGCCTTTGTAGCTGCTGTGTTGCCTGGTGGGATGCCCTTTACCATCGTGTCCATCCAGAAATCCATTTATCTTTCAAAGTTTAGCTCAAGCATAACCTACCTCCTCTAAGAAACCATTCTTCCCCCAACCCCATCCCAAGTAGGGCGATGACTCCCACCTCCTTTAAGCCTCCAGAATATCTCATATTCTTTTTTTTTTCTTTTTTAAGACAGTCTTGCTCTGTCACCTAGGCTGGAGTGCAGTGGTGGGATCTCGGCTCACTGCAATCTCTGCTTCCTGGGTTCAAGCAATCTCCTGCCTCAGCATCCTGAATAGCTAGGATTACAGGCGTGCGCCACCACGCCCAGCTATTTTTTGTATTTTTAGCAGAGACGGGGTTTCACCATGTTGGCCAGGCTGGTCTCGAACTCCTGACGTCAAGTGATCCACCCGCCTCAGCCTCCCAAAGTGGTGGGATTACAGGCATGAGCCATCACTCCTGGCTGAAAACCTCATGTTCTAAATACTTGGATGGTATTGATCTATTTGTTTGCTAGGCTTTGAACTCTTTGAGAACCAAAAAAAAATTTTATTTGTCTTTATGGGCTGGCACAGAACAGGTGTTCAAGAAAAATTCTGGAAGCTGGAGTACTGTGATTGTTAATTTTAGCTGTCAGCTTGATTGGATTAACGGATACCCAGGTAGCTAGTAAACATTATTTCTGGGTATGTCTGTGATGGTGTTTCCAGAAGAGATTGGCATTTGAGTCAGTGGACTGAGTAAGGAAGATCTGTCTTCACCCAATGTGGGCAGCCACCATCTAATCTGCTAAGGGTCCAGGCTGAACAAAAAGGCAGAACAAAAAAGTGAATTTGCTCTCTCTCTCCTGGAGCTGGGACAGTTTTCTCCTCTTGCCCTTGGACATCAAGAACTCCAGGTTCTCTGGCTTTTGGATTCTGGGATTTGCGCCAGAGACCACCCTTCCCCCCAGTTTCTCAGGCCTTTGGCCTTGGGCTGAGAACTACATCATTGGCTTGCCTGGGTCTGAGGCCTTTAGACTTGGACTGAGCCATGCTACTGGCTTCCCTGGTTCTTCAGCCTACAGACAGCCTATCATGGGACTTCTCAGCCTCCAAAATCACATGAGCCAATTCCCATAGTAAATCCCCTCTCGTGTATCTATTTTTATATCTTATCGGTCTGTTTCTCTGAAGAACCCTAATACAAGTACTTTTCCTTATTCCTCCCAATAGTTGTACTTACAACTAAAAACCCTGGACATTATATATAAAGCAAACATAAGAAGACTCTGAAAGGTGGAGATAAAAAGGTAGACTGAGGCCAAGCACAGTGGCTCATGTCTGTAATCCCAGCGTTTTGAGAGGCCGAGGTGGGTGGATCACTTGACACCAGGAGCTCAAGACCAGCCTGGCCAACATGGTGAAACTCCATCTCTACTAAAAATACAAAAATTATCCAGGCGTGGTGGTGCATGCCTGTAATCCCAGCTACTCGGGAGGCTGAGGCATGAGAATTGCTTGAACCCAGGAGGCAGAGGTTGCAGTGAGCCATGATTGTGCCACTGCACTCCAGCTTGGGTGATAGAGTAAGACTCTGTCTCAAAATAAAAAAAGGGTGGATGAAGTAGGGACCTTGGGACTCAAGGAACAACATGGCGATGAGGTCTCTGAGTTCATTTGTTTGTTTTTTTCTTCATAAATTCCAGACTTGGAGCTGAAGAAGTCATCAACCCAGAAATGCCAATGGGTGCAAACAAAAGAAGCCTCAACAAAAGCCTGCTTTCTCCAGCCAAAGGCCAGGAAAGTGGCAGCCCAGAAAGACAGAACATTTTTTTTTTTTTGAGACTGAGTTTTGCTCTTGCCGCTCAGGCTAGAGTGCAACGGTGTGATCTTGGCTCACTGCAACCTCCGCCTCCCAGGTTCGAGCGATTCTGCTGCCTCAGCCTCCCGAGTAGCTGGGATTACAGGTGTGTGCCATCATGCTTGGCTAATTTTTATATTATTAGTAGAGATGGGGTTTCACCATGTTGGCCAGGCTGGTCTCGAGCTCCTGACCTCAGGTGATCCACTCACCTCGGCCTCCCAAAGTGCTGGGATTAGAAGTGTGAGCCACCATGCCCGGACCAGAAAACTTTTAGATGATAGTTGTTCAATGATAAAGTTTGAATGATGATAGTTGTTCAAACTTTTAGATGATAGATAGTTCACTCCAGCCAAACGCCATAGGAAAAATTGTGCTCCCACTTTCATCCAGGGCAGCGAAGGGCAAGTGGGGAGCCTAGAGTTCACCTTCACCAGGCCATGATGAAGTGCCCAACAACCCCACTAGGGTGGTGTCAGAGAAGGCTGAGTAGCAAGCCCAAAGTTCCATCCCCTCCTCCTGGTAATGAGGCCATTCATTATCAGTGGAGCCCATATGCGGAGCCTGGACTTCCACCCCCACCTAGCAGTAATAAGGCACCCTTCCTGCTTCCCACAGTGTGGTATAAGAGGAGGCCTAGTGGAGAGACAGAACTTTCATCATTACCCAGAGATAAGCCACCCTCAGCTCAGTTCCCCTGGAAACCAAGCAGGGAGCTGGAACTCCTACCCCTAGCCCAGGGGTAATGAAGAACAAAGAACAGAAGCTATAAAGAAGAACCAAATGGAAAATTTTAAACTGAAAAATACAGTAACTGAAGTGTTGATCTCAGTGGATGGGATCAACAGTAGAATTAAGGAGAACAATCAGAGAACTGGAAGATAGAACAATAGAAATTAACCAATATGAACAACAGAAAGAAAATAGACCAAAACAAAAAGCAGAGCAGATTCTTAGGGGCCTGTGGGACTATAACAAAAGATCTAACTTTCGTGTTATTGAAGTTCTGGTAAGAGAAAAGAAAGAGGATGGTGCTGAAAAAGTACTCCAAGAAAAAATAGTTGAAAACTTTGCAAAGTTGGCAAGAGACATAAACCCACAGATTCAAGAATCTGAGCAAATGCCAAACAAGATAGACCTAAAGAAATCACAAATTAAGCATCTGCGAGTTAAAGACAAAGAAACAATCTTGAAAGCAGGAAGAGAAACAGGAAACCTTAATCTACAGGTGGAAAGGGTTCAAATGACAGTAGATTTCTCATTGGAAACCACGGAGGACAGAAGGAAGTGGCACAATATTTTTCAAGTGCTGGGGGGAAAATAAAAAGAACTGTCAACTCATAATCCTATACCCAGTAAAAATATTCTTCAGGAATAAAGGGGAAATCAAGAACATTCTCAGATGAAGAGAAACTAAGAGACTTTGTTGCCAGAAGGACTACTCTAAAAGAATAGCTAAAGGAAGTTCTCCAAACAGAAAGGAACAGAATAGAGAATCCAGAAACAGACCCACACAAATATGCCCAACTGATTTTTGACAAAGGTGCAAAAGTAATTTAATAAAGGAAAAACAGCTTTTCCAACAAATGGTGCTGGAGTGATTGGACATCCATAGCCAAAAAAAAAAAAAAAAAAAAAAAATCTAAGTCTCAGGCCTTATGCCAAAGTTAACCCAAATGGATTGTGTGTTTAAATGCGAAACATAAAAATATAAAACTTTGAGGAAAAAATATTTTAAAAATCTTTGGCAAAGAGTTCTTAGACTTGATAACAAAAGCACAATCCATAAAAGGAAAAATTGATAAATTAGACTTCCTCAAAATTAAAATGTTTCATTCTGTAAAAGACCCTGTTACAATGTTACAAAAGACATACAGAGTAGGAGAAAATATTTGTCAACCACATATCCAGCAAAGAACCAGCACTTATAATACAGAAAGAGCAATCAAAACTCAACAGTCAGGCCAGGCATAGTGGTTCACTCCTGTAATCCCAGCACTTGGGAGGCTAAGATGGGAGGATTGCTTGAGGCCAGGAGGTTGAGGTTGTGAGCTGTGATGGCACCACTGCACTCCAGCCTAGATGACAGAGCAAAACTCTGTCTCAAAACAAAACAAAACAAAACTCACCAAAAACCAAACAATTCAATTAGGAAATAGGCAAAAGACATGAAGAGATATAGCACCAAAGAGATGTCTAAATAAGCACGTGAAAAGAAATTCAAAATCATTAGCAATTAGAGAAATGCAAATTAAAACCATGAGGAGATATTACTACATACATATTAGAATGGCTACAATTTTAAAGCAATGACAACACCAAATGTTGGTGAGATGCAGAGAAACTGGATCATTCATACATTGCTGGTAGAAATGTAAAATGGTACACCCACTTTGGAAAGTGATTTGGCAGTTTCTTAAAAAAATTAACTTGCAACTAACACGTGACCCAACAACTGTACATCTCAGAGAAATGAAGAGTTATGTTCACACAAAAACCTCTACACGAATGAATATATTAGCTTTATTATTTTTTTTTTTGGAGAGGGTCTCGCTGTGTTGCCCAGACTGGTCTTGAACTCCTGGGCTCAAGGGATCCTCCTCCATCAGCCTCCTGATTAGTTGAGATTACAGGCACATGCCACCATCCCCAGCTTATCAGCTTATTCTTAATAGCCCCAAACTGGAGACAACCCATGTCTTTCAATAATGAATGATTAAACAAACTATGGTACATCCATATCATAGAATATTACTCAGCAACAGAAACAACTGAACTATTGATACACACACCTGGATGAATCTCCACAGAATTATGCTAAGTGAAAAATAACTGTTCCCAAAAGGAATATGCTCTATGATTCCATTCATATAACATTCTTGAAATGGCAAAAGTATAGAAATGGCAAACATATTAGTAGTTGCCAGGAGTCAAAGAAAGGGTGGAGGCAGGAGAGAAGTGGGCGTGCCTTTAAAAGGGCGACATGAGGGATCCCTGTGGTGACAGGACTGTTCTGTGTCTTTACAGCAGCCGGGCCAATATCCTGGTAGTGATATTGTACTACAGTTTTGCAAGATGTTAACACTGGGGGAAGCTGGGTAAAGGGTATCCAGGATCCCTTTGTGGTGTTTCTTACAATTGCATGCAAATCTACAATGTCTCAGAATTAAAAGTTTAATAAAAGTCAACAATTGTGGAAAGCATGCACGAATAAATAATTGAGTAAGTGAAAGAACACAGGAAATCAGGGAAGAAATACCCCATGCCTGGTGATCAAGGACCAAGATGCAAATAAATGCTCTAGCCTACAGTCTCTCTCTCTTCATAATTTGTCCCTTCCCTCCTTCCTTCATAATAAACTCGAGAAACACTTTATCAAAGAAACTGTCCTTAATTGGCCTCAGATGTTGTTACGTCACCACTCCGTGCTCCTCCAGGACTCATGTTCATTTTTGACATTAGGTATTTGTCCTTGTTTGGATTTGGATTTTCCTTCCAATTTAAGGGGCCCCTGAACATTTCCTCCAACAGACTGGGGGCAGCCTAAGGGCAAACACCTTCATCATCCCATTGGACACGCCTCCCTGATGTAGATACGCAGTTCTGAATACTGCAACAGAATTCAATACAAGATCTGCCAACTCCAGTGAATTTAGGTGTTCCCAAAGATAGATGTCAATAAATACTGGCTGAGTTGAACTGGACATGCTATAAATTCCCTCATGCACAGGACTAGATCCTATAGCTCAGCAGTTCATAGGCCAGTAGACTAAGAGACAAAGGATCAAGGAGAAAGAAGGGC
Organism: Homo sapiens; assembly: GCF_000001405.40. Taxonomy (NCBI): domain Eukaryota; kingdom Metazoa; phylum Chordata; class Mammalia; order Primates; family Hominidae; genus Homo; species Homo sapiens. The sequence goes on along the minus strand of NC_000001.11, from coordinate 201,575,311 downwards.
AAGAAGGGTAGAAAGATAGTAAGGACCAGGTTGGGGGGTCCACCAGGAACCCTGAAGAAGACACATCTCTCTCTCTCTAGGTCTCTGTCTCTGGTCCTCTCCCCAGCTGCTTCCCAAACTAATTCCCAGGAAAAGGGAAGCACTGAGAGTCCCAGGGGTTAGAAACACATCAGAACAAAGAAAAGTTAAGTCACTTTCAGCCATTCCACTCTGCATCAGGACTTCAAAGGAGAAAGCACCATCTAGGTTGAAGATGGGCCCTTTGTGTCAGCTGCTGGAAAGTCTTTGGCTTTTCCAGGCAAGGATTAGACAATGGCCTGGGCACTTTGCAGCTTTCCTCTCCCCATGTTAGAGAGTGTGGGGCCTCTGGCACTGTCTGTCTTCCATGCCTCCCTAGCCAAGTGCCATGAGCACCCCAGTCTGAGCAGAGGCCGAGCAATGTGTGGCGGGGGCAACAAGCCCCGCAGCTCTCCTTCCTTCCACCTGAGACACTGAATCTGTCTGTGCAGAGGATAAACAGAGGCAGGGAGGGTCAGGGCTCCCAACGCTGGTGACGGTGGTGGTAGGAGGCGCAATGGTGGCTCCAGCTAGTTTCTGGCAGTGGCAACAGAATTGATCTGAGCAGGCTTCTTGTGCCACGAATTGGGCTGTGGTTCTGGCTACCAGCTTTCCTTGGAAGCTGCAGGTTTCCCAAGCCTGGTTCTGCAGCCTTCCCACTTGCTCAGTAAGCTACTGGGATATCCAACAAGCTCTTTTTCTATGAGGTTGAGCAGGGCTGAGTTCCTTTGCTTGCTCACAGGAAACCTGAGGTCCAGGGTGGGACTGACCACCACAGGCTCTGGGTGGCCCATCCTGACTCCGAGTGCTGGGTTCATGCTGCTCCTTCTGCCTGGTGCTTTCCCACAGCTAACAACCACTCGACCCAAACCCATCATCCTGTAAAGTCCAATTCTCATGCCACCTGCTCCACGGAGCAATCTTGGATCTCTCCAGAGAATGAATGTCTCTCTCGTCAACACTCCCCAGCATTTTACCTGACTCTCTCTGTGGGGATTTAACACTTCCTACTTTAGATTATAGAAAGTTGTGTATTACTTTTCTCCCTTACTACATGGTGAGTGTCCTGAGGCTGAGGTCACTTCTTGTTTTCTCCCTTGTACCCAGCCCAGTCCTCTACACTGAAGAGTGCTCAGTAAATGCTTATAAATAGAACTCTTCAGTTTATTTAGACTCGTTCTTTTTTTTTTTTCTTAGAGACAGGGCTGCACTCTGATGTCCAGGCTAGAGTGCAGTGCCGCCACTATCATAGCTCACTGTAGCCTCAAACTCGTGGGCTCAAGCGATCCTCCCACCTCAACCTCCCAAGTAGCTGGGACTACAGGCACGTGCCACCGTGCCTGGCTAATTTTTAAAATTGTTTTAGAGATGGGACCTTTCTATGTTGCCCAGGTTGGGACTAGGCATTCTTAACTTGGGGTCCAGGCACCCGCTGAGCTGAATGTAATGCATTTTTTGGACACAATGCCCACAGCTTTCATCAGATTCCCAAAAAGGGTCCATGACCCCAAACCAATTAGTAATAGATAATATTTGTTGAGTGTTTACTAGGTACCTGGCACCATTTTATATATTTTTCATGTATTAGCTCTCTTAATCATCACAAGATCCCTGGGAGATAGGTACAGCAGGCAGGCCTGGAGCAGAAGACAATTTGGGCCTCCCTCTGTCATGATGGAGGGTCCTGACTGCAAAACAGGAGGCAGGGAGGGGGTGTGTGACAGACATGTAGGGGAGGGGACAAAGCTCTCTGTCAGGAAGAACTGGTGCAGAGGCAGGGCAGGGCAGGGGCTCCCTGAGGGTTTACCTGGGGTCACATGGCTCCACTTCAAAAAGATTTGTTTTTATTCCCCTCCCTTCCTTCCTTCCTTTCTTCTTTCCCCTTGAAAAAGTGTGAATACGGTACAGGTGTGCACACACACACACACGCATACACACACACATATCAGGAGATGAAACATTATCTGGACTTAGCAGCCACGTTCTGTGAAATCAGCACTCCAGGGTCAGCTCCCTGTGGCCTGCCTCGACTTGATGTCCTGCTGTCTGTACATCCTTTGAATCAGTCAGGGTGTCTGGCCTACATGGTAAATTCCTCAGGCACAGGCCATGTGCCTATGCATAATTCAGTCTGAGCTTGATCAACACAAATGAACATTGTCAGGCCTTTAAACAAAGTTTGATTATTTACTTTTGAAGGAGGGCTCTTCCATGCAACCTTTCCAGTGATGACACTAGTTTCAGATGGAGCTGACCTTGGGCTGCTGGGCTCAGGCTTCTAGAAGGTGAGATGGGCAGGGGCAAGATGGAGTAGGAAGGAGCAGGGTTGGACAGCATGGGAGGAGATGGCTATGGGGACAGAAAGAAAAGTAATTCCCAAGAAGAGCACAGCTGGAAACCACCCCCTACCCCAGGGCATCTACTTGAGCAATGAGGATTAATCTCTGTTGTCAACACCTGCACAGTTTAGAGCAGGCCACTTAGCTGCCTCCTTTGAGTCTTGTGATGACTTGCTGGTAAGGTATAAGACAGTCATTCCTATCCCCATTTCATTGATGGTGATAAAGGCTAAAAGAAATTAGAATCTGGCCAGGCGCGGTGGCTCACGCCTGTAATCCCAGCACTTTGGGAGGCTGAGGCGGGTGGATCATGAGGTCAGGAGTTTGAGACCAGCCTGGCCAATATGGTGAAACCCCCGTCTCTCCTAAAAATACAAAAATTAGCCGGGCATGGTGGTGCGTGCCTGTAGTCCCAGCTACTCGGGAGGCTGAGGCAGAAGAATTGCTTGAACCGGGGAGGTGGAGGTTGCAGTGAGCCAAGATTGCACCACTGCACTCCAGCCTGGGTGACAGAGCAAGACTCTGTCTCAAAAAAAAAAAAAAAAGAAAGAAAGAAAGAAAAGAAATTAGAATCCAAGTCTCCTGACTCCAAATCTTGAACTTGGCCTACCACACAATGCTGCTCTCAGGGAACTATGGAAGCCAGCTTAGGATCCAGGGTTCTGTAGCCTGGAGATGCTGTGGCCCCTGCAGAAGCCCACCATGCTTGTCACATGCCTCAGCCTGGAGGACCAAAAACCCCGCTGCCCAGTTTCCTCGCTATCCCATGATGAATCCCATAACTTCTCCCTTAATCTGTGATCACATCCTCATCTCTGAGGAACCTGAGTAAAACACTCTCTCATATAGGACCTTTTGTCTGGAAGGTGCTCAGTGACTGTGAGTGGAATGAGCGATCAGATGAGTGAATGACTGAGTGAGTGAAGTGTTAATAATTCCTTATGGGTGCATTAGGCACATTAGGTATTCCCCTTTCCGCTATTAATAGATGGTTATACCAGAGTATCATTAACATATGTGGTACTTTTACCCACTCAAATTGTTTGTGCCCTTCCCCTGTGATAAACAATTTTGCCAAGAACATTCTTGCAGCTAGATCTTTGTACACATTGATGATCATTTACTTCAGTTAAATTCCTATGTAATCCCACTTTAATAATGGGATAAACAGAACCAAATTAGGAAGGGAAATTTGCTGCAAAAGAAAAAAAGGTCATAATAAGCAATTCTAGGCAAAACAGAACGCCTAGCCAGGCTTCCAGTTCTTGACTGTGGATAATTGAAGGGGCCCTTGCAGTTCTGCTGGGCACCCATAGCCAGAGACCTAGGGACAGCCCCAGAGTGCTCACTCTGTGGTCCCCTTTGTCTGTGATCTCATCATGGTGGGGGACTGGTTTCCCAGCTGTGTGACAAACTCCCTGACAGCAGGGACTGCATTCCCCAGTGCCTGGAGCCTGGCAGTACCTGGAACAAACATGGAAGGTGCTCAATATATATCTTCTACCCTGGCCTGAAGGCGTATTAAGCCATGACTATGTAGGAAAGGGAGCTGTCATTTATTCACTGGGCACCAATTATGTGTCACGCACTGTTCTAGGAACCCTGCACACATGATCACATCCATTATCTCATGTCATTCTCACAGCAACTCCCAGCACTACCTCCCCTTTCTGATGAAAATGAGACTCAGAGAGGTCAGTCTGACTTCTCCTTCATCACACCATGATGGCAATTGTGCTTAGTCCCACTGGCTAGCCCAGAGATCCAGGAGCCAGGGCCTGCGAGTCCACACAGCTCACAGTGGATGCTGACTACTCTGCTCTTTCAAAATCAATGGCCACCAGACCTGGCGGGGCTGATACAGCCCTTGGCAGGGACAAAAGCAATCACAGGACACCTCGACCCTGGCAGGGGTGGATGCGGACACAGCGGAAATGGGTGCTGAGATTCGATGAAGCTCAGGAAATGAGATAGCTTTGTTGCCTTAGCAATGAGCGACCAGGGTCAGCGGCAGAGCAGAGGCAGCTGCAGGGCTAATGGTAGAAAATAGGCCATGTTGTCAGGCCTGAGGTTCCAGAGATGGAGAATGTGTGGAGGCAGCCTTCTTCCTAGACCTGGACTTCTGGGAACAGGCCTCCTCCATTGAGAGAATAGATCCCAAGTGAGGAAGACTCAATGTGCTTGGTGCCTCTTCTGAGCAGAAAAGGGAGACTGCCTGCTGGGCTTCCCCCATACCCTGGCCCTGGCCCTGGTCGTAGCCCTCAGCCAGCTCAGGAAGACCCTTCAGTATAGGCCAGGCTGTAACAGGGAGAAAAAGCTTTTTTTTCTCACTGGTGGGACACCAGGCAAGCATCTCCTTGGCCTCTCTGGTTGTTTCACCACACCCAGCCCTGAGGACCTATTATCCTCTATTCTCGCATAAGGACAGGTACTCCCAGGGCAGGCCTGCTTGCTGGCTGGCTGGAGAGCCCTTTCCCATCTGCAGACCTGTACTTCTCATTGGCTGGGCCTGCAGGGCAAGAGGCAAGGGTTGGGGGTGGTGACCAGATGCCCCTGGAACTAGAGAGGAACAGAATTCAGGGCTGTCTTGCCAAGCATTCTCCTGACGGCTGTAAGGAGGCGCCTGACCCTGGCAGTTGCTTGATCTTTGGGTCTGCTGAGTCTGCCCTAGAAGGGAAGGAAGAGCAGCCCTGGGCACAGCCTACATGTGGGCCATGGGCTCCAACCAGGTGGGGAGAGAGTCTGCTTCCTTCCACCTGCTCTGATTTTTTTGTTTGGTGTTTTTCAGGTCAGCCTAATCAGGGCACACAAGAGGCCAGAGAAGCGCTCACCCCGGATGACTATAGTGCCTCTTCTTAATCATAATAAATAAAATGAAAATGGTATTTTACAGTTAAAATATTTCCACATCCGTCATCTCATTTGATCCTCACAATAACCCCAGGAGCTGGACAGGGCAGGTGTTGTCTTTCTCATTATTTCACAAGTAAAACAGCAACTGAGAAGTAAATTGACTTGTCAACGATCACACACTAGTCAGAAGCCTAAGAGCTGGATGTCTGCTTCCAGAGCCTTTGTCCTTCCCACTCCTCTGTGGCCTTAGAAGAAGGTGTCCAGGTGAGCAAAGGGAGAGAACTGGACCAGCGGATACTGCGAGGGGCTTCCTCATGAGGGGGTTACTAACTGCTTCCTCCTGAGCTCCTGCAGTCCCATGATCACAGGGCCCCTCTCTGTGTGCAGCCCCAGCAAAGTGATGCAGAGAGATGGGCACTCCCAGAATCACTGTACCTTCCCTAGATCATTTTTTAAAGGCAGACATACCCTTGACAACCTGGAGCATCTTATATGATGTCAGCTGGGAAGGATGGCAGAAAGATGGCTTTGAGAACCTCTAAAGTGAAGAGATGAAGGATGCAAGGATCAGCCTCAGGGTCCATGACACCTTTCCAGTGTCCCTGGTGCTGGGTAAACCAGTGTGCTTTGACATCCCTGGAGTCATTTGTTTCAAGAGCTGAAGATGATGTTAATTTCGGACATTAAAATCATTCATAAATCGAAGCTAGCTCTGGGCTGCCCTGGCATCAGGGGAGTTCATGCTATAGCCGTGAACTGCTGCAGCTGCTGGTTGCCTACCAGGAGGTGGCCAGGCTGACTTGCACTGGAGTGAAGCTGCCACAGGATCCAGCCCAAGATCAGCCCAGACCTTCATGGGCCTGAGCACCTCTGGAGGGGGGTGGCTTTTCACACCTGGATGAGACTTTGGTCAGCTCTGTACTGTCCTCAGGGCTGCTGGTGGTTCTGAACAGAAGTTCTAGGGGCTGGGGGAGTGGCCTGGGTTTGCCCAGAGCAGGAAGGAAACACGCTTCTCCCTGGGTGTCCTGCTAACAGGAAGCAGCCGGGAGGAGTGGGGAGCTGAGAAGGCCCCACCTTGCACAGAGGTTCAGGCTCCTGGACCACACAGTCTGACCTTCCCAGTCTGACCTTCCTCCCTAGGACCTGCCATTCAAGCCCACTGACCTAGAGGACCCCCGCAAACTTCTGCGCATGCATGAGGCACATCTGAACTTTTAGACTAAACAGACACCCTGGGAAAGAAGAGGGAGTCGGTGAGCAGCCTGAAGACCGAGAGACCCTTGCAATGGAGCCCTCTTTCCCGAGCACATACTGTGGGACAGGCGCTGTGCAAACACGCATTGTTTATATATTATATTATATTATGTTATTGAATCCTTACAACAACTTCATGAGGTAGGAGTGCTTAACATTTTCATTTTACAGATGAGGAAACTGAGGCCCAAGGAGGTAAAACAACACGCCTAATTGCCACAGTCGGTATCAAACTCACGTCTGCCTGGGGGCACTAGGCAGCCAGCATGTTTGGGGTCATGTGTGTACATGCAGCCACCCCTCACAGGAACTGCAGTGGGCCCAGCTGTGGCCAGACATACCACCACCCAAAACTCAGAGGGAACAGATACAGCACCCAACAAGAATTCAGGACGCAGCCCCGGGAAGCGGTGATGGCAGTGGCAATGGAGTGCTGACACTCCATTAACAAATAGGCTTTGGGTGTTACAGGAAACAGACAAGCCAGGGTTCCAGGATTCTGGGATTGGCAACCCAGATCTACCCACAGGAAACTGCCAGCTAGGGACAAGAAGAGCTGCCCACAAGACTAAAACTGGGCAAGGGGCTTGCTCTGATGCCAGTCCATCACCAAGCTGGAGGAGCAGTGGGAAGTGCTCCACAGCTGCCCCCCACTGCCTTTTCACCCCAGCCCACAGCCTCCTTTTATTGTCAGCCCAGGATGCCCGCACTCCAATTACTCCTTAGGTACACAGCCCAGGCAGCCTATGCTTACGTGGTCCTAGGCACTCACAGGTGGTTTATGTACTCAATTTGCATGGCAGGGTCTTGGCGAAGGGGAGATGATGGCACACAGCTGGACACACAGCTGGTTAAAGCACCCATGAGGCTCTGTCTCCTAGGGTTGATCTTCAATTGGGTCAGTTACCCTTGCTCCGTGCCACATAGAGAAAGGACATTCTCGATGTGCAGGCAGGGGTCTCACAAATATAATACACACAAGGCTTTGGGGTTTTGGGTACCGACACAACTGGGGAGGCAGGTACCTATGGCTTGGGAGAAAGCCATAGTCTCTCATGGGTAGACATGTCTGTGCTGTTGGAGAGACAGTCTCCACCTTCCTCCACAAAGCAGCGGCAGGTAGACCCTGGCCACACTGGATTGGAACAGAGACCCCAGGGCACTGTGAGTTCCATCTCCCTGTGCCTCTGACAGCCTTGGGCACATCAATATTGTCTACACACACAGTAGAGTCTCATTACTGATTCAGTTAGACCATATGGATCCCTGAGATGCCTCCCTGAGCAATATTTTCAGTAGAACCAAGAGGGGTGGCTGAGCTCTGGCTCGCTTCGCCTCAGTCCTCCAGCTGGGTGTTGTGCAGACTCCATCCCAGTGCAGCTCTCAAGCCTCTTGAGCACTTCACCCAGTGGCCCAGCTCCTACAGCGCGGGCTCCAACCCCGGTAACTTGACAGGACAAGGCCCCTCTGGCCCAGCCAATGCCCTCGTACCTGTGGACAGCCCCATCAGAAAAAACAACAGAGGCAACCCCCTGAACCAACAGAAGCCTGTTCCCCATGAAGAGGGTGGGGATGTTTGTCCACTCCCCCCTGCAGCTGATGGCTTTCCCATCTTGTCAGGCAGGAAGGGACAGGGTGTGGGGAGGTTGTGATACTGATTTCCAACCGCCACCCAGTTCAAGATCCTAATCAGAGTCCTGTGAAGAGCAGCTGGTCATTTTTTTTGTCTTCCGGTGGCTGGGGATGGGGGGTGGGAGGGGACAAACTATTCCAAAACACCGCCTAAGGAAGTCAGCACCCTGTGGTTTGGGGATTATAAGTGAGGAGGGAATCACAGATAGTTGAGCAAATTACAGTACATACATATGAAATAATATTTAAAATGATGTGTACAGAGATTTGATCGATACAGAAAAACATCTGAGATAATATTAAGCAAAAAAGCAAAAATACAAAATGGTAGGCCGAGTATGATCTCAGGTAGACAAACCTGCCTTTAAAAAAAAAAACAACCTAGAAGGAAATGTTAACAGTGTTTGCTTCTGGAGTGGGGGATTATGGCTACTTCAAGTTTTTCTATTTTTCTATGATAAGCTTTGTTAATCAGGAAGAAAAAAACAACACTAGTTAAAATTTAGGGAGAAAAAGGAACCATGGATGGGGCACCTGTGCCCTCTGTGATCCAACAGCGTCATCCCAAGGGAAGAAGAGTTCTGTGTGTGTTGTGAGTGGGCAGGGAGAGAAAGTACTGACTTCTGATACAGCCCTAGAACTCGAGGGGCTGTGTTCTGGAGTATTCCCGAGGGAGCTCTCGCCTGATGGGAGAGACAAAGCCCCTGCCTGGGGAACACAACCTAAGTGCTGAGGGAGGGGAGAAAGGCCTGTAACGGCTGAGGGTGTGCACCCTGAGCAATATCACTAGGTACTGGTGGAGCCAAGCGGAGAGGGCACCAGGGGTGGGTGACAGTGGTGGGCTCAGGGGGAAGCCTTCCTGGAGGCGGTGAGCCTCGAGCAGGCCTCCAAAGTGAGCTGGGGTGTGGCTGGAGCTGCCGGCATTTCATGGGGGTCTGGGGAGTGGTTCTCAGAGCCTGCAAGAGAAATGCCCAGGAGAAGTGGCCTGCCTCTCTCTGAAAGAGGTGGGCAAGCGTCACCATCAGAATGGTGTATGTGTCGGGAGGAAACTGGGAGATGGGGCAGAGTGTGGGGGAGGCCCCTGGAGCCCACAGGAAGGAGTCTGGAAGTGATGGGGAGAGCTCAGTGCTGGCAGGGAAGGAGGAGCAGCCAGGATCTGAAAGAAAGGACCAGCGCCAGCCTTGACATGGAAGAGGGTGGCTGCATTTCAAATTGGTCTTTTAAAGAAAAGTCTGAGAGGGAGGCGCTGAAGGGCATTTGGGTGTTAATTTTTGGTTCAGTTCAGTGACTAGGGATTGGGGGAATGTCTGGCGCCTCCAGGGATAAAATGCTGGCCTGAAGCCACAAGGCCCCTGGGAGGTCAAATCCACCTCATCATGTGGCCTGGGGTCCCACCTTCAACTGTGTGGGCCTCAGTTTCCCCCAGAGAGGCAGGGGGTGGGTGACAGCCCTTCTATTATCCTCAAGTCTCAGGGGCTCTGCTAATAAAAATGATTGCAAAACGCTTTGCAAATAGCGATACTGCCTCACAACGGAGGCAATTCTTTCCCACAGAGGGGGCTCAGTTCCTGCAGGGATCCACTTGGAACCTCTCTGCCCTCCAAAGAAGGGGCCCTTCTGTTCCCTTGTGATCTCAGTGAATACCACGTCCCTGGGATAGCCATGGGCCGGGCCCCATGCCCGCTGCTGGCAGCCGCCCTCACATAGCACAAGGGAAACTTTGTGTGCCTCCTCGGCCTGGAGTGTGAGCTGCCAAGAGCAGGGTCAGTTTCTCTTCTGATGGCGGAGGAAACCGAGGCACAGGAAGGGAGACTGACAATGAGCCCAGAAGAAACCAGGCCCTGTACTTTCTTATTTAGAAAATTGGCATCAATAACTAGCATTTATAAGGCACCACATGGTTTATGTAGTAATGATGATAGCAGTAGCTAAATATTTAATGAGCACTTAGTATGTGCCAGTCACCTTACATTTATTACCTTTTTTAAAACATATGTTTATTCCTGCCAACAATCCAGTATGATAGGAACCATTAGTGTTCTCTGTGGTAGGCAGAATAACGGACCCCAAAGATGCCCATTCCCTTTTATTCAGAAGTTGCAGTTGTTACCGTAAGTGGCAAAAGGATCTTCACAGATGTGATTAAGATTAAGGACCCTGGAATGGGTAGGGTATCTTGGATTATGCAAATGGGTCCATCTAATCACATGAGTCCTTAAAAGCAGAGAACCTTTCCTAGCTGCAGAGAAGCAGCGAGATGGCAGCATGAGAAGGACCTGACCTGCTGTTGCTGACTTTGAAGATGGAAAAAGGGGCCACACACCAAAGATTGAGGGTGGCCTCCAGGAGCTGGAAAAGGCAAGGAAACAGATTCTCCCCTGGATCCTCCAGGTAGGAACACAGCCCTGCTGACACTTTGGAATTAGCCCAGTGACACCCTGTCAGACTTCTGCTGTACAGAACTGTAAGATAAATCTGTGTTAAGACACTAAGCTTGTGGTCATTTGTTACAGCAGCCTAGAAAACCAATCAATTCCTATTTATTTATTTATTTGAGACAGAGTCTCACTCTGTTGCCCATGCTGGAGTACAGTGGCACAATCTTGGCTCACTGCAACCTCTGCCTCCTGGGTTCAAGGGTTCAAGCAATTTTCTTGCCTCAGCCTCCCAAATAGCTGGGACTACAGGTGTGTGTCACCACACCCAGCTAATTTTTGTATTTTTAGTAGAGACGGGGTTTCGCCATGTTGCCCAGGCTGGTCTCGAACACCTGACCTCAAGTGATCTGCCCGCCTCGGCCTCCCAAAGTGCTGGGATTACAGGCGTGAGCTACCGTGCCTGGCCCCATTCCCCTGTAATAGGTAAGGACGCTAAAGGTGAGAAAAGTTAAAGCCACACTGCTACAAAGTGGAGGAGGTGAGACTGAACTATTCCTTTCACACCTACAAACTGACCATCTACAATGAGCCAGACCCTGTGCCAGGGCCGAGGATGCCTGCCTGCCTGCCTGCCTGCCTTCCTTCCTTCCTTTCTTCCTCCCTCCCTCCCTCCTTCTTTCCTTTCTTCTTTCTTTCTTTTTTGAGACACAGTCTTGCTCTGTCACCCAGGCTGGAGTGCAGTGGTGCTAGCATGGCTCACCGCAGCCTCAACCTCTGGGACTCAAGAGATCTTCCCACTCCAGCCTCCTGAGTAGTTAGGGCTACAGGGACACACTACCATGCCTGGCTAATTTTTTAAATTTCTTGTAGAGACGGGGGTCTTGCTATGTTGCCCAGGCTGATCTCAAACTCTTTGGCTGATGTGATTCTCCTGCCTTGGCCTCACAAAGTGTTGGGATTACAAGTGTGAGCCACCACTTCTGGCCAGGAATTTACGGTCCAAAGAGAATCGGATCCCAACCAGATCTGCCTGCCTGCAAAGCTTCTGCTTGTCAGGGCCACAGCATTCTGCCTTCGCAGGTCTTTCACATGTTACCTCATTCTACCCCTACAATAACACACTGAAATAGGGATCCATGCCCTCATTTTGCTGATGAGAAAACTGAGGCTCAGAGAAGTGGGGTGTTAGCCAAAGGGCCCCCAGGTGGTCATATCAGGCCCAGAACTCAAGCTCCTGGCATCCAATTCCAGATTCTGGGTTCTTCCTTACCTCTGATGTGGAGGGATCCTGCAGGCTTTCCTTGCTGTACCTGTGGCACTTGAAGCAGACATGTGGGGTACCCCACCAAGCAGTGTCTTGGGGATTGTGGTCTCGTATGCTTTTCTCTGGGCCCAGTTCCAACATCTCCCAGAAAGATACATCTCCCAGAAAGATACACCAGAAAAAAAATCGTGTTGGGTCAGTGGCACCTGTGGGACGAGTTAACGCCCCCTCTGCCATCCAGGCTGGGTCCCGGCGTCCGGACGCTCTTCGAGGGGCTGTTTCCTGAGGACAAATGTTTCCTGCTGCCGCGGATGCACAGGGGGAGCGTGACCAGGGGCAGCTAGCCCTGAGTCGCACCACCAGCTTGCTAAGCATGTCTGCACCCTCTGACGATCCGGTCACCTCTTCATTAGTCTGTAGCTTCCCCCACACATCCTCTCTTAGGACTTGACAAAAGGCCAGGATATTTCAATTGGGAGGCTCAGGCCACTCTAAATACTCATAACCACCCACTCTGGCAAAAACTATTTACTATGCGTGTTCCTGTGCATTACCTCACTGATTCACCCACCGTCCTAGGCTGTTATCATCCCTACTTTTCAGAAAAGGAAACTGATGCTCAGACAGATCCCGTGATCCAACAGCATCCAGGATCTGGACTGAGGTATTGGACTTCTGGTGACTCACTGGTTCCCTACTGACAGGCTCTGTAGGCAGGGCCTGCCCCACCCCTCCCTGCCTGCTCCCTTCCATCCACCAGGCCCAGGAGAGAGCACCAACCGCCTAGAAGTACCCTGCAAGCTAAAACAGAAAGAGATGCCACATTCTGCTCTCATACAGTCCTAGAATGACCTGCTTAATATTATATCTTAAGCTCCACTCAGAAGGAAGCTTGGAGCTTTCAGAAAGCAGTTTCAAAAGTGATCAGTCCTGCCGGGATCCTTTCAGACCATACAGTGTCCAAGGCAAAGGACCACTGCCCACCTGGGCCTGGCCCACTAACCCTGTCCTGCCCAGGGCTCAGGAGGCCCAGCTGCTGAGGGGTTGCTGTGATGGAGGAGTGAGTCATGGGGCCTGGAATCTGAAGCCTTCCAGACCTTCGCCCATCCCAGCCAACTTCACATCTGCCATCCAGATGTCTCCACTTCGGAAATGCTTTCTACCAACTAGGACCCAAGGTCGGGGGGCATACTTGACCTTAGAAAAATACCTTCAGGTTGGGTTTGGTGGCTCATGCCTGTAATTCCAGCACTTTTGGGGCTGAAAGGCCAGAGGATCACTTGAGCCCAGGAGTTCGAGACCAGCCTAGGCAACATAGTGAGACTTCCCAACCCAGCTGTCTCTACAAAAAAAAAAAAAAAAATTAGCCAGGCAAGGTGGTGTGTGCCTGTAGTCTCAGCTACTTAGGAGGCTAAGGTGGGAGAACCGCCTGAGCCCAGGAGTTCAAGGCTGCAGTGAGCTATGATGGTGCCGCTGCACTCCAGCCTGGGTGACAGAGCAAGACCTTGTCTCTAAAAAAACCGAAAAATAAATAGGAATAAATAAATAAAAAATACCTTCAGAACCTCCTTGGTCTCCTTGGTTGATTCTCAAACCTAAACCTAACTGGGTGCCTTTGTTCCAACCATTGATAGTCTCATGCTGTGACCAAGCTTACTGCCTAAGGGCCCTGAACATGGGGGATCTGATGGAGGAACAGAGCCCCAGCCTGCAGGGAGTTCCCAGGCTGATGGGCAAGGCACAGTTCCTAATCTCATGGAGGCCCCAGGCTGAGTAGGGAACACAGCCAAACACAGCCTTGTCCTTAACCAGATCCTACACTAATGGAAGAGACAGAACCCTGCCCCCAGGAAGCCTACTGCCTAATAGGGAAAAACTTCTGTATCTGTGGGGAGCTTCCAATGTCCAGAAAAAAAGGACTCAGAAGAAAAATCTAGAAACATGGATAATGGAAGTGAAGGAAACTAACTTTTATTGAATGTCTAGCATATGCCAGCTACTATACAGATTTAATCTTCTTTAATTCTCACAATTACCTCATTTACAGTCAAGGAAACTAAAGCACCCTGGTTAGTTACCCAGCTAGTAAGTAAGTAAGTAACAGAATCAGGATTTGAACTCAGATCTGTGCAGCTCCCACATCCTGTTTTTGCGTAACACCATGTGTGATGGGGCAGATTCGTTTACCTTCTTTTCCCACATCACCCTTTAGGCTGGGAGCTAGTTCTTGTTTCCTGTTGCAAATCACCATTCTCACAACACTAAAAATTACTACACTTAGGACTACTTCATTGACTGACAATATCCCACTGTCCCAGCAGCAAGAGGGACTGCCGACTCTGTCCCTTTAAAATGAAGAGAAGGACTCACAAAGGAGCTCCCATCCTCCACTAGCAAGGGGTCCCACCCACCACAGAGGCAAGCTGTGGTCAAGGCAGGGGCTTCTTGGGGTCTCATGGAGAAAAGGTTCAGAAATCAAAGCCCCACCCCAGGTTGGTCCCAAGCCAGTCACTGGATGAACACACTCCCTGGTACCTGTGGAAAGAGTAGCGACTGCTGCACGCCACTGGAAAGCCTGTGGTGGTGGCAAATGCAACGGAAATGCTGACTATGTTCCCTGAGCCCACTGTCTGCTTTGTGGCACCCAGGGCTGGCCTGGAATAGCAGCCTGGCCTTCCCGTCATTGTGCTGGAGCTCTGGGAGGTCTCGGCTCATGGCAAGGATCCACAGATCCCAAAGCCTTCTGTGGCTCCTCAGTCCCAGGGAAGGGGCTCTGCAGAGACAGGAGATAAAAATGCTGCCACGCAGCAACAGAGATGCACATCTGTACAAACATCAGTGTCTTTCCACGGGAACAGTGACTTGGGCATTGAAGGACTGGGAGACAGGATTTCATTAAATATCCTGTTTCTCAGGGCCTGCTGTGGGGCAAGAGCTCTGGCAAGGAACCTAGGGTCCATTGCCAATTCCAGCTCCTCCTCTGCTTCTCTCTGGCACCCCAAACACCCCGGATGCAGGGTCACTGGGCTCTTGCCTGTTGGTCACCACACCAGGATGGCCAAGGCTAGACCACTAGTAGTTTGGGATCTTCAATGGGGCAAGTTGTTCTGGCCTGGCAGGAGGGATATGCTGATGGTGGAGGGGAAGCTGGCGCTGGCTAAGGGGTCCATAACCCAAAGGGAAGAAGATTCCATAAGAAGCAGCAGCCAGGCTGAAAAATTATTGACCTTTTGCTCTTGCCATCAAATAGCATTCTAGCCTGTCCCATACTCTATCACCCAAGATCCTTAATGGGTTTTACATCCTGAAAAAAATGAAAGTTACATGAGAGAAAGCAAGAATCTTGGTTTTTGTTGAGGAGGGGTGTGGTTTATAGAAGATGGAACCTAAATCAAGAATAGGAGAGTTTTTTGATACCACCCAGCAAGGCAGAGGCAAACACAACACAGAGAGACAGATACGGTTCTGCTCTTCCCATCCTCTGAACTTCCTCGGCCGCCCTACCCTGCCTGGCTTCCCGCACAGTGCAGGACTGCCCCAGCCTGAGCCTCTCACCCCAACTTTCTTCCAGTCTGAGAAGGAGGGGACACGTGCCTGTGGGACCTGCTTCCTTAGCCCACAAGATGCAGAGCTGCGAGCTGCCTGCATAGGAGAGGAGGGCGTGGGGATCGGGCTGGGTTCTGCTGGGCAACTGCACCCTCTGGTGGCGGCAACAGGAAGATGCAAGGCCATGCAGACAAAGGCCGAACCAGATTCTTCCTCCTTCCCAGAATCCCTCTACACCGCCTTTATTAAGCACCTATTGGCGGATGGCACGGGGTTCTGTCCAAAGAGAAGTGGATGGACACTGCACTGTTCTTAAGGGCTGCTAAATGAAACCTGCACAGGAGAAAGGAGGCTAATCCTTCCACAGCTCTGGGCTAACAGGCCTTCCCTTTCCTCACACTCCAGCTTCAGCGATCAGTGCTTCAATGGACAATTTTGCTGCCCTCTGCCCACATGCATGGCACCTCGACCATCATCTCGGACAAAGCTTCTCACCTCCATCAAAACCCTGCTCCCAGTCGTAACTCTAAGGACCCTCAGCCTCCCCCAACCTACAAGAGACTTAAAAGCAGCAACTGTTGGAAGAGCACTGTTCCTGGTGGTTTATGTGCGAGTCTCCAGTGTCAGATCCTCCAAGGGTGTGCTTCTGGTCTCTCCAAATGGATGGGGAGCTTCTCAAGGGCAGGAAACATTTATTGAGCATCTATTTCATAGCCAGGCCCTTTATAACCACAATTCATGGTAGCCTCTCGGCAGGCCCGTAAGGACCATAAATAACCCCCAATTTACAGAGGGGAAACGGGCTCCAGAAGGCCAAGAGCTATCAACAACCCCTTTCCATATGCCTGGCGCTATGCTAAAGGTGTTATACGCGTTATCTCCTTCAATCCTTGTGAACAAGGTTATCCAATGAGCTAGGTTAAAATTATTCCCATTTTACAGATGAAGGTGTTGGGGCTCAGAAAACGATACCCCATAATATGGCCTTTTGACATGCTGAACTAAAGAAGCAGACTCAAGGTACCTCTGACTTCCCCCACCCCAACTCCTGCCTCTCAATCATCCATCTTTCTCAAAGCACAGGATGAGACTATTCTCTGGAATTCTCTTATCTCCCTAGAAGCCAGACCCCAAAGAGGAACACAATTGCTTTTGATTCCTTCCCTGAAGTTTTATTAACCATAGAAGATTAAAATTCATATCACAGAGGAAGAGACTGAAAATTAAACACCACACCTGTGCCGGGCGCGGTGGCTCACGCCTGTAATCCCAGCACTTTGGGAGGCCGAGGCGGGTGGATCACGAGGTCAGGAGTTCAAGACCAGCCTGACCAACGTGGTGAGACCCCGTCTCTACCAAAAATACAAAAATTAGCCAGCGTGGTGGTGTGCGCCTGTAATCCCAGCTACTCAGGAGGCTGAGACAGGAGAATCGCTTGAACCCGCGAGGCAGATGTTGCAGTGAGCCGAGATTGTGCCACTGCACTCCAGCCTGGGCGACAGAGCAAGATTCCATCTCAAAACAAACAAACAAAAAACACCACACCTAGATCCCAGACAAATTTTGTCCCAAACCAGTGTTCGTTCTTTGGTTCCATTCAATTCCCAAAGAGAATGATTTACTAACCATTATCTGAGCACTGGGCTCATTCATTTCCCCGAAAAATCACTGCCTACTCTTCAAAATGGCCATATGGCCCGCATTTCCCCTTCCCCTATGTAGAAGGGTATATAAGCCTCTGGACCTCACTGGGTTATGGAGTGACCATTCTCCTGTGATTCCCATGAGCTTATGCACGTTAAATAAGTTTATCTGCCTTTTATCTACATATCGTCAGTTTATTTTCAGTGAAGTTTCAGAGGGTGGTGGGAAAGCTTTCCCTTGGCTCCTACAAAGCACGAAAACATTGAGGGGATAAATAATATGCACGAAGTCGCACAGCTAGGAAGAGGCAGCAGGATAGAAACCCAGTTCTGTTTCACCCTTATTCTTATCCCTGGTTTCTGTTTTTGTTTTTTGGAGTCCAGGCCTCCTCCTTTCTGCCCCTCCAAGCCCCTTGCGCAGGGTTCCATGCACAGCTCAGTCACCGCCCAGCACATAGATGGCTTCCTTTCCGCAGCCCCTGAGGAGTCCTTTCGTCCTTCTACAGCCAACTCCAGAAACTACATAGAGTGCTTTCTTCCTGTCTCTCTTCATCCCTTCCACTCCTATTGGAACAAAACCACGTTTGACATTTCTCAGCATTATTACATTAAACAGGCTGGATCTCAGCCAGCTATTTCTGGGCTTTAATTACTTGTTCTATCTAGCCTAAGTGGTGTGGGCAAGCCGGTCCTCAGTTAACCCACCTGAAAACTGGGAAGATCAGGAACTATCTCCTAGAATTTGATTACCAGCCAAGGACGGTGCTAATTTGGAGGTGGTAGTTAAGTGTTTTGGGGAGGCTGGGTGGTTTCTGACTTTAATTCTCTCTAAGACTAGCCCAGGGGAACCTCTGGGGCCACAGTGCAGCTTTGTAAGTGATCTCCCCATGGGGAGTAAATGTCCTGGAATCAAGCCCTAAGGCAGGCCCCTAATTCCTTGCATGTGTGATTGGGCACACAAGCCTCAGGACACGTCTGAAGGCTGTCCTGTGGGCTGTGCTGAAGGACATTGGACAAGCACATCCCCCAACCCTTTGTCTTTCTTCCAGAATCTCTTGCATTGTTTCACAAAAGGAGCAGCACAGAAGTTGAAATTCACCCAGGCACCTCAGAGGGCATTGGGCTCCTGCCTCAGGTACTAATTGCAATCCAATCTGGCTGAATGATTGGGGCTGAAATGTGGCATTTCACCATCACAGTTGGTGCCGTGGGAATGCATAGAAATCTTCAACTTGACACCAAACTGGACTTCCCTAGGGCTTCCTAAGAGAAACAGTAGATCATTTTCATCTCAGCCCCCTCCAAGCCTTAAGTGGGGGCCCTGTGGTCTGGCAGGATCATGGAGTCAGGGTTCCCGGGACCCTGGCTGACTCATCTTCCTCCTTTGCACCAGAGACGAGTCTACTGGTCTGAGCTTTTGCCTGAGATATTTGCCCGTAGAATTAAGCCCCTGTTTTTACAGGGGGAACACTAATGATTTTCTAGGGCTCTCCATTGAGAGGTCACTTGAGACCCGTTTTCCACACAGGCATTTGGAGGATGGTGCTCTTTGCTGGTGAGGAGAGGGGCATTTCTCCAGAGAGGGCCCCAAGGACTGGTGGCAAGCCTCTATGGAGGGGGCAGGGCTGGTCCTTAGACCTCTGCTGCTGGCCCAGGTTGGACTAAGGTTGGGGCTAGGACAGCAGAGGGGAAGAGTCCAAGTATTTTTCTCCCCTTGCCTGGAAGGCCCCCCAGTTCCCTCCCCTCCAACCCAGTCTTTGCCTGACTTAATTCCTGCAAGCCCAGGAGGAGGAATTCACCTCCCAAGAGGCCCTTCCTGCCCCTCCAGGGGTTACAGTCCCTCCACTGTCCCCCCACTGTCCTGAGCTATTACAACTGGGGTGTAATCACTGGTTTGCTTACCAGACCTTTTTTTTTTTTTCTTTTTTGAGACAGGGTCTTCCTCTGTCCCCCAGGCTGGAGTGCAGTGGTGCGATCTCAGCTCATTGCAACCTCTGCCTCCCAGGTTCAAGAAAGTCTCCTGCCTCAGCCTCCCGAGTAGCTGGGACTACAGACACCCACCACCATGCCCGACTAATTTTTTTATTTTTATTTTTTGTAGAGATGGGGACTCTGTATGTTGTCCAGGGTGGTCTCAAACTCCTGGGCTCAAACAATCTACCCACCTTGGCCTTCTAAAGTGACAGGCATGAGCCACTGCTCCAGGTCTCAGACTATTTTTTATAAAAGAGCGTTATACTGTTTGTCCTTAGCACCTAGGACAGTCCTAAGCTGTGGCTAATATCTAGTGAATGAATGAATGGATCAGTGAATTAATGAATGTGGCATTTTCAATCCCCACTTTCGGACCTGAAATCCTAAGTCTCCCAACTCAAATACCTCTTGGGCCTTTTCCACAGACTGTTCTCTTGGGGTTCCAGATAGGCCGACCTCAAGTAGTACCCCAGAAGCTGTTATTAAATCTGCCCCGCCCCCCGCCCCCCATCTCCCTTCACAGCACCTTTGCTCCAGCACCCGGGAACCCATCTGGCTCCCGAATCCCCACTGCCCCTCCCTTTTCTGGCCTCTCTTTCGGAAACACCTTTTTCCTGCCTCCATTAGGCCGCTGTGTTTCCTGCACAGGAAGAGGGCCTTTTGATTCCAGGGTGCTATTTATAGCAGCCCTCCCTCCTTCTGAGCCTCACTAAGGTAGGGGTGATGGCGCAGGGGATGGGGATAGAAGATGCTTGGGACTTTCCAGGGTCCCGGCCACCAGGAGAAGAGGGCTGAGTTCCCAAATGAGGGATGGAACCTAGAGGAAGCTTCTGATCCCCAGACTGGCTTACCCTCCTGACTTCCCCATATCTGTTAGTAGCTCCACAGCTCTCCCAGGCCCCCAGACTCAAAACCTCAGAGCTTCAGAGTCAAGGAGTTGTGGGATTTACATCTAGGGAAGACATTACAGATCATTTTGTAGATGAGGAAACTGAGATCCAGAGAGGAGAAGAGATTTGAACGAGGTCACATAGAATGTTAAAAGTAGGTCTCTGGCCAAAATCTCCCCTGATTCTTGCCTTACCTGCAACAATGACAAAGGATTGCCTCATTCAATCTTGTGGCAGGTGGCATGTTATGGGTTGAATTGTGTCACCAAAAAAGATAATTGAAGTACTAATTCCCAGTGTCTCCGAATGTGACCTTATTTGGAAATAGGGTCATTGAAGAAGTAATTAGTGAAGATGAGGTCATACTGGAGTAGAGTGAGCTCCTAATCTGGTATGACTGCTGTATTTATAAGGAGAGGGAAATTTGGACATAGACATACACAGAGGGAAGAGGATGTGAAGGCCACAGGGAGGAGATGGCCATGCAGCGGTGAAGGCAGAAATCGGAGTGATGTGTCTCTACACCAAGGGATGACAAGGATTGTCGGAAAGCACCGGACACTAGAAGAGGCAAGGAAAAATTCTCCACTAATTTCAGAGGGAGTATGACCCTGCCAACACCTC
Source organism: Homo sapiens (assembly GCF_000001405.40). Lineage (NCBI taxonomy): Eukaryota > Metazoa > Chordata > Mammalia > Primates > Hominidae > Homo > Homo sapiens. The sequence continues at coordinate 201,554,857 of NC_000001.11, read as the reverse complement.
GATTTCAGACTTCTACCCTCCAGAACTGACACTATAGATTTCTGTTTCATTAAGCCACCCACTTAGTGGTACTTTGTTATGGCAGCCCTAGCAAACTGATCATTTGATGGATAAGGACTCTAAGACTGAGACAGGTTAAATGAGTTACCCAGGTTATATGCCAAAAGGTGCAGGAGGGACTCAACTTTCAGTCCAGTGCTCTTCCAAAAAGACTGCACGACTTTTGGATTCTGCTCTCTGTTGTGTCCCTCCCATGTTCCACAGTCATCCAGTCCTGTTCGGTTTTCCTTTGTAAAAAGTCTCTCCCACGGCTCTTCCTTTCCTTCCCCAGCAGGGCCGCCCTAGCCCAGACTTTGCATGTCAGGAACGTGACAGTACATCTGCTGGCCCAACTCTCCCTCTTCCAAGCCATTAGTTGGTCCCACACCTCTTTATGGAATGCCCACTGCTTGCTAGGTTCTGTGCTATGTGCTGGCTTCCCATCGGTGAACAGAACAGACGTGGTCCCTGCCATTAGGGCCGTCCTGCTGGTAAAACAGCTTCATCATGTCACTTCTTGGCTCCGGGTCACCAGTGTCTCCCCACCACAGGCTCCAGTCTTGCACGTGGACCTGTGTTTCCCACATGCAGGGCCAGACACCCCTGTCTGTCAACACGTGTCAGCTCAATTCAGATTAAAGAATAACATTCTGTCTTATGGGGAAACCAGGGGCCCCTCTACAAATGATCTGAACTTCCCAGCTCCAGGAGATAAAGGCAGCTCCAGTCCATGGAGGGAAGAAAAGGCATTATGGTCTTTTACAGCAAGACACAGAAATGGGGAAGTTGTCTGGGAACAAAGAAGGTGACACTGAACACTTTAAACATCCACTAAGGACCGACCAGCTTAACTCTCAAAACCCTGGCAGATACTCTATTGATGCTGGATAGATGTGAATCCTACCGCAATGAAAGGAATCTCAAGTTTCCTCCCATAAACAAACTGTGGCACATTCATACGTCAGAAATTAAAAGAAGCAAAATACATCATTCAACATGGATGAATCTCAAAAACATTATGCTGAGCTAAGAAGCCAGACACAAAATAGAACCTACCACATGATTCCATTTATATGAAGTTCAAGAGCAGGCAAAACTAATCTATGATGATACGAATCAGAACACGGAGACAGTGGGTGGGAGCACATTGACAAAAGGGACAGGAGGGAAATTCTGTGGGTTGATGGAAATGTTCCATATCTGGATCCGGTGTGGGTCACATGGGCGTATTCATTTGTCAAAAACACATCGATCTGTGTGTTTCACTGTTTGTAAATTATACCTCAATTAAAATAGAAGACAATAGAATAAAAGAAGAGAAAAGGATTCCCTCCTTCTCGGTTGGAACACACAGTGGCTGGCCTTTTGCAGGTGAATATACCCTCACATTTTCTCCTGCTTCTCTCTCTAGACCTGAAATCTGGCTCAAGCTCTGTTCACTCCTCTGGCTGAGTTTAGGAAGCAGCCCAGGCTCTCTACAAAGAGGCAGATGGAAGCAAACAGAGCCGGCAGCCCTGGCCCATGGGCCACTGAGCACAGGCTCTGTCTGGCTTTGTGAGTCAGGCCTTCACCACAGAGGTATCCAGGCTGAGCCCTCCCTGGTGTCCTATTGCCTGGAGATGGCCCCAGCCTGTATTTTGGCTCACAAGCCTCGAGTTTATCATTTCAAATCTCCCACCTTACCATATATTTTGCCTCAGCCACATCTGCGGCTCCTCCTTCCAGAGCCAAGCGGGTGCTATTTACAATGCCCTGGAAACACAGCCTGGGCCAGATAATAGGCCAGTGTTGCCAAACAAAACCCCAGGCCACTCTGCCCCCCTCGTCCCCTGGAGGCCTGCAGTCTGGAGCCCAGAGGGGCCTGAGGGACCATATATCTTAGAGCCAGCACCACAGATAACCCTTCCACCCGTCCATCTGACCCTCAGACAGGGAAGCATCCCCTGTCTGATACGTAAACATCCATTTGGGGATAAATCTACCCCGAAGTATAGTCTGCATGGCTGGGGCTAAATGAGGCATCCTTGACTTCGCTCCATCCCTTTGCCTGTCCGGTGTACGTTCGGTGGATCAAGGATTTATTTTATACATGGGGGTGCAGCGAGCCACGGGGCATCCAAATTAAGGACCATAAGAATGACCAACATTGGCTCTAGGCCAGAGGGTGCTTAACACCTTCTAGGATGATCTTCACAATTCCCTGGCCTGAGTATTATTGCCCCCATTTTACAGACGAGAAAATTGAGGCTCAGGGAGGTTGTAGGAACCCGGGTCAGGCTGACTCCAAAGCCTGTGCATTACCCCACATGCGTCAGAGCCCAATGTCAGGGAGAGGTCAAGGAAGCAAAGAGGTGGCCTCTGAACAAGCCAGGGAAATTCAGCACCTTCAGCGCTCCCGTGGGCAGGAGAAAGGGAAAGGACATTCCCTTTACCCACCTCAGCTTAAAGGCATCCCTTACCCCCAACCCCGCCACCCTGCCAAATAATCAATCAACAAATGTTTGCTGAGCCCCTACTGTGTATCAGGACCCAACTAAGCTACTTCCAAGTGCTAAGAGCGGCCAACTCAGAGTGGCATTGTGGGCTTTCCTCTGCCCTGGGAGGCCTTTCCCAGACTATCAGCATGCCAGCCCTGACTCGGCCTCTGGCCCCCTCCCTGCCATCCCAAACACAGAGGCCTTTGTCTTTGTCACAGTCTCTGTGGCCAGCTCAGCAGTGGCCATTCCCATCCACTTCCCACAGCCACCCCCAACTCTGTGGTCACTTTCTAGGCCTCCCTACGGCCCCTGATTTCTTTCTGGCCATGGCCAGCAAGAGGAAGTGGGGAGATGACTAAGAGGGGTGATGTGGCATCTTTGTGATGACATTTAGTAAGGAGCTTGGTAATGAGTGACAGAGAGACACTGGATCTCACAGGAGATGTGTAAATTGGGAGGGGCCGGCTTATTAGCTCCAGACCGGCTAAAAAGCAGAGGAGTTTTAATGGGTTGCCAGCCTAACACAGGCCTAAATTCATGCACAATGGTAATTTTCAACTCTGATGAGAAAATGAGAAACAGAACCTCAAAACGTAACACTTTTACGTTATTTTTTTGACTGGGTAAAAATGAGCAGAAGTGATAAAATTGGTGGTGTACTTTAAAGTAGCTTTTATTGAGAAATAAATCTCAAGCGCTTGTCAAAATAAATGTGATAGCAAAGTAAATTTAAAAGCTCAATATGATTTCTGCATTTGTATAACAGACATGATGTCTGTGGTTAAGTTCTATGAGCCATTAAAGACACTGTGGCGCTGGGCGAGGTGGCTCATGTTTGTAATCCCAGCACTTTGGGAGGCCGAGATGGGAAGATCACTTGAGCCTCGGAGTTCCAGACCAGCCTGGGCAACATAGCAAGACCTTGTCTCTACAAAAAATGTAAAAGTTAGTCAAGTGTGGTGGTGTGCTCCTGTAATCCCAGGTACTCAGGAGGCTGAGATGGGAAGATCGCTTGAGCCTGAGAGGTTGAGGCTGCAGTAAGCTATGATTGCATCACTGCACTCTAGCCTGGGCAAAAAAGTAAGACCCTTTCTCAAGAAAAAAAAAAGAAAGACACCAGTCCACTGGCCCCTTCTGCTATACATGACCCTGGAGTGTATTGGAAAGGACAAAGACCAGGAGCTGGAAGACTTGGGTTCCCCAACTCATTCCCTAAAGTTATGTGGCTTTGGGTAAGTTACTTAGCCTCTCTGAGTCCGATTTTGACATCTACAGAAAGGGAAATATTTGTCCTGCCCACCTCATAAGGTTGCCATGAAGAGTAAACGAGAGGATGGATATGAAGTCATTCAGCACGGACCATAGAGTAGACCAGAGGAACCTTTGCAGTGAAGGCCTGAGGAAGAACTCTGATAGCAGGATGGGATTTAGGTTATGGAACTTCAGTCAAGCCAACCTCCATCCTCTGGGTCAGGTGACTGCTCCAGAGTGGTGTGGGTCTCAAACATTTGCCGAGAGGCCCTTCAGGGCCATACATAGACCACCCACCCCACATGTTCCCAGGACAGAAAGTGCAGAGCCGAGGAGCTTTTCAGAGGCCCTGGGTTCCCAAATACAAACATAAAACTACAAAATTGAAGTTAATCAAGATTTAATCAAACATCTATAAAATGTAACATTGTGTCAACTTCTTCAATACTTAACTTTAGCTTTCACAAAAATGCATTCTATTTGAAAATAACTTACAGATAAAATTTTTCTTCTGATCCAGTAATTTCTGCATATGTTCAGGGTTACCAAGAAATAGCCAATTTAAAATTATTAATAAATGAATTGCTGATAACCAAATACTTTTAAAAGTGAAATTATAGGCCAAGGATGGTGGTTCACCCTTGTGATCTGAATGCTTTGGGAGGCCAAGGTTGGGAGCAATCCTGAGGCCAGGAGTTTGGGACCAACCTGGGCAACATAGCGAGACCCCATCTCTACAAAATATACAAAAATTAGCCGGGTGTGGTGGCGGGCGCCTGTGGTCCCAGCTGTTTAGGAGGCTGAGGCAGGAGGATCACTTGAGCCCTGGAAGTCAAGGCTGCAGTGAGCTGCATTGGTGCCACTGCACTCCAGCCTGGGCAACAGGTTAAGACCCCGTCTCTTAAAAACAAAAAAAAAGTGAAATTATAATTTTTTTTAAATTACAACAAATATTTAGCAATTCATGTGGGATGTAGGGTGTTGGGTGCATCCTTATGGGCATGCTGCGTCCTGGAGCTCTTTCTGGGTGAGCATGCCCGGCGGGCACCCAGGTCTTTTTTTTTTTTTTTTTTTTTTTTTGAGATGGAGTCTCGCTCTGTCGCCTAGGCTGGAGTGCAGTGGTGAGATCTTGGCTCACTGTAAGCTCCGCCTCCTGGGTTCACGCCATTCTCCTGCCTCAGCCTCCCAAGTAGCTGGGACCACAGGTGCCCACCACCACACCCGGCTAATTTTTTTGTATTTTTAGTAGAGACAGGGTTTCACCCTGTTAGCCAGGATGTTCTCGATCTCCTGACCTCATGATCTGCCCGCTTCAGCCTCCCGAAGTGCTGGGATTACAGGTGTGAGCCACTGAGCCAGGCCGGCACCCAGGTCTTAAGACAGTCCTCTCTGTGGTTGCTGGGCAGGCTGTAACCTGCCCAGCAACCACAACTAAGTATATTGAGCTCTGCTTAAAGATTATCAGTAAATGTCATTTACATGATCATGACTACATAAATATTATTAAATCCCAGCCTTAGATTTCCTTCCTCCAAGGCCAGGCCTTTTGTCCTGCTCACCTCTGTGTATTTAGAAGCCAGAAGGCCAGGCGCGTTGGCGCATGCCTGTAATCCCAGAACTTTGGGAGTTTGAAGCAGGTGGATCGCTTGAACCTAAGAGTTTGAGACCAGCCTGGGCAACATGGCAAAACCCCCTCGCTACAAAAAATGCAAAATTTAGCCAGGCGTGGTGGTACATGCCTGTAATCCCAGCTACTCGGGAGGCTGCGGTGGGAGGATCATCTGAACCTGGGGAGGTTGAGGCTGCAATGTGCTGTGATTGTTCCACTGCACTCCAGCCTGGGTGACAGAGTGAGACTTTGTCAAAAAAAGAAAGAAGGAAAGAAAGAAAGAAGGAAGGAAGGAAGGAAAGAAAAGAAGGAAGAAAGAAAGAGAGAGAGAGAAAGAAGAAAGAAAGAAAGAAAGAAAGAAAGAAAGAAAGAAAGAAAGAAAGAAAGAAAGAAAGAAAGAAAGAGAAAACTAGAATATCTGAATTTAAAGCCTGCCTTCCTCACTACTGTTTTGGGTGGTCACCATCAAATTGTACAGAAGACCTTATAATAACAAGCAACAGTTTCCTGTCCCACCTCTTCCCAACTCCATTCTATTGTCCAAATAGTTTTCTGTTATTAGCTCCTTTGGTGGTTATCCACGTAAACTCTAGATAACATACTAATAACTATTCCCTGTTTTGTCACCTGTAGACAATATCTATCATTACCAAAGGAGTTAGACAAGTTTAGAGCACTTACACTAAACCCGACTCTCTTTCTCCTTTTCTTCCTCCCAATATTTGATTTTAGTTACTTTTATGAGTTATCTTGTACCTTTGATCTTAAAATTTGGTTTCTTGTTTTCTAACACTTTGACAGACTCTTGAATCCCCTCAGTAGAAGAGGAGAGTATTAGAGACCCTCCTTTTCCCTCTTCTACCTCTCTTCTTCAGTCAATAACACCTTTATTCACTTATTTATTTATTTTTATTTTTTTAAGAGATGGGATCTTGCTCTGTCACCCAGGCTGGAGTGCAGTCGTGCAATCATAGCTCACTGCAACCTCAAACTCCTGGCTGGGATCAAGTGATCGATCCTCCTATATCAGCTTCCCAAGTAGCTGTGGCAGGAGGACCATACTATAGGCATGTGCCATCATGCCCAGCTAATTTTTTAATGTTTTGTACAGATTGGGGGGTGAGTCTTGCTAGGTTTCCCAGGCTGGTCTTGAATTCTGGCTTCAAGAAATCCTCCTGCCTTGGCAGTTACACCTTTATTGATAGCTATTTACAGCCTGCCCAGCAACCACAACTAAGTATATTGAGCTCTGCATAAAGACTATCAGTAAATGTCATTTACATGATCATGACTACATAAATATTATTAAATCCCAGCCTTAGAGCCTCACTTTCCTCCTCTGTCAAATGGGGACAGCATAGCATGTGCTAACACCTCATAAGACCTAGTGGGCTGGGCACAGTGGCTCACGCCTGTAATTTCAGCACTTTGGGAGGGCGAGGTGGGTAGATCACAAGGTCAGGAGTTTCAGACCAGCCTGGCCAAGATGGTGGAACCCCGTCTCTACTGAAAATACAAAAATTAGCCGGGCATGGTGGCAGGTGCCCGTAATCCCAGCTACCCGGAAGGCTGAGACAGAGAATTGCTCGAACCTGGGAGGTGGAGGTTGCAGTGAGCCGAGATCATGCCACTGCACTCTAGCCTGGGCAACAGAGCAAGACTCCGTCTCAAAAAATAATAGTAATTTAAAAAAAGACCTAGTGAAGAGGATACAGAATGTGTGGAATGTAAAAGACGCAGGTTTTTACAAATATAATCTCTTATTTTTCTATCATTACATATGACATGCAGCATGGAGTGGTAATAATGGCTCATACTATTTGGGCAACTTAGATAACTCTCTGAACTGCAATTTCCTAACCAGTAAAATGGAGAGAATACTAGTACCTATCTCGCTAAGTTGTTGGAACGATTACATGAAATGATATAAGTCAAAGTGCTTCTCCTCCCGTGGTTCACTATCCCAATTTTAGGGATCATGACCTTATTTCCCTTTTGCTGAGAGAGAAAATTCCAATTTAGGCCTTAACTGAGCAGGCTGTGGGTTGAGAAAAAGTATACAGCACTCTCAAAAAGGCATTTGGGAAACTACTGGAAAATCTGATTCTGGCCATATATTAAACAATTCTGTTAAATCCAGTACTAACGGGTATGATTGTGGTGCTGTAGCTTCATAGAAGTATGTCCTTGTTTGGCCGGGTGCGGTGGCTCACACCTGCAATCCCAGCACTTTGGGAGGCCGAGGTGGGCGTATCACCTGAGGTCGGGAGTTTGAGACCAGCCTGACCAACATGGAGAAACCCCGTCTCTACTAAAATTACAAAAAAATTAGCCGGGCATGGTGGCGCGTGCCTGTAATCCCAGCTACTCGGGAGGCTGAGGCTGGAGAATCGCTTGAACCCGGGAGACGGAGGTTACGGTGAGCTGAGATCGTGCCATTGCACTCCAGCTTGGGCAACAAGAGCGAAACTCCATCTCAAAAAAAAAAAAATGTCCTTGTTCTTTGGAAATAACATGCTTAAGTGTTGAAGGGTTAAGTATCATGATGTCAACAAATTACTTTTTTTTTTTTTTTTTTGAGACAGAGTTTCATTCTGTCTCCCAGACTGGAGTGCAGTGGTGCCATCTCAGCTCACTGCAACTTCTGCTTCCCGGGTTCAAGTGATTCTCCTGCCTCAGCCCCCTGAGTAGCTGGGATTACAGGCACCCACCACCATGCCCAGCTAATTTTTGTATTTTTAGTAGAGACGGGGTTTTACCATGTTGGACCAGGATGGTCTAGATCTCCTGATCTCGTGACCCACCCACCTTGGCCTCCCAAAGTGCTGGGATTACAGGTGTGAGCCACTGGGCCTGGCAACAAATTACTCTTAAGTGGCTCAGAAAAATATTATATAGATTGATCTATATACAGAGCAATCTAGCAAAATGTCAACAATCAGTGAATGTAGACATTCATCGTACTAGTCAGTCTTTCACCTTCTCTACTTATCTGACGGTTTTCAAAATAAAACCTTGTGTGTGGGGGAACTTGCACCATAGGAAAGCACCTTAACTGTCATGTGGCCCTTTCCCCTCCCCCTGGGAACTGCGCATGGGCCCTGAGGGTGCAGCTTCCACAGACTCACCCAGTGAGGTAGGGGTAAGTGTGGCTGACACCTTCTAAATCTACTTGGTAAAGCGAACTATACCCAGAGGGCGATGAAGAGCACAAAAAGCCAGGGTCCAACGGGCAGCACGCAATAGTGCAGGGTATGCCGTGCAATCCAGCCCTCTTCCTGAAGCTCTGGGGAAGGAGAGCCAGAGGGGCCATACAGAATGGTCCCAGATGAGAGACAAAGGCAGGCAGCTGCTTCGTATGGGTCCTGGCTGGGGCCCCCTAACCGTGTGTCTCATCAGCTGTCTCTCCTTTGTTAAAGGAAAAGCAGGAAGAGAGCAGTTGGTATCTTGGCATTACCCAGAACCCAGATACTCCTTCCCAGTCAACTCAATTATCTGCACCAATGAACTGGGAAAAAGGCACTGGTAACTGACTCTTGAAATCCTTTATTATGGACCTATTCTATGCTATGCTTGAAGTCTACCAAAAAATTAGATAACACCAAAACCAGATGAAATAACTAAACAACAAACAGTAAAGAGCAAAGATACAGTCAGACTCGTTCCTTTATGCCTTCATTTATCCCTTCTGCATCAGCCCAGTTCTCTGGTTTTCAGGGGCAATCTACAAATTGAAAAGAAAATCTGCTTTGTCTATCTGATAATAAATAGGTGATCTGCCTATGGCTAACCTGTGCCAGTAAGCTCATAAATGGAGTGGTGCACCTCACTCTGGACATGACACCTTCAAAGAAGAGAAACTAGCATTTAAAGGGTGATGCATATAATGAGGAAGGTGAGTAAGAAATAGGATGAGACTGGGCATAGTGGCTCACGCCTGTAATCCTCAACACTTTGGGAGGCAGAGGCAGGCAGATCACTTGAGGCCAAGAGTTTGAGACCAGCCTGGCCAACATGTATCTGGAATAGAAAAAGCTACATGCCTGGGTGACAGAGAGAGAGATTCTGTCTCAAATAAAAAATAAATAAATAAAAATAAATAAATTAATTAAAAAAAAAAAGAAAAGAAAAAAGATTAAATCTGGCATTTATTAAGCACACACATTGAGCATCCCAGAGACTGAGTCAGGTCTGACATGGTCTCACTTGATTCATGCAATCACTCTTTGACTGTATTTTTTGAAATTGCCAGATCATAGGAATCTATGCAGGTGTGGGGTTGTGGAATGACGAGGAGGAGAAGGAAGAGGTTAGGACTGAAAGCTGAGGCAAGTTGGAAAACATTGTCCCAGGAGTAAGGCATTTTCATTCCACTTTTCCTGGGGAAGAAACAGAGTCTCTAAGAGATTCCATGGCCTGCCCAAGGTCACACAGAGTGTAGCGATGATGCTCATGTGGAGGATATAATTTCAATTGCCAATATTTCCTAAATGCTCATCTCGCTAAGGACTTCAGGTGCAAAGTCAATGTTTGAACCTTGAGTTCAAGTCTTAGTTATGTCATGGTCCACAATCTTGCTATTACGTCATATATCAACCTTCCTTGAAAAAACATGGGGACACATCCAGTGAAAATCTGAAGGAAGTGGGGCTGCTGAGACCAGAGAAGAAAAGATGGGGACAGATGCATGGTAGTTGTTCCCAAATATTGAAAGGCTGACACTCTGTAGGCAATCACACTTATTCTGCATGACTTATTTTGAATATCCTCCACTTTATTCAGGGATGCATTTTGGTGAAGCCCACTAAGCTTTTGGGATCTTTCAGCGATGGGTGGAAGTCATATCCCTGACAGATTAATACAATGAGGAACTCTGAGAGACAGAGCTGTCCAAATATAGAATAAGATGATTTCAACATAGTGTTGCAGGAATGCCCCAGCAACAGAGGTGTCCAAGCTGGATGACCTCTGAGGGGGATGTTTTAGGGGGATTTGATGTATCTGGAATAGAAAAAGCTACATGACACTTAAGTTTCTTTCCAACTTTGAAAGTTTCATTTTACAGAAGTTGGTATTTACTCTATTTACAAATGGATTTTAAAATCAGGGAAGGGATGTAAAGTGGGTCAGTATTACCGACCAGATGGGGAGGGAATTGCGTCATTGAAAGCTGTGACCAGTCAAGGGTTCCAGCGAGTAAATCAGCTCAACCATTGAGTAGTTCTAACCCTCACAGTGCATCAAAATCACCTAGGGAGCTTTTAAAAATGACAGACACTGAAGCCACATTCCAAACCAAGTGAAGCTGAATCTCTGGGGATGGGCCCAGGAATTGGTCATTTTTAAAAGCTCCCCAGGTGGTGCTAATGTGCAACCAAGATGGAGAATCCCTGAGCTAGAGGAAATGAAGCCCGCGCTGAGGCTGGGCGTGGTGCCCTCTGAGTCTCAGGATGACCAGCAATCAGTTCATCTCTGCATCAGGGCCAGTGGTGGCCCCTCCGGCTGGAGGGAGTTGGTGGGAAACTGGAAGACAGGAAGATACAGCCCTTTAACCCTTTAATGCCTAACTTCTAGTTATTAAAAAATGTTCACAAATTCATAGAGATGGGAAGTAAAATGGCGGTTGCCGGGGCCTTGGGGAGGAGGGAAGGGGAATGGAGAGTTACTCTTTAATGAGTACAGAGTTTAAGTTTGGGAAGGTAAAAAAGTTCCAGAGATGGCTACAGGTGATGGTTATACAACAATGCAAATGCATTTAATGCCACTGAACTGTACATTTAGAAGTGGCTAAAATGGTAAATTGTAGGTTATACATATTTACCACAATATAATTGTTAGATGTTTAAAGTACACTAATTATAATGAAAAGTATAATTAAATACATCAACCCATCCTAATGTAAAATGTTAGCACTTAGTCAAATTTTGTTGTCTTTTTACAGGGGAAAAAAAAATGAAACTTTGCAGATAAAAAAAAAAAAATTCAGAGGGATTTATCCCAGGACTAAAAGAGTGATTCAACTTAAGAAAAACAATCAGTGTAAGGCACCACACTAACACAATGAAGGAAACAAAAAACAAGCCACAGGATTATCTCGAGTGATACAGAAAACAAGCATTTGACATAAAATTCAACACCCCTTTGTGATTAAAAAAAAATGATTAGAAAACTAGAAATAGAAGATGATTTCCTCAACACAAAGGACATTTATGAAAAGCCCACAGCTAACATCACGCTCACTGGTGAAAGGCTAAAATCAAGAAATCCCCCTAAGATCAAGAACAAGAGAAGGATGTCTGCTTTCACCACTGCCACTCAACATTATACTGAAAGTTCTAGCCAGAGCAATTAGGCAAGAAAAATAAATAAAAATCATTCAAATTGGAAAGAAAGACGTAAAACTATTTCTATTCACAGTTGACATGATCCTATGTATAGAAAATCCCAAAGAATCCAGAAACAAAAAAGCTACTAGAGCTAATAAATTCAGCAAAATTGCAAGGGACAAGATCAACACACAAAAATCAGCTGTGTTTCTACACACCAGTAATACACAAGCCAAAAAGGAAATTAAGAAACAATTCCATTTATGAAAGCTTTCAGAGCATCTGAGGATTGGATATCAGAACAGTCTTGCAGTCTTTTGAAGTGGAATCATCTTGTTAGTAACGGTCCTTGGCAGAGGCACATGCATCAGAGCCTTTAATTTTATATGCATATTAGTGCATCTCATATTAAAATTAAGTAGAGCAAATAGATTTGATGGGGTGGTAGTGTGAACTGCACAGGACATGTGTAAGAACCTGAACCACATCCACAGGCAGGTCAGAGTGGCCTGGGTCTCAGCCATCCTGCCTCGCTTCACGTCTCAAGAGTCACAGGATGCTGGGAAGCAAAATCGCAGGCCTCTCGGAGGAAATCAGGCCTGAGTCAGCCTTCCCAGGAGGTTAAGGGAACAGATGAGGCCCAGGAAACGGTTTACTGTGGAGGGTGTTTTTCGCTAGACTAGTTGGAGGGGTATTTTTAAGTTGAAGAAGGAACTAAAAGTGTTTTTAATTATTATTTTTTGTGTGTGACTAGGGGCCAGAAAGACGAAGTGTTTGCCAAGTATTGCCACATTTCTTAGCTCTCCATGTTCCAGAGACTCGAAAAGTTGATAGATGCTTCCATCACAGAGATAGCTGTCTTGACCCTAATATGTTTCTGTTCCTCTCTCTAGCTAAGAGGTAAGTAACATCTGCTGAGATGGAAACGCTAGGAAGATAAAAATTCCCAGTGATTTGCTGAAAGGGAATGAGCCCTAAACTGAAAGCCAGGAGCCCTGCATTCTAGGCGGGCTTCTGCAGTACCCCAGTTGTGTAGCTCTGAGCCCATCCCTTCCCTTCAGTGGGCCTTGATTCTTGCCTGTAAAGGGGAGAAGAGCAGGGGTTGGGAGGAGTGGAGATCCTTTTAACTTTGACATTCTGGTTTTTCTTAAAGGCCAAACCCTTCAAGAAGTCAAAAGAACTTTAAAAGAAGAGGGAAGTGACACTGATTGGAAATAGGAAGGCAAAAATAGAGACAAATTGTAAAAGATGGATAGGAGATTTTTCTATTCTAGGCCACTCCTTTCTACTGGGCCCAAACTGAGTTGATACCAGAGGTTCACAGGGACTCAGGAGGGGGCTAGATTAGGCAAGAAAGGAAAAACAGCACTCCTTTAAAAAAAAGATGGAGTTTCACTCTTGGCCCCCAGGCTGGAGTGCAATGGCATGATCTCGGCTTACTGCAACCTCTGCCTCCCGGGTTCAAGCAATTCTCCTGTCTCAGCCTCACGAGTAGCTGGGATTACAGGCACCTGCCACCACACCCGGCTAATTTTCATATTTCTAGTTGAGACAGGGTTTCACCACGTTGTCCAGGCTGGTCTCGAACTCCTGACCTCAGGTGATCCGCCCCTCTTACGGGCATGAGCCACCGCACCTGGCCAAAACAGCATTCTTGTTTTCAGTTTCCCCAGGCCAAGGTTTATCAAAGAAGCCAGATCCCAGAAAAAGCCCAAATATTCAAAGCTTGCCTACTTACCCATGGGCAAATCAACATTTTTATGAACTGCTTTTGAGGGAAAAAGAAGTAGAGGGGGTCTGGGGGAGCAAATTAACTCCCAAAGAATGAATAAATGGCACTTAAATGAGATAGGAGGCCTTTGAATGCTACTTAGTTTTTCTCCCCAATTCTATTAGTTTGGCAAGCATCTATAAAGTGCCTACTGTGTGCTGAGTGTTGTGGGTGGTCAGATAGGGTGTTTGGCTGGAAGGTACTCACAGGAAGATAGGCATGTGCACAAACACCCAAATATCTAAAATACAAAGCATGGCACACTGACAATCAACAAAAACAAAAAATGCAAAGCAGAATGTGAGACCTGCCCCAAGGGAAATCAGATAAACTGCTGAAGAAGTTCAGATCAGGGGCTGTTCTCTTTCACCCGGAAATGGTGTTCTCTTTCACCTGGTGTTCTCTTTCACCTGGAAAGTTCAGGAAATAGACCCTAGGGGCTGGAGCCCAAATCTGAAAAACCTTCTTTATTCTTCCAACCGTAGCGATTTTTTCCTGGCTCCACTTTACAGAAGTGAAAACCAGGACAGAGACATGAGGAATTATTTGCTCTCTGATCATCCAGGTGGTTAGCAACACAGCCAGATAGAGAACTACAAACTGATGATTGAAAACTTCCCCTAAAAACTGATGGTGAAAGCACATACTACTAGGAAGCTCATCTTAGAAGACAAAATCCATAGAGCTGTTCCCTCTGTCTCCCTTCTTAGGTCAATCCCAAAGACACACCAACAAAAAGTCAAAGCAGGATTTAAAAAAATGTCATAAGCAAGCTGGAATCATATATATCTCTGGCCTAAAGGAAGCCAAGGTCTCTGCAGTGTCAGATCGTCAGATCCTCCTCCTGGGGAGGCCATTCTTTTTGCGAAGTCTCCAGTCCCATTACAAGTGAGTTGCCGGGGACTTCATGTAGGGGGAACAAGAGCTAGCCCACAGATGAAAACCCAGGCAAGCCCTCTGCTTTTGCACAGTGAACGAACGTGCCCACAGGCTTCTCAGCATTGAATTTGAACGAGCCAATGGTATCCCAATCATTGAAACAGGAAGCCAGATAAACAGCATGTTATCAAGGGGGGATCCAGCTCTTCCCTTAAGCCGGCGCCAGCTGCGCCCTGTGACTATCCTAACAAAGTCCCATTGACTCACCAGCTGATTTTCCTGTGTTCGGCTCCAGGGGACAAGGAACCCTCTCTGCCGGGTGGACGTCACCCCTACACACCGCCCCCGCCACCCGCCACTCGCGTCCTCTCCAGTTCCTGCCTCCCCTCTGCCCGCTGCAAACTTAGCTGCTTCTTTATCCTATGACCAGTTTTTATCGGCTCTGGGGATTAGCAGGGACCAGAGCCCAAGCCTCGGGAGCGCTCAGGTGAGCTCCCCGTGATCACCCAATTTCTGCGTTCTCCTCTCTCCCCTCTCCTCCGGGACCACTTTCTCCGCTCCCAGACGCACTGGGCGGGCGCCAGAGAGGACGGCCTCCGGGAGATTGGCGGGAGGGCGCTTCCCGGCGCATCCCGGGGGTGCGGGGAACGTTTTCTGGAACGGCCCGCGAGGTCACCTGCCCCAGCTGTTCCTCTGGCTCCTGCTGGGATGGGAGGAGTTAACTCTTGCTTCAACGAAAGGCAGAGGTGCGGGTAGGGTGTGTGCTTGCCGTGTGGGTGCGAGTATAAGAACGCAGCACCTGGTGTCTCATGATAAGATCTCAACGCACTTTAAATTGTGGGTATTTCACAACAAGGAAACTGAGGCTCAGAGGGACTGAAGTTAGGCAGCCCCCCCGGAGAGTCAACTCTAGAATCAAACGCGCAGTCAGTCCCATAGGGGTCGAAAGGGCACACACCTTCCCGGGAAGCCGCGAGCATCTTGGTTGTTATTTATTCCAGCGCCTCTCCCGAGCCCAGCCCACAGCCTCCCTCGGGCACCAACCTCCCCTACCCCGAGACTTGGTCTCGGCCTCGCAGGACCTGCCAGCCAAGCCTCGCAAAACGGGAAGCGCCAGACCCTCAGCGCCGCGACCGCGCGACCGCCCCGCGCCGGCCACTCACCGGAGCGCCTGCCCGCCCGGGCTCCGGGTCCGCGCCGCAGCCGCGCAGAGTCGCGCATCCCCAAGGGCAGCGCGGGTGCGGGGTCCGCTTCTCGCGAGCACAAAGTTTCCCGGGGCTCCCCAGGCCGCCTCGGCCCCTCGCACCAGGCTTGGCGTCCGCCGCGCACTCCAGCCTCGGGCCCCGCACTAGGGCAGCCGCCGGCCCCGGCCCCACAATGAGGAGGGAGGCGGCATCCTGAACAAAGTGCCGTCCCCTCGGGAACGGCGGCCGGGGCGGAGCCTCGTGACCCGCTGCCCCAGGCACACGCCGGCTGCCTCCACGGCGGGCCCAGGAGGGGAGTGCCTGGCGGCCGGGGGGCGGGCAGGAGGAGAGAATCCGTCCGATCGCCCTGGCTTTCCTCCCCCTGCACTGTGCCAGTTTAACCCGCAGAGGGGCGGAGGCATGGGTCCCTTCCAGACTTTGTCATTGGAAAGCTATTCCCGTAACCCTTTGCTGCCTTCGCCTTCCCGTCCCGCCTCCCAGGCTGGCCGCAGAAAGGCGGCTGCTCGGTGGCGGACCCGCGAGCTGGCAGGGCAGGAAGCCTTTGCACAATTGAGCCTTTCCTTTGCCCGGGGACCCGCCACCGCCACTTCCAGGCCGGGTTTCCTCCCTCCCCCACATGTCGTCCGGGTACCGCTCGCTGGTTCAGCCGCAGTTCTTTAGGAGAAGGGGACAGATGGATGGGCCAGCCTCTCCACCCGACTTCTGACCCCGGGCACCCACCTCCTTTCTTTCTCCACCCCACTGAACTGTCATGCTGTCTGAGCTGTCTTAGAGGAGGGGGAGGCCCCGCAAGTGCCCCGCAAATAGTAGGTGCTCAGTAAAATAAGTGACTTCTCCCCACCTTCCAGACAGCCGATGCCCCTCCTCCTTCTTCCAGGGACTTGGGAGTGGGAGGAGGGGGAAGAAGAGGAGAGAGGAAATGACAGGACCTGAGGAGAGTGAATGGGAGGAAGGCCCTCAGCCAGAACCTACTGCAGAAGCAGTGCAAGCCCCCTGCCTCCTGGCTTGGGGACTTCCAGGGTCTGCAGGAAGAAGGCAGAAGGAAGCCAGATGACCTGAGCTTTGAAGCAGGCTTTGGAAAGGGAGTAGCTGTGGCCAAGGACCCAGCAGATTCCCCTGCTCCTGCCAACAAATAAGAGGACTGATCTATTCCCAGGGCCATGGGGTTGCAAGTTGGAGGACTGATGGATAGAAAGCAAAACTGCCTACTCCCTGGGAGGTCTCACAGCTCTTTGCCAGCAAAATCAGTGTGAGCAGAGTCAGGATGAGAGCCCTTGAGTCCTCCCTGAACGCCCCACACAGTCAGTAAGGCCACAGTGGCTTTGAATTTGGAGAGATGAGACACCAGACAATGGACAAGCAGTGACATTCAAGAAGTTCCCAACTGATCAGGGAAAAAGATTTGTTGTATGATTTTTGTCCATGAAGGGAGTGAACTGCCTTTTGGCGCGGGATAAGGGGGTGGACTGCAGAGTGACACCCTTACCCTCTGTATAAAGACTAGAAGTGTGGGCTCTTAAGGCAGACTGCATGAGTTCAAATCCTGGATCAATGATTTTTTAGCCATGGGAACTTACTGAACTCTTTAACCTCTAGCTACCTCAGTTTCTTTATCTGTAAAATGGGATAATAATGGTTCCTATCTCCTAAGAGTGTTGGGAGGATTAAATGCGATACTATAGGTGACACACTTAGAATAGTGCTTGGCACATAGTAAATGCTCAGTGAACATTAGCTGTTACTTTGATCTTGGAGTAACTAACTCTTGGAGATCTAACTCTTGGAGATCTAACTCTTGGAGATGTAACTCTGCGCCCAGTTTGGCATTCAATGATGTGCTAGCTAGAATCCTTTTGTGCTCTTCCCAGTCCTGCAAAGGGGAGCCTAGTCCTTTAAGAAGAAGCACTGTCCTTTCTTGAGAGCTCAAAAGGTGGGACCCCAGGGACCAAGGACCACACAGTAGGTATGCAAATGACTATCAGAAGGTGAAATGACTCCTTGACCCATTGTGAGGCTGGATGCATAGCCCCCATCCACATTGGTAATGCTGGGATGATGTCATTCCTTGGGTGCTACCCAGAATGGAAAAGAAAGCCAAAGCTATAATTTCGTAAGGGTTAGATCTCTTCTATCAGTACACAGGATCAATATTTCTCTCCCACTTATGAGTGGCTGCTCATACAAGTTCTCCCTCACCCTGCTCCTAATGTCCCAATCAATATGGGTGACGGGATCATTTGTACCCCAAGCCTCAGCATCACACAATATACCCAGGTAACAAGCCTGCATATGTACCCCCTGAATCTAAAATAAAAATTCAGAAAAATGTCCCACTCACAGATTTCCAACAGTGAACCTGTATGTGTAGGCAAACATAATAGCATATGGACAGGTTGAGGGAGGAAGGAGTAAAGGGGCCAGTCTGGTTGGGGTGACAGGCAGAGGATATGAAAGCTACTGAAAGAGAAAGTGGATAGGACAGAGCGGCAGGGAGGAGAAGCCAGAAGAGACTCTGGACAGAGCACTGTTTGGGTAAGAAACAGGGTCCCGCCCATCCCAGAAGTGGCCTCTGCCAAATGCCTACTTTGTGAGTAGTTTTTGTCTGAACACAGTGATGACTCAGTTGCTCTGAGTCTAGCAAATGGATTTTCCTTAAATATGAAAATCAATAAGAGGTAAAGGCAAGGACCTCGCTGTGGGGAGGGGAGGATGGAGAGAGTGGGAGAGGTGCTGGGGCGTGAAATGATTTGTGAGTGATGGAAGGAGGGAGATTCAGGTTCACTGCAGGAGACCCTTGGCATAGTCACCTGTACCCCCACTCCCCACCGAGAAGGTGGCCTCCAGGACCTGCTGGCCTCACTGAGGCTCCTTAAAACCCAACAGCCCCTCTGTTCCCCTCCTCCACAGCTTAGAGCCAATCCTGCTTTGGGACAAGATGGGTAGCGAAAGGATTAATGTCAACCTGACAAATAAGTTTTAAAAAATCAGCCCAGAAGCTTGCTGTCACTCCCATAGAGTATCAGATCCGGCCTCCGACGAGATGAGAGTTTTGGGAACCCCAGGAAGTATGGCAAGTGACATTTTCAGCCCCAGCCTGATTTCTTTGGGGGCTTTGCCTGTTTTCCTGCCGCCTTGAGGTCTGTGGACCAATGCTAATTTGTTTCTTGGGTTATCTGACATGGGACTTTGAGGATTTGAACACACTCACAGCTCCTGCGTTCCACGTGGCCCACAGGGAGACTGTCTTTATCCTTCGGACTGTCTTGTTTGGGGCTCCCAGAGCAGTTTGTAAGGTCCTTGGCAGGAATATGAAGATAGCACATTGCTTTATTTTCTTGAGCACTTAATAAGCGTCACTGGAGCTTCTAAGGAGGAGTCCGAGGCAGCTTCTGACTTCCTCCTCTGAAGCACAGTGGAAAAACACTGGGCCCAGCTTCAGAAGACCTGACTCCATGCCTTGGTTCTGATGCTGGCTGAAGTGCATCACCTCAGTTTGCTCATCAGTAAAAGGGAGTGTTGACACCCAGAGGACAAGAATACCCACCTACCAAGGGCATGGTGAGTATTCAGTGAGATCATGGAGGAGAAAATGGTTTCTGCAGTGCTGCTCACATATAAGCAGAAGTGGGATTATCAAACAGAAAGCATCAGCTCATATTCCCAACCCCGCCCCACCTCCCCACCCCAGTCAAATTCACTGTGGTTATGGGCTCAGTGCTTGAAAACCCATTTTTCAGTGATAGAAATCTGACTGGCCACTAAAAATCCTTGTCCTTTCTAGCTTGATTCATTAACCAGTGAGGGGTTTCCTAGGCTAGTGGAATGGGGTTGGACATGGGCAAAACAGGCATCTCCATCCTTGGCCACTCGGGCCTCATGACTGGCCCTGGGCCCCCTTTAAGAAGGGCCCTCTGTGTTGACTGTTGGAGCTTACAGGGACCTGGGAGAAAGAGTCCATGGGGAAAAGCTGTCAGAGTAATGAATGTTTTACGAGAGTGAGCGAGTCACTGCCTTATCGGGAAGATGCTGTTTCTCACTCTCTCTCTGTTACCAGGAAGTGAGATGTACTGAAAGCCATCGTGGTGTTTTTCCAAAGATGGCCTTTGAAGAGGAGGTGTTTCTTTAAGGGGCCCAGGAGAATAGGGGTTGGGTTTGCAGGGAGAAAACCTGCCCCTTTAAGAAGCCTGGTTCTGGCTGTGGCAATCCTGTGGTATGGAAGATAATAATAGTCCCTACTTATATAGCATTTGCTGTGTGCCAACTGCTATGCTAAGCATTTAACATATATTAACCCATTTAATCTCCACAACAACCCTATGAAATCTGTACCACTTTTTATCTCCACTTTACAGGTAAAGAAATTGAGGTCAAGTGTCTTGTCTGGGTCTCAGCTAGTAAGTGATAGAGGTAGGATTTGAACTGAAGGAGTCTGGCTCCTGAGTCCATGTTTTCAAATACTACATATATGCAGAGGAAAGGAGTCTTGATAGTCTCCATAGCAGTGTGGAGAGCTTGATCATGTACTAGTTCAGCACATTTCTTTATTTCTTTTCAACAGCTTTATTGAGGTACAATTTACATATTATAAAATTCACCCACTCGAAATATACAACTCTAAATCTACAGAGTTCTGCAGCCATGACCAGAACCAAGTTTTAGAACATTTCCACCACCCCAAAAAGCTACCTTGTTCCCCATGCATGTTTTAAACTGAGTCTCAATTTTCTCAACTGTAAAATGGGAATAACAGTGCCTGCCTCATACGGTTGTTATGAGCATTAAATCAACATGTAAATGGCATAAGGTAATGGTCAACAAATGTTATCTATTATTATTACAGTCTCTTAGAGTCACTTAAATACAGACTTTTAGAGCTGGAAGTGGGAATGGTCTTAAAGACAATCTAATCAAACTCTCTCCTTTAACAGATAAAGAGATAACAGTGCCAAGATGTTAAGCAACTTGCCAATTAAGGACACAGTAAATTTAGTGGCAGAGCTGGGAATGAAACCCGGGTTTCTTGGTTGGTACTTCAGTCCTCTCTTATCTCCTGAGAGACTTTCCACTCGAGGCACAGGAATATCATTGTCCAATACCCCCTTCACCCCCCATCTTTGCCATCTTTGTGGGTGCCTCCAGAGCAATGCTGACTGGCAGGCATGGACCCTGGGACTTTGCTTGTGCTGGAATACATAGAGCTCTGGCTTTGGAGCAGGGAATGTGGCTGAGGAATGTTGGGTGCAGAATCAGGGGACCAGATCCAATGTGGAGGCTGAGACAGGAATGTCCATTGTCAGAACACGGAATGCATTAACTAAAAGAATCCAGGACACAGCCAGTCCAACGGTCAGCTAGTCTCTGCAGAGCCAGCTTCATGGGCATATGACCTGTGCAGTCACACGGGGGCTCAAGCTTAGAAAGGCCCCCTGCTTGGTTTAATGCTTTGTTGTTGCCATCTTGAAATTCACAATGATTTTTAACAAGAAATGTCACATTTTTATTTTGCACTGGATCTTGTAAATTATGTAGCTGGTTTTGCCCATGTGATAGCAGAGCTGCAGCCAGACTCTTAAGGCCCTAGCAAGGAATAGTGTCTCTCCACCCAGAACTTACTCACATGTAAACTCTATGTATAATACACAGTCATAGAGTCTTAATACCGAGCATTAGAAGAATCAAAGCCTGGGCAACATATGGAGAACCTGTCTCTACAAAAAATTTTATTAAAATATTAGCCAGACATGGTGGCACATGCCTGTTGTCTCAACTACTCAGGAGGCTGAGATAGGAGGATGGCTTGAGCCTGGGAGGTGGAGGGCGCAGTGAGCCATGATTGTGCCATTGCACTCCAGCCTGGGCAACAAAGTGAGACCCTGTCTGAAAACAAACAGAGAATAAAAGTTGTGAAACAATTTGCACATTATGATCCAATTTATGATGAAAGATGCCCCATTAAAGTATATCTTTCTATATGTACATATGCTTGTATGAAAGTATATTTTTTTAAGGTCTGGAAAAACACTTCAAACTGGCAGTCATCAAGGGAGTCATTAACTTTTTCTGTGTGTTTGAGTTTGTTTTTTACAAGGAGAATCTATTCATGTATTACATACATAATTATTAAAAAAGTGTAAGATACTCCTAATACATTCTGTAAGCATTTTCCTATATCAATAAATAGTCAGTAAATAGTCTTAAAATGCCAAGAAAAGGTGTCTTGAGAGGGGAAAGCAGAAGTAGGTGTCAAGAGGGACCCTGGAGAGTGGTAGACAGGGGCAAAGACTATTTCAGGCCATGACAGGGCCTGAGGGGAACAGGCTTGGATGTGAGGAAGGGAATACCGGGTGGGGGAACCCAGAGGTAGCTGGTGAGAGGGTGGGTGCTAGGTGTCAGCTCCGTTCAGATTTAGAGGCTGCGATGTCCACTTTGGTGAGGGTAGGGGAGGATGATAGGAGCTGGAAAAGGATGAATTGCCAAATACGACTGGAGGTAAAGGCTGTAGAGGTGAATCCAGCTGTGGTGAGAAATGGATGAGGTGGAGGTAGGCAGGTGATTCCCTGCAAGGGAGAAAGAATGGGGCTCAGATGTTGGATTTAACAGAGAATGGGAGATTTGAGGCAGTGTGGCCCAGTGGTCAGAGTGCAAGCTTTGGAGTCAGGACGGCAATCAAATCCCAGATTCACTGCATCCTAACTGTGTAACCTTGAATTCTCCTCTGGGAAACAGAAATGATCTTGATAATAGCTATGCAGTAGGGTTGCTGGGAAGATTTGATAAGATGATGGAGGTAAAGCATTGCATCCAGTGGCTGGCACAGACCCCCAAATCTTCCCCTTTTCTCTTTAATTGATTTTGTGGTTTGAGGCTCTTAAATGGCAAGAAATCATTTGCATGAATAAAGAGCCATTCTTCCAAGCACTTCCCTCCTAGTTTTCTGGGAGAGCCACTGGAAGCCAGGATTCAGAGTTCCATCCTGCAAAAGCTGAGCTGAGCTAGCCAGGAAGGAGGAGGAGCTGACTGTGGCCCAAGGGCTGGGAAGCAAGGCAGAAGGGGAGAATCCAGCCCTAATTCCCACGCTGCTGGTGCCAGTGAGGCTGACTGTGGGAAAACCTTGTCAGGGGTCACACTTTGGGATCTCTAGGAGCAAGGTGCTCTGTGAATGCTTATCTCAGATTCTCTCCACCCCTGGCCCTTTCAGTGCCCCCAGCCCAACTCCGGGGAGAGTATGAGTGACTGACAGGCCCTGCTGCAGCTGCAGCCTCCTCACTGTGGGTACAGATGTGCTCAGCAGCAGCTGTGACACGGAGCCCACACCTGTTCCCTAGATCAGCTGCTGTAACTGTACTCCTGGGAAAGCAGGCCAGGTGCTCAGGCCTTGCCAAAGCCAGGTCAGAAAGCAGGTGGAAAGTCGGGCATCTGCCTGTCATAGCAGCGGTGGAGGCTGCCTGGAAGGTCATGAGGCCCTGGGAGTCTCAGCTACAGACTGGGCTCCTCTTCCAGCCCACGCTTGTCCCCAGCTGTACGCCTCCCACAGGCCCTCTGTGGTTTCCTGACCCCCTCCCTGGGCACCACCACATTGGGGTGGGAGAGACTGAGGAGCTAGGAAGGAGGCGGGGAGTCTTGAATGGGATGCCTCTGGCCATCTGTTATTCTGGGCCTGTAAGCTGTAAAGTCAGGGGACTTGTCCTGGGAGGTGGGGGTGCCCTGGAGCTGAGCAGCAACAAGGACCGGAGGAGTCAAAGAGAACTGAGGCAGGGAGAGGCCAAGGATGAGGGTGCGTCTGGAAATGAGAGCAGGAGAGCCTCTTGCGTGGCTTTGGCTGTGGAGACCTTCGTTCCGGAGACTCTGGGCTGCCACGGGAGAATTCCACTAAGCATGTGTCGGGGGCAGGCCCGGGCAGGCGGCCGTGGGAGCGCTGCACACACTCTGCTCCAGGCCTTGGCCAGCTAAAGTGCCGCTCTGGGAGAGCCTGGATACCGGGTGAATCCAGAAATCCCAGGTCCCTGGGAAAATTTCAACAAGGCAACTCTGACACGCGTCCTCTGACACCCAGACCGACACAATATATTGCTCACGCCAATACACATAAAAACCTCCCGATAGAAAACCAGATGGTGAGTTGGCATTGCTGATGTCTGGATTCTACACCCACACCCCACATAGTGCTTATAAAGAACACACCCTCCACTCATCCAGCCCACCCCACTTTCAGGGAGAGGAATCTTGAGCCTGCGATGCTCATAATGATGCTAACGCCTCAATGGAACGGTGCTCGCCAATTTCCCCAGTATCTCTGACAGTGCCGTGCCAGAAGAAACAGCACATGTGGCAAGCAGCTCCCGGCCAGATGTGGGACACTGCTGACCCCTGCTGGCGCTTTTCTCTCCACGCCAACCAGGGAGAGCCCCAGGGAGAATGCAGTATTGGAAAAACCTTGCAATCTGTCTGGGAGGGGTAGGAAGAAATACCCCAGCTCAGAATCTCCTCATCTGGAGTGCCTTTGACGAGACTAAGATGAAATTACAGTAAACCCAGACTGAGTTTCTGGGAGGAGTGAGACAGACTAATAGTATGTCCCCCTTCAGCCTTTGTGGCCTGGAAAACCCTGCTGCCAATCCCCTTGAAACTAAATTGGGAAACCATTAGCAACACTCCTTTAGCCAAGCTCAACCTTTAGGAGGAAAAAAAAAAGTAAGAAAGAAAGAAAAAGAAAAGAAAAGAAAAGAAAAAAAACACCATCCACAAGTAGCCCAAGATTTTCCAGTTACAATCAACCCCTTCCTTACCCACCCCCTGTCCTGCCCCAACGCCTTGCAGAGTCTTTGTGAAGTTTTAGCTTAATTTATTGTGGGTTTAATATTCCCCTTAGACTAAGATGTAATCATCATGGGTTTAATACTTTTCTTTCCATGAGAGACAGTAGCACTGTGCTCTTTGAAAAATCTTTACTAAGACCAGGTGTGGTGGCTCACGACTGTAATCCCAGCACTTTGGGAGGCCTAGGTGGGTGGATCATCTGAGGTCAGGAGTTCGAGACCAGCCTGGCCAACATGGCGAAATCCCGGCTCTACTAAAAGTACAAAAATTAGTCGGGTGTGGTGGTGGGTGCTTGTAATCCCAGTTACCTGGGAGGCTGAGGCAGGAGAATTGCTTGAACCCGGGAGACAGAGGTTGCAGTGAGCCGAGATCGTGCCACTTCACTCCAGCCTAGGTGACAAGAGTGAAACATAAAAAAAAAAAAAAATCACTTTGTACCCACAGAGACGAAGTTCAAGTCTTCCAGAATCTCTACTGGAATAGTCATAGCGACCAAAGGAGGACCAGGACTCTGATAATTCCAACAGAATTAGTATGGAAGCCCCACAGCACAGAGAAGTGTTTCCATTATTAAAACTCTTTTCTCTGTCTGGGCATGGTGGCTTGACCCTGTAATCCCAGCACTTTGGGAAGCCAAGACGGGCAGATTGCTTGCATCCAGTAGTTCGAGACCAGCCTTGGCAAGGTGACAAAACCCCATCTCTATAAGAAATACAAAATAATTAGTTCATGTCTGTGGTTCCAGCTATCCGGGAGGCTGAGGTGGGAGGATCACCTGAGCCCAGGAGGCGGAGGTTGCAGTGAGTCGAGACTGCACTACTGCACTGCACTCCAGCCTGGGCAACAGAGTGAGACCCTGTCTCAAACAACAACAACAACAACAACAACAACAACACAACCCTTTCTCTCCTTTGCACCCTACTCTAGACCCAGAGCTCTTTTTCACTTTGTTGTTAAACTCCATGAATTGTGTGTAGACCCCCTATCACTCTACAACCCATCACCATTAGGCCTCCACTCTGAACACTCCTACAAAGGCAATCATGGGCCTCTTAATAGCTAATCTAATGTACATATTCCAGTTCTCATTTTACTTGCCCTCTATAGCATCTGACATTTTAACGTCTATTCATTCATTATTTATTTTAAAATTTATTATGAACTATTTTAGGCCTGCAAAAGGTATACAGAATAATATAACAAACATATCTGTTCCATTAGTCAGGGTTCTCCAGAAAAGCAGAATCAATAGAATGTACACTATAGATAGACAGGGAGGGGATGGAGGGGGAAAGAGAGGCGGGAGGGAGAGGGAGAAATAGAGAGAGGGAGAGAGAAAGAGATTTATTATAAGGAATTGGCTCATGCAATTGTAGAAACTGACAAGTCCCAAGATCTGCAGGGTGAGTCAGCAAGCTGGAGACCTAGGAGAGTCTATAGCATGTTAGTTCCAGTCCAAAGTCTGAAGGCCTTAGAAACAGGAGGGCTGATGATGTAGTTCCCATCCAAAAGCCAGCAAGTTCAAGACCCAGGAAGAACCAGTGTTTCAGTTCAAGTCTGAAGGCAGGAAAAAGCCAATGTCCCAGTTTGAAGGCAGTTAGGCAAGAGGAATTCGCTTTTACTTAGGGGAGAGTCAGCCTTTCTCGTTCTATTTAGGCCATCAACTGATTGGATAAGGCCCACCTATATTAGAGAGGGCAATTTGCTTTACTCATTCTACTGATTTAAATGTTAATCTCAACCAAAAACACCCTCACAGAAACATCCAGAATAATATTTTACCAAATATCTGGGCATCTTTTGGCCCAGACAAGTTGACACATAAAATTTAACCATCACATCTGTAAATGCCCTGAGTTTAAGAAATAAAGCATTACGGCCGGGTGCGGTGGCTCATGCCTATAATCCCAGCACTTTGGGAGGCCAAGGCGGGCAGATCATGAGGTCAGGAGATCGAGACCATCCTGGCTAACACGGTGAAACCCCATCTCTACTAAAAATACAAAAAATTAACCAGGCGTTGTGGCAGGCACCTGTAGTCCCAGCTACTCCAGAGGCTGAGGCAGGAGAATGCCATGAACCTGGGAGGTGGAGCTTGCCGTGAGCTGAGATCGTGCCACTGCACTCCATCCAGCCTGGGCGACAGAGCGAGACTCCGTCTCAAAAAAAAAAAAAAAGAAATAAAGCATTACAAATATAGTTTAAGCTCCTCCTCTATTGCATTCCTTTCTCTCCCCCCAGAGGAAACGTTATTCTGAACTTGGAGTTAATTATTCCCATGCATATGTTTTTTTTTTACTATATTATACACTCTATATGCATTGCATTTTAACTATATGAATAACATCATGCTGTGTATATTCTTCTACAATTTTCTTTTTTGACTCAACAAATTTGTAAAGTTCATCCATGTTAATGCATATAGCTTTAGTTTACTCATTTTCACTGCTGTATAATATTCCATTGTACAACTACATTCTAATTTATTTATTTTATTTTATTTTTCTTTGAGATAGAATTTCACTCTGTTGCCCAGGCTGGAGTGCAATGGCGTAATCTCGGCTCACTGCAACCCTGCCTTCCGGTTTCAAGCGATTCTCCTGCCTCAGCCTCCCAAGTAGCTGGGATTACAGGTGCCCACCACCACGCCTGGCTAATTTTTGTATATTTAGTAGAGATGGGATTTCACCTTGTTGGCCAGGCTGGTTAGAACTCCTGACCTTGTGATCTGCCTGCTTCAGCCTCCCAAAGTGCTGGGATTACAGGCATGAGCCATTGCACCTGGCCTATTTATTTTATTGTTTCTAATTTTTTTGCGATTACAAACCGTGCTGCTATGGAAATTCTTGTAAAGATCTTATTGTGTACATTTGTGTTTCTCCAGTAGTCTACCCAGGAGTGAAACTGATGGCCGCAGAGCCTGGACACTTTAACTTTACCATATTCATCCTAACACTGGTATTGTCAGACCCTTTTTTTGGACAACCAGATGGATGTGAAATTGTAGATTATCATGATTTTAATTTGTATTTCACCAACTATTAATAGGATTGAGCATCTTTTCATAAGTTTGTTCAGATTAGAATTGCCTTCTATTCCTATTTCCTAATCTTTTTCCAATTATATTGTTGGTTATTTTCTCTTGGATATATAATAATTCTATAGTGTGGCCAATTGCCCTTTTTCTGTTACATGTTTTTCTCTTATCCTTTCCAAACTGGTGGCTTCTGTCTCAGCACCTTTTTAATAGCTTTATTAAGGTATAATTAACATAGCCTAAAATTCACCCATGGTAAAGGTATGATTCAATGATTTTTAGTAAATTTAAAGAGTCGTGTAACTATTACCACAGCCTAGTTTTAGAACATTTATAACATCCCAAAGCAATTCTTCCTACCCATTTGTAATCAATCTCACCCTCAGCCACAGGCAACCACTAATGTGCTTTCTATCTCTATAGATTTTTCTTTTCTAGATATTTAATATAAATGAAATAATCTAATTTATGGTCTTTTGCATCTGGCTCTTTTCACTTAGAATTTTTTTTTTTTTTTTTTTTTTTTTGAGACAGAGTCTCGCTCTGTCGCCTAGGCTGGAGTGCAGTGGTGTGATCTGGGCTCACTGCAAGCTCTGCCTCCCGGGTTCACGCCATTCTCCTGCCTCAGCCTCCTGAGTAGCTGGTACTACAGGCGCCCGCCACCATGCCCAGCTAATTTTTTGTATCTTCAGTACAGACGGGGTTTCACCTTGTTAGCCAGGATGGTCTTGATCTCCTGACCTCATGATCTGCCCACCTCAGCCTCCCAAAGTGCTGGGATTACAGGCATGAGCCACTGCGCCTGGCCTTTGAATTATGTTTTTAAGGTTCATTTCGGTATAGCTATAGTAGTTTTTTTTTCTTTTTATTGCTGAGTAGTATTTCATTGTATGAATACAGCACATTTTGTTTATTTACCAGTTAATGGATTTTTGGCTTAATGATCTCTGATGAGAAATAACTCTCACATTTATATTTTACCCCCTGCATGTAATGTGTCTTTTCCCCCTATGGCTGCTTTTAAGATTTTCTCTTTAGTTTTGGTTTTCAGCAATTTTACTCTGATGTACCAAGTGTGATTTTTTTTCTTTTTTCGTTTTTTTTTTTTTTGAGACAGAGTCTCACTCAGTCGCCCAGGCTGGAGTGCAATGGTGTGATTTCGGCTCACTGAAACCTCTGCCTCCTGGGTTCAAATGATTCTCCTGCCTTAGCCTCCCCAGTAACTGAGATTACAGGCACCCACCACCACTCCTGGTTAATTTTTGTATTTTTAGTAGAGACAGGGTTTCACCATGTTGGCCATGCTAGTCTCAAACTCCTGACCTCAGGTGATCTGCCCACTTCAGCCTCCCAAAGTGCTGGGATTACAGGTGTGAGCCACCACGTCCAGCTCTGGCTAATTTTATATTTTTAGTAGAGACTGG
The DNA here is from genome assembly GCF_000001405.40 of Homo sapiens. Lineage (NCBI taxonomy): Eukaryota > Metazoa > Chordata > Mammalia > Primates > Hominidae > Homo > Homo sapiens. Next base: position 201,526,022 of record NC_000001.11, on the reverse strand, counting down.
GTTTCACCAAATTGTCCAGGCTGGTTTTGAATTCCTGACCTCAAATGAGCTGCCTGCCTTGGTCTCCCAAAGTGCTGGGATTACAGGCATAAGCCACTGCGCCTGGCCCCAAGTATGATTTTTAAAAAGTTTATCCTGCTTGGGGTTAGTTGAACTTTTTGGACCTGTGGATTGTTATTTTTCATCAACTTTTAAGCCACTGTTTCTTTAAATATTTTTCTGCCTTATTGTTTTTTTCCTTATGGAACTCTAATTGCATGTATGTTAGACTGCTTACTATTATCCCACAATTTGCTAATGCTCTGTTCATTTTTTTCAACCATTTTTTCCTCTCTCCACTTCAATTTAGATAATTTTTATTAGCTTATATTCAATTCACTTATTTTTTTCTTCTGCAGTGTCTAATTTGCTGTTAAGCTCATCCAGTAAGTCTTCATACACTGTATTTTTCAATTTTGTAATTTCCCTTTAGTTCGTTCTTGAATTTCCATTTCTTTTGAAATACCTTATCTCTTTACCTATTGTGTGTTTTTTTTTCCTTTAAAATTTTCAGCATACTTATAATTGTTGTTTTAAAGCCTTTGTCTGCTGATTCTCATAACTAGATCACCTGATGGTCTTGTTGTCTTGTGATTATGAGTCATAGTTTTCTACTTCTTCATATGTCACACAAAATTTGTATTCTGTACCCTGTGTGTGAAATAGCAGTAGAGGTTAGCAGTAGAGATTTAAGTATAATTTTTGTGTTTTGTTTCCATTTTTCAGGGAGTGGAAGCTTTTCCTTCTGTTTGGTGGTTAAAGTGCATAAACATAGGATTATTACATCCTCTTGATGAAATGACCTCTAATCATTATGAAATGTCCTTCTTTATCTCTGGTAATATTCTTTGCTCTGAAAACAACTCTTGTTGTTATTGTTTCATTTCATTTTTGTTTTTTGAGACAGGGTCTCACTCTGTCACCTAGGCTGGAGTGCAGTGGCATGACCACGGCTCACTGCAACCTCTGCCTCCTGGGCTCAGGTGATCCTCCCATCTCAGCCTCCCAAGTAGCTGGGACTATAGGCCTGCACCACCACACCTGGCTAATTTTTTGTATTCTTTGTAGAGACAGGCTTTCACCATATTGCCCAGACTGGTCTGAAATCAACTTTGTCTGGTGTTAATACAGCAACTCCAATCTTCTTTTGACTAATGTTAGCATAGTATATTCTTCCTATCCTTTTAAAGATTTTATATTTAAAGTTCATTTCTTGTAGATAGCAAATAATTGAGTCTTACTTTAAAAAAAAATCCATCTAATAGTCTCTGCCTTTAAAATGAAGTGTTTAGGCCATTTAGATTTAATGTGATTATTGATGTGGTTGGATTTGAGTCTATCACTTTGCTGTTTATTTATTTATTTTTTAATTTTTTTGAGACAGAGTCTCACTCTGTCACCCAGGCTGGAGTGCAGTGGCGCAGTCTTGGCCCACTGCAACCTCTGCCTCCCAGGTTCAAGAGATTCTTCTGCCTCAGCCTCCAGAGTAGCTGAGATTACAGGTGCGTGCAACCACACTAGGCTAATTTTTTTATTTTTAGTAGAGACAGGGTTTCACCATGTTGGCCAGGCTGGTCTCAAACTCCTGACCGCAAATGATCCGCCCACCTTGGCCTCCCAAAGTGCTGGGATTACAGGCTTGAGTCACCACACCTGGCTCCATTGTTTATTTTCTATTTGTCCCATCTGTTCTTTGTTCAATTTTTTCTCTTTTTCTGCTTTAGATTAATTGAGTATTTTCACAATTCCATTTATCTCCTTTGCTGGTTTATTAGCTATAACTCTTTGTTTTGTTATTTCGGTGGTTGCTTTAGGATTCATACTATTTATCTTTAGCTTACCCAAATCTACCTTCAAGTGATATTATACCATTTCATGCATAGTATAAGAACCTTGCAATAATGTGCTTCCATTTGTCTCCTCCTGACCTTTATACTATTATAACCATGCATTTACTTTTCCAAATGTTATAAACCCTGAAATACATTCTTATTATTTTTGTTTAAATAGTCAACTATCTTTTTAAAAGTATTAAATAATTTTCTTCTTTCCTTTTTTTTTTTTTTTTTTTGAGACGGAATCTTTCTCTGTTGCCCAGGCTGGAGTGCAGTGGTGCTATCTCGGCTCACTGAAACCTCCACCTCCCGGGTTCAAGCGATTCTCCTGCTTCAGCCTCCCTAATAGCTGGGATTACAGGCGCCCGCCACCACACCTGGCTAATTTTTGTATTTTTAGTAGAGACGGGGTTTCGCCATGTTGGCCAGGCTGGTCCTGAACTCCTGACCTCAAGTGATCTGCCCGCCTTGGCCTCCGAATGTGCTGGGATTACAGGCATGAGCCACTGCACCCAGCCAGTTTTAAATAATTTTTTTAAAATCGTATTTTTTAACCATGTAGCTACCATTTCTTCTACTCTTTATTTCTAAAAGATATTTTTTCTAGATATAGAATTCTTTGTTGACAATTTTTTAAAAGAAATTAAAAATGTTACTCTGCTGTCTTCTTGCTTGTATTGTTTCCAATGAAAAATAAGACATCATCTTTATCTCTGTTCCTTCTTTTTACTTCCGCCTTAAGGACTTACTTTAAACATTTCTTATATTGGGGTCTGCTTGTTGTGAATTATTTCCCCTTTCACATGTCTGAACATGTCTTTATTTCACTTTTAATTTTTAAAACAACTTTATTAATATACACTTTACATACCAAACAAGTCACCTATTGAAAATATACAACTCAGCTGGGCACAGTGGCTCGTGCCTGTAATCCTAGCACTTTGCGGGGCTGAGACAGGTGAATTGCTTGAGCCCAGAAGTTCGAGACCAGTCTGGGCAATGTAATGAGACCTTTTTTTTTTTTTTTTGAGATGGAGTTTTGCTCTTCTTGCCCAGGCTGGAGTGCCATGGCGCAGTCTTGGTTCACTGCAACCTCTGCCTCCCAGGTTCAAGTGATTCTCCTGTCTCAGCCTCCCAAGTAGCTGGGATTACAGGCACCTGCCACCATGGCTGGCTAATTTTTGTATTTTTAGTAGAGATGGGGTTTCACCATTTTGGCCAGGCTGGATGAGACCTCATTTCTACAAAAAATCCAAAAAAATGAGGTGGGAGGATTGCTTGAGCCCAGGAGGTTGAGGCTTCAATAAGCTGAGATCGCGCCACTGCACTCCGACCTGGGTGACAGAGTGAGACCTGCCCTGCCCCACCCCCACAGAAAAGAAAATGTACAACTCAATGATTTAAAAAAACTACTTAATTGGGATATAACTGACATGCGAAAAGCTGTACATATTTAGTATATACAACTTAATGAATTTCAATAGTTTTTAGTATATTCACACAGTTCTGTAACTATCACCACAGTCTAATTTTAGAACATTTATCACCCCAGAAAGAAACCTGGTACCCATTACAAGTCACTCTCCACTCTTCTGTGCCCCCACCCCAGCCCTAACAACTGCTAACTTACTTTCTGACCCTGTAGAAAGAAACCGCTAATTTATTATACTTTCTGATCTCTCCAGACTCAGCTCCTTCTCAATTCAGGAAATCTCTGAGCTTTGCTTAGGTTCCTTCTGCTGCGCCACAGCTTGGAAGCTCTTTCACATGGAAAGCTGGGACAATCAGAGGGCGCCTCATTTGTTTCTCATCTCTCATAGACCACTCTCCTTTATTGCCTATTTCCAGTGTCCTGAAAACTGTTGTTTGATATATTTTGCCCTCTGTTGTTGTTTTAAGCAGGAAGATACCTGTTACTCCATCTTTGCCAGAGGCAGATGTCCATTAAAATGAAAGTCCCACAGGGCCGGGGGCGCAGTGCCTCACGCCTGTAATCCCAGCACCTTGGGAGGCCAATGGGGGCAGATCACTTGAGGTCAGGAATTGGAGACCAGCCTGGCCAACATGGCAAAACCCTGTCTCTACTAAAAATACAAACATTAGCTGGGCATGGTGGCACTCACCTGTAATCCCAGCTACTCAGGAGGCTGAGGTGGAAGAATCGCTGGAACCCAGTGGGTGGAGGTTGCAGTGAGCCAAGATCACACCACTGCACTCCAGACTGGGCATCAGAACAAGGCACTGTCAAAAAAAAAAAAAAGAAAAAAAGAGAAGAAAAGAAAAGAGAGAAAGGAAGGAAGGAAGGAAAGAAGGAAAAAAAGAGCCACATTAAACAAACCTGACTGAGAACACACAGGTCTCCAGATACTACATTTGTGGAACATCAGTTTAAGAAATTTTATACAATAATAAAAAGGCAAATAATTTAAAAATAGGTAAAGTCGAGGCATAGTAATCCCAGGACTTTGGGAAGCTGAGGTAGGAGAATTGCTTGAAGCCAGCAGTTTGAGAGCAGCCTAGGCAACATATTGAGATCCCGTCTCTACAAAAAATTCAAAAATTAGTTGGGCATAGGGGCACACACCTGTAGTTCTAGCTACTCGGAAGGCTGAGGTGGGAGGATTGCTTGAGTCCAGAAGTTACAAGTTACAGTGAGCTATGATCACACCGCTGCACTCTCTCCTGGATGGCAGAGCGAGACCCTGTCTCTTAAAAAAAAAAAAAAAAAAAAAGGAAAGAAAGAAAAATAGGTAAAAAGGGGCACATGTTCTCAAGATCTCCTGAGGGCTGCGTCATGAGAAAAAAATTAAATATAAAATAAGTAAAAGATTTAAATAGCTGGGCGCGGTGGCTTACGCCTGTAATCCCAGCACTTTGGGAGGCCGAGGCAGGCAGATCACGAGGTCAGGAGTTCAAGACCAGCCTGGCCAAAATGGTGAAACCCTATCTCTACTAATAATACAAAAATTAGCGGGTGTGGTGGTGTGTGTCTATAGTCCCAGCTACTTGGGAGGCTGAGGCAGGAGAATCACTTGAACCCGGGAGGCAGAGGTTGTGGTGAGCCGAGATCGCGCCATCCCACTCCAGCCTGGGCAACAAGAATGAAACTCCATCTCAAAAAAAAATAAAAAACAAAAAAACAAAAAAACTGATTGAGGAGAGCAAAGATCACCTGGTGACCATCAAGCTGACCATCCAGAGGCAACATTTCTTATCTGAGGAATTTAGAAGTAATTAGATGTCCCTATTATTCTAAAGCAAGCATCTGGTACCAGGCTTTTAAAAAATTTTTTAAGTAACTAGGATTTCTGTACATCTCCTGAATAAATGCATGTTGAAACTCGTTGTGCAGCCCTTGCTGACATTAAGGCACCAAAATATCTACAAATGTAATCACGTATCATGACCTATGTGGCTAATATGGTCCACATTACTCCTAAGCTCCTGCTTTAAGGTCCATAAATACCCCTAAGGAAAAGTCTGCCGTGGCGCACTTACTTTTCTCATGCTGAGGCACCTCACTGCACTCTTCTGCAGCTTTCTTTCTTTTTTTTTTTTGACTGTAAGTTTATTCATCGCATAATAATCCTCTCCAATTTTACTGAGGTGGCTGACCACGTCCACAACCAAATCCATCTCTGAACTGGAATTTGGTTGCTGACCCGGCCCCAGCCTCGGCTTTCTTGTTGGCACCAGGGGGCACAGCACTCCGTTTGTAGGTATCTCTGTTGGCTTCCCCTCTTGTGAGTCTTGCAGGTCGCTCACCCTCCAGACTTTAGGCCAAGGCCTGCCAGTCTCTGGACAGCTGCGGTGTAAGGTGGCAGGCACAATCTCCGAGGGCAGATGAAGGTAATCACAGAGATACTGGATACCCTCATTGGTAAGGTACCAGTAGAAATGTCTCCAGGCAAACTTCCTTCACGTAGCCTCGGGACTTGAGAGACTGCATGGCCTTCATGACACGAAGGTTGGGCGCATTCTTGTCTGCCAGCTCCGGGTGCTTAGGCATGTGGACATCCTTCTTGGCCACCATGACTCCCTCCTTAAAAAGGAGTTCATAAATGGCAATCCAGTTCTTCTTAGGCATCAACATCTCGGTGGCTGTAGGGTCCGGGTGGGGGGCTGGAAAGGCACGTTCTTTCTTTCTAATAAAACTTTCCTTTTTCAAACCTATACTGTTGTCAGTAAATTCTTCCTACCAACCCATGAGTCAACCCCCCCTTTTTTTTTTTTTTTTTTTTTGAGACTGAGTTTCACTCTTGTGGCCCAGGCTGGAGTGCAATGGCACGATCTCGGCCCACTGCAACCTCCACCTCCCGGGTTCAAGCGATTCTCCTGTCTCCGCCTCCCGAGTAGCTGGGATTACAGCCACGCACCACCACACCTGGGTAATTTTTGTATGTTTAGTAGAGACGGGTTTTCACCATGTTGGCCAGGCTGGTCTGGAACTTTGGAAATCCTGACCTCAGGTGATCCACCTGCCTTGGCCTCCCAAAGTGCTGGGATTACAGGTGTGAGCCATTGCGAGCGGCGAGTCAACCACTATTCGACGCGGGGCTCTGACACCTTACCCAGCACCGATGACTTTATAAATAAAATGTCCTATGTCCGTGCATATTATTTGGCAATAAAAAAGGAATGAAGTATTTATACACGTTAGTGAAAGAAATAAAAATATTTCACCTTAAAATATCCTTCTTTGACATATTTTGAGACAGCTGTTCAAAGGGCCTTGCAAACAGAAGTAGCCCTGCAAAGCTGTCTTTGGTGGGAGAGATTTGCATCAGTGGATAAAATCTTCACTTATGTGGGGCTTCTCTTTAGATTTAGGAACAATTAACTGAGGCTCTGACACCTTTAAAGGTCGAAAAGAAGTATTTACCATCAATTCTTTCTGAGGGCTGCTACCTGTGAGATTTCATCTACCTAACAAGACCACTTATGCTAGCCAGGCCTCATCTTTTCCCCCTCCCATAAGGTGTCTTGCCACTAAAACCTGCTTACCACTATAATCTGTTTTTGGCCATGCTCTGAGTCCCCATTCATTTTGTAACCTCAAGATGGTATGGGCCGAGAATGGTGGCTCATGCCTGTAATCCCAGCACTTTGGGAGGCGGAGGCGGGCGGATCACTTGAGGTCAGCAGTTTGAGACCAGCCTGGCCAACAGGGTGAAACCCCATATCTCTACCAAAAACTACAAAAAGTAGCCAGGCATGGTGGCATACACCTGTAGTCCTAGCTACTCAGGAGGCTGAGGCAGGAGGATTGCTTGAATCTAGGAGGTGGAGGTTGCAGTGAGCCGAGATTGCATCACTGCACTCCAGCCTGGGTGACAGAGTGAGACCCTGTCTCAAAAAAACAACAAAAAAAGATGGTATGTAAGCTCCTATACCCCACTGGGAGGTTAGGGTAACTCTGCAGTACTCCCCCGCGTGCATGTTGATAAATTTATATGCCTTGTCTCCAATTAATCTGCCTTTCATCAGTTGTTTTTTCAGTGATCCTTCAGAGGGCAAAGAGGAAGCTTTCCCTTAAGTTATATAAAATAAACTAGACACAAAAGACCACATATTGTATGGTTACATTTATGTGAAATGTTCAGGCCAGGCGCGGTGGCTCACACCTATAGTCCCAGCAGTTTGGGAGGCCTAGATGGGCTGATCACTTGAGTTCAGGAGTTTGAGACCAGCCTGGGCAGCAAGGCGAAACCCCATCTCTACAAAAAATACATAAAAATTAGCCAGACTTGGTGGCCTGCACCTGTAGTAGTCACAGCTACTGGGCAAGGGGGTAGAGGGTACTGAGGCAGGAGGATTGCTAGAGGCCAGGAAGTGGAGGCTGCAGTGAGCCGTGATTGCGCCACTGTGCTCCAGCCTGGGTGACAGAGCCAGGCCCTGTCTCAAAAAAAAAAAAAAAAAAAAAAAAATCGGAACAGGGAACAGGCAAATTTATAGAAACATAAAGTGGATAAGTACTTGTGTAACCACCCAATGGCTTCTCCTTGCCTGATACGCAGACAGAGCAGATTTATCAAGACAGGGGAATTGCAATGAAGAGTTTAATTTACAAAAACTTGGTGAAAGAGAGATAGAAGCTTTATTATTACTCAAACCAGTCTCCTGGAAAATTTGGAGACTGGAATTTTTAAGGATAATTTGGTGTGTAGGGGGCCAGGAAGTGGGGAATGCTGATTGGCTGGGTCAGCGATGAAATCATAGGGGGTCAAAGTGGGATTTTTCTTCCTGTCCTCTGTTCCTGGGTGAGATCCCAGAACTGGTTGAGCCAGATTACCGATCTGGGTGGGGCCAGCTGGTGCATCAGAATGCAGTGTGAAAAATGTCTGGAGCACTGATCTTAGGTTTTACAATAGTGATGTTATCTTTCGGAGCAATGGGGGAGGTTCAAAATCTCGTGGCCTGTCTGCATTAATCTTTTGAGACTGAGTCTCACTCTGTCGCCCAGGCTGGAATGCAGTGGCACGATCTTGGCTCACTGCAGCCTCCGCCTCCTGGGTTCAAGCGATTCTCCTGCCTCAGCCTCCCGAGTAGCTGGGACTACAGGCCCCCGCCACCACTCCCAGCTAATTTTTGTAATTTTAGTAGAGACAGGGTTTCACCATGTTGGGCAGGCTGGTCTCCAACTCCTGACCTCAGGTGATCTGCCCACCTCGGCCTCCCAAAGTGCTGGGATTACAGGCCTGAGCCACTGTGCGCCCGGACTGTCAGCATTAATCTTGAGGCTAATTTGTTAGTGCTACACAAGCAGTCTGGTCCCCAAGCAAGAAGGGGCTGTGTTAAGGGAAAAGGCTGTTTTCATCTTTGCTTCAAAGTTAAGTTATAAGCTGAATTCCTCCCAAAGTTAGTTTAGCCTCTGCCCAGGAATGAACAAGGGCAGCTTGGAGATTAGAAGCAAGATGGAGTCAATTAGGTCGGATCTCTTTCACTGTGATAATTTTCTCATTGCTGTAATTTTTGCAAAGACAGTTTCAGTTGCTAGGGATGTTGCAGGAAAAAGCAGGAGTGATTGCAAATGGGTACAGGCTTTCTTATTAGGTTAATAAAATGTTCTAAAATGGTCTGTGGCGATGATTGCAAAACTGTAAATATACCAAAAACCATTGAAATGTACACTTTAAAAGGGAAAATCATATGACATGTGAATTATATCTCTTTAAAAAAAAATGTTATCATATACCATATGTCTATGTGGGCTTCCAGCAACTCTTCTGGCGCTCCTGGAGTGGCCAGGTCAGGTATGACTAAGAATTCATGGTATGGCCTCTCTGTATTATCTGACTCTCCTCCCTCCCTCCCTCTCCCCCCCTCCCTCCTTTCTTTCCTTCCTTCCTTCCTTCCTTCCTTCCTTCCTTCCTTCCTTCCTTCCTTCCTTCCTTCCTTCCTTCCTCTCTCCTTTCCTTCCTTGCATGAACTAGATGCTACCCTAGGCACTGAGCATACAGATATTGACCAAGATCTAATCCTGTCCTCAAAGAGTTCACAACCTCATGATTGTCCTCAGCCCCCTGTAGCAAAGGAAACTTTTATTGGGACCACTTCTTTATACCCTGAGCTATGAAGAGTAAATCTAACCTTTCTAAAGTCACATACATCTGCACTTAGTGGGGGCTCAGGTGATGGAGCTCCAGTGCTCATAAGCAAGTGAAAAACATAAGGTAGATTTAATATCTTGTAGTTCTTTAGTCCTTCTCATTGCCAGGGTGGGTCACAGAATGCCCATAGTAAAGGAAGCCAAAGTCTCCTTCCTCTTTGGGTCTCAGGGTCCAGATATTGTGTAGCTGGAAGCTCACTACTGAGACACTCAGCAGCTGCCAGGCAGGCAAACTCCCTATTTCCCACACAGCCAAGCTTGACCACCATTATTCCTGGCTCGTGCACCCTTTCCTATAAAGTTGGTGGTTGACATGGAAGATCCTGGACATTCAGGTCATAGTGCCATCAAGGGCCTTGGGCTGTCAACCTCTGCTGTGGTCCTTGATCTCACTCCCTATTCATCTCTGTGAAGCTGCCTTCTAACCTGGGGCTGTGTCTTATCTCTGACCCAGCTCTTGCTCATGCATGATGACTGCTCCCTGCTTCCCTGTATTACCCCCAAATGATAGCTGTTATGCCTTGTGGTTGCTTGTGAAACTGCCTTTGCAAAATTATAACTGAGGAAATTATGACAGTAAAGAAATCAGACCTACCTAACCATTTTGCTTCTAACCTTTAAGCTGTCCTTGTTCATTCCTGGGCATAGGTGGAAATAACTTTGCCCTGAAGGAATTCAGTTCATGATTTGACTCTAAAACAAAATTAATAATAGACCTTTCCCAAAAAGACCCTCTTCCTGCCTGGGGACCAGTCTGCCTTTGCAGGGCTAACAAATTAGCTACAAGATTCGAAATTACAGTTTAGGGGTCACGCAGTCTCTGGCTTGAAGAATCTGAACCTCCTTAAATTGTTCCTAGGGATAACACTACTGTTGTAAAACCTAAGATCAGTGCTTGAGATATCTTGCAGACCCTACACTCTGGGTGGATCAGCTGACACAACCCAGAACTGTAATCTGGCTCAACCAGTTCTGCCATCCCACCCAGGAACAGAAAATAGCACAAAAAACTCACTTCGACCCTCTATGATTCCATCTCCAACCTGAGCAATTAGCACTCCCCACTTCCCAAGCCCCTACTTGCCAAATTAAAACTCTGATCCCCGAATGCTCGGAGAGACTGATTTGAGTAATAATAAAACTCCAGTCTCCTGCACAGCCGGGTCTGCGTGAATTACTCTTTCTCCATTGCTATTCTCCTGTCTTGATAAATCGGCTCTGTCTAGGCAGCAGACAAGGTGAACCCGTTGGGTGGTTACACTTGTGTGCTTATCTTATCTCTCTTGCTACAATACAGTTTTTGTTAACTGTTGCTTTCTGGTTTGGCCCCTGCCTACTACTGTTTTTGAGGACTCAGCTTGGACACAGCATCTGGTTATTCCTGGTCACTTGCTATAAGAACACAAAGTCAATTCTCCCCCCTCTAAGAATCAGTCTTGGTAGGCCTTCACCCATGATTGCTAGTCCACTGCCTTTGCCAGCTGTGAGCTGCCATCCATCCCAGCCTCCTGTCTGCCCCTTGGAGTCCACTTCAAAAGTCATCTTCCTCTTCCTCAGCATCTTCTCTTCGAAGAAATGTTTCTCATAAGTCTTGGTGAAGATGGCTCAGTAAATACTTCTAAAACCTTATGTTTTCCCTTAGCAATGCCAAGTCTGTAAAAACCACTTTCTTTCCTAAAAATGCATTTCTGAAGGTACCATCAATGAAGATCTCTGCCTGAAATGACCTTCCTGCCAGCAGCAAGTTGTATTTTCCCCAAATGGTTGCAATAATGCTTTCCATTCCACATACTCTTCCAGAACCTTGCCACTCACACATCAGGAAATGGAGTCTCTGTCCCCTTCTTTGAAACTGGGTGGGGCTTCGTGACTGTCTCAACTAGTGGAGCACAGGGGAAGATCTGCTATGGGCCTTGCGAAGCCAGTTTTCAAAAGGCAAGACAACTTTCTCCTGCTATCTCTTGGGATGCTTCTCCTTGCAACCAGCCACCATGCTGTGAGAGAGTCCAGGCCCCATGGAGAGACCACATGTAGGGGTTCTGGCTAACAGCCTCAGCTGAGGTCCCAGCTGACAGCCAGCATCAGCCTCCAGCCACAGGAGTAAGGGAGACTCAGTGAAGAATCCAGCCAGCTCTCATTTGACTGTAATCACAGGAGAGATCCCAGCAAGAACAATCGGCTGAGCTTGGGAAAACCCTAAAACCATGAGAGAGAAAAACAAATGACCGCTCTGTTACACTACCAAGTTTGGGGTGGTTTGTTGCAGAGCAATAGGTAACCAGAATGCTGTCCATCTCCATACATTATGAGCCTAACCACCCTTTATGGCCCAGCTCATTAGCCTGTCATCTCCCATGTAAGCCTTCTCTGATCCCCACAATGGAGTTCTCTCCCTGTCTGAACTCCCGGTGCTCTTCCTGTGCCAGTCTCCTCTCCCACATCTGGGTGCACACTTCAGCTCTCCCCTCCCTGTAAAGTCTCCATTCTCCATTCATATCTCTCGGCACCTAGCCCAGTGCTTGGCACATAGTGGGTGCTCAATACAGGCTTTCTCTGTCTGGATGCGTGAAGGATAGGGAAAGGGATCTTGGGGAGAGAACATCTACCAGTGGAGAAGAGAGGGTCCTGAGTTGCAAAACAGCTTCCAGGGCTTTCAAAGGCCTTTTTCACTGACTAGTGTCCTAGGACATTTTTGGCTTCTCTGCTAAGAATGTAGGATATGAGTTAGAGTCAAAAGGATTTATGAATAAGTATCAAGTTGTCAGAGGTGTTTGAGCTGGAGCAACTCCATCTTGTGTAGGGGATGTGTAAAATAAGGCTGAGACCTACTGGGCTGCATTCCCAGACGGTTAAGGCATTCTAAGTCACAGGATGAGATAGGAGGTCAGCACCAGATACACATCATAAAGACCTTGCTGATAAAACAGCTTGCAGTAAAGAAGGATGCCAAAACCCACCAAAACCAAGATGGCGACGAGAGTGACCTGTCCTCACTGCTACACTCCCACCAGTGCCATGACAGTTTACAAATGCCATGGGAACGTCAGGAAGTTACCTTATATGGTCTAAAAGGGGAGGCATGAATAATCCACCCCTTGTTTAGCACATAATCAAGAAATAAGCATAAACATGGGCAAAAAGCAGCCCTCAGGGCTGCTCCGTCTATGGAGTAGCCATTCTTTCATTCCTTTACTTTCCTAATAAACTTGCTTTCACTTTACTCTATGGACTTGCCCTGAATTCCTTCTTGCGTGAGATCCAAGAACCCTCTCTTGGGGTCTGGATTGGGACTTCCTGTAACAAAGGGCTCCTTGGAAAGAAAGGATTGTCCAAGCTGAGGGTTTTCTTAGGATTACAGTGTATGGCCACTTGGGGGAGCCGAGGTGCGGCGAGGTGTCTTTCACAAGTTCACCAGCAGGTGGCAAGCTTATTCGTGGTTTCTTGCAAACTATGGATTTATCCACGCACACATTCATAAAATACTGAGCACCTACTCCATGTAAGGCTCTGTGTGGCTACAAAGGAGGGTAAGCTACAATTCCTGCCCTCCAAGACCTTCCAGGTGAGTGAACTCAATGTTTCCTTAGCTTGTCTTTGGGTTGAAATAGTTCTTCAAAAGTCATCCAATCCTTTCTTCTGTCAGTGTAATTTAATATAATCGACCCTGATGGAGGAGAGGAGTCAAGAGTCTTGCCAAGGCCGGGTGCAGTGGCTGACGCCTGTAATCCCAGCACTTTGGGAGGCCGAAGTGCACGGATCACCTGAGGCCAGGAGTTTGAGACCAGCCTGGCCAACATGGTGAAACGCCGTGTTGCAGGGTTTCTACTAAAAATACAAAAATTAGCTGGGTGTGGTGGCGCATGCCTGTAGTCCCAGGCTGGGAGGCTGAGGCAGGAGAATCGCTTGACCCCAGGAGGTGGAGGTTGCAGTAAGCATAGATCGCCCCACTGCACTCCAGCCTGGGCAACAGACTGAAACTCCGTCTCAAAAAAAAAAAAAAAAAAAAAAAAGAGTTTTGCCGAAAGTCTGGTTATTTTCAGTCTACTTCACTGCTTTAAGTAGATTGGCCAGGTGATCATAGATAAGATCAGAGCAGTGAAGGTGGTGTGGCTAGGGACCAGGAGAACAGGGAGAAAGAGATTTTAAAGCAGGAGGAAAGCAAACTGATCAGTAGATTAGGAGCTGGCGTGATTGGAACTGGGCCTGTCAGAAAAGCCTCTCCTGAGCCTTCAGCCAGCTCCCTGTGGCCACACTTCCCTAGAGCCTGTCAGGCTCGGAACAGTGGAGCCATGCACAGCCAGCTGCCCGGGAGCTCCCTGCCGCCTGCTCCCGCCCTGAGTCCCCAGCTCCTCCTGCTTTCCCCTCCCCACACTTTGGCTGTGAGAGCCACTCCACAGTTTTGCCTGTTTGGGACAGAGGCAGTGGCTGCAGAGGGAGCAGGAGGGAAGTGACCTTACATCAATTTCAGGCCAAGGGGAGGGGAAGAGGAAGTGGTCATTTAAAAACCTATCTAGACTGTTTCACAGTGTTCTTAAGGACCCAACCCTGAGCCACCCCAGTGCATTTCTGAATATCACCTTTCAAGCTCCCCTGGAGCTTCACAGTGTAAATTTCAGCCTGAAAATCAGAAGAGATTTCTGGATCAGGAACCCCCTAGAGTTTTTATTTTGTTCCTTTCTAAATGGATTTCTCCTTTTCTTGCCTCTAAGCATTTTATTCTTATAACATGTATACACTGCCTTTTCCGATTTTCATTTGCCTCTGGCTGCCAAGCTCATTTCTCCAGCAAACCCTGAGAGATTCTAGGAATCTTCCTTAGAAAACATGAATACAGGGACTGAAAGCAAATGCTGGGCCTTATTCCACAAGCCCCCTTTGACTTGCCTCATCCTAGCCTAGGCACAGCCGAACAGTGCCAGAGCCAGGGAGAGCCTTGCAGATCACCCACGTGGGTAGGCGGGCCTAGTCATATTCCCAGGGGCCCACAGAGATACTACCCACCAAGCACGATACATTTCCTAAGAACTCCATTTCTCTGAACAGTAAGTAATTTTATTTATTTATTCATTTATTTTTTGAGACAGGGTCTCACTTTATCACCCAGGCTGGAGTACAGTGGAGTATAGTACGGCTCACTGCAACCTCTACCTCCTGGGCTCAAGCGATCCTCCCACCTCAGCGTCCCTAGTAGCTGGGACTACAAGCATGCCACCATGTCCAGCTAATTTTTGTATATTTTGTAGAGACTGGGTTTTACCATGTTGCCAAACTTGGTCTCAAACTTCTGGACTCAAATGATCCACCTGCCTCAGCCTTCCAAAGGGTTGGGATTACAGGTGTGAGCCACCGTGCCTGGCCAGTGAGTCATTTTAAACATTATCTTTTTATGAAGACAAATACAGTTATGTGCCAAGGAGAATGCAAAATTCAAATAAATTTTTGCAATAAACCCCAAGACTTCAAGGACTGGGAGTGGATTGATTCTGACAACACTGTGGGTTCCTTACATTTACTTCTTTGCTGTCAGAGGTACCTCAGTGGAAATTTTGGAGAATACTGAGTTAGTCCAACCTCCCATTTCACACATGAGGAAAACTGAGGCCTAGGCCATGGTCACAAAGCTACTAAGTTAGCTACTGCTGTAAGCCCTGGTCTCCTCACATGCAAAGCAGGGGGTAAAAATAGTCCTTACTTCATACAGCTACTGCGAAGATTAAAGGGGACAATTGTGTAAAGTACCTGACAGGTAGTAAATGCTTAATAATTATAATTATTCCTCATTATCAACAGTATTTTATTTGTTTTTTGTTTTTTTGAGACACAGTTTCACTCTGTCACCCAGGCTGGAGTGCAGTGGTTGGATCTCGCCTCACTGCAACCTCCACCTCCCAGGTTCAAGCGATTCTCTTGTCTCAGCTTCCACAGTAGTTGGGATTACAGGCACATGCCACCATACCCGGCTAATTTTTCTATTTTTAGTAGAAATGGGGTTTCACCATGTTGACCAGGCTGGTCTTGAACTCCTGACCTCAAGTGATCTGCTGGCCTTGGCCTCCCAAAGTGCTGGGATTAAGGCATGAGCCACTGCGCCAGCCATCATTAGTATTTTAAATCATAGATGACAGAGCTGAGACTCAAACTGCAAGTTTAGGGCTGGATTTTTTTTTTCTTTTTTTAGACCATTAGATGAGTAAACTTCTTGAGGTCAGGATCCAAATTATAGGCTTCCTTGTATTCCCAGAACCTAGAGACCAGCACAGAGTGGGGCCCCAATAAATGTCTTCTGAGTGAATGGTTGGATGGATACATGGATGAACAGGTGGATGGACGGATGGATGGATGGATGGATGGAGGGAGGGATGGATGGATGGAGAGACAGATGGATGAACAAATGGATGGATGGGTGAATGAATGAATGGATGGATGGACAGATGGATGGAAGGATGGACAAGAAGATCTCCAGCCCAGACTGGATCTCTAATTTCTCTGGGATGATGAGCAGAGCTAAGCCAGACACATTCCCTTACTCTTTCCTCAGCCTCACACTCAGGTCCTCTTCACTTGGGATCAATGCGGAAAAGAAGGGTTTCACCACAGGAGAGGAGAGAGAAGATGTAGCATCAGGATGCTGATGAGGGAGGAAAGAGAAGAAAAGATGCCAGAGGAAGCAGCAGACAAAGTTGGAAGCTGGAGGACAGGGGCCCTACTTCCTGCCTGTAACAGGCCCCACTTCATTCCTAGCAGCCATCAAATACCAACCCAGAAGTGTTGGGAAATAGAGTGCACAGAGAGAACATAAAGATACTGAAAAGGTTAGACATTTGTGAGAGTCCTGAGAAGCAGGTAAGCCCCTAAGTGTGCCAAGCCTCCTTCTAGAACCCCTAGCAGATAATTTATTGGTGATGAGCTCTGACTGCATTGTCTCTGCAGATGTGGGTGCTGCTGACCAGCTCGGGCCAGTCTAGATATGGTTATATAAATGAGGTCAGCCAGAATGAGAACCTCTGCAGAATGAGAATCTCTGCCTTAAGGATGTCCCAAGTATTGATGATGTTTACTGATTTTTCTGTCATTTCAACATCAGGCTTGTTCCTGTTTGCATGGTGGGTAACCCCAGCATCACCTTTGACTCAACTCAATCCCAAAGCCCTTCCTCATCCCTCAAGTCTTCTTTATCTGCAAATGTGCTATCTAAGACCAAGCCCAAGTAACTGGCAGCAGGCTGGGAGAATAATATAGTCAGAAGGTGAGAGGTTCTGGAAAAACACCAAACAAGGCAGGTCCTACTTGGCTTCATCTGTAGCTCTGCGTAGACAGCTCCTAAGACAAGTGACCTGACAGTCTTTGGGTGGAAAAGAGGGGTGACCATCTGCCCTGGACTGCCTGAGATAGTCCTGTTGCCTTAGTGTAGTTACGAATACTACCACATACCACTTACTATCCAAAGCATTCTGGTTTAGATGACACATTGTACAGCCATTCTGTTTATAAGGTGCTTTAAGATCTGGGAGAAATCCAAGTGTGACTGCAGTGACTGCTCTTCTTTTTCTGGATCTACCCTAAAGCCATTTCACAGCACAGGTTGGCATGTCCTCACAGGGAAATCTATCAACAGTCCCATGACTCCAGAGAGGACAAACCCAGACCAAAGAAGGTAATGTAGGAGTTTGCCCTTTTGTAAAATCCTGGGCAAAACTCCGAGGCTCATCTCTCCAAGATACTGAGAATTGAAAGGAGAGGGGGAAATCCCATGGGATCGCCATCTTTGGGCGGAAGCCCTTGGTCTCTGACACTGATGGTGGTTCTGCAGTTTAATGGACCTGTTTAACTATTGCTTAGTCAGTGCAGCCGTGACCAGAAATTCTTCTGGTTTCTCCTCCTTCATCTTGGTTGGGTCAGATGAAGATGGCCCAATCTGCAAGAAACACTGGTTGTGTGCTTCTAGACATTTTAATCTTGGAGGGCCTTGTTTATAGGATGGACCTGGCCAAAGGAAAGATGTTACTTATGGTAGAAAGCAAGAAAAACCTAGATAAACACTTTTTTTTTTGAGAAACACTCTTGCTCTGTCGCCCAGGCTGGAGTGCAGTGGTGCAATCTTGGCTCACTGCAACCTCTGCCTCCTGAGTTCAAGTGATCCTTCCACCTCAGCCTCTCGAGTAGCTTGGATTACAGGCACACACCACCACGCCTGGCTAATTTTTTTAATTTTTTTGTAGAAACAGGGTTTCACCAGGTCTCGAACTCCTGGGTTTAAGCAATCTGCCTGCCTCGGCCTCCCAAAGTGTTGGGATTACAGGCGTGAGCCACAGTGCCTGGCCAAATACTTCATTTTCTAGATCATAAGATGCTTAACTTTATTCCTGGCAAAAAGTTGATTCAGCAAACCAGGGCTTTAAGTGAAGCCGGTTGGGGCCTGAACCCTTGACACCTGCCCAGGGTGGAAGACATAGCAGCTGCATCTATGGGCCACCTGGGGTGTAGGGTGACCAGCTGGAGGCTGTGAGCTTCTCTGCTCCCTGAAATGCCTGCACGGGGCACTCAGGAAGGGCTGGGGACTGGGTGAGGAGGTGTGGACAGAATGTCCCCTGGAAACTGCCCCAGGGGCAGCTTGAGTGGCCTGAGCCTGTGTCTGTCCTACTGAAGGTTGGAGCCCCAGAGAAAAGCCTCTATGGAGGCACCCACTTTTCAGAACTGCTGCTTTTGCGGGAGAACACCTTTTTCCAGGTGTTGTCCTTAGGGTAGCAGGGAAGACTGGGAAAAACTGAGGGGCAAGAGCTGTTGGAGGGGGGAGTTACATTTATTGAGTGTCTATTACATGCCGGGTGCTGCTGAAGGTCTGCGGGTCCTACCGGATCTCCTTTTAGCCCCTCACATCCCTGTAGATTACACGCCGTTCACAGATGACCCTGAACCCAGAAGGGCTGTCTAGGCCCAGGGCCCAGCTAGTGAGTGGATGGGCAGAATCAGACCTGCCCTGGAAGGGTCTGTCTTACCCTGGCGCCCAAAATGTGTCCCTCACCCTCTGCCACCAGGACAAGTAAATTCGAGACACCCTTTCGTTAGGGGCTCAAGTTTATCATGGGTCTGACCTCTAAGGTCATATCTCCGCCTTCTCACCTGACAGACAGGAAACTCCTGAAATGCCCCTCGCACGTGCAAGACGTTTTCCGCGGTGGCGGCGACAGGGCGCACAGTGGGACCGCAGCACGAGCTCGGAGCACCCCCAGAGTCGGCGACTCCTGCCCCCGCCCCTGCCGGCCGGCCTTCCCGGGGCCTAGGAGGGCAGCACCGCCGGGCTTCGCGCCATGACATCAGCCCTGGAGTGGTGCAGTGTGCAAAGCCCACTGGTTGGCGTGGCCCGGGACACGCCTTCCGCGGAGCGGAACAAAACGGCGCGCAGGCCGGGCGCACCCAGCCGCCACTTCCGAGAGCGCCTGCCGCCCCTGCGCCGCCGAGCCAGCTGCCAGGTGAGTGCGCCCTGAGTCGCGCGGCTCTGCCCGCCGCGGAGGGGCGCCTGGGCACGCACTCAGCGCCTCCCGGTCTTGCCAGCCCCGCCGCAGCCCCGGGGCTGTCGCAGGCGGGGAACTGTGAGAAGTGACCGCAGTTAGCCCGGGCAGTGCTGCTCTTTTCTGGAGGCACTAGGTCCGTCCCCATCCCGGGCCTTCCTGGGCTTCCTGGACACAGTTGACTTCCGCGTGTGCGTGACCCAGGGCGACCCGGCTCCCCGCAACCGCCTGCAAGTCGGGCAGAACAATCGGCGATTCTGCGCGCCACTGACGCTCATTGTATGGCAGAGAGATGAGGGCATCCGTGCCACCCCCTCCCTCACCCTCCTGCTGGGGAGAAAATGCCCGCGGGCGGGGTGGGGCAAACATCTGGGCCTGACCTTGGACATCTGTGTCCCTGAGCGCAGGTGTGAGTTTTCCCTCTTGTGAAATAACTGCATGGAAACCTCTCCACTCCAAATCTTGGTGCTAGGTGGTGATGGTTACTGAAACCTGAAAGAGCCTGCAGTCAGTGTTTTGTGGCCTCAGTCCTTGAAAGCTGGGAAGTGATAAAGGGGCTGGTATTGAGCACATTTAAAGCAAATCACAATGTGTTAGCTAACAATCAGCCCTCTGAGGCAGGTATTGTATCTACTGGTACAGACTAGAGAATATTTTGCATGCTTCTGGTTCTGGTGCTGTTGTGAACTAACCAGGACCCAGGAATCGGCTGGAGCAATAGTGGGCTCAGGCTCTGCCTAGAGCCCTGGGCTCCAGCCACCCACCAGCTGCTCCCTGAGAGTGAATGAATGGGCAGGCTCTCCCCACGCTGGGATACTATCACAGTGGCACCGAGGAAATCCACTGGGCCCTGGTAGAAAGTATATCAGTATATCATGAAGAGGTGGCTTGGAGTCTTGGTGGGATTGTTTGGAAGGCAGAGTTTTGACTCTTGGATTTGCCACTTAACGCGCAGGTTTCCTTGGACAAACTATTTAACTTCTCAATGTCTCAGTTTCTTTCAGGGATGCTACTTGGGGAGCATATTACACAGAACCTCCAACACAGGAGTGATCTCTCAGTTACTGTCTTTCTTGTCCTCCCCTCATCCCTTGCCTTCCTCCCAGAAGCTAAGGAGGCTGGAGGTGCTGGTTGTCTCCCTCTGTCCTCTCAGACTGCATGTTGGGGATTTTCCCCAGGTGGGATTTGGGGATGGGTACTGAGCCTCCCCTCAACTGCTCTCACTCAACTGCTGCCTCCTGACTCTCCAGCTGGTTTCTGGCTACCTCTTTTGAGAGAGACTGTCCTCAGCCCTCAGCTGCTGGAGGGCAGCTTTTACCCATTGTTTCCTAAATCCAGCCTCCTCCTGCTCACGGTCTTCCAGTGAATGACTCTTTGCCTTGGAGAGGATATCCGGGGCGGAGGCAGTCAGACGAGGAAGGAAGTTTATCCTGCAGAGGGTGTAGTGTGGGTTAGAGGAGAGGGAGGAGAGAACTGTCTGCAAGGCCTGAGATGCCCAGGATGGAGGGTATGGGGAAGAAGAAGCAGGAGAGAAACTAAAGAGAAGGCCCATCAACTCTGCAATTGGCCTGCTAATAAAATGGGAAAAACAGGGGTGCTGTGGCCTATTTGCCTGTGGTCTGTCTTAGCACCTGCCTTCCTGGCCCAGGTGTTTGCTCTTTTAATTGCACACATGTGCATCTGCCTCTGGAGCTAGTGAGTCCTGACTGGGCCAGAGTTGCAGCCTGGGAGTGTAGTGACACTTGACTGAGTGATCAGCAAACATTTGATGAATGAGTGGGGTAGCAATGGTCTTTCAGCTGAGTTGGCCTACGGGATACTCATAAACCTTGCAAATAGTTACTAGCCAGTTTTTCCACTTGGGTAGATTGACAAGCAGGTGAGAGAAAAAAGGCGTAGGTTTTTTTTGGGCTTTTTTGTGTGTTTTTGTTTTGAGGCAGTCTTGCTCTGTCACCCAGGCTGGAGTGCAATGGCGTGACATTGGCTCACTGCAACCTCTGCCTCCTGGGTTCAAGCGATTCTCCTGCCTCAGCCTTCCAAGTAGCTGGGATTACAGGTGTCTGCCAATATGCCCAGCTAATTGTTTGTATTTTTAGTAGAGACGGCATTTCGCCATGTTGGCCAGGCTGTTTTTGAACTCCTGACCTCAGGTGATCCACCTGCCTCGGCCTCCCAAAGTGTTGGGATTACAGGCATGAGCCACTGCGCCCGGCCTGGTGTTTTTTTTTTTTTTGGAGACAGCGTCTCACTATATTGGCCAGTCTGGTCTCGAACTCCTGGCCTCAAGTGATCCCCTCCCTGTCCCCACCACCATCTCAGCCTCCCAAAGTGCTGGGATTACAGGCATGACCCACTGCGCCTAGCAACATAGTTTTTAATTCACTGTCCATCCCTGGTGTGGGAAGCAAATTGGGAAGGCTTTTCTGGCAGGTTGTTAAAGTTTTAAATATGTATGTAAGCCTAGCTTATTGTGAAACGTTGGCTTGCTAGATGAAGACACATGCGTTAAATATTTTGGGATCCAAAGAGGTGCTAGTGAGAATAAGACTTTTTCCTCCAAGTCAGCCATTTGGCATTACTCAGGGCATATTGTCAAATATCAAAAGAGATACAAACCTGAACGATAAGTGTTAGAGTTGGCCTCTCCTTAAGATAAGGATAACCAGATATCTGCACTTGCAGTGTACCAGACAGTGTGAGAAATACTTCACATGTGTTATCTTGGACAATTTATGAGGTAGCTACTGATGCTCTCCATTTTACAAATGGAGAAACTGAGGCTCAGAGGTAGTAAGAAACTTGCTCAGGATCACAGCTGATCAGTTGTGGAGCTGCCATTCAAACATAAGCTGACTGTTTCCAAAACGTATGCTCAGTCACTACCTTATTATTTTTCTTTGCTCCTCTACATTTCCTTTTTCCAGATCAACTCACTAAGGAAATATCTGCCATTTGTGAAACACATCAGCTTTACAAGGTGCTTTACAGTGGCTTATAAACTATTTAAGGAAGATATCTTTCACTTGGATGGATCAGGGTTAGAACTCCTGACCTCCGGGTTTTCAGTCTGTTGCATGGCCAGGTAGGAGCAGAGGGGACCCCTGAGAGTTAGTTCCCAGCCACTAATGGATATGCTTTCACCAGCTCTGCATGTTTGAGTTTCAGAGCCAGGTTTGCAGAAAGAAAACAAGCCTGGAAAAGAGCGTGCTTGAGAAAGAGAGAGCTAGCAAAACTTGAGGGGAGGGCAGAGAAGGTGAGGTGGAGGGGTCCTGGGTTCCGACTGCTGTTTCTAGTTGTCAAGAATTTATATGGTAATGACGTGCCTGTACTACGCAGCTACCCAGGAATGTGTCTGACGCCAGCACTGAGTAATTCCCATGTATGGTAAAGTGTGTAAATACGGGGGCAGCTAGCATTTCCAGACTCTGGTATTTCCAGTGCTTCCCCAGGGCCAGAAGGCAGCGTCTGAGTCTTCAGCGGTGACAACAGGGGAAGAAATGGAAGGTTAGCAGCTGGAGCTCAGCCCCAGCTAGGCAGCCAGCACCCCCTACCCCCGACTGTGTGCCTGGCTTTCTTTATGCAGGGGTGGCGTGTGTTGGTGCTTCCTGGGATGTCAGCTGCAAACGACCTGTGTTTTTAAGGCCTAAGTGCTAATGTGTTTTAACTTGTAAAAAATTAATCAAAGAAAAATCATTCAGACCATTTTGTTCAGCATGGAATAACCAACATCATTACAGATCTGGATAAAAGCAAGGAAACCCCATCTGTTAATTTGTCTATGAGGCTTTATTATAATACAGGATTTCCTGTAGAAGTTTTGAAATACTACAAAGAAGTCATCGACCTCCATTTCTACCTGTGTTGACCTTCAGACTTCTTTTTTTTGAGACAGAGTTTCGCTTTTGTCCCCCAGGCTGGAGTGCAGTGGCACGATCTTGGCTCACTGCAACCTCTGCCTCCGGGTTCAAGCAATTCTCCTGCCTCAGCCTCCCAAGTAGCTGGGATTACAGGTGTGCACCATCACACTCAGCTAATTTTTTTTTTTTTTTTGTATATTTAGTAGAGATGGGGTTTCACGCTGTTGGCCAGGCTGGTCTCAAACTCCTGACCTTAAATGATCCACCCACCTCAGCCTCCCCAAGTGCTAGGATTATAGGAATGAGCCACTGCGCCCTGCAAACTTCTGAACTCCAAGAGTAGGGAGCTCTGCTCTAGAAGGCACTGGGGGCAAGTGGGGAAAGGGAGAGACATATACCGCCCTTGTCAGCTCACAGTCTCACAAGGGCCACTGGACATGGATTTGAAAAGAGAAAGCTCATTCAATAGAGAGAAGGATTCCTGACCTAGAATGACAGTCAAGTTCTGGAGGCCCATGGGGCCTGGATTGATGGTAGCTCAGTGATGCTGGTTACCTTTTCAGAGAGGCGGGTCATGTGCACGGTTCTGAAGGAAACATGAGGTGGGACATGGAAAGCTGAGGCCAAGCCTGCCCCATCTCCATGGCAGCCATTCTCCCCCTACCCGTGACCCTGAGCTTCAGGAGAGGCTGATTTCCTGAGCTCTCAGGTGTCACTTCTAAGACTTGGCTCTGAGCCCTGACCAGCCCAGCCCCCTCCTCTCTCTGCCCTCAGCTGCTCTCTGGACACTGGGGCGTGGAGGCAAAAGCCGAGCTGCAGATTGGAAGGGATGCCAGCCCTCCTGTCCACCTGGCAGATACCAAGCAGCTCAGCTAATGCGAGGGAGCTAGATAAACATCTGACAGGTTTCTACTGGAGCAAGTGGATGGGGACTTTAACCCTGTGCCGTCAGTCACTCTTTGGCCCTAGGGAATAAATGATTTTGGAATGGGAGAGATGGGATTTTTCCACTGTAGAAATAAAGATATGGGATGGTTTTGAAGGGTTTGATAAGAAGGGGCTTGCCTTCAGACACTGGTGGCTGGCAGTTAGGGATTTTACATCTCTGCGATGGTTCCTTCAACCTGTCACCTGAGCCAGACTTTATTTATTTATTTATTTATTTATTTATTTATTTATTTTGAGACTGAGTATTGCTTTATTGCCCAGGCTGGAGTGCAGTGGCAAGATCGCTGCTCACTGCAACCTCCATCTCCTGTTTCAAGCAATTCTCATGCCTCAGCCTCCGGAGTAGCTGGGATTACAGGTGCCCGCCACCATACCCGGCTAATTTTTGTATTTTTATTAAAGATGGGGTTTCACTACATTGGCCAGGCCGGTCTCGAACTCCTGACCTCAAGTGATCCGCCTGCCTCAGCCTCCCAAAGTGCAAGGATTACAGGCGTGAGCCACCACACCCAGCCGAGCCTGACTTTCATGAGATTTGGGGTGACTGAGAGTCTGTGACCTTTTTCTTCTCCTTTTGCTGCTGCTGTAAGAGCTGCCACCTTGGCTTTCTTGTCTCAAGGCTGAGGATCTGGGTACAGTCCTAACTGGGGATCTGGGTACAGTCCTAATGGGACAGCCAGGCTAGGAAGATGCAGCAGCAGACACAGCAGGCTTCTAGCCGCCAGCCGTTTCAGGAAAACAGCTGACCAGGTGTTTCCAGCCATTCAGTAGAAAATTCAAGCTCTGTTCTCTGTTGAGATGGTCAACAGAGTGAAATGGGACATCACAGACAGCTGGGGGGAGCTAAACCCCAAAGAAGGGCAAGTAACTTGTCCCAGACTCATTCGCTGGGCTAGCAGATGAATCAGGAGTTCCTGGCCCTATTTGGCATGGTACTTCTTAAGCCTCGCTCCTTCCATATGTGGACTAGCTACATGTGGATGGCTGGCCCACATCTAGCAGTGTGGAGTCGACGTATGACTGGTCCAGTCGTGTGAGTGGTAGTCAGAGGGGCGGGCACTTACAGTGTGCTGGCCATCACTTCCATACCTCCTCATTTAATCCTTACAGCTGAATTTTAGGGAGTCCATATACGGTCCATTTTAGAGACAAGCAAATTGACACTCAGAAAGGAAAGTAACTTGCCCAAGATCATTCAGCTAGGAAGGGGTAAATCCATATTGATCGAATCCCAGCTCTTGTTTTCCTAACCATTGACCTGTACAGCCTGAACTCTGACCTTGGGAACTTCTCTTGTCCCAGCCTTCTGCAGGGCCTCTGTGCCGGAGAGCTGGGAAGGCAATTAAGAAGGAGCCAAGTGTCCCTCTAAGGCACTCCATGAACTCTGAGAAACAGGTTTCCTTTTAAGGCAATTCGGCCTCCCTACAGGCAGAATTTGGCTGTTGGAGAGAAGGGCAGAAAGGGAGGAGGTGGAGTGAAGACTGAGCCCTGCCTGTTGCCAGGGTTCCCTCCAGCTGAGCCTCTTCCCCACAGGCAGGGTCACCTGGAGGGGTCCTCTTGTGGGCAGAGGGGGACAGGACCTCATCCACAGGCACTGCCTGAAACCCTTCCTGGCTAGGGATAGAGTCATCACTTTTCATCTCAAGGCAATAGAGCCCTGTCCTTTCACTGGGCTCTTGAGGGGAGACCCCCCACCCTCGCCCTAACTAAATGACCAGGCTCAAAAGAGCAGCCTGGCTAAGAGACGTCCTGAGCAGATTTTCCTTACTGGCAGGTCCTTGGGTTTCACCCATTTCTCCGCCCATGTTCTTGATTCCCTGGGGCCCTGCTGGATGTGGGCCCCTGACACGGAGCCAGGGAAAACAAGGGGAGGCCTGTATGGAGCTGTGGGTCTCCCCCAGAGGGAGAAGGGCTTTTGTGTCTGTAACAAAACAGTGCTTGGAACTGGCTCCCAACCATGTGGCTAGGGGAATTTTCCTCCCTTAGGGGTGTTCCTAGGGGCCTGAGTATGTCCCCTGCTGGTTCAGGGGGTTGGAAAAGGAGAAGGCCGAGGAAGAGGGCCAGCACTGATGTATTGTATGCCTATCATGAGCAGCCCCTCTTAAATATGCAAGGGCCACAGCATGGTGACTGGGACCCAGAGGATTCAGAAATAGATGAGCTTGCATTAGAATCCCAGGTCTATCTCTTCCAGCTGTGTGACTATAAGCAACTTGCCTAACCGCTCTGAGCCTTGCTTGTCTTGTCTGTAAGGTGGGCATACATTCTTTATCTTCGGATGATGAGGATGAAATGAGATGATGTGGCTGGGAGCAGTGACTCATGCCTATAATCCCAGCACATTAGGAGACCGAGGCAGGCAGATCACTTGAGGTCAGGAGTTCAAGACCAGCCTGGCCAACATGGTGAAACCCTGTCTCTAATAAAAATACAAAAATTAGCCGGGTATGGTGGTGGTGGCGGGCGCCTATAATCCCAGCTACTCAGGAGGCTGAGGCATGAGAATTGCTTGAACTCAGGAGATGGAGGTTGCAGTGAGCAGAGATTGTGCCACTGCAGTCCAGTCTAGGTGACAGAGTGAGACTCCATCTTGAAAAAATAAAGAAATGGGATGATGCAGATGAGCCATCTGATGCATAGTAGGCATTCAGTCCATGGCAGTGTGGGTGCCATGGCTGAGTTCCAAGGGTCACATTGAGTCACCTTATCAGAGGGAGAAGAGAGCTTGTGTGGGTCTGTACAACTGGATACATTATTCACAAGAGCTTCCCAAGCAGACCTCCCCTCACATCTCACTGGCCAGAAATGGTCTCAGCCTGTTCCTGATCCAGCCACTGGCAAGGGAATGGAATCTCCATGGTTGGCTTAGGGGACAGAGGCTCTGTTCCTCCATCTGGGGAAGGGGCATCTCCCCAGTCATTCAATGGCCTGAATAAAATCGGGGTTTTGTAGCAAGGAAGAAGGGGGAAATGGCCGATGATCAGGCCGACCATAACACACATTGCTGATTGCTGTTCCTGTCTAACTGTCCTTCACATCGTACGGTTTTCAGCTCCAAACCTTTGCTTGACAAGGGCAGCTAGCAGTCCTCAGTACAGAAAGAGGCTGAAGGAACAGTGCAACATCAGAGGCTGGGAATGGGGACTGTCCCTGGATCTGGGGGCTCAGGCCGCATGGGTTATCTGAGGAAGACAGAGATGGGGATGTGAGCAGTTACAGAAATTCCTGCGGGGCATGTCAGCGATGTGTGGGAGCCTGAGGAAGTGCGGCTGCTCCAGAACCTGGGAAAGGGAGAACTGGGCTTATGCAGCAGGCATGGTCTACCTAGATCCCCCAGCATCACTAACACCACTTCCCCACAGTAAGCTCTGCCTCTCAGCCTGCACACGCTTACCAAGCACCTCCACTAGGAGCCAGGCTCTGCAGAGATTCACCATGCAGAGAAAATGGCCCCAGAAGCTGTGGCTTTCGATATTAGTGCATCCTTCATTCATTCCTCAGCTATTTCCTGGCCACCTATATGAAC
Source organism: Homo sapiens (assembly GCF_000001405.40). Taxonomy (NCBI): domain Eukaryota; kingdom Metazoa; phylum Chordata; class Mammalia; order Primates; family Hominidae; genus Homo; species Homo sapiens. Next base: position 201,498,699 of record NC_000001.11, on the reverse strand, counting down.
AGCCACGTGCCAAGTGCTATGCAGAGCATGGGGACAGAGTGGTGAACGTGACCTGGATCCCTTCTTGAGCTGAGGCCCGTGTCACCCTCAAATGGGAGCTCTCCAGTAATGGAGACTGTATCTCCCTCTGCCCTTGACATTGACTCTCCAGCTGCTGGTGCAAGCCCTGTTACCAGGAGGGTGGGCTCTCGTTGCCACATCCCGGTTTTCAACATTTCCATGTGACAGGTTCCGTGAGCTCTCTCCTTAGGCTCCTTTGCCTCCTGAGGCAACAGATCCCTCTGACTCCCAGCCCCTTTATTTCCCGGCACCTCCCTGTGTCCTTTACTCACCAAGTCCTGGGCAACCCCCGGCACCAAGCCTGTACCCACTGTAGGTGGTGCTTTGTATAGCCCTTCCCTCATGAACTTCTGTTGAAAGAGCTGGAAGGGTGGTCTTCCTCCTTCAGCCACGTCTGTTGAGTGAGCGAGTGAAATGGAAGGAGAGAAGCAGGCCCCATCTGTTCTCCACACTCACTAGTGTTACCTTCCGTGCTGCTCTGTGGCCACGTGGGCACTGACCTGAGGCATCACTTGGACTTCTGTGTGCTGTATATGTGCCAAGTACTGTGCCTTGCCTTTGACATATCATATCTCATTTAATCACCAGACATACTCGGTGAAGTCGCTATTTTTATCCTTTTTTTTTTTTGAGACGGAGTCTTGCTCTGTCGTCCGGGCTGGAATGCAATGGCGCGATCTCGACTCACTGCAACCTCTGCCTCCCAGGTTCAAGCGATTCTCCTGCCTCAGCCTCCTGAGTGGCTGGGATTACAGGCAGGTGCCACCACGCCCCACTAATTTTTCTATTTTTAGTAGAGACAGGTTTTCACCATGTTGGTCAGGCTGGTCTCAAACTCCCGACCTCGTGATCTGCCCACCTCAGCCTCCCAAAGTGCTGGGATTACAGGCATGACCCACTGCACCCAGCTTTTATCCTTATTTAACAGATACAGAAATCAAGGTTTGGAAAGACTGACTATCTTGCCCAAGGTCACACAGCTAATGAGTGGCAGGATCAAGATTGAGCCAAACCTGCATGGCATCAGGACGCCAGCTCTGAACCAACACCTAGAGCATCTCAAAGTTGGTCTGGGCCACCTGCTTTGTTTGCCTGGGGTGCTTGTTAAAAATTCAGATTCAAGTACCTCATTCTCTCAAGTATCTCATTCTCAGAGGTTATAATTCATTAGATGTGGGGTGGTGTTACTAAATCTGATTTTGCAAAAGCCCCTCACTCTGAAGTTTGATAACTGCCCTGTGTGCCTACCTCCTGCCTTTTTTTTTTTTTTTTTTTTTTTTTGAGACAGAGTCTTGTTCTGTTGCCCAGACTGGAGTGCAGTGGTGCTATCTTGGCTCACTGCTACCTCCGCCTCCCAAGTTCAAGTGATTCTCCTGCCTCAGCCTCCAGAGTAGCTAGGATTACAGGGGCGCACCACCACACCTGGCTAATTTTTGTATTTTTAGTAGAGATGGTGTTTCGCCACATTGGCCAGTCTGATCTGGAACTCCGGAACTCCTGACCTCAGGTGGCCTGCCCGCCTCAGCCTCCCAAAGTGCTGGGATTACAGGCGTGAGCCACCATGCCCAGCCCTGCATTTAAAAAACAAAACAAAACAAAAAAAACTTTTTTCTTGTGGTGAGCTATAGCTTATATACAAAAGTGTGCACAAAACCTACATGTACAGTTCAAAGAATAATTATAAAGTGAGCCCCCATATGACAACCACCCTGAGTTAAGAAGGAGAGCATTGCCAGGCAGTGCCTTACCAGCCTCCCTGGTCTCCCAACCCAGTCATGGTCCCTTCCCTCTCTTAGAGGTAACTCTTCTAAGGTAAAAGCTTGTGATCATCATTCCCTTGCTTTTCTGTAGTAACTTTTCCACCTATATGTCCATCCCTTGGCAATATGAGTTTAGCCCATTTGTGAATTTCCTACAAATGGACTTGCATTTTCCCAGCTCTGGTCTGTCTGCTTCTTCCACATTCTCTTTGAGATCCGTCCATGTTGACGTGTGTAGGGGTAGGCAGTCCATTTTTATTGCAGCTGGAGCCTTCTTTATAAAGCCTGCTTCTTCTGCTGATCCACATCCTTTAGAGTGCCTAGCACAGGGCTGAAAATGCAGCAGCTGCTCTGTAAAGACCTGTTGATTAGATTGGGGGGAGGAAATCCCCGAGAACGTGCGAGGCTGCTGTCGAGAGCTAGCAGAAAGTGCTCTGCCAGGCCTGGTGGCCCCCCAGGCATTCTACTTTTGTCTTTCTCTCCTCTGGATCTGGCTGTTGCATTTCTGTCGTGGACAATCTGAGATGTTTCCATCTCCCTGTAAAATTAATTCCCATTTCTGTGTCCCTTTTCAGAATGCCGAACTGGGGAGGAGGCAAGAAATGTGGGGTGTGTCAGAAGACGGTTTACTTTGCCGAAGAGGTTCAGTGCGAAGGCAACAGCTTCCATAAATCCTGCTTCCTGTGCAGTGAGTACGCCCCAGGCCCTATTGCTGTTGCCTTGGACACCCTGGACGGGCCTGCCCCCACAGGCTGGGCCTGTCAACACCCCAGGGAACTGATCCCATGGGATGTAAACAGCTTGACATTTGGCTGAAGCGCAGCTGGGCAGGGAAACACTTCAGGGCCTCTTTGTTCCGTTCAGAAGCTTCTTTCTAAGGGATGAACTGGCCAGAGCGGGTCGGGGTGGCAGGCGTTCAGGGGCTGAAAGCCAAGCTGTAAAGACTTGGTTAAGAAAACTTTCCACTCAGCTCTCTCTTCTCTCTCTCCCTGTCATGATTTCACCATTTCAGAGGAAAACACTTTCAGCCCTTTGCACCCTAATTATCTCTTGTTCAAAGGCAACAGAGGCCACAACCTCATGGTGAAGCTGAATCTGGAGGAAGAGTGGGGCTCCTCCTTCCTCAGCCCCTTGCAGGCTGGCCTGTTCAGTTCTTCACTTCCCATTCCCACTCAGCCTGGGATGAGAGGAAGAGGGAGTACAAAGTTCCCTGATATCTACTCCTAAGAAGCCAGAGCAAGGTTTGCTCCAGTCATAAGCCTAGATGAGTAAGAAATCAGACAAAAGAATACCAAGCAACTGACAGAGGTCAGGTCGACCCAGGGATCCTGACACCGTGATGCTGCACCCACTGGTACCTGGGCCAGGTGATGTTTCCAGGATGTGGCAACTTGGTGAAGCCTCTCCTCAGGTTCCTAAATGAGTTGGTTCATTGTGATCAGAGCAGAAGGTCTGGGTTAGAAGAAGAGGCAACTTCAGCAAGGTGCATTTTCTTTCTTAAGACAGAGTCTCACTCTGTCACCCAGGCTGGAGTGCAGTGTCTCACTGCAGCCTCCACCTCAAATGATCCTCTCACCTCAGCCTCCTGAGTAGCTAGGACTACACATGCATGCCACCATGCTCTGCCAATTTTTAAAAAAAATTTTTAGAGAGACAGGGTCTCCCTATATTACCCAGGGTGGCGTTGAGCTCCTGGGTTTAAGCAGTCTGCCCACCTCAGCCTCCCAAAGTGTTGGGATTACAGGTGTGAGCCACTGTGCCCGCCAAGGTACATTCCCCATGATGGTAGGCAGAATGGATGGTAGAAGAATGTCTTAGTTAAAAAAGATTCGGTGTTTATTATCTGTGTGATGATGGACAAGTTACTCAGTTTCTCTCTGGTTGAGTTTTCTCATTATTACGGAGGAGGTAATAATAGTTACCTCATGGGATTGTTGTGAGAATTAAAATGAAAGAAGCTTGTAAGACAAAGCACTTAAAATGATTATGAGTGTTGAAGAAATGATATGCACACACACATGCGCACACACGTGCACACGCACACACACACACGCACACTGCTGAGGGATCTGTAGCAAGATGGTGTGATACAAAGAAGCCCTCACCAGGGTCTGAGGCCCCTGAAGATGGGGAGATCCAAGAATGGGGTCCTGTCTGTTCTGCATTACACGAAGCAAAGTTTCATGATTTGTGCTCCAGAGTAGGATACAGATGGGCCAAGAGCCACCTGTTCAATGGACGTTTGCATCTCTGCCTGTCGCTAGGTAGACCCACCTGAGGCCACCCCGCACAGGGCAGCAGGGGCCCCACATCCTGCTCAGCCGGGCCTGGAGTGACAGCTCCAGGGCTGCGTCTGATGAATGGGGAGTAAACAAGGTTTAGTGGAGCTTTGTTGGCTTCCAGCCTGCAAAGGAGGCCAGAAACAGCAGCGTCTTGTTATCAGCAGTTCACTACTCTTAGGAATTTCCAAGCCGTTTATCTTTCCAGAGGGAATAAGAGAGAGCTTGGTGCTGGCTGGGAAGGGGGTCTAGGCTGCTGGGGTCCTAAGGGCCCCTCTCTTTGCTCTCAGATGTTGCTTAATCACTGACCATAAGGGGTCAGCTGTGGGCGGGGGTGCCTGCCTGCAGACCTGTTTACGGAGGAGTAGTCGGTCAGAGGGTTGAGGGAAGTCAGGAATTCAGGGGGTGGCATAGGAAGGAAGGAACAGGGCCTGGGGCAGGGTGTGAGGGGCGCTGCGGATGAGAAACAGTTGTAGAAAGTCAGGCTGGGGAGCAGGGCTCTTGGCGGGGTGCGGGGGTGTTATGCAATGAGCAGCCGCAGGAAGCAGTCTCAGGTCACGCTAGGGTCTCAGGGCCAGTGCAGCTATTGGATATCAGAGCACCAAGTGGACCCCCTAGCACTGCACATGTCCCAGCAGGCTGAGCCATCTCCACAACTTGCTCATTCATCATGCCTAACACAGCACCTGGCACAAAGTGGGTTCCTGACAAAGATTTGTTTATGAATGGAAGGCACATCATTTCTCTTTTCCAGTGAAGTGGGTGATAAGTGTTCACCCCATTCAGGGTGCCCACTGAATCAAAGGACTTTCCCTCCCGAGGAAGGGAGAGGCTAGCCAGGTCTGGGCCAAGGGCAGTAAGGGCCATCTCCCTCATTGGCCAGGCCTGGTTGGGTCCCCAAAAGCAGTTGTGACCATGTGGGTTCTTGGCTCCAGATTCTACTCAGCTTGCCCACCTACATGCCTGTATTAGTCTACTCTCATGCTGCTAATAAAGACATACCTGAGACTGGGTAATTTATAAAGGAAAGAGGTTTAATGGACTCACAGTTCCACATGGCTGGGGAGGCCTCACAATCATGGCAGAAGGCAAAGGAGAAGCAAAGGCATGTCTTACATGGCAGCAGGCAAGAGAGCTTGTATGGGGGAACTCCCATTTATATAACCATCAGATCTTGTAAGACTTTTTCACTATCACAAGAACAGTATGGCGGAAGCTGCCCCCATGATTCAATTATCTCCATTTGGCCCAAGGAGAGATTTGGGTGGGAACACAGCCAAACCATATCAGTGCCCTTTCCTGAGTGTCTGAATGGGCGGGAGGAAGACATGATGATGTCATAGGCAAAGGTGGGGAGAATGACCTCCACCCTGGGCTTGGCCTGGGACCAGGGACTGAGAGGGCCTACAGTATACTCCCATGGTCTTGAAAGGGGCTGCCAGATCCTATGAGCAGGTGGTGGTTCAGAGGCTGGTGGGAAAGCTCAGCTCCGTGGCTGGGAACCTGCCCTGAGGTTATGTGCCCATCTCTGAGCTGTACCCAGCTCCCTGCTGGGGAAGGTGGGTTAAGCAGCCAGCCCTGAGGAAAGAAGAACTCTGTGATGGTGGCCGATGGAACAGGGCCCCACAGGTTGGCCCTGGGCTGTTCCCTAGAATCCAAGAGCACAGGGGAAGCTCACGGAAGCCTTGCACACTTTCTGACACCAGCGTCTCCTCACCTGCAGGCTGAGACTTACTGACACTTTTCACCCTCTTGGCCCCACATGTGTGGCCCACTGGAGGGGAGCAATGGCTGGCAGAAAACCACCAGGTCTGGAGGTCAGGGGCTGGGTTCTGGCCTGGCCCTGCATCTGGCCAACACGTGATCTGGAACTGTTTTGTGGGCCTCGGTTTTCCTTCCAGAAGCAGAGAATCATTCTCTATTTCTGAGTGGGGCAAGGGGGCTCTGACCTCTCCCCTGGGGCTGCCTTTTCCCTTTATTTCCAAGCAGTATCACAAGGGCCCACCAAAGTGGCATCTGGAAGTATGTGTTTCCAACAAATCCAGTCTTTTTTTTTTCTTTTCCCCTTATTGGCTTACCATGATATGGTAGAAATTTATTCAGGCCTGCCTTTAAAATTCCCCTTGATTGAGTCTTTGGTGGATCTTACAAAGACTTTGGTGAGTTGCAGAGTCTCTCAGTATATCACCTGGATGGAGGTAGAGGGGCAGAGGGCCACGATGGGCAGGATTGGGCCTCTGGGAGAACAGAAGGGCCAAGGCAAAGCAGAAAGGAGCAGGGAGGTCCTCGGCAGGGGAGCCATCTGGAAGATGTCAACTTGCAGGCCCTGAGGTCTGCCCTGGGCTGAGTTCCTGGGTCTCCTACTGGAGAGATCAGCCAAAATACACCTCTGTTCCCCCAAGCACTCTTTGCTTTCTGCCTTCTCTCTGGTCTTGGAATTTTCAGTTCAATTGGGATCTTACAGGAAAACAATTCCAGGCCAATTCCTGACTTCCCACCCTAGAAGGGAATGTTGGAGCCCTTGGCCTGTGGTTCCCTCTCCCTCCTTCTTGGGAGCTGGTCCCGGGGGGAAATGGTGGGAAGTTCCATATTTGGATGGCCCAGAGTGCTGGAATGAGATGGAGATCTCCAGAGCAGGACAAGAGGGTCCTTATTTAGTCTGAAGTCTCCAACCTGGGGCTTAGGGTGAGAGAGGAGCTGGCAGAGGGATGGACCCTTTAAAGGCAAGAGGATGGCAGTTGCAAGGAAAGGAGCTGAGAGCTTCTCCGAGGGTGGTAAAAGGCGTGGCTTCTCCAGTGGTATCCCTCGGTTTCTATGTTCAGGACATGTTTGAGGATGCGTCCAACTGAGATGCTGAACTCCAATATTTAAGGAATATGATCAAACCGAATTAGGATTACAGGACAAGTAAAGAAAAAGAATGCAGTTGAATCTCTTGAGAGGAGTATGTGAAAGTTAGAAGCAATGATCTCTTGAAGCTGGGGCCTGTCCCTCCCACTTCCTTGTCTCCCGATGGTACTAACTTTATATAATACTAATAAGAGTAGCCAACATTTATTATGCATTTGTTGTATGCAGGGTATTATGCCAAGTACTTCACATGTCAGATCTCATTTGATTCTCACCACCAGCTTTTGGGGCAGACATTATTATGTTCATTTACAAATGAGGACACAGAGGCTGGAAAGGCAAAAAAAACTTGCAAATGGCTGGAAAGGGAGAGAGCTGGGATTTGATTCTGGGCAGTCTGACTCTTCATGACCCCAGGCTCTGAACTGCTTTAACTTTATTTTTATTTTTAAAAGTTTTATTTATTTATTTATTTTTAAATAAATAGAGACAGGGTTATGCCATCTTCCCCAGGCTGATCTCAAACTCCTGGGCTCAAGTAATCCTCCAGCCTTGGCTTCCCACTGCTGGAACTACAGGCATGAGCCACTGCACCCAGCCCAAACTGTTTTATTCTGGATAGCTGGGCATAGCTCCCCTCTGAGATTAACAGGACGAAATATGAGGCCCACAGCCTTTCCAGCTCAGACCATTGCAATCCCTAGTTCCTTCCGTTCCACTCTCTCTTACCCCAGGAGTCAGGAAGTTCTTCTGTGTCTGACCCTCACTTCTTCCTGTGGTAAAGTGATTTCTGAGATTAGAAACTTCAAATCCTCTTGTGATTAGCATGAGCTGCATCCCATTTCAAAGCCCACCATGTTGGGCACTTAATAAATGTTAAACATTTCTTATGGGGTATCACATCACCTGCATCTCCCCCCGTTGGCTCCCTGCCAACATGCACAGATAGTCTCTTCTGGATTCCACTGTTGAAGGCAGGAAAACTGCCCTTCTTTTCTTTTTCCTCCTCCCCCATTGGGACATATGGTCTCTGTTGAGGGCAGAGTGAGGAACCTCAACAGGCGTCCTGTGGCTTGGGGTCAGCCTAGGCTGTTGCCTCTGAACCCTGTGTTGCACTGCAGCCTGAGGAAGTTTAGGGGTGCAGAGGACCAAAGGAGACACATATGGATTCCTGGAAGAGGAATTGGTGTTGGCCAGCATTTCTAGAGTCGGATATGCAGATCCCATCCCTCTGTCCTCCCACCCATTGGCCATCCCGCCTGCCTCCATTTGTAGACAGTTCCTGAAAGATCAGGATATTATGTATGCAAAGAGGCCAGAGAGCTTCAGCTGTAAGAAGCTTGCAATGAGCAAGAAGGTCACCCCAGCTTCAACTCAATGCGTCCGCTTCCCCTTCCCCTCCACAGTGGTCTGCAAGAAGAATCTGGACAGTACCACTGTGGCCGTGCATGGTGAGGAGATTTACTGCAAGTCCTGCTACGGCAAGAAGTATGGGCCCAAAGGCTATGGCTACGGGCAGGGCGCAGGCACCCTCAGCACTGACAAGGGGGAGTCGCTGGGTATCAAGCACGAGGAGTGAGTAAAAGATCCCCTCCCAACCTTTTTCTTGAGCTCTCTCCCCCACCCTGTATTAGGCCTCATGTGTATTTACAACCATTTTTGGGTAAGCAATGGAAGGCTCAGAAAACCAGTTATTTAAAAGGCAGTCACAGAGCAGTGTCTATGTGTCAGGCTGCTGCAGGAGCTGGGGATGCAGCAGGGACTAAAACAGGCTGGGCTCCTCCCTGCAAGGAGCGTGCATTCTATATTTGTATGAGAGTCAGAGCTGGGAGGGGCCCCAAGAATCACTTAGTCCAATTTCCTCTTTTTTTGTTTTTTTTTGAAAGGGAGTCTTGCTCTGTCACCCAGGCTGGAGTGCAGTGGTACAATCTTGGCTCACTGCAGCCTCTGCTTCTTGGGCTCAAGTGATCCTCTTGCCTCAGGCTCCCGAGTAGCTGGGAGTACAGGCATGTGCCACCACACCCAGCTAATTCTGTATTTTGTAGAGACAGGGTTTCACCATGTTGCCTCCTCTTTTTATAGATGAGAAAATCCAGCCCAGGCTCAGTGACTTGCCTGGGGTCCCACGGCTAGTGAGTGTCGGAGCCAGATCAGGGGCTCAGGGCAGCACCGTTGCCACACCAGCCTCACTGTCTCAGCCCTGCTATCTCTCACTACTGAGAAGAAGTCATTTCCCTTTCTTCGAAATGCCATAGGGTGTCATCAGCCCCACCACACCCCCCTCACCCCACGGCACTCCCTGGCCTCTGGGTAAATGGTGGCTGTTGGCAGTCAGCCTGGCTTGCTCCTCGGCCTGGGGGGTGGACGGAAATGATGGATGAATTACCAAGTTTCAGCCAAGGTCATTGCCCCAGTGGGAATGATTCATCAGCAGATTTCTCCTGTAAAGAATCTGATAATAGACCAGCTGCAGGAATGAGGGGCAGAGGAGGGCAATTCTTAGCAAATGGGGTGTTAAATGATTCTGGGGTTAACTGGGTGACCGAGGGAAGTATGATGTTACAATGGAAATAACATTGTGCTGAGGCTTGGTTTGTCCATCTGTAAAATGGGAGATGACCCTAGAGGCCCTAGCCTTTGTGACTTTGGCAGAGAGAATTGCGCGCTGCTCTGGCATGAGATGAAGGTAGGGTCATGCCCTCTCAGTGCCAGCCCCACCTGTACTTACAGTGTAAGTCACCTCACCCCATGCCCTTCTCCATGCAGAGCCCCTGGCCACAGGCCCACCACCAACCCCAATGCATCCAAATTTGCCCAGAAGATTGGTGGCTCCGAGCGCTGCCCCCGATGCAGCCAGGCAGTCTATGCTGCGGAGAAGGTGATTGGTGCTGGGAAGGTAAGGTGGCTGCTGGGCATGAGAGGGATGGGGGGAGATATCTTCCTGAAATGTGGATTCCAGAACTTTTAAATTGGTGACCTAGCTCTGCTCAGGGCAGCCTGAGCACTGGGGTTTAACCTCTTCTCTTTGTCCCTGTGGGTTGCATGTACCTGTGCTTTCCAGTCTCCAAGGAGCTCATATCAGCCATGAGCAGTAACATCCCCAGCATTGATGGACAATGGGCAATTCATAGGGAGTGGCAATGATCAATCTGTATCTCTAATATAGGAGAACAGAAAGTAAGGGTACGTGGATGGGCTGCAGAGGGTCCACAAAGCCCTGAAGATTATATACAAAGTTTCATGGGAACCTGTCTGTTTCTTAGAAGAAGATCCATAGCTTTTATTAAATTTTCAAAGGATTTGTGATCCCAAAAATATACATTCTGTTTCATGGGATGTGGACTCCCAAAAACCCATCCAAATACCCCCAGGGCAGAGATTTTCAAGGTTCAGACCTACCAGAGCCTCCTAGGAGGCTTTTTTCACACTGTTTAGAATTGCCGCACATGCCCTTCCCCCATGATATTCTGACAGTAGCCCCCAATCACCAATGCACAGTGAGAATCACTGTAGCAAATCAACAGTTCCCAATTGAGCTGATCACTTCCTTCAGATAGGCTGCAGTAGAGAAGAGGCAGAACTCTTGCCCCTGGGGTTTGCAGTGTCAGATTAGCAGTCAGAAAATCACAGAAGAGATGTCTTTCAGCTGTGGGGCCAGAGAGGAATTCTGGAGCATCACGTGAGGCCTGAGATAGAAAAGTGACTTGGCCAAGATCACACAACAAGGTTATGGAATGTCTGGGCCTGGAGCCCATCTTCATCTCTTCTGGATTCAGGTTTTGGCTTTCAAGGCTTTTTGACCTTGAGGAATGGGATAGGGGAATTGATCAAGAAATGTTAAACAATTAACACTTAGGCCAGTGTTAGAATCTCTACTCTCACAGTCATGGTTGGACAGAGATGGGGATTAGTATCCCTGTTGTACAGATGAAGAAACTGGGAGTCAGGAGGATTACATAATTTGCCCAGATCCGCTAGCTAGGAAGGGGCTAAGCCAGACTCAAGCCCAGGTTTGTCTGACTCCGAAGCCCTTGCTCTTACTGCTGTTACTACTGTTAATGCTACTTTGGGCCATTTAGCCTCTTCAAACCCATTTCCAAGGCTGCAAAATGGGAGGGGATCCTAGCACGGTGATTAAGAGCTTGGACTCTAGACAGCCTGCTTTGAATCCTAGTTTTGCCATTTATTGGCTGAGCGAACTTGGGAAAATTTAGCCTTCCTAAGCCTCAGTTCTTCAGCTCTAAAGTGGGCCTGGATGGTGGAGGAAATGCAAAGTGGACCAAGTAATGGCCCCTGACAAATAAGGCAGTTTTTTTTTGTTTGTTTGTTTTTGTTTTTGTTTTCTTTTGGCAGAATTTCACACTTGTCACCTAGGCTGGAGTACAGTGGCGCGATCTTAGCACTCTGCCTTCCGGGTTCAAGTGATTCTCCTGCCTCAGCCTCCCAAGTGGATGGGACTACAGGCACGCGCCACCACACCCAGCTAATTTTTGTATTTTTAGTGAAGATGGGGTTTGACCATGTTGGCCAGGCTGGTCTTGAACCAGCCTGGACCTCACGATCCACCCACCTCGGCCTCCAAAAGTGCTGGGATTACAGGTGTGAGCTACCACACCCAACAACAAGGCAGTTTTAATGATTAAATGAGATAGTACATGTATAATGTGCAATGTAGTGCCTGGTATGTCCTCAGTACAGTTTTGCTATTGTTATTATTATTGTTGTTTATTTTCAGGGATTATTTTGAGGTCACAATGAAGATCCTTGCCATTGACTAAAGGATATGAAAACAGGAGACATTAATATTATTATTAAGTTGGGTTTTTTGTTCTATCTCATTATGAGAATAGAAAATTATTAAGAATAGCTAAGAATCACTATTTCCATTACTTAGGCAGGCTATAAGGTAAAGTTAGGGCTGTACTAAGGAGTAGGATAAGAGAATTTTGCATTCAAGTGGAAAAGGTAGGGAGAAGCCCCACCTTTCTATTGCCTCGCTCAAGAAATGTTGAGCTGGGAGTACTTTTGGGTGCTTATGAATGAGCAAAGGGATTCAGCTTATTTTGGCAGGGAGGTGGCTAGGAAATATGAGGAGAGGTGTTGGTCTAGGTGTGATTCAGTTTTTCTCCAGCCTAGAGAGCTTGGGGTAGCAGCCCCTGCTTTACAGAGGAGGCAGCAAAGGCTGGGTGACTATTGAGGTTGCACCAGCACTGACCTAGACCCAGGTCCCCCCATTTCAGCTCTCTGGAGGAGAAGCCAATGTGCAAGGTTAGGCAACCAGGAAATCTGAGGGGATGAATTTCCTTTCTCATCCACCAGCCTGGGCACTGGGAGTGTCTTTGCCCTTAAAAGGCCTTGTTTTGTCTTATCTGACTGCTGCCTGCCTCTTGCTTTTCCTGGGTTAAGCAGAGCTGTCTACACATCAGCCTCTTAGCCTGCCCAGCTGTTGATGGGAACTGGCTGCGGAGAAGTCTGTCTGTGCAACGTCCCATCACTGTGTACAAACTCGGGCCTCACTTTTTTTCTGGGACAGCTGTTTGCCCTGTGTTACAGAATGCATGTGAGGACTAGATATTTAAACATATGATGCCTGGCCACAGAGAAGGTATTTGTAATTGGATTCTCCTGGACCAGCCCAGCCTCTGAAGTTCTAGAATTAGGTGCCTCCTTTGCCCAAAGGCTATCAGCTATTGGAGGGGAGGGTGGCAGTATGTCCCTCACTGGGTAGCTGTGAACACTAACTGACTTCACCAGTGTAAAGTGCCTGGCACAGGGCCTGGCACAGAGGAAGCCAGAGTCAATGTTGTCTAGTATCACTTTGGAAGGAGAATAAGTCTATGAAATGCATTAAACTCAGCAGGGAAAGTCCTAAGGAGTAGTTTCTCCAGGGGCCACAGAAGACCCTTTGGGTCTCTATGAGAGGCCCCAAGGCAACACAGGGCAGAGAGGTCTTTCTGGTGAGGGCTGTTCAAGTACTAAGTGACAGTACCAGGAGGAGTGCAAAGCCCTGGCTCACACCACTGATCTACTGGCAAGATGGGTCTGGAGAAGGCTCATCTGGCCCAGCCAGTGGGGTAACAGCTACTTTGGTGTTAAACCCACCCCCTCACCTGCCTTTTGTGGTATAGCTGGTGACCCTAATCATCAGGCCATTGCAACATAGCATGGAAGATGGTGCGAGGTGGCGTGTGGTCCCTGGCCTTCTCCCTCTACTGCCTTGCACCATAGGCCATGTCCTCCCAGCAGCACCAGCTGAGTAGACTTCAGAAGTGGCTTGAGCCCTTATACCATGGTTATGTCAAAGGGAGTGGGCCTGGGGTGGAGGGTACCCTCATCACTGGTGGCAGCCATTAACTATTTCCTTCCCTGCCTAGTCCTGGCATAAGGCCTGCTTTCGATGTGCCAAGTGTGGCAAAGGCCTTGAGTCAACCACCCTGGCAGACAAGGATGGCGAGATTTACTGCAAAGGTGGGTGTTTTCACTTCTAATTGAGGGTCAGGAGGCCCAAGGGGGTAGGGGGGCTAAGTAGTTTTGCCTTTGCTGAATGTAAACTAATTCCTGGCCTTGGGATCCAAGATCTGAACATCTAGTATGATTCCTTCATTGTACAGATGAGGAAACAAGACCAGAGGGGGAAAGCAACTTGGCCAGCATCATCTGGCAAATTGAGGCAGGCATAGGGCTAGACCCTGGCTTCCTAACTCCCAGTCCAATGTTCTTACAGCAGATGATGCTTCTATAATTTTGGTGGCAGGGGCAATGGGTACAGGGTACAACCAAGAGCCTCTTCGCTATTTTACTATTGAGATTGGGGTGCTGTGGAGGTGAGGGGGTACCAGTGGACCTTCCTTCCCTAGCAGTCTGGCTGGGCACTAGGAGTGGGGGATCTTCAGCAGGAGGGTGGGTGGTGTGGCTGGGGGTGGAGGAAGAACATGCCCTTATCTCTCTCCTCTCTCTGCAGGATGTTATGCTAAAAACTTCGGGCCCAAGGGCTTTGGTTTTGGGCAAGGAGCTGGGGCCTTGGTCCACTCTGAGTGAGGCCACCATCACCCACCACACCCTGCCCACTCCTGCGCTTTTCATCGCCATTCCATTCCCAGCAGCTTTGGAGACCTCCAGGATTATTTCTCTGTCAGCCCTGCCACATATCACTAATGACTTGAACTTGGGCATCTGGCTCCCTTTGGTTTGGGGGTCTGCCTGAGGTCCCACCCCACTAAAGGGCTCCCCAGGCCTGGGATCTGACACCATCACCAGTAGGAGACCTCAGTGTTTTGGGTCTAGGTGAGAGCAGGCCCCTCTCCCCACACCTCGCCCCACAGAGCTCTGTTCTTAGCCTCCTGTGCTGCGTGTCCATCATCAGCTGACCAAGACACCTGAGGACACATCTTGGCACCCAGAGGAGCAGCAGCAACAGGCTGGAGGGAGAGGGAAGCAAGACCAAGATGAGGAGGGGGGAAGGCTGGGTTTTTTGGATCTCAGAGATTCTCCTCTGTGGGAAAGAGGTTGAGCTTCCTGGTGTCCCTCAGAGTAAGCCTGAGGAGTCCCAGCTTAGGGAGTCACTATTGGAGGCAGAGAGGCATGCAGGCAGGGTCCTAGGAGCCCCTGCTTCTCCAGGCCTCTTGCCTTTGAGTCTTTGTGGAATGGATAGCCTCCCACTAGGACTGGGAGGAGAATAACCCAGGTCTTAAGGACCCCAAAGTCAGGATGTTGTTTGATCTTCTCAAACATCTAGTTCCCTGCTTGATGGGAGGATCCTAATGAAATACCTGAAACATATATTGGCATTTATCAATGGCTCAAATCTTCATTTATCTCTGGCCTTAACCCTGGCTCCTGAGGCTGCGGCCAGCAGAGCCCAGGCCAGGGCTCTGTTCTTGCCACACCTGCTTGATCCTCAGATGTGGAGGGAGGTAGGCACTGCCTCAGTCTTCATCCAAACACCTTTCCCTTTGCCCTGAGACCTCAGAATCTTCCCTTTAACCCAAGACCCTGCCTCTTCCACTCCACCCTTCTCCAGGGACCCTTAGATCACATCACTCCACCCCTGCCAGGCCCCAGGTTAGGAATAGTGGTGGGAGGAAGGGGAAAGGGCTGGGCCTCACCGCTCCCAGCAACTGAAAGGACAACACTATCTGGAGCCACCCACTGAAAGGGCTGCAGGCATGGGCTGTACCCAAGCTGATTTCTCATCTGGTCAATAAAGCTGTTTAGACCAGAACTCTGGTGTCCAATCCTGTGTCTGTGGAGCTGGGAGGGAACTCAATGGGAGCAATCAAATTAGCAGGGGCTTTGGGAGGCCGAGGCAGGCGGATCACCTGAGGTCAGGAGTTTGAGACCAGCCTGGCTAACATGGTGAAATTCTGACTCAACTAAAAATACAAAAAATGAGCCAGGCATGGTGGTGGGTGCCTGTAATCCCAGCTACTTGGGAGGCTGAGGCAGGAGAATCGCTTGAACCCGGGAGGCAGAGGTTGCAGTGAGCTGAGATCACACCATTGTACTCCAGCCTAGGCAACAAATGTGAAACTCTGTCTCAAAAAAAAAGCAGGCAGCCTGGTGGAAATGAATCAAAGTGGATTCGTTCCTGCTTTTTCTAAGGACCAATTACTTCTCAGTATCAATGCCAACTGAACCACACTGTCTGAAGTGACCCGACCAGCCAAACACCACTGGCTTGTCCTGTCTGGTCTCCACCCCCAAATCTGGGCCTGGGAATTGCATGGACTTTGGACTTGGAGGGGCTCAGCTAGGCCCCAAAACTGTGCTCAGAACTTCTCCCAGCTCGGAAAGCCCCAGCCTAAGAGGGAAACTCAACCAGAGGAACTTTCACGTCAAATCTAGAAAGCTCACTTCTACCTAGGAGGGGTGTGGTGGAGGGGCCTGGCTCAGCCTGCTGTGCTGTTAGGGCCCCCACAGCAAGTCCGTGGAAGGCCACATTTTTTTTTGGAAATAGGTTCATGTGAGGGGTTGCGGCATCCTTCATCTTAGGCATACCTGCCTGATGCGTTGGGGCTGTGCTGCTTTGCTTCAGCCCTTCTCGAAAATGTGCCCACACTAAGTTTTCAAAACAAAAGCAGATGCTTTAATAACAACAAGGCCTCGTGTACCTATTTCCCAGATGACCAGCTCCAACAGTGGCCTTGACAGAGGCCCCTCCTGGACTCTGAGAAAGGCACCTATGCATGCATAACACCCATCAATGGTGCAGAGCAATAGAAAAGTACAAGATGACCGGGAGAAGAGCTGGAGGAGTTCAGGGAATGCCAGCCCAGGGTGGGCTCTGGCTGGGAGTTCTGCAATCGGGGTCAAGGGCTCCATCTTGGTAACCCCTCTGGCTCCAGCACAGGGGGTGGCCCACGAAAGGTGCTCCGGACAAGTTTCCGCAGCCAGGAGGACGGCTGGTTCCACACACCCAGGTGGACCCTTCTGTCTGGGAGGGGCCTACAGGAGTGGCCCGGATGGGAGCCTTTGGGGCCCAAAGCTGGAGAGAGGCTGCCCTCTGCTGGCTGATCGGGAGGGCCTGTCGGCGACCGTCCTGTGCCTTGCACCACTAGCTGTCTTGCTCCCGGGCCACTGTTTTTCAGTGCAGCCCCACGGTGGGCAAGGGGCCCTGACGCACCTCCTGGGAATAAGACCTGGGTAAAGGCAGTAGGCTGTAAGCCAGCTGCGGCCAGGCCAGGAAGCACTCACTGGACGGTGAAGGGCCAGCCAGAGGGGCGCATCAAGGAAGGAGGAACACCAGGCAGGGGAGGCACTTGGGGAAGGAGGGTCGGCTGACGGGGAGGGGGCCCAGCATCTGCAAGCGCGGCGCTTGCGCCGTCCCGGGAGACACCAGGTGGTGCTGTGGGGTCAGGGCAAAAGGCAGGCGCTGCGTTTCCGCGCACCCCACGCCCTCCTCCTCTCTCTGTGGACCCTGAGGACTCAGCTCCTGCGCAAGACAGCGCACGCGTCTAATCCCCGACGCTCACTTCTCCTTGGAGGGCTGTCGCGCTTCGGGGCCCTGTGGAATACCAAACCCTCACCAAAGAGTGAGCAAGGACTCTTTTTTTTGAGACAGAGTTTTCCTCTTGTTGCCCACGCTGGAGTGCAATGGTGCGATCTCGGCTCAACGCAACCTCCGCCTCCCGGGTTCAAGCGATTCTCCTGGCTCAGCCTCTGAGTGGCTGGGATTACAGGCATAAGCCACCCCGCCCGGCTAATTTTTGTATTTTTTTGGTAGAGACGGGGTTTCTCCATGTTGGTCAAGCTAGTTGGCCTAGAACTCCCGACCTCAGGTGATCTGCCCACCTCGGCCTCCCAAAGTGCTGGGATTACAGGCATGAGCCACCGCACCCGGCCAGGGTGAGCTAGGTCTTTATGTCCACTTAGGTATTTCTTTTCTCGTTTCTGTCATCTCCGAGCAAGGCGTCCAGGGCGACCTCGGGAGAATGTGTTTGGTGGGAGCTATGCCCAGCTGCAGGAGCGGTAGAGCCCTGGGCTTTTTAGGATGTGATGGAAAATAGCTGCCGCTCCCGATGGGCGGCAGGCCCAGCCTCCTCGGGCTGCCCTTCTCCAAGAGCCTTAGCAAATTGTCCGGGTCACCTGAGAGGCTGGGGAGGGACAGGAAGACCACGAGGCCGACTGGAGGGTGAGGATAGAGATCTTGGGTAGCGGGGGTTGGGGGGCGTTAGAGCTGCTATTAAGTGTGGGAGTGATCCCTGAATCAAGGGCCACAGAAATTATTCGAGAGGGGCTCCCAATCGCTTCTCGACCTTTTGGCTAAGATCAAGTGAGGGGGGCACCCAGCGAGGAACGATCCCCCGACTTAGATCAGTGGAGGTGAGTGTGGCGGAGTGAGGAACACAGGGATTAACAACTGGAAGGTCCGGCCCTCCCCGCGCCTCGCCTCCGTGCCACGCCCAGCCCCGGCCCCGCCTCCAAGCCCAACCTTTATTCTGAGAATCATTGGGGAAGCCTTTAAAAATGGATTCCCAGCCCCACCCCTAGAGATTCTGATTCGGTTGGCCTGGGTGGGGCCTGGGAATCTGTATTCGACAAGCTGCTCTGGTGATTCTCTGACGCTTGCCCGGGCTCAGCCGGGCTTGAGAACCTGCGGACCAGCCCAGCCTCCTAGTAGGTGCCGGCCTCCACCCGGCCGCTCAACCTCAACCACTTAGCTGCCAACAGCTCCGCGCCCCGCCCCGCCCCGCCCCGCCCCGCCCCGCCCCGCAGCTGGGGCTGCCTCTGAACGGTTCTAATGATTAGAGAGGACTTCCTGGAACTTCCTATTTCTGTCCCCTAGAGTCATCCAGAACAGGTCTAATCCCTCTCCTGCATGACAGCGCTTCAGAGATTTGAAGACAGCTGTCGGCTGCCTGAGTCCGCCCCTCCCCACCAGAGATCCCCTGGCCTTTCAGCGCTTCCTGATGGAGGCACCAGGGAGCCCAGTGAGTCCAGTGGAGGAGGAAAAACACAGCCAGGGGTTGGGGGCCGTCCAGTGGCCAGAGAAACAGACTGGGGACTTGCAATAGGTCAAAGGGAAAAAACAGAGGCAGCTCCCCCTGAGAAACGCCTGTCCCCTGCCTTTCTAGGGTGCAACTTCCTCCAACCTAGTCTTCTTTTGGACATTTTGGAAACATTATTATTCATCCAACTTGTGTGCTTACTATATGCTATAGACTGTTTGAAGACCTTTAATGTATTAACTCACTTAATTGTCACATTACTCATCCATCTCGTGTGCTTAATATATGCTATAGACTGTTTGAAGACCTTAAATGCATTAACTCATTTAATTCTCACAATAGCCCTATGAAGTAGGTGCTGTCATTTTACCCACTTATAACTGATCAAACTGAAGCCAAGAACCAAAGAACAATTCAGCAACCCTCTCAAGGTCAAATTGAGCAGGATATAAATGCAGGCAGCTGGGTCCAGGTCCCATCGCTGCAGTGCTATACCTAACATCCTTGCCTTAAGAGGAGACAATTATGTACTGGGAGTATGAGGCCTGGTGCTGGAATGGTGAGTTAGGACCATAGCAATAGCTAACAGTTATTGAGCACATACTATGTGCCTGGCACTGGTCTAGATGTTTTCTTATTTGATCCTCATATAAGCACTAGGAGGTAATTATATTATCCCTTTATTATATAAGAGGAAACCGAGATTCAGTGAATTTTAGAGACTTACTCAAGTCCCTGGCAAGTGGTGGAGCCAGGATTGGAACCAGCTCTGTGACTTTGGGCCTGCCTCCTCCCCTCTGGGTGTCGGCTCCTCATTTGCGAAGTGAAGACGTTGGCCTAAATTAGTTCTGAGGAAATGCTTCTCAAGCTTTAATGTGCATATGAATCTCCTGGGGATCTTGTTAAAATGCAGATTCTAGTTTTGGGTGGGGCCTGAAATTGGACATCTCTCACAAGCTCCCAGGGGTAGGTGGTGCTGATGTTGCTGATCCTGGGACCACACTTGAACAGCCAAGCTTCAGGGGATCCACCCAACTCTGATGTCCTGAGTTTATGGGCCTAGAAAGACTCACCCTAAAGGCCATGAAAATTCAGGAAGCAGATTATCGTGAATAAAGCCTTTAGTGGGCATTTTCCATGCCTGGACAAGCCCTTAGTTCCTTTTCAGAAGCACCTGCTCCTGAACCTTCTACATTTCCACTCTGTTGACCTCAACCTGACTCTTCAAGAGAGTTCAAGGTCTTGGTCCCAGGCCAAGGGGGATTGTTGCTCCCTGCTGGAGGAGTGAAGAGGTATCTCTGTGGCTCTGCCTTCTGGGTACCCAGCAGTCCCATGGCAATCACACTGTCTAGTCCTTTAAGAGATGTTCACAGATATTCCTGGACACACAGTAATATCTACGTTTACATTTAAGGGTTACATTTGGCCTCTTCCCTTGAATTTTGATGTGGTGATGTGGCTTGCTGTGGCCTCTAATTGAGACCAGAAGTGTCACTTCTGAGCAGACTTCTTTTTTTTTATTTTTTATTTTTTATTTTTTGAGATGGAGTTTCACTCTTGTCGCCCAGGCTGGAGTGCAGTGGCGTGATCTCAGCTCACTGCAACCTCTGCCTCCCAGATTCAAGCAATTCTCCTGGCTCAGCCTCCTGAAGTAGCTGGGATTACAGGTGCCTGCCACTACACCCAGTTAATTTTTTTGTATTTTTAGTTGAGACGGAGTTTCATTATGTTGGCCAGGCTGGTCTTGAACTCCTGACCTCAGGTGATCCACTTGCCTCAGCCTCCCAAAGTGCTGGGATTACAGGCGTGAGCCACCGTGCCTGGCCATCTGAGCAGACTTCTTTAATAGGCACGATGTAAGTTTTCATGTCCCTTTTCCCTGTTGTGGAGAGTGTGGAAGTAGGTGTGATGGAACCTCCAGCAACCTGGATATGTGTATATCTCAAGGAGCAGATATACCTCCCCTGCCAGCTCAAGTAGGACATATGGTATGAGTGGGAAGACCTTTGCTATGTTAAGCTATTGGGTTTGGGAGGAGTTTCTTAGCACAGCATAACCTAGCCCATCCTAACTAGTACACATACCAATATCACCTTAGATAGGCCGAGTCAAGTATGGAGACCATATTTCTACAAAGTCAGGATCGTAGCCTGTCAAAGATCTAATGCTTAACTCTGGGGTCTTCTTCAGTAGGAAGGAATATCTTCTTGCAAAAGTAGGGTGGGATTCCTAAAGATGTGAACTCTTCCTCCCCTTCTTTTGCTAGTCCCTGTTAAGTAGAGAACTCTGATTCACCCATTTGCCATTGTGTCCCTAAAGTCTAGCCCAGGGCCTGAATTAAGAATTAAGAATACTTAATTCTTAATTCACACACAATGGGATTTACTCTGAAGTTCCTTTCTATGAATCTTCCTGTAGATCACATCCAAGAATATGCCATGAGCCTTCCTCCCCTCCCTAAGCCCCTCCACACACCCCTCTGCCTTGAGCAATTTGTTAATTTCTCCTTGACCTAAGCCTCAGGCTGGACAACTCACAGCCTCCTTCTCTGCCTGATCTTGACAATGGCACTGCATAGGAGCTTCCCTGTTATCAAAGTCATACTCACGAATAATAATCTTTATAACTCTCATGATGAAACATTTGAAAATCAGAGGCAAGTGGTAAAAAACTCATCCATGATCTCCTCACCTCGAAGGAACTGCTGTTGACACTGTGACCTTTCCTTTCCTATTTTCCTCTGTGCATTCCCCCTCCCCCCATACTTTTAGGGAGAGCCTATGAATGTCTCCTATTTAGGAGGAGAGGGAAAAGCCACCCACAAATGCAGAAAATGGCACAGCTGGAAGGGGACTTACGAATCCTTCAACCAACTCCCTTACATTACCATTGAGAATGCTGCTTTATACTAGTCTGGGTGCAGATGTGTGAAAAGTAAAAACAAATATCTGGCAAGACCCAAACCAAGCTAAGTGATTGTTGTCTCTGGGGTTGGGGGACTAGAAGGGTGGTGAAAAGATACTGTCATGTTTTGAATCTTTTGCAACAAAAATGTATTCAAGTGTTACTTGCATTTAAAGCACATTATTACTAGAAGAAAAGAGAAAGCAACTTTTATGTCAAGGGTTTCATGGCTATTATTGGCATATTGGTTGAGGCCACTAGTTTCCTGGGTATCAGTCAGTCTCCTCCTAGTGTCATTGCCCCTTGGTCAAGTGTCCTCAAGGAAGAGATTCATTCCAGGGCAGCCCATTTTTTCCTACAACATGGGCACCCAGATGCCAAGATGGCATGGGAAAAAGGAAAATTCTGCAGGCCCCAACCTGAACCATTAGCCCACAAGTCCAATCTCTGTAAGACCCACGCTGGGATCAAATGCCTTCAAGCCCAGACTCAGCCCCATCAGAGGGGGCAGTAGGTGCTCTCAAGACGAAAGGGATTCTTGGTGAATCAGGAAAGTTATTGGGCTGGAAAGTGATTAAAGGGCTGAGCGTGGGAGGGGATTTCCACTGAGAGAGCCAGGCCCAGGAGCAAGCCTGGGCGGGTCGGCTGCAGAGTTGCTGCCCACTTGAAGTCTGTCGCAATGGTGCCCATAAAACCCAAGTCATCAGAGACTTGAAACCTTGGTAGGGTTTTTCCTTCTGTTTCCCTTTAGAAAAACAGAGATCCGAGGAAACCCCAAAGTCCTGGAACAAAGGGCTGTACATCAAAGCGGTGCGAGCAGGTCAGGAGAAGTCTGAGGGAGAGGTCAGCTGGAGTGGGTCTCCCAGCCCCCAGCTCCCAGGGAGAGGAGAGCAGTGAGGGACCTGTGGATTGGAGGGTGGGTGCAGAAGCCTGAAGGGAGAAGCAGGGTGGGGAGGAGCAGGGCTGTGAACAGACCCATTTTCATGCCCCATCTAGGTGAGGAGGCACTACCTGGCCTGAGGAATCCAGGGAACAGGTTGAGGAAGGAGTAGTGATGTTTTCTTTTCTTGCCTATACAGGGGTTACATAGCTCCCATAAACTAGCCAGGCTTTTTTTTTTTTTTCAAATATGCACTGAATCTGCAAGATAGAACTTGACAGCCTTCATTTTACAGATGAGGAAACTGAGGTCAGAGAGAGGAAGTGATTGTGTAAGGTGTCACCAAGCTTAGGCTAGGACATGGGTGTCCTGTCTCCTACCTGAGTGCTCCTTCCCCTACACCAGTGGTTCTCACACGTGGGCGTCAGAATCACCTGGAGGGCTTGTTCAAACACGGATTGCTGGGCTCCAAACCCGGGTCTGGGGTGGAGCCTAGAATTTGTATTTCTAACAAGTTCCCAGCTGATGCTGACTCTGCTGGCCTGAGACTACATTTTGAGAACCGCTGCTCTAGACCCTTGCTATCTAAAGTATGTTCTGTTGACTAGCAGCATCAGTGTTACTTGGAAGCTTCTAGAAGTGCAGAATCTCAGGTCCTACCCTAGACCTATTCCATCAGAATCTGCATTTGCAAGATCCCCAGGTGATCCATTTGCACACTGCAGTCTGAGAAGCGCTGGTCTATGCCACACACCTCTTTCTGGACTGGGGGTCAAATTGAGGCAGCCTAGATGAGCCTTCCAACTCCAGTTGCCAGGGGATAATGGAATAGGTGCCCAGGGTCCTGTGGGGGAACCAGCCCCTTTTTTGTGTTCCCCAAGGTTGGGGAGTTCTCTCCAGAACTACAGAGACAGGAGGGGCTGCATGCTCAGCTCTGGGTTTGCTCGGTTCTAGTGTACACACCCGACATCAGGAGGCTCTATGTGCCCACCTTGGGGAATCCTGGGAATGCCTGGAGGCCAATAACTGCCATTCAAGCCTCTAAATCAACCCCTGCTCTGAAGCCAGCCCTTGCGTTTGAAATTCTATTTCAAGAACTTATGTAATACCTATGTGTTTATTTTATTTTAAAAATATGCCTAATACATGAGTATGACATCCAAACCATATTGAAGCATGCTCATAAAATGACAGGCATTCTCACACTGCCCATCCCCATCCTGGACATTCCATAAGTAACATATCACTGTGAATTGAATCCTGTTAGATATAACCTGTACAACAGAGGTGGACTTTGTTCATTGTGGCCATGCTATATACCTTATTAACTCACTGTACTGTAATGTTTCCCCATGAAACAACGTATTTCAGGCATCTCAACCTACTAAGACCTGTAGATCTGTGTATTTTCAACTGCTGCACCGCATGAACATTTATGTACTGTGCAGTTAACTAGATTTTTAGAGAAGCAATGCATGCACAGGATTTAAAAAAATCAAACAATACAGATTGGTGAACAATGAAAAAATAAGTCTCTATCTTTCTTCTTCATTGTTACCTAGAGAAACTGTTAACAATTTATTTTAAATTTTTATTTACTTTTCTAAACAGGGTCTTGCTCTGTTGCCCAGGCTGGAGTGCACTGGTGTGATCATAGCTCACTGTAGCCTCAAACTCCTGGGCTCAAGCCATCCTCCCACCTCAGACTCCTGAGTAGCTGGGACTACAGGCATGTACCCCACTATGGCTATATTTAAAAAATGATTTTGGAGAAACAAGATCTTACTATGTTGCCTAGGCTGGTCTCAGACTCCTGGGCTCAAGCGATCCTCATGCCTTAGCCTCCTAAGGTGCTGAGATTACAGGCAAACCATTTATTTTTGGTATTTAATTAAAATACTTAATTTTTGTAATAGTTTTGGATGTATAGTAAATTTGAGCAGATAGAACAGAGTTCCTGCATACCTACCCTTCCCCCATAGTTTCTCCTATTATTAACATCTTGCATTAATGTGCTACATTTTTTACAATGAATGAGCCAAGATTCATACATTTACTATTAACTGAAGTTCATGGTTTAAACTCACTCTTGTTGTATGGTTCTGCAGGCTTTGATAGATGCATAACGTCACGTATCCACCATTATAGTATCATACAAAATAGTCTTGCTGCCCTAAAAATCTCCTTTAACCATCTAGTGGTTTCCATTGTTTTAAATAATGCAGTTACATTCTTTTCATTAGTTCATTAACTCTAGATTGCATTGATTGTTTCCCCTCCTCTGCATTATCCTTTTCCACCTCCCAGTTTTTGTCAGGTACATTGTCATTTCATTTTCTCATTCGATAATTATTCATTCAGTTCCTACAGTGTATTAGGCAATGTTCTAGGTGCTGGAGCCACAGGGGTAAAAAAAACAGATAGGCTGGACGCGGTGGCTGACGCCTGTAATCCCAGCACTTTGGGAGGCCGAGGCAGGCGGATCACGAGGTCAGGAGATTGGAACCATCCTGGCTAACACAGTGAAACCCCGTCTGTACTAAAAATACAAAAAGTTAGCCGGGCATGGTGGCGGGCGCCTGTAGTCCCAGCTACTCAGGAGGCTGAGGCAGGAGAATGGCGTGAACCCAGGAGGCAGAGCTTGCAGTGAGCTGAGATCGCGCCACTGCACTCCAGCCTGGGCGACAGAGCGAGACTCTGCCTCAAAAAAACAAACAAACAAAAAACAAACTCCCCGCTGGCATAGAGCCCACAAGTAAAGGAGATAGACAATAAGTAAGAAAAATACAATTGTGGATGCTAATATGTGCCATAGAGAAAAATTGAGCAGGGACGGGATACAGTGTGTGTATGTACATCTATGGAAGGGGGTTGTGGCTTTAAACACAGTGTTGGGAGAAGACCCCATTGAGAAGGTAATACGTGAACACAGCTTAGTGTGGTGAAAAAATGAACCATTTGGTGATCTGGGAGAGAGGATTCCAGACAGTGAGGACAGCAGGTGCAAAGGCCCTGAGGAAGGATGGTTGCCAAGTTCAAGGGATGGTGAGGACTGTGGCTGGAGCCAGGGATAGAGGAAAGTACAGGAGGTAAGATCAGAAAGTGAAGAGCAGGTCTTAGAGGGCCTTGCAGGTAGCATCAATGACTTTGGCTTTACTCAGAATGAGATGAGAAGACTCTGGTGGCTTTTGAGCAAAGGAGTGATATCATCCTTAGTTTTAAAGTTTTTGCAGTGTTAATGTACGTCTTGTTTTGTTAATAAATTGTCTTCAACACTTTTCTTTAGATTGAGTCTAACAATTTATGAAGAATTTATATAAGATTAAGTAGACAGCCAGGCGCAGTGGCTCATGCCTGTAATCCCTGCTCTTTGGGAGGCTGAGGCTGGTGGATCGCCTGAGGGCAGGAGTTCGAGACTAGGCTGGCCAAAATAGTGAAACCCCGTCTCTACTAAAAACACAAAAAATTAGCTGGGCATGATGGCAGGCGCCTGTAATCCCAGCTACTAGGGAGGCTGAGGCAGGAGAATCGCTTGAACCCGGGAGGTGGAGGTTGCAGTGAGCCGAGGTCGTGCCATTGCACTCCAGCCTGAGCAACAAGAGCAAAACTCAATCTAAAAAAAAAAAAAAAAGAATTAAGTAAATATAGAAAACAAAAGCTATGTTACTTTTTGCATCTCTCTGGGTCTCATTCTTACCTCTAACCCGCCTTATTCCCATCTTTCTTTCCGCCTTGTCCTGGGTAGCCACCCAGAGGGACCCCTCCTCTCCACTTGGACTTCCTCCTTCTCACACAGGTGTGGAGGTGGTGTGGCTCAGCCCTAGCTAGAACCATTTCCAGCACATTCTTCCCTGGGGCCATTTTGTAGTCTAGCCTGTTCCAGCCGGACTTGGATTTACTGACGGTGCAGATCTGCTTTCTCTTTGGGGTGGGCAGAGGGAGAAGCCAGCTCTGGGCTGCTACCATGGGACATTTTGTCCATCAGCCAGATGTGGAGTTAACAAGTCAATGATAATTGAGTAAGTGATGGGGCGCGGTGGCTCACGCCTGTAGTCCCAGGACTTTGGGAGGCTGAGGTGGGCAGATCATGAGCTCAGGAGTTCGAGACCAGCCTGGCCAACATGATGAAACTCCATCTCTACTAAAAATACAAAAATTAGCCAGGCATGGTGGCAGGCGCCTGTAATCCCAGTTACTCGGGAGGCTTAGGCAGGAGAATCACTTGAGCCCAGGAGGCGGGGGTTGCAGGGAGCCGAGATTGTGCCATTGCACTCCAGCCTGGGTGACAAAGTGAGACTCCATCTCAAAAAAAAAAAAAAAAAAAAAAGAATTGGGTAAGTATCTCTAGGGCCCAGCACTGCTCCAGCCCAGTGACTTAACCAAGAAGTTTAAGTCAGAGCTCCTGTTCCAGGGGATGGGTAGGGATACCTCAGCAGGAAGGGAGGAGCAGCACCAGCCCTCTCTGCACGCTGCTCCCCTGGCTTTTGAGTTCTTCTTGATCCTTCTGATGGCCCAAATAATCCAGCCTGGGCCTGAGCCTCTCCCAGATGTGGCTACCAGGCAAGATGCCAGTTCTAGGGAAAGATTTGGAATGAATCATCTCCCCTAGTCCCAGAGGTCTTGAGATTGGAGGACAGGATTCCAGGTTCCAAGGACCCATTCAGGCCTCCAGGAAGACGTTGTCGTGTTAGGAACTGGATGCTTAGCTGATGAAGACCCTTCCAGCAGTAGAGTATGTCCTGCTAAATTTCCTCCAATGGCCCCCCACCCCCATCTTTATCTGCTCACTCTTGCTATCCAATGTTCCCTTCTCCTGTGTCCAAAAGCCCGCTACCTCGCAACTCAGTAAGCTGAAGAGAAAAGTATGGGTGACTGGATCATTTTTAAAGGAACTATGTGGACTCAGATGTTCATGTATGGGCAGTATGGGTATGTATCATCAAACGATCCTGGGCCCTGTTAGCCACCATGCATTCTCATCTGGACTTTGCCATTTTCAAAGCCATGTGACGCCATTTACATTATCTGACCTCTCTGGGTCTCATTTTTCTCATCGGTAAAACGCCCACAGTGATAATAATATCTGTCTATCATGAGCATCTACAACATGTGAGAGGGCTCTGTACGAAGCCCATACAACTGTGAATCCACCTGGAACTGGAAAGAGCATGAATGAGTCCCAGACCCAGTGTGGGGAGAAGAGGAACTGGTAGAGATAAAACAGCAGTGGCCCACGCATGTAATCCCAGCACTTTGGGAGGCCAAGGCAGGCGGATCACCTGAGGCGGGGAGTTTGAGACCAGCCTGACCAACATGGAGAAACCCCGACTCTACTAAAAATACAAAAAATTAGCCAGGTGTGGTGGCAGATGCCTGTAATCCCAGCTACTTGGGAGGCTGAGGCAGGAGAATCGCTTGAACCTGGGAAGCAGAGGTTGCAGTGAGCCGAGATCGCACCGTTGCACTCCAGCCTGGGCAACGAGGGCAAAACTCCGTCTCAAAAACAAAAACAAAACAAAACAAAAAAATGAGTTAGGGGTAGAGCCTGATCTAGGGCCCTGTTTCCTCAGAGAGAGAACTTTGGATCATGGCAGGACTGTGCCAGGTTGGTGCACCCAGGAGACCCCTGTGGAGTGGTGGGGAGGAGCCATGGGAGGGCAGGGCTGGCAGGCAGGCTGAGACCTTGTGGGTCCCTCAGGTAGGGCCGTGGCCACCTCGAGCTCCCTCTTCTGCTGCTCTCTGGGCCTCAGGAGACACCTGTCTTTGTCTTTTCTTTAATGCCACTGTCTATTCCCTCTCCTGGAGGGGCATTCTGGGAGTTAGGAGTTAGTTGTCGTCACACGTGTGTGTGTGTGTGTGTGTGTGTGTGTATAAAGAGTTATGGATGAGACACTGACAGTTCCCTTCTCTCATCTCCTAACTTTGGGACTGCAGAGGAGCGCACTCCTATCCCCACAACAGGACCTTCCCTGTATCTGTTAGGCTCTGCTCTTTGGGCAGGAGGATGGCAACACAGGGTGTAAGTACAAAGAGGTCTTATTACTGTCATTATTATATATCATTACTCCCGTAAGAATCTATTATTAACATGTTGATGAATAGACCTTTAAGAAACTGTGGGCCTGGAGGAACTGATCAAGATGGGGACAGAATGAGGACCTAAGAGAGCCCTCTTCCAGTGCCTGGCTTAATCTCAGGGCCCCCATCATTCTCTAAAGGGAATAAGAGTGGGGAGAGGGGAGGAAGAACATTTCTTGAGACTCAAGAGTTGTCAGGTCCTGTCTTGGGTCTTTCACAAATGTTATCCAACTTATTCATCAGGACAACCCCATGAGATGAGAATAAATTAATCCTCCTATTCGACAGATGAGGAAATTGACGGAGGTCAGTAAAGTTGCCCCAGGTGGGCAGGACACAGCCAACAAGGGAGAAGAGGTTTGAACTCAACTCTGCAAAGCTCTTGTGTTTACACAATATTCTAGCCAGAACAGAAAGAGACCTCTCCCTCTGCGTTCCCCTCCAGCTCTGTATGCGGGAGAAGTCCATTCTTGGGGAAGGCCGAGGGAGGACAGAATCTGCGGAGCGGAAGGAGCAAGGTTGGAGCTGCGCTTACACCTGGGACTGGCTGTGCCATCGGTCCAGCGTCGGCGCCTGCAAGTGTGCGGTGGAGAGGACTGCAGACAGTGGCATCCCCAGGTCACGGAGGGGGTCCCTCCTCCCCCACTACGAGGAGGGCATGAATGACCTCAAGCCTCAGCTCTCCTTTGTTGGCACTGGCTACTCTCTACAGGCCTCCCCGCGCAATGCATGGGGGTAGGAGTAGGAGCAGGTGAACTGTCCAAGCAGAGGCAGCGATGGACAGCCTCTCTTGGGTGCTGCACAGAGAAATCGGGCGATGGAGGAGGAACCCAACATGGGCTTGATGCAGAGGCTGGGGGCCCCATGGCGTGCCAAGTAACCAGCAGCTGTCTGACGCCTAACATGCAACTGGTGCCACTGCGCGTTCGCCAAGCAAGCCCACCCCCTTGCTAGCAGCGCGCTCTCCAATCGAGGAGATGCGCCTTCCCCCTCCCTTCCCCGCCATCTCCCCCT
This sequence comes from Homo sapiens, assembly GCF_000001405.40. Lineage (NCBI taxonomy): Eukaryota > Metazoa > Chordata > Mammalia > Primates > Hominidae > Homo > Homo sapiens. The sequence continues at coordinate 201,469,427 of NC_000001.11, read as the reverse complement.
TCATTCAAGGCCTGGGGGAGCTGCGGTTCCGAGAAGCGGCAGACGGCAGCCAGAAGGCTTGGGCTGTTGAGTAAGCAGCCCCCTCTCAGTCCCGGCCCTCCCCGCCCCGCGCCCTGCGCCTCCAGTGAGTGACTGAGCCCCCGCTGCGGCCCCGCCCCCGGGGCCCTGCCGGAGCTGGTGCGCGGCGCGGAGGGGAGGGCCGGCCAGGGTAGGAATGCGCTGCGGGCGGGCGGCGCAGGAGGCGAGCGGCGGAACATGTAAGGGCACATCCCGCGAGCTGCCGCCCAGCGCGCAGACAGAGCCCAGGGGAGCAAGAGAACGGGCGGGCGGTGGGGCTCACGGCCTAGGGAGGCGCGGAGGCATCTGGCAGAGGCGGGTCGGGCTGGGCCAGCTGGGGTAGAGCGGAGGAGCGGGTGCCGGCTGAAGCGGGGCGGTGGGCGCGGAGCGCGCTGGGGGCACCGACACCACCTCACCGGCAGCCGGGTGCTGAGGGCCGCGGTGTGGGTGCGCGGAGCAGTCAGGGCGCAGGTGGGCAGCGCGCACGGCCTGCCAGCCCGGGGCGCCAGAATCCTGCGCTGCGGGGCCGAGAGGGGCGCCGCGCCCGCCGCAGCCTGGAGCTTTCCGCGAACCTCGGGGCGCCCATGACGGCGGCGGCGACGGCTACCGTGCTCAAGGAGGGCGTGCTGGAGAAGCGCAGCGGCGGGCTGCTGCAGCTGTGGAAGCGGAAGCGCTGCGTCCTCACCGAACGCGGGCTGCAGCTCTTCGAGGCCAAGGGCACGGGCGGCCGGCCCAAGGAGCTCAGCTTCGCCCGCATCAAGGCCGTGGAGTGCGTGGAGAGCACCGGGCGCCACATCTACTTCACGCTGGTGACCGAAGGGGGCGGCGAGATCGACTTCCGCTGCCCCCTGGAAGATCCCGGCTGGAACGCCCAGATCACCCTAGGCCTGGTCAAGTTCAAGAACCAGCAGGCCATCCAGACAGTGCGGGCCCGGCAGAGCCTCGGGACCGGGACCCTCGTGTCCTAAACCACCGGGCGCACCATCTTTCCTTCATGCTACCCACCACCTCAGTGCTGAGGTCAAGGCAGGTAAGCCCCCGGGGGACTGGGCCCTCTTCTCTCCTTCCCTCCCTTCTCTTTCCCCTACAGAGAGAATGAGGACTAGCATTCTACTTCAGAGCCGGACATCTTAGGGGGGAGGTTCCTGGGGCCAACTGAGGGCATGGGAGGCTTGGGCCAGTGGCCAACCCAGCAGATCCGGACTTTCCCCTGAGGCACCAGGTTGGCCGGTCCAGAATGTGATCCAGGTGTGTGAGAGGAAGATGGAAGCCCTGGGAGGGGGATACCTGGGTGAGATGAGCCTTCTTTCAAGTTGGTTCAGCCCTGACTCAGGTGGAAGGAAGTAGAGGGAGGTTGGCCTGCACATTGCCCCAGGCTGTGGGCCTCTGCTTTCCACGCAGAGCAGGGCTCCTGGACTTCGGCTTTCTGGCAGCTGAGGACAACCGAGGGTGGGGACGCGGATCGTGGAGGCCGACCCTCTTTCCCTCTAGGTTGAATGCTTGTCATAAAGTTTGAGCATTGAATTGATGTAGAAAGACAGTATCTCCCAGATGGCGAAGGCACCATCAAGGGTTGCAAATAGAGCCAAGGAGTCCGGCTCCCAAGGTGGGGCCTCAGTGGAAGGTGGGGCCTCAGTGGGCCGCCTTGGCTGGACTGGGCCTGAGGGATCCAGCTCCTCCTCTACATATGTGTGTGTGTGTGTGTGTGTGTGTGTGTGTGTGTGTGTGTGTATGGTTTGTTGTTGTTGTTGTTGTTGTTTGAGACAGAGTCTCGCTGTGTCACCCAGGCTGGAGTACAGTCGTGTGATCTTGGCTCATTGCAACCTCTACCTCCTGGGCTCAAGCAAATCTCCTGCTTCAGCTTCCAGAACAGCTGGGATTACAGGTGCCTGCCACCACACCCTGCTAATTTTTGTATTTTTAGTAGAGATGGGGTTTCGCCATGTTGGCCAGGCTGGTCTTGAACTCCTGACCTCAGGTGATCTGCCTGCCTCGGCCTCCCCAAGTGCTGGGATTACAGGTGTGAGCCACTGCACCCAGCCTATATATATATTTTTGAGACAGGATCTCTACCTGTCGCCCAGACTGGTGCAGTAGCATAGTCATGGCTCACTGCAGCCTCAACAGCTTCAACCTCTTGGGCTCAAGCGATCCTCCCACCTCAGCCTCCAGGTAGCTGGGACTACAGGCACACGCCACCATGCCTGGCTAATTTTTTTTTTTGTAGATTTGGGGTTTCCCCACGTTGCCCATGCTGGTTTCGAACTCCTGAGCTCAAGCAATCTGCCCACCTTGGCCTCCCAAAGTGCTAAGATTACAGGTGTAAGCCACCACACCTGGTCCCCATTCTTGACAGTGGGTTTTGAGCCCTAGGGCTCACTGTTAGGAGAGCAAGGGAGCTGAAGGATAGGCAACTGCGCCAGAGGCTGGGCCACTGATGCCAAGGGGTGGGGGCCTAGCTGTCTACCTGCCCCTGAGTGCCAGTCAGGCCTGGCTGGGCCAGGGAAGGAGAAGCTGGAGGAGGGCATGGGGCACTGGGGCAGGGTGGGTGGGTGCAGCAGGATGGGGTCATGAGTTGTTATTTGTGATGTCTTAATCCTCTATGAGCAGTAGGGCAGGGAGTGGGGGGCGGATTTGTGGTCAGGAAGGCCCAGGGGAGGGGCCAGGAATAGAATCTGGAAGCCCTGGCTCTCAGCCCTGTGCCCTCTTCCCCAGATGCCACTCCCTTCTTGTGAGAAGTAGGAGTAGGGCTGAGAAAGGATTTAGCCTTCCTTCTAGCCTTAATTTTTCCAGTGGAAACCTAGATCCTTCTCTCCCCACTACCACCTCCTAGGCGACCTTACCCGCCTGCAGATGTCTTCAACAGTAGAGAGTCCTAGTGAGCCTGGGGCCCCATCTAGTGCCATACCCCACTTTGATGGTCCTGTTAATGCCCTCCCACATTGTAGTTAGGGTTTAGCTGAGAAGTGGGGTATAAGGCAGACCCCCTGTGCTGAGGATTGATCCACATTGATCCCTCAGGTCTTGGGGGCCTGGGAGGAAGCAGATTCCTTTACCACAGTACGTATGCAAAAAATGTTTTCCATGTTTATGGAAAAGGCTGGGAAGTGCTGGTGTAAAATGCCCAAGCTCATAATAGATACTCCTTTCTCCATTGTTGCCCCTGCTCTAACTGCTGTTCTTTCTTGCCAGCTTCGTTGTTCCCTCTGGCTTGTGGGGGCACGGCTGTGCTCCATGTGGCAAGGTGGAAGGCATGGACGTGTGGAGGAGGCGCTGGAGCTGAAGGAATGGACGAGCCCTGGGAGGAGGGCAGAAGGCTACGCAGGGCTGAGGATGAAGATGCAGCCCCTGGATGGTCCCAGACTCTCAGGACATGCCCAGCTCAGGGGCTTCGAGCCACAGGCCTGGCCTCATATGGCATGAGGGGGAGCTGGCATAGGAGCCCCCTCCCTGCTGTGGTCCTGCCCTCTGTCCTGCAGACTGCTCTTAGCCCCCTGGCTTTGTGCCAGGCCTGGAGGAGGGCAGTCCCCCATGGGGTGCCGAGCCAACGCCTCAGGAATCAGGAGGCCAGCCTGGTACCAAAAGGAGTACCCAGGGCCTGGTACCCAGGCCCACTCCAGAATGGCCTCTGGACTCACCTTGAGAAGGGGGAGCTGCTGGGCCTAAAGCCCACTCCTGGGGGTCTCCTGCTGCTTAGGTCCTTTTGGGACCCCCACCCATCCAGGCCCTTTCTTTGCACACTTCTTCCCCCACCTCTACGCATCTTCCCCCCACTGCGGTGTTCGGCCTGAAGGTGGTGGGGGTGAGGGGGGGTTTGGCCATTAGCATTTCATGTCTTTCCCCAAATGAAGATGCCCTGCAAAGGGCAGTAACCACACAGTTTGCTGAGTGAAATTCTTTGCCCACAAAGACCCAGGGCTTGGAGCATCTCTCTCTTTATCCTTAATCTCCCAATTTGCAACCCATTCTGAAGTCTCCAGCCTGGATAGGCAGAGACACTAAAACCCCAGTAGACAGGGCCTTGGTGGTCCTAGGAAGGAGGGCCCATAGATTCTGGACCGAGGGATGTCAAGCTGGTCAGTTCAGTCCCTATGAATGTCTCTTCTACAGGAGGCTACCCTGCCCCTGCTACCCTGGGAGAAGCCTCAGCTTTCTGGGCAGAGTTTGTCTCCCTGTCATTTATACTCTCAGGCTTTATACATTTACACAGTAAGTTCTCCCTCCTGGAGGGTTAAAAGGAATAATTTCAACAGGGTGAAGGCCTGGCACGGTGGCTCACAACTGTAATCCAAGGACTTTGGGAGGCTGAGGTGGGTGGATCACCTGAGGTCAGGAATTTGAGACCAGCCTGGCCAACTTGGTGAAACCCTGTCTCTACTAAAAACAAAAATTAGCCAGGTGAGGTGGCACACACCTATAGCCCCAGCTACTGGGGGAGGCTGAGGCAGGAGAATTGCTTGAACCTGGGAGGCAGAGGTTACAGTGAGCTGAGATGGCACCACTGCACTCCAGCCTAGGTGACAAAGCAGCAAGACGCAGTCTCAAAACAACAACAACAAAAAAAACGGGAAAACAGGTACAGACAATAGCTGCCTGGAGTTGTACAGAAACTTGATTGGGTAACCCTGGACCTTTCCAGGCTGTGGCCAGCAGTTGACCCTGCCTGCCTTTCCTCCATTGTTTTCCCATGTCTGACCTTCCCTGTTGCAAAGCAGTGGCCTACTACAGGGTCTCTCTGGAGGGAGCAAGGAGGCTCAGTGGCCCCATTCAGCAATTCGAAGTCCCTTTAATTGTTTTGTGCTTCCAACCTGTTTTGTTCCCGTTCAGATTTCTCTCGCCTTCCAATAAAAACTTCCCTGTCCTGTGCCCCAGTCCCTCAGAGTCCACAAGAGGTTCAACTTGCTCATCTGATGTGTGAATTACATCACACAGTTGAATGAGAATTTGTTAATTACAACAGAACTTTTATAAATATGTCACTTACTGTATCCAATTGTACAATTGTCCATGGGTGGCTTAATCCCACCATGGCAAATAAGCGTCTGTTTATGCAACCCTAATCAGTGCTGAGAAAGATCAGAGCTCAACTAGAATGCTGTGATCAATTGGTGATGCCTGCCATGGGCTTTGGAAGAAAGGTGGGGAGAATGGCGGCATTATCTGGGGGGGTGGGCGTGGCTGGAGAGAAGAGGGTTGCCATCCTATATAACAGCAGCTTCTAAATAGCCTCTAAAATAGAATCTTTGGGCGGGGCGCGGTGGCTCACGCCTGTAACCCCAGCACTGTGGGAGGCCGAGGCAGGCGGATCACGAGGTCAGGAGACCAACCTGGCTAACACGGTGAAACCCCATCTCTACTAAAAATACAAAAAAAGTTAGCCGGGCGTAGTGGCAGGCACCTATAGTCCTAGCTACTCGGGAGGCTGAGACAGGAGAATGGCGTGAACCCGGGAGGCGGAGCTTGCAGTGAGCCGAGATCACGCCACTGCACTCCAGCCTGGGCAATAAAGCAAGACTCCATCTCAGAAAAAAAAGAAAAAAAAATAGAATCTTTGCTCTTCAATCAAACCGGAGGGTAACTGATGGTGGGGGTTCAGGCATAAGGAAAAGACGTATCCAGGCACTCAGAAATAGGGGAGTGGGCCGGGCGCGGTGGCTCACACATGTAATCCTAGCACTTTGGGAGGGCAAGGCGGGTGGATCACCTGAGGTCAGGAGTTTGAGACCAGCCTGGCCAACAAGGCGAAACCCCGTCTCTACTAAAACTACAAAAATTAACTGGGTGTGGTTGTGCACGACTGTAATCCCAGCTACTCGGAAGGCTGAGGAAGGAGAATCGATTGAACTCTGGAGGTGGAGGTTGCAGCGAGCGGAGATAGCACCACTGCACTCCAGCCTGTGTGACGGCAGTGAGACTCCATCTCAAAACAACAACAACAACAACAACAAAAACGAAATAGGGGAGTGTTAGTGAACAGATGGGGTTGAGAGGCAAGACATCCAGCAAACTAAATGCCTTTACAGGCTAGGCACTGTGCTCGACTCTGGGGATGCAGAAGAGAAAGACAAGATCCAGTCCTTGCCTCAAGGAGCCAGGTTCTGGTGACATCAGTCAGTGCTAACTGGTGCCCATAGAACTGGCCACCAGGCGCCAGGGGAGCACTGGGCAATACTTTCTCTGTCCAGCACTAGGGGTCATTCTCAGAGCTTGGCTGCAAAGGGCAGTGTAGGGTATAGTATGAGAGACATCAAGGGCAGAGGGCAGGTGGAGGGTGGAGGGGGAAGCAGGCTCTAGTTTCTGGCACTCTGCTTTTTTGGAACACCAGCCCTGTTGGTTTAAAGTATGTTGGTTCTTGACCAAACCCAGCTTCCGTTTCTCTTGCTAGGAGAGTCCCAGCCCCTTGAAGAGTCTGCTGCTGTTAGAGCCCTTGACACAGACCCTAGAACGCAGTTCTAGGTATGCAGCAGTGTAGGGGCTGGTGGTTGCAATGGGGTGATCATTTACTATCATTTGTAAGAGCCTGGGAGCTGTCTGAGTATCCTAAGAGCCCTCACAGCACAGAGGTCTGGGGTTCAAGACCAGGTTTTTTGTTGTTGTTGTTGGTTTTTTCTTTTTTGTTTGTTTTGTTTTGCTTTTTGAGACAGAGTCTTGCCCTGTTGCCCAGGCTGGAGTGCAATGGCACGATCTCGGCTCACTGCAACCTCCGCCTCCCAGGTTCAAGCAATTCTCCTGCCTCAGCCTCCCAAGTAGCTGGGATTCAGGCGCCCGCCACCAGGCCTGGCTAATTTTTTGTATTTTTAGTAGAGATGGGGTTTCAGTGTGTTGGCCAGGCTGGTCTCGAACTCCTGACCTTGTGATCCACCCGCCTTGGCCCCCGAAAGTGCTGGGATTACAGGCGTGAGCCACCGTGCCCGGCTAAGACCAGGTTTTAAAAAAGATCCGTGACCTCTTTGGGGAGTCTTTGCCTCTCTGATGGAGGAGGGGCCATCCTGCTTCCTGGGTTCACGGGTGTTCTCACTGCTCTGGTTTTCATGACTTTGAATTTCCAAGAAGGAGCAAAGGCCCTTACCCCGGGAAGGCTTGGCTAGACCTCAGAGTAGGGTCAAGACCTCTTTGGGGGCACAAACAGGCTCTGATAGTGCCAGCAGACATGCATGAGATGGAAAACCTTTGCTCAGTTGGGCCTGTGAGGCCAGGGAAGGGCTGTTGCCACCAACTCTCCCCATGCTTCGGCAGCCCCAGCGTGGCCTCACCCCCACCCGATACGTGAGTCATCCATGGGAACATGAGACAGGGCAAGTCTCAGCCAGGCAGCTGGGAGTCCGATGAGGTGGGGTGGGGAGACCGAGGGAGAAGGGATGGGCTTGCTGTGGTCAGGGTGAGCTGGGGTTGGGAGCTAAGGCTTTAGCAAGAGTGAGCCTGTTGCAAGGGTGAGAATGGAGACCAGTGAGGAGAGCCAGAGTGAGAGTCCATGAGCTGGAATCGCAGCAGGAAGGAGTAGGGGCAGATAGACAGGGCGTTACCGTGTGCAATCCTGAAGTCTGTTGGGGATGTATAGGTACTGTGGGCAGCTGTCACACCAGGGCCAGGACCCAAGGACCCTGGCAAGACTGGCTATACAGGAACATACTGTAAGGCTGCACAGAGAGCCCTGGTTTCACCTCCCTCAGTCTCCTGCCTCAGTGGGTCCACCATGGTTCACCGAAGTGATCTGTCCAGAATTCAATTCATTCTTCTGCTAAAACTGCCAGCGCTTTCCCCACTGCATTGGGAGGATGCCCACTTGTCAAAAGGGTCTTCTCTCCACTATCAGGGCTATCTCTCCAGTGTTTGTCTCTACGTGCTCCACGCCCGGCCCCAGCATGCAATCCACCCCCATTCCAGGACCTGGGAAAGCTGCCTCACACTGCCAGGCCAGTGTACCCCCACTCTTGCTACATGCTTCTGTATCACTGGCTCAGCTCTCTCTCATGTCACCACCTCTGAGAAGCTTCTCTGAGTGCCCTGCCTACAAGGCAGGCTGAGTAACTGCTCACTTCTCTCTGTGCTGCCATACCTCCTCTATTAGTCACACTGCCTTGTGATTGCTGATTTATGCGTCTGCCTGTCCAACTAGACTGGTCAGTTTCTGCACTTGTTATTTGTATATTCCTGGTGCCTCAGAGTACCTGGCAAATAGTAGATTCTAATAATAAAAATGACAAGTGGTATATAGTGTTTACTCCGTGCAAGATATTGACCCAAGAACTGTAAAAAAAAATTTTCTTTTTTTAAGACAGGGTCTCATTCTGTCACCCAGGCTGGACTGCAGTGGCATGATCTCAGCTCACTGCAACCTTGACCTGCTGCTGGGCTCAAGTGATCCTCCCACCTCAGCCTCCTGAATAGCTGAGACCACAGACGTGCACCACCATGCTTAGCTGGTTTTGTATTTTCTGTAGAGATGGAGTTTCATCATTTTGAACTCCTGAGCTCAAGCGATTCACCTGCCTCAGCCTTCCAAAGTATTGGGATTACAGACATGAGCCACCATGCCCAGCCTATACAATTCTTAAATCATGTAACGTTTCAACAACCCTGTGAGGTAGGTGCGATTATCACGACTCCCATATTTTACATTAAGAAACTGAGGCCCAGAGAAGTTAAGTGGCTGGTTCAGAGTCACATAGCAGCTAAGTGGTGGAGCCAGGAGTCAATGTGGTCACAGTGGGACTCTAGGTAAGTGCTCTTAACCCAACACCAAATAGATTCTTACTGTTTGTGAGTAAATAAGTAAGTGAATGAACCCAGCATTTTGCTGGGAGAAAGGAGGTCAGAAGAGAGAGAGTTGGTGAGGATCAAGCCCCGAGAGGGCAGAGAAGGGAATGGTCTGTGGGCTGGGGGTAGGGGAGGCTTCATGGAGAGGATGACTGGAGCCAAGTCCTGAAACAAGGGTGGAGATTAACTACAGGAAAGGACCCAGAGATGTGCCCCATGACCTGGGAGGCTCTGTGCATGCTCACGAGAGCTAGGCCTGTGGTGAAAATAGCCTAGAAGAGCCGATGGACTCCTTCCTGGTTATGAAGGAGCAGTGAGAACTCTGGGGGAATAAATGGTGTTCCAGGTTCAGAACCTTGTCGCTGTATTGGCCTGAGATGCTCTTTGTCTAAGGACCTGGGCACAGGGTCACCTTAGCCTGCAGGGACAAACGCTCAAGGGATCAGAAGCTGTGATCCCATGTGGCGGCAATCCTGGTCCCAGAGGCCTAGAGGCAGCACTCATGCCCTGCTTGCTGGCTGACCAACCAGCCTGGTTGGCCTGGAATTCTCCAGTTTTAACACTGGAAGTTCTGCATCCGGAGGAGCATCTCAGTCCTAGGCAAACTGTGGTAGTTGGCCACCCTACCCACTGCCCCAGGGACAGGAGGCCTTGTAAAACCCATCCTCATGATCTCACCAGTCAGCTCTGCCCACAGCACTCGGCTCCATTGAATGGGACCGTACAGAGTACAAGCCTGTGGGCAACAGCGCTACAGCCCTGGGGCATCACCCATCAGTGACTCAGATGTCATCAGCATTTCCTGCCATCTCAGGGGAGAGACCCAGGCCCCCAGCTGCAAAGAAGAAAGATAGCCAGGGGTCTCTTGGGGGCTCTCCAGTCAGCTCTGGGGGCCCTACTGGAAGCCAACTGCAACTCACTTTAACTCAACCCAACTTCAGTGCTTTCTTAAGCATGAGTGAGTATTTGCTGCACAGGGGCATAAGCCCATCCCACCCAGACCCTGGCTTTAAAGAGCTCCCAAGGTAACTGAGCCAGAGAGGGCAGCATGCAAAAGGAGGAGGACAGTAAGGTGCAGGCAGAACTATAGGAGGTAGGATGGAGGTGCAGGGAACATTTGAGCTGGCCCTTTTAAGGGAGCGTATAATTCTGACCATCAGAGAGAGGAGGGATGGCGTTCCAGGTGGAAGAAATCACATGTGCAAAGGTGCCAGGACCAGAGAAGGTGAGATGGGACAGGAGACAAAAATGGTGTGCACAGAACCTGAGGAACAACAGCCACACACAGAAGAAGTGGGCTGGGGGTGTGGGCTTCTTTCCGTAGGCAATGGGGAGCCCATCACAGAGGTCTGTCACACACACAGACACACACACACACAGACACACACACACACAGACACACACAGACACACAGACACACACAGAGACACACACCCACAGACACACACCCACAGACACACACACAGACACGCATGTACCCCTTATTTTTATTTTTTTATTTATTTATTTTTAACTAACCCCTTATTTTTATTATAAAAATAAGTTAATTGAAGAAAAATGTGAAAGCACAGAAAAAGAACAGTCACATTTGTGTTTCTATCCCTCAGAGATAGTCTTTGTTAGCATTTTGGTGTATTTTCTTCTACATCTATTTTGATGCAATCATATAATATGTAATTGTTTTTCATACATGGGGTCATACTGTGTACTCTATTATATTCTGCTTTTTTGCTCTGTCCCAGGCTGGAGTACAGTGGCATGATCTCAGCTCACTGCAACCTCCGCCTCCCAGGTTCAAGCGATTCTCCTGCCTCAGCCTCCTGAGTAGCTGGGATTAGAGGCACATGCCACCATGCCTGGCTAATTTTTGTATTTTTAGTACAGACAGGGCTTCACCATGTTGGCCAGGCAGGTCTTGAACTCCTGAGCTCATGATCTGCCCACCTCGGCCTCCCAAAGTGCGGGGATTACAGGAGTGAGCCATCGCACCTGGCCCCCATATTCTGGTTTTTAATGTGTCAATATATTGTGGTTATAAGGCCATACCATTACGTGCCTCTCAATGCCTGTATGTTATTCTGTTCTCTTTACTATTATTTATATAGCAAATCAATCCTTTATTGTTGGACATTCATGTTCTTTTTCATTCTTTCTCTCTTACGTATGAGGCTTCAATGACCATTTGCATATTTAAATCTCCATTTTTGTCTCCGGTTGTTGTTTCTTCAGGGTAATTCTTTTTTGTTTTTGTTTTGTTTTGTTTTGTTTTGTTTTGTTTGTGACGAAATCTTGCTCTGGCACCCAGAGTGGAGTGCAGTGGCATGATCTCGGCTCACTGCAACCTCTGCCTCCCAGGTTCAAGCGATTCTCCTGCCTCAGCTTCCCGAGTAGCTGGGATTACAGGCACCTGCAACCACGTCCAGTTAATTTTTGTATTTTTGGTAGAGATGGGGTTTCACCACGTTGGCCAGGCTGGTCTTGAACTGCTGACCTCGTGATCTGCCCACCTTGGCCTCCCAAAGTGCTGAGATTACAGGTGTAAGCCTGCACCCGGCCATCTTCAGGGTAATTCTTTAGGTGGAATGGCTGGGTCCCCCTGTGGGGTGGGCAGAGGTGATCCTTGGTGGCAGTGATGGAGAAGGGAGACCCTGGGAGGCAGGAAGTGAGTTAGGAGTAGAGCTAATGAGAGCTTGATGACCGGAGGCTGTAATGGAAAGAGGAGGTGGGAGGAAATGAGAGCAACTAGTTAGGAAATGCCCACTGCGGGAGAGATACTGAAGTACAAGGAGGCCTGCCAGTAGCAGTTAAAAACTTAAGCTCTAATCACAGATCTGAGCGTGAATGAATCCCCAAGGTGTCTCACACTAACCACATGACTTGGGCAAGTTATTTGGCATGCCATTAAAATGGGAATGATGATAGCCCCACTTCCTAGGATCACTGTGAGAATTAATTGAGAGAATGCCTGTAAAGTAGATAAAGTACACAGATAGTGCACAATAAATGTTTGTTATTACAGTAGTATAATCATCCTCCTAGTAACTGCTTTGCCTAATCCCTATTTAGAAAACTGTACGTAATTAACAATTTAAATTAGTAACACTTACTGAGTGCTTTTACCTAATCCCAATTCTAGCCTTCATGCATAATGGTCTAAATTTCAGACTGTGCTAGGTTGATGTTCCTTCCACACAAGTGTCCTCATTTTACAGATGATGAAGCTGAAACTCACAGAATTTGAAGCAGTTGCCTGAGATTCTGCAGCCAGCCAGTGGCTTAGAGTGGATTCCTGCCCCCAACTCTGGATCCTAACGCTCTTCTCACCACCTCATGGCACCTCCCTGGCATTTGAACTTCGTGGTTGAAACTGAGGGTAAAGAAAGCAGGCGCGGCTCGTCAAGATCCCCTAGTCATTGGGTTGTGCTGCTCTGTCATTCTCCTCACCAGCACCGCTAACTGCACTCCATTCCGATGGCTCATGGCCCTTCACACACACAAAGGCCCTGCTCCCCTGCCAGGGAAGAGAGAGTAGGTTGCACAACTTGTCTGCATTCACAGAGCATGTCACCAAGCAAGCAAGAAGGAGAACACACAAGTTTGGCCCTGGAAAACCCTTGGCTGACTCTGCTGAGAGGAAAGTGGGCCTCCATGCTAACTGAGACAGTGCAGATAGAGGAACTGAACTGTGAAAATAGCTCTAAAAAGCCAACAGCATCTATTAATTAGACTTGACTGGGGTGTTCAGGGCTGCGGTTTGGAATTGTCAGCTCTTTATGCAAAGGGGACTTTAGATCACTCTGTGCTCTTACCCCATTTCCAAAACACACATAACCAACGAATGTTTCTCACAGTCTGGGTGGTCTCCCACATGGGTCCTGCCCGGTCTGTTTTTCCAGTGGGACAAAACATAGGCTTCTCCCTGGAAGATTCCTGGAAGACCCCTCCCCCCACCTTCACCTTTCAGTTCTGTAAGCTTCCTCATCAGTGCTGTGTTTCTTTCCAGAGCTCTGACTCAAAGAGCCCTCTGGTGTGACCTCATCATATTATCACAACAGCCCTGTGAGTTTGGAAGAGGTAGGAGGATTTCCTGATAGATTAAGGATGGTCGTTCTAAGGCTCTGAGAAGTAAAGTGTCTTCCCCATGGTTAAGGTGGGGTCCCTAATCTCACTACCCAGTCTGGAGTTAGAAAGACAAATGTTCCTGGCCTGGCGTGGTGGCTCATGCCTGTAATCCCAGCATTTTGGGAGGCTGAGGTGGGAGGATCACTCGAGGTCAGGAGTTCGAGACCAGCCTGGCCAACATGGCAAAACCCCGTCTCTACTAAAAATACAAAAATTAGCCCAGCACGCACTGTAGTCCTAGTTACTCAGGAGGCTGAGGTATAAGAATCGCTTGAACCCGGGAGGCGGAGGTTGCAGTGAGCCAAGATCATGCTACTGCACTCCAGTCTGGGTGACAGAGCAAGACCCTGTCTCAAAAAAAAAAAGAAAAAAAAAAAAAAGACAGACAAATGTTCCCATCTAGGGCCCTCTGCTGAAGGCTGTGGAATGCAGGCATCTTGGCCAGTTGGGAATTTAGCGAGGGGATCTCCTCCCTGCTGTGTCTCCTGGCCTCTGCTAGGTACCTGGCAGCTCCTGTCAGCTTAGCCTGCAAGTCATGTTTGCAGTCAGGATCCTCTGCTAGTGCCCACTGCTGGACAGATATTTCAAAATAAAGGTACTAGGAAATCCAGGGTGCCTGGAAGGATGTGGGAGGACCTGGGTCCACTTTGCTTTTCCCAGTGCCTTCTGAGCTCCCAGATCCAAAGCTGAGAGGTCTTCTGCCTGCACAGTCTGGTGAGGGGTCCACCCTGACCCCAGCAGCCAAACCCTTGCTCTTCTGCTCAGCTGCTCATGGGCCTGGGCAGAGCCTGCTGCTGGAACTGACTTGAAGCAGCCCCCTGGTTCCCTGCCCTAGACTGGAAGGTGCAGGAGGGCAGGGTCCTGTACTTTTTTTTTCTTGTGCTCACTGCTGGATTCTCAGGTCAGTGGCTGGCATATAGTGGGTGAATGCTCAGCAAAGACTCGTGGAAAGAATGAACATGAAATTCTGCATGTGGGTAGTGTGCATGCGTGCACCTGTGTGTGTGTGTATGAAATACTGTCTTGGGGGCTTATCGGCTGTGAGGGCAAGTGTTTTCTGTTTGTAGGTGGATGTGAGCTGGGCTCCTGGGAGCTCCTGGGACACTTCAGATGAGTGGAGCCGGGAAGAAATCCGGCAGGTATGCAGTCGGGGGGAATGCACTGAGAGGACACCTAAGTGGCTCTCAGCAGGAATGCCGGCAGCCTGTACCCTCTTTCAGGCTGTCCATTACCCGGCCCTGTGACCTTGGACAACTCCCTCCTTGCTGGGTCTCACTTTCCTCACTTATAAAGCAAAGAGGTTGAAGTAGGTCAGTAGGTTCTAAATCCTGCAGATGGTCAGACTCTCCTGGGTGCCTGTTAAAAGCACAGAACACTGTCACTACCTGCAGCCCACTGAATCTGAACCTCTGGAGCTGGCCTAGGTTTCAGTATTTTTAATAAGTCCCCATAGTGATTCTGAAGTTGCCAACCCAAGGGAAGGATGCTTAATGATCTCAGACAGTGATATTCATCAAGAACTCAGGGTACGAAAAACTATGGCTGCTGTCCTGGTCCCTGGGGTTTAGGGCGCAGGTGCTTGGTGGAGATTTATTGAATGAAGCCTGATGAATGGTGTTACACATACACACACACACATGCACACACACGCCCTGCAAGCTTATATACATCCACTTAGCCTCACATGCCAGGGTCCTGGGGAGCACCATCTGCAACAAGGGCAACCTCATTCCTCCATTTCCTGTGTCTTCCTTAGACTGGTCTGGTGATTTTCTTTGTCAGGTCTCATTCATATCCAAATATTCACTGGAGAAGAGAGCTCCGTGGGCAGCTGGTTTCTGGTCACACTCCTACTGGTCTGGGGGTCAGTTTTCATCAATATAGAATAGGAACTATTAGCCTCTCTCCCTGCAGGAATACTATATACATGAACAAGGTCAAAAATACAACACAAATAAGCATGTAGCAAAAAGTAAACCCGGGCTATAGGCAGATAGAGCGTTGTTGATTTCCTTGGGCTGCTCTCTGTGGTGGCAGCCCTCTCTGCTATGGTCTTTCCCATAGAACTCTGTGGTCTTCTTGAGCCTCTGTTCCTGTGTTTACCTAGCTAGTCCCTCCTGCTCCTTTGAGACTGAGTTCTAGAGTAACGGTGACAGGCAGACTCTAAGATGCCCCTGCCCATAATCTCTGTCTCCCAGAATTCACCCCCTTGTGTAATCCCTTCCCTCTGAGAGTGAACTGGCCTCGTGACTTGCTTCTAACCAATAGAATGGGATGGGATGCCACTTCTGTGGTTAGGCTATATAAGATTGTGGTTTCCATCTTGCTCATCCTGACTCTCTCATTTGCTCATTTTGATGAAGCCATGTTTTTTTTTTTTCTTTGAGATGGAGTCTCACTCTCTCACCCAGGCTGGAGTGCAGTGGCATGATCTTGGCTCACTGCAACCTCCGCCTCCTGGGTTCAAGCGATTCTCCTGCCTCAGCCCCCTAAGTAGCTGGGATTACAAGCACATGCCAACATGCTTGGCTAATTTTTTTTTGTATTTTTAGTAGAGATGGGGTTGCACCATGTTGGCCAGGCTGGTCTCAAACTCCTGACCCCCGTGATCTGCCCACCTCAGCCTCCCAAAGTGCTGGGATTACAGGCTTGAGCCACTATGCCCAGCCTCAAGCTGCCATGTTTTAAAGGCCTACTTGGCAATGAACTGAGGGTAGCCAGGGTGGCCTCTGGTCAAAGCCCACAAGAAACTGAATCTACCAACAACCTTGTGAGCTTGGAAGAAGGTCCTTCCTCACTTGAACCTTCAGATGAGACCCCATCCTGGCAGACACCTTGAATGCAGCCTTGTGATGGACCCTGAAGCAGAAGACCTAGTCAAGCCATGCTTTAATTTGTGACCCATAGAAGCTGTGAGACCATATGTGTGTGTTGTTTTAAGCCACTAAATTTGTAATAATTTGTTACACAGCAATAGGTAACTAATATGGAATCTTCTTTGGGAAGCCTTGCCAGGGTTCTTCTCTTACCCCTAGTCAGAGCCAAGTGCCCCTTCTCTGCATACATCTGTCATTACCCTTTACACACTCTTACTGGTATAGCCTTGGTTTACTTGTTTATATCCCTCTCTAGGTAGGAACCACCTTCTCTTTACCATTTATCTCTAGTGCCTAACCCTGTGCCTGGCACACAGTAAGAGTTCAGTGTTTGCTGAGTGATTGAGATTATAGAATCTCTATCCCTCTTTACCTCCCCACCTTTCCCCAGATTTAGCAGTTTGCCTTCTCAAAAAATAGGAGCAGGTCACCCTGAGATTACTGGCTATTAGAAGGCACCAGAGTGCCCTGGGCTCTGGGAGGGGGCCAGGCTATCACAGGGAAAGTGCTCAGGGCTCAGCCCCATGGTCTTGGAGTCCACGCGAGTCACCAAAAGACTGAGAGCTGGTGGAAGAAGAGCTGGGTTTTTCTGCTTCCCGTTTGGGCAATGCACCTTCTCTAGCTGGCCTGCTTAGCATAGGACTTCCTACCTTCCTACCTCAGGGCATCCTGGACTGTTCTGAGGCTGTAATGTCATTTTTTGTTTGTTTGTTTGTTTTTGTTTTGAGACCGAGTTTTGCTCATGTTGCCCAGGCTGGAGTGCAATGGTGCAATCTCGGTTCACTGCAACTTACACTTGAACCTCCTCCCAGGTTCAAGCAATTCTCCTGCCTCAGCCTCCCAAGTTGCTGGGATTACAGGCATGTACCACCATGCCAGCTAATTTTTTTTTTTTTTTTTTGTATTTTTAGTAGAGATGGGTTTTCACCATGTTGGTCAGGTTGGTCTTGAACTCCTGACCTCAGGTGATTCACCTGCCTTGGCCTCACAAAGTGCTGGGATTACAGGTATGAGCCACTGCGCCCAGCCTGGAGTGTCATTTTTTGTTTTTTGTTTTTTTTGAGATGGAGTCTCGCTGTGTCGCCCAGGCTGGAGTGCAGTGGCACAATCTCCGCTTACTGCAAGCTCTGCCTCCCAGGTTCATGCCATTCTCCTGCCTCAGCCTCCTGAGTAGCTGGGACTACAGACGCCCACCACCAAGCCCAACTAGGAGTGTCGTTTTTGACCAATTAAAAGTGCTATCCCATGGCAGGGCAGATGAACTCCTTCAAAAGGAAATTCTCCAACACAACATAGAAAAAG
Organism: Homo sapiens; assembly: GCF_000001405.40. NCBI lineage: Eukaryota > Metazoa > Chordata > Mammalia > Primates > Hominidae > Homo > Homo sapiens. The sequence continues at coordinate 201,452,313 of NC_000001.11, read as the reverse complement.
AGCCCCTTCCTGAGGGAGCCAGGGCCGGGCACATGTTCTCCTCTGTTCTATCGGGTGAGGAGGGGGTACTGGATTCCTGGGGCTGCTGTAAGAAATTACCCCAAACTTGGTGGCTTAAAATAACAAAAATTCCTTCTCCTGCAGTTCTGGAGCTAAAGATCCGGAATCAGAATCAGTGGGCCAAAGTCAAGGTGTTGGCAAGGCTGTGCTCTCTGTAGTGGTTCTGGGTGAGAAATGATGTCTTGCCTCTTTTAGCTTTGGGTGGCTCCAGGTGTCCTGTGGCTTACGGGATAGTACTTTTCACCTCTGCCTCTGTGGTCACATTGTCTTCTCCTCTGCTGTCTATAATCTCCATGTGCTTTCCTCTAATAAAGACATGTGATGAACTTTACAGCCCACCCAGCTCATCCAGAATAATCTCCCCATCTCAAGTTCCTTAACATCATCACATTTGCAAAGTCTTTGCCATATGAGGTAACATCCACAGGTTCCCGGGATTAGAAAGTGGACCCTTTGGCTGGGCGCGGTGGCTCACTCTTGTAATCCCAGCACTTTGGGAGGCGGAGGCAGGCGGATCACAAGGTCAGGAGTTCGAGACCTGGCCAATATGGTGAAGCCCCATCTTTACTAAAAATACAAAAATTAACCGGGCATGGTGGCATGCGCCTGTAGTCCCAGCTACTCAGGAGGCTGAGGCAGGAGAATTGCTTGAACCCAGGAGGCGGAAGTTGCAGTGAGCTGAGATTGTGCCACTGCACTCAGCCTGGGCAACAGAACAAGACTCTGTCTCAAAAAAAAAAAAAAAAGAAATAAAGGAAGTGGACACTTTGTGGGGGCTGCCACCAAGGGTGTGCCCAGCAGGGAAGAAACCGAGGCACAGAGCAGCATAACATCACATTTTCACCTGAAATGGAAGCCTAGTGCCTGAACTCCCAGACCAACTTCCCTGCCACAGGCTACCGTCTCCAAATGAGGTGAGGCCCGGGACTGACAGGGCCAGCTCCCCATCTGCCCATTTTGTTCTGCAGAGGCCAGCCTGCTTTCTCCTGGATCCCGAGGCTCCTCTTTCCTGCCCCCTCCTTTCTGCTGGCGCCTGCGTGGGAGGCCCTGGCTGCATGACGGGAGTCTGGCCTCAGAGCAAGGACTCAGAGGCATCCTTCCCCAACACAGGCTTGGTAGCCCCACGGTGGGGGAGGCTGTAAATCCCCCGCCCCTGCCCACAGGAAACAGCTGGGTCCCAGGCACCTCCTGCAGACTTAACCCTTTCCAGAACTGCGAACCCCTCCCTGGGCCTGAGCAGCTGGGAAGGGGTGGGGTGAGGGGGCTCTTCAGGTCCAAGCAGAGTTTTTGCTCATGTGTGTGGTGCTGGCAAGTGGCCCCACTATTGTTTATTGAGGGGACTTAAGCCTGCCTGTCCTGCCAGTAGCCAGGAAGGGCTGGGTCTGGTTAACCCTTGGTGTGGCTGTCAGGACCAGGGCAGGAAGGGTGTTGCCTGGGGTGCATGAGCCTCCTCTTTGGTCGTCGCTGGCATCCGAAAGGCCTTTGTCTAGCCCCAGACTATACTGGGCTTTGGGATGAACGCCGGACCCACTGGAAATAACTGTACACTGGCCCCAGGGCGGGGCTGCTGAAATCTAGCAGCCCTCTCCTTGCTAGACTGTAAGTGTCCAGGATGTGAGGACCTTGGTTATCTCTGGCAGAAAACAAATTATTTGTAAATGACCCAAGTGATGCTGGAAGTTTCCAGCTTTCCAAAATTATTTTTCTTCCCCTACCTCTTCTAACACAGGATCTCTTTGGGAATGTTGTAACATTTTGAAGGGTGTGAAAATTCTCAGTAAAGTTAAGTCATTACACACCTAATAATAATAAGGATAATTATTATTATAGTCTCCAAGAAGCTGGAAGAGGATACTCTTATCTCCAGGTGGGTGGGAAGGCCATCCATTAGCACGTTGATGATTGTAATAAAATCTCTGCTGTGTGGCCTGGTAATAAATTTTCATGAGGTTTTCATGACCACTATCTTATTTGATCTTACTTGCCCCCTGTAGCAGAGATAATCCCTTCTCACTTTGTGGATAAGGAAATTAAGAATCAGGGAAGTTTAATATGTAACTTGCTCAAAATTGCAGATTGTGTAGTGTGGGAGCTGGGATCAGAGCTCAGGTCTGTGGGACCTGAAAACTGGCCCTGGCACAGCTGCAGGAAGACGCTGAAGGCACCGTAGAAGAAGTAGGGCCAACAGGAGGGAAAGGGAGCAAAAATGGGAATATGGGGTCCAGAGCAAAGGCTTGGGAGTTTTACTAATAAATCCTCGGCCAGGCGTGGTGGCTCACGCCTGTAATCCCAGCACATTTGGAGGCCGAGGTGGGTAGATCACTTGAGGCCAGGAATTCGAGAGCAGCCTGTCCAACAAGGTGAAACCCCGTCTGTACCAAAGATACAAAAATTAGCCAGGCATGGTGGTGAGTGCCTGTAATCCCAACTACTCAGGAGGCTGAGGCAGGAGAATCGCTTGAACTCCAGAGGCAGAGGTTGCAGTGAGCCAAGATAGTGCCACTGCACTCCAGCCTGGGTGACAGAGCGAGATTCCATCTCAATAAAATAAAATAAAATAAAAATAATAATAAAATAAATCCTTATCCTGAGTGACTTGGAATGGTAGCTGGGCAGTACTAGCATTTTGTTGAAAGGTAATTGTGGGTCAGTACTCTGTTAGGTGCATTGCATGATTTAGTAAATAATTCATATAATAAAGACAGGGAAGGAACAAGGATGGGATGGGGATTATCAAGATAGAAGATGGAAACTGAGCTTTTTCAGGCAGGCAATGGCAGGAAGCAGGGTGCGGAGGCACCTTGATTAACAATGGGACCCAGCAGCCTGGAAGGATCCAGAACAAATCCTGGCACATGTCTGGCCATTGTGGAGTGGGAGGAAGGTATCAAAACCTGCCACTCCAGGAGATGGGCTGGAGTGTGAGCCTCGTCCCTCTGGCCTGGCCCTGATGAACCATGATCTGCCCCTCCCCCAAGCCACAACACAAAGACAATAGTCCCAGCGAGCCTCCTTGGGACAGGACAGATCGTGCCAGGCTGCCCAGCAGGACAAGGGGCCCTTGTGCAGGCCTCAGCTTCAGATCCTGCTCCACCCTCTCTGCGTTGGGGGGTGGTCGGAAGTTCAGATCTTGTGATGGGAGGGAGGCTGAGAGTCTTTCTACAGGGCCAGTGCTGGGGCCAGGGTCACCCAGAGGTCTCCAGGGAGCCAGGGGTGAGGCTGGGTAGCAAGTTTTGGGTTTCTGGAGTCTGGGGGAGGCAGGAGATTGGCTGCTCTGGGTGGCTTCTTGTGGAGCTTGAGAAGTGGCCTTCTTTGAATAGAAAGGAACAGAAGTTTCCTGACCTTTCTCATTTGATCCTCACAACCCTGTAGGGTATAAATGCAAAAGATGATTACCCCTATTTTACAGATGAGAAAACAGGTTCAAAGAGAAGGAAGGCTTTACCTGAGGCCACCCAGGGAGTAAGAGGAAGTGCCAGCATTCACAGCAGCTCTGGGAGTGGGGATGGAGTATGTGTGGTGAATTTATTCGAGAGGCCCGAAGGCCGTCTGAAAGCGTGGGTGCCAGGGTCCTTTTTGCAGTAAAGGTCAGGGTCCTCCCATCACACCACCTGCTCCGTCCCTTCCCACTGCCCCCCCACCCCCATGCCAGGGTCAGCCGCTGGGAGCCCAGGCCAAGCCTGCAACATTCCAGGGAAGGGAGCTGTGGCTCAGGCTGGAAGCTGGGTCAGGGGGCACAGTGGCCCAGCCAGACGGCCTAAATGTACTCAGCTTTTCCTTGAAATTCCACACACCCTGGGCGTTTGGCAGGAGCCCGGAATGCACTTCATCTGAACAATTTGTCTTTCATGGTGCATTTGCATCAATTACCCCATTGTCCTTTCGCCTTTTCTTGGACCACTCTGGCGGTCGAGGCGCGCCCTGTGTGTGCTGGGAGCTGCCGGATGTAGGGTGCGGGGAGGGTGGGGCTGCCCCCTGGTGGCCTAACCTGCACTCACCCACCTAGATGTCTGCCTGAGCTGCTTAAGGAGCAGTCAGATTCCATCCCACAGGATGACTCGTCTGACCCCAGCTCCCCACTCCCTAAACTGTTCCCAGGGTCCCTGGGTGGGGGCGGAGAGAAAGATTATGAGAGGCGAGATGGCACAACACAGGCAGGTCAGGCAGTTCATGAAAGGGAGGGTCCATGGATCCAGGGCTTGGGATCAGCCCCCACACTGCCCCCAGCACCTGTGGAACCTTAGGTGATTCAGCAACCTCTCTGGGCCTCAGGGAGTTATTTGTGAAATAAGAAGCAATAGTGTGCAATAGTGCTAACATCCTGGGCGTGGAAGCTTCATGTATGGGGTTTGAATCCTGGCTCTCCCATTTGCTGGCTGGGTGCAAGATGTTTATCTTGATAAGCCTCAGTTTCTTGCTCTGTAGAATGATGAGAGCAACAGAGTTGGTCCCTGTTATTTGTGGATTTCATATTTGCAACTGAGTGTACTTGCTGAAATTTATTTGTAACCCCCACATCAATACTTGTGGAGCTGTGATCGCTGGCAGCTATACAGAGTGTCAAAAAACTTGAGACAAATAAGATGACACTTTGGCTTCTCATTTCAGTTCTCATCCAGTAAGCAAGGGTCCTTTTCTTGGTCTATTTAGTGCCTTTTTTTTTTTTCATATCTGTGGTTTTTGTTGGTGATTTTACTGTTCAAAATTGCCACCAAGCATAGTGCTGAAGTGCTGTCTGGCGTTCCTTAGTGCAAGAAGGCTGTGATGTGCCTTGTGGAGAAAATCTATGTGTTAGATAAGCTTTGTGCAGGTATGAGTTATAGTCTGTTGGCTGTGAGTTCAATGTTAGTGAATCAACAATAAATATTAAATATGACACCTTTTTGTTTTTTTTTTGAGAGAGGGCCTCACTCTGGTCACCCAGGCTGGAGTGAGCTGGTGCCATCACGTCTCACTGCAGCCTTGACCTGTCAGGCTCAAGAGATCTTTCCACTTTGACCTCTTGAGTAGCTGGGACCACAGGTGCTCACCACTGTGCCTGGCTAATTTTTAAAAAGTTTTTTGTAGAGACGAGGTCTTCCTAGGCTGGTCTCAAACTCTTAAGTTCAAGGGATCCTCCTGCCTCACCTTGGCCTCCTGAAGTGCTGGGATTACAGACAAGTGCCACAATGCCTAAATAAGGTGTCCTTAAACAGAAACACATATAATACAAGGTTATACATTGATTTTATGTATTTATTTATTTATTTATTTATCTATCTGAGACAGAGTCTTCTCTGTCGCCCAGGCTGAAGTGCAGTGGTGTGATCTCAGCTCACTGCAACCTCCACCTCCCGGGTTCAATAGATTCTCGTGCCTTAACCTCCCAAGTAGCTGAGATTACAGGCATGTGCCACACCCGGCTAATTTTTGTATTTTTTAGTAGAGACAGGGTTTTGCTATGTTGGCCAGGCTGGTCTCGAACTCCTGGCCTTAAGTGATCTGCCTGCCTTGGCCTCCCAAAGTGCTGGGATTACTTACAGGCGTGAGCCACGATGCCCAGTCACAAACTAATTTTAAAAATTGATAAAAAACATTGTGATCACAGGCTTGCAAGAACATAATCCTGTATTTCCACTAGGAGCAATTGGTCAGTACTTGCTAATTCTGGGTTCCCAGAGACTTTATAGAATGTAACTACCCAAATAACAAGAATCTACCGTACTTACAGTTTTTCTCCAAGGCTTGAATATGTCAAGTGTGGCATTGTAGCAATTGCAGTTAATACTGTTCCCTGGTGTATAAGCTCTCGTGTTGATTCTCCTGAAGCCCCTAAGCTTCATGTGGGGGTCAGCTGCCTGAAGGTGGGATCCCTCCAGGAGTACACACAGACACATCACCAGCCTCATCTTCGCTGCTCATGCCTGAAACTTCTACCATGAATACTTTATTCATTCAGTTTCATTAAAAGGCCAACGTCTCTCTTGATGATTCACAGGGCTCTCTTCATTGACATTATCTTATTTGGCCTTCACAACAATTGCGATGGTAGTGTCATTGTTCCCATTTATAGATGAGTCTGAAGTTCAGAGAGGATAAATAATCCGACCAAGGTCACCTGGTTTGTTGATAGCTGTATTAGTCCCGTCCTCACACTGCTATAAAGAAATACCTGAGACTGGGTAATTTGTAAAGAAAAGAGGTTTAATTGGCTCATGGTTCCACAGGCTGTACAGGAAGCATGGCAGCATCTGCTTCTGGGGAGGCCTCAGGGAGCTTTTACTCATGGCAGAAGGCAAAGCGGGAACAGGCGTCCTGCATGGTGGGAGCAGGAGGAAGAGAGAGAGAGGGGAGGTGCTACACACTTAAAAATTTTTTTTTTGGAGACAGGGTCTCACTCTGTTGCCCAGATTGGAGTGCAGTGGCACAATCTCAGCTCACCGCAACCTCTGCCTCTCAGGCTCAAGCAATTCTCCTGCCTCAGCCTCCCGAGCAGCTGGGAATACAGGGATATGCTACCATGCCTGGCTAATTTTTGTACTTTTAGTAGAGATGGGGTTTCACTATCTTGGCCAGGCTGGTCTTGAACTCCTGACCTCAAATGATCCACCGGCCTTGGTCTCCCAACGTGCTGGGATTACAGGCGTGAGCCACCGTGCCCAGCCTACACACTTTTAATTAACCAGATCTTGTGATAACTCACTCACATCACTCACTCACTATCACGAGGATAGCACCAAGGAGATGGTGCTAAACCATTCATGAGAAAGCCACCCACATGATCCAACCACCTCCCACCAGGCCCCACCTCTAACACTGGAGATTACAATTTCACATGAGATTTGAGCAGAGACACACATCCAAACCATATTAGTGGCACAACAGTCAGAAAGCTTCAAATTCCACTGTCTTTCCACCACCAGACGCTGTCCTGGTAAAACATAAATGCTCCAGGGGAGGTAAAAGCCAGGTCTTGTTACTTACACTTTAGTGTGAATGAGTGCATTGAGATCCCCAAGGAAATTGACTGAGATCAGGTGGGTGATAAATATCTGATAAATACGCCTCTGCCTCTACCCTGGGCCAGGGATCACTGCTGCTTACTTGAATCACCCTGACTCCTCCTACCTCCCTTTCTGCCTGCAGTCCCTGCCCCGCTATCAACAGTTACCTTCCTAAAACTCAGGTTTGATTATCCTGCATCCCCTAAAATCAATCAGAGGATGCCTTTGCCTGTAGGGTGGGTCCACGTCACTTAGCTGGGATTCAAAGACTTTCCGATGACGTCAGCCTTCCTCTCTTGCCTCCCTTCCTACCAGCCTCCTATGGTCTGACCACAAAGAGAGGTTGCAGGATCTCACCATGCCTCTGCTTTCTCCCCTTCAAACTTTTGCTTGCATAGCTCCCTCTGCCTTTCTCTGCAATCTTAGTCAGCTGGGGCTGATAGAACAGAACAACATAGTCCTGGTGGCTTAAACAACAATTTATTTCTCATAGTTCTGGAAAACTGTGAAGGAGGCTGGGAAGTCTAAGCTCAAGGTGCTGGCAGATTCTTTGTCTGGTGCGGGTTCTCTTCCTTGTTTGCAGATGGCTGTCTTCTTATTGTATCCTTACATAATCAAGAGAAAAATAATCTGTCTCATGTTTCTTCTCAAAAGGGCACTAATTCCATTCATGAGGGCTCTACCTTCATGACCTCATCACCTCCCAAAGGCCCCACCTCCTAACACCATCACATTGCAGGTGAGGATTTCAACATATGAACTTTAGAGGGAGGCTGGGTGGGGTGGCTCACATCTGTAATCCCAGCACTTTGGGAGGCTGAGGTGGGTGGATCACCTAAGGTCAGGAGTTCAAGACCAGCCTGGGCAACATGGTGAAACCCCATCTCTGCTAAAAATACAAAACTTAGCTGGGCATGGTGGCAGGCTCCTGTAATCCCAGCTACTCAGGAGGCTGAGGCAGGAGAATCACTTGAACCCGGGAGGTGGAGGTTGCAGTGAGCCAAGATTGTGCCGTTGCATTCCAGCCTAGGTGACAAAAGCAAAACTCCATCTCAGAAAAAAACAAAACAAAACAAAACTGTAGAGGGTCACAGTTGTAGTGACCCTCACAGTTTCAGGGTCACAACATTTAGTCCATGGCACCTGCCTGTCCTCACACCCTCCTCCGGTCTGCCTGTTCAAATCCAATCTATCCTTCTCAGAGCCTGCTCCGCGGTGAGACCCATCATCCTCTAGAGCCTGCTGCTTCTTGCTCTCCTGCCCCTTCCCCTCTCTCAGGCTTCAGACGCCTGCACTAAGGTCACCGTCTGGACTCCCTGGCCCCGGACAGCCATCAAATCCTTCCCTGGCCCTGAGTGTCTCTGTGGAACTAGGCCTTGCCTGCCTCAGCCCATTCCTTCCCTCCCATGGGCTCTGGGCCTGGGGAAGCAGGGTTTGCAGGGGCACAGCTGGGAGAGAGGCTTCCAGGTGCAGGGAGCAGGAATGAGACGAAGATGCTGGGAAAGCTGCTCTGGTGTGTGAGATCCAGAGGCAGAGAGAAGGCTGGGCATCATGAATGTAATTGCCTCTTTGACTTTTTTTTTTTTTCAGAAGGGGAAAGGGACTTTAGTTAAGATCTGAATGGTTTTTAAGTTGTTTTTGGTTTCCAGACATATATTTTATGTGCATCCCTGACTCAGAGGAGCCCTAAGACAGGCATGGGTGAGCGTGCTTCCTCATCCTCACCCCACCCCACCTGGCCCCCACTTTTCCTGCATTTTAACAAACACCCTTACCTTTTCCTTCCCTGAGAAAGCCAACTATTGGATGCGCTTAACCTGATTCCATACAAATGCCCAGCTTCTCTCTATCCACACCTCTCTCCCCTCCTGCCTCAGGGATCATGTTCCTTTTCCTGTTGAAGCCAATCTGGCCACTGGTGCTCTTTTCTTTTTTCCTTTCTCTTTCAATTTTTCTTTATTATGGCAAGTATGCTTAACAGAATTTACCATATTAACCATCCATGTTTAAGTGTAGAGTTTCGTGGTGTTAAGTACATTCACATTGTTGTGCAGCCATCACCACTGTCCATCCACAGAACTCTTTTCATCTTGCAAAGCTGAAACTCTGTACCCATTAAACAATAACTCCCCACGCCCCCTCCCCCAGCCCCTATTCTACTTTCTGCCTTACGAATTTGACCACTCTAGGAATCTCCTATAAGTAGATCATAAAGCATTTGTCTCTATTTTTTTTTTTTTTTTTTTGAGACTGAATCTCACCTGGTTACCCAGGCTGGAGTGCAGGGATGCGATGTTGGCTCACTGCAACCTCTGCCTCCTGGGTTCAAGCGATTCTCCTGCCCCAGCCTCCTGGGTAGCTGAAATTACAGGCATGCACTATCACGCCTGGCTAGTTTTTTTTTTTTTTTTTTTTTTTTTTTTGTATTTTTAGTAGAGACGGGGTTTCACCATTTTGGTCAGGCTGGTCTCAAACTCCTGGCCTCAAGTGATTTGCTGGCCTCAGCCTCCCAAAGTGCTGGGATTACAGGCATGAGCCACCACACCAGGCCTGCATTTGCCTTTTTGTTACTGATTTATTTCACTTAGCTTAATGTTCTCAAGGTTCACCTGTGTTATATCATGTGTGAGAATTTCTTTCCTTTTTAAAGCTGAATAATATTCCATTGTATGTATATATCACATTTTGTTTATTCACAAGCTTATTGGTTTTAGATGGGGTCTCTTTCTGTTGCCCAGGTGTACAGGTATTCCATTGTATGTATATATCACATTTTGTTTATCCATTCATTTGTTGTTTTAGACAAGGTCTCACTCTGTCACTTAAGCCGGAGTGCAGTGGCACAATCATGGCTCACTACAGCCTCAACCTCTCAGGCTCAAACAATCCTCCTGCCTCAGCTTCCCTACTATAGTAGTCCCAGCTACTTGGGAGGCTGAGGCAGAAGCCACCATGCCTAGCTAATTTTTTTTTTTTAATTTCTTGTAGAGGTGGGACCTCACTATGATGCCCAGGTTGGTCTCAAACTCCTGGGCTGAAGTGATCCTTCCACTTTGGCCTCCCCAAGTGCTGGGATTACAGGTGTGAGCCACCGTGCCCAGCCTCCATTCTTTTGTTGATGGACACTTGTGTTGCTTCTACCTTTTGGCTATTGTGAATAATGATGCTATGAACACAGGTGTACAAATATCTCTTCAAGATCCTGCTTTCAGTTCTTACACTCAGGAGTGGAATTGCTGGGTCATATGGTAATTCTATTTTTAATATTTGAGGAACTGCCATAGTGTTTTTCACAGTGGCTGTATTTCTATTCCCAACAACAGTGCACTAGTGTGCCAATCTCTCTATATCCTCACCAACACTTGTCATTTCCTGTGTATTTGATGGGAGCCATCCTAATGAGTGTGAGGTGGAATGTGGTTTTGGTTTGCATTTCCCCTATCAATTAGTGAAGTTGAGCATCTTTTCATGTGCTTATTGACTATTCATATATTTTCTCTGGAAAAATACCTGTTCAAGTCCTTTGACCATTTTTTAATCTGGTTGGTTGTTTTGTTGTTGAGTTGTAGTTCTCTATATGTTCTGGATATTAATATCTTATCAGATACATGATTTGCAAGTATGCTGTCCCATTCAGCAGGTTGCCTTTTCACTCTGTTGGTAGTGTGTTTTAATGCATAAAAGTTTTCAATTTTTATGAAGTCCAATTTGTCTATTTTTGCTTTTGATGCCTCTGCCTTTGGTGTCATATCCAGGAAGTCATTGCCAAATTCAATGTCGTAAAGTTTTGCCCTACATTTTCTTCTAAGTGTTTTGTAGTTTTTAGCTCTTATATTTGGGTCTTTGGTCCATTGTGAGTTAATTTTTGCATATGGTGTTACGTAAGGGTCCAACTTCATTCTTTATCATGTGGATATCCACTTTCCCCAGCACCATTTGTTGAAATGACTGTCTTTTTCCCACTGAAGGGTTGTGGCACCCTTGTCTAAAATCATTTGACCATATATGCGAGGGTTTGTTTCTGGACTCTCTATTCTATTCCATTGATTGATATGTCTGTCTTTATGCCAGTACCACACTGTTTTGAAGACTGTAGCTTTGTAGCTAAGTTTTGAAATCAGAAACTGTGAGACCTCCAGCTTTGCTGTTCTTTTTCACAATTGTTTTGGGTTTTAGGGTCCTTTGAGGTTCCACATAAATTTTAGGATGGATTTTTCTATTTTTAAAGAAGATGTTGTTGGGAGGCACTAATGCCTCCCAACAACAATCCTCTGTTCCTGTTAGCTCTTTCTCCACAGGCACCTTCTCTTTGCTATAAACATGCTCACTTCTTTGTCATCCTAACAACTACTCCTTTGACCCCGTGTCCACCTCAGATATTTGTTCTATTTATCTTTACATATTTTAAAATCCAACCTCCTTGAAAAAGAAGCTCACTCTCTCACTTCCTCATGTATGCCCACGTGCTTCTTTTTATTAGCTGATTTTAATTTTTATGAAGACAATGAATGGCCACAGTTTAGAAAGATGAAAAAGTGCCACATTTCTTATAATGAAAACAGCAGTTTCCTGTGCCCCACTCTCCCCAAAGGCAGCCACTTAATTTTTCTGATATTCCAATGTGTATTTGCAACAACAGCCTGATAGTGCTCTTTGTAGATTTTTCAGTTTAAATACTATCTAGCCCAGGTGTGGTGGCTCATGCCTGTAATCCCAGTGCTTTGGGATGCCGAGGCGGGATCACCTGAGGGCAGGAGTTTGAGACCAGCCTGGCCAACATGGCAAAACCCCGTCTCTCCTGAAAATACAAAAATTAGCTGGGTGTGGTGGCGGGCCCCTGCAGTCCCAGCTACTCAGGAGGCTGAGGCAGGAGAATCACTTGAACCTGGGAGGCAGAGGTTGCAGTGAGCCGGGATCTCGCCACTGCACTCCAGCCTGGGCGACAGAGCGAGATACTCCATCTTAAAAATAAATAAATAAATAAATAAATAAATAAATAAATAAATAAATTAATTAAAAAAATAAATACATACTATCTAAACTGACTTCTTGTGACGGAAGGCAAGAACAGTGCAAACCTCACCCCAGCCCCCATGCAAACCCATCCCCCATCCTTTCAATACATTTAGTTTCATCTCAAGTTTTGGTTAAGTTAAAAATAGTTACATAACTTTGATTAGATAAATTTTCTTACATCCCATGTAGTATATTATGATTAACCTTCCCTACTTATATGATTTTTGGTTTTCTCTGAAGTTAAGTTTTGCCGTGTTTTTATTTGCTTAGTTGTCTATATATGTTTCATGACTAAATTAGCCTCTTTTTCCTCTTGGCCTAGAGGGCTCAGTAGATCCAAACCTGTGAGGAAGTTATGAGCACTCTTCTCTCTTCTCTCTTTTCTTTTTTTTTTCTTCCATACCCCTCGCCTGCCCCCAGTCTCCCGCTCTAATCTGTGCTAGTTACTTACTGGGCCTCATATACAGCTGTTAGTGATCCTAGAGCTTCCCTCTCCACTGTCCTGGGAATTTCCTTTGCCTCTTACCTACAGGATCCCAAATTCCCTGAACCCCATGCCTGCCTTTTGGTGATTTGCTCCTTCGTTTTGGTGAAACCCAATCTCTAGTACCTTCCTGAGAAAAGAGGCAAGAGAATTTAGAAACTTTGCATATATGAAAATATCTTTCTTCTGCTTCTTTTTTTTTTCTTTTTTTTGAGACTGAGTCTCACCCTGTTGCCCAGGCTGGAGTGCAGTGGCACCATCTCGGCTCACTACAAGCTCTGCCTCCTGGTTCAAGTGATTCTTCTGCTTCAGCCTCCAGAGTAGCTGAGATTACAGGCATGTGTCACCACGCCTGGCTAATTTTTGTATTTTTAGTAGAGACGGGAGTTTCACCATGTTGGCCAGGCTGGTCTTGAACTCCTGAGCTCAAGTGATCCGCCTGCCTCAGCCTCTCAAAGTGCTGGGACCATAAGCATGAGCCACCACACCCAGCCAGAAAATATCTGTCTTCTACCTTGACAGTTAATTGATAATTTACCTGGGCATACATAGAATTCTAGTTGAAAATTATTTTCTCTTAGAATTTTTGGGCCAGGTGCAGTGGCTTATGCCTGTAATCCCAGCACTTTGGGAGGCCAAGATGGGCATATCACTTGAGGTCAGGAGTTTGAGACCAGCCTGGCCAGTGTGGCAAAACCCCATCTCTACTAAAAATACAAAAATTAGCTGGGCGTGGTGGTGCGTGCTTGTAATCCTTCCTACTCAGGAAGCTGAGGCAGGAGAATTGCTTGAACTCGGGAGGCGGAGGTTGCAGTGAGCCGAGATTGTTCCAGTGCACTCCAGCCTGGGTGACAGAGGGAGATTGTCTCAAAAAAAAGAAAAAAAAAATTTTTTAAAGAGATTTTTCTATTGTATTCTAGTTTCCTGTGTTGCTCTTGAGAAGCCTAAAACTATCCAACTTTGAATCTTTTGTATGTGACCCATTTTTCTCTTTGGAAGTTTCAAGTGTCTTCTCTTTGTCTCCCGTGCCTTAGGTCTTTGTGAATAATACAGCTGGGACTTGGTAAGCCCTAGCCCCTGGAACGTTGTGCGTTCAATTTCTTTGGTAACTATCTCCATTTCCAGCTCTTTGTTTTGTTTTTCTGGAGTTCCAAGTAGTAAAATATTGGACTTCCTGGATGATCTTGAATTTTCTTATCTTTCTTGATCTATTTTCCATCCTTTTTTTGTGCCTCTGGAATCTTTCTTCAACTTTATTTTCTAGCCCTTCCAATTAACATGTTATTGTTGCTGTCATATTCCTAATTATTAAGAGTTCTTGCCGGGCGCGTTGGCTCACGCCTGTAATCCCAGCACTTTGGGAGGCCGAGGCGGGTGGATCACGAGGTCAGGAGATGGAGACCATCCTGGCTAACACGGTGAAACCCCGTCTCTACTAAAAATACAAAAAATCAGCCGGGCGTGGTGGTGGGCGCCTGTAGTCCCAGCTACTCGGGAGGCTGAGGCAGGAGAATGGCGTGAACCCGGGAGGTGGAGCTTGCAGTGAGCCGAGATCGCACCACTGCACTCCAGCCTGGGCGACAGAGCCAGACTCCGTCTCAAAAAAAAAAAAAAAAAAAAAAAAGAATGAGAAAGAGTTCCTTTTGTTTTCTGAATGTTATTTTTTCCTTTTTTGTATGGATTCTCTTCCCATTTCATGGGTGCAATATTATCTCTCTGTCTTTGGAAATATTAATCATAGTTTTTTGATGTTTTGTTCTGTTGTTTGCATTGTATGTTTTGTAAACCAACAAGTGTCTGAGACAGATCTCAGTCGATTTAGAAGTTTATTTTGCCAAGGTTGAGGACACGCTTAGGAAAAAGAAACACAAACCACGGTAGGATCTGTGGCCTATGCTTTTTTCCAGAGAGGGTTTTGAGGACTTTAGTGTTATATTAATTATTAATAAAATTAATAATATCACATTAATTAACTATATTAATAGTCCCTTCAGGACTCTGTCTCCCCTTGACTTCTGTGACATCATACTAATCTTATTCTAGCCCTGTCTCTTTTTCTCTCCTCTTCTGAGTTTCTTCCTCTGCCTCCCTTTAAAACACATCAATGGTTGGGTGTGGTGGCTCACACCTGTAATCCCAGCACTTTGGGAGGCTGAGGAGGGTGAATCACCTGAGGTCGGGAGTTCGAGACCAGCCTGGCCAACATGGTGAAACCCCATCTCTACTAAAAATACAAAAATTAGCCAGGCATGGTGGGCACCTGTAGCCCCAGCTACTCGGGAGGCTGAGGCAGGAGAATCGCTTGAACTGGGGTGGGGGAGGTTGCAGTGAGCCAAGATTGCACCACTGCACTCCAGCCTGGATGACAGAGTGAGACTCTGTCTCCAAAGAACAAAACAAAACAAAACAAAACAAAACAAAACAAAACAAAACAAAACACATCCATGCCCCTTGGGGCTTATTCTTAACCTTCGTCTCTTCCATAGTGAGAGTAAACTTGCTAGAGTTCCCCACACACCATGCTTTCTTAGGCCACTGTGCCGTGGCCAGGCTGTTCCTTGGGTCTGTAGTGCCCTTTGTCCTTGGTTGCCTGATGAACTCCTATACATCCTACAAAACCTGGCTCAGGGCTTATGCCCCCTGCAAATCTTCTCTTGAGTCCCCTCTGAGAGAATTAATCACTACCTTCTCAGTATGACATTAAAACACGTTATTGCATGTATTATAAATGTTTGGGGAGTTTTTATATATTCATGTGGCCAACAAGGCAGGAAAAGCAGGCTTCCCTTCTGTCTGGATTTTAGACTGCATCACAAAAAATTCACATTTATCAAGGTAGGTGGAGAGGATACCAGGGAGGGTATAGCAAGAGTATACTTCACTCCAGGCTGAACCCCCTGAATTATTCTGAGGTGGCTGCACCTGGAGTTGGGAGTGAATATCATTTTGTTACAGGCTGTGAGATTCTTGGCTCCCTGGACTCCGCAAGGCACCTTGGGAACCTCAATATCCTTCAATAGTGGAAACGGGAATTTTCTTCATACCTCGGTCTCCTGAGGCATCAGGGACCATCCACTCACTCCTGGCTCCACACCTCCCTCTAGGGTCAGCCGCCTTCTCTCCAAGCTCTCTCCACTTCTCAGTGTCACTGTTGGCCACGCCCAGAGAGGAGCAGGGGCTACTGCAGCTGGTGTCTCTTCCTGGGATGAAGCATCTTGAAGTCTTTAGAGACACTTGTGCACACACTACAGGCCTCCTTCCCATGTGTGTCCTTGAATGGGTTCCAGAGGGTCTCTGAGCCCGCTGGAATTGGTGTGGAATAGCTTTTGGCTTTTCAAAATGATGTGTGTGAATGCTTTTGCATTGCAAAAGTTTTCAAAGGAAGCTTGAACCCCCTTCCAAAAGTTAAGAACCATAGAACACTTAGATCCTCAAGGGAATTCTGGGATTACAGGGAGACCTCACTTTAAGAAAGATAGACAGGTCCAAAGCAACTATGTTGGAGTTACAGTAACTGCATTGCAAGACGCTTCTCTCACATGAACTGTATTTGTTGCTCTCCAAGCTTTAGCCCTGGAATCCACCCAGATCACCTAGCTGTGAACAAGCGTGCAGGGAAGGTTCAGGGAGTGATGAATAAGAGGCTGGGACTGGAAACACTTTTGATTGTTTATCATGTGGGTGGAGGGAGGAGGGACATTCACATACAATCAGCCACTTTGAAAATTTCACACCCAAGCGATCTCAGGCATATAGTCAGTCACAAACAAGTCACCCACACGTTCTTTCCCTTTCTCTCTCTGTTTCTCTCTCTCTCTTCACACACACACACACACACACACACACACACACACAGGCACGCGCACACACATGCACACACATGCACCAAGGCTCACCAATGCTCCCTCTGGTGGCAAGAAGAAGAACTTTATCTCTTTATTCCAGGAATAGAAATACAGCTCCCGGGACTAGGTCAGCCAATGCCAGGTTTTTCTCACATAACCCACACGGAGTACTGAAACAAAATTCACAGTTTTATAATGCCACTGTTTCATGCAGTGCCTTCAGGGCATTTTATTAAACCACAAAATACCTGGAGCTCACTAGCAATGACTGATCTTACACACAATAACTTGGATATTAAAAATTCTTGGGCTGGGTGCGGTAGCTCACTCCTGTAATCCCAGCACTTTGGGAGGCCAAGGTGGGCAGATCACCTGAGGTCAGGAGTTTGAGACCAGCCTGGTCAACACGGTGAAACCCCGTCTCTACTAAAAATACAAAAATTAGCCGGGCGTGGTGGCTGGCGCCTGTAGTCCCAGCTACGTGGGAGGCTGAGGGAGAAGAATCACTTGAATATGGGAGGCAGAGGTTGCAGTGAGCCAAGGTTGCACCACTGCACTCCAGTCTGGGTTACAGAGAAAGACTCCGTCTTAAAAAAAAAATTATTGGTTGAATCCTGTTATTGGCTGCCATTGGACATAATTAAAAATCATACTTTATGTTTTCTTGATTATTTCATCTTTTATGTTATTTTGTAGATGATAATGTGAATCAGGATAATAACAATAATAATCTGCTAAAAACATAGAATGTTGTTCTCAGATTAATAATAAAGGGTGTAAAGTCAGGTCTCAGTGTAGCAGCCCCGGGTCACCAACTTTGAATGAAACATTTATACGCCTGGCCAGGTGCAGTGGCTTACACCTGTAATCCCAATGCTTTGTGTGGTCAAGGTGGGAGGATCGCTTGAGCCTAGGAGTTTGTGACACTCTAGGCAAGAGAGGGAGACCCAGGACCGCTTTACACCCTTTGTTAAGGACTCCAAAGACCTTTTGTTTAAGTCAGTTAAATCTATCAATATTCTCCATATCAGAAATTAAAACTGAGAAAAAAGGTAAACATATATATGTTTGAGACAGAGTCTTGCTCTGTTGCCCAGGGTGGAATGCAGTGGCACAATCTTGGCTCACTGCAGCCTCCGCTTCCTGGGTTCAAGCGATTCTCATGCTTCAGCCTCCTGAGTAGCTGGGATTCCAGGCATGTGCCACCACGCCTGGCTAATTTTTGTATTTTTAGTAGAGACAGGGGTTTCACCATGTTGGCCAGGCTGGTCTTGAACTCCTGAGCTCAAGTTATCTGCCCGTCTCGGCCTCTCAAAGTGCTGGGATTAAAAGTGTGAGCCACCGCACCCAGCCTAAAATATATTAATTCATTTAGTAACTATAATAAGTCCATTTTACATGTTAACTTATTTTATTATATGTCATAAATAATGTAACAATATATTATACATTATAATGTAAAAAATAAATACAAATAAAATATTATTTAATATAAATAAAAGGTTTTGTGATAAAATTACAGAGCAGAAATACCTAGTGAAGAGTGGCATTTTATTACATTTTTACAAATCCTTTTACTTGTCTGGCCTAATAGAAAACAGTTGGATTCTCATATCTGCTTTGCAATCAATCTGTTTGTTAGAAATACAACAAAAAAATATCTAGTCTTGCATAGATATGTAGTCAGAAAACAGAAGTTTTTTTTTCAAGACAGATTCTCATTCTATTGCCCAGGCTGGAGTGCAATGGCATGATCTTGGCTCACTGCAACCTCCACCTCCCTGGTTCAAGTGATTCTCCTGCCTCAGCCTGCTGAGTAGCTGGAATTACAGGTGCACGCCACTATGCCCAGCTAATTTTTGTATTATAGTAGAGACGGGTTTTACCATGTTGGCCAGGCTGGTCTTGAACTCCTGACCTCGTGATCCGCCCACCTCAGCCTCTCAAAGTGCTGGGACTGCAGGAGTGAGCCACTGTGCCCGGCTGAGAGAAGTATTTTAATAGCATTTTCAGAGAATTGTGGATATTCTTGGGTACTACATCAAAACTCGATAAGTGGGAGTTTCTTAAGGGTTAGCTACAATGTACAATCTGAAACCTATCAATAAAGTTTTAATACTCTGGATTTTGTGACATTATGCCTTGGTCATTTGGAGGATATTGATGTTCCGAGTTATGCATATTTTCCAAATGTTGATGCATTTCATACATTAAACAATGATAAACAATTACATTCTTAATATCACCATTGATCTTATCTGAAAAGTCTTTACGTGTTTGGGAACCTGTCAAGCTCATGATGGCAGATAGAACTTTTCAAGATTCAAATTTTTGTTGGAAAGCTTGAATTTTATAATTGGCAACAAGTACTCTGAACTGTTTTCCTTGGAGTTACAGGCTTAGGCTGGGTGCGGTGGCTCATGCCTGTAATCCCAGCATTTTGGGAGGGTGAGTCTGAAGGATCACCTGAGGTCAGGAGTTTGAAACCAGCCTGCAACATGGTGAAACCCCGTCTCTACTAAAAACACAAAAAATAGCTGGCCGTGATGGTGCATGCCTGTAATCACAGCTACCCGGGAGGCTGAGGCACAAGAATCACTTGAACCTGGAGGGTGGAGGCTGCAGTGAGCCGAGATTGGGCCACTGCATTCCAGCCTGGGTGACGGAGCAAGATTCTGTTTCAAAAAAAAAAAAAAAGTTACAGGCTTACTTTGTTCATTTTTGAGAAAATAGTCAAGTCCAATTAACAGTTTTTCTTTTTCTTTTCTCATCTCTTTATTTTTTTTTGAGACAGGGTGCCCCTCTGTTGCCCAGACTAAAGTATGGTGACTTGATCTCAGCTTACTGTAGTCTCGACCACCTGTGCTCAAGTGATCCTCCCACTTTAGCCTTCTGAGTAGCTGGGACTACAGGCATGTGCCACCACGCGTGGCTAATTTTTGCACTTTTTTGTAAAGACGACGTCTCTCCATGTTGCCCAGGCTGGTCTCCAACTCCTGGACTAAAGTGACCCTTTCACCTTGGCATCTCAAGGTGCTGGGATTACAGGAATGAGCTACTGCATCCGGCCAATAGTCCCCTCCCCTCCCCTTTCCTCCTCTCCCCTCCCCTCCCCTTCCCTTCCTTTTTTTTTTTTTTTTTTTGAGATAGGATTTCATTCTGTTGCCCAGGCTGGAGTGCAGTGGTGCTATCTTAGCTCACTGTAGCCTCGACCTCCCAGGCTCAAGTGATCCTCCTGCCTCAGCCTCCCAAGTAGCTGAGACTACAGGTGCACACGATTATGACTGGCTAATTTTTGTAATTTTTGTAAAAATGAGGTCTTACATGTTCCCCAGGCTGGTCTCAAACTCCTGGGCTCAAGTAATCCTCCCACCTCGGCCTCCCAAAGTATTGGAATTACCAGTGTGAGCCACTGCATCCAGACAATAGTTTTTCAATCAGTCCTTTTCTCAAGTAAAAATGATGCCTTGGCTGGGCGCAGTGGCTCACACCTATAATCCCAGCACTTTGGGAGACTGAGGTGGGTAGATCACCTGAGGTTGTGAGATCGAGACCAGCCTGACCAACATGGAGAAACCCTGTCTCTATTAAAAATACAAAATTAGCCAGGTGTGGTGGTGGATGCCTGTAATCCCAGCTACTTGGGAGGCTGAGGCAGGAGAATCGCTTGAACCCTGGAGGTGGAGGTTGCATTGAGCCGAGATTGTGACATTGCACTCCAGCCTGGGCAACAAAGGCGAAACTCCGTCTCAAAAAAAAAAAAAGATGTTTTATGATGGAATACAGCACTTATAGCTTACACAGATATATAGATATGTATTCCATATACTTTGGTCTATGGCAGAAGTGCTCTATATTCTAAACATATTTAATTTAATACAATTAACATTTTTTTCTGTTTCATCAAGGACGCTTAAATAAAACTGGCTTTTTGGCCCCAATGACTGCAACATGGGAAAGAATAAGTCACCAGTTTTACCCACCATTGCCTTCGCACTATCAGCCCACATGCCAATCCAATGCAAAGATAAATATGGTACCCCCAGGAGTTGGTGGACCACTCTTCGAGAAGCATTACCACATCGCAAACCCAGGATAGTCTGTGACGGGGCGGAGAGGGGTCTGTCTTAGGGGGCCTAATCCCTCTCCACCTCCTGCTTTGGCTGGGGAAATTCATTCCACCCCCAGCTCCCAAGGCCCCCGTTTGGTTTCCAGCCTCTGCTGCAGCAGATGCACTCTGGGTGTAGTTATATGTCTGCAGTCCCGTTCCCTGCTGGACTGACAGTGAGCACCTTGGAGCTGGGCTTTGTGTTACCAATTTTCCTATAGCTGAGCCCTGATGAGCAGCAAAGAGATGGGTTGAAGTGTGGCTGGGAGTCTGCATGTATAAGGAAGCAAAGGGAGGCCTCCTCTTTCTTGCACAGAGAGGAGGGTAGCAGCTTGCCCCTCCCCCTGCCCCATTGTGAACAGGGTGAGACCCCATGAAAGCCCTATCCTCAGAAAGAGGCTCAGCCCAGCCTCAGAGTTTTGGAGAGGTTGTCCTATCCTGGCTAGGGTCTGGAAGGATCTTCATTAGATCTGCTGACTGAGAAGGTCCCACCCTTCTCAATTCCTCCCCAAGCCTCCTGCAAAACAGTCATGGGGTGGGGGCAAGGGCGTGAGAGCAGGGAAGAAGGACAGCTGGGGTCTGTGGAGTTATGGGGCTTTGGAGGAGAATGGAGCGGGAGGAGGAAGCAGCCAGGGAGGTGGGGATACACACCAGAAACAAGGGCAGGGCTCTTTGTCTGTGTTGGCACCTGCTTCCCCCTGACATTTCTGGCCCCAGGCTGGGCACAGGGTGGAGGGGGTGGTCATAGTTCAGGGTGACCTCCCAGGGCCTAAGTTTAACAACAACAAAGGCCCAGTGCCCAGCTGTTGTTTCTATGTGTGTCCGAGCACATTGTTGGAGGGCGAGCAGTTCATCACCTATGTCAAGGTCAGTGAGTGGCTGCGGCTGCTTCTCTCTGGGAGAGGGGGCATCTGGTGCCCAGACACTCCAGGTGCCAAGAACTTGAAACAGATGGCTTCTCAGACGGCCCTTTCCCTGTACCCTTAGCCATGAGCCTCCTAGCCTTATTTCAGGACCCTGAGAAACAAGCAAAGATCCCTCCTGAGCCATGAAAGGCAAATTTCCTGCACTGTGTCTGGCCAGAAGGTGCCTTTCTGTGTTGGTTACTTGTCCATTCGTTTATTCGATGAGCATCTACTATGTGTCAGGCACTGTGGTGGTCACTGAGAATATAAAACTGCATAAGACATAGTGTTGACACTCAAGTTTCTCCCAGATGAGTAAATAGATGACTTCAGTATTGTGGATGCCATGTAGAAAGAGGGACATACAGGGCTATGGGGCCTGGAGGAGCGGCTCCTAGTGCAGTCGGGTGGCCAGGGTAGACTTCCTGGACGAGTCAGTGCTCCACTGAGACTTGGAGGAGGGTAGGAGTATAGGTGGATTGGGAGAGAAGGGCCTTTGGAGAAGCCTCTGGTGATCTGGGGATGTTGAATAGTTCTGTGCAGCTGGGACCAGGGGGCATAGGGGCTAGGGAAGCTGCAAGGGTGTGATCACAGAAGCGCATGTGACTTGACCACAGGTTTGCATTTTATCCTCATATTGTCATTGAAGGAAGGTGGTTCGGGCGGCAGTGGGATGGAGAGGCTTCCGGAGCAGTCAGCTGGAGCGGTGAGGAGGTTGCTGCCATGAAGCTGGCAGAAGACAGTGGCTCAAACAGATACGGTGGCGTGGGTCTGTGGAGGAGGGCAGGTTAGGAGGCCTCGAGGGGAGCAGGACAGGACTTGCTGCTCTCCTGGCTGCGAGGAGGAAGGGAATGGAGCAGAGGGGGGGACCCTCAGATTTCTAGTTTGGCTCAGCGGCTGTGGCTGGGCCTTTGTGTGACAGGGAGAAGAGGAAGGGAGCAGATGGGGTTCAGGGTGGGGCCATCGAGTGAGGAGGGGCTTGGCGGTGCCTGAGCCAGGGTGTTGCCCAGGCAGCTGGGCACATGGGCCTGGTGCTGGAGTGGGCCAAACTGCCCCAGCAGGCCCCAGGGAAGGACGGCAGGCTGGGATGCCGTCCCCACGGACTCCCTCTCCTCTCTTAGCCCTGGCACTAAGTGCGTTCCTCTGGCAAAGAAGAAAATAATTTCTGTCCCTCGCCATCTGCTGCATGGGAAGATGGGAATGGAGTGAGCACGGTATGAGGGGATCAGGAACGTCAAGGGGCTGTGTCCAGCTGCCCAAACCATCCAAGAGGCCGGCACCGTGCTGAGGACAGTGGCGGGGACAGGAGCCAAGGTTCATCATCGTACCCCAAGGCCTGGGTTGGTGCCTGATAAAGAGTGTTTGGGGGGCTCCAGAGTTCTCTGGGTCTGAAGCGTAGGGTGGGGAGGGCAGCATGGGGGATGGACCAGGGCAGGGGCTGCCCATGCCCAGTTCAGGGGCCCCACTGAGGGGTGAGCACAGACAAAAGTGTTGTGTCTGCCTAGAAGGGCTGCTTTTAGATGTTTTTTTTTTCAGTCTTTCTATGATTATATTTTCTTCCTTTAACCAGAATAATATGATATCCAAAGTTTGTCTTAACTGGTGGATGTTATACAGGCTTATCCATCCCACTTACAGGCAAGACAGATGCTGCGTCCTGCAATGGCCCCACCATGGACCCTCGTCATCCAACCGAAGTCGCCCCCTTGCCTGGCTTTATCTTCACTATATTGTGAGGCTGCTTCATTGAATCTTATCCCAGACTTTAACTTTTCCATGACTGCCGTGATTTTGCCATGTTGTTCACACAGAGTGTGTCTGACCTTAGCTGCATTGCCACCGCCTTTGGGACCCTGAGCCTTCTTGCCAGCACTGTCACTCCCAGAGGTTGCTTCCACTTTCCCCTTTTCCAGAACCACTTGTTCCTTTGGGTGGCATCCTGGAAACTTGCTGTTGAAGTCTCAACTGCCTCAGTGGTTCTTCAAGGGAGGTCCTCAGGCCACCACCTGAGAAATTGTTAGAAATGCAAGTTTCTGGGCTGCATCCCAGACCTGCTGAATCAGAAATTTGGGGAGGTGAGGCCCAGAATCTGTGTTTTAACAAGCCCCCCTCAAAATTCGGATGCCCTATAAGGGTTTGAAAACCACTGGGGGTGGGTGGGGGAGTGGGCAGAGGCCTGTTCTGCTGCACACCATGCTGGGTCCAGAGTGAACAGATGGAGGGGAGAAGCCCCATCAGCTGCCCCTGGGGACAGCCTTTTCAGAGGGAAGGTAGAACTGTGCACCCAAAAACACAGGGGAGGCAATGCCTAGAACCAAGTGAGCATCAGAGACAGAAAGTCCTGTGCGGGAGAGCTGGGTGGAACCTGGTGGGTGGGTAGCGTGGGGCAGAATTGGGAGAGAGACACAGTGACCGGGTGTCCCAGTTCCCAGGGTTGCTAACTGCTCACGTGCCAGCTTGAAAATGATTAGTTTCTAGGGAGGGGTCTACACCCAATTTGCTGGCTCACTCTCCATCACTGTCCTCCACATCCCCCAGTCCCTGGACATACAGGGTCAGCCCCACCGACTTATTATGGGGATTCCTGGAGAGGCAGCCTGTTTTGTGGGGGCCTGTCAAGGCACTGCCAGTCCCGGGCTCAGGGTGTGGAGGCTCAGCGGCAGCACAGAAAAAGGGAACCTGGGGCGGGAGTGGGGGTGGTCTTTGGGCCTTCCTCCTTCATTCTAGCACTGGGCTGATGGGAGAAGCCAGATGAGCCAGAAGAGAATTCAGGGTGTGGCAATGCTGAGCTCAAGGAGCAAGTAGTTCAAGAGAGAAGTGAAGCAACAGGTTTGGCAGAGGGTGGCGGGTGTGGGGGGGGGGGGGTCGGGGCATGGGGAGGTGTGTGGAGGGTGCAGAGGGTGAGAGATGTACCCCCACCTGCCCAGTGCTGGGACCTGCAGGGACTCACAAGACCCTCAGCCTCTTCCCTCTGCCCTGCCTCTCCTTCACTTCCACTCACCCCATCTCTAGCCCCACCCAGGCCTTCCTGGAGGGGAAGAAGAGCCTCCTCTCATGGTGTCCCCGTGCTAAAAAGAGTGGCTAATATTATTTGTTATTACACAGCCAAACCTCTTACAATAGGTACATCAAGAATCAGTCATTCAAACCATCACTTACGTTTTTTTTTGTTTTGTTTGAGACAGGGTCTCACTCTGTCACCCAGGCTGGAGTGGCATGTGATCTCGGCTCATAGTAGCCTTGACCTCCTGCTGGGCTCAAGCAATCCTCCCACCTCAGCCTCCCGAGTAGCCAGGAGCACAGGCTTGCACCACCACACCCGGCTAACTTCTGTATTCTTTGTAGAGACGGGGCTTTTGCCATGTTGCCCAGTCTGGTCTCAAACTCCTGAGCCCAAGCCATCTGCCTGTGTCAGCCTCCCAAAGTGCTGGGATTACAGGCCTGAGCCACCATGCTCAGCCCATTTACTGTGTTTAATGTTGGGATGAATTATACAGAGCTTTGGGGTCACAACATTGGTCCATTCCAAGTTCCCTGTGGGAACCACAGTGTTGGCTGAAGATGAGAACATTAAAGTCATAGCGATGGCCCCCATTTACTGAACACTTACTGTGTGCAGGAGCACGGACTTTGGCACCAGAGAGCTGGGTGCAGCTCTCAGCTCTGCGTCATCCTTGCTGTGGGACCCTGGGTTATTGCTGAGCCACTGTGAGTCTGTTTCCTCGTGGGTATAGTAGGGTAAGTAATAGTGCCTACCTCAGAACATTAGTGTGAGGCCTCGAGGGGTATATACTAAGAACCAACATTTGTTCAGCATTTGCCTTGTGCCAGGCCTTTGCAATGCCCTTTATACACAGCACCTCATAGGAACCTCACAGCAACCCCCCGGGTGGGCACCATTATTATCCCCATTTTACAGATGAGGAAGTGGAGGCTCAGAGGGATACATTGCTAAGTTTCACTAGTGAGTGTTCCTGGCAAGTGGCAGAGCCGTCTACTTCCAAAGTCATGTGTTGACTCACCTCACTATGCTGTCTCTAATGCCACAAACCTTCATGTGGGGCTGATTTGTGGTGAAAAATTGAGGGTGACAGCTTTTGGTTTCTTTGTTCCTTCTGCTCTAGTCCCCTCAGCCCCCAGCCCTGCCCCCTCTCAGAACTCAGCCACAGAAAGCTGGCCCTGGAACCACGATGGGCTTAACAGGGGGTGGGCAGAGAAGGCGGGGAGGGGTGTGGGGTTGGCTGTCACTGAAGCGAATGCCCCTGAGTAGTAGCGGGAGGGCCGGTGTCGGGAGGGGCCGCCGGGAAGACAGATGGTCTGGGCTTTGTCACTTGCTAATTTGGGCTTCTGTGCTTCCCAAACCAAGCCAGGGCAGCCAGGGCTGACAGGTGTCAGCCTCTGAGGTGATAGGCCCTGACTCCACAACCCACGGCCTTACAAGGCTTAGCTCCTCTGGCCAGACACTTCCTTCCCTTGCCCCGTGGCCTCCCCAGCCCCGGGAGGGACAAGGATGACACTGGGAGTCAGTGGCACTAGAGGCTGGAAACCCCTCCAGGCCTTCCCCTCTCACCGATGCCCATCTCACCATCCCTCTTTCCTGGACTTGCCTTTTCCTCCCGCGATCTGGCCAGCTCTGGTTCTCACTCCTTCTCCTGGCAATTCTTCCATCCATTTCCATTGAGCTGGGCAGTCACAGAAGATCTGAGAGGGTACTGACCACAGAGGCCATTCTCCTGAGGCCTGGATTCTGGTCAAGGCTGCCTCAGCCTCTACCTGGACTTTGAAAGAGGATAAAGGGGGCCAGACATGGTGGCTCATGCCTGTAATCCCAGCACTTTGGGAGGCCAAGGCAGGAGGATTGCTTGTGCCCAGGTGTTCAAGACCAACCTGGGCAATATAAGGAGATGCCACCTCTATAAAAAATTAAAAAAATATTTTTAAAAAGAGGTTAAGGGAAAGCCAGCAGCCTTGTCCCAGGGAGGGGGACCCCATGGAAGCCAGGCTCAGCCTCAGGTCCCTGCACACCCTTAACCCGCTTTACAAATGAGGAAGCCAAGGTTCAGAGAAGATGCTGCATAGCTGGATCAATTCTGCAGTGAACCTAAATTCAGCTTAGTGTCTAGAAGGCCTGCAATAAGGCTAGGCCAATGCAATGAGGGGAAACTCATGTGGTATAGAGTAGGGCTTGGACATGAAGCTGGATTAGGAATTAGAACAAGGTCAGTTTTGGCATTTTGCATGCTGTGTGCAGAATGGATTGAGAGCACAAGCGGCCACCTCAGTAAACCAAGCAAGAGAGTAGAGAGCAAGAAGGTGAAGGTTCTAGTAGGTTAGGGATAAAGACAGGGGCAGGGATTATACTGGGGTTAAAAGGAGGGTTAGGGCCAGGTGTGGTGGCTCACGCCTGTAATCCCAGCACTTTGGGAGGCCGAGGCGGGTGGATCACGAGGTCAGGAGATCAAGACCATCCTGGCTAACACGGCGAAACCCTGTCTCTACTAAAAATACAAAAAAGTAGCCGGGCGTGGTGGCAGGTGCCTGTAGTCCCAGCTATTCGGGAGGCTGAGGCAGGAGAATGGCGTGAACCTGGGAGACAGAGCTTGCAGTGAGCTGAGATTGCACCATTGCACTCCAGCCTGGGTGACACAGCGAGACTCCATCTCAAAAAAAAAAAAAAAAAAAAAAAGGAGGGTTAGTTTTAGGATTTGAATTGGGCTAAAGTTAAGGTTAGGGAAGTGTCTTTGCTTTGTGGGCAGCGTGACAGAGCACTGGGCTGGGAGTTAGGAGACCTAACCCCTCACCCTGTGGCCTCTCCTCGAGGGGCCTCGATTTCCTCACGGGCACATGGATTGGACTGGACGGTCTTCCTGCTCTGGCGTCCTGCAATGCTCTCGGCAAGATCAGAGCTGGCTTTCTGGAAGGCCAGGCCCTGGTGGGGCTGGATTGTGGCCCACTCTTCCTCAGGGCTGCCTTGCTGTGAAACCTGGGCTGGTTTGTTTCACTGACCCTCCCAGGTCACTGTTTTCCTGACTGGTCCTAAGCACAGCCGGAACCATGAAGTCCAGGGCCCATCAAGGCACCGAAGAATGTATTAGTTTCTCATTGCTGCTGTGGCAAGTCAGCACAAATAACCCAAGTTTATTATCTTACAGTTCTGGAGGGCAGAAGTCTGAAGTCAGTCTCCCTGGGCTGCAAGGCAAGGTGGTGGGAGGCCTGCTTCCCCCTGCAGGCTCTAGGGGAGAAGCCGTTCCCTGGCCTTTTTTGGCTTCTAGAGGCTGCCTGCATTCCTTGGCTCATGGCCTCCCTCCATGATCAAGGCCAGCAGCATAGCATCTTTTCTGACATCTGCTTCCTTCATCGCATTTCCTTCTCTCAGCCTTGCTCCTCAAGCCTCACTCAGCTGAGAAGGACACTTGTGTTTAGATGGGGCCCACCAAGATAATCCAGGATAATCTCCCCATCTCAAGTGTCTTAATGTAATCACATCTGCAAAATCCCTTTGCCATATAAGGTAACAGATTCACATTTGCATTAGGGCACGGGCACCTGTGGGGACCATTATTCAGCCTAGCGCAAAGGGTGCTGCCTGGGGATCTCCAGGGCCAGGAGCACTCTCTCTGGCTCTGTGTCTAGGAAGGGTCCTCCCTGACCAGTAAGCATCTGAGTCAGACAGAACCTCAGCTCTGGGACAGCTGTGCCTGCTCTGCAGGGAGAATAGGAAGCCTGGCCCCAGGGCAGATGTGCACTGAGAAGGGGTGACCTTTTCTGTAGGCAAGGAGGGGAGGAGAAAGGCTGCAGAGGCGCACTTGGCTGGGGCAGTGAGTGGGCCACAGGGCTAAGACCTCCAGTGGCGGCCCCTCAGCTGGGTGTGGGCGGCCTGAATCATTGAGGCCTGCTCTGCACCCACTCCATACATGAAGGAAGATGGGGGTCAGGGGCAAGGACAACAGGGCACTGCATTCTTGCTTTTGAAGGCCACCTTTGAGAGACTGCAGGAGAGAGACGCTAAAGAAGTCAGTGTGTGAACTGGGGTCAAAGGTCAGGGTGGATCTGAGAGGGTGAGCTGGAGGCTGGATTCCACATGGTGTGCAGGGATGGTGGGGATGGAATTGGGACACTGGGGTGAGGGGTCCTGGTCCCATGCTGTCCAACAGAGTGTGAAGATGAATCACTCCGAGTCTGAGATTCTCCATGGCTCCTGCCCAGGGAGGGCCCCTGGCTGCACTATGTTCTCCACGTCTTGCTGCGGACATCCGGCCACCTACTTTCTTGGCTTTTGTTCACCCTGCTTTGTTCTTCTATTTGTCGAACTGTCTTCTTTTGTTTTTCCTTTTCAAAAAGCAGGATAATTCATGCAGAGAATTCATTTTTTGAGAATATCAAGGCCTTTTAAGAAAGTTATTGTATAGGCTGGTCATGGTAGCTCATGTCTGTAATCCCAGCACTTTGGGAGGCCGAGGCAGGTGCGTTGCTCAAGGCCAAGAGTTTGAGACTAGCCTGACCAACATGGTAAAACCCCATCTCTACTAAAAATATAAAAAATAGCCAGGCATGGTGGCGTGCCTGTAGTCCCAGCTACTCAGGAGGCTGAGGCAGGAGAATCACTTGAACCCGGGAGGTGGAGGTTGCAGTGAGCCACTGTACTCCAGCCTGGGTGACAGAGCCCCTGTACTCCAGCCTGGGTGACAGAGTGAGACTCTGTCTCCAAAAGTATATAAATAAATAAATAAATAAATGGAAAGTTATTGTATAAATTATAATAAGCCAAGGCAATAAACTCCAGTAGGCTCATCTGCAAAGCCCCTAAATTCCTTCTCCCCTCTAGCTGCTCCTTTTGGCTGGAGCCTGCCTTCATTATCCATCACAGCCTCTCCACTTGGAATCCTATGTCCCCAACCCCTATGCCTCCCCAGACCCTGTCATTTCTCCCTGGCAGCCGTCTCACATAGAGGCTTCTCAAAGTTGACCCGACCAGAACAGAATTAGAGCAACCTCTATTAGGCAGCAGAATGTCGTTGTAGAGAGGGCAGGGCCTTTACCTCTGTGGGCACTGGGGTGTGTCTCCTTAGGACACCCCTGCCCATTACTCTCTCCTTCTCCAAATGGGGAGCATGGCTGGGGCTCCCTAACCTCCTGCTTGCGAGGCCTCTCTCTGGCCTCTGAGAGGGTCAGTGTCCTGCCCCAACCCATGAGATGACAGACTATAATAGCCACAGGATTAACATAGCAGGCATTGTCTTTCTCTGACTATAGGGTGGGTATTATGTGTTCATCAACCATCCTAAAAATACCCGGTAAACAGGTGCAGCCCCTGTGGCTCCAGTCCCCTGGGATCTGTTGGCTTCTGGCTGGAGATGAAGATTAGGGCAGAGGAGAGGTGAATTAGTCTCACTGAGTTCCAGGCATGAGACTCGGGTGTCCTTTGGAACCTGGGAAATCTAGATTCCAGGAAACCCATCTGGAGGGGGATGCAGAGTGTCTGCAGACCCTCAGACCTCCCTGAGCATAAAGGTGTGCCCTGCTGCCACTGCCATTCTGCTCAGCCCTGGAAACACTCACTGGGGTCAGCCTGCAACACTGCTCACATCACTCCCCACAGCCAGGCACCCTCGTATCCCACGTGCACCAGAGCCACTGAAAAATCCCTGAAAGCTGAGTCTTTAGCCCTCTTGGGCTTTTGGGGCATGGGTTCAGGGGCCTCATTTCCATATTGCCTTATAAGAGATGCAGGGTTAGCCCAATGGTCCTCTTCCCCCAGCTGCTACTTGCCCCTCTGGGCCTTCACTGTGGCCCTTTGCTCTCCCTCATTCCCCCTCCCAGTCCCATCTCTGCTCAGTCCCCACACCTGGTCTGGCTGCTCATTCTTTCCCTTTCTGCAGCTCGAGTCTCCCCAGGTGGGTGCTGGTTTCACTCAGTTGGTGGCACCTATGTGCACAGAATTTGCCTCTGCTCCTGAGCCACAAATTCACATGGCTTTCCGCCTATGTGCCTGTTGTGTGCATTGCAGCACGCATCTGCCCTGTGAGGTGTGTGTGTGTGTGTGTGTGTGTGTGTGTGTGTGTGTGTGTGTGAAGGGTGGGAGGGAGGAGGGGCAGCAGGAGGGGGCAGTGGGTCTGTTCTATTTTTACCAGCCAGTTGCTGCTGGACACAGTTTTCATAGCCTCCCCTCGGCTCTGCCCCTCACAGTCTGCAGTCTACGGCGAGGCACAGGCCAGCCCAGCTCCACGAGGACTGAACAAGGTAAGCGTCTGCAGCCCAGAACTTCAGATGTAGGTTGATCCCAGGCAGAGAACCTGGGGCTTTTGTTTAAGGAGAAAGCGAGGTCTTGGAGCTGGAGAAAACCATTTCTTGCCTGTGCAGTTGGTTTGTTGGTAGAACATTCCTAAAATACTCCCACAGCATTTTGTCCCACAGAATGGCATCTCTCCTGCAAAACTGTTGTGAGAGGTGAAACTTTTTCCTGGCCATTTGGAGGCTGTGAGCAAGGAGCAGAATCTTCCGTGAGGTTCCTTAGGAGCCCCAGGGCAGAGCCTAAGGGATGATGTTTTCACACAGGATGCCCAGCAGAGTGTGGGAGGGAGAGCGCACCCAGGGGAAGGGGTGGCCCTGGGATCAGAGAGCCAGGGTGAGTGCTCAAAGTCAGCAATGCCTGCAGCGGAAGAGAAGGAGGGTGCCTGACGCGCAGGACTCCCAGGGAGCCTAGAAGGCAGGGCCAGAGCTCCCTGCTGGCCAAGGAAACCATCTTGCTTCTGTGTTCTTTGTCTCTGAGCGACGCTGTTAGCTCCCTTTGCCTATCCCTCTGTAGTGTAGCACAAGAGCAGAGGAGGGCAGACCGGCAACCCCTCTTGACTGCTCCTGCTCAGAGCTCCTGGCTCTGAGAAGCAGCAGTAGATACTGGGGGTCCTCTTGGAGGAAGGCAATGGTGGCGGCATTTTGGGTTGGGGCACAGGAGCCAGTGAACACATAAGCCAGGGCAGTATCTACAGGGTAACCCAAGGCTTGGGGCAGGGGGCCGTGTGGCGGTCCCTGACTCAGGTGGGGGCTGAAGGCAGCACCTGCCACCAGGTTTGGGAGTCACAGTCCCACAGCAGCTCTGAGATTAGGCTTTGCTGTTCAGAACTCAAGATGGGGGCAGCCCAGCGCCATGCACTTGGGAGTGTTAACCGTCAGTCAAGGAAGACAGGGATGCCCTTGAATGGGGGTCCAAGGTCAGGGGGCGGGGAGCAGGGGGAAGCACATGAGCCTAACTAGATACTTGTGGACGTGATCATTGGGTGTGCAAAGAGATCAGTTCTTTCCCCTACATATACACGCTCTCTCTCTCACACTCACACTCTCACACACAGTCACTTACACACACTTACACACACAGACTCAATCTCATAGTCTAGCGGATAGTCCCTTCCACGCTGCAAAGCCTCAAGGAAGGGAAAGCCCAGCTCTGAGGCAACCACCAGAGACTCTTTGCTCCCCCCCTCGGGGGGAGGATTTTCTCATTATCTCCTTGCTTGCTACTTGTAGAGGAGATGGAATCCTGGCTCTCCAAGCCTTCCAGTGGCTGCTATCTTCATCCTGACTTATCAGTCCTCGCTTGTCTTCCACAGAGCCTGGCAAGGGCCCCCGTCTGAGGGGTGTCAGAGCACAGGCTGAGGCCTCTTGCCTGACGTGGGACCCCTTGGTCTGGCATTTGTCAGTGAGGCAGGCTGGGGGCAGGCCCCGGAGCTTGGCAGGAGGTGTAAACCGGCCTTGGAAGGTAGGGCCCCACAATGGGGACAGTTGGATCTCTGAGGGAGACAGGGAGGCATGATCACTGCCAAATGCCCACCAAGGACAAGGCACATCCCAGGGAGACAGACGCAGACCTGGTGCCCTCTGGACACTGGCATTCCTGGAGGCTGATGATGGACAGATGGGCCTGGAGGTGGCTCTTCGCCAGCTGGTGTTTCCTTTGGACTTCCTCAGTGTCTTTGGAGAAGCAGAGCCCTAAGAATAAGCAGCTGCCCATAAAATCTAATACCAGCCAAGCATCTCAGGAATTCATGGATTGTCTCCATACCCCTCCCTCTGTGCCCCAGCATGACAGCTGAGACTCTGGGGTCACACTACACCTCCACCTCCTCCACCCCAGCCTTACCCTCCCCTGGTGGCGGAGGCAGAGGTGGAGGGAGGCCCAGAAGGCTTTCTGACCCGTTGGGAGATTCAGGGGAGGTGGCCAAAGCTGTGTTCATTGGGGTTGGGATAGTGCTTCATGGGCACAAAGGGAAAGGAGAGAATTAGGGCAGAGGAAGGGGTGGCTCTGGGATACAATTATTGGCAGGCACTTTACAAGTGTCTTTTAATTCCCCACTTCCCAGACCCCACAACAAGGTTCTTGAACCAAGTCCAAACTCCTGCCCCCGAGCTCCATGCCTGCCCACTCCACACACACTAGGCTCTCCCATCCTTCATTTCACAGCCTGGCTCAGGGCTCCTGTGCGCCCCTGCACACCTGCTCTCCACCTCAGCTGTCCCCTTCCTTTCCCTGAGCTTTTGCACAGTTCCTCCCTTCCCCTGCATTGGAATGCCCTGTGTCCAGGCCCAGGCAAGACGGTGAATTATGTCTGGTTTTGGAACATCTCCCTCTGCAGCCTCACGGACCCCCTCTTTGGCCTGGGCCCCAGGATCACCTGGTCAGGGGGCTTCAAATTGTATTCCACAGCCAAGTGTCCTCACAGAAGACCAGAGGGCTGCTATGGGAGCCCCCTTCAACCAGTGCCATTTGGCTCTTTTTGTTTGTTTGACTTTTTTTTAAGTTCGGGGTACATGTGCAGGATGTGTGGGTTCGTTACACAGGTAAACATGTGTCATGGAGGTTTGTTGTATCAATTATTTCATCACTCAGGTATGAGAGACGTACCCATTAGTTATTTTTCCTGATCCTCTCCCTCCTCCCACCCTCCACCTTCTGATAGGCAAAATGCCATTTTGCTTTTACTGATTGAATTTATTTTACTTCCAAGTAAGATTTGGTTAGGACAAAGGATTCAACCAAATAATATTAATTAAATATTATTTTAATTACTTATTATTAATAATAAACATCAAGAGGAAACTCACTGATTTAACCCCTAATTTTGCAGAGAGGAAAACCAACCCAGAGAGGGGAAAGACAGACTAGGGTGAACACGGGATTTGCCCTGCCTTGCGGCTTATTCTCTCCCACTCAAGGCCTCCCACTGCCCCACCCTGGAGGTGCCAGTTGCATTGCCATCTGTGGATGGAGTTGTGCCATGTGGCAGCTACCCGTTTTCCAGCATCCACTCTGCTCATTCACTTTCTAGGCCTTCCTCTCTCTGAGCCCTTCAATGACCACCCTTATTCCACAGGATAAAGTCTAAACTCAGCCTGTCCTTCAAGGCCCTCATGAGTGAGCTACACTCTCACTTATTTTTTTTTTTTTTTTTTTGAGAAGGAGACTCATTCTGTTACCCAGGCTGGAGTGCAGTGGTGCGATCTCGGCTCACTGTAACCTCCGCCTCCTGGGTTCAAGCAATTCTTCTGCCTCAGCCTCCTGAGTAGCTGGGACTATAGGCGTGCACCACCATGCTGGCTAATTTTTGTATCATTAGTAGAGACGGGGTTTGACCATATTGGCCAGGCTGGTCTTGAACTCCTTACCTCATGAACTGCCCGCCTTGGCCTCCCAAAGTGCTGGGATTACAGGCATGAGCCACTGCGCCCAGCTGCTCTCACTTTCCAAACATATTTCCTATGGACTCCATTCTGTTCTCCACTGGGATTGGCAAGCTTTATCTGGAAAGGGCCAGATAGCTTTGTAGCTCACATAAGGTTTCTGTTGCAAATTCTTAAAAAAAAAAAAAAAAAAAAAGCTTACAATTCTTTAAGCAAAAACAGGCTGGGAGCCAGGTCAGGCTTATGGGCTGTAGTTAGCTGACCCCTGCCCTGCAACCCTGTCCCATCTTGACCTGCTGGAATCCAATGTGTCTGATTTCTTCCTTTTGTGTTCTGACTCTGTCTCCTAGGCTGGGCTCCCAAGGCCCAGCTGGGCAGGGGCAGGGGTTTCCACTTTCCCTTATGAATGATTCCTCTGTGCCCCCTAGGTGCTGTCTCACTGCCACCATGCCGGAAGTGTAAGTAGTCTCACTGCCATCTGGGGCCCCAGGAAGGCAAGTCCCTTTGCCACAGACTTCAGCCCCGCAGTGGAGGCACCATGTTTTCAACCCCCAAAGCTTTTCCCTAAGAGACCAGGTCCTCAAACAGGGGCAGCACTTGATGGTTTCCCCTGTGCTGCCTGTGTCCTCCCAGCCATTGAGCAGAACTCACTCCCAGGTTGCCCTGGGAGTGCCTTTTTGGCTTGTGCCTCAGAGATTTCCTGTCTTGATCTATCACATGAATTGCATGTACCAGGCCACCACTTAACACTGGTGCAGTAGGTGAACAAAGCTTTGGGAATTTACCCACGCACCCGTGGATGGATGCTTTCACGTTGCTGGAACCCTACGCTAAGGCTTCCCTCCCCTTCCACCACTTGTCCCCAACTTACGATGCCCAGTACCTCCCAATAAGAATGCCCCGTAGTTCAAAGGGCTGTTGAATTTTTATTTTATTCTGCCGGAACCTCAAACCGCTCCCCTTGCCTGATGCCTGATGACTTTCTGGCTCACTGTTGTCACTGGCCCCCTCCTCCCCCAAGCTGGTCTGTGAGGTTCTGCGACTGCACATGTAATCCTCATTGTTCATACTCACTCTGTGTTCTGCTCTTTCCCCGTCCTTCCTGTGATGGATGCCTGAAGCGAGGTAAGTGATATTTGGGGTATCTCTGTCTTGGTTAACTCTAACGACTGGTAAAAGTGGGAAGGTGGGGTTGGCATCTGAGGAGAGGGAAGAGCCTGTGTTAAGGCCTGGTGGGAGTCCAGGGGGTGTAGGGTATTTAGTGGCTGAACAAATTCCCAGGAGATGGAAACGTCAGGTGAAGATTCTGGATGTGGGGCTTCCTAGTGTCCAGGGAGTTGCTGTGCCAGTGTACCATGTCACTGGAAGGACTGGTATTGCAGCAGGGTTGGGTGTGACTCTGCATCCTTGCTGAGCACAAGCTCTTCCTCACCCACTCTGAGAGCTGGTCCAGTCCTGGGGGGACCATCCTATTCCATGCAGAGCTGATCCTGTGCAAAGCTATATTGGAAGGGTAAGGGATAGTCATTGGGTTATTCCACCCTTGCCCAATGGCTGAACATTGATTGAGGAGCAAAGAGATGTCCTTAAATCCCTCAGGTGTTAGAAAACCCTGACACTGGCCATTCTATACACTCCAGACTTACCAGGCTACTGAGATCACAGCCTATGTACAGTCCAAGGATGGGGATGGCAGGGATAGGGATGTGGGCCCAGGGATGGAAACAGTGAGAATTAGCAGTATTGATGGAGGGGATATTTGGCACAGAGATTCTCAGTAAGAATTGAACATGTTACTTTTCAACATTCATATGAATTTTTAAGTTTTGCTGAGGCTCGTATTAAAGTGAGTCCTCACTGACTGATGGTCAAATGAGGTGGCCATCGGCTCACCAAGTGGTGGGGAAATAAGATCGCAGTCAAACATTTGCCATGTGTACATTACAGTGTGTAAACCATGGTAGTAATGCTTAGAGTCATAGGCTCTTTCTTTTGAAATTGCACTTATCTGAAATGTAACAAAAATCTTTAGGAGAGGAAAAGACAAACCAACCACTCTGAACAGTCAGAATAGAAGTTACACATTCCATTTGCTGAAACTCATCCATTGTCTCTCATGAGAACTTCCCTCTCAAAGCCTAATCACTTCTACTTGACACCCTGGAATAACATTTGAGAGCCATGCTCTGCCGGCTCACAGCACATTAAGTCTAGGTAGGATGCTTCCTGCTGGCAATGAGAAGTGACCGCCTATGGCCCAGAAGATACTCTAGTGCTCGAAAGGCATCACAGTCTCATTAGTTGGGGACCAAGCAGCCCTACTACTCACCTTTGCCAACCCTGAGGGACCACTGTCACAGGGCTAGGACTAGTAAGCAAGAACATGTTTAGGATTTTTGATAAGAAGATAAAACAGTGGTTTTATATCTTAGAAAGATTTGTATGGGTGGTGTTAACATTTTTAAAAGTTTTGAGGTCTACATAGATACGTTTCATTTATTTGGGAAATTCACAGCTTATTTATGCAGCATGACGGATCATCAAGGTATTGCTGTATTACTACCTGGAGTGTGAAAACACATAGCTTTTACGATTTTCAAAGGATTTGCACATCCATGATCTCATTTCATCTGCAATAACTCTGTGAACTAAGTAAGGGGGGGGGTCCTAATATCCTTATTTACAGATGAGGAAGGAGGTGCCTGTAGAAGCCATGTGGCCCTCATAGTATCTTACAAGATTTCAGCAGCAGCAGAATCAGAGTGGGAAGTTAAGGCTTCAGCCCCTAGGTCAAGGTAGCTGACTGCAGCCTTCTCTGAACTGCAGAGGTTAAATAACAAAGATGAGCTTTTAAGGCACCGTAGGGTGAGCAGAGGATTCCGGATAAAGATAGAGAACGCTGGCTGGCACTTGTCTTGTCCTAGACCAGAATTCCAGTTCTGCAGCCTCTGCCTCACCACCTGTCTCTCTCTCTTCTTGCCCACAGAGAAAACCCAAGATCACTGCCTCCCGCAAACTCTTGCTGAAGGTGAGGCTGGGGGCTGGCTGTGGGGGGATGCCCAGTGGGAGGCAGAGGGGCAGCAGAGCAGACTCTGAAGGGATGTGGAGGATTATGGCAAGGAGAAAGGAAGGAGGCCAGAGTGAGGATGATGAGGGGCAGGAGTCCAGCATTGCTGGAGCCAGTGCCAGGCTCAGGTGATCAGTAGGTGGGATCCTCGAGTATGGATTCTGGCATCCGCCTGTGGTCCCTAGAGTAGGTGGTGACCAGCTTCAGAGTGGGAAGCTACTCATGCAGGCAGAGGGACTTCCTTTATTTTCATATGTGTTTCTCTCTTTGGAGTTTTGTGGGTCAAAACAGACAGTAAGTGGATAAGAGGAAGACTGTCCGGGGAAAACAAGTTCCAGGGCTTGAGGAACATTGTGTGCAGCCACTGGGTGTACCCTCATGGTGGCCTGTCCATGGCTGCTGCATACACTTCTACACTGGACAGTGGTCTCAGAGTTGGCCCAGGCTGTGGCTGCCCTCCCCTCATTCCCTGATGCCGGGTGGGAGATGTGAGGCCCCCAGCTCAGCAGGTGTGTCCTGTCCAGAGCCTGATGCTGGCCAAGGCCAAGGAATGCTGGGAGCAGGAGCACGAGGAGCGCGAGGCTGAGAAGGTGCGCTACCTGGCAGAGCGCATCCCCACGCTGCAGACCCGTGGCCTGTCCCTCAGTGCCCTGCAGGTTAGCCTGGCAGGTGGGGCGGGGCAGGGTGGGGCTGGAGGTGCTGTGTGGGTGGCTCCAAGGACCAGGCGGCAGGAGCCTGAACTAACACCAGCTCAAGGCTCCATAATTTACAGGGCACTCCTCCCTTACATGGTCTCATTTAATCTTCACAACCACCTGTGAGGTGGGAACATTAGATTCCATTTTACGGGCACTGAACTGAGCATCAGAGGGGAGGCGTGACTTGCCTGGGCTGGGCGGCCCAGCTTCACAATCAGCCAGTGTGGTGGCATGGAGTGGGGAGGCGGCCGGGGTTGGGAGAAGCCCCACTTTTCCAAGGACTTGTCTACCCTTTCCTAGAATTTGGTCTTCAATGTTTTCAGAACACTGGTAAATTGGTTAAATGCCAGTGATTATAGAGAAAAGAGACTGGAAGGAAGTATATCAAAATGTTACTAAGTATCCCTGGGTGGTGGCATCACTAGGTATTTTAATTTTTATTATTTTTGTTTAATACATAGTTTTCAAAATGTCTAAAATTAACGCATTACTTTTATCATAAGAAAACTATTTTATTTTGCTGGGCACAGTGGCTCATGCCTGTAATCCCAGCATTTTGAAAGGCGGAGGCAGGAGGATTACTTGAACCCAGGAGTTCGAGACCAGCCTGGGCAACATAGTGTGAGACCTTTTCTTTATACAAAGTTTAAAAAAATGAGATGGGAGGGTCACTTGAGCCCAGGAGGTTGAGGCTGCAATGAGCCATGATGAAAGAATACTTTTTTTTTTTTGAGGCAGAGTCTCATTCTGTTGCCCAGGCTGGAGTGCAGTGGCGTGATCTTGGCTCACTGCAACCTCTGTGTCCCAGATTCAAGTGATTCTCCTGTCTCAATCTACTAAGTAGCTAGGACTACAGGTGCACACCACCATGCCTGGCTAATTTTTGTATTTTTAGTAGAGACAGGGTTTCACCACATTGGTCAGGCTGGTCTTGAACTCCTGACCTCAGGTGATCCCCCACCTTGGCCTCCCAAAGTGCTGGGATTACAGGGATGAGCCACCGTGCCCAGCCAAGGATACTAGTTTTTTGTTTGTTTGTTTGTTTTTTTGAGACGGAGTCTCGCTCTGTCACCAGGCTGGAGTGCAGTGGTGTGATCTCAGCTCACTGCAACCTCCGCCTCCTGGGTTCAAGCGAAGGAATACTATTTTTTAAGAAATCATGACATTCAGACAGGAGAACAGAGGGCATACCCTTTGAGCTATTGCCCGTCATGAGCCTCAGAGTGGAGGAGACTGTCAGCTCCTCTCTGGATCCCAGGTCTTGCAAAGGGGCTGGGGAGAGGGTCAAGGGCTGGAAACTGATGTCTCTGTTCCCCTCTTCTTCACACCTGCATGATCCATCTGCGGCCCCCAGGACCTGTGCCGGGAGCTGCACGCCAAGGTGGAGGTGGTGGATGAGGAGCGATACGACATTGAGGCCAAATGCCTCCACAACACCAGGGAGGTGAGTCTAAGGAAGGGAAGGGGCATGGCCATAATGGGTTGGGCAGGGGCATGGGCACGGATGCAGCAGCCATGGGAGGTCCCCTCCTTCCACAGGGCCTAGGAAGGGGCCACTTAAGCAGGAAACTTTGGTTTGTCTGCCCTAGCCCCATAGGGCTGGAGATGGGTAGAGTGGATAATCACACATGAAAAGTACAAACTTCCTCCCTACCTGCCATGTGGGCTCATCAGCCTAACAGAAGCTGCTCTCTTTATCCACCCACACAAATAATCATATGCCTGTTAATAACGTCTTACCTTTGTGAAGTGCTTTCATGTTCGTTATAGCCTTTGATCCTCCTTATAGGCCTGTGGATGAAGTAGGGGCTATTATCTGCACCTTGCAGAGGAGAACACTCAGGATCAGAGAGGCCAAAGACTTGTCCTAGGTTGCACAGTGGTGGTCCTGGGACCAGTGCTGGTCTCTGGCTTCCACTCCGGTGCTCTGTGCTCCCTTAGCATGGGGTGTGGGAGGATTAGCTCCACCCAGACCCTGCTCCAGTGGGGAGGGGCAGAGCAGAGAAGGACAGGGCTCCTTTGGGGCATTTGTCCAGGCAGTGAGGAGGGGGCAGGGAGGGAGCACAAGCCACTTCTCTCCTTCCCACTTCTGCCCACCAGGAATTATATGTGGGGTCACCAAGCTCCTAAGAACTCCCCCTAGAGA
Source organism: Homo sapiens (assembly GCF_000001405.40). Taxonomy (NCBI): domain Eukaryota; kingdom Metazoa; phylum Chordata; class Mammalia; order Primates; family Hominidae; genus Homo; species Homo sapiens. The sequence goes on along the minus strand of NC_000001.11, from coordinate 201,412,329 downwards.
TCACACCCTGGGAATTCCTCCAGGGGTCTAGGACCTGTAAGTTTATCACCCTGCTGGACCAAGGCTGTGAGCTGCTTTGAAGGCTCACTGGGGAGGAATAAGTTAGAAGCAGGGATGAGGCTGCAGGAACAAGAGGAAGCAGCCCTGCACTCCAAATAGGGCTTCCAAATCAGACAAGTCTCAGTCTGGTGGAGCCGCCCCTTTTATTCAAGGCTATAGTGTTAGCAACGGCTAATAGGCTTTATCTGTCCACTTAACCATCCGTTTATCAGCAAATGTGCAGTGGTTATTTGCAAAGGGATGGGTGGGTCTGACTGTCCTAGAGCAGGGATCTCCAACTCTTGGGCTGTGGACCAGTACCTGTCCGTGGCCTGTTAGGAACTGGGCCACACTGCAGCAGGTGAGCAGTGGGCAAATGAGCATTCCCGCCTGAGCTCTGCCTCCTGTCAGATCAGCGGCGGCATTAGATTCTCACAGGAGTGTGAACCCTATTGTGAACTGTGCATGTGAGGGATCTAGGTTGCACGCTCCTTATGAGAATCAAACTCATGCCTGATGGTCTGAGGTGGAACAGTTTCATCCTGAAACCACCCCACCACCTCTCCGTGGAAAAAGTGTCTTCCACAAAACCGGTCCCTGGTGACAAAAAGGTTGGTGACTGCTGATAGGTCTGGCTTCAAGGGTGGACAATTTAAGGTGTATCTCTGGCTGGAACCCTAGCAGTCTGAGGTCCTCAGGAAGGGTGTCCTGTGGCTAGCTGCCTCTCCAGTGAGCCCCGGGCGCTTCTCACCTACAGATTAAGGACCTGAAGCTGAAGGTGATGGACCTCCGTGGGAAGTTCAAGCGCCCGCCCCTGCGTCGAGTCCGTGTCTCGGCTGACGCCATGCTCCGGGCCCTGCTGGGCTCCAAGCACAAGGTGTCCATGGATCTGCGGGCCAACCTCAAGTCTGTGAAGAAGGAAGACACAGAGAAGGTGAGGTCCCTTTCCTCAGAACATTCCACCCTCTGCCCTACCAGCTTTCCCCTTGTCAACCCCTCACATGGCCTCAGGCTGGCCCAGGAGCTCCTGTTGGAGACCAGTCAGCTTGACAGACAGAACATTCTAGAATGCTTTGGGAGACCAGTGTGGGAAGAAAGAAAGAAGATTTGCTCCCTTCCTTCAGGCTGTTCCCAGTCTGACGAAGAAACTAGGACATAAAGAAAGCTAGACCCCAGACGGAGAAATGAAGTAAAAATCTTGTTCCCAGTGTGAAGATAATGTGGAGATTTAGGGTAATGGTGGAGATGACTGCCTGGTCACCACAGGGAAAGGAGACAGCAGCTCATCTTGGTTATAGCCACACACGAGCATAGACATTAGAGAACTGAGTTCAACCACCCAGCAACAAATTATTCAAAGTTGGTTGAATTCACAGTATATGTGCCCCAAATTGATAGGCTCTGTAAGGAACAGGGATGAAGGAACAGTCTCTGGCCCAAGAAGCTTCAGAGGAGAAGAGATAAGCCAGACAATATACTGAGGAAATGGAAAAGCAGCCGCATTTGCAGGGGAAGACTTCTTGGAAGAGGTGGCCTTGAGCCTGCTGAGTGCCAGACCAGGAGGGTGGCATGGAGCCTTGGAGGAGGTTTTGCTGAGGTGCACTGAGGTGGGAACTAGCCCCATAGCTGCCACTTTCACCCAGTGCTCCCAAGCCACACAGCTTCCTTTTTCCTGTGGGGCCTCGGCTTGGCCTGTGTCCACCTGCCTGGCTGAGTCCTAGGACCTTACCAGCTGGGGAGGGGCATCAGGATTTCTTATCATCCGAGGAGACTGGTTTCCTATCACCCAGCTTCTCTTGAGCTGGGGGGCCGTCCAGCCTGGTAAGTCCCTGATGTGTGTGCCACTTGTCTACAGGAGCGGCCTGTGGAGGTGGGTGACTGGAGGAAGAACGTGGAGGCCATGTCTGGCATGGAAGGCCGGAAGAAGATGTTTGATGCCGCCAAGTCTCCGACCTCACAATAGAGGTACCTAGAGACCAGCTCCCTTCTCTGGGGTCCATCAGAGTCTAGAGGATAATGAGGGAGTCCACAATGGGCAGGCGGGTTGTACTTAGTGTGGTGCACGGATGCACGGACTAAGGCACCGATGAGACTGATTTGAGTCGGCTCTCCTGGGCTCAGTCCTGGCTCCAGCACCATGATACTTGGGCATGTCATTTCTGTTTGGCGGCCCTTTTTGTTCCCATTATCTATGAAATTGGGGGCTGTATCAAATCAGTGGTTCTCCAAGTGTGGTCCTGGGACCAGCAGCGTCTACATCACCTGGGATGCAAATGATCAGCCCCCACCCCAGATCCACTAAATTGGAAACTCTGGGGTGAGGCCAGCCTTCTAGGTGATTCTGATGCACATGAGAGTTTGAGAACCACTAGGTTAGAGGGTCCCTGGGATCCCTTCATCTCTGACTTTCTGAGAATCTATGCACTTTTAAATACCTCCTGGTGATGTCCTTTATTTGTGCTCCCTGCGAAGTACCCAGCACTCACAGTACCTGTTCCCAAGGAGCTACCACTCACAGAAGCTAAGACTTCCCACCATCTGAGGAAATAGCTGGAGAAACTGGGCAAAGCAAGGAAATCAGGCCACGTAAAACCCTCTACGGAAGTGCTGAGAGAATGTGCAATAGGGCAGGCATCCACCAGACAGCACTGGTCAGAGCAGGCTTTCTGGAGAGGAGGAGCTCTCTGAGGATGCGACGAGCGAGTGTTAGCTGATAAAGGGAAGGGCATGTTGAAGGGCTGATGGTGCAACAGAAGCATGGAGGTGGGAATTAAGCAGCCACAGAGTAGCATGGCAAGGCTAGGTAAGAGCTGAGGGCCGCAGTGTGGAGGAGCGGTGTGAGGGGTCCCAAAAGGGGAGCAACTGTGCCCGAGGGCCGAGAAGCTGAGGTTTTGTAGGAGCCCTTATGAATGAAGATCCAGTCCGGGGTGCGCTAGGGCTGAGAAGCCCTGGGGACTGCATGTGCTGTAGGTAAGTCAGGGATTCATGCGCTGCACACAGGTCCCCGGGAACTGATGGCTTTGCCTCTTTGTCCCTACAGGCCAGCTTGCTGTGCTGCGCTCTGAGCTCCTGCTTCATGCTTCTTCTCCAACCCAGCTCACTCACCTCTCTGCCTGTGTCTGGAGCATCCCTTCCCACCTCTCCCCCACTTCTTCCCTCCAGCCTGCATGCCCTCCTCTGGAACTGGGATTAAACAGATACCCAAGAGGCAGGAAAAACGCGAGTGTCTGAAGACCTCACCCTGGCAGGGTGGGCTTCTATCCACCCATGAGGCACCTGGGGCTTCTCAGCCACCCCGTGGTGTAACAAGTGGAGGAGGAGGAGGGGGTGAGAACACCTTTCCTCCAGCCCTGTGCCACACTCCTTCTATGTGTGTACAGTGTCCACAGGCATCACACCTTCTTCATTAAAAACCCAGTTTCCTGGTCATTTCTGCAGCTCTGACTGTGAGCCCTGAGAAGAAAGGGAAGACTTGGGGCTTGGGAAGAGAGGGCTGTGCTGGGCTCCAGTCACCCTGTCTGCAGTCCGGAGCTCGGGATCTGAAGGGAGGGCTAAGGAATTGGTGGCTGCTTGCCAGGGTCCCCTGGGGCCCCTTCTGCCCAGTCCCTGTGACGTCACACTGCACACACTCACCACCCAGGATGCTCAGCTCACCAGAGCCCTGACCTCCGAGAAATGACCCCGTCCTGCCCCTGACTCTGGCCATCAGAAGAGGCCTCTCCATTAAGAGCCGCTTCTCCTGCCGGCTTTCATACTCTCCTTCCTCTGCAAACCTGGATTAACTCTCCCTGATGTGTGCTGGGTTGAGAGGTCAGGGCACTTTCAATCCCTCACCTAGTCCTGCTGCACAGGGCAGGAGGCCTCACAGAAGAGATACTTGCAGTTCCAGGCCTGGCCACCAGGTGACGCCTTCCTTCTCTCCTGGGCTCTCCTGTCCCTCCGGCCTCTGCTCTCCCCACGTTCACCCACCCTCCTCCCAATTGTTTCCCCTTCACACTCCTGCACTGGTCCTATCCCCCAGGACTGATTCTTTCCCGGAGATGGGGTGGCCACTTATCTGTCCTCTGGATCAGGTCCTTTCTCCATCCCACTACCTCCTGGGTCCAAAGCCTGGTGAGAGCATAGGGCCTTCTGGGGTGGAAGGGGGGTCTGGGGCAGCCTCTCTTCCCCCAACATACTCACTAGAGTGGCTCCTGTGAAGCAGAGACCAAAGTTCTGACTTTTCTTTTTCCTTTTTTTTTTTTTTTTGAGATGGAGTCTCGCTGTGTCACCCAGGCTGGAGTGCAGTGACGCGATCTCGACTCACTGCAACCTCCGCCTCCCAGGTTCAAGCGATTCTCCTGCTTCAACCTCCTGAGTAGCTGGGATTACAGGTGCGTGCCACCACACCCCGCTAATTTTTGTATTTTTAGTAGAGACAGGGTTTCACCATGTTGGTCAGGCTGGTCTCGAACTCCTGACCTCGTAATCTGCCCACCTCGGCCTCCCAAAGTTCTGGGATTACAGGTGTGAGCGACCACATCCGGTCAAGTTCTGACTTTTCAGGGCAGTGGGATGGTGACTTCTGAGCTAAGCCTGCAAGGGAAGTGGCTGTTCCCAGACCTGGGGTCCCTTGGCTTTTCGACCACCCTAGCACTGGCCCTAGGAGGGGCTGAGTTATCAGAGCAGCAACCCTTCTACCCACCCTACTGAGTCCCCATTCTACCTTCGAATCCCATGTATTATCTTCCATAAGTGCCAGAAATTGGTACAAAGTGCAGTGCCAGCTGCTCCCCAGGGCATGGTCTGGCTCTCTGGGCTGCTGGGCTGCCAGCCCCTTTCAGAAAGCATGGCAGTGGGAACCAGCAACTTGGGCTACCTTAGGGGAAGCAGCACTCTGCCCAGGGTTCTTGCTATAAATAGGTCAGTGGGCAGAGAGGCAGATGTGTGCAAAAAGCACAACCCCAATCACACACAGAAACCCGTAGGCACGGACACACCCAGTCTCAATGCACGAAGTTGGAGAACCTGACAGGGCTGGTCCAGGCCACAGAGGATGGGGTTAGGCTTCATGCCTTCATGCCCAGGCAGCCACAGAAACCCACTCTTCCCCGCCTCACAGGGCTCCTCCGGTTGGCCTGGATCCAAAGCGATCTCCTTGTTTCACCTCTTTCCAGCTCTTCCCTAGAGCCTGGCCCCAAGTTCCAGAGTCAAATCCCAGTTTTGCAGTCAACTATTAACCTGGGGCCCTGGCAGATTGGGGTATCCACCCAGTCATGTAAAGGCAGGAGACCTGCTCTGGGCCTGACTCAAAGCAAACACGTGGGTGCAGAAGACCCATGGGAGGAGGAGGTGGGGCCCACTCAACACACCTAAGCCAGTGGCCCTCTAGGAGGGGCAGAAGAGCCAACCAGAGGGTTCCTGGAGGTCATCGGGTTCCTCCTTCTGCTTCCAGGCAGCAACAGACCTAATTCATCTCCTGTGAGGATGGAGCAAGGGCGAATATAGGCATAGACATATCTGGAGCGCAAGGATTGAGAGGCCCTGTGGACAAGGGGAAGGAGAGCTTGGGGGTGGGAGAGGGATCTATGGAAGGGGCTGTTGTAGCCAAGAATGGGGCCTGGGCTGGGGGCCTGGCCTCTGGAGAGCCCTGATTCTACTCCAGTCTTCTCTCACCATGGAGACAACACCAGTAGAGCTGGGAGCTGGGGCCTGCCACTGAGTAACAGCTCACACATGTAGCACACTTATGCGTCAGGCACCAGCATGTACACCTTAATTTATTTAACTTTCACAACAACCCTAGGAGAAAGGTACAGCTACTATTCTCATGGTACAGTGGGGAAAACTGAGGCACAGAGAGGTTAGGGACTTTTCATGATCACACAGCTAATAAGTGGTGGTCCCAGGATTCAACCCAAGAAGTCTGTTAGAATCCATACTCTTATCGACTATTTTAATAACAGCATTTCAATAATAGTAATATGTGATGTTAAATGCTTTATCTGAGTTATATCATTGCATTCTCACAAAAATGGTACATTTGTTAGCTCAAATTTACAGATGAGGAAATGGAGGCCTGGAGAGTTCAAGTAGCTCACTCTAAGTTACAGGGTTTGCTAGCTGCAGACTGGAGACTAGATCTCAGGTCACTCTGCCTTGGGGTTGCCCTTTTCTGAGATCAGACTGGCCTTAACAGAGCCCAACTTTCTTGGAAGGACACAGCTGGGGGTCGAGGGTCCTGCATATGCACCTGGGGAGTCCCCACACACCCGCACCAAAGGGGAAACATTCAAAGGAGATGCAGGTGACATACAGATGGGCTAAGGTGAGGCCTTCCTCCAACATGGGGCCCTGGCTGAGAGTGGAGGGATAGGGTGCTACTTGGGGGATATCTATTACTAATCAGCACACAATAGCTGGGTGGGCACCCCCTCTCTCTGCAGCTGGTGGAGATGGGCCTGGTGCTCCTCTCTGCTTGGTAGGAATGACCAGGGCAGGATGCCACCTGCTACACTCTTGCCTGTCCCAGAGCCCTTGGGAGACCAGCTGTTGCTCCCACCTTTCCCCACAGGGTGCCCGGTCCCCACGGCGCAAGGAGGCCAAGCTCAGCTGTGTGTCTGAGCCCACTCAGCAGCAGGCATGATCAGGGCAGGGCCCAGCGCTAAGGGCTGCTGGGGCTAAAGTGCCTTGCTGAAGGAGGGGCAGAGTTAAACATTAGCCACAATGGCCCCCCGCGAAGTGAGTCATACTCCCCACAAGTCTCTGGGCTGGGCAGCCGGGGGCGGGGGGGTTAGCTTCGTTCCAGGTGGGTGACCAAGCTGCGGAAGCCCAGGACAGTTCGCTGGGACCAGTGCTAATGGCAGCTTCTGCTCCTGACCCCCATCAGGTCTCTTTCCTCAGACATCCCCAAAGCTTGTCTGCCTGTGGGTCTTTCATTAAAGGTGACGGGCAAGGGTTTTCTCTTCCTTCCAAGACACACTTCTAGGCTGGCTTGTGGGTCCCCTGAGACGAAGGCTGAGCAGGGTGAGCCTCGAAAACCCCATAGCACTGGCCCAGAGCACTGCGGTCAATGTCCGAAGGACCAGAGAGGGAGGGTGACTTGCTCAAGGTCACAAACCTAACTGGAGCTAGGAAGTAGGTCCCCAGACTCCCAGTCTGAGGAAATTGGATGTGGACAGGGCTTTGGTCTCCTGGCCAGAGGCAAACGCCCAGGGATCTGAACAGGCTGCCCATCTCTGGCCTCAACTCAGCACCCCAACTGGCTCCAGTGCCAACCATTGGCCTCTCTCACTGGTTGGCACAGGCTGGGTGAGCCTGGCCCTTTGCCCTGGGTTCAGGAGAGAGGTATGGCTTTGCCTGGCAGTCAGGGGAGGTGTTCCAACCTGGGAGCCCCTGGGGGAGGAGCGTGTGTGTGAACGCTTGTGCCTGTTCATCAGAAGGGGTGAGCATGGTGTGTATGCGTGGGCATGCAGAATGCAGGGTGATGACCTGTCTGCCCGCCCTGAGTGTCACAGACACCTGTGTGTCCCCTGTACTAGTGCCTCCCAGATGCTCTTCTCCTGACTGGCTCTTTGTGACCTAAATTTCAACTGCTCCACCCCACAAGGAGGAAACCAGGGCCACAAATGTAGTGAGATTTTCATAAAGCTAAATGTATTCAGTGGAAACGACCTTCCTCTGATCTAAAAGCATGCATGCCTTTGTTTTATTACTGGAGTATTAAATTAGCCCTTACTTATGGAATAGGAGGACAGTAGGTGGCAATTGTTTTCTAATGCTCTTACTTCACAAAATAAAATGGTGGCAGCACAATGTCAGTATTTATATTACACAATATTATTAGTTTGTAAAAACCGAAAGCCAGGGAGCTTACTGCCCTGGATTCTTTAGGGCGTGGGTCTTATCACCTCATTCATTTCTTCCCTTCCCCTAAGAGTGCCACAAGCATGGCAGTTGCTCAGCTGAGACACATGAATGGGAACAGAACTGAAATATCAGGATGTGACCTCGAGCCAGCTGGTTGGGGCTGGGGATCCCCCTGGATCTCCACTCTGTCCTGTCCGAGAAAGGGGAAGCTGCCCTATGAGTCTTTTTTCTGGGGGATTCCAGAGGTTGAACGTCTGTTCTGAGGCTCCTCAGAACCTCGAGGGAGGGGACGAGAGAGATGACCCCTTGCCCAACCACTGGCTGAAAAATCTTGAAATTCCCTGACTTTGACCAGGGAATTCCCAGTTGTGCTAAGCCCTGCCTGGTGGAATGTCCCTGGAGGAAGTAACCAGGACACGCATACGTTTTTAATGTACGTATAAAGAATCGTAAAGTGAACACCCATCTGCCAACCACTCATTTTAAGAACTAGGATATGGCACATACTTTTGAAGCCCTTATGCGTCCCTCCCCAATCACAACCCCTTCCTCTCCACAAAGGTAAATACAATCCTCAATTTTGTGTTTGTTATTCTCTTGGTTCTCTTCATAATGTTACTACGTATTTATGAATTCCTAATACATCATTCAGTTTTGGATCTTTTTGTAAACCTTACTTAAGTGCATGCATTTTGCTTTTTCCCCTTCAATGTTAAGGTTGTAAATTCATCCCTATTGATAATTGTAGTTCATTCATTTTCACTGCCATGAAATGATGAAATGATGAAAACACCATTCATTCCCTTTCCTGCTGATAGACATTTAGATCTCTGCCACTACCAATTGTGCTGATTTGAATATTCATGAGTCTCACTTCTGATGCTCATGTTCAAGAGCTTCTCTACCCAGGAGTGCAACTGTTGGGTCGACAAGAATGACATCCCCACCTTTGCTAGTTGTACCACTTACACTCCCATCAACAACTATGACAGTTGCTGATGCTCCACATCCTGGTTTTGGCAGATCCTGGAGACCAGAGATCCTGGATACTTAACCTCACCTGATCTCAGCTTCTTCCTGACTCAGCTTCCAAATGTTACTCTTGGCAGGGGCTCTCAGGCTATTTGGGTTTTCCTGTTCTTTCCAAATCAAGTTAGTGCAATTCTCTAAACCTTTATTAAGCACCAACTCTGCCAGGCATAGTATTGAGGGGATACTGAGGCAAATAAGACATTCTTTTTCTTCTCAAGGCACCCACAAGATGCTTGGGGAGCCAGGGCATGGGCACAGATAACTTGAACTCCAACCTCGCTGCTCACAAGGAGTCATTCCCTCCTCCTTCCTACTCAGCAAGGGCCCTTGCATGCTATGGAAAACACAATGCAAAGCTGTCTCCTGAGCTCCCCCGCTCCAACACCCAACCATCTATTGGGCAGCTCCATCCGGCTGTCTTCAGGGATGTTAAATTCAAATGAGTAGAGGCCAAGGATGCTGGTGACCATCTCACAATGCACAGACAGCCCCCGACAAGGAATTATCAGGCTGAAATGGCCATAATGCTGAGGCTGAGAAACCCTCGGTGGTCTAAAGTCACCCCTCCCTAGATCTCCTGCTCTCACATCCCTGTCTCATCAATGGCATCTCATTCACCCAGTCCCTCCAGCAGGGAGATGGGAGTCACCTAGATTTCTCCTCCCTCACAAGCCGTAGTCAATCAACTCAGTCCTGGCCATCCAGCCTTCCAAAACTCCTGCCAACACCTTCTCCTCCCCATCCTCCTGGTGCCCTTGCTCAGGGCCTTCATTTCTTTTGTTGACTATAAAAAATAGCCCCCTAAGCTGTCTCCCTTCCAGTGTGATCTCTTGCCACACTGCCTCCAAACCCTTCTCATTTTCTATATTCAACTTAATTCTACAGGATAAAGGCTTTTTTTTTTTTTTGAGACAGAGTCTTGCTCTGTTGCCAAGGCTGGAGTGCAGTGCAGTTCAGTGGTGTGATCTTGGCACACTGCAATCTCTGCCTCCTAGGTTCAAGTGATTCTTTTGCCTCAGCCTCCCAAATAGCTGGGATTACAGATGTGTGCCACCACGCCCAGCTCATTTTTTGTATTTTTAGTAGAGATGGGGTTTTGCCATGTTGCCCAGGCTGGTCTTGAACTCCTGACCTCAAGTGATCTGCCCGCCTCAGCCTCCTAAAATGCTGGGATTACACGTGTGAGTCTCCATAACCGGCCAAGGCTGACTGACTCTTTAGCACAACACACAAAGTCCTTACTACCTGTCTCCAACCTTTCTTTTCAGCCTTGGAAGGGGCTCAATGCTTCACGCAGACTAGTCTTCTCTCTGTTCCACACACACCTTTCATGTTTATGTCCCAATGTCTTTGTTTATGCTGTGTCCTATAGCTGGATGCCCTTACACCCTTTCTGACAGTTGAATTCCACTTACCCTTCAAGGCCCAACTTAGATGTTCTTTCTTGTGTGAAGACTTCCCCAATCCCTCCTGATGACACAATTTCCATTTTTAATCACAGTCTGACTTGAATGAGGCTCGGGGTATATGTGTGCTTGTGTATGTGTGTGTGTTCACCAGCATGTGTTTGTCTTCACTGATAGACTGAGAATGTCCTGAGGTCAGGAACCGAGTCCTTATCATCTTTGTGTCACTGAATGTCAAAGCCACTTGTGATTATAGTGGGTAGAATGAATTATAATGGGTAGAACACATCCCAAAAAAGATGTGTTCAATTCATAACTTCTGGTACCTGTGAATGTGACCTCATTTGGAAATAGGGTATTTGCAGGCATAATCAAGCTAAAATGAGGTCATACTAAATTAGGGTGGAGGGATACTTGAACACAAACAAGAGACACAGGCAGAATGCTGTGTGACAAGAGAGGCAAATCTTGGAGTAATGCAGCTGTATGCCAAGGAGCTCTGGGAAGAAGCAAGGAAGGATTCTCCTCTGGAGCCTTTGGAGAGAGGCTGGCTGTGCTCACATCTTCATGGCAGACTTCTAACCTTCAGAACTGTGAGAGAGTAAACTTCTGTTGTTTAAAGCCATCCAGTTTGTGGCACTTCATCACGGGAGCCCCGGGAAATGGATGCACTGATCCAGCACCAAGTACAGTAGCTGGCACTTAGAAAGTATCCCATAAATGTACAGTGTCTGATCTCAAGGAACTTTCTGGGCATTGACATATATGTCATTCACTTTTCCTTACTTCTAGGGTTGTCTGCATACAAACTTTCCATGTCTTTGGGCTTTTATATCTGTAGAGAGGCTGTTAGATTTTGGGCTTTTAGAAACAGGACTGTTCCTGCCTTCGTGAAGTGTCCCTGGCATGACCAGGCTTCAGATGACTTCATAGGAGTATTTCTCTTCCTGTGTTGAGGTGTCAGCACTGACCAGCCATGGGAAGAACATTCAGTAGGTCCCTAGGGAGACAGCAGCTTCCCTGACAGTGTCAGGCCCCGGGTCAGAGGATCCAGGGACCTAGACTATTGGGGTCCCCTCTTTCTCTTTTCCTGTAAGCAGCATACAGCTCCAGGGCCTGCCTTGGCCTCTGTTCAGAACTCCCTGGAGCCTTGTCGATATTCATCTGTGCACTCCAATGTCACTAGCAGGGAACTCATATGATTTCCACAACCTGGAAGGAAGCAGAGCAAGGTATCGTAACATCCACTCCACAGATAAGGAAACTGAAGGAGTTTGTCCCAAGTCACACAGTTCACAAATGTCAGAATCAGAGCTCAAGTGTGCAAGTTACCAGTCCAGTTCTCATGTCCTGGACCTCGTCCCACCCTTGCCAAGAAGGAAGGCTCCCTGGAGGAGGGGGTACTTCGGGAGGGGGAATCTCAACAGGCTGGCTGTGTCTGTGTTTCCAGGCTTCTGCCCGGCAGCTAGCTTGCCCTTTGCCGTGAGATCTCAGAGCTGGAAGGCCTGACATGAGCACCAAAGAGAGGCTGAGGCTGGGCAGCGAGGCCCAGGAGCATGAGGGCAGTTCTGGCTCTGGCTCAGGCTCCCTTTTGATATTCTCATCCTGGCGCTGGGGCTGTGCCTCCTTCCTCTCAGGGCAGGAACAGCAACTGTGCGCTGACCCTGCAGTTCAGATCCATCAGGGAAGATAAGATTCCCCATGCTCAACGCCTGACCCTCTCTTAGCCCAAGCCCACCTGAGGCTGGTTCCTGGATAGAAAGCACCTGGCCCCGCACCAGCCCAGATGGGCACCTAAAGGGAGCCAGGTGGTGTCAGGGGTGCCTGAGCTGTCTCACGGTGCTCCAAAATTCGAGTCCTAGATATCTGTGTTTAATCTTTCCTTGGGGAAGAAAAACTGAGCTTCCTCTGCCCTTATTATACACCCTGCCACTCTAGCCCAAAGTCCAGTATCAGGGAGCAAGGACAGTGCCTTTGACATATTTGTGCTTTCACAAATGTTTGCTGAATTGAGTCTAAGATTCTCCCTTTGGGTGGGGCTGGGTCTACCAGGGGCATGTTTTGTGTGCAGCTCAGAAAGCAATGCCTCATTCATCTCAGCGAGGCCTACTGGGACGGTGGGCCCGGGTGGGTTCCGAAGCCAGGGAGTGGGGAGGGCGCTCCCTGCGAAGGGGCCCCGAAGGCGCGGGCGCTCTAGACCCGAGATCACAGTACCTGCGCTAACTTTTCCGCTCGGCTTCTTGCTCTTGAGCGTCTCCGGGCTAAGTCGGGTTCCCGGCAGGGGTCCCCGCCCCCAGCCCAGCTCCTCGGCACCCCGGGCCGCGGCACAGCGCGGGGAGGCGTCCCAGCGCCAAGCTGGTCGGACTGGTTCTGAGCAGGAAGTCTCCCGCCCTCGCCCCGGGCAGCCGACCAGCCCCACGCCGGCCCCGGGCGTCCGTCGTTCGGTCCCGCGATCCGTCCGACGGTCCACCCAGTGCTTGCGGCCTCGCGGCCGGGCCGGCCTGGGCTGCAATCAATGCGGCTTTGTCTGGGACGCCCACATCCCAGAGGCCATTCCCGGGTCGGCAAATCGGAGCGCGGCCGGGGCGCGCGGGGGTGAGATAAGCGGCCATGTGATCCCACCTGGGCTGGAAGGGGAGGGGCGCCAGGTGAGGCGGCGGCCGGCGGGGCGCGGGCGGCCACGCGGGGCTCCTGCAGCATGGCTGTCAGCAGGAAGGACTGGTCCGCGCTGTCCAGGTGAGCGCCGGAGGGAGCCGGGAGGGGCGGGGGGTCGGCGGGGAGCCTTTGGGTCTCCTCTCCTCGGGGCACCGGCCTCCTCCCCGCCTGGGACCCTGACACTGAGGCTGGATCCTGGTCTTGCTGCGACTCGCGGGAGACAGGATTGGGGCCAAACTCGGGACCCCTGAGGTTACAGGGTGGGTCTTCTCCCCTCGGGGCCTGAGGCCCCACACAGGGTGCTTAGGGGAAGGCTGGTCCTCAGTCTGGACGCCCGCTGGGATATGGCCCCCCCTGTGGAAGGTGGAAGCAGGAAGGAACGTTTTGGGGGATTGTGGAGGTGTTCAGGAGTAACCTCCAAGCCTCATTCCTGAGAGAAGCCTCTCTCACTGCCCCCGTGTGTCTCTGGCGGAGAGGACCCCTGGGAGGTGTCCCACAGCCCCTCTTGGGAGGGGGAGCAGGGAGAGCCGTCTTGGAGGGGTCAGTGAAGAGGACTGGAGGGAAGCAGACCCGTCTCCCACTAAGGACGCTCAGAATCTCAGCATGGCATTTTGGGGTGGCATCTGGGCTGGGAACCTTAAGATAGTTGCCATCCCCATCTGTGCTGCTGCAATCTTTACTTGTACACTGGTCTCCTAAAGGGTCGGGGATGAGGCATCCTACCCCTGCCTGCTGGACATCCCATCAGGGTCCGAGAGGCCTGGGGAAGGCGGGTGTTCAGAAGGCAGCACCCCTCATGGAGATTGGTGACCTCTAGCGACTTCTCTTGGAGCGACCCTGCACCTCTGCCAAGAAGGCCCCCTGTGAGCATTTTCACCTCATTCCTCCACTGGGCGCCCCCGTCCCCCATCTTGTCCCTAAGGAAACTGAGGCTCCTGCGGTAGCCCAGAGCTGGAGCCTGCTCTTTTGATCCCTTTCTAGCCAGGTAGATATTAGCCTCTTAGCTCCTCCCAGGTGGGCATTTGGGTCTTGGCCTTTCCTGAGCCAGGGCTATCTCTGCCAGGTGCAGACCCTCCAGCCATTTGGGTCCTGTAGGCTTTCCCCAGCAAGGCATCTTTCACAGGTTTTTCCAGTGCTCTAGTATGTCCTCTACCCCGCTCCTGCCCTCCCTTAATAAGGGCTCCAGAACTACCTCATTGTCTCAGGCTTAGCCTCTCCATAGCAGCTCATCGCCTGGGACTGGGGGGCCACCTCCCCAGACCCTCAAGACCTCACAGTGCTCTGAAGCACTGTGGGCAGCCCATGGGCTCTAGAGAGGGGAAAAGGTAAGCCCCACGAATGGAGGGAACTCAGTGCTCTGGAAAAGAAACCCAGGCTGCTATAGAGGAAGGTCTATGCTGAGGGTGCGGCTGAGGAGTCAAGGTCTTGGACTTTGCATGTGGGTCAGTGTGCCTGGGGGTTGATGTGGGAGTGTCTTTGCTTCTAGATGTGGGCCTACCTGTGCCTATGAATGTATGCTTATGTGTGTGTGTGTGTGTGGCATACTTGTGGACAAGTGTGTTTATGGCCTATGAAGAGATGACACATCTGTGTGGGGAGCTGGTTCTTATGTTGCTGAGTCTTGAGTTTGTCAGTCTGCATATGTTCAGTTGAACTGTTTATTGAAGACCTCAGTACTGTGCATTGGGTTAAAAATACAAACCAGACACTCCTTCTTCAGAAGTTCATAGTCTGGTGGGATATATGTGATTTTGTGTCTGAAAGCATGCCTGGATATGCATGGGGGGGTGTGTGTGTGTGGGGAGGCAGCTGGGGCACTGGAACTTTGAAAATGGGAGCAAGGTCTGGCCTAAGCTTGTCCACTGCTCAGATGGACATGGACTCATGTGGCTACAGCCAAGTTCCCACAAGATGTCCAGGGTAAGTGCCAGGAAGCTCTGGGGAACAGTCCTGCCACAGGGGCCCCTGGCCTGCCCTCCCTGCCGGGTCCCAGCCCTCATAGAGCCCTGTGGGCAGACGCAGCTGCTGCCAACAGTCACCCTGATGAGGCACCTGGAACAGAGGACCGCTCCCGCTCCGCTCCCTGGGTGAACAAGCCTCAGCGGGCAGGCAGGAAAGGGCTGTGAGTCACTGTCAACAGAGCCTCCTGGGCTGGGGAGGACCGTGCTAGGGTGTGACAGCACGGTCCCAGGTGGGGAGGTGGATGGAGAGGTGGGTGGGTAGCTGGGGGCCAGCCTGCAGCCCATCCTTGGCATGGAGCAGAGATTCAAGTCTTCCAACCCTGGGATTGGGGGGGCAGTGGTGAGCTGGCTGGCTGGGTGCCCTGGTCAGAGGCCTTGTCCTTTTCTCCCCGGACTGGCCTGGTGACCAGTGAGGCTGGGCCAGGCCTGTCTGCAGGGGGTGAGGGGTGGATCTGAGAGTGCCTGGGACTGAACAGCCAGTGGTTAATCATTTCCCTGCCTGGGCCTTGAGCCGCCCTCCTACTTCCAATCGCTGCCCTGGGTTCTCCAGACACCTCTCCCTAGACCTTTGGGGCTGGAAGAGACCTGAGTTACCCCCCACAGTGACCATGCAGAAGGGGAACTTAAGGCCTGCCCTGCTCAGGTGCAGGAGACTGGCCAAGGTCATGGGCATGATCCCCCAACCCTCCTCTGTCCTCCCTTCCCTAACCCCAGTCCCCAAGATTTGCAAATTATGCTCCTTGAGCCCCAGGGTTCCACAAAATGCATCTGGGGCAGCCTTCTCACCCTCTCCCAGCTTTAAGCAGGGCAGCTGAGCCTTAATCTGTTGTATAATGGGCTTCTGTCTATGATTCAATTTGGGAAAATGGCTTGTACTGCTAAATATGACTTTTAACAACCACTTCACTTAAATCCCTGCCATCAGTTGCTGCAGAATAGATGGAAGTTAGACTTCAGGAAGAAAGTTCCCAGGGTAGAGGTCAAAACAAGCTCTCTAGTGAGTAACGGCAGAATGTCCTTTAGAATTATTTAAGAGAAAAAGAGGATCCCCATCCCCAAAGGATGGAGTTGAAGTCTGGAGTGGGGAGGAGGATAGCAGCATTACATGGAGACACCGAGAGGGACATGTGTCCCCAGATGAAGGCCAGGAGGTGGGGGAAAGGGTTGTCTAGAGGGAAGGAGTGGTAGGCAGCTGCCTGGGGCTGTGGCCTCAGCTAGTAGGAGCAGCTGAGCCTCCGCAGCTGTTCGGGCCTGTAGGTTTCACCCTGGGCCTGGCTCTGGGGCTTGAAGGTCAATGTTGCATGGGCCACGGGGTTTCCCCAAACCTCTGCCCTCCCAGGCTCCCAGGCTTTGCCCTGGGCCCCAGCCTGTCCTGGGGTAGGGAATACCACACCTTCAGATGCCCTCTTGGGCCTCTGTTCCCTCCCTTGAAGGTTCAGCTGTTGAGCTCCCTCTGGGTTAGGGCCAGCCCTCCCTGGCCATACCTTTTCTGGCACTTGGTATGATGGTTAAGCGTAGGTGCTTTTGAGAGGCTGACCTAGGTTTAAATCTTGGTTTCTTGTTTTTATTAGCTGTGCGATCGTGGGAAGGTTGTTAACTCTTTTGAGCCTCAGTTTCTTTATATACGAGATGGACAGAGTCTCACTCTGTCACTCAGGCTGGAGTGCAGTGGCATGATCTTGGCTCACTGCAACCTCCACCTCTTGGGTTCTAAGTGATTCTCATGCCTCAGTCTCCTGAGTAGCTGGGATTACAGGCGCCCGCCACCACGGACCCAGCTATTTTTTTTCTATTTTTAGTACAGATGGGGTTTCACCATGTTGGCCGGCCTGATCTCGAACTCCTGCCCTCAAGTGATCCGGCCGCCTTGGCCTCCCAAAGTGCTGGGATTACAAGCATGAGCCACCGCACCCAGTGGCTGTTGTAAAGATGAATGCCAGGGGTATTAGAACAGTGACTGGTGTTAGAGTAAGCACTTCCACGTTAGTGTGCTCACTTCCCCCCTTATTCCTTTAGTTATTCACCATGTTCAAGAAGTGCCTAACACTGTTTTGAGCCCTCAGTTTTTTAATTTATTACTGGGGTTTCAACAGCTGTACCCACTGAGTCCCCTCCTGGGGACTGGGCTTTGCCCTTCCCTCCCTTCCATTTTTATCCTCATAACTTGTGCTTATTGGAGATAACATTTCTCCCCAGGGTGGGGTGGTGCTGCTGAAGGGACTCATGTTTTGCCAGGTGTCAGGGTTGAAGGCAGCCCCATGATTCCCAAGCAGCAGGGGCGGTGGCCACATCACCTTGGGTGAGCTATGGGGTCTTAGTATAAAGCTTGGGGACACTCAAGGATCCCTGGGTTCTGAGTCCTGCAGCTGAGCCCTGGAGACCCCCAGGAGACCAGGCTCTGAGTGCTCATGCACCATCCAGGGCCCCACAGGAGGATAAACAAATAGGCCACTTCCCCAAGGGCTGAGGGTGGCATGTGGGAGCTGTGTGGCTCAAGACCCAGGAACCCTGGAGGCTCCAGCTCAGCCAGCTGTGGGTGTGGTCAGGGGAGAGGCACTCTGGGCTTTGTGGGCCACTTTCCCCAGTATTTGGATCCCTCAGCTTTGGAGGGCAAGAGCTGTTTCCAGGCTATGGACAAGGGACGGGGTGCATCCAGAGGAGGGAGCTGGAGGTGTGGCCTCACGTGTAAGCCAGCAGAAGTTGGCGTTTCTAAATCTGAATAAGAAAACCAAGGAGAGGTGGGACTTTGGAGCCTGCCTTATAAGAGAGCATCTGTTTGTGTGTAGTGAATGAAGGATGAATGAATGATGAATGTTCAATCTACAAATACCCAGAGCTCACAGCAGTCATGCAGAGGCCCAGGGGAATCTTGTTTAAGTTCCGTGGCCAAGGCCATAGGGGGATAGTTTGATTTGGGCGCCTCTCCATCTCCCCTGAGGAAGTAGAGGTGTGACTGACAGGAGGGATTGAGGTTCTCACCAGGAAGAGCTGCCCTGCTGGCAGAATTGGGAGGGTCTGGAAGGTTCTCCTCCAAAGGCACTTCCTTTCCCCTTGGGGTGATGGGCAGGCACTCGCCTTCCCTGGGCAGACAGCTGGGCAGATTGCCTTTGGGGGAGGAGTGGGCTTTGTTCCCCCTTTGTGCGCCTCGGCATCGAGGCAGAAGTTTTGTAATTTCTAGGGAGGAGGAGAGCCCAGCACCCCTGAAATTGACACTTACTTGCTGTTCCACATTTGTCAGCACCTGCTGGGTGCCGGGCACCGTACTGGGCACTAGAGATGAGACACCCTATCCTGCGGTTGTTTCTCTCACTGCAGGACAACTCAATCACTCTTCACTTATATAGAGATGGGGGTCTCACTTTGTTGCCCAAGCTGGTCTCAAACTCCTGGGCTCAAGTAATCCTCCCACCTTGGCCTCCCAAAGTGCTGGGATTACAGGCGTGAGCCACCATGCCCAGCCAGTCACACTCTTTTCAACCCTCTCAGACCTTCTCCACTCTCTCCTTTGTTTGCTCATCAAAAAAAAAAAAAAAAAAAGCAAAACTTAAGATCTGTACATTAATGTAAATTATACCTTAACTTAAAGCATTCTTTGAGCCCACATCCTCCTCTAGCTACTGTCCCAACTTTTTTTTTTTTTTTTGAGATGGAGTCTTACTTTGTCATCTAGGCTGGAGTGCAGTGGCGTGATCTTGGCTCACTGCAACCTCTACCTCCTGGATTCTAGCCATTTTCTTGCCTCAGCCTCCCAAGTGGCTGGGATTATAGGAGTCTGCCACCATGCCCGGCTAATTTTTGTATTTTTAGGAGAGACAGGGTTTCACCATATTGGCCAGGCTGGTCTTGAACTCCTGACCTCAGGTGATCCACCTGCCTCAGCCTCTCAAAGTGCTAGGATTACAGGCATGAGCCACTGTGCCCAGCCACTACTGTTCCATGCTATTTGCTTCTCAAAAGAGTTGTTGATACTCACTAATTCCTTTTTTGGTTTCCATTTACCCCCACCAGCCTGCTCAGGCTCTGGTACAGCCCTGGCATCTGCTTTTCCTGTGGTATCTGGTGCCTCTGTGCTCACAATTCTGTCTTGGTCTCATTCCCCTCGCAGCAGCATCTGACTGGGGCCCTCACTCCCCTGTTCATGCCAACACCCTCCTCTGGTTTCCTTCCAGCTCCCTGGCTGCAACGTCTTGATCTTTGCCTTTCGCTGGTTTCTTCTCCTTTGGAACAAGCCAGAAGCACAGCTCTTCATCTCCTTCTTGTCCCTCCCCACTACCACCCAACAGCCCACCACACTCCTTCCTCCCCTGGTCTTCCCCATGTTATTAATGGCCCTCCAGAAATAGCTTGGGCCCAAAATCTAGCAGTTCTTGATTTTTCTCTTTTCCTCTCCCTCCTCCCACCCAACATCCAATCCAACAGTCAACCCTGGTGGCTGTATCTTCAGAACATGTCCCGAATCTATCACTTTTCCCCATATTTTCTGTCCCCACCCCAGTTCAAGCCACCATAGTTCTAGCTCTCGCCTATGGGATTGCAGGTGCCTTCTGACGGGTCCTCTGTTTCCCCTCTCCCCTGGCCCTTTCAATGTTTTTTTTTTTCATACAGCAGCCAGAGAGATTAAAAATAGAGCGATCCCATCATGTTGTTTTTCTGTGTAACACTCTCCAGGGCTCTCCAGCACACCTGGAATAAAACCCAAGTCCTTTCCCTGGTCTCCAAGGCCCTCTGCTCTGGCCTTGCTTCCCTCTCCAGCTTCCCTGTGGGCCACTCTGGCCCTGGTTTCCCGTCTTCCCCTGAATACCCAGCTCCTCACATGCAGGCTCTGCACTGGCTGGATCCTCCTCCTGGAACACTGGCTGACGGATCTGGCTCTGCTGCCTCCTCCTCATGAACCAGGGCTCTCCGAGGGGGCTTTCCCACCCAGCCACCTTCTCTCATGTCACTTACTTTGTTCCCTTGTCCTAGTGACACTTAGCTGGTGTCATTTTGTTCATGGGCTTGTTTCCTTGCTCATGGTCTGACTCCCCCATGCTGGATGTGTGCCCTGTGAAGGGGAAGACCCTGTTGGTCTCATTCCCAGCTGTTCCCAGCCCCTGGAATCGTGCCTGGTACATAGTAGGTCCTCAAAAGTAATTTTTTAGTGAATATTGGCTCAATCCAGGGGATGCTGGACCTAGAAAAAAATCGGAGCGGTTCATGTGGTTCATCCTTCTCATTTTAGGAGGGAAAACTGAGGAAGAGAAAAGGAAGTAACTTGCCAAAGGGCAGGAGGACTAGAAACCAGATCACCTGACCTTGCCTTACCACAGACTCCCTGTGGAGGAGACAGGCTCAGTGGGAACTAGGGCTGAGCAGCAGGAGAGGCTGGGACAGCAAAGGGTAGAGAGTTTGGCATCTGGCAGTGGCAAGAGGAGGCCTTGCAGTCGTTGCTATAACTCTGGGAGGGAAGAAAGAGGCCTTTTCTAGAACCTTTTAACCTGATTTGCAGACAATGCAGGGGGAACCACAGAGAAGGGCTCCCCCAGCTGACTTTCACAGCCTGGTACTCCCCTGCTCACACCCCCTCCTGTCTCCCGGGGTGAAGCTCAGCCTCCTGTCCCCAGCAAACCCTGAACCTCGGTACCTTCCCTCTGCCTGGACTGCCAGCCCCACCCCATCGAAAGCCTGTTTGTTCACTGAGATGCAGCCCGGTTCATCTCTTCCATGAGCCTTTTCTGATAATCTTGGCCTATAGCATCTGTTCTCTCACACTGAAGAACAACTTATGCACTTTGGTTGGGGGAGTTATTGGTGGACACACTTCTCTTTTTCACTGGATTGTCAATATCTCCAGGGCAGAGACCCTGCCATGTTCTGTGATGCCCACACAGTTCCTGACATGGTGCTGGCTTGTCATAGTCATTCAGTTTTCATTTGCTGTTTGGTTGGACTGGAAGGGGTGGGGTGGATGGAAGATGGGCTGGTGGGAGGTGGTAGGTAGGGCAGGTGGATAAAGATGGTGGAAACAGCTGAGTGGCTGAGTACATGGATGTGTGGGCGAGTAGTAGATGGATAGACTGGTGGAGTTGCCTGGCTGGCTGTAGAATGCCTGCTTGGCCCCATGAATGAAGGGTGACTGGGGCAGGAACCAAAAGTAGAGTGTGGGGTCCCCTTGCTCCCCAGAGAAGTGAAAGTTGTCTGGATTTTCATCCAGATCTGTGGAGCTCCATGGCTCAACTCTTTCCACGAAGCTCTTTCCATCTGAAAGGTGAGGGAGGCTCCAAGAGCCCCTGGGAAGTGAAAGGAAGGCGATATTGGAGTTTTTTCCATGGGTAAATGGTTTTGTTTGTAAGTCTTCCCTTCCCAAAAGCTAAGAAATTCCATGGGGAATTGAGTGAGGAAATATCTCCATGACTGTCCACTGATGGATATTACCTAAGAATCCCAGGACCAAAAAGAGAAAGGCACTTGGCAAGTTCATCTGTTTCCTTCAGGCAGGACCAGGCCCGCCCTTCCACGTTCCTAGTCACCCCCGGTGATGGAGGCCCTCCCATTCTCATCCCGGGGTCCAGAGTACAGTTCAACCCAGTGGTTCCTATGTGGGGTGACTTTGCCCCCCAGGAGACATTTGGCAATGTCAGGAAACATTTTGGTTGTCCCATCTGGGGCATGTACTACTGGCACCCAGCAGGTAGAGGCTAGAGATGCTGCTAAACGTCCTGTGATCCAGGACAGCCCTGGACACGCAATTGTCTGGCCAAAGTGTCAACAGTGCTGAGCTGGAGAAACCCCAGTCTAATCCAAAGCCCTGCAGCTTTACTAGGAATTTGATAGACGTATGATTTGAACTACATTTAAAATGTTAAGTTTTTTTTGAGATGGAGTTTCACTCTTGCCCAGGCTGGAGTGCAATGGCACTATCTCGGCTCACTGCAACCTCTGCCTCCCAGGTTCGAGCAATTCTCTGGCCTCAGCCTCCCGAGTAGCTGGGATTATAGGCATGCACCGCTATGCCCAGCTAATTTTTTTTTTTTTTTTTGTATTTTTAGTAGAGACAGGGTTTCACCAAGTCTTGATCTCTGGTGATCCACCCTCCTCAGCCTCCCAAAGTGCTGGGATTACAGGTGTGAGCCACCGCGCCCGGCCTAAAATGTTAAGTTTTTGAGTAGTCACATTAAAAAAGTAAAAAGCAGCCCAGCACAGTGGCTCATGCCTGTAATCCCAGCACTTTGGGAGGCCAAGGTGGGAGGATTGCTTGAGCCCAGGAGTCTAGGACCAGCTGAGCAACATTGTGAGACCTCATTTCTACAAAAAATCTAAAAATTAACCAGGTGTAGTGGTGCACACCTGTAGTCCTAGCTACTCAGGAGGCTGAGGTGGGAGGATCACTTGAGCCTGGGAGGTTGGGGCTGCAGTGAGCTGTGATTGTGCCACTGCACTCCAATCTGAGCAACACAGCGAGATCCTGTTTCAAAAAAAAGGAAAAAACAAAATTAATTTTAATATTATAGCTCATTTACCCCAATATATCCACAATATTGCCACTTCAACACACAATCAATATACACAATTTTTTTCTTTCTTTTTTGAGACAGAGTCTTGTTGTGTCACCCAGGCTGGAGTGCAGTGACACAATCTCGACTCACTGCAACCTCTGCCTCCTGGGTTCAAGTGATTCTCGTGCCTCAACCTCCTCAGTAGCTGGGACTACAGGTGTGCACCACCACACCCGGCTAATCTTTTTTTTTTTTTTGTATTTTTGTAGAGATGGAGGTTGCCATGTTGCTCAAGCTGGTCTCAAACTCCTGAGCTCAGGCAATCCGCGTGTCTCAGCCTCCTAAAGTGCTAGGATCATAGGCATGAGCGACCGCGCCTGGCCGATGTACATAGTTCTTAATGAGACCTTTCACTGGTCTTCAAGATCCAGTGTGTATTTCACACAGCATGCCTTGGTTCACACCAGCCACGTTTCAAGCACTTCTGAGCTGCTAGTAGCCAGTGCAGGCCTAGAGGGCATTTGGTCTCTTCTCCCAGCCCTAGAGGAGCCTGCCTCGGGAGGGTCCTGGGTTTCCCCAGCTGTGCTGACCCTCTCCTCCCCTCCCCCAGCCTTGCCCGGCAGAGGACTCTGGAGGATGAGGAGGAACAGGAGCGCGAGCGCAGGCGGCGGCACCGCAACCTGAGCTCCACCACGGACGATGAGGCTCCCAGGCTCAGCCAGAATGGAGACCGGCAGGCCTCTGCTTCTGAGAGGTAGGTGCTCAGGTTTCTATCCTGATGGATGGGGATGGACTGGTTGCCTCAGACTAAGTGCAGCATATTCAGTCTGCTCAGGGAGTTGGGGCCCAGGAAATGAGGCTGAAGGGTGTGATGATGAATTTCCAGTTCCCCACCTTCCCCAGACTCAGTCCTGCCAGCTTCCATCCTCTTCATAACAATGCTTGCTACTATTTGTAGACCATCCATGAGCCAATACTGTGCTGGACATTTTATGGCCATAGCTCACGTAATCCACACAATGTCCCTGAGAGAGAGGTATTGTTAACCCATTTTACAGGTGGAGTAACAGGGTTGAAAAGTACTTAGGTGACTTGCTGAGGTCACGTACCTCAAGAGTGGCAGGGCCAGAATGTCCATCCAGATCTGTCAAGCTCCCGCCTCCTTCCATTATCCAGGCTGCCTTCTTCTAACCCTGACCCTCTATAATTTACTTCTTTTTTTTTTTTTTTTTGAGACGAAGTCTCGCTGTGTCGCTAGGCTGGAGTGCAGTGGCGCGATCTCAGCTCACTGCAAGCTCCGCCTCCTAGGTTCAAGCAATTCTTCTGCCTCAGCCTCCTGAGTAGCTGGGACTACAGGCACCCACCACCACAGCCAGCTAATTTTTGTATTTTTAGTAGAAATGGGGTTTTACCATGTTGGCCAGGATGGTCTCGATCTGTTGACCTCATGATCCACCTGCCTTGGCCTCCCAAAGTGCTGGGAATACAGGCATGAGCCACCGTGCCCAGCTGCCTTTTTTTTTTTTGAGATGGAGTCTTGCTCTGTCACCCCGGCTGGAGTGCAGTGGCGCAATCTTGGCTCACTGCAACCTCCGCCTCCCAGGTTCAAGCTATTTTGCCTCAGCCTCCCGAGTAGCTGAGATTAAAGGCACCTGCCACCATGCCCGGATAATTTTTGTATTTTTAGGAGAGATGGGGTTTCACCATGTTGGGCAGGCTGATCTTGAACTCCTGACCTCAGGTGATCCACCAGCCTCAACTTCCCAGTGCTGGGATTACAGGTGTGAGCCGCTGCACCGGCCTATAATTTACTTCTGAGGAGAAGAACCTTGGGGCTAGTTTTGCCATCTAGATTTTGGGATTATGAGGTGGGGGAAGAGCCTGGGGTTTACTGAATGCCACCTACATGCCAGGACTGTCCTGGGCACCCTCATGAGTCTCATTTTGCTTCCTAACAAGCCCAGTTTGTAGATGTGAAAACTGAGGCTCCGACAGTAAGTTAACTTGCCTGAAAGCACATGGAGAGCAGGGTGATGAGGAAGGAAAATAATCTCCTTTTGCTGGAGGCCAGGTGCTGTGGGTTATGGACAATCCTCTCATGTTACTTTTGTTTCTTTGGGTCCCCCAAGAAGGGAGAACAGGGCTGTGATGACCCTCTCCTCTCCTGTCCTCCCCTCCCCCAGCCTTGCCCGGCAGCAGACTCTGGAGGATGTCCAGAGCTGGGCTGCACCAGTACCTGTGGCTGTCACCTAGTCTTGGCTGCACCCACAAGACTGACAGGAGTGTGGAATGGTGCATCGGAAGACTTAGGTTCTGCTCCCAGCTCCCCCACGAATCAGCTGTGTGACCTTGACAAAATCCCTGGACATCTCTAGTCTTGATCTAAGATCTAAGGGGCAGAGACTGTGCTTATTCCTTTTGATCCCCAATGCCCCAAGCAGGCTCTGGCACATATTAAAGCAGTTATTCAGAGTCTGTTGACTACGTCTGAACATGGAGTCGTTGGACTTCATAGGAATTTATAAGCTTTTTAAAAAGCATAGTGTGCTTTGCTCAGATGATACCTTGGAAGTGCAATATATCGAGTGGATAAAGGTGGTGGTGAGCCGGGGAGGCCAGGGCCTGACATCCTCACCTCCTCCTTGGTGGCCCTGGCAGCATCTCCATTGGGTTAGGTATACTTAGGGTATCTTCCACCTCTATCCTCTGATTCTGTCTCCCATCTTCTGATTCAGACTACCGAGCGTGGAAGAAGCAGAGGTGCCCAAGCCACTGCCCCCAGCCTCCAAAGATGAGGACGAGGACATCCAGAGCATCCTCAGAACACGGCAGGAGCGGAGGCAGAGGCGGCAGGTGGTGGAGGCTGCACAGGCCCCCATCCAGGAGAGGCTGGAGGCAGAGGAGGGGAGGAACAGCTTGAGCCCTGTGCAGGCCACACAGAAACCCCTAGTCTCCAAGAAGGAACTGGAAATCCCACCTCGCCGGAGACTGAGTCGGGAACAGCGGGGCCCCTGGGCCCTGGAGGAGGAGAGCTTGGTGGGCAGGGAGCCAGAAGAGAGGAAGAAAGGGGTTCCAGAAAAGTCCCCAGTCTTGGAGAAGTCCTCCATGCCAAAGAAGACGGCACCTGAAAAGAGCCTGGTCTCCGATAAAACCTCCATCTCTGAGAAGGTGCTGGCCTCAGAGAAGACATCTCTATCAGAGAAGATAGCAGTGTCAGAGAAAAGAAACAGCTCAGAGAAGAAGTCTGTTCTAGAAAAAACCAGTGTCTCTGAGAAGTCGCTGGCCCCAGGGATGGCACTGGGCTCAGGAAGGAGGCTGGTGTCTGAGAAAGCTTCCATCTTTGAGAAGGCACTGGCCTCAGAGAAGAGCCCAACTGCAGATGCTAAGCCGGCCCCAAAGAGGGCCACAGCCTCAGAGCAGCCCCTGGCGCAGGAGCCGCCAGCCTCTGGGGGAAGCCCAGCCACCACCAAGGAGCAGAGAGGAAGGGCCCTCCCTGGGAAGAACCTGCCCTCTTTGGCAAAGCAGGGGGCTTCAGACCCTCCGACTGTGGCCTCCCGCCTCCCACCCGTCACACTCCAGGTTGGCAGTGTCCCGTCCCTCCCACCCTTCTACTCTGCCACCTGGCTGGCACTGCCGGCCAGTCCCACCCAGGTAGTCCCTGGTTCCCTGGCTGCCTCCATCCTCCTACCTGCAGGCTGGCCTTGGAAGTCTCTTCTTTCCCTGCCTGCTTCTAGCCATGGTCAGAGCAGGGAGGCTGAGATGGGGCAGGCTGCTGGAGCTTAAAGGGGCACCAGCTGTGGGGCAGGGAGCATCTGGTGCCCCCCACCATATCCTCATCCAGGGCCTGGGCTCCAGGACCCCGGCAGACTAGTGGGGAGCCTCAGATCCTTCTAGAAGCTCCCCTGGAAAGCTCTGCCTGGTGCCCTGGCCCCAAGGGACTTTGTCTGTGAGCCACTCCCACAGCAGATGAAGGAGGCAGGAGAGAAGGCACAGGGCTGTCTCATTCTCCCCTCTTCCTGCAGCTCCTGGGGTGAGCCATGGGGTTTATGGCTGCCCCGGCTTGATGGGCCCTAGACCTCTTATGTGACACTCCCCCTGCTCCATCCAGGTGAAAATCCCCAGCAAGGAGGAAGAGGCAGATATGTCCTCACCCACACAGCGAACCTACAGCAGCTCCCTCAAACGCTCCAGCCCCAGGACCATCTCCTTTCGGGTGAGAGCCCTGGGCACCCTGGTCTGCGAGCCACTGGAGGGCAAGTGGAGGAAGCCCGCATCCATTACAACATAGGAGCCGTAGGTTAGGTAGGAAGGTCCCCTGGATAGAGAGGAGCTTTGGATTCCCATGGGTGGCCCTGAACAAACAAGGTTGTATTCAGCAGAGGAGAACAGGTTAGTAACCTGGGGGGTAGGTGCCAGTAAGCATGAGCAGCCCCACCTAGTGGGCAAGGCCAGGGCTGCATGAAGACCGGACAGGCAGGGCTGGCCCTGGGCTGCAGGGAGGTCCACACCTGCCTTCATCAGTTCCTGGCCTCACCTAGGAGACTTGTCTAGGAGGGGAGGGGAGGAACAGAGAGCAGCAAGGCTCTCCTACTGCTCCCTGCCCTGCCACTCTCCCAATAGTACAAACTATGTGGATTGGGGAAATCTCGTCTTGCTTTGTCCTGGTGTTTATTCTTGGTTCTTCTGTTCACTGGGTCATTCACTCAATCATTGGGTATCATGCCTCTAATGTGTGCCAGGCCCTGGAGAGGTGGCCCAATAGCGACTGGTGCCCCCACAGAGCTCATGGGCAGTGGGAGGCAGATAGGAAACAGGTGGTTACAGGTGCCCTGCGAAGGAAGTCTGAAGAAAGTCTTCTGACCCATATTAGTGGGTGGGAACCTGTGTCTTCCAGATACAAACAAGGATCTTTAACGAAGGCTTGTCCACATATTTCTTTGGTGGGGTTGACCCCTGGTAGAAGGGGTGGGAGGTCTGAAGAGGAGGAGGACATGTCTTGAGAGCTGGGCTCCTCACTCGAGGGGGCCACCGATTTCCCGGGGACTCCCACACAACAATGCCTTTCCTTCTCATTTCAGATGAAACCCAAGAAAGAAAACTCGGAAACAACCCTAACTCGCAGGTGGGGGGCCTGGAGGCTCTGGTTCTTTCTATTTGGCCATGTTCAGGCTATTTTCTGAGTACCTGCACCCGCCCTCCTTGTGCCAGGCTGTGCGGTAGGGCACATGAGGGGAAGGTGCAGTCCTTGCCCAGGGCTCCAGATCTGGCAGGGGGATGGGATTAACAGGATGAACTCAGGCGGGATAAGATGGAACAAGGATGGGGAAGGATCAGGGAGAGCTGCTCAGAGGAGGCAGGGCTTGGGTGGGGCCCCAAAGGGGGATGAGGGTTTAGCCTTGAGGTTAGGACAGGGAAAGGGGGCTTTCTGGGAGGGAGACCACGAACAGTGTAAGGGAGGGGAAGCCCCTGCTCCAGCAGGCCTGGTTGGGGGGCTGTGGGTCTGCAGGTTTAACAAGGATTCCTGGGCTCGCTGGTGTTGATGCAAGAAGCCTGAGGACTATGCTTTGAAAAAAAAGCAAAACTGAAATAGGATCTGAGAAGCAGATGTGCTTATGTATTAGGAATGTCATCCACTCATGCTGTATTCATCTGCCCCATGAACATTTACTGGAGCCTACTACACTAGGCTAGGCCTGGGGGCTGGGGTGGGGGTGGAGGAGGAGGAGTACAAAGACAAATGACACAGCTGCTGTCCTCAAGCAACTCACACCCACCCAGCAAACCTATAGCAGCTCTCTCAAACATGAGAACATTACATACTGGCCAACCAGGGAGGGACAGGGACACAGGAATATGAACCCAGGGCTAGGAGCTCAGGAGTAGCTGCACCTGCTCAGCCTGTGAGAGCTGGGGAAGGTGTCATGGAGCAATTGATTTTCCATGAACTAGCAGGAAGTTTGCTCATGTAAAACTGGAGGAATAGCATTTTAAATAGAGGGAACAGCATGTGAAAAAGGCAGAGTGAAGAGCATGGTGTCCAGCTGGCTGGCACACAGGCATACTGTGGGGGAGGGAAGGGGAGGGCCCAGATCACTAGAGCCTTGTATGCTGTGCCAAGGCCTATGGGGTCTGAGCTGGAAGGACAGGATCAGATTTGAGGTAGGAGCAGCCATGTGGAGAGCTCACGGTGGCAGGCTGGGAGAGCAGGTAAGTGGCGATTGCTGTGATGGGGAAGACGGAAAGGAAGGACCTGCTTTGGGAGGTGTTTTGCAGTGGAAATGACAAGGTATGGGGGAGAAGGGATGTCCTATTGAATGGGACGTTTCTTGGAAGTGGAGGGAAATCCCTGGCGTCTGTAAGTTCCTCATGTTGGCCAAGTCAACACAGCCTGCTGTGTGATGGAGGGCCACATTCTCTTGGCCACAATGAGAACGTGTGATGGGGCTGCTCCTCAGGCCCTGGGGGCAGGCCTGGTCTCCCTGGGTGTCTCACTTGGCTCGCCTGTTCCATCTTCCATCCTGCAGTGCCAGCATGAAGCTCCCAGACAACACAGTGAAGTTGGGAGAGAAGCTGGAGAGATACCACACGGCCATACGGGTGGGTGGGGGCTTCTCCTGAGGGGCGGAGGGTGCAGGATGAGTAGTGGGCATGGCCCTTTCCCCTCCCCAGCATGGGTCAGCTGTTGGTGTTCTTGGTTCCCAGAGATCAGAATCTGTCAAGTCTCGGGGTCTGCCTTGCACTGAGTTATTCGTGGCTCCTGTGGGTGTAGCCAGCAAGCGCCACCTCTTTGAGAAGGAACTGGCGGGCCAGAGCCGAGCAGAACCAGCCTCCAGCCGGAAGGTGAGGGGCTCAGGCCCCACAGGGTCCTTAGGGTGATTAGCCCTGACGTCTCCAAAACCCAAATCTTGGCTGTGGCAATGCTAGAAAACTGTTTTCATGTGTCAATTAATGTTGGCAGAACCTCCATTTGAGTTCCCATTCACGTTCCTGAGCCCATCTCCTTAGCTGGGCACACAGCTCCCTGGGGGAAGGGGAGGGGGCTGTCCCAGGTATATGTGGCATGTGCTGGATGCATAGGGGAGTGAGGGAGAGTCCTATCCCATTCCAGGGCCTCTGAACATGCCTCGCTGCTGCCAAGGGCCCTAAACCCTGAGATGGAAAGTTCTCTTTTTAGGAGAACTTGAGGCTCTCAGGGGTTGTGACATCAAGGCTCAACCTGTGGATCAGCAGGACCCAGGAATCTGGAGATCAGGACCCCCAGGTATCCTCACCCTCCCTGATGTCTCTTACTGTGGAGCCTTTGTGGTGGGATGACTGGGGACAGAGGAGGGACAGTCGGGAGAGGAGGAGTCATTTCGGGAGAGGAGGAGTCATTTCGGGAGAGGAGGAGTCATTTCAGGAGTGGAGGCAGTCGGGAATAGATGGGTGTGTGGGTCAGACTCTGGCAGAGAGGAGGGGTGGGTCTGGGTTCCTTTTCTCTTTTGGGAAGAGAAAGGACATCCTGGGCTGGGAGCTGGGCCTGGGGTATCCCGAGCCCTTTGGAGCCTGGTCTTAGTCTCTGGTCTCCACCCTGATACCCTCAATCAGGAGGCACAGAAAGCATCATCTGCAACCGAGAGGACTCAGTGGGGACAGAAATCTGACTCCTCGCTGGACGCTGAGGTGAATGGTGGGGAGGAGCCTGGCCCTACGGCGGAGGGCCACGGTGTACTGTGGGAGACCCCATCGTCCCCGTGTGCACACACTAATTGGCCTGCAATCGCGCAGTCCACCCAGAACGCCCCCATCCCTGCTCATGCAGATTGGTCTGAGCCAACCGTGAGAACAAGGTTGAGCCCTCACCTGGTTGTGCTGCCTGCAGCTCTGCAGAGCCCCTCCCTCTTCAGCTGGCAGATTACAGGGCTCTGACTCCTTGTGGGTGTGGGGCTTGGGCAAAGGGATGCCTTCCTATCCAGTGGCCCCCTTCCCCTTCCATCCCTGACACCCCATTGACTTGTGCTAACAGCTCTTTGCCCCACAGGTGTGACAAGCCCCGCCAAGACAGACCTGCAAGTCTTCGTCTCAAGGGACCTCCCTCATGCCAGGCCCCTGCCTCTCACAGCAGCACCCTTTCCTCTCATTGTCCCTGTTCCCTTTTTGCCTGTGGATCTGTTTGGCCAGGGTCCCTGGGGTCAGGAATATTTGCAAGACTCAGCCAGCTCCTTCCCAGCCCAGCCTCTTGGGGCTGGGACTTTCTCACCCTGCGGCAGGCACAACAGATGCTGGGACCCAGTCTCTGCCCAGGTCACAGCACAAGTGCACATCAGCACTATGGGGCCTATGTCCTGCCCAGAGACCTCTGCTCCTTCCTGCTCACATCCACAGTCAGGGCACGGCGCCCCTCAAGAACTCCAGAGTCACCTGTCTCATCGGCTCCCAGCAAGTGCCTCTTTGTCTATGATGTCCCCCTTCTCTGAGGCCTGGACCCACCCATCTTTGTCCCTGGGGCCTGCTCCCAGCCACTGAGGCCCGCTCTGGCCAGGGGAGAAGGAGCTGCCGTGCGTCTTCCCTGTGCCCCGTCTCCCTGCTTGGTTCTCCCCTCCCTTCCCTGGCCGGCTGCCATGGCCAGGAGCTAAGTGCCTTTTTGTGTGCAACCACTTACCCTTTCTCTGAAAAACCTGTTCTCAGGAAGGATCTGATAAACTCATTTACTCTCAGGTGTAAGAGACTGATGAGACCTTAGAAGCGAATTCCTCTCTGGAGGCCTTGCTTTCTAGCAGAGGTCACCTGAAGTGTGTGAGGAGGATCATCATTTTCCTCATCCCCCCTCTTCTCACATTAAGGTGGTGGCTTGCCACTCAGCAGTCCTAGCTTGGTGACTGGGAACTGCCACATACAGGGCCAGGCCTACCCTCCTTCCCCACAAGCCCCCTCCAACCCCCACCCCCATGCTCTGGACCTCATGGCTCCTATGAGCTTGGAGCATGGTGAACCATCAGAGAATCTAGAACCAACCAAGCTAGGAACATCAGCCTGGTGCCCTGTTAACCCCTTAAAGCTGTGGTTTACAACTTTTCAAAAATTTAAATCATTAGAACTCTCCATCTTGATTGACTGCCCTAGTTTTACCCAGAATCAGCTGGGGATGTGGCCAGGTGCAGAGCCCCCTGCCCATTCCCCCTTTGCATGCCTGGGGAAGCTCCAGGTCTTTTTGGAACACGACCCTTAACACGGCTCCTAAGGGGGTATCACCAGTCCAGTTCCCCAAGTGTGTGGGGGATGAGCCCTAGCCCTACTCTGTGACTCTGGGTGAGGGCTCCTCAGATCTGTGCCCCAGGGGACAGGCCCTCAAAGTGCCATCCGTGCTCAGGTCCCAGTGCCCCAGGCTGACCCACCTCTGGTCAGTGAGTCTCCTGTGCCTGAGTGAGGGATATCGGGACCTGGGGTCCCTGCCCCGAGCACCTCCCACCCACTGCTAGTGCTGGGGCTTTGTGAGTGTTCCAACTTCATAGCCGAGAGTTGGAGGACAAGGCTGGGGCAGGGCCGAGGAACGGATTGAGTCCTGCCTAAGCCTCGGGACATCTAAACAGCTCTGGCTCTGCCCAGACCTCAGGTGTGACCCTGAGCCATTTTCCTTCTCTGAACTTCAAGCAGATGACCTCAGAGAACTTTCATATGTTCATGCCATGATAGGTGAACTTTTCCAGTAAACAAAACTGTCCCCACACAGAGGAGAGGCTCCTGGAGGCCTTCACCTGGCAGGGCCTGACCGTGGAGTAAGAGCCTAGGAAGACACTGAGGGGCCTGTTCCTGCAGCTGCAGCCTCAGCAGGGCCCTTCATGCCTGCACCCCCCTCCCCTGGGGTGCCCAGTGAGGGCTGACTGCTAGGGGAAATGTCGGGGTGCTACAGCACAGCCCCCTCCCCTGTGAATCCAGCACGTGAGGGCCCTGCCCTCGTTCCTACTGGGGACGCAGCCAGTAAACAAGGAGACCAGGGTGTGCCCAAGATGACCTCAGCTGGGGATAGATGAGTGGTAGCGACTGGGTGTCCAGGCGGGTGGGGAGGCCTCTGGATGGGTGACATTGGGCACCTTCTGGAGACAGAACAGGGCTCCCACACACCACTCCGGGCTGCACCCTCCTGCTGTCTTGCCACAGGGGCCCTGTGCCCCACAAGTGGCCCGTCCTATTGTGGATCCTCAAATTTACATGCACTGTTTCAGCATAAGCCTCCCATTCCACTCTGGCTTTGTTTTCTCTTTACATCCCTTTGAAAGGACAGGGATATAAAAAAAAAATGGGCTAAGAGTAACCCTACTATGCCCAGGAGTGGCTGCTGCATGGGGGCTGGATTTCCTTATCTGAGAGGCTGTCTCACAGCGCTCTGAACGAAGCTCCTGCCTTAGAACAATTCGAAGCCATACACGTGTGGCCTGTGACACCAAGGATCTACTGGGCTTTTCCCATGGGGCTCAGTAGTGACCTAGGTGCCCAGATCCCTCTTCTAGGCATCCATGCAAATAAACCGTGGTCTGTTTGAAAGGTTATTGGGCTTACAAGGAACAGTAACCCACCCTCAAGTTAAAAAAGGGTTTGGGAAAAGTAATTCCGAATTCTACGTTACTCCAGGCCAGGACCCAAGGCAAGGCTGGGCCCTGCTTCGTGGGCTAGAATGGGAGAGAGAGATGATGGGGCTCCCCCCACTTTCTTGACAGCCTGACTCCTTCCTCACTATCCCTCGGGAATCTGTCCCCTCCATCTGCCTGTCTCTCTACAAAGTGCCCCTGCTTCCCTGTGGTGGTCCTCAGTCCCACAATGCTGGCCAGCGGGCGGTTGGCTTCAGCTTGCCCTGCCACAGATGTGCTGGCAGTGTGGAGGCCCACGTGGCAGGGCAATCAAGGCCACTGGACTCAGAGGCCACAGGGAACTATGGAGGGGATGGAGTCAGCTGAGTGATGGGACAAGAGTCTGACAGCAGCATGGGTGTGGAGCAAATGGCAGTCCCCTGCGCAGAGGACCCTTTCAAGGACATTAGTGGTGGAGGCAGCATAGTAGCTCCCAAGGCAGAGGGATTGAGAGAAGAGTTTGAGGACTGGGAAGGCGGGACACATGATTGGGTGATGGGAGAAGGGGGCAGAGAATAGCGAGATTGCTTTCTTTGCCCACGGAGAAACAGAGGAGTGTGGATCATGAATGGGCAAGATCTTTAAGTGCCAGGGGGGGTCATGGAGGAGGGGAGGGCCTGCTCCAGAGGAGGACCATTCCTGCTTCAGAGCCAAGCAGGACCTAGGCTGTGAAGATTCGGAGAAAGAGATGGAGGGGAGAGTCAGCTCAGCTGCTTACTGGCTTGCTTTCCTCCTGTCTCTTTCATTTTCATAATCTACCAAACCCTGCAATGGGCCAGCCTTGAACATACAAGTGCATGTGCATGGTCAGACACAGGCAAGCAAGCAAGACCCCTAGGCCTGACCTATGCATCTGCAATCTAGTAGGTTTAGCAGATCATAGCCCCGCACTGCTTGATTTTAAAGCCGTTAGGGGATGACCTTTGACAGTCCGCATCACCCCTCTCACACAACGAGCGCCTGTTCAAGGTTCTTGACTGGAAGTTCTACCTTGTATCTGGCCTCCTGTAGCAGTTTCAGTCCATTCCCTGTGAGGAGGGTGTGCCACATGGCTTTGGGGGTCATGGAGAAGACCCACCTTGCAGATGTCCTCACTGGGGCTGGCAGAGCCGGCAACCTGCCTAAGGCTGCTCAGTCCATTAGGAGCCAGTAGCCTGGAAGATGTCTTTACCCCCAGCATCAGTTCAAGTGGAGCAGCACATAACTCTTGCCCTCTGCCTTCCAAGATTCTGGTGCTGAGACTTATGGAGTGTCTTGGAGGTTGCCTTCTGCCCCCCAACCCTGCTCCCAGCTGGCCCTCCCAGGCCTGGGTTGCTGGCCTCTGCTTTATCAGGATTCTCAAGAGGGACAGCTGGTTTATGTTGCATGACTGTTCCCTGCATATCTGCTCTGGTTTTAAATAGCTTATCTGAGCAGCTGGAGGACCACATGGGCTTATATGGCGTGGGGTACATGTTCCTGTAGCCTTGTCCCTGGCACCTGCCAAAATAGCAGCCAACACCCCCCACCCCCACCGCCATCCCCCTGCCCCACCCGTCCCCTGTCGCACATTCCTCCCTCCGCAGGGCTGGCTCACCAGGCCCCAGCCCACATGCCTGCTTAAAGCCCTCTCCATCCTCTGCCTCACCCAGTCCCCGCTGAGACTGAGCAGACGCCTCCAGGATCTGTCGGCAGCTGCTGTTCTGAGGTAAGGCTCGGGCAGGGCTCTGGGGAAGAGGAGAGCAGAGAATGGACGGGGAGATGTGAGGGTCTTGGGCCCTGGCATATTTACCCAGAGTCTGCCTGTGTCCGCAGAAGTCCATGGCCCCTCCTGGTGGAGGCCACACTTCAGAGGACAGGTTGCCAGGTCTGGGCTCCAAGATTGGTACAATAGAGCAGAGAGAAAGAGAGAATCCCATGGTAGCCATTGGAGACTAGGGTTGGAGTCCTGGACCTGCCACTAAAGATGTAGAGTTTAAACTCTTGGATGAGTCACTTTCCCTCCCCAGGCCTCAGTTTTCTCATCTGTAGAGTGGGCTAAATATTTGCTAGGCCTCTGCCTGCTCTAAATACAATGAGGCTCTAACCAACAGAGACTCCCCTAAATTGCTTGTTCCAGGCCGAGGGTCACCTATACCTTTCCAGTCAGGTCCTTCTTGAGTCCCAGGGAGCAGAGCGAGACTGCAGCCCTGTCAGTCAAGTGAGTCTCCTGGTCATATTCTCAAGGCTAGGAACTCAGAAACTGTCCTGGAAGTACTGAGAACGACCAGATGTGCAGGGTCCTCTGCAGCGCCTCTCCAGGCCAACGCGGGAATTCCATTTGATGCCGCTGACTCAGTGCCATTCCCTCCCAGAGCTGAGCTGAGCTCCCAGACCCTGAGCTGAGCTGCACTTGGGGGGCAGATGGGGAAAGGCCCCACTGGGAGAACCTGTCCTTGGGTGTGAGCCCAGCTGGTTGGCATTAAAGGGTTTAACCTGGGCCCCCGTAAGTGTAACCCTTGTCCCATCCCACCCCAACACCCCATCTTGGGACAAGCCTTGCTCTGTGCCCAGGAGTGGTAGAGAAAGATTCCCTTGGTTTCTAGTTTCTCCTGGGCAGGCTGAGGACTATTCAGGGAGGGGGTTGCCTGGTGTGTAAGGAATTTCAGAGCACATTCCTGGCCTGCTGTAGCCGGGAAGCTACCTGCCCTCCCAAATTCCTTTTCTGACCCATGTCTTAGAGGGCGAATCTTCCTTCTCTCTGCAAAAGTGGAATCTGAGAGGATCAGGTTGCTGGCTGCCTCCTATTTCTGACCCCCACTTCCACTCTTCCTGCCCTCTCCCCATCCCCTTACCCCCGCTCTCCTGGTGGGCTAACAGCTGTTGGCTTAGGAAAATCCCATTCGAGTGCTGGGGACAAGGACTGAGGGGTGGGGCCTGTGTTTCTCAGAAACTCGGAGACTGTTTCTACAGGGACAGAACTCAAGGCTCTCCTGCTTTGTAGTTGGTTAACTGAAGTCAGAGAGGCTAGGTGACTTAAATAAGGCCACACAGCAAAATCTGGGTTTTAAGCCCAGATTTTTTGACCCCAAGGTCAGTATGCCTTATGCCTTCTATTGTCTTTGCTTTACTCCCCAAGAAAGGTGACCCTGTGAACGTGTTAGGCTTCCAACACGTGTTGGCTATGAATGCATTAGGCTAGAAAGCTGCCTGTGGAAGTGGGTGGGACTTGGGTGTGAGGACACAGGTGTTTCAGGACATTCTGGTTCCTTGCCCTGCCAGGTTCTTGACTCTCTCCCATTCTGCAGCCCCCAGTCTCAGCCCACCTCTTTCCCCTGCATCAGGTCCTGCCTTTGAGCCACTGGCATGGTGGTGTCCTCTGGGCTGGCTGAAAGCCCTCCTCCATCCTGCATGTCTGCATGCTATTTTTGGGAGCTGGATGGTGCCCCCAGGAACAGGGAGAGGAGTCCAAGCTGCTCTGTCCTCCTGTGAGGCCCCAGCACCATGCCCAGTGGCTCTGAACTGGTGGAAGGGCAGAGTAGGAGAGGAGAGAGAAAGCTAGAAGCTATGCGCCCAGGCTGGCCATGCACGGTTCCTCTGAGAATTTTCTCCCTCCCACTGAGGGACAAGCTTCTCCTGGGGCTCAGGTAGGAGCTCCTCAAGTTCTCAAGTCACTAGTTCTGGCCGCTCCCCTGGGGCTTTGGGTAACAATTGTCAGCCCCACCCATCCTAGGGTTAGGAAGGCTATTCTCTTTGGCCACTCTCATCCTAAGACCTATTTGGAGAACCTCTGGGGTTTGAGTCTTTTTTTCAGCAGAATGAGGCTTGATCCCGCATTATAGCACCTCGCACATTTGATGTCTCTTCTTCTCACCCACTCACCCCACCCTGGGGGTTGGGGCAAAAAAGTGGCTCAGAGCTGCGGTTCAGAGCTCCTTGTAAACAAGGCTCCTCCCTCACTGTCCTCACCCTGCTCCAGCAGAGGGAGCAGCGGAAGGACCACTCTGCTGCAGCCATGCTTGTTTCTAACCCAGCAGAACTGGACATAATGGGAACAGGGTCTGAAGACAATCAATCCAGGGCTGCAGTGGGTGCTGAGTCTGGGGAAGCCTCCACCTGGAGGGGCAGCTGGGCAGTGGCAGCTCCCTTGGAATGGCTCAGCCTCTGGACATCACCCCACCCAACCAGAGCCCTGGCTCTTGCTGGATGTCCACAGATGAGTGCCTGGGATTGGTCTCAGCCACTATGGGGGGGATGTGCAGGGAGAGGTGATGAGGGAGTGAGCAGGACTGTCTATGTGCCTCTGTCCTCATCCTGAGGCTTGGGTCTGAAATTGGTGCTGCAGCACTGGCACGCGTGAGTGGGGCAGGAGGTGGGCAGCAGGGGAGGAGCATTGGAGGGTGGTCCTGAGCATCATTTGGATTCTTCTCCCGCCTCACTTTAGCCTCACTCTCACATCACCCTGTCCATTCTCTCCCTTGGAAGCCAACATCAGGAAGGCTGTGGAGCTGGCATATTGCACTATAACAGAGGCTGCTGTTCACGTTTCAAACAACGTGATTGTGTCCCTGGAGCAGTGCACTGTCATGGCCCCGGAGGGTTGGGTCATAGTAGTTATTAGCTGAATGCCTACACTTCACACTACCTCTGTTCCTCACACCTACCCAAGAAGAGCAGTAATTTCACAGCAAAGAGAGCTGAGATGTGGGGAGGTTAAGTGACCTTGCCAAGGTCGCAGGCAAACGCATGCTGGAGCCAGCATTCAAAACGAGATTAGTCTCACACTCAAGTGCTTGCTCTCTGCCCCCTCCCTGTGATTACATGCTCATTGTAACACCTGATGTTGCCTAATGCCTTCCCCTTTTGTTAATGTCAACTGGAGCCTCGTAAAGACCCTGAGTAGCCAGGATGTGTACACTTTATCTCCATGAGACAGAGAAAGGACTGAGGTTTGGAGATGTTAAAAAGACTCGCCTAAACACCCTCGGCAAGCTAATGGAAGAGGATCTGAATCTAGATTATCTGTTCCCAGTGCAGTGAGAAGATGATCTCAGAATGAGTTCCCTGGGGGAACATTTTTTAATCGGAATTTTCATTGACATAATTAAAGACTAGTACACAGTTGTCTTTAATAACGAGCGTTTACACACGGTGCCTAGTTTCTCCCGAGGGCAACATTTGCAAAATTAGTACTATATCAAAACCAAGATTGGACATCAATACAATCAATCTATGATCTTATTCAGATTTGCCCACAATTGCACCATGTGTATGTGAAACTCTAAACAACTTTAACCTGTGGAGGTTCACGTATCCATCACCACAGTCTACATACTGAAAAGATCCCAAACCACAAGGATCCCCGCTGTGTGCTTTGATTTATTTATTTAGAGACAAGTTCTCACTCATTTGTCCAGGCCAGTCTCTTGGGGTGCCCAAAGACCTTTTGTCCAGGTCTCACTTTTGTCCAGCACACATGGAATGGGTGTGGTGGCTCACGCCTGTAATCTCAGCACTTCGAGAGGCTGAGGCAGGAGGATCCCTTGAGCCTGGGAGTTCGAAACAGCCTGGGCAATGTGGCAAAATCCCAGCTTTACTAAAAATACAAAAATTAGTCGGGCATGGTGGTGCACAACTATAGTCCCAGCAACTCAGGAGGCTGAGGTGGGAGAATCGCTTGAGCCCAGAAGGTTGAGGCTGCAGTGAGGCTTTGTGCAGTGAAGATTTGTACAGTGCTGAACAGATCCTGTGGAGTGGGGGTGGGCAGAGTGGATGGAAAGGTTGAGAAACTGCAGACATTGTCTTGAGTGTCACAAATGGAAATGCAGCATCCCAGGCAGTATTGCCTGTTCAGGGGCAAGGAACGAAGTGGACATCAGCAGGTGGCCTTGCTGCCATGTGGGTGTCACTATCTCCCCCAGCAGGGGAGAAAACAGGCTTTTTGTTGCAGGTCACACAGCTCATGAGGGGTGGAACTAGATTCACCCTAGGCCTCGCTGATCTCTGTACAACGGGGGCCAGAGCTCTTCTGAGGAAGGCAGGCTTCCCTTTGTACCTGCACTGACTTTTTTCTCCTTTTGGAGGGAGAGCAGAGACCATGTCTGACATAGAAGAGGTGGTGGAAGAGTACGAGGAGGAGTGAGTATCTGGAGCATCTTGCCTGAGTGGGGTCCTCTCCCGCCGCTGCCCTGACACCTGGTCCAGGAGCCTCCCAGCTGTCCCTCGGATTCTGGGTAGAAGTAGCTGTGTGTGTTTTGGGCACCCCGAGGAGAGATATAGCCATTTCCTTTCCACTCCTGTACCCCTGGGTTGTAGATCCCAGGCAGAGCACAGGCCGAGAGACTTCGGGAAGCACAGAGGTTCAGCTCCAGGGTCATCAGTGTCCTTGGCCAGTCTTGGCTAGGGGCCATGAACAGAGAAGCTGAGATGTTGGGTCTCCTGAAACTGACTGAGGAAGGTTCAGTGACTCTCCAGAGGCACAGAGCTGATTATGCCCCCCAAACCCCAGCTCAGAACCCAGTGTTATCACCCTGTCTTGGATCCCTACTCTCTCATGACAGTGCCCTGCCCACAGTCCTATCCCAGAGGGAAACCAGGGGGTGGGACACAGCCAATCCAATAACTACAGAGGATAGTGGTCACCAGGGAGGAGACAGAGGTATAGGCACGGCTACTGCCCTCACAGAACTTACTCTTGTTGAGATGTTAAGACATAAACTGGGAGAAGAAATTAGCAACTGGGGGCCTGGTGTGGAGGGCGGGCTGTTGGTAGTGTAGGAGTTCTGAGGAGAGGGAGATCAGGGGCTGGAATAGTCAGGGGGCTGTGTGGAGAAGGCAGGTCTTACCTGTGTAGAATTTGGAAAGATAAGAGATTTGGGAGAGGGCAGGACTTTCTAGAAAGGGGTACAGCTTGGGCAAAGATGGAAAGAGTAAGTGAGCAGAACGCTGGTGAGACCAAGCTGGCTGGGGCGGAGGCTTGCGGAGGATGGTAGGAGGCAGCCCTGCATGAGAACGGCAGGCCAGGCTAGTGGGTGTCATTGCAAGGTGGGCAGGGCAGCGTGGACTCCACTAGGCAACAAGGGAAAAGAAAGGGGGATTATCTTTGGGGAAAGGCCAGTGTGTGCATGTGTGTGCAGGCGTGTGTGTTTGCATGTGCTTGTGTGCGAGCTACTGACAGTGTTTCCTGTTGCTCTCAGGGAGCAGGAAGGTAAGCGTAAACGTGTGTACTCATTTGGATCAAAGACAGCCTGGTTCGAAACTGACCCACCTCTTCTCTCTTCTCTTGCTGCCTGGACTTCTCTTCTGAGCAGAAGCAGCTGTTGAAGGTATGTGCCTCAGGCAGGTGGAGAGCCAGAAAGGGGCAGGCTCAGCAATGTGGAAATCCTGGGAGCCCTGGGAAAGCAGCTCATCTGTCCCTGCTCCTCACTCTCAGCTGAGCAAGATCCTCCAACAACAGTGCCTTCTAAAATGGGAATCAGTCCTACCTGGGTTGCTCGGGTCTTGAGGCAAACGATTTAAACCTGTCTCTTCTGTCTGCCATTTGCTTCAAACACACTGATCACTTTTCCCAATTTTTTTTGCTTCTTCTCCCTTTTATCATGGGAAATTTTAAATGCACATAAAGGTAGCAATAATAATAATAATGGCCCCCCCTGCCCAAGGTACCCATTACCAGCTTCAACAATCATCATCTTAGGGCCAGTCTTCTTTCCTCTATACTCCACCTTCCACCAGTTATTTTGGAGCAGACATCCAAAATTGTTCCCAGGCACCATGTCAGTTCACGCTTCAAGATTTCGCTACACCGTATCTCTAAGAGATAAGCACTACTTAAAAACCATAACCACAATGCCATGATATGCCCCAAAAGATTCCATTTAGTAATTTCTCAAATGCGATTGTGAGTATGAAATTGCTCAGTGATCTGAGACGTCTTATCTCGGCATGAAGATTTGTCATGATTCTGAGCTTGCAGAGGCCCCTCTTGCTGCTCCTATGCTGATCGGTTAACCCATCGCCCTCCTCAGCTGTGGGTCCCACATCTCCCTGAAAGAACGCCCTCACCTTCCCTTCTTCCTGAGAGCTTGGCACATGGAAATGACTCAGAGGCTTCACTCCAGTCCTCCCCCTGCACCCCAGGCAGGTGGACCCTGCCTTTTAGTGGCTCAGGTATCACTTCAGCATGTGGCATGTAGATATTAGGAGAAGGGTCTCTATGAAGGTCCAAGGGGGGAGCCCAGGTGGCCCCGCCCTTGCTCCCCATGGCTCCTAGGGAAAATGGGGACCCTCCTGCACATTTAGGGCTGTTCCAGGGCTGTCTGGCCAAAGAGGAGACAGAAGAGAAATTCACAGGAGAAACTGAAAGAGGCCACAGGCGTCTTTTTTGGTTTTTAAGGAACACCAGATACTTCAGAAGCTATCAGAAATATATTTTTGAATAAAAAATCTAACTGGCTCCAAATTCTGCTGTGTTCCCTGAACAGACTCTTGATATGATATCCCTTCCTTTGTTTTGGAGGATTTTCCACTTCCTTATAACAGGTTTAGGGTGGTGGAGTTTGAGACATAGATCTCTGGATTTGGGACCAATCTGCCTGCCACACACAGTAGAATTTGGCTGTGAGTTAGCAGAGTCATTCTCCACTGTGCTGGGGCCTGAGCCGTGTAGCATCTGCCTTGCTTGCCATGAATAGACGAGACTTGCCTCCCACACAGTTGAGGATCTGGCTGCAAATGATCAAGAGAGAGCAACGTCTAGATGGGTGTCCACTAAGCCTGCAGGATAGATAATGCCAGGTGTCCTTCTTCCAGGAGAGGAATTGTTCCACTTGCTGGAACTGTTTTTTTGGGCAGATATTTGTACGTAGAACAACTGTTGTAGATGCAGCCTCTTTCCTTAGATTTATAATGCTGGACCCTTCTTAGATGGGGCAGCATCCTCCCAACAGGCCGGGCAAATCTCCCCTGGGGCCAGGCTCTCCAATGAGGCTTTCTAAAGTGTGACTCCTGGAAACTGGACATAGTTTGCAGGATACCCAAGAGCCTCATTCAGAGCAGGAACATGGGCAGGCTCGTTGAGGGCAGGAAATTTGATGGAAGAGAATTGTCCCCCACTCTCTGCTCTTTAGGGGCCTCTGTCTTAGTAAGAAGGAGGCCAAGGCTCTGTCGTCTAGAGGCATTGCAGTTACCACAGATCGCATGCTCCTCTTGTGCCAGGCACCTGCTGGGCGCTCTATGCACGCTAGGTCATTCAGTCCTCACCACGGCTGAGAAGTGAGTAGAATGATTCCCATTTTACTGATGAGGCACCTGAGGCTCAGGGAAGTAACTGAGAGTTGCCCCTGTTGCTGGAAAGTAGTGGCTTGGGAATTGGAATGCCGGCCTAACTCCAAAGCCCACACTCTTAAAACCACTGCGCTGGGTGGCTGCTCCTGCCGCGGGCTCTCTGCTCCCAGACTAACCTGTCTCGCTTTTCCCCTCCGCTGCGGCCACTCCCTGAACCTCAGAAGAGGAGGACTGGAGAGAGGACGAAGACGGTAGTACAGCCTTTCCTTCTGTGGTGCTTTCTGCTGCCTGCTGTCCCAAGTGCAGCCTCCTTGTCCAGGGGCCCTGTTCTGGGGGCTGGGGGGTGTGAGTAGGCGGCAGGGACGGAGTGGGTCAGTCGTTTCCTCCCCTGCCTCCCAGGGGCCAGGATCACAGTTCCAAGCTGATCATCATGCCTGAACTTCAGGGCCACTGGCTCCTCTTCCTGGTTCCTGGATCCTTCCCCTGGGTTGGGTGGTGGGAGGGACCAAGGCTAGCTGGTCTCCCAAGCTGCTCCAAATGTGGCCATAGAGGGGACCTGGCACCTGGAAGACAGCAGCGCCACCCTGCCCCCGCGCACACCCCAGTGTTCCATGCTGGGCCCTCCTTAGGAGCTGGACAGCACCAAGCAGGGTGGCCAGGTGTTGGTTGGGGGGTCTGGGGACAGAGTCCTCTGGAGAGCAGCCAGGGAGACTGGAAATAGCCAGAGCAGGAAGGACATGACGTCAGCCTTCAGATGCGCCCTGCTGATGGGGAGCACAGGACCAAGGCAAGGGAGTGAGACCAGGGCTTAATTTTAGAAAGTGCGTTCTGACAGCTATATCTCAAGATGCAGTAGGTGGGTTGGGGAGGCAGTAAGCTCCCCATCCTTGGGATGTTGCATGGCCACTGGGTGGGCTGGGGTATATTATATAGAGAAATGACACGTCAGATGAGGTGGCAGAGGTGTGAACAAGATGGCCTAAAGGTAGACCCCACAATGGCCATGTCCTTCCTCGCTAGCCCTCTGCTTTCACACTTTCTAGAAGGATCATTTTGAGGTAAGACTCCTGCAGGGATCAAATAAAAGGCATCTCCAGGCTTCAGAGAGGACTCAGACCTGGGAAGGGAGGACAGAGGGAATGAAGGCCAACCCTTCTCCCACGATGGTGTCTTCCTCCTGTCTGAGGTTTTTCTTCTCCCTCTGCCAAGAGGCACCCACTTCCCAGTGCATCAGTGAACAGGCATCACAGAACACTTCCTACAGGCACAGCCCAGGCCAGGCGGCATCCTGTCTCCCTTATCTGTTTGTCTGTCTGTCTACACCAAGTGCCTGAGTGAGATGGGGGCCACATCCTGCCAAACAAATAGATGAAAATAGAAAAATCCTGCCCACTTTCTGGATAGTACGAAGATCCAGATATTGAGTGTGCCATCCAGCCACACAGTCGTACTCTTTTGGTTTCTTTGAGATGTGGATTGAGGGTGTCTAGAGTCACTAGGTTCAGGACAGGAGCTTCTGGACACCTCGGCTTAAGCAGAGCATGTTCTGTGGTGCCAGACACGGGGTGGAACTTCTGGGCTGGAAAGTTGGGGAATGAGGTGGAGTCCCATCATCAGGGAGGTTGCCGGGATGAGTGGGGCTAAGCTGGGTGGCGGGAGGTAGCCGACAGTCAAAACCAAGAATGGCAGCCCCCCAGCACGTTGGTTGCCCCCAAATTCATCTGGACCTAGACGTCTTGACCCCCATCCCCACTCCCCGCTGCCCATTCTCTGCTCTGGGTTCTGCCTGATAGCATGAGTGGGGCCTGCTTCTTCACTCTGTCTGCTTCACTTCTCCAGAGCAGGAGGAGGCAGCGGAAGAGGATGCTGAAGCAGAGGCTGAGACCGAGGAGACCAGGGCAGAAGGTAAGTCTCTGGTTGAGGGTGCAGGGGCCTCAGGGGGTGGCGAGAGCCCCTGGAGCCATTCCTGAGGCAGTAAGAAACCCCCCAGAACAGGCTTTCCCATGTGCACCTGACTCTCCTATTGACTAAGATTCAACCATTGATTGCCCAATCAACA
Source organism: Homo sapiens (assembly GCF_000001405.40). Lineage (NCBI taxonomy): Eukaryota > Metazoa > Chordata > Mammalia > Primates > Hominidae > Homo > Homo sapiens. Next base: position 201,368,007 of record NC_000001.11, on the reverse strand, counting down.
AACGTTGACCCAGCGCTTCTCTTGTGTCAGGCAGTCTTGGGTCCAGGGGAATGTGTGTGTGAGAGACAGCTCTGTAACCCCAAAAACCAACAGAGTGCATCTTGGCTAGGGCTTATCTGTGGGGAAGGCTCTTGCTGGTGGCGGAGGGGGGGACTTGAGCTCAGAACAAGGACCTTGATTGATTTCTCGTGTTTCATTTAGAAGATGAAGAAGAAGAGGAAGCAAAGGAGGCTGAAGGTAAGGATATCAGGAGAGAGGTACAAGGGAGGCAAAGGAACCCCTCACAGCAGCTTTGGAGGAGAATGCCCACAGTGCTCTTTCCAGGGAAGTGGATGTGCACTGAGAGGGTTTGGGAGAGGAGAGGACAGAACTTGGTGGCACTTCCAAAGTTTTAGATGTTGAGCTTTCAACTTTGCCCCTTCTCCCAGAGAAGTTGCATTGGTGGCACCCAGTGGGAGAGGGGACCATTGTCCAGCCCCCTGGTCTGGACAGAGCAATGGGACCCAGAAGTCATATCCACACATGAAGCTCCTAGAGCTTAGGTGAAATCACTTGTAGGATGTGGTGTCCGTAGGATGAAATCCCAATGCATAGATGGTCATGGTGGGTCATTGCTGCAGTCATCGTCATGCTGCAGCCTTCACCAGGGTTCTAAGTGGTCCCAGTCACTTCTCCAAAGGGGAGGGGACAACCAGCTGGGGCTTGGAATCATGTCATCAGCTTCTGCCCTGTGGCCACCGGGAAGTCCAAGGGGTAACAAAGAAGGCAAAGACCTGGGAGGGGATTCTAGGGCCAGGACCCTTGGGGACCTTTCCAAAGGCCTTGTCACTGTGAAGCACAAGAGAAGCAAAATTGCTTTGCCCAGAACTGGTGAGTGAGAGAAGGCTTTGTGTGAAGTTCCACACTGCGTGAGTGTGTGCCCTGCAGAACTCTATGGGAGGGGGAGTGTGGCATCTGCAGCCCCCGCTGCCTTCATTCTCCTGGATGCTTCTGGAATCAGGGCTCCCCAGTGCCGGGAGGGACTCACTGTGCAGATGGGGAAATGGAAATCCACAGGGATCTAGCTCATCGAGGGCGGAGTTGGGACCACTTCTGGGGCCCCCTGACCCATGGCTGTGTGCTTCTATCTCCTCCAGATGGCCCAATGGAGGAGTCCAAACCAAAGCCCAGGTGAGTGGGGAGGCACCTGGGTAGAGCCGGGAGCAGAGGCTCAGGGAGAGAGGATGATGATGGAACGGGGTGCAGTATGGTGCAGTGGACACGGGCTGGGGGTTTGGTGGGCACAGAGCACCACAGTACAGTTGTACAAGTTGTGTACTGCACAAGCGTCTCTTCCTAAGGGAGTGAGTGAGGGCTGAATTCCACCCAACACTCCATCACCAATCGTGCACCCTAGCAGGGATGGGGCTATGTTCTTCTAGAGGAAGGGCCCTGAACGGACACTCTCCTCTCTCACAGTATGGCCAGAACACCCTCCTCCATGGCCGAGGTGGGACCTTGGGATTAAGGGAAGCAAATTGTGGGGAGCCAAACAATGAAACCGTGCCAGCATAGGCATGGCGGCTTCAGAGAGCTGAGAGAGGGCAGGACGGCTTGGTGCCACACACGTGAAGCCCACCTGAAGGTGGTGTGTGCTGGGGGGGGCTGGGGGATAGGGAGCATTTCCCTTTTTATGATGCCAACCCTGCCAGCAGAGGTTGACCCATGGCACCTCTGCCCACTCACAGGCTCTTCCCATTTCAGTGGGGCCTTCTGAAACCAGCCCAAGACATCCCAGATCCATTTATTTGCCCAGTGCCTTCCCCCTTCCTGGCCTCTTGTGCACTGCGGTATCTCATTTCAGCTCCACACACCTGAGGGCAGATGGGGACATGAAGAATCAGAGAACCCCCTGGGTCTCAGTATGTGTTGGGACCAGGACCAAACTGCAAGACTCCCAGGTTCATGGCCAGTTTCTGCGGGGTCCACCAGGGGATTTGAAGTCCAAGAAGCATGGCATCTTGTCACAGCTTCTTTGATTCCAAGTTGTGTGGCTTTGAGCAAGTCATTCTACCTCCCTGAGCCTCAGTTCTCCTAAGTGAGATTAACGGTACCCACTTCATGGGCATATCATGAGCATGAAGTGAAATAGCATATGTGAAAGAGCTTTGTGTATTCCCAGGTGCTGAGCAAGGCTGAGGACTGCCATTGTTGACGTCAGTGTTACTATCATTGCTGTGGTTGGTCGGGGCAGTGCTGGAAGATTCTCTAGGAAGGATCAGGGCCCTGCCTGTCCTGGACACCCTCAGTCCCTGGGTCCAGAATGGGGCTGATGCTGACTATTCCTCTCTCCAACAGGTCGTTCATGCCCAACTTGGTGCCTCCCAAGATCCCCGATGGAGAGAGAGTGGACTTTGATGTAAGCGGTGGCTGTGGGTTGAGTAGGCCTGGGCTGGGGATAGTCCCAAGGGCCCTCAGTGACAGAGATTTTGTGACCTTGGGCTGGGGTAGAGCATAGGTGGGATGGGGTGCAGCACCAGCCAGGCTGGGTGCCCATCCATGAGCGTGGTCCTGGGTTCAGGCCACAGTTACCCCTTCCCTGGCCAGGCGCCAGGCCCTGCCAGAGGTCTTTTGCACTGCGTTGGGGGGTGTCTAGCCCACCCATCTCTCCTCTGGACTCTTTGGAGTGGCAGCCTCTGAGCCGCAGCGGTCCACCCACAGGACATCCACCGGAAGCGCATGGAGAAGGACCTGAATGAGTTGCAGGCGCTGATCGAGGCTCACTTTGAGAACAGGAAGAAAGAGGAGGAGGAGCTCGTTTCTCTCAAAGACAGGATCGTAGGTGTCCAGTCTGCCCACCTAACATTCTCTGATGGCCCAGTCTGTCCTCCATCCCTTTTGTGAGGCCCCACCTCCTCCAGACAGCCTTCCTCGGCGCCTCAAACCCAGCTAGGTGTGAGGTCTCCTTCAGAGGCCCTCCAGCATTCTGCACAGCTCCTGCAGCCCTGACTGGTTTCTCGGGTCCCTGCCTTCCCTCCCCATCCTACTGGATGCTCCTTGACTGCCAGAGCTGAGTCTGATCTGTTTCAGGCCTCCCCCAGGGCCTAATTCAGGCCCGGGCTGTGGACTGATTGGTCACAGGCCTGCTGCGCCACCCCTGCCCTTGCCTCCTCTTCCCCCGCAGATGAAGGGGAGTGTGACCTGCAGAATCCCACATCCTTCTCCTGCAGAGCGTGGAGGCTGCTTTGATTGCTTTTGTTTCTCCCCATCAAACTTGCCTTCCCACAGACATGCTGCTCTGGCTGGAGCAATGACTTGGCCATCTATCCAAGCATATGGCACAGAGCAGCTGCCAGGGCAGGGTGGGATGGAGGTGGGGGCAGAGCCCAGAAGGAGCCTGCCTGATGTCTCCCAGTTGTGGAGGGCAGTCTCACCATGAGGAATGTTGGAGGTGGGTCACTGCAGGTACCCTGGTGTGCACGTCCGTGGAGCTGGTTGAAAGTGGAGGCCCTTGGAGGCCGGGCACCATTGCTTCAAGACTCTGGAAGGAACCCTCCCCCAGGAATTCCCTTGCCACCCCATGCAGGTTTCTGTACCTGCGATGTCACCTTCTCCCTATGCACACCTGGGTGGGCTTTGCCTCTTCTCCTTAGGAGAGACGTCGGGCAGAGCGGGCCGAGCAGCAGCGCATCCGGAATGAGCGGGAGAAGGAGCGGCAGAACCGCCTGGCTGTGAGTGACCCCTAGCCCAGGCCCATGGAGGCCCCCCATGCTCCCAGCTCCTGCTGGGCCCCCAGGCCCCTCTCTATTCATCAACATGAATGAAATCAGTCAAGAGACAATATTGGCCGGGTGCGGTGGCTCACGCCTGTAATCCCAGCACTTTGGGAGGCCAAGGCGGGTAGATCACTTGAGGTTGGGAGTTCGAGACCATCCTGACCAACGGAGAAACCCTGTCTCTACTAAAAATACAAAATTAGCCAGGCGTGGTGGCACATGCCGGTCATCCTAGCTACTCAGGAGGCTGAGGCAGGAGAATCGCTTGAACCCAGGAGGCAAGGTTGCAGTGAGCCGAGGTCATGCCATTGCACTCTAGCCTGGGCAACAAGAGTGAAACTCCAACTCAAAAAAAAAAAAAAAGGAAAAAAAAGAGACAATATCAATATCAACCTAGGAAGTGCTGGGCATTGTCTTGGCTCTGATAATACATCAGCAAACAAGACAGAAATGCCTGCGTCCTTATGAACGTGTTATTTTATAAGACTCTCCAGCCCTCATCCCTTCCCCAGTGCAGACTTCGTGGGAACCGAAGGCCCCGTAGCTCTCTTCCTGTGCAGCTGCTGAAGGCATTTCCAGAGCAACAGGTCTTCCAGGGGCACTCCCAGCTTAAGGGGATGACGAGACCTCACATTTGGGAATCAGGACCTCATTCAATCACGCAGTCATTTCTCAGTCAGTGGACTCCTGTGGGCCAGCACTGTGCTGGGAGCTACCCTCTCAGAAAGCTCCTTGCTGAGCGGAGAGAAAGCTGAACTCACCCATAAAGACCACAAGCTTCAGCCCAGAATCAGGGTTTCCAATCCTTTCCCCTAATTTGCTTTCTTCCTCCCTGCTGTAAATCAGGAAGAGAGGGCTCGACGAGAGGAGGAGGAGAACAGGAGGAAGGCTGAGGATGAGGCCCGGAAGAAGAAGGCTTTGTCCAACATGATGCATTTTGGGGGTTACATCCAGAAGGTAGGTAGGGAGCAGCAGGGGTTGCCAGGAGATCCTAGTATAGCCCTGAGGAATGAGGTGTCCACTGCAGCAGGTAGACTTTAGGTCAGGTCCCAGGAAGAGATTCCCAGCTGCTGTGGGTGGAAGACTGAGGTCTCCTCATGCCCAGCCCTGAGCTGGTTTTCAGCCTGACCGCGGCTTGCACTAGGAGGGGCTTGCTGGGGTAGGGGGCTACAGGCAGAGCCTGGGGCACCAATGGTGCCCCCCATGCCTGGCTCCAGCAGTGCTCAGGAGCCCCCAAGGAGGCTGGGTGCAGCTGGAAGAGCCTTGTGCCTAGAGTCAGAGCTCTAGTTGGAGACCCAGCTCTGCCACATACAGTTGTGTGACCTTTTGCAACCTCTGAGCCTCGGTTTCCTCAACTGGCACTCATATTGCCTGCCTTGATGCTTTGAGAAGCTCAAATGAGCTACCATGGAAAGTGTCTATGTGCCACACAGATGTGAGGTTGTTTGTTCCTGGAAACTCACTCTCGATCCCTAACTTTTGTGCCCCATTCCTCCTAGGTCCTCCATTCTCGAGGGAGGAGGGATATGTGAAATTGATTTTCTCTAGGTAGTGAAGGAATCAAAACATTTTCTTAGATTTCCAGCTTAGTCCCTAGCTCAGGACTAGGCCACCCCCTGCCTCTGCCCCCATGGTGACCACACCAGCCAAGACTTTGGCATCAAAGTCTTCATGCTACCGAACAGCCCCTGCTGTAACCCTCAGACCCACGTCCTAGTAAACCCGGCTGACTACAGCGAGTATCTGAATCTTCTCTTCCATGTCTCTCCTTGCCTTTGTCTTCCTGCCTTCTCTCTGTGTCTCTGTTGCCGTCTTGGTCTTTTTCTATGGGCCTCTCTCTCATGGTTTCCCGGTTTAGCAGGCCCAGGTGGGTACCAAAAACCTCAAGCCTTCTTCCTCCCCATAGTTTTGGAGAGCTCCCTGGGAGGGGAAGGCGCCTTGCTGGAGGGGAGGAGTGAAGAGATTGGGCTGGCTGGGGAGGGGGGAAGCTGGTGAGAGGTGAAAGAGATTAGTTAGGCAAAGAAGGAAGAGACTGACGTGATCCTTCTTGCCCCTACCTCAGTTTCCCTAGGGAATACATGTAGTTGGTAGTTGGGGGGTGTGGCAGGAAGAAGAGCATAAGAACCTGGCCCTCCTGCAGGCCTTGCTCCACCCCCAGGGGGTTTGGGGAGGGTTAGGGGACAGGGAGGGGGCAATCTGGCCAGTTTACTCTGCTTCCCACACCCTCCAGACAGAGCGGAAAAGTGGGAAGAGGCAGACTGAGCGGGAAAAGAAGAAGAAGATTCTGGCTGAGAGGAGGAAGGTGCTGGCCATTGACCACCTGAATGAAGATCAGCTGAGGTGGGGGCTGGGAGGAATGGTCCTGGGGCACTGCCCGCATCTGCTCTGGGAGGGGTCGGGCCAAGGGCACTTCTTGCTGTGAGCCACCAGAGGGCAGGACTGCCTCACATATTTTCCCATGGCAAGTTTGGTGGGACCAGAGCTGGGCCCCAGCAGGTCGGGCCAACTCCTTTCTGGGCTTTGCTGATGGGGAAAGAGAACTGAGCAGGTGCCCCACCCCTCTGAGCTTCACCTACCCACCTGCACACGGGTGTCAGGACAGGGGATTGAACTAGATGCTCTCCTGCGCCAGAAGGGCTTCTCCTGCTCCCCGCTTGTTCTTGGAACTTTGCCCTGGCAGTCCCTGGTGTCCGTTCCTGAGCACTGGGTGCTGCCGTCTGGTCCCCAGGCTGGGTCAGGCCCAGGGGGTGGGCTGGGGTACCCTTGGCAGGCCTGGAGGTGGGAAGGAGGGCTGGGATGCTGGGGGCTGGGCCGGGACCAGGACGGAGGCCCAGGAGGGCCCTTTCTTACTGGACCTCCCCATTCTCACCCTTGCCCGTGCAGGGAGAAGGCCAAGGAGCTGTGGCAGAGCATCTATAACTTGGAGGCAGAGAAGTTCGACCTGCAGGAGAAGTTCAAGCAGCAGAAATATGAGGTGGGCCGCCATGCTGTCCCCGCCCAGCATCTCCATCTCACACTCCTCCTGGTTCACTGGGTCCGGTAATACTGCTGCAGGTCCCTGGGTCCCTGTCCCTATTCCCCAACAGCCCCCTTCAGCTCCTGCATCTGCCCCTGCTGCCTGGCCTTCAGCAGTGTTCCATGTCCACCGCATTGACGACTGCTTGCTGGAAGTGTCTGAGAGCTCGCTGGGGCTGAGCAGAGACACTTTCCTGGTGTTCCAACCCTGGGGGTCTCCAACACGTTGAGGCAGCAGCTCAGTGATCTGAGCTGGTTACAAGGACCAGGATGCACCAAGCCAGGACCCCCAGTGGAAGGGGAGTGCTGCCAACAGAGAGGTGCTTCTCCCCACATACACCCAAGGTCCTGGTGTGGGCACAATTAGGCTGAGCCTCAAGCTCACAGTCTTTCGGAGTCCTATGTGCACTAATGAGGGTCTTAGGTGAACAGACACCAGGCAAGGAAATGGCTTAGAGGACACTGATGCTGCATACCGGAGCTTAGACCTGGGCGCCAGTCCTTCCTTACCCACCACCCCCGAGCCCCGGTCCCAGGGCCTCTTTGCTACCTAAGGGAAGAATTCAGCTTCCCCTGGAAGGTCTCCTTTGCTGCTCCTGCCAAACCACTCCTCCCTGGGCAAGAAGCCCCTCGCTGGGCAGGCTCAGGCTGCAGTGGCTACAGGGTACTCCCACCTCCCAATACGGAGAGAGGCTGTATTGCCTGGTGACAGTGGCATGGACTTTGGAGCCATAATGCCTGGGTTGAATTTCTACCTGTGCCCCTCACTGGCTGTGTGACATTGGGTGAGTTAGTCCACTGTTCCTTGCCTCCATTTCCACAGGTAACACTACAATATACTTCAGAGGGTGATTGTGAGGGTTACAGAGATAATACTAATTGTTATTATTGCTATAGTGTTCCAACCACTGTTCCAAGCATGTCCCATGTATTAACTTACTATGCCCTCATAGCAGCCCTATGGGTTCATATCTGGGAAGGTGCTCAGGACAGAGCCTGGCACCCACTAAATGCTCAGCAGGTGTCAGCCATTGTTATGGCCTCTCTAGTCCTGTGCCTTCCACTTTTTTCTCTTTTTTTGGTTCCACACTGAACTCTGCACCGGCCAACAGGACACAGATTTGCCAAACTTTGGGGCAGCACCCTGCAGGGGTGGTGCATGGGGATGCTACTGCTCAAAGGGCACAGCTTCCGGGATGGTGGGCAGCTGGGCAGGGGTGCCCCAGAGGGGTCTGGGGCTGGGCTGCTAGGAGGGCTCCATGACACAGCCTCCAGCTTTGTGCCCAGCTCTCAGAGGCCCTTCTTATGGGACTCTCATATCCTGAACCTATTATGGCCCTGGGACCCCACAGTGGGAGGCCCATGAGGCATCCTGGAAGCTTCTCCTTGGCTTCTGCCTGTGGTACACGGGCCCCTCCTGACCCTTAACTATCCTAACCCCTCCTACTCTTCCATGCTCCTCCTTCTCCTCCTGCACTGCTGCACTCAGCCCCCTTCTCCCCATCCCCAGGCCACCTGGGACCTGAGCCAGTCAGCTCCAGCGTTGCTCTTTGTCCTTCCCACTTTTCTTGCAGATCAATGTTCTCCGAAACAGGATCAACGATAACCAGAAAGTGTAAGTGTCTGAGGTCATTCTCGCCTAGCCCTCCCCCTGCCCCCTCCTTCCCTACCTTCCAGCTATCCCATTCCTCCTTGGAGGGCCCCAGGCTCCCAGCCCTTCCTCCTCTGCTTCAGCCCACAGGTTTCCTTCTCTGGCTCCTCCGGGGCCTCGTGCTTCTCTCCCTGTGGCCTCTGCTTGCTGGTGGGGGTGAAATGTGGGGCGGAGAAGCTTCCCTCCAGCCTCAGGCTGCTGTCCTATTCTGCCCCTGGAGGCAGCTCCAGCCTGCTCCTCTCCCCTTTGGCACCCCAGTCCTACCCCAGCCGCATGGTGACCTACTACCCTGCCTGTGTCTCCATGTCACTGCGTCCTGCTTCCCCTGCAGCTCCAAGACCCGCGGGAAGGCTAAAGTCACCGGGCGCTGGAAATAGAGCCTGGCCTCCTTCACCAAAGATCTGCTCCTCGCTCGCACCTGCCTCCGGCCTGCACTCCCCCAGTTCCCGGGCCCTCCTGGGCACCCCAGGCAGCTCCTGTTTGGAAATGGGGAGCTGGCCTAGGTGGGAGCCACCACTCCTGCCTGCCCCCACACCCACTCCACACCAGTAATAAAAAGCCACCACACACTGACTGGCATTTCTGTCACGTCCCCTTCAGAGAGAGAGAGAAACTGAGGCGAGACCCTGCTCTCACAGGTCCCCGGTGTCTGCCAAGCTCTAAGGAGCTTTCCCCTGTCTGGTCTCCCTGCTTGCCTCTAGCTGGGGAGAGGGTGGAGGGCCCAGGGTGCAGCCCAGGAGGCAGGAGCAGTGGAAAGGGCTTCAGATCATTGCTCCTGGGAGTCACCAAAACAGCACATGGGAAAAGTGCTGTTGAGGGGGACAGAGTGTTCCCTGCATGAGTCACTCACTGGAGAACAATGCAGGACTCTTCGGATGGTTCCCGTTCTCTTTCTCCTCCTAGCCAGGGCCCTAGGAACCAGGTGTCTGAGGGACAGGGAGCTCTTGAGGAAGGAAGGAAGGCCAGTTTTATTGGGCAGCTATTCAGGCCTGAGTTGTTGAGAGGTGTGGGTTAGTCTGGGTGCCTCAGTTTCCCCCTCCCATGATCTGCACATCCTCGAGGGCTTAAGTCACAGGGTCCTGAGCTGAAGAGGACAGCTTGGTGGCATGGATTTCAGTTGGCAGAAAGACAAGGAAACGATGAGAGGGCACCATCCTCCTCTCCAGAGGAGAGCCTGAGACGACACATTCTCTTGACCCTCCATTCCTTTGTCAGGCGTGGAATTTCCCCCAATTCCTGATTCCTTCCCTTGGCTCCCCACTTGCCATCCATCAGCAAGTGCCTCATGAGCTGTGTCTGGAAAGGCTTCCTGTGGTCTCCCAGCCAGAGCAAATCCATTTCTGCTTGCTAGAGCATGTGCTGTCACAGCTATGCCATCCAATGCCACACTCTGTTAGACGGGTCTCTTCCTGCAGGCGTGGCTCTCATGCTCCCAGGAGACAATGCAGACATGTTATCCTGTGCTGTATGCCAAGCACTGGGATCCATGTAGTGAGAGATGAAGAGGAAATGGTCCTTGGGCCACAGGGAGGGGCTTAGCCTGGGGTCTCGGCCTCATTTCTTATTCATTCATTCGTTCAGTCATTCAAATACCTCCTGAGCACCAACTATGTGCTAGACACTGTGTTGGGTGTGGGGTGCTGTGATTTAAGCCAGCACATCGCTCATGGAGCTCACAGAGCTCACATCCAGCAGCAGGGAGACAGCAAGCAGAGGTCCCAGCCCTGGGTGACAGGGGCGGGTGGGGGGTGCGATGCTGGGGAGAGGCATAGCCACGCACCACACCTGGCCCTGGCAGGTGGGAAGGCTTTCTGGAGGAAAGAGTGTCTAGGCCGAGTACCAGAGGGTGAGGAGGGGGAAGTCAAGGGGAAGAGGTTGGGGGTGGGGCTGGGAACGGCACATAGAAAGTTTGAGAAGCAAGAGCCAGCATGGTGTGTTTGAAGAGATATAGTTATTAGCAGAATCCAAGCATCTTCTGGTGGGGACAAGAAGGCTCCATCATAAATGCCCCCAAAATGGACAGGGAGGCAGGACGCAGGCCTCAGGCCCAAGGAGGGCTGTCACCACGGGCTCTGGGAGACCCACTGGCAGCTCCTGGCACGCACCAGCCCTACTATCTCAGTTTGCCGGATAGGACAGCTGGGGCAGTGCCCTAGCCCCTCTCCCCATAAAGGGGCACTGCACCTCTACCCCCACCTGCCGCCTTGGCTCCACCGCCTATGCCTCAGTGTCTCCTTGGTGCAACAAGAGGTCATGATGGGCCGTGTGTCTGGGGCCCTGTCTCCTGCTCCCCCTCTCCCAGCAGGGTCCTTGTGACCATTTCTCTAGTACAGCGGTCCCCAACCTTTTTGGCACCAAGGACCAGTTTCTTGGAAGACTATTTTTCCATGGACAGGGGTGGGGTGGGGAAGAAAAGTAGGGGTGGGTGGGTGGGGGTGGTTTCAGGATGAAACTATTCCACTTCAGATCGTCAGGCAATAGATTCTCGTAAGGAGTATGCACCCTAGATCCCTCGCATGCACAGTTCACAATAGGTTTCACACTCCTATGAGAATCTAATGCTGCTGGCTGCTGATCTGACAAGAGGTGGAGCTCAGGCCGTCATGCTCGCCCACCCACAGCTCACCTGCTGTGCAGCCTGGTTCATAACAGGCTATAGACTGGTAGAGTCTGGTCCACGGTGCAGAGGTTGGGGACCCCTGCTCTAGTAGATGTGGTCTCTCTTTTAAAAATTGTGCCCAGGCCGAGCGCGGTGGCTCATGCCTGTAATCCCAGCACTTTGCGAGGCCGAGGCAGGCACATCATGAGGTCAGGAGATCAAGGCCATCCTGGGCAACATGGTGAAACCCTGTCTTTACTGCACTCCAGCCTGGCAACAGAACGAGACTCCGTCTCAAAAAAAAAATTAGCTGGGCATGGTGGCGCGTGCCTGTAGTAGGGCTCGGGAGGCTGAGGCAGGGGAATCGCTCAAAAAAAAAAAACAACTGTGCCCAGAGGTGGGCACAGAAGACACCCTTGCCCTCCGACTCTGAAAAGCCCCTAAGACCAGATCCCACTTAATCTCTTTTCTCCTAAGGTCACCTGGTGTTCAGGAAAGAACTTCGGAGTGTCCCAGGCGCTGCCCCCATGGGGGCCTCACCCAGTTGAGGTCCCCATCCCATCATCTTAAGAGGAACACCACAGGTTAACCCAAGCGCTGCCTCTAGGCAGGAGATCTGCAGACACCTGGTCTGCATGGAACCTGGAGCACTAATCCATAAGTGGAGCCTGGGAAGGGGACCTTGTCCTATCCCAGGACAGAGGAGAAAGCAAGTGAGTGTCAGGGTGCAGGGGCACACCTGGTCCATCAGCCCAGTGCAGGGAGTCCTGCCAATTTCAAAAGGCAAGGGTGGGGGCTTCAGACCAAGTGGTCCTGTGCTCTCCCCATAATATTGCTAGGGAACAGAAAGATCATGGATGTGTGCACAGAACACACTGAGATAGCTTCACAGATAGGGCCTCCACACACCCTCCTCAGTTCACCCACCACTTCCATCATTCTTGTGCTTATGATGGTCCTGAACCAAACGTTGAAGGTGCAGCAGTGGCCAAGAGCTGTCCTGGGCCTCCTGACAACTGAGGAGCTGGATGCAGCGGGGTGAGTTGACGCCCACCCAGACACTCTGACCCCCACTGTCCCCACTGTCCCCTGCAGGGACCTCCCTCTATGCCTCTCAGATCCCATCTCACTGTACTTTCGATCCATGACCCATTGCCTCATGGGCCTCTCAGCACCCTGTGTACACCAAATGCTCAGGGAAAATTACTTGCAGGCTCTTCTCAGCCCTGAGTCAGAGGTGAAGACTCTTCCGCCATCCTGTCATCAGATTCGTTCTCCTAACAAGCTCGCATCCTGGGCAGAGCTTGTTCGTGTGATGCCCACTTTAGAGGTAGAGCTGGGAGAGAACAAGGTGTTCCCCCAGGGCTCCTTCGCCTGGGAATCCAGCTCCTCCAGCTGGAGCCCCGATGCTCTGAAGCTAGAGCCTCACTTTCTCCCATCAAACTCTGGCTCTGCCCCTTCCCAGCTCTGGGATTTTGGTCAAATTCCTTGCCTTCTCTGTGCTGAAGTTCCCCTATCTAAACAATGGGGATTGTTATGAAGGCTAAATGAAATAAACATGCAGCAACTAGCACAGTGCTTAGTGCATAGTGTGTAATCAGCACGAGCCACTGCTACTGCCTTTTGGATGAAAACACGTTATTAGCCTTTCTCAAGGGCTCAAGGTCTGCAGAAGAAGAGTTCACCCATGCTGGGTCTGGGCTGGCTCCTCCTTGCCTGTGTGGTTTTAGGGAACCCTTCAATGGCTCCTCTTTCCTCCTGGATTCCACGGCCTGGTCTTCTCCCTCACCAGATAGGCCACCAGGGGTTGGGGGTGGGTGGGATTTGCTGCTACGGACTGTCCCTCCTGGCACGTGGTTCAGCGTGTGCCACTGTCTGGATGGAGGTGCCAGAACTTGTTCCCAGGCCAGGCTCCACTCCCTACTCTGCAGCTTGATTTCTGGGAAAGGTGGGGCAGGGCCTGAGCTTCCAGGGAACCTGCCCTGGTTGGGGGAAATAGCTGGGCTCAGGGATAGGTCTCAGGGCCAGGCTCTCTAATAGGCTCCTGTTGGGTATGGGGCAGGCTGGGGGTGCAGGGGAGACCAGGCTGGACCCCATGTTCCCACAGTGTAGCCACGGGCACTCACTTGCTTCTCTGGGCTTGGCTTCTCCTCTGAAAGTCCAGTCTGCCCTGTCATCCCTACCAGGAGGAAGACTAAGTGTGAATTTGGGGAAAATGCTGCTGATCTGGGTCAGCTCGTCTTCTCCCCCTGCACACATACCCTTCATGTGTTTCTCGCTCTGCGCCCCCCACGCAGGCACTGGGCCAGCTACTTTACATATGTTCTCTCCAGCCAACCATCCACAGTCCCCAGATCACACCGCATGTTGCAGATGAGGAAACTGAGGTACAGAGAGTTTAGGCAACATGCCAAGGGCCATTCAGTTAGTAAGTGGCAAAGCTGGGATTTGAACCCAGGTCTATGTGACGCCAGAGCCAGGATTCTTCCTAACATGTGGATCTTGTAGATTGAGGAGCATCCCAAATCTCCCCAGATTGCAGTGCTTGGGCCAGAATCAGAGCCTCCCGTGGGCTGACTTGGGGTGAGGGCACAGGGCAGGAGTCCAGGAGCTTGACCCTCTCTGCTGCCCTCCAGCTGCCCACCTGGGACCTGACAGGAGGAGATGTGCTATGTCTAGCACATGGAGGCGGCCTCTGGAGGGAACAGTAGAGGTGGGGTTGAGTGGGGCTCTACCCAGGGTGCAAGAGAATCATTGGCCAGCCTCCTCCTTCTTGGGAGTAATTATACCCCATACCTGTGTCCCAGAGTAGTTGGGGGGATCTGTGGGTCATGGAAGCACCTGTCATTACCTTGTCTGTGGGTTACCCCTCGACTCTGCAAAGATAGTGAGTAAACCTCAGGGTGGGCAGAATCCTGGGTCTAGATGCCAGCAGGGCCTATCTGGCTGTTGTTGGGGGTGGCAGAGGTGCTTTAGGGACCCTCTGCAGTCTACCTCCAGCCTTACTTTTCAGCCAAATGGAGCTAGCTACTTTTGTTTCTCCAGCATGTCCTATGCTCTCCCACCTCTGCATGGCTTTTTCTTGCCCTTCTTTCTGTCTCTGCCTATCCAACTGCCCTCCGCCTTCCTCAGGGCCTCGATGAAGTCCCTGTTTCTCCAAGAAGCCTTTGGGACTCCCTCCTGAGCACCTGGGGCTTCCTGAGCACCAGCGATGCCTCTGGTGATGCCTTAAGAGCCGCACATTGAAGGCCCATTCACTCTGGGCCTCCTGTGGTTCACAGAAACCAGGACTGGGTGCCCAGCCCAGACCTCCCTGCCTGGCACTGTTCCCAGGGCTTCAGCCCCACCCACCTGCTCATCCCAGGTTCTCAGCTCCCACCCCAGCATCTACAGGAATTTAAATTGCTCTCAAATGAAGACTCAGGAGAAAAATGTTTCCATACTTGTGCAGAGCGCCCTGACCTGGGGCGGGGGTTGGGGGAAGTAGCCCCAGCTCCGCCCTGTGGCCCTGCCCTCAGTGCTGGCCTTGGCCACACTGGCCACACCTGCAGCACGCCCCAATCCCAAAGCAGTTTTCCCCGTAAAGCCAGGCCTGAGCAATGCAAACCTGAAGAAGCCTGGGGCTAGGCTGGGGCTGCTCTTCAGGAACGCAGTGGGCGGGGTGGGAGAGGTGGTGTGATTCCCAGGCTGAGAGGTGCTGAGATTGTGCTGGGTTTGCTAAATGTGGGACAGGGAGACCTGTTTAGGATGAGCTGCCTCACCCCGTCCTCTCCCCACCCATCCGTACCCTGCCAATTCCCAGAAGATGATGCCAGCTAGGAATGCAGGTTGATGAAGATAAAGGCAGAAGGTCACTTCACTTCTACCTGGGGGCAATAGACAAAGCAGTGTTTCCCTCTGAACTTCACACAGAGACTCCTCTGGCCCCACATCTCCCACCTGTTCAGGCCCAGGTGATGTGGTGAGCAGTGGTTTCTGCTGGGAGACACTTGGCATAATTTGTAAGCCAGCTACATGATAATACTAACAAATGATATTTGCCTCCATATATTAGGCACCTATCGTGTGCCATATACTATGTTACGTAATTTATGTCCACTCTCTAATTACAGTAACATGCAAAATTAGGTCCTATATAATAACTCCATTTTATACACAAGGAAACTGAGGCTCAGAGAAGTTAGGTGACTCATCCAAGGTCATACAGGGCAGGATCCTGATTACTGTATTTTTATTACAATGTTAAAATTATTTGAATGGTACACTTCCTACCAAATCAAGTCAGGCATCTGATAGAAACAAAGAAAAGCATATTTTCAAGAAGTCCCTTCTGTATTTTAGCCAACAAATATTTGAATAATTTCTGATTATATAATGCAAAGTACGAGTGCATCGATCCTTATCATAGAAAAACTTGTGTGAAATAATGTTCAAATTTGTCTATTGCAAAAATTTGATCACTCACCTGGGAAATCTGGAATTAGGAATGTAAGATCTTACCACTGCCTCTTGCTCATATAAAGTGGCTTGTGAATTCACCTAGCCCTCATCCCACTCAGTTGCGGTTGGTGGTTTCCTCATCTCTCCCCTACATCTAGCCTGGGCACTTCCTGGGACCTGGGGTCCTGGGTTGTTCATCCGTAGATCCCAGTGGCCTCCATGCATGGGAATGAATACAGGAGAAAAATCATTCTCAAATTAGATGATCTTGTTTAAGGTTTGATCTTTTAAATATCAAATATCAGAGAGGGAAAATATGGCAAACTAATCACATTAGAGTTGCATTGTCTTTCACAGTTGTCAAAGCACTGTAACAAGTCCATAGGATAGTAACTTTAGAAAAAGAAGACCTTTGATCTTGGAAGGGTCATACGTTTACCTCGCTCACATCATATCGATGCAAGCATTAAATCTGCTTGATAACCAATGTTTCTATTAGAAAATAGGGGTCACTGACACATTGGTTCAGTCATTGTGTAAATCCAACACATATTTATTAAACACATACTCTATTCTAGGTACTGGCTAGTTATCAGGGTTATACCTGAGGACAGACCAAGACTGTTTCCTACCTTCATAAACAAGAGGAGAAAAGTATTAAACAGACATTAGATCACTGGATAGATAGATAGATGATAGATAGATAGATAGATAGATAGATAGATAGATAGATAGATAGATAGGAGATAGAGATAGGTGACAGATGGATAGATGGATAGATAGATAGCAGATAGAAAAGAGATAGGTAGATAGATGGGAGGAAGGTAGATAGATAGAGATAGGTGGATACATACATGCATATATGCATAGACACAGACACATGTATGTACAGATATAGATATACATATGCAGTGCCTGGGTCTCAAATTGTAAAAAGAGAAACCCAGAGGAAAACAGCAGTGTGCTGTGAAAGAGAACAGGTTGGACATAACTTAAACGGAGGTGTTGGATGAGGGAAAGCGTCCTTGTGGAAGATATCACTGAGTTGAAAACTAAAGGATTCATAGGCATTGGCCAGAGGAAGCAAGTGAGAAGATGCTGGGAGCAGAAGGAACAGCAGGTGCAAACAACTTGGTGTGATGGATGGACTGAAAGGAGGAGGGAGGGCTGCGTCATGGCTTTGGGGGCCACGTTAAGGGGACTGGATTTTACGCTGAGTGTGATGGGAAGTGTTTGATAATTTTAAGCAAGGGGAGGATGCACTGACTTATGTTTTTAGAAGATCACTCTGGCTGTGGAGTGACCTTTTGGTTGGAGCACATGCGGGGAAACAGGGAGACTAGTTAGGAGGCTGTTATCATGGCGACGGTGGGGTCACGCTGGCGACCTGGGCTGGTAGTGTGGGAGAAGGAGAGAGGGGGACTGTAGATCTGAGGTGATGTCAGCAGAAGGCAGTTTTGGAAAGTAGGGGTAGAATGTGGGGGCTTGGAGAGAGTGCACTGTAGGTGGGGTTTGTTTACATGAGTCCCCTCCTTCCCCCAGGTTCTGATCCACTCCCCACCCCAACCCCACACCGTTCTCTCCAGCACCAGCCTTAGACCCTGGCAACTGGGAGTCAGGCGTTGGGCCCTACACTTTAAAAGGCCCCACTGTGGCTCTCCTTTGGCTGTCCTCCTTCCAACAGGACAAGGAGTCTGCAGGTACCAGGGACACGCCCACCTAGATCCAGCCTTTGCTAAACCAGAGCCACTCAGGAAGACAAGCCACATGAGACCTGGAGTTTGCACCAGAATAGAGGTCAATTCACTGCTTCCTTCATTAGGAAAGTCTTGCAACCAATGACATAATAAAATAAAATAATAAAATAAAATAAAAATCAGCTGGAGGAGCAGGGACACCTATCCAAGGCAGACAGCAGGACAGCCTTGGGTACTGAGGAAGGAGTCAGCTCCTTCCCTGGCCCCATGCCCACCCCAGCAGGAGAGGGGCCCATGGAACAGGGACCCATGAGATGGCAGAGCACAGCCCTGCTCCCGGTTTGTCCCCAAGTTTAGTCCATGCTGAGCAGGAGAAGGAGGGGAAGGGGAGCTTTGAGTTGAATAGGAGATTGGAGTTTGAAATGGATGAGGGCAGAGACTTAATAACCAAAATGTGACCTTGTAGGAATCAGCAGTGGCCGTGCAGTTTTGAAACCTTTAATAGCACTCACTGTCCACAGGGCAGGGGCTTTCCCAGTTGGTAGCAGTAACTGAGAAAAAATTAAAGCTCTTTGTAGCCAAACCTCACTTAAGGCGATACACTCCTCACTTAGGGTTTGACTCCTTGGGTGAGGTTTGACTACAAAGCCTCCTTTCAGGCCGGGCGTGGTGGCTCACGCCTGTTATCCCAGCACTTTGGGAGGCTGAGGCGGGTGGATCACGAGGTCGGGAGATCGAGACCTTCCTGGCTAACACAGTGAAACCCCGTCTCTACTAAAAATACAAAAAGTTAGCCAGACATGGTGGTGGGTGCCTGTAATCCCAGCTACTGAGGCTGAGGCAGGAGAATCGCTTGAACCTGGGAGGCAGAGGTTGCAGTGAGCTGAGATCACATGACTGCACTCCAGCCTGGGCGACAGAGCGAGACTCTGTCCCAAAAAATAAACAAACAAACAAAATCTCCTTTCGGTCCCCACTCAGCCTTCCCTGGGAGGCCAGCCCCAGCCACAGTAGCTCCCTTTGCAGCCCCCACCCTTCCACACTGCGCTCCCAGTCTCCTCTCCTGTCTGACTTTTCTCTCCGAGCTTTTTGTCTTTTACATACAATATGTTTTCACTGTTTACCTTGTTTTTTTGTCCGTCTCTCTCTCCACTTGACTGTAAGATCCAAGAGTTCAGGGATGTCTGTTCTGCTCACTGGGCACACGGTAGCCCTCAGTAACTACTTGCTGAATGAATGAACGATGTTTGCCCAGGAAGTTGAGGGCTCTTATTTAATAGACTGCATATATTACACAGTGTTCCACAAAGGGCAGAGGGAGAATCTTGCCGAACAGAAGATTTGGGGGCTCCAGAACAGGCGTAGTTGGGTATTTGACAATCTGAAGAGTTCAGGAAACACCATTTTTGGCTAGTGGAGCTGTCTAGGCCAGGGCTGCTGCACTCTGAATGAATGAGTCGGGAACCAGTCAGAAAGGAGATTTTCATGAGAAAGAGACCGGGCTGCCTTGCCACATGGGACAGAAGGATACTAATGTCCTCGCCAGCAGCAACTCATTTTGCATCCTGCTCAGGCAGGGGTTGAGAGTGGCAGGGAGTGGGAGGAAGTCACATGTGCCCCAGAATCTGCTTGGATTCTAGAAAGTGTTGAAGGGCATGGATTCTGAAGCCAGACTCCCTGGGTCCAATCCCAGCTGCACTAGGTATTTATTTAGTGACCTCAGTCAAGTTACTGTGCCTCAGTTTCTTCATCTGTAAAACAGGCATGATATTAGCAACCACCTCATTGGGTTATGGTGAGGATTAAATAAGCTCCTATAGGGCTGGGCACGGTGGCTCACGCCTGTAATCCCAGCACTTTGGGAGGCCGAGGCAGGCGGATCACCAGAGGTCAGGAGTTCAAGACCAGCCAGACCAACATGGTGAAACCCCATCTCTACTTAAAATACAAAAATTAGCCAGATGTGGTAGTGGGCGCCTGTAATCCCAGCTACTTGGGAGGCCGAGGCACAAGAATTGCTTGAACCTGGGAGGCAGAGGTTGCAGTGAGCCGAGATCACACCATTGCCCTCCAACCTGGGCCACAACAGTGAAACTCCATCTCAAAAAAGAAAAAAGAAAGCTCCTATAAATATAAGTGCTTGGAACAGTGCCTGGCACATGGAACAAGCAGATAAGCGTTTGCTGTCATCTTTGGCATATTGTGGAGATAGGAAGGGTCCCCGGCTCCCTGTCCTTTTCCCTTAATTGTGATGTCCATCCCCTCCTTCCTGCCTGCCCTTAGTTTCCTCCAACTTAGGTTTCCCTTTCCTCCCATGCCCCAGGCCTAGGGTGAGCCTTGTCTGGCTTCCTCCTTCCCACCTTCTCCTTCCTCAGAAGGAGTCAGCCCAGCCGGCCTTGCCCTGCCATGTGCAGCCAGACAGTGATGGAAGATGAGTCGCCAGTGCTGATGACACCCCCACCTCCCGCCCACCTCCCACCAGGACAGCAGAGATCTATTCCAAGGAGTGGATGGACAAGGAGCCCCAAGTCTTCATCGCTCTCTTGAGGGATTAGAGCTCCCCCTGGGTGTGGTTTGGGAGCCCTGCACCTGAATTATTGTCGCCCTGCCGGTGTGGACCAGAGAGAGCCCTGCCCACCTCCCAGCATCCACCTCCCAGCCCCCCGTCTGTGTCTCCCACCCCATTCCTAACTGTAAAATCCGTGCCCCCAGACTACCCTGGCCTCCTTGTTCTCCCTATCTCTCTAAACAATCCTCACTTCCACACTCTCTCCCCATTTCCACATTATTCTGCAGCCTCAGCTCTGCTTCCATGTGTTTTTTCCCTCCAAGTTGCCCTTCTTTTATAAGTCTGCCCTTCCAGGAAGTCTTCCTGGATTGGCCAGGACCTTGCTGCTCAAAGTGTGGCCCGCAGACCGGCATCAATGGTACCACCTGGGATCTTGTAGAAATGCAGAATCTCAGAATTTGCATTTTAATAAGATCCCCAGGGATCCATGTGCACATTCCAGTTTGAGAAGTATTGAACTAGGTCACCCTGCAGTCCCAAAGGTCCTTCATTCCTTGAAAAGACAGAGATTCTGGGAGCCTGTCTCAGATGGTGACAGGAGGGAGACAGGAGAGAGCATTTCAAAGAATGCAGCGAGCCCTGCTCCTGTCTTATATCTTGACTCCTACTTTCATGGCAGCCTGTCCACCAGCCTGTCCAGATTTCGAGGCTGAGCATGCTGGAATTCCCCCTGCAGGGCTCATCAGTTGCACTTGGTCTGCGGACACACTCTCCCAGTCCATGCCCATCTGCTTTGCCATTTGACTTGTTCCAGGAGAGCCTTTGTCTGGGATTCCAGAATTTCCCTTTGGAAGTAAGCTTAAACAATCTCAGTGTGGCTGCCCAAACTGGCTCTCTGAAATTGGAGTTCTGTTAAAGTTTTCTGCACTGAAGTAAGTTGGGAGGGGCTTCATGCCACCTTTGTCTTTTTCTCTTTCTTTCTCTGCTGTGATACACATGAGCACGTTAAAACTGCTGAGAATCACGAGTAAAAAAAACTGATTCACTCATTTAGCCCAGAGTTTCCAAAACTTAGACCTCCTTTGTCACTTAGCATTGTGAACATCCTCTGGAACTCATTTTGGGAAATGCTAATCTAATTCCCTAACACACACACACACACACACACACACACACACAGACACACACACACACACACACACACACAGACACACACACACACACAGACACACACACACAGAGACACATAGCAACTACTAAGATTTTATGCAAGGCTCTTTGGATGCTGCAGGACCCCTTGAGCTCATTTTCTAAGTGAGAAGCTGAGTCTTGTGGTGTTGGAGAGGATCTGCTGGGGCTTCTCTTCCAAATCCTTTCTGGGGGGGGCAGGGCTGGTACAGGCATCGTCAACTCACCAGGGTCTATGGGGAGGCTGTTCTTACCAACCTTGATTTCTCCTGTATACTGGATGGCTTGACTTTTATTTTGAGTCTCAAATGCTATTTGTTCTCTCAAATCTGCCAATCTAGTCCTGTAGTTGAAGTTCCTGCCAGCAGGGGGAAGTTCCTACCAGTTCCCATGGGCCTGATGGTCATTGTAAAAGGTGTCCTCCCCAGCTGAGGGAAGTTGGAAAGGACTTCTACGAATCCAGTGCTTGGGCTCAGTTTATGCAGGGAAGTTCTGTCTGCCTTGCCCACCTGGAGAATGGTGGCAGCAGAGTTTTCTAGCCAAATCTCGACTCGCCTTTTGCTGACACTGTGGTTAGACAGAAGGTGGAACTGGCAGGGCCAGTTCTGACAGCCTGACTCACGGCTTCTCTAGCTCCCTGCCACTGGTACAGGGAGGTTGAGGCTGGGTGGGGGGAGGGTGTGGGAATCTGTGCAGGAATGCCAAACTGGAGGCTTCTCAGTCCTAGCCAGGGAGCTGGGGCAGGCTGGGGGCAGTGTGTGGGGCTTGTTGAGAACCTAGGGAAGCTGATGGGCATGGGAAAAGGAGACCTTGAGAGCGCCAATGCTCTGAGAATCACAGAGTGAAGGCAGGGATTTCCGTTCCACAAAACTCACATGAAGGTCTGATTTGGGCTGGCAGGGACCCCAGATATCCCCTTATTTCAGCAGGAAGGAAGCTGGTGAGGAGGTTTTTCCAAGGCCACACGTTGACTCTGCGGTAGATCTGGGATCTCCTGATAGTTGCATTGAGGCATCACTTTTTGTGGCATCTGGGCTGCTTCCCCAGCTGGAACTGTCACATTCAGACTTACCTGAGAATAAATTTATCCCGAAGCTGATCTATCGGCTCTGGAGAATCCCATTTCCCAATACTAACATACGCCATGCCCAATTTCCTTGCTCCTCCTTGAGGAGGTGGCACAGTAGGATCCACCATGGGCTGAAGGTGCTGGATGATCTGGGGTGCCATGCAGTCAAAAGAGACCTTTGCCTGAGTTTCCAAGGAATTGGAGTTTGGAGATCCCACAACCTGGCAATTTCCAGGCCTAGATGACAGATTTGGGATATCCAAAATCTGAGAGAGTCCAGCCCTGTATTCGGTGTATTCGGTGCAACTCAGACCACAACTGATGTCCCTTTACCTATTCAGAACTCCAGTTCTTAAGAGGGACAGTGACAATCTGAGACATGTTCAGAGAAGGGTGACCAAGAGGGACACTAAATCATGTCCTTGAGGAATGGTTGAAGCAGCTCAGGAGGCTTAGCTTGGATATGAGAAAGCTCAGAGACACCAGAGAGCTGTGTTCAGATACTGGAAGGATTGTCATGGGGAAGACAGGCTGGACCGATTCTCCATGGCCCCAGTGAGTAAAGACAAGACCAGTGAGTGGAAGTTGTAGGAACCCAGAAGCCAGAGCAATACCAGATACTTGACTAACGGCCAGCACAGCTTTGAGTTCTCTTCCCCTGGAGGTGCTTGGAGGGTGCTGATTGGCCAATGTGGAAGAAGGTTTATGGGTCTTCAAGAGTCAGCTGCAGGAGGGAGGCCTGGGAGACTTTTAAGGTCATTTCAACATGCAATTCTATGCATCTATATCCAGACTCCTGTTCTATTCAGCTCATGTTGGGTTTGTGCTCTGTGCTGGACACTGTACCAGGTATGACGAAAGGGCAAAAAATGGAGCAAGTCACTATCACAGAGGGGAAAATAGACACACGCACAAGCCAGGGCACGACTCGTGCCTCCACACAGGTGCACGCAGGCCTCACAGAGGGGATGACATGCCAGTTGGGCCTCAAAGGATGAATAGAATTTTGACAGGCAGAGGCAGGGGAAAGGCACACCAGGCAGAAGAAGCAACACAAAGACAGTGGGATTAACCTGGCACATCGTGTTTGGGGAGATGCCAGTCATGGGTGGAGTAGAGGGAGTGAATGGGAAGCAGCAGGAGGCAGGAGGGGTGGGCTGGGGCTGGCCTGGGAGAGCCTTGGGTGATAGTCTAAGAATTCTGGCTACAGAAAAGTGGGAGCTGGTGATGCATTTAAGCAGGGGAAGGATACAGTCAGCATTATTTAGAAAGATGACTCTAGTGGAGGCACTCTGGGGGCAAAGGGGCGGGAAACAAGAGGCAGAGGGCCCAGCCAGGAGGCCCAGCCTATTGCCGTGGAAGGGGCCAGGCCTCAAGGAGGCCCAGGGTAGACAGCGGTAGTGGGTGTGGAGATGAGGTAATAGTTTAGAGTTGTCAGGACTTGGTGCCTCAATGGGAAAGGAAGAATGAAAGATGAGGCCAGAGTTACTTGATGAGGTGACTGGGTGGGTGGTGATTTAATTAACCGTTGTCTTTTGTTTTTCAAAAACAAATGAACCAAAACACATGTGGCTCAGGCTGGTTCAGAACTTTGTGGAGCCCTGAGCGGAGAAGGGAAGGCCCAGGGAGGTGTGGGGAAGCTGGGTAGAAGCTCTGAGGGGCAGCCATGAGGGGCCGGAGGGTTGCTGTGTGAGTGCTCCCCTCTTGGAGACTCAGCTTCCCCTGAATGAGCAGCAGGGGCACACACAGTGTCCTGGCTCTCTAGTGAAGAGCCAGACCCTCTCCTCTGCCTCCCTCTTTCACACCTGAGTCTCTCACTCCATCTCAACCTCTCTACCAACCTCTGCAACTCTCCTCTCAAGATAAGCTGGTAGGTTGATGATATGACAAGTTGTCAGTACCCCCTGCACAAGCCTCACCCATCCCCCTAGCCAGCATTGCTAGGAGTTTGGGTAACCACCAGCCAGGATCTTTGATCCACAGGGCTCAGACCTACCAGACCACCAGATATGAAGTATGGAGCCCTTCTCTATCTAATCTCAAACAAGGGTTTGTTCCGAGTTATCTCTGAGTATGTGGAGAAGAGCTCTTCTTCATCCCCAAATGGTTTGTGTATTGACTGGCAACTATCATAGGTGGAGTGTGGGATAGAGGAATGTCTGGAGCTGCTGTGGAGCCGTACTTCAGTTTAGTTAAACAAGTGTCTCATGTCATCACACTATCCCACCGCTGTCCCTTCTGTTGCAGTCACTGATAGACCCCTGGGGCACTCCTGTCACTTCCCTGAAGATTTTCGCTCCAATCTACCATCACTTTCTCAATGTTAGTTCTATTATAATTCTTGATGATTTCAAAAACTTTGAGTACAATCCTTCCGATATCCTGGCCTCTTGGTTTCTTGATCTCTTCTCCAGAGATTTTTGTCCTCTATCCCACTTTAGCCATTTACTTTCATGGTTGGTCAACCTTGTTGTGACCAATAATGACAATTCCTTCATATTCTCAATTCCAAGCAACACACTCTTTGACCACTACTTTCCAAATGACACCTCACTGCCTCAAGTACTCAGGCCCTAATCACTCTTTGGACCCTGCAATCCGTTGATACTATCATGTTAATTTTCATGATCTCTCAACCAACCCCCTCGTGTTTTCTCCTTCCTTACCCAGGTTAAAGTTTATGGCTCGTCTATAGCCATTCCCTTGCCCACATCCTTAACTCCCTTCCTCCTCTCTTGCCTCACTGACCTGCCTGCAAAACCCCCTGGTTAAGTCCTCTTCACTGTGTGGTAGCAACATGTGGGTAGAGTAAGCACATGACTGTGCTGACCAGTCTTCCTTTAAATTCATTACCACCAACCTTAAGCGGGTTCTCAGTGCTGCCCAGCATTCCTACTATATTTCACTAGTTCTTTAGTTTTCCTACACTTCTCAACTATTTCATGCCTTCTACCCTCTTCCACCGTCTAACATGTCCTCCTCTATCCTCACTCTCAGATCTCACTGAGAACATGGACATATCACAAAGAGAACTCCAATAATCTCCCACCACCACATCTATCCCCACCTGCCTCGGGAACCATAGTTGAGCTGTCCACAGCCCAGCCAGGGCCAACCCTTCCACTTATGGATCAGGTCCTATGCCTGTTCACCTACATCACACCAGCAATTTTTTCCTCTCTCTCGGGTCATCGATTTCTCCTTCCCTGCCATATTATTCCCATCAGTATATAAAACATGATTTTATTTTACAAAAAAATCTATGTTTATGCCACATTCACTCTCTAAAAGCACCTCATTTATCTCTTCTACTTTACAAATACCTTTTCAGAAAGCTGTCCGTCCTCACTCTCTAAAATTCCTTTTCTTCCTCTTTCTCTTGAACCCACTCCAGTCAAGTTTCTGCCCCTACCACTCAAACAAAATTGCTCTGGTCAAGGCACCAATGACTTCCATGTCACTAAATTTGATGATCAGAAGGTTCTAGCAAATCATAGTCATCTTTCCTAAAGACAACAGCTATAAACTCTGGGTGAAATACAAAAAGTAGCAACTACCTGCAAATACTGGACAGTCACCAAAAGCAAGAAGAAACTAAGGGAAGCTGGCACTCAGATAAGTAAAATTTCATTGTGTAAGTTTTCCATTTTATAGCTTTTCATCAAAGGGCAGACTGCAATTAGCTTCATGCAGACTGTCTTAAAGCCCAAGTAGAAGCTTATAGTCTTATTGGCTTAGATAACCAGAGGAGAGAGTTTAGGGCAGCTGGAAAATGGAGGAGGGACATATTGGAAAGGAGAGAGTCACAGAGAGAGTGCCCCAAATTCTGAATATAAACTTAGCCTAAATCTCTGACTGACTCTTTAACTATGCAAACATAGGGGAGAATCCAAGAAGCCCAACTGAACCAACAGAACTGAACAGCGATTTCAGCTGACGCTCACCCTAAAGGAAACGGGGTTTGAAGTTTGAGTTCAGCCAGTTAATTGCCTCCTAAAACAAAACATCAACACTTTTCAGAGGGGTGAAGAACAGAATCCAGAAGTAATACAATGTATCATTCATGAAGTCCAGGATGCAATCCAAAATTACTAACATAGTAAGAAACAAGAAAACCTGACTCATAATTGAGAGAAAAGACAATACCTGAGGACTGATCATAAAATGGTTTTGATACTGGAATTAACTGACAAGTATTTTAAAGCAGAAATTATACTTTTGCTCAAAGATATAAAGAAAAATATGCTTGTAATAAATAAATAAGAACTGTTATCAAAGAAATTGAGATACTAAATAAAACCTAATAGAAATTATAAAACTGAAAAATATGATAAGTAAAATAAAAAAAATTCACTGGATAGGCTCAACAGCACATTTACAATGACAGGAGAAAGAGTCAGGGAACCTGAACACAGATCAGTAGACATGTACTAATCTGAAGAACAGAGAACAAAAATAAACAGGCACTCAGTGATCAGCAGGACAATATCAAAAGGTCTAACATACATGTAATTGGCGTCTCAGAATGAGAGAAGAAAAAAAAATGAGACATAAAAATAATTGAAGACACAGTGGCCCAAATTTCCCCAACATGATAAAAGACATAATGTATAAACCTAAAAAGCTCAGCAAACCCTAAGCAAGCTGTGTCTAAAGAAAACCACACCTGGGCACATTATAGTCATACTGTTATAAATCAAAGATGTAAAGAACCTCTTGAAAGCAGGCAGAAAAAAAAATGATACCACACAGACAGGGAACCAACAATACAAATGACTACTAAATTCTTATCAGGAATAGTGGAGACCAGAAGGCAGTGGAAGAGCATCTTTAAAGTAATGACAGAAAAAAAGACACCATCAATCAGAATTCTGTGTCTGGAGAAACTGGCCTTGAAATATGAAGTTTTTTAAAGATAAATGTAAACTGAGAGAATTCATCACCATTAGACCTGCACAACAAGAAATGATGAAGGAAGTGTTTCAGACTGAAAGGAAATAATGCCAAATGGAAATTTGAATCTTTAGGAAGAAATGAGAAGCACTGCAAATGGTAAGTACTAAAGGCTACTTTTCTGTTAATTTCTTTCAAATGGATATGACATTTTAAGGCAAAAATGATAACATTTTATTGTGGCATTTACAATATATGTAAATATAACACAAATAACAGCTCCAACATAAAGGAAGAGGGCTGGTAAGTAGATGTATGTGGCTCCAAATTCTTACATTTTATTTAAAGTCGCACAATATCAGTTGTAAGCAGATTAAAAATGTAAAGATATATATTATAATCTCTAGATCAATCACAAAAAAACCCAAAAATATAAAGATGCAAAAAGCCTATCGATGAATTCAAATGAAATTCTAAAAATAACCCCGAAGAAAGAAGAAAAAAAACCCCCAAAAAACAGAGGACCAAAAAGAGAGTTGACTAATCAGATAACAAATAGTAAAATGGTAGACAAATTTAACCGTACCAATAATTATTCCAACTCTAAATTGATTAAACACTGTTTAAAATGCATTGGTCATCAGAATGGGGAAAAATAAGACTAAGTCTCAACTATTTGCTATCTAAAAGAGATGCATGCTTAATATAAAGACACAGATACATTGAAAGTAAAAAAAAAAGGCAAAAGATATAGGACACAAACAGTAACCAGAAGACTGGAGAACAGATTAATACCAGATACAACAGATTTCAAAACAAAGAGTATCAACAGAAACAGAGTGACATTTTATGAGGACATTCACTGGGAAGACAAAGCAAACAAATATATGTGCATACTTAACAACTGTAGAATACACATGATTTTTGAGTGCATATGGTTCATTCACTAAGAAAATATGTTTGGCTCTGAAACAAGTTTCAATAAGTTTAAAAGGACTGAAATTATACAGAAAATGTTCTTTGAGTATAATGGAATTAAATTAGAGATAAATAAAAAGTGTCTAGAAACTCCCAAATATTTGAAATTAAATAACACTCTTCTAAATAATTCATGAGTCAAAAAAATCACAAGAGAATTTGGAAAATATTCTTCCTGAAATGATAATGAAAGTACATGTCAAAATGTATGAGATGCTGCTGAAGCAGTGTTGAGAGGGAACTTTAAATACCTGAAAGGTTAAAATCGATGACCTAAGTTTCTACTTTAAGAATCTAGAAAAATAAAAGCGAAATAAGCCCAAAGTAAGTAGAAGAAAGAAAATCATAAAGAGCAGAAACTGATGAAACGAAAAAAAAAATAGAGAAAATTAACAAAGCCAAAAGTTGGTTTTCTGAAAAAATAAACTCCTAGCTATGCTATTCAAGAAAAAGTGTTTGTGTGTGTGTGAGAGAGAGAGAAGGAGAGAGAGAGAGAACACAAATTACCAACATTGGAAATAAAACAGGGCATACACTATAGATCCTGCAGACGTTACTTTTTTTTTTTTTTTTTTTTTTTTTTTGAGACGGAGTTTTGCTCTTGTTGCCCCGGCTGGGGCAGTGGAGTGCAGTGGGGCAATCTCGGCTCGCTGCAACCTCCGCCTCCCAGGTTCAAGCGATTCTCCTGCCTCAGCCTCCTCAGCAGTTGGGACTACAGGTGTGTACCACCACGCCTGGCTAATTTTTTTTTTTTTTGGTAGAGACAGGGTTTCACCATGTTGGCCAGGCTGTTCTCGAACTCCTGACCTCAGGTGATCCACCTGCCTTGGCCTCCCAAAGTGCTGGGATTACAGGTGTGAGCCACTGTGTCCAACCCAGACATTACTTTTTGTTGTTGTTGTTTTGAGACGGAGTCTCATTCTGTTGTCAGGCTGGAGTGCAGTGGTGCGATCTTGGCTCACTGCAACCTCCACCTCCTGGGTTCAAGCGATTCCCCTGCCTCACCCTCCCGAGTAGCTGGGACTACAGGCACACACCACCATGCCCGGCTAATTTTTTGTATTTAAGTAGAGATGGGGTTTCGCCGTGTTGGCCAGGGTGGTCTCAATCTCCTGACCTCGTGATCCACCCGCCTCGGTCTCCCAAATATTACATTTTTTTAAAATCTGGCAAAATTAATCTGTCATGAAAAAAGCAGAACAGTGGTGGCCTCTTAGTGGGAAGGGGGATTGTTGACTGGGAAAATGCATGAGGGGACTTTCTGAGGTGATGACATGTTCTATATTTTGATAGAACTTTGGGTTGCACAGACGTCTGCATTTGTCAAAATCTATTGAATGGTACACTTAAGATTTGTGCATTTCACTGTATCTAAATTTTACCTAAAGGAGCAGAAAGGAAAGAGGAGGAAATAAAAGAATCGTGAATCCAGTTGTCAGCTCTGCCTTCATCCTGTGTGCTCATCAGCACTATCCCACACAGCCGGGCCCTCCCTCCATCTAGGCACACTTTCTTCCCTTGGCTTCCAGATGCCACACTCTCCTGATTGGCCTTTCACGTCACTGGCTGTTCCTCCTCATTCTCTTTGGTTGGTTGTCCACCGCCTTTGAAGCTCTTCTCTATTCTATCTATCCCCATGACGTTGGTCATCTCATCCAGTCTCATGGTGTTTTGTTTTGTTTTGTTTTTTTTATTTGGAGATGGGATCTCATTATGTTGCCCAGGCTGGTCTTGAACTCCTGGGCTCAAGCAACTTCCCGCCTTGGCCTCCCAAAATGCTAGGATCAGATGTGAACCACCATGCCTGGCCTAGTCTCATCATTCAAAAGCCCTTGGGTCTTTTTTTTTCTTTTTGAGACAAGAGTTTCGCTCTTGTTGCCCAGGCTGGAGTGCAAGGGTGCAATCTCGGCTCACTGCAATCTCCGCCTTCCGGGTTCAAGCGATTATCTTGCCTCAGCCTCTCGAGTAGCTGGGATTACAGGCATGCCCCTCCACGCCCGGCTAATTTTGTATTTTTAGTAGAGACGAGGTTTCTCCATGTTGGTCAGGCTGGTCTCGAACTTCCTACCTCAGGTGATCCACCCACCTCAGCCTCTCAAAGTGCTGGGATTAGACATAAACCACTATGCCTGGCCTAGTCTCATCGTTCAAAAGCCCTTGGATCTTTAATCAAAGATATGTGGCCCCAATTAATCTAGACTCTTTTTAGGAGGTGGGAATACTTGGCCTCAATCTCTCCCCTGCGGAGTCCTGGTCACCAAAGCTAAGGCTTCAAGAAGAGCCCTACTCATCATATAGGGATGCTGGTCCTTACCAAGCCTCTGCTCTGTGCCCACAGTGCCAGGTGCTGTCAGATCCCTCCAGCAGCCTTGTGGTTGTGTGTGTGTGTAGGGCTCTATCAGTGTGTGTGTGTGTGTGTGTGTGTGTGTGTGTGTGTGTGTGTGAACTCCCCCTGTGTTTAGAGAGTCCCATGTTTCTTCATCCTGTGTGCTCATCAGCACCATCCCACACAGCTGGGCCCTCCCTCCATCTAGGCACACTTTCTTCCCTTGTCTTCCAGATGCCACACTCTCCTGATTGGCCTTTCACGTCACTGGCTGTTCCTACTCATTCTCTTTGGTTGGTTGTATACCAGACAAGAAAATGTTTTTCTTCTTTTATTTGCCAGTTCCCCTTTCCCTCCCTTCCTTCCTTGTTCACCTAAAAGAATAAATATCCAGTTCCTTCCCTGTGCCAGAGACTGCTTGGGTCCCTGCCCTCAGGGAGTTCACAGTCCAGTGCAGAAAGTGGCTGTACCAACCACCCAGGTGCCGGGTGTTACATCAGGGCTCTGGCAGGGCCTATGGAGCATCCAAAGGTGCAGTTAGTCCAGTGAGGAAGGGGACTTGCAAGAAAGAGCAGAGGGTGGTGTTGGAGAAGGGGCCTGGCCTTGCTCCTAGTGCTGCTTTGTGACCCCTGCAAGTTACTTTCCTTCTCCAGGCCTCAGTTTCTCACCTGCAAAGTGAGGGAGTCGGGCTAGACCAGCGATTTCTCCACAGCTCCTCGGAGCCTGGGGTTCTGAGGATCCCACTCCTGGGCAGAAAGGGAGTGGGCAGGTGGAGCTCTTGCCCCAAGTCTCTTCCACCCGGGCTGCCTCTGTCTCCCCATGCCAGTGTAGCTTACCCGAAGGATTCTGTGGTTGGAAAATAGGTGGATATCGTCTGCTGAGGGGTGTTCCCTGGCCATTCCACTCCGACAGTCTGTGACCCTGATGCAGGCCAGCTCCAGACAGCAGATCCCAGATGCTGGATGGTGGGTCCAGCATGCCACCAAGCCAGCCTGTTCCCTGCCAGCCTGTCTCCCAGCCCCCAGCACCTGTGGCTACAGCCCCACACTCTGCAGTCCGCCAGTGGTCCAGCCATCAAGGAGATCTGGTTGGTTGGGGCCAAGAATAAAGGCTCTGCCCCCAGGAGTACTCAAAACCAGACAGACAAGGGGACCAGGCAGGACCAGCTCTGAGCTGGCAAAAGAAAAAGAAGTAGAGAGATTGGGCAAGAAGTGACTCCTTTCAGATTCAAGAGTGGACGGTAGATGGGCTGTCTGGAAAAGGGCTTTCTCAATTCAGAGGAGGAGGTGAGTGTAGGGTATTTTTGCCTTGACCTCTCAACTTTTGGAAGAGGACAAGAATTTTTTTCCCAGACGTTTCTTGAATTAAAAAGAAAAGATGAGGAGTATATGTCTGGGGTACAGGTGCTTATTCTGTTTTCGAACACTGGTTACAGAAGGCTCAGAGGGGCACCATGGTCACAGGTTGGAGTCATTAGAGGGCAGTTTTGGAGCCAACCTAATTGTTGGCAACTGCTGTCTAGATGGCAGCTATAGAGAAGGGAGAGGAGCACCAACCTTGGCCTCAGACCTGTTTCAAAATCCGAATCCATCACCTACTATCTGTATGACCTTGAAAAAGTTGCTCCACCTCTGAACCATAGTTTCCCTATCTGTGAAATGGGAATGATCCCACCTACTTTGCAGCATCTGGATAGAGATAGAAGGTCATTCATGCATGTCAGTGCCCACCCCCACGGGGGTCACAGAATAGGTGGTCGTTCTTGTCTGTTGTCCCCCACAGCCCTGCTATCCTCCAGGAAAACTCTGGGCCCCAGAATGCAGCCAGGTGAGCCTAAAGGGATCCAGAACAACACGCATGGGTGCAGCATGGGCCCCACTGGCCCTGGAGACCTGGTTGACATTTCCTTTCAGAGAGAGGTGTAGAAAGCAGGATTTTAATGGTCTTGTGTGCAGAGGGTGACATTTATACCCCAGAGATTTAGAACCGCTTGGTAAATGCTGAAATGCTTTTTAGAAATTTTAAAAATTAATTCAGCAGCCATAAAACTTCTTAATGGGCCAACTAGAGGGCTTAGGAATGCCAGAAGCCTGAAATCCTTTCTGTATATGGGATATCTCTGCTGATCCACCATCAGTGGGGCTTGTCAGCTTTGACACGCTTCCCAGAGAGGCTGGCATGTCACTTGGTGACATTCACACCCTGCTGAGGTGTGCAGGATGACGGGTTAGGGTGGAGGATACCAGCAGGAGTCCTTAAGGTATTTTTCACTCTGTGGCCCTGGCCTCATTACCTCCATATTCTAATCAACCAAACCACCAGCCCCAGACTAGATGATCCACACTGTAGTTTCTGGCATCTGATATTCCGTCTATCAGAACTCTTCGTTTATTGGCATGTCTGCACAGCAACCACAGCTCATAAGATGTGTAATCTTATGATGCCTCGAGGTGCTGTGAGCTTCTGATTCATTAAAGATTTGGTTATGCACAGTATCGCCTTTGTGTCAGGCCTCTCTGAACAGTTTTAACACTTTGACAGCTGGGCAGCCTCATGCGAGTTGACCAGAGCAGACTTGGGCTGGGACACAGGAGGCTTGAGTCTCAGGCTTGGTTCCGCCACAAACTTGCCACGTGACTCTGCGCAAGTCACTTTCTCTCTTTGGGTCTGTTTCCTCATCTATAAATTGAAATGTAATACTCTGGGCTCTGCCTGTCTCACTAGAATGAAGTAAAGATCAAAACAGCAAACCAACACCCTAAGGCTTTGAAAGCAAAAGGAGTTAATGTGTGGCCCCCTCAAGTAAAAAAGACTATTGTTATTATTAACGACTTCTGTTCACTCTTTTCTCCAACTGTGTTGGACAACGGAACGCACTGCATTCCAAAAATGATGCACAATGAATGCTTTATCTCTCGTGGAGAGAATCGGGTTCCAGGCCAGAATACTTCCAAAGGCAACAGGAGGAAATGGCTTCAGGGCTCAGGGTAGAGAGACCTGGAGGCAGCCTGACATGGAGTCTGGGAGACTCAGCCTCCAGCACCATGAGACCTTCTCCTTTCCACAGCTTAGGCTGCCAGCTGCTCCTGGTGCCTCCCAGTTTGGTCTTGCCCATCTGTTCCTGGACCCTTTTGCTCTCACTGGACAGTCCTCTGAAGGGGCCAGAGGGCCTGCCACCCACTTGGCCAGGGACAGTTGAATTAGTACTTCTGTAGCTTTTTGGCACTCCTACACATTAAGTGCACCCACGTCCCACGTAAAATCGAACTTCTTTACTGTTAGTTGTAATTTCCCAGTAATTATATCACATGTGGGAATTTTTAGGAAGTGAGACAACTAATCCGCAAATTGTTTCCAGTTGTTTATAAATAATAGATGTAACAATGGCGATGATGTAATATTGCATTTTGCATTGTAACGTAATTACACATAGATTATTATATGGCAGTGGTAGGAACATGAATAGGAATGAATGAATCTTGCAAACATATTGTTGAGATAAAATAACCAAACATAAAAATGGACTTACTGTTGACTTCCTTTATATAAAGTTCAAAAATAGGCAATATTAATCTACGGTGTTAGAAGTCAGGACAGTGGTTACCCCTGGGGAGGAGGATGGTGACCTGAAGGGGTCTGAGCAGGGTTTTGGGTGCTGGTAATGTTCTGTTTCTCGGTCTGGGTGCTATTCATTTGTGAAGCTTCATTGGGCTGCATGCATTTTCAGTTGTACATGTTTCTGCATGCATGCTATATTCCAATGAAAGCTTAGCAATCTAAACATCTGTTGATTGTAAATTTGTAACTTGATCTCACATTTTGGAGTCAATACATATTTTTCAGGTCTCAAAACATTTTTTGGATGTCCGAGGCCTCGTGTATTTAACAGTCCAGGCCACAGATAGGCCATCTTCTTCTTGTCTGTGGTACAGCTCCTTCTCTCTGACCTCTCTGGACATTACTAAACTGTGGGATGGTCCAGGAGGTCAGGGCCGTGGGCTGTAGTAGAGAGGACTTGCCAGTCACCACTCTTTCAAATTGGGAAAAGCTCACATTCAGCCCTTCCCCAAGCATCCTGACCTTCCCCATCCAGGTGGCCCTGACTGGCACTGATGGCCCACGGTGGTTATGTTCACAGCACTACTTGGAATTTACTACACATGCCTCGTTTGCTTATGTTTGTCTTGTCCCTTATGAGACTTCTGAGGCTGGGGCCCATCACATCCTTTGTTTTTGTGACCCTCCAGCACCAATACAGAACCCAGGTAGAATAGGCATTCAATAAACATCAGCTCCAGCTGGGCACAGTGGCTTATGCCTGTAATCCCAGTGCTTTGAGAGGCGAAGGCAGAAGGATCACTTGAATCCAGGAGTTCGAGACCAGCCTGGGCAACATAGTGAGACCCATAGTTGGGAGCCTTAGCTGGGAGGATTGCTTGAGCCTGGGAGGTTGAGCCCTCTTTGAGCCATGATCTCATCCCTGTACTCCAGCCTGGGCAACAGAGCAAAACCCCTGTCTCAAAAAGTAAATAAATAAAACTAAATAAACACCAACTCCTTGACCTTCATCTTTGAATTTCTCTTTCCTACAGATGCCCCACCTGGATGGGTTCAGGCTTGGGGACATTTACAAGCTGTGTGACCCTGGGGGTATTTGTTCCTTCCCTAAGTCTCGCTTTACTTATTTTAAAAATCAGGACAGCAATCCTAGTGTCATGGAGCTGCGGTGAGGCTCGATGTGCTGCTGTAGAGCAGGTGTCCATGGATAGCGCTGTCCCTGTGCCCCCGGGTGGCATTCTCAGTCCTTGCCTGGTACAGGGTAAGAGGAGATCATGGAAGGAAATGAGTAGCCCCTTCATCCCTCAACAGCACCCCAAAGAATCCACTCCTCGAAAAAGTTCAAAGAAACACTAGCAATTTATTGATTTTCTCTATTTCCAAAAAAAGCAAATACATTAGTGTATCACACAAGGAAACTGGGCCTGGCCGGCACAAGGTTCCTCTACAAACATGAAGCAAGGGGAAGGTGGGCTACAGGGAAGCTCCAAGATCCCTCACAGCAGCCCCCGGCTTCCCTTCCCTGCCCACCCCAGCCGCAGTCTTGGTCCTGCCAGCCAGTTCAGCCAGATTCCAAGGTGGACATGCAGACAGCAACACTGCCTCTTGGGTCCCCAGGAGGAGTGTGGAGTCAGGGCTGCTAGTGTGGTCCCCACTGCAGAGGTGGCTGGTGGCCAATGACTGGATTTGTCATTGGCCGCTAGCACAGGAGATCCCAGGGCAGAGTCTGTGTCCTTCCTCATTTGGCCCCAAATTGGAACTCCTTATTTTGGGCATTGGCCCTGGTAGTGTGAGGCCAATGTGGACTTAAAATCCTGAGACGTGTGTCGGCTACATGAAGCCTGGCAAGCTCCTTGTTCTCTTTCTCTAGGAAAAGCCCCTCTCAGTTTTGCCCCTCTCAAAGTGACAGGCCTGGGTCAGAGGCCCGGGTGACCTGAGCTGGCCTGAGAGGGAATGGGCAGTGTCACCAAAGTCAGCCCTGCCCTAATAGTCTGCCTCAGCCCCTGAGGTCTGGAAGGCTGCCTGGTTCCCAGGGCAGGGGCTGGGCCCATGGGGCTCTTCATTCTTTGAAGGTGGGAGGAACATGAGGCGAGGGGATGCAGGAGGCCAGGGTAGTGCTAAGGGGAAGGGGCATCCGCCTGGGCTGGTAAGGTTCACATGCAGCGGTGCATTTCCCCTCCCGCCCTGACCGGACTGCACAGCCCCCAGCCGGGGGAGCCCTAAAGCCAAGGACTTGTGTCTCCACTTTCCTCCAGAAAACATAAGCCGCATGAGGACAGGGATGTGGTCTGTGTTCTTCCCTGATGTAGTCTAAGTGCTTAGGACACTGCCCCGCACAGATTGGTATGCCATACGTATTTTTTAGGAGAAGAATTCCTCTGGGTTCTGATGACAACAAAGGAGGCCCCTGAAACCTATGCCCAGGACAGTCCAGGGATCCAGGCTCCCACGTGGGTCCCTGAGAGGGAGAGGTGAGCCAGGAGTGGGCCTCCCAGTGTGAACAGAAGCAAGGGAGGGTATGACAGACCCACAGCACCACAGCACAGCTGGCTAACAGCCGGGGACACCTCTCGGAGGACAGCGTCCTCACATGTCTGGCGTCCCCCATCTCAGTTATCATACTGAGTCCACATCAGTGTTTTCCAGCCTGAATGCTGGGGCAAGAGGTGGGTTTGGACTCGGGGGTGGTGCAGAAGAGGAAGACTTGGGAGGAGGCTGAGAAGGGGTGAGGAGGAGGAGCATCTTATATTCTTCTAGAGAAGGGCACAGACCAGGAAGTTAATTCCTCTCTAACACCAGCAATGCTAGCATGGAGGTAGAAGCTGGAAGGAGGAAGGCTTGGGAGCGCTGGGCTCTGCTCTGTCTTAGTGTACACCAAGGGATGTCCACACAGGTTTTCTCATAAGGCCCTCGGGAGCCCTCCTGCTGCTGCTGGTCTGAAGTGCACAGAGTCTGGGGGCTCGACGTGGCTGATACCCCTAATAGCCCTGTTTATCACATCCCCTGTGGGTTTCACAGAGTGGAGACAAGACAGCTGGGGTCAGGGGAAGTGGGGCATGGCCCCTGGCTGAGATGTGAGCTTGCCGGTACCGGTACCCTGATATGGCACTTTCCTTTCCTAGTCTACCCAAACTCCCCCCGTCCAAGTCTCCTGGGACCCCAAACACTCCCTCAATTGACTCACAGCAGGCTTGGTGGAAACATCTTCCTGGTTAATTTCTATACCCCAACTCCATCCCACTAGAAGCCGGAATAGGTATATGCCCAGCCCCACTTGTTCCCCTCTCCACTGGGAATATGAAGACCAGCCATTCCCAGAACAGCTCTTGGGAAAGAGCTGCAATAAAATAGCTTTTCTTAAAAAAATCATTTTTTACCTTCTTTCTCCTGCAACAAGTAGATTACAAGACCTCTGAATGCAGGGCCTTTGCAGGCTGAGCCTGCTCTGATGGGCACACAGCCCAAGAGGGTGGAAGGCACCATCTTTCAGCTCCTACTCCTCTGAGCAGGCCTCATTTGGCAAAGTATGCGAGAGTGTCCTGCTGTCCTCTGGAACCCCACACCTACCCAACCTCAGTCCTTGTGGCGCTGCTGGAGGGGTGACATTACAGACACCCCAGATTCTCCCATGAGATACACCAGACCTCCCTTCCTGGAAAGCAGCCTTGTAAGTGGGGAGGCTGGCCCAGCCCCAGTTACTCCTGCACCCCTGGAGACCACTGGTAGGAAGCCTGCAGGACTCCTCTGAGGGCCTGACTGCAGTGATGGCCCCCTTGCCCTGGCACCACACATTTCAGGAATTATGAGCAGCTCACCAAAAAGCACATGTTGTCCTTGCCTATGAGTAAGAAACACAGGAGAGTCCTTTTCACCACCTTATGAGCTGCAACAAAATAGCTTACCTAGCTTTTTGCAGTTTGTGGTTATGCTTTAAGACACTCACACACACACACATGCACGCGCACATGCATGCACACACTTACATTATACACATATATATACCATTTCTCAGAGGAAGAAATATTGACATCACATATAAGCCCCTTTAACTCAAGAAAGCCCCCACCGCCCCAACCTCCCTAACCCCCATTGCCTGCCAGTTTCCCCAAGGAAAAAAAAAATCTAAAAATCTTTCCACTATCCACAGTTTTTAGGTTTCTTCTCAGTTTCTTGTGAACTTTCCCAAATACTGCATAGGATGGACAGAAAACCCCATCCAGCGAGGCCTGAGGGCTTCTCAGCTGGGTCATATCTTCCTGGAAAAGGAGAAAGTCCTCCAGTTAGTGTTTACAGTGAGATGTTTCCACACCACAAGCCCAGCCTGTACTGCCACCCTCTTCTCACATCGGCCCTCAAGTGTGCCCTGGCCTGAGACTGGATTCAAGGCTGCCCTAGACACATTTATAGATTGCCCTGTGGATTCAGAAGCTTGTCAGCTTTGTCTGCCACCCTGCCACAGTGTCCCCTGCCCACCGTCTTCCTCACTAAGAAAGAAGGTGGTGTTCATTAAGGATTTGCCAAACCGAATCTCTTTCCCCTTTTCTGCCTTCAAGTTGTTGCAGCTTGTTTACTAGGAGAGGATATCTGAAGTCTTATTTAACCTTCATCCAGACCAAAGTTACAGTCCTCTCTCCCCACCAGGGATTGGGGTGGGGGGTGCTGGCAGACAGCCTGGTTAAGAGGTCCCCCTTAGCTCAGGAGACCCTGTCTTGATCCCAGGCTATTTGCAGATGGCTCCATGCTGGGCTGCCCCTGAGGCCCCTCTCTAGGGGTGATGACATCTGGCTGGAGTATCTCTATTTGTGATTCTCAGTTTACCCGCATCAGAAACACTTTAGACGCTTGTTTAAAAATAGACTTTCCTGGATCCCACTCCAGGGCTATTGAGTCAGAATAGCTGGGGCTGGGCCAAGTGTGTGCATTTTAGCAAGCAACCCATATAATTCCAATGAACACTGAGGTTGGCAAGCCTTCATCATAGGATTGGTTCTGAGTTTTGGGGGCCTAGAATCATCAGCTGGAAATAAACTTGTCCACACTGGGCATGTGCAGAGAGTGGAAAGTGAATTATAAAAGGATAAAAAAGTGAGCTGTGTATGGCCAAGCCCAGAATGACATATTCTAGAACTCCAGTTATCCATATTGTAGAACTCACTGTAGTCCATGTGAAGGGCACCACCTGTGTTGTTCAGTGTACAACCCACACATTTGTACCTAGCAGTCCTGCCCAGACCCTCTGACCCCTCTGAAACTCCCAGGACATTATACACCCCTAACGTCCTGAGGGTGGGACAAACTACGCCCCCAGCCAAGCAGTCTACACAACTGCTTGTGTTGTCCAGAGCCAGGCAAAAGGATGCTTCTGTGTCCCTGGGAGCACAGGCCTAGCCCTTGTCTCTGAGACTGGCTGAGGCTGTTGCAGTGGTCCCAGAGGCATCCCTGAGGGTGGGGTGATTCTTACCTGCAAGCCTAACTTGCTTGGACAGTCTCTTCTTAGAATCGGGAGGTGAAGTTCCTGAGGCTGTTGGCCCCAGCTAAGGTTCCCAGCATGTTCCTATCGAAACCTTGCTGCAAAGGGAGAAACAGCAACCAAATGACACAAAACTGTGTGGGGCTTGCTGTGGGGTCAGACACTGTCCACTGCCCTCCCAGAGCAACCTCGGCTCACACAGCCTCTCTCTTATCACTAAGTACATGTGTCAGGGCGAAAACTGGCCTCAGTAACTGTGTAACAAAACATAATAACTCTCCATGAGTCGGTGCAATGTGTTTGAACTTCCACTGACACATGTGAATTTCCTACTTGCATTTGCAGAAACCTGAGTCAAGGCGTGAGGATTTAGGCTAGTATTATTTTTTAAACAGAGCAACAATCAAAATCAGATTAGAGAAGCTGTCAATTGTTCTTCCCTCTGACCACCTCTATCTTTTCTTTTTTTAAACAATTCTGACAAGAGCTCTTGGGCAGAGAGGACATGCCCATTGTTTCTCAAACACAGGAGCAGGGGGCTCGCACTGGTAAGAAGCCGCTGTGCTAGAAGGTTCTGTTTACTTGTCTGTTCTTCACCTCCAGCCCCACTAGCCCCTGAGTGCCTGCTGGATGGAGAGTGAGTCTTATTCCTGTTATTTCTCCCAGCATACAGCAGGTGCCCAATACATGCTTCCAAGTGAATGTGGACAGCATGATTTGAATGCAGCAATAGGCCAAGGTGCCCTTGAAAAGAGGGTCCTGCTGCCAGCCCTGAGCTCTGAGAGCCAAGCCAGCCATCACCGACCTGTGGGAACAGGAGGGGAGATGGCATAGGGGATCCGAAACAGCAGCCGGTTCGAAGCCCTGCCCCTCCTGTCTTTGGGCATGTATTACATGATGCCATTTTTCTTCTGCAGATTGGCATGCTCATTCCTGTCGAGCATGGCTCATGCCCTGACTCACTGAATCAAGACAAACTCCTTGGACCCTGATTCCCTATTCAGCAAAATGGACACAAGCCATGTGGCCTGTCTCACCTGTGCTTGTGACAACTCAATGCATGATGGATGTGAAGGCCCTTTGGGAACAGACGCACCAACTAGATCATGCCCAGGATGGTTGTCAAGCATAGCTGGAAGGAGGAGTGGAGACTGAATGGGGACGCTGGTTCCCAAAGGCATGTGTAGAAGGGAATTCCCACCGAGAGCGATGTCAGTGGATTCTCTGTGTGTCTTAGGCCGGGGGTGGACTCTGTGTTTTGGGGTAAGCTGAATGCTTTGGACCACCATTACACAGCGGGAGGAAGCTCACACCAGTCCTCCTTACCTGCCTCCTCGTCTCCCTTTGTCTATCTGGCAGTTGCCATTTGCCAAGCCCATCTTCAATGCAGTGCTGTTGGAAAGGAGCTCTGGATTGTCACATGGAGAACAAGGGCCACCCTTTGCTGTGACCTTCAGATTTCCCCAATCATCTTTGGACACCGTGCGTTCATGAGTCTCCCTATTGTCCCCTGCCATGCTGGAGGAAGAGCTGGGCTTCCTTCTGCCCCACGCTGCTCAACCAATCCCCAGGCTTCCCTGTCCTCCATCCCTGTCTTTCTCCCTTCTTTGCCTACTCCCTCTCCTCCCATGACAGAGATGCTTGAGTCTCCTCTGTCTTTAAACAGATCTCTTTTTACCCACTGTTTTGCTCCTTTTTCTGCAGGCTAAATTGCAGGGAGCAGCATCTCCTCTCAGCAACTCCCCATCCATCCCCATCCACTGCCTTGCCCACTGCAGCAGGCCCCATGGGGCTCCCCTTGCTTGGCCAGCAGTGCTCCTGGACGGCTCCAGAGACTTCCGAAGCACCGGATCCAGGGCCTTTTCCAGTGTCCATCCCCTGGTCCTCTAGGTAGCCCTGGGAACTGCTGCCCTGCCTTCCTTAGAGCTTTCTCTTCTTACCAGGTCTTCAGCCCCTTCTGGCACCCTGCACAGTTCCTCTTTTCCCTGGCCTTTCCTCCTTCTTGTCCCCAGCAGATGGTCTTCATATTTCTGCCCTGTCCTTCAAGACTTTTCCATACACATGCAACCCATGGTGGTCTTGCCTGTTCTCATGGCTTCGCCTGCCTGAACAAAGCTCCACTCTGTATGGTAGCTCTGGCCCCTCTGCCAGGGCCCACACCACCTCCAGCCTGGACTCCCATCCAAGTCTTCCAAACTCAACCTCTCCAAATTGGGACCCCTCTTACTCCCACCTAAAAGCCTTCTCAGGCTCTCCTCATCTGATGTGTCTTTATGAATATAACCATAGTCTCCAAGCTAAAAGCTCCAGCCTAATCAGCCCCACTGCTCCATTTCTTCCACCTCCTGTCCTTTATGTCCATGCTTATCACTGAGGAATGGGAAAGAAGAGGCCATGTGAAGATGTCATACAACAAGACCTTATACCCTAGAGGACTCTGTACCTGGCTAGCTGGGGAGGGGTGGAGGACAGAGAGGAGGCCAAGGTCACCACAGGACAAGGACAGCAGCCTCCAGGCTTCTCAGCCCACTCTGCCTTGCTCACAGGGTGAGCTTTGGTGCTGCTTTGATCATGAAACCCTCTATTCAAAACTTTGAATGGTTCCCCAGTGCCAAAGGTACAAGTCCAAGCTCTTCAGTTTGACATTAGAAGGGTTTTGTAACCTAGCCCACACCTACTTTTCTAGCTGGAGTGAACCCCATGCCCTCAAAAGACTTGTGTGCTTTTTGTCCACTCTGTTTTTCAGTTTGCTCCTAAAGGATCCCACCCCAGGCCTCTCACACATTTCCTTGATTTCCTCTGCCCTCCATGTTCTCAGCATCCCTCGCAGATCTCAGAGCCCAGAGACTTGATCAGAACGTTCATCACATTCATTTTCACGTAGACGCTGTCTTTGTCTCTCAGACTGTCCCGAAGGGCAGGGGCGTTTCTCTAGTGCCCAGCCCAGAGCCCAGCATATGCCAGGCCCTCTGCTCATGAGCAGGAAGAACCTCAGAAGAGGATGATGTCCTGGGCTCTTACCTGTCTGAGGACACCCTGCAGTTCCTTGCTGGACCACATGTCAGACAGGAGAAGCCGGGCAGCTTCTGCGGCCTTGGGTGAGGCACTGGGCAGGTGAGAAGTGCATTTGTGAGATGAGATTCCAGGAGGTGTGAGAAGGAGCACCCTCTTCCCTCCCACCCCCACTGCCAGGGCCTGGACACAGGGGAGGCCTCAGAGGAGGCCTCA
Source organism: Homo sapiens (assembly GCF_000001405.40). Taxonomy (NCBI): domain Eukaryota; kingdom Metazoa; phylum Chordata; class Mammalia; order Primates; family Hominidae; genus Homo; species Homo sapiens. The sequence continues at coordinate 201,325,631 of NC_000001.11, read as the reverse complement.
GGTGTGCAAAAGAGAGGAGCCCCATTGGGGTGTGGTGAGCCTGGTCACCCTACCCAGTGGGCACAACCCCATGCCCCTGCCCACCTAGAGCACCCCAGGACTCTCCTCAGGGGCCATGAGGTGGCAGTGCTCTTCCACTCCAGTCCCCAGCCTTGTCCGGGGAAGAGAGAGCCCCACAGAGCAGGATAAAGTCCCTATTCAGTTGGACCTGCTGCCCCATGCCTCCTGCTGGCCCTCTGAGGACCTTGTGCCCCCGAGTCCCCCAGCCAGGAAGTGTGTTGCCTCTTCCCTCCATGCAGCCCTGGGGCCTGGATGCTGGACCCTTCTCTCCACGCACTCTCGGCTTCTGGAACTTCTCCTCCATTCAAGCCTCCCCCGTCCCTGGCTCCCCCTGCCCTTGGTGCTTCCCCTACTCCATGGAGAGCTGCGGGACTGCTTCCTGCTGTGCAGGGTGAGGAGGGGCTCTGATTGGGGTGCAGCCCGTGGGAGCAACCCCCCGCCCACCTGCTTCGGCACAGGTTGATGATGTTGTTGAGCATGCTGCTGGAGAAGTACTGCTTGGCCAGTTGTGGCTGCGAGGCCATCAGGTTCCTCACAGTGTAGCAGGCCGAGGACAAGATGTCTTCGGAGTTGCTGGTATTGCCAGTGTGGCTGGTGAGGAGCCTGGTCACCTCCGGGAACACCTGGTTCCCTGGGAGAGGAACGAGTTGGGGCACAGGGTCAGGATGACTGGGGAAGGAAGGGCTGAGGGGTTCCCTCTGGGGCCACACTCTTCGATAGCCTTCTGCCGGGCTCTGAGCCAGGTGGCCCTCAGGGCTTCCTGGCAGCTCCAACTCAGGGCTCAGAGACCCAGATAGGACTTTTGCAGATCTGCTCCCAGCCCTCAGGTGACAGGCTCCCTTCTCCTGTCTCCATACCTGTCTTTGGCCAGCTTCCTTTCTTGGAATGCTCATCCCAGGGAATGGCTTAAAGGATGACCTTCAAGCAGGCTTGAATTGTAGGGAGCCTGCCATGTCTTAGCTAGAGGGGGAGGAGAGAGAGGGACCTTACCCATCACTCTGTGCAGCAGAGGGTGGCGGGACATGTTGCTCAGGAGGGAGGCTCCGGACCGCACCACATCAGAGTTGCCAGATTGCAGGAGGCGGGCAATTTGTGGCAGGCCCTTTTCCTTCAGCCCAATCAACTGGCTCATGCCACTGGACATCTAAGAGAGAAGGAGTAGATGATGAGCTAGCCTGTGGCTTCCCAGGCACCATGGCAGGCAGAAAGGGGCAAGGAGCCCCAAAGGCAGACATCCCAGAACCCTTTCTCTTTCATATTGGAAGCACTAGCTCACATGTGGGCAACTACAGAAACCTAGGCTAACATGCACCTCCCCTTTCCCAGCCCTGATCCTGTCTCCTGGATCAGCCTGCAGCCCAGATGGGTGGAGAGAGGGAAGTCTCATTTCCCCTACTCATAGTGACCCAGAGTTAGCTTCCAGAGTAACCCAAGCGTCCAATGCTGCTCTCTCACCCCACTGTCTCAGCGCTGCCCCCATTACATCTCCCCACGCTATCTGCCCATGTGAAACTATATGGTCAAGGGTATTTGTCAATTAAACATCTGGCCATCTTCTTCCAACTTTCCTACCTCTTTAGAATCCAACACATATTTGTTGAGGGCTTGCCTGAGAAAAGAGGGCTAAGAAAGGGTCTGGGCCCACATGGAGAGAGAACTGGGGTCCCCTAGAGGTAGGCCAGTTCGCCCAGGCCTCTAAGCAACATAGCTATCCTGGGTGTAACAGGTCTAGGTGGGTTTGGCATTCTCAGAACTGCCCAGCCTCTCTCCTCACAGCCAGGGAAGTTCTCTGCCCTCGGTCTACTCTAGTGCTGCTGCTGCTCGGTTCCCTTTTCCTAAGTAAAGCTGAAGAACAGTTGGCCGCCTGGCCCATCTCAACTCTTCTTGATTGCAACAGGTTTCCTCTGGCTCTGCCCCATACCACTGTGCCCTCCAAGCTACATACATTTGGCCTCAACATCTGCACGGATTCTGTCACATCTTCTCTGGACCTGCTTGGACCCCAAACCCTCTTTTTCCACCTTTGTCAGTTCAACAAATGGGAAACTCCTTTTGCCAAACACCTTCTCCGCCGCATTCCCCGACCTCAAGCAGAGCCCAGGAGGCCAGCTGGGGACCGGGAGCCATGTGGCCAAGGGGATTGTGTGTGCATGGACAGAATCCAGCATCAGTGGGCCCACCCTCTCTGCATCCCCCAGCAGCTCCTAAAGGGCAGGAGTGTTTCCCCATTGCCCAGCCCAGAGCCCAGCATATGCCAGGCACACTCTGCTCATGGGAGGCTCCGAAGTCAGGGGACAGGCTGGGGGGAAAAGGAGGGAGCAGAGGCTGGACGGTGGCTGGAGGATGGGGCTGCTGCAGTAGAGAAGGTACAGTCCCACTCACCAGCCCCTTGCTGGCTGTCAGGTTCTGCAGGGCACCAGCACAGGCCTCCAGGGTAGCATCTTTCTTGCTCTTGCCCATGAGGTTCAGGTAGGTGCGGATGGCATCTGAATGGTACAACCAGCCGCTGCCCTTGGGGTTGGTCTCTTCCTCAGGCAGGGGGCAGTCATAGTTGTTGTTCTGAGGATAAAGAGCCGGTCAGGGGGGTCAATGGGGAGCCTTGTGAGAGGACACAACCCAGGCATTCTGTCCCCATCCCCCCAGCCTCAGGGTCGTGGTTCCAGATAGGGCAAGCTGAGGAAGCGCCTGCAGAGGCAGGGGGCCCAGGACAGCCCCGCTGCACCCCTTTCCTCTATGCACTGCAGCAGCTCCATGGGATGCAGGAATGGGCCATGGTCCCCCAGACTGTCCCAGGATGTGGGAGAAGAGAGCATCCTGGCATCTTGGGAGCTGTGTTCCAGGGCAGCCTTGGCCCAAACCTTCCAGATATGTGGGGCTGCTTTGGACTCTCCCATCATGATGCTTCCTCCTCTTCCAGACTCAGACAGTAGGTTTGACCCACCCTGGGCCAAAGAGGGTGGTCTGAGACCTGGATTCCACAGCTGGGCCCAGTGAAGGAGACCTGACAACCCATCCCTGGTAGGCTTCTGCTTCTGGGGAAACCTGGCAGGGCTCAGGAGATGGTGGGAACCAAGGCCAGAAAGAGTGAGAGTTCTGGCTTTCCTCAGATCCTCAAGGGCAAGGGAGAAGATGGGGGAGACTTGACCCACTATACAGGAAGAAAGACCAAGGCCTGCAAACAGAAGGCTGGAGTTTTTGACCTCTAAGGTGGTCTGAGCCCCTACAGTTCCAAGAACAGATTCCCCCTTGTGCAAGATGAATGGCCTCTACCCAGCTCCCAGAGTGCACCCTGAGCCCCAGGCCAAGGTGTCAGCATGGGCCTGTCCCTTAGGGCTGGCTTCAGGCTCCAGGAGGGCCCAGAGGAAAGGGCAGATGAGGCAGTGGCTCCTGGGGGGGTGCTTGATGGGGCAGGCCCCGCCCTGCTGATGCTGTGCTCACCATCATCTTGTCGCTCTTGTTGCTGAAGCAGCCAGTGGAGGACTTCTCGGTGTAGGCGTTGCGGGCGTTATACTCCAGCTGGCGGTAGCGGGTGGGCACCTCGGCGTCCAGGCGGTAGGAGAGGTTGTGCAGAACACACATGCAGTTTTCCACAGACTGGGGACCAAGGAGAGGCATGGGCCTGAGCCTCTGCCCGGCCCGACAGGCTCCTGGCCTACCACCTACCCTAGCTAATAAGAGAGCAGAGGCACCTGGGCTGCATCGGGAAAGATGAGCGCAGGCACCACCACACTATCAGCCTGGGAAGTCTTCCAGGGCCACCTCTGGGACCTGAGTTTGAATCTGTCATTTCCTGGCTGCATGAACTTGACTGGCCTCACTTCTCTGGGCCTCAGCTATCTCAAATGTAAAATGAGACTACAATTGTCCATTTCACTAGGCTATTTGGAAGATGATACAGAGAAAGCACTTATCACAGGGCCTAGTGTGTGGTAGGACTGCTATGGACAACATGCCAATGGGCAGACTGGGATATTGAAGAATGTGTCTTTTTTTTTTTCCAGAACAAACTCCTCCAGAAGAAGCCCCATGCCTCTAGATTCCAAAGCCATCTAGTGCCCCCATCATTCTTTCTTCCTGGGGCCAGTCCTTAGCTGTCAATGTCAGCGGTGCTAAGTCCACACAAAACACAGCAACACCTGGAGCCCAGGGCTTCATCATGGCAGCTGGGCTCAGATCTTTGTCAATCTCCTTTGGCAAACCTCCAAAGGACTAGGGTTTGGGGGCAGCAGATTTACCCTCCTAATGATGTTTGGCCCTTGCTGGGGTCTAAGGGAATCTGACTTCCAGGGCTTGGGGTTACACAGGTGTTGGAGATATTGCACACAGAGCAGAAAAGCATCTTGCCCTTTGGAAGCAGGCTGAGCAGCCCAGTGACAAGGCTCTCCTCTGTGGCCCTGCTGTTGCTTCCAGTGGAGGGAGCAGGAGATAAAATCCCTCCTTACGGCAACTGTGCTGAGAACCCAGGTGCTGTGATGTCAGCCCGTTCCCTGGCGATCTGGAGCCTGCTGGGCCTCACTATCTCCTGAGCCACTGTCCTGCCATGGTGGGAACATCTCAGCCTTCTGTTTATCTGCCCTCCACAACTTTTTTTCTTTCTGTTTGTCTGTGCTGTGTGTCCAGAAGTCCAGAGAGGGCAGCAAGATGACTGCCAATGGCTTTTCTGGGAGGCAGTGGGAAGATAGCAGTGGCAGAAGGAGCCTCATCTCAGGGGGGACACTAAGCCCTGGGGGCACCAGTATGGATTCCTCTGGGCTGTGGGGCAGGGCTCGGGGTCACAGGACAGGCCTCAGCACCACCAATGAAGCACAGCCAGCAGATGCTCGCTGGGAGCTTCCTCTGTGCCAGGCCCTCTTCGTGTTTTGCTTATTAACTAATCAAGCCTTTCAGACAACCCTTGAGGTTGATATGATTATGACCCTTTCCATTAGAGTGAAGAGTGAACCGGGAAACAGAGAGATTAGGGAAGCAGCTGCATCTACTCCACTTCTAAGTGAGGGAGAGTGGATTTGCATGGGCACGCTGTCCCCAGAGCCCACTCCTGTAGCCACCACTGAGCCCTGCATCCAGATGCCTCTTCTACCACCCCTGAGTCTGTGCTCCTGTCTTGTCACTGGGCCAGGCCTCAAAGGCACCCAGAAAATGTAGGGGGCTGGGCCTAGGGGTCAGGGTGCCACCAGGGGATGCACTCACCTTGTCGTCACAGCGGCTGGCCGCTACACAGTTCTGGACATAGGCCATGAGGGAATCAATGAGCCCTGAGTAGTTACGCATGGTCTGGCGGCCTGCATCGGCCGAGCTCAGGTTCCTGGGGGAGAGAAGAGGGTGGAAGAGGGCAGAGAAAGGGGGAAGAGAGAACGGGGAAGGTGGGGACAAGAGAGTGTGGTGGGGGACAGGCAGGAGAGAGAACAGGCAGGAGAGGGGAGGGCAGAGAGGAGACGACGGGGTGGAGATTGGAAGTTGTGGTAGAAGGAAGGAAGGAGAAGAGGAAAGGGAGGAAAGGAATGAAGAGAGGAAAAGATGAAAACGGAAGGAAAGAGAAACCATTTAGCCAATTCCGCCTGGCCCTGGCTGAGGCTGAAATGAGGTCTCATTTGCACTCAGTTCTTCTCCTCCTTCACTCTGCCCAGTAACTTTATAACTGGCAATGGCTCCATGTGGCAACGGTCCCTCCGCAGCTGCATCCCAAGGCTCACACCCTGCTACTAGTGGCCCTTTGCGGAACAAGAGCCAGAAGCTCCCGCATGCCCAGTCTCTTTCTGTGGGACAGGAAGAAGCCCTGTTGATGCTGGATCAGAAGTGGATCTGGGGGTGGCCGGGCTGGGCACCAGAAGCTCCCTCTCCACCCAAGCTGTGTTCTGCCCCCAGCAGTAGGCTCACTCCCAAGCAATGTGGGCTCATCCCCAAGCAATGTGGGCTCATCAGCCTGGTGCAGGTGGGGTGTGGCTGCTGTTGCTACCAGTAGCACATCAACCCCATAAAACTCTTAATTATCCTCACTTTTCATCTCCCCAGCCTCTCTGCTTCCTGGAGGCTGCTACCGGAGGCTGGCAGGGAGAAACACAAGTTGAGACACAGAGGCACATGCCAGCTGCACCCACCACTCTGGGGGGATTCTCAGGAGTTGGGAAAGACAAATCCCATTAAAGCAAGACAAACCCCATTAAAGACCCTAAAAGGGATCCTGCTCCAGGGTTCCAAGCCCTGTACCAGCCGCCCCTCCACACCCACCCATTTCGCCAGCTTGTAAACCACTGCTTCTAGAACAAGCCCTCCCACCAGCCCCACAGGGGCTTTGCCACACCCTGGTATGGAACTTAGGCAACTTTGGGTGAAGCAGTGCCATCTTCATGCCAATGAACATGGCAAATGGTTTTAACACCACAGCTGGGAAGTGACTCATTAGCAACCCATCGGTAGACTTTTGTCTAAAAGAACACTCTTCAAGATGATAGCACAAGAAATGCATTTTTTTTCATGGGGTGGAGGAGGGAAATGGTTGAACCAGTTTGGATATTCAGATCTAGGCATTTTCAAGCTCAGATTTCTGACTAATGTCCGCTGCATTCTCTCAAAGGGGGTGGTAGGGTCCTGGGCCTTATCCAGTTCCAGGGAAGTTAGGAAGGCCTGAGTCCCTGTGTCTTGGAGCCTGCCCATAAGAGGGAGTGCCGGGTTGTCTGTTATGTTCTATGCACCGGCTGAATGTTGGCTGAGATGGGGCTGCCTGGGGAAGGGCCCAAGGCTGGGACAAAAAGACCCCATGTATCCTCTTCTCTCACCTCAAGCAGCCTGTGGCATTGAAGAAGACCTCAGGGTCCACCACTTCCCGGGACATGTTGCTATTGCCATCGCACCAGCCAGAGAAGGGAATGATGACGCGGTCGGCCAGAACAGGCAGGGCGTCGGCAATGAGTTCCTCCTTCAGCTCGTCAGTGGAAGACAGGTTCCAGAGCAGCCCTGGGGGTCAGAGACCATCAACCCAATTTGTGCCAGGCTCAGGATGCCCTAGGGACCGAGGTAACAGCCCCAGCCTGGACTCTGGCAAATGGGCCCTACTGAAATGTCGCTTTCCAGGTAGCCCTGGTCTGTAGAACCTATTGTCTGTCTGTGTCATGAGGCTATTTCTCAATGCCCCAACCAGACTGAAGGTTCTTTGCAGGCAGGGAACATCTCAGAGTTCTCTGTCAAGGCCAAAATTATGCATGTGGAAAGTGATCAAAAAACGTTTGATTGATCAGTGGTTTTTAGTATAAATTTTAGCACTTGGAGTCTTCTAACGCTGTCTCTTTTCCATCTGAAAGTTATGCCAGAAATACTTATCAGTCATTACTCTGTACATGGTCTGATCTTCCCAGCCCAATTCTAGGTCTTCACGGTGACCTCTTCCTCTTGTGCCCCCCACCTTGAGTGCCTACCATATTTCTTGAACACAGGGTAGGTGCTTAAGGCCTGTTAACCCCTTCTCCCCTCAGTCTTACTCTCTTTCCATCACCTGGGAATCCCAGGGCTTGTGGAATATGGATCTTGCCTGGACATCAGCCTTCCTCCTTTTGCTCTTTAACCTCAAAAAGATGGTGACCCCTTGTGTGTGCACACCACCCAAGGTCACCCTCTGGACACCCCTAATTGGGCCAAGGCCAGTGTCACTAAACTCTCAGGATATTAGCCCTGGGCCAAATCTGCACAGCTGTGTCTTGGCCCAGCCTGGAGAGACAGGCTTGCACCCCAGCCTGGGGCCATAGCCAGTGGCCTTGCACAGCCCTCAGGCTGGCTCTCGGTGGCCGTGTTGTCCTACCAGTCAGCTGCTTCTGGATCTCGGCGTTCCCGGTTCTCCTCAGGAGGCTGACTGCCTCGCGGATCCCATTCTGCCTCCGGGTCTCCAGCTTGTTGGTGGTGCTCCTGAACACCAGGTTGCGCAGGGCCCCTGCCGCGGCCTGCTGGACGTTCTGGTTGGGGCTGCGGAGGAGGTCCACCAGCTTGCAGATGCCTCCCAGCTGATAGACCTGCCAGGAAAGAGTTGCCACGCTGCCTGGTCAAGGGAGATGAGGCTGATCTAGTTATTCTCTACTCAAAGGTGATTTTTTTTTTCAGACCAAAAAATCTATCAGTTCAGAAATATTCAAGTCAACCAAAATAAATAAGCAGTGTGAGGTCATGATAACTGACCCAGACCCGGAGGCAAAAGACCTGGATTCAGATCCTAGCTCCCATATCCTAGCTCCCATATCCTAGCTGGGAGAACCTCAGCTAGGGTCCCTCCTCTTTCCTGAGTCCTGCTTTCTTCCTCTGGAGAATGATGGTGAGGACCTGATAAGAGAGTGGATGTAAATACATTTCAAAACCCTAAAGCAGAACACAGACATAGAAATGCATACAAACTTATCCGGGACTCTGGGAAACTCATTTTTGACACTACATCCTTGGGCTGAACTGAAGAACCCTGTAGTGTCCTTCCTGCCAGCAAAGCTTTGGAGGCATCAACAGGCCTGTTTTCTACCGTAAGATGCCTGGAGAGAGAAGGGGAGTGGGAGAGAGGAAGCAGGTAGGAGGGCAGGAGTTGAGAGGTGAGGAGCAGTCATGTTCTTTAGTGGGATTTGAGAAAAGGGGTTTCTGTTGAACCCGTGGCTGGCATTGAAGTCTCTTCCATGACCAATGGAGGAATTGTACCTGCCTAATGTCCACTTAAACAGAGGGCTTTGCTCTGCAGAAAGTTAAGATGCCCAGCTCTAACCTTGGGCAATGCGAAGGCTCCTGGCAGCTGGGCAAGGCAAGAGAAGCCAACTGCAGATGCCCTCACCCATCTCTAAAAGCGGAGTCAGGCTGACACACCCAGGCCCTCCGCAGGCCCACCAAGGAGGAAGGTATGCAACCAGCTACCTGTTGCTTGGCAGATTCATCCTGGAAGCAGGTATGCTGGATGTAATAGGCCCCAATGGCCTGGTACTTCTCATCCTGGGAGCTCAGGTACTGCACAGCCTTGGGGATGGTCAGCCCACTGCACTCGATGTCCTCACTGCAGATCCTGTGAAGAATAGGCAGTGGGGGTGGTTACGGGGTGGGCTGGGAGCCCTGCTGAGGGGGCTCAGAATTCCTCCCAGCACACTAAGCTGCCACAGCCTCATCTGCCCTCTGGAGAGCCAGAACAAGGCAGCCCAGGCCCACTTGGAGAATACCCCTGGGAACAGCTCCTCTCCTCCAGAGGAGGGAAGGCTACACCCACTGGATTTGCCCCATGTGAGAATAGTGAGCCCCTGGTCACAGTTAATGTCCTAGCAGGTATGTTATCTCTCCACTGAGGAAAAACTCCTCCCTATTCCCTGAGGGGAAGCTTCCCACCTACCTTGCCATCTCTCTTGTTTGTGTCTGGTATTAGGAAAATGGAAGACAATGGCCATGATCCTATCCATCCATCCATCCATCCATCCGTCCGTCCATCCGTCCGTCCGTCCGTCCATCCGTCCATCCATCTGTCCATCCATCCGTCCGTCTGTCCGTCCATCTGTCCATCCATGCATCCATCCATCCATTTATCCATCCATCTATCCATCCCCAAGTCCAGCTGGCTCTTACACAAAAATGTTCACATCTAGCCTTTCTTCCCATTCTTATAGCCACCAATTTCCTGATCTTGATCACTTTAAAGGCAGCAAGGGACTTCCATATTTGGCTTTCTTCCTCAAGTTCCCCCATCTAAAATTTCATACCCTTTTTACTAGATAAGTGGTTCTAAAACCCAGTTCACTGTGTTGTTCTCTAGCTCAGAAACCATCAGCGGCTTCTCCATACTTCAGGTTCAAGTTTAAACAGCTTAGCCTGATGTCCAAGGGCAGGTATTAGGTTGAATCATAGGAAATGTCTGTAGTCAACCTTTTTTCAGCCATAAAACCAGAAATTTCATATGTTTTAACCTAATAACCCGGCTCCACTATGAACATTCCCCAGCCCCTATCCAGGGTCTGCTCCAGCAAGACTGTCCCCTTCACTGTACCCTGGCCAGGTCTCAGGCATGCCTCAAGGCACACCACTGGCCCTGCTGATGCCCCACATCTGTGAAGCCTTCCTAGGGAAGGGAAACCTCTCTTCTAAGAACCTCTCCAGCTCCCCTGGTGTAGAGTCACAGGGTGGTGACTGGCTGTGTCCAGCATTCAAAGAGGGAGCCCTATCCTTATGCTTTGACATACTTGGTGGTCAATAAATACCCATGGTTTTAGCTATAGCAGCCCAACTTCATTTCTAGGAAAACCACCCGAGGTGCAGAGTTCTCTGGCACTGGGTAAGTAGTACTGCTGCCTGCATTGAGAGAATGTCACCCTGCATTCATCAGTAAAATGTCACCCCAAAATGGCTTGACACTCATCCCTTCCATATCTCACCTAGAACCTCCACTCAGGGCCTCTGGTTGGGACAATGAGCTGAAGCCAGAGGCTGCCCTGATCAGCCTCCAAGACAGAGAGGTTTCTTAGTTCTTCTCCAGATCATCCTAAATACGCCTTACGGCCATCAGGTAGTTCGGAAACGTCTAGCTCTATAACGGGGTTCTGCTTATTTTCAGAACAGTGTGGTACCAGTAGGGAAGAGCACAGGATGGAGAGCCAGCTGTGTGGCCTTGGACAAACTACTTAACATCTCTGTGCCTTGTTTTCTCCTCAGGAATACTCATGCCTGCCTGGTGGCGGGTGTGAGGATTAAAGATGAAGAATGCAAAGCTCCTGAGGCTCTCAGAAAAGGAGTTAATTGTGTAGCTCCAGAACAGCTCTGGGTTGTCCCTATCATGGCTGTGTCTCCCGCACTTGTCAAAGAGCCTGGCATGTAGTAGATGGTCGGCAAACATTTGCCAAATAAATAAATAACAAGAGCAGTAGGTGGTGATGAAGGACAGTTCAAAGGTTCAGGGAGCCCCCAGCCCTGAAGGGCAGGCTCAGTGTCACTCACGACACCTCTGCGTCTATGGCTCCTAACGGGGCACCCCATTTGGTCTCCTTTGTTTCCTCTGGGTGATGGCCTTCCACATGTATGCACAGGAGTTGTGCTCTGTTCTGTAGCAGTAGATCATGAAGCCCCATGAAGTCCCTCAGGGTTTTTGTTGTTGTTGTTGTTGTTTGTTTGTTTGTTTGAGACAGGGTCTCACTCTGTTGCCCAGGCTGGAGTGCAGTGACACTATCTCAGCTCACTGCAACCTCCCCCTCCCGGGCTTAAGTGATTCTCTTGCCTCAGCCTTCTGAGTAGCTGGGACTACAGGCACCCGCCACCATGCTTGGCTAATTTTTGTATTTTTCTGTAGAGACAAGGTTTCATCATGTTGTTCAGGCTGGTCTCAAACTCCTGAGCTCAAGCACCCTCTACCCGCTCCTGCCTCGGCCTCCCAAAGTGCTGGGATTACAGGCGTGAGCCACCACACCCAGGCCATGTCCCTCAGTTTTTATGTCTATTTGTCCTATTTGTCCTTTGGATTTACCTGTCTTATAACGTAACCTGAAACCCATTCTATTCCCGTCGTCCATACCGGGGCATATTCCTTTGCTCTTTCAGAACATGGATAGAGATTTACATGCCTAAGATCAGAGGTTCTCAAACTCTAGTGTAAATCAGAATCACTGAAGGGCTTGTTAATATATGCATTGCTGGGCCCCTCTCCCAGTGTTTCTGAGACAATAGGTCTGGGTGGGTCCCCAAATGAGCATTTCTAACAAATTCCTGGGTGATGCTGATGTTGCTGGTTGGAGGAACACACTTTGAGAACTATTAGCCTCTTTCTGTTCATAAACTGTGACCTTTAAAACCTACACAGTCAATGTCTGTTTCACCTTCACACTAAGAACTTCTTGAGTTCAAGGGCCCATGGGGCCAGGTTCTCCCCATTAGGGAGTCCATTACACCAGGGGCAATGAACTCCCCAGGGACAGAAGCTATGTCTCTCCTGTCATCCCAGGAGCCCTTTGCAGGGTGCAGTCAGGCTAAGGGTGTGTCTCCCCACTGGCCCTCCTGGCTCCCCAACCCAGCCCAGCAGCACTCACTTGGAGCTGGCCCTAGAGTGGCCAAAGGACAGGTCCTTGTTGCAGGAGATGGGCGGGATATACACAGGGTCCTGCTTGGAGGCACAAGAGGGCGGGCGCACAGGGCACTTCTTTATGGCCTTCTGACCACTGCAGGTGCTGTAAAAGCTGTAGCGGTTCTGGGTGGTCTTCTGGCCCTTGCTGCCCAGCGTGCCCTTGCGCAGGGTGCCCCGTGGGTCACAGTAGAGGTCGGGCTCACTGCGGCTCGCCTTGATTTTCTGCATGAAGCAGATGTCGCTGCCTGCGCCGGTGGTGTTACAGCTGCCCCGGGGGTAGTGCCGGCTCCAGTTCTCCATCTGGCTGTAGGAGCTGAAGCGCCTGTTGTCAGGCTCCCGCTTGAGGGTTCCATTGTAGATCTGGCCAGGGAAAGGGAGAAAAGCTCAGTCAAGGTTCCTAAATGGGGGTCCTGGATCCAGCAGGGCATGAGATACAGCCCTCCCCAGCCCCCATAATAACGCTTACAGAATCCCAGAATGTTTGGCGTGGAAGGAACCTGAGCCATCATCTGATATATTACTTTTCTAACTGCAGGCTGTGACCCATTGTGGATTATAAAATCAATTTAGAAGACTATGGCCATCATTTTTAAAAAGATGGAATAGAATAATATATCCTGGAATATAAAATATCAGAGTGCAGTGCAGGTAGTAAAGTCACACATTGTTTTGTGAAACAGTGTATGGGTACTGGGTTGCAACATACGTGACATACCTAAAGGAGCTACCAGGTGTCATAAGAGGGAGGATGAACCCAGGAAGCCAAGACAGCCCAGGAAAGGTGTATGCACCAGTATCAGAGCCCCATGCTAGTCTCACCCCACAGACACAGAACGGGTCTAAATATGTCTCAGAAAAGTGGAGGAGGATGGTCTGCCCAGATGGGGCACTTCGAGTGAAGCCAGGCTTTATGACGAATGGTGCAGTGTTTCTTTACGTGGGTGCTGTCGGCACCTGAGGCAGAACAATCCTTCGCATTTATTACTGTGAATTGCTGTCAAAAAAGTTTGACAACCTCTGATCTGGTCCCACATGGTACAGTCCAGGAGGGGGAGTTGGAGGCCCAGAGAAGAGTGACCTTCTAGTAGTCACTCGGTGAGGAAAGGACAAAACCTGGACTTGAGTCTGGGTCTCCAAGCCCTATGCCATTCCCAGACACCAGCAGCTTCTCACACAGCCAGCCTTCTTGGGCCCCTTATACTCAGCACACAGAAACTTCTATTCTGGCCAGGACTGTTTTCTACTGTTCTTTTCTGCTAAACTCTTCATCTTGCCTCCCCTCTTCCAGGGCAAGAAGCAAAGGGTAACAGGTCACCTCAAAGGCCAAAGAGGGACAATATTCCTGCTCCCTGGGCCCTTTTACAAGGGACTGTGAGCTAGGGGCCTGCGTGCACACATGGAGGCAGGCCTGGGGCTGCAAGGTGGGGTACAGGGAGGGCCTCCTGGGCTTTGTTGTCAGGCTGGCAATGGGGAGAAGCTGGGCAGAGGCTCAATCCGGCACAAAAACATACAACAGACAATGAGGTGCCTCATGAGCTCTGTGTGAGCCCAAGTGGGGAGTCGGCCTCCTTGGGAGGGGCCTGTGAGGTTGGAGACTTGGTGCGAATCAGTTCTGGAACAGAACTGTCCGAGGAGGACTTTCCCAGGAGCTCACAAGCTGGTGGGTCTGGCCTGCTCCAACTTGTTCTCATAGTAGAGGATCAACATCGAGTATGATAAAAAAACATCTCCACACAGGTGCTGACTTGGGACTCACCTTTGCTGGGATGGGCCAGGGCCAAACCCAGCAACCTAGGGCCTGCCCGCCCACCCCTGCCCCTCCCTGAGAGAGAGAGAGTATGTGTGTGTAGGGGAGGTCGTTAGGCAACTGGGTAATTCCCTTCTGCACCAGATCTAGCCACACAAGCTGGGGAGGGGCTGGCACTCGACTTGGTCCTTTTTCATCTCTGCAGGGAGTCACAGACAGCAGGAAACTCCCATGGTTTGAGCTCCCAGAAAGACTGGGTGTCAAACCACCAGTCAGAAGTTGCATCCAAAACTCAGAAGCCACAGACTGTTAACCTTGGCAATAGCCTGCTCATCCCCTTCACCCACACGCCCAGCTGTGCACTCAGGCAGGCATAATTTTCTTCCCCAAACTGGGTCAACCAACCTACTCCAAAGAGAATTGGTGTCTGGTTGTTGGGAGAGGCATAGATGGACAATCACAAGGCATGGGGAGAGCAGCTGGGCAATTTTCTGAGCATCTGGGTATGGAATGCGTGTCCTGCAGATTACAGGCAAAATATGCCATGAAAGCCTTTACAAATGGCCACACCCTCCATTCTCCTCTCAGGGGAAGGAAGGTGGCAGATGACAACATGGAGGGGGAAGCCCAGCATTGCCAAAGGGCAAAGAGCCAGCTAAGCCTTAAATGGAAATGCAACAAGGAGCACCCTTGTTCTCCATAAACGACACGCCTGGACGTCATCTCAGACACCTAATGAGAAGCCCAAACACTCATCCTGGCCCAAAACCAGCAAACATGTGATCATGCTGATTGAGCCTCTCAGAGGCTTTGGGCTTTGCTTTCCTGTGCTGGGAAAAGGAGCAGCTGGCAGCCTTGCCAAGTCTCAGCAAGGGTGGGCTGCCCACAGGGAATGGGCATTGGCTGCACCTGCAGGGGAGCGGGCAAGGTGGGGAAGGCAGAGACATCCCCGTGGGACTGCATTTCCCAGCCTACCACCATCAGCCACACCCTAGTGGCGTCACCCATTCCTGGGAACCCCACCCCAGCTCCTAGTGTCATGGTGCTGGTGGGCTGTGCTGCCTGAGGACAGCTGGGTATGACTCTCTCCCATCATCATGGCCCTTTGCTGTCACTTTGACAAGCAGGAGTAAAGCCTCCTCTCAGACCCCGTCCTCCCCAAGTACCATGAGGGGGCCTGGATTCCCTCCAAGGCACAAGGAGGTGAACTGCCACCAGCTCTCCCTGCACAAATTGGCCTGGGACCTGGATGAAGCCTGCAGCCTTGAAGGCTGAAACGGCAGCAACTGCCTGGGAATCCAGGTGCTTCCTCCAGCTCACTGGGCTGAGATCTACAAACTGGAGGAAGACCCAAGGTCAAGAACACAGACTCTGGAGCCAGCCTGCCTGGCCTTGTCGTTGCCCAATGGGTGGCCTTGGGCAATTACTTAAGCCCAACGTGCCTCAGTTTTTCCATCTGTAAAACTAGTATAATTGTAGCCAACATAGAGGATTGTTGGGAGAATCCAGTGAACTAATGTTAGTAAAGCACTCAGGACAGTCCACGATATGAGTGTTTGCTCGGTAGGGACATCATATCCCTCTGACTCTTAGATTGGGCACAGGCTGGCTGCCTTAGGACTTGGCTCCTAAAGGAGAGATTTTATGTCACCTGTGACATACCTAAATGGGATACCAGGTGTCATAAGAGAGAGGATGAACCCAGGAAGCCAAGACAGCCCAGGAAAGTGTATGCACCAGTATCAGAGCCCCGTGCTAGTCTCACCCCACAGACATAGAATGGGTCTAAATATGTCTCAGAAAAGTGGAGGAGCATGGTCTGCCCAGATGGGGCACTTCGAGTGAAGCCAGGCTTTATGATGAATGGTGCAGTGTTTCTTTACTTGGGTGCTGTCGGCACCTGAGGCAGGACAATTCTTTGTATAGGCTGTCCCAAGCATGGCAGGATGTTTAGTGCCCCAGCCTCCAGGTTCTAAATGCTAGTAATGCCTCACAGTCATTGCAAAATGTCCCCACACGTTTCCAAACACTGTCTTCCAGGTCCCGAGAGAGCAGCTGCAGCCAGAAGAGGATGCACGGGCAGTGCACGTGCGCCCGCTGCAGGTGGGAGAGCTTCACCGCCAATGCCGGCTCTCCCAGCCACACCCCCACACTCAGATAGCAATCTGCTGGCAGCGTCTGGCTGTTTGAATACAAAGGACAGTGACACACACACAACCTCTTGTCTGGTTATCCCATGGATCAGAACATTCCAGAGGCTGGAAACTCAATTTCCTGAGAGCAGAGTTGGTCACTCTGCCAGACAGCAGGCTAGACTGGACAGCCAGACAGAAATCCAGAGCATTCTGAGAGACATGTTTCTTCACTTGGGAGACCAGTGGGGCTTTTGAGGGGTCCCACAGCCCGAGGTGAGCCAGGAAAAGCTGCTTTTAGCTAGGAGCCCCCCAGCCAGTCCCCGCTTTGCCGCCTGCTTGTGTAATTCCCCTTCTCCCCTTCCTTCTTGGAGAAGTGGGGTGTTTTAACCCCACACTGAAAGCTCCCCTCTATTCCTGTCCCTCATTAAGTCAGGAAGCTCTCAGAGGCCAACCCCTCCTTTATAGGCAAGGAGACAGTCTCAGTGAAGCAATACAAGCCCCAGATCCAGGGCCTCAAAGAACTGAATATGACCAGTTGCCCCTTGAGAGAGCCATTCAGTGTGGAGTGGCCCCCAAAGCTGGAAAAGCTCCAGCTTGCCCAAATCATCGGATAGGGCAGTAACTAACCATTCAAAAAGAGATGGCATCCTCCTGTCCTTCCATTAGAGAGTCCTTACTGACTCCCCTCTTTTACACCCCTACTGCCCAGGCTCTGACTCCGGGTCCCATCAGCTTACCACCAGGCCACTCCAGTGCCCCCCACTGGCCCCTGCCCAGCCCCCAGGGCTCTGGTCCCTGCCTTGCGATGCCATCACTCCACCTTCCTTAGGGAAAGCTTTCATCAGCTCTTGCCGTGCTGGAGAACCTACAGTGTCTGCTCCTTACAAGACAAACTCCCCAGCCCAGCCCCACCCTGCCTGTCCAGCCATCTCTTCCCCTCCCCAGCACACCCCTCTAAGCTGCCCCATGACCTCAGCCACATCCCAGGCTCCCTGCTTCTGTTCAGATGCTCCTCCACCCTGGACAGCTTTTCCTCACCTGCAGCCTCCCAAATCCTACATTTATCTAAGGCCTCTTCTCCACCTGTCATCTCCAAAAGGCCTGTTCTAACCCAGCCCTGTCTCCATAATGACCAGAGTTGGAATTATTTGCCCTTAAAGCCAGGGGCCTCTGGTCTTGTTTGTTTTCTAGTTGCTAATGTAGGTTTCTGTCATTTCCCTGAGCTCTCCAGGGCAAAGATGCCTAAAACAGGGCTGAGCTCACAGCAAGAGCTCAGTGAAAGGTGGACTGTGACTGTGAGAATTTGTGCTAGGGGTGGAGATTCAGGATGCTGACAGCACTGCAGTTCCCATGGCCTCCAGGGCACAGAAGAGAGAGAAGGCACCATGAGTAAAGTGGGCTGGCGGTAGGTAGGGCCGTTCTAGGCAGGGTGAGGCAGCCTGTGCCGGTGCACGGCATGGGGTCCAGCTGTGATGTCCAGAATGCTTCCCTTTACCGCTTGACCTGAGCAAAGCAGCTGGGTGGTTGAGCCCAGAGAATTCTATCCAACTCTAGCTGGACAGACAGAAGCTGCTGGACTCCTTGGGAGCTGGGTATGATGAAAAGAGTGTCTGTGTCCCCAGCTATTAGCCCATTTTGAAACCAAGCTTCTGCCAGCAGGGTGGGGCCGGCCAAACCGGTTCTCCAGCGAGACACACCCTGGTCTGCTTGCCAAGTCACACACCCAGCAGTGTCCAACAGGGCCATCTTCAGCAGCGTGATCTCCCAAGGCCCTTTTCATGAAAGGGAGTGCACGCACAGTTTCATGGAGTCCTCGTGCCTCTCAGGCCTGGTGAGGGCTTGCTGGAGAAAGAACCTTGATTAGAAGTCTTTCAAAGACAGGTTCCATTTGCGACTTGCCTAGTACCTGCCACTCCCCACTCAGTGCCCAGATGAGGGGCTCTCATGTAGTAGGCATGTAGTGACCCTTGTTCATCTTGCTGGGATTTCAGTCAGGACTGGGATATTGGGCAGAGCTGACCCATCACAAGGGGCACCTCGCAAGTGGCTTAGCGGCTCTGCTCTACCCTCTCTAGGGGTTTGGAGAGCACAGGTGCTCCCCGAGCAAGGCTGCCGAGAATGGGGCACACAGGGCTCCAGGCGGTCGAGAATCTTCCCAAAGGGGTAGGGGTGCCTGCTTATTCAGCAGTCTGAGTCAGCATGGGAACCACTGAGGCCTGAGTCACAACAGATGGGACTTCAGCAGGGGAAGTGTCGATCCCTGCCTCCTGACCTCTCTGGGCACGGCTCCTTCTCTGAGAAGCAGGGGGTTCCACCCTGGGCTGGCCCTCCTTTCTTTTCCTGGAACACTGCTTTGGGCAGAGCAGCCCCATTGCTCAGAAGCCTTGACGCCTGGACACAGAGCAATCCCATTTGGCCTTGGAGGAAGTGTGGTGGGTGTGCCTCACTGTGGGTCCTCAAAGGCAGAGGGAGCTGCACCCACAATGCCATCACCAGCACCCCGAGACCAGCAGTGCCCACCCAGGTGAGAACTCCAGAAGGTACTTGCTAAGTGCTACTGAACTGAAGTCGCTAAGTGTCCACTGAGAGAAGGCACAGCAGAAGCCATAAACACCTTGATGCCCAGTGCAGGTACATGTTGCCACCTGAATTTTTTAAATGTTAAAAAAATGTAGTCCAGGTGCGGTGGCTCATGCCTGTAATCCCAGCACTTTGGGAGGCCGAGGCGGGCGGATCACGAGGTCAGGAGATCGAGACCACGATGAAACCCCATCTCTACTAAAAATACAAAAAAAACAAAAAGTAGCCAGGCACGGTGGTGGGCGCCTATAGTCCCAGCTACTCGGGAGGCTGAGGCAGGAGAATGGCATGAACCCAGAAGGTGGAGCTTGCAGTGAGCTGAGATTGCGCCACTGCACTCCAGCCTGGGTGAGAGAGCGAGACTCCGTCTCAAAAAAAAAAAAAGTAAAAGTTTTGGTGCCCATCCTCAGAGTAGAGACTTCCCCAGAGATCTGGTTAATAATGGTCAGTATCCCTTATAAGCTTTGAAAAGCAGAAACTGTGAGCATACTTCAATCATGCCAGTATTAACAAATGTCTATGGATAACTGAGGACAACTTTTCTAAGTAGAAAATATCCTATAAAACTTTGTAGCTTGCGGGTCTTTTGGGAAGATGCTTCTTTCTCCAGTGAGGCCACAATTCTGGGATAAAGAAGGCATCTTAGCCTCTTGGGCTCCAGGCTCTAAGCCTGCCTGCAAAGGTCAGGTCCATGGCAGTTCCTAAGCCTGGTGTGGGGACAACACGCACTTGTGCAGCCCAGCGCCTAGCCGACACCTGGTGCTCCATCAACACGCAACTATGCCAGCTCCTGCATCAGCTCTGTCTCCACTTCCTGCTCCTTGCCTATTTACTGCACTGTGGAAAAAACAGGTTTTCCGAAATGTTTCTGTTTTACCTTTCCCCCTCTACACCTGAGAAATAGGTTTTTCTCAGCTCTGAACACTGCTAGGATGGGTTTGGAAACAAGAACCTAAGGTTTCATACACAGACCTGTCTGTTTCCTTTTGGAAGGGAAATCCCTGGCAGGCGTTTGCCACTTCAGACGCAGCTCTCACAGCCCGAGTGGTGGAGGACCACTGGCCCTCAGCCATCTCCCTTCCATGGCCCCAGAGAAGTGGAAGGCATGGTCATTCTGCCCTCCAGGAGCTCCATGTTCTGAGGTCATAGCTCCTGGCTTTCAAACCCAGAGGCTGGTTCAATTGTCCCAGTGATGGTTCATCATGAAGAGGGAAAGCTGAGGGGGCCGTTCTGATATGAAATAACTCCTGGAGTCCTGGATGACGAGCCAGCACCTCAGAAGAGCACCCTTGAGGGTCAGGAAGATCCCACTGGGCCAGATGCCCCCCACCCTATACTGGGAAGTTGGAGGGAGAGGCTGGCTGGCCCCAGAGCCACCCCATGCACTGGAACAGGAGGTGCTTCCCAGCCCTGGGAAGAGGAGGGCCAAAGGCTGGGAGGTGGCAGCATCCTGAAGGGCAGGTGCTTACCTGGCCCAGAAAAGAGGTCCCTGGAGACCCAACAGTGGAAAGAAACCACTCCTGCTGGTTACAGTTTTTGTTTGTTTGCTTGTTTAAGACAGATCTGTAGCCCAGGCTGGAGTGGAGTGCTGCCATCATGGCTCACTGCAGCCTTGACCTCCTGGGCTGAAACAATCCTTCCACCTCAGCCTCTCAAGCAGATGGGACCACAGGTGCACACCACCATGCCCAGCTGATTTTTAACTGTTTTATGAGACAGGGTCCCCCTATGTTGCCCAGGCTGGTCTCAAACTTCTGGCCTCAAGTTATCCTCTTGCCTCAGCCTCCCAGAGTGCTGGGATTACAGGTGTGAGCCACTGTGCCTGGCCTGTTAGTCAAGAATTTTACATGAAGGGAGAGACACTTGACTGGGACCTTCAGTGCTTGGGTAAGAGATCTCACCTTTGGAAGAGAAGCATGCGTGCATGCATGCTCACACACACGGACACACACTTCTATATGCACTCCCCACCTGCCCACGTGGGACACACATCCCATGCCCAAAGTGGACTCAGGTAGGGAAGGTCTTTGGAAGTTGCTTGAGCATATCCTGAACACCATCACTGGTGTGGCACTTCCCAGTGTGCAGAGGGCTTCCCCGTTCATCACCTTGTGATTATCTCCCAGCTGGCCAATGAGGTGGCAGGGCAGAGAGCAGCAGCTTTGTTCTGTTTGTGAGCATATTAAGCTCAGAGAACTTTAGGCTGGTCCAAGGCCACGCAGCTAAGATGGGGCAGACCCTAAGCCAGGACTCAGGTCTTTGGTGTCTCTTACAGTGATTTTCTTCCAGCCACTCTGCTACCAGAGTCTGGTGACACAAACAAAGCCTACAGGGCAAAGAGTCTCTATAGCTAGGGGGCCCTCTACAGAAACTCTAGCATCTCTGGCCAGTTGCTGGCCCCGACTCCTGGAAGACCCCATCCCCAGTGGTTCTAGACACAGGAGGTGCCAGCCCTTCTTCTTTGAGCCAACTGTGGGAGGTTCTTGAAGACATTTAAGAAGTGTGTAGTTGCTTAGCTATGTGTCACAATTCTAATGCCCAAAGACCTGGGCTGGAAGACCATCTGTCCCAAGGGATGCCAGGCCTGTGGGCAAGGAGACCTTGTGGTCATGATAACTGTTCTGTCCTGGCCAGGACCATGAGAATGAAGGTGCAGTGAGTGATGGGAATGTGACTGTTTGGTTCCTCTCCAGCCACCCTTAGTGGTACTCTAAACGCACCACTGAGCACACACAACTGGGGCTGAGAAAACAGGGACTAGTGTTAAAGCTGGTACCTGAAGCTGAGCCCTGGATCTTCTGGAATTAGTTCAGTCTTGCTGAGCTTCTGGCGTGGCCAGGAAGGAGGAGGAGGGAGGAATGGGTCCCTGGCTACCCGTGAGCACCCCAACTCAGATCCCAGCACTGTGGGGCCTCCTGAGAGCTGATTAGGACCCTAGGTAGATATGAAAGAAGCTTAGGGACTTCCTGGGGGCCCTCTCCAGGTTGGCCACAGAGGGCAATCCTCCCACAGGGCATAGCACCCAGCAGACCCTGGTGAGTCCAGAGAACTGTAGGTGCTCAGTCAGAAACATCCACCTTAAATGTGCCAGTTAAAAAAGTGTTCAGCCAGGCGTGGGGCAGGTCACCTCGGTGAGGGGAGAGGGCTCTACTTCATGGCTCTGCTCTTAGGACCTCAGCTCTCCTACCTTGCCTGCTTTGGGAAAATTATCCTGAGCCATTAGCATATGACCCGGAATCTCCCCCAAGTGCTGGCAACACACTACTGGTGGCTGTGGGGTGACTCCAGGGAAATCAAGGACACAGCAATATCTAACATTGAAACTCATAGAAAGGACTTCTTTTTCCCATTTTGATTACCACAGGGAGAAAGTCTAGCTGGGTGTTAATATATTTATTTAATATTTGCCAACCTCTCTTTTTAAGAAAAAACAAAATAAAACAAACAAACAAACAAAAAAATAAAACTTTTCTGCCAGGTAAAAGTACCTAGCTAGAATTAATGTTATGTTTTTATTCTATTTATTATAATTGATTACCAAGGTTGTGGTTAGCCTTCATTTGTGGCAAAAGATACCGGTTTTTGTCATTTGGGTGAGTGATATAAAGTTTCCTTTCAAAATAAATACATTGGAATAGCTGGGCATGGTGGCACATGCCTGTAGTTCCAGCTACTTGGAAGTCTGAGGTGGGAGGATTGCTTGAACCCAGGAGTTCAAGACCAGCCTGGGCAACATAGTGAGACCCCATCTCTAAAACTGGCACGTGCCTGTAGTTGCAGCTACTTGGAAGTCTGAGGCGGGAGGATTGCTTGAATCCAGGAGTTCAAGACCACCCTGGGCAATATAGTGAGACCCTGTCTCTAAAATAAATACATGAATAAATAAATAAGTGCAGTGGAACTGATAAGTAATTCCCTTAAAAATAAGTAAATAATAGTTGGTATGATTTTGCAAAAATTGTGACAGTAGAATGCAAATGACGAATGTCTGGGAAACATGATTGCCCGTAGTGGCAAAAGTACCATGATGTGCCAGTGTGACCAGGAGCCCTGAGCCAGGAGTCAGGAGACCATGCTCCAGTCTTGGTCTCCCCTGCCTAGCTGTGCAGCCTCAGGCCGTCGCCTCGCCTCTCTGAACCTCAGTTTCCCCAACCACAGCATGCCCTGTAAGGCTTCTTCTGAAGGAAGGCAGTTCGGCAGTTCGGCAGCCTGTGATTCACCCCTTGCTGAAGTCACAAGCGGCCTCCTTCCCAGCCTGTCTTCATCCCCTTCCAGGCCTCGCCCTTGGGCACGCTGTGGGGGCGGGAGGGGAGGGGCTCCGGGTCTAGAGCTGCTTTTCTCCCCACCTGTGTCTCTACAGATCCCCCGTCCCCTCCCCGTGCCTGAGCTGATTTTGTTTTCAGCTGAGTTTGCTCTCCTGGGGCAGGCAGGCTTCCGTAGAGACATGCCAGGGCCCTGGGGGAGAAAGTAGAGCCTCACCCTTGCAAAGGGTGGGGACGGCTCTTCCACCCGCTTGGGAAATTCTGCTGCATTTGTCTCGCTGAGTCTAGTGACAAAAGGAAAACTCTCAAAGCAGAAATAAGGCACCAGAAGATACCCCCAGGACTGTATTTTGATGACTTAATCCCATGCCCTGCTTGCTGGCTTCGAAACTTGGCCAGCAGGAGAGGCTTGGCCCACTTCTCCCCCTGCCCTTCTAGGTCCCTCCCTCCTCTTGCTCTTCACACCCCGCTCAAAGTCCACTGGGGTCCAGACTCAGTTCTGCCAGATCTATCTGTGAGGTCACAGGCAAGCCCCTACACTTTTCTGTGGTTTGATTTCCCTGCAAATAAAATGAGAATAACAAAGCTTGGTCCACCTACTGAGCTCACAAAGACTGAAGGATCAAGTCAGGAGATGAAAACACAAGCAGTTTGTACAAGTTCAAAATGCTACACTAATTCAAGGGATTATTAAATAACCAGGTGCCGCGGGTTGGAGCACTTCTCCCTTGAGAGCTGACTGAGGACACAGCGCAGCTGAAACAGGCTCGAAAGCCACCACCTGCGGCTCATCCAGAACCCAAGACCCCCTCCCCAGATGTCCAAGACTCAGAACTGAAGCTGGGGAAGCAAGGCTTGGAGGTCATCTGGTCCCACGCCTTCAATGACAGATGAGGAAACCGAGGCCTGGAGAGGTTTAAGTTAGCGTGTGCTGCAAAATTTAGCTTTTAATTATATCTTCTTGTGCTGTTGTTTTGTCTGTTATTTGTTTTCAACTATAGCGTAAGGACTTTAAATACTGGTTGGTTGAGTAGATTAGTTTTTGTCAGGGCCAAAAGAAAAAAAAAAAAGCCCAAAATGAAACTCCACCAATTTCTGCTGGGGCAAAATAAAAAAGTTTATAATTATCCTTGATTCTTCAAATCTTCTCTCTAAAGTTTCATATTAGGGGAGAAGGGGAGAGAGCAACAGCCGACTCATCCAGAAGCTTCCTTCTCCGGAGAAGACAGAATTCCATTCTCTGTGGCCAGGGAATTGTCTGCCTCACAGTATCTCATCAGAATGGAAGAAATCGAGCCCCAGGCCCATCCAAGCATAAGTGTTCCCAGCCTAGCCATCAACTCAGAGCTCTACACAACATGAATGGAAATGATGGAGGAAGATTAGTTGTTGATTAGTGAAGCTAAAGGAAGGAGAACTGGCTTCTGTTGTCTCTGGGGAGAGTGGAGTTCCTTCCTGCAGACATCCTGAGAAGGATCCGCTGCTGATCGCATCCTGGGCTGCCAAAGCTTGGTGCTCCCCACTTGCTAAGCAGCTGCCACACTGAGTCCCTTAGCAGTGACAAGTCTCCCTGCACATCCTGACCAAATTGCCCTGGCCTTCCCTCTCCATTCCTCTACAAGGGTCCACACTATCAGGACAGTGACTGGTGGGAGTCTGCCCTCTCCTGGGTCTGGTGCTCCTCCCTGGGGCAGGAGGATGGAGGGGCCAGCGTGCTCACTCGGCCCTGAGGAGCATTGTTGTGGGTTTGTGATGAAGGCCTGGGAGGCTTAGGAGACCTCAGGAGCTGGCAACATGGAACCAGTTGCCCTCCTTGCAGGGGATGCCTATGCTTTGTGAACAGTCAGCAAGGTACTCTCAGACCACAGTCCAGACCTAGGGGCATTCCTGCTCTGCCCTCCATCCTGTCTGCTAAGGGCAGCCCTCTCTCCTTGCACACTCAGTTCAAAGCTCAGCTCCTCCAGGAGCCGATCCCGACTTCCTGCACCTGGAGCTTGCCCTTGGAGGACACCACTTGCATTTGTTCACTGGAACCGTGTCCTCCTCCCTTTGCAAGCCCATGCTGCTGACATGGGGCCATTCTCTGACTTCTCTCCCCAAAAGAGGGACACAGAAGCCAGACGTCAGAGTTACAAGGAGGTGGTCTGAGCCACCATCTAGTCTTGCTGATGATAAGCCTGAGGCCCAGCAGAAGAGGAGTCCCCAACACAGTCACGGGAAACCAGCCCTCAGACCAATGTTTGTTCCTTTTCTCCACATTCTCTCTGGGCTCTAAAGGGGCCTCCCTGGCTTACCCAGTCCTCAGCCAGGAGGCAGAGCCTCAACTCACCTGCCATGGAGGGGAGAGCAAGCCCAGAAAGGAAGCTCCCCGAGCTCAGCCCAACCCTAAGGGCAACAGAAGCTTCTTAGGGGAAGCAGAGCCACTCTGATGGACTGTGGCTTAGAAAGGAGGGCCCCTCCCAAGGAGTACCCAGACACCAGTGTTTGCCATAGGCTTCTCCTTCAGTTTAATACAGGGAGTGTCCCAGTGGCAGCAGTTTGTCTGTGAAAGCACACGGCATGCTCCTTCCACAGGGAGGGGTGCCCCTGGAGCCGGCCCGCCCGCTCCCGCTCACTTGCCTCCATTTTCTCTCAGAGGCACATTCTGTCCCTTGGCAAGTAGGATCATTGCCTCTTCTTGTTGGGGTGAGAGCCTGGGGCCCTTGTAGGACTCTCCTATCTCCCAGGGCTGGGTGGGGGTGAGTCATGAGTTGGCAGCGGGGACACTGAGTTGGCAAACACATCAATTGCTCCCTCTTGGAGCAGGATCCATGCCTGCCTGGGAGTAGGAGGCTGTGGTCTACTATCAGTCCCTCACCTGGACTTTTCAAGAAAAGACGAGAGGCCCGGCAGGCACTGCCGAAGGAACCCAGCTCATACACCTAGAAAGTGGCATTTGGAGCTGAGACACATGGTTTGGAAAGAGGGAGTTGGGTCTGTTTTAAGTTAGGGTAGTTACTCAGCAGAGCTACTTGTTGTGCATCAGTTTCCCTGTCTGTGAAGCTAAAGTAAATGAAGTCCTACCATCTTTTCATCCTGTTGCAAGGGCTAACTAACTGCTGTTTTCCTGGTGCCTGGAGTGCTCAGATGAAAGCAAAGAGGAAATTAAGAAGCTTTTATCCATCTGTAGGCTTGAAGCAAAAATCTGGGCTGGAGGAATTAACACTACCTCTGACCCTGGAGGGACCAGCACACAGACTTTAGCTCCCTGTAGCTACTCAGAGTCAGCTCTCAAGCCACATGCAACCCTAAGTGAGTCCTTGGCTGTGCTTTAGTCCAATTGCCTTGCTCCATAATTGAGAAAGCCAGGGTCTAGAGAGGTGAAGTCCACTCCAGATCCCTCAGTTTGTAGCAGCCCAGCTGAGACTGGAATCCACGCCTCCCACTGCTGATCTGGTATGTCACATCCATAAACTTCATACTGCTCTTTGAGACAGGAATTTTCATCCATTTCAGAGATAAGCAAGCTGAGGTTCAGCTAGATTAAGAACTTGACTAGAGTCACACAGCTAGTTAAGGAGCAGACTTGACTAAGAGTCACATGGCTAGTGAAGTTCCTGGCCAAAGTCCAGGGCTTATTCCTCCACTCCGGGCTGTCTCTGGGCATGGCCTCTGTTGACTGCGGATTGGTAAGGACAGTCTGTTTCTGCTGCTGCTAGGGTAGGAGTCCTACCGTGTTTCTCCCCGGCAGCCCCTCTGCAGTACCTGGCCCATGGCTCTGCCCTTGTGGACACTCGATTAGCATGGCTGTGACTGAGGGTGAACCACCAACCTGGGGAGCACTGTGCTTGGCTTTCCCATCCCCTGCTGGAGTGTGATGCAACCCCAGTCCTCTCATCTGTAACAGAGGCTTCATCCACATTTCTTCAGGTCTAGGGTGGCCAAGATCAGTTCTCCTTAGGGTAAGGGCCCCTAGCACATTGTCCACAAGACTCTGTCACAATGGGATCGTCAAATACAGACATATCAGTTAGGCAAGTACAACTGAGAAGAAGCTGGAAGAAAGATTTGCTAGTAAGTCCTGCGTTAAAGAGGAGAAATGGGGTCAATGAATAGGACAATGCCAAGACAAAGACAGAATTCTCCCTTGTTATATTCTGGGAGTTCTCACTCTTAGGCATGCCAGGCTGGATTTAACTGAGTGATTCAATGTGGCAGTCACCATGGTCACCCTGTTCCAGACCTCCCTCTGATGATGCCTCAGTGGTTTTCCTCTCTACTGATTAGATCCTGAGCAGGGTGGTGTAGGGCAATCTGCCACCTAAGAACTTTTTACTTGGTAGGACTCCCAGAAGAAGTGCTCAGGGTGCACTTCTTGATTTAAAAATAAGTAAACCCTTTGGAGCTGAAGATGATAGACAAAAGGAGTGTCATCTTAATCCAGAACCATTCCCTGGAAATCAAAATTGTCCACACGCCTCAGCTTCACTGAGGACAAACCCATGTGATCAAGGCCTGTTTTCAGCTTTGGAGTTGAAGGGCTGTGCCTTTCCATGGCTCCAGCTCTCTATTCCCCGCATCCTCGTCTTTGCTGACCCAGAGGAAGATATTCAAGGGACATATTACAAGGACAACTAAGATGGGACAAAAATCCTCCTTTTCTCACCAGAAATGCTGCAGCCTAAAGTAATTCTGCTGGGTCCCTAGCCTAGGAGAGGAGCACGTAAAGGAGTGTTGTTTTTATCACAGGAATGAGTGGGGAGACATAGTGACAGAGGGTTGCCAGATTTAACAAATAGATAGACGGGGCATGTAGTTATATTTGAATTTTACATAAACAGCAAATAATTTCTAAGTTAAGACATGTCTCAATTATTGTATTTTGTTGTATTTTATCTGGTAACCCTGCCCTGAAACCCATTAATGCTTATACCCAAGTGAACCCAGCCTCAGTCTAGGAAGGGAAAAACAGAGCTTCTCTCCTGCCTCTTTTGAGCTAGGCTGACTCCCCATGGTGAGAGTAGGCCTGGTTGGAGGGGATGGGAAGGGAGGAAATGGAGGGATTCAGACTCATGAGTGTCTTGCAGATCCCTAAACTTTAGTGTTTAGTGTTTAGTTGTAACGTTCAAATATTGAGATTGTGGAAACCCACAGAATGGCAGTCATAAGAAGTGCAAATGTCTGGGGTAATGAAAACAAACTCCACTAGGTTAGGAGTTACGAGGTCAGAGATCTAGTCCGCTGTACCAGTAACCAGCTGTGTGGCCTTCAAGGAGTAATTTCTCTTCTCTGGGCCTGCGTTTCCTCAACTGTAAAATGCAAACAGTGTTGGGCTCTAATATTCTACAGGTTTGGTGCTGAGAACCAGAAGAGCATAGCTGAGTATGCAGCTGAGAAACCAGGCAGCGAGGCTAAAACCTGCCCCATCTTTTGCTCCATCTCACCAGCTGCTTCCTCTCCCTGAGGTCTGTGGGGCTCTGAGGTTCCAACATTGTCCTCCAGCAGATCCTTCTGCCTGAAGGAGGAGGAGGCTGGGGTGGCCAGCAGAGAGCAGAACATGGACTGGGCCAATGACTTTCTTTGGAGCAGTCTTTTATTTTCCTTAAGCCCCTAGATGCTTTTTGTGTGTCACACTATCTTTGTTTTAAGTTTTATTTTATTATAAGAAAGTCTCTCTACATTCAATTTGTGATGTGAATAATCATAGATTATAAATAGTATGATGATTGTTTTTTAATTACAAGGCTATTATTGATATAGACTATAAGGTAAAACTATAAGGTACGACCATTGCTTTTTAAATATTTTTAGAGCCTTCTTTTTGGAATTGCCTACAGATCCTTTACATATTTAAATGAGATATGTATAGGAGGTGACAAAGCTTTGCTATTTGAGAATGGTTTGATATTTAGAACTAGAGCCAGATCTGAGGAGTGAGGTGCTCCAAGTGAGTAATATTGTTTCTGGTCAAACCCAGGTCATGACAATAAAGAAATGAGACTGGTTTTCTTGTCTGGCTCCTGAAATGATGCTGAAGACAGTTCTGAACTTTTAGGGGTTCTAGAAACATTCTGAGCAATGGCAGTATTGGTGTTATGCTCCAGTACAGAAACTAATGCCTTTATCTTATTTGTCTGTTGACCTCTGTGCTTCTAACTTGACTGCAGGTTCATTGAGGGCAAAGTCAGATTCTTTTCAACTGTGTTTCTGTAGCGCACCTCACTCACTGCTGTGCCCCAGCAATTGCTCAATACAAGTTGGCTGACCGAGTGAATATAAAGTATCTGCAGCAAATGATCCTTCATCAGCTCTCAGAAGCTCCTGAAAATATGCTGATGATGCTTGTGCAGACAAACTACACCCTCCTCCCCACCCTCCCTGCCTTCTGCTGCCATATTGGTTTCACCAGAGGGGAGGAATAACATCGTCCTGTGCCAGTTGTACCATCCATGGGAAAATCCCACGGACATAGGATTATCTCATGCCACAGATCTCTATTGCCTTTTCGCCTGCTCTCCTTCTCCTTATGTCTGGACCTCGTTTGGTTTTGCCCAGGTTTCATCTGATTATATGTCTGGCTCCAATATCAATTATTCCACTTCCTCCCTACTTGGCCTCCTCCCTCTGCCAAATCTTCATGTGTGCTCAGTTCTTCCCTCTTCCCACAGCCTCTCCTGAACTGAAAGGAGATGGGACGTGCCTCAGCAGCTACCCTGCCATGAGTCATGTCTGCAGTCCTGCCAGCGAGGGAGTAAGGAGGGTTGGGTCTTAGGGTGGGGAGAAGGAAAGAGATTTTCACTGGTTGTCAGGAAATGGGCACAGGGAGGGGTGAGGACAGTTTGGGAGCATTAAAAGCTAGTGAGATGACTGAGGACTGAGTTAATTAACCAGAAGTGAAATGTTCAACATGGGCCAAATGAAGATTTTTTTTTTTTCTTTAGAAACACCTTCCCCGAAAGAGTTCCTTTACAGTTCTTGGTTACAAATTTCCATGGTTACATTACCCATTTGATAATACTTCACAGTTAATGTCATCTGATATCAACCCGTGAGTGAAGTAGACACACGAGTATCATCATTCCCTTTTTATGGATGAGAAAACTGAGGCCCAGAGAAATTAAACTATCTAAAGTCACAGAGCCAGAGAGGGGCAGAACTAGGACTAGAACCTAAGCCTCCTAAGCTCTGAACTGGTAATGTCATTTAAGTAAAGACACGTACCATCTGTACTGTCAGCATAATCATCCATTCCGGCTGCTGGTGCAGTGATCTGCCTTCCTTGGGTTTCATCTAATCCCTTTATGCTGCATTCCTAAGCCATTTTCTCAATTTGGTCATCACCCTTTGTGTAAAAGCCCTTTTATTCACATCTGTGCTTGATCTGTCAGTTTACCGGGCTCAGTGTGCTGGGTTTATTTTGCACTAAGAGTGTCATTTGCCATCAAGAATCAGGAAAAAAGCGAGGGAAGTAAATTCACAGCAAATCTAGTTAATTGTCTCCTTTCATCCCCAAGCTGTAATATGTAAGAAAGACATAGCCTCCAAAATTAGCCCCCAAAAGAACTCAGGAATGGAAGAATCAAGCAAATGACAAAAGAACACCAAACTTATAAACTCCTCACCCTCTCCTCTCCCCAGGACCCAGGACCTTTGACAGTCAATCAGGAGTGATATCTGTGAGACATCTGTGTCTTAAAGCAAATGCTGCTTCATCCTAAGGCCCCACCAAGACAGAACCCCAGATTCCCACAGAGAAGCAGCCTTTAATCCCCATCTGACAATGTCTTGAGGGCCTTACAAAAGAATTCCCAAGAATAATGCAGGCTAATGTTGCATCAGCGAAAGTAAATGAAAGTCATAGAATTTGGAGGCTAGGAGAAACCTTGGGTGTCATCTAGCCCGGTACTCCTGACTTTAGAGCAGCAGAAAATTCCTGCACTGGCTGGTGTGGTTGTATCCTGAGCATCTACTGCAGTGCTTGTCACAGAATTAGGGCTCAATAAATATTTGTTCAGTAAATGGATAGATGAAGTATAGTGGATTGAGATCACTTAGAAAGCAGACAGAGCCAGGATTACAGGATCTAAAATAACCTCTATCCATGTTAATTTAACAAATAATCTTAAGAATTATTGTAATCTTTTTTCATGTACATTAGTTCATTTAATCCTGAAAATGACCCCAGAAGTTCTTTGTTATATCCACTTTCCATGTGAAGAAGCTGAGTCCCAAAGTTTGAAGTAACTTGCCCAAAGCCACATCTCAGTGAGTAGCAGAGTTAAAATTTGAACCCAAATGTGTCGGGTTGTCAGGGAGGCTCCACTCTAGCATGCAGTGTCATATGCAGGAGTCAATGCAGTGGACATGTTCTCTTGGCTCTTTGACCATAGGCACAGAACGAACAGAGATGACCCTTTAGGATTTTCCTAGAAACATCTAAACTGGTCCATTAATAGACCTCAAGAATGCAAACATTTCCCAAATCCATGATCAAATCAGACCTACTGGGAAATGGACTTGTTTTTAAATGCCTTTTAAAAATGCTTTTCCTAAAATATTATCATTTGAGACATTCAAAAATATCCAGTCAGCCCAAACGAGAGCCACCTATGAAACAATGGCCAAGTCAACAGACCTAGTCAGAGTTGATGAGCCTCAACTCACGGACCAAAGCCTACATCACTCTTTTTAGCAACTGGTGCCGGTTTTCTCCACTATAAACCTCAAACCATCCCCACAAGTACTCCAGGTCTTTTAGGATGGAAGCAGTTCCTTACCGGATATCCCCATGAGCCATTCCCTGCCTGGAACTTGGAGTAGTAGCTGCTCCTGCTGGTGGTCCCATAGTTGTAATTGTCAGCCAAGCCATCATACATGGAACCTAGAGGAGAAAGGAGGGGATTAGGACAGGGATGGCCATGATCTTCATCCACCCCTGTTCCTCAGGGCATCACTTCTGCATCCAGGTCCACTATGCCCATGGAGGAGACCAGGTCTGAGCTCCTGGAGGAGAAGGTGGGGAATGTCATCTCCATCTATCTCCACATCCTCCACAGCCGGGACCAAGGGAAGGGCTACCACAGACTCCTGCAGGGACAGCTCTAAAACTCTCATCTGTCCCCTTCCTGGGAGCCCAGTGGCTCCACTGCTGCTTGGGTAGGTTAACACCTACAGGTCAGGACTTGGTCTGGAGGGCCTTGGAGCACGGCCATTCCAGCCCAGGGAATCATCACTCCATGTTCCACAAGGATAAGATTCCCACTCAGGGGAGACAGGCAGGATTCCGACATTCCCAGTCCAGCAGCAACAGCTGATTAGAGATTGATTCAGGACAGGACTCTGGATTCAAATCTCAGCCCAGCCCCTACCAGTGACCAAACTTCCTCCCATTCTTTCACCTCTAACATGCTCTGGCTGGTGAAGGGGGAGCGGCGATCAACCTCAAAGGCCCAGTGAGGATTAATTAATGTTTTCGGAGTGCTTGGAGACCCACAAATGACAGGCTCCGCAGGAGGACAGAGTGTCATTAGGGTTATTAGTGGCAAAGTGGCTTTGCATCACAGAAAACAGAACTGGATTTGGGGCTCCTAGTGGGGCCACCCCCCTCATCTCCCTTTCACTGGCCAGCAGGGACACCCTAAGGGATAGCATCAACTCTGCACAAGCTGGTCTGTTCACTGTCCTGCTGTCCTTGAAATATGGCCAATGGTGACAGGCTCACCACTTTACTCACATCTCCCTCCATGCCAAACCTGCCTTCCCTCCTTGGCCACTACCTTCTAATCTTGCTCATCTTTTGAAGCCAAGCTCAAGACCTCACCCACTCCAGGAAGCCCTTTCTGATCAGTTCTGCACAAGGCAATCTCTCCTGCCTCTAAACACATACTGTCCTGCTCTTGGTAGCCCAAGTCTCATTCTGCCCTGCGTCCCATTCCCTCAGCTATACTGGGAGCTCCACGAAGAGCAAGCCATGGCTCCGTGGCCTGGCCCACACTCTTGTTAAGTGATGGCCTTGGGGGATGAAGGTGAGTGGGATCCAGTGAGAGCCTCCTAAGAGGGATATGCACTCCTTTTCTCTAAAGCGATGGTCAGACTCCCCCATCGGAAACCCTGTCTGTGGGGAAGAGAGTTGGGCAGTGATCTCACCCAGCCAAGGTAGCTCCTCCCCATCTGCCACACCCACTTAGGCTCCCCGGCCATTGCCTGGGGGAGCAGGGCTGGAATATCTGAGCTGGGAGTAGAGGGAATAGCCAAGGGGCAGCTTTGGAATGAGGCAGGGATCCCCACCTCGTGCCACCTCCCCTGTCCAGCGCCAGGTCACCACCCATAGCCCACAGCAGAGAGTGCTGCCCAACTCTCTGCACCCTTCCATCATGGACATTAGGGGTCTCAAGCTGTGGCAGACACAGCTTGCCCTGGGGGCCTAGCGGTGTTGATATTTGTCCTGGTTCTGGCACCTGGGCAAGTCACTTGCTCTCTCTGAGCCTCAGTGTCCTCTTCTGTCAAAAGAGAGGGTTGGCCTCTTACCTCCCATAGGCCCCGTACAGTTCCACTGCCCTGTGGTGGTGTGATGATAGTGACACGTGCCTGACTGCGTTCAGAGGAGCCGACTCCTCCTCTCCAGAGACACAGCTCAGCTTACAAGGAAGAAGGGCAGACATCAAAGGCCACACTACCGCCTCGTTTGCCACCTGCCTCAGGGTCCTCTGAGAGGCCTCCCCTATACTCCAGGCCTAGCCCTGACTCCAGAAGGGCCATCCGCCTATGAGCAACATCCTGGGACTCTGCCATGTGGCCCATTGAACCTCTGGCTTCCTCCAAGCTCCCTGTAGAGTGCACACAGCTCTTCCTCCACCTTTCTCCAGCAACCGCTCCTCTGGCAAGACTGTCCTTATCAGGAAGAGGCTGGAGGCAATCTCATGGGCTCAGTCACTCAGGACTGGTGCTCCCAAGGAAGGGGGCTGCAGCCAGGCACACTCATAGTCAGGACCCTAGGTGGCCAACCACCAGGTCTTGTCTGCCTCCCTTCCACCCAGCCCACTTTGATCATTCTTCCAAGGTTTGATAGGATAGAGTTCATTTGGATCTGGCCCTGTGAGCAGGTATTTCTCACCAAAGGTCAGGTGTGGGTCAGTCAGCTGCTTCTGGGTGGAAAATTTGGGGTGGTGACAGACAGAACTTTATGGAGCACCGGGGAGGCCTCCTGCTATGAGAAGCAGCCCCGGGGGGCTTGCACCAGGGCCTTCTTGCCCGTCTTCTGGGAGAGAACCTGTCAGCATGATGCTGCTCTCCCCATGGGTCATCAGACTAACCATCTCCTCCCGCCACACCCTGCACCTGCCTGCCTCCCTCTCATACACTCTTCTCTGTATGAAGGTAGAGGCCTCTCTGCCATGGAGGTGGCAGTGGACACACAGACACATGGAGGGAGAGGCCAGAATGCCCTGCAGTTCCCAAAGCCAGTCCCCATGTCCAGCATGAACTCTGGTAAAGGCAGGTGTGACTGTCACTCACTTGTGGCCTGCAGGCCCTTCCAGGCAGTTCCTGAAGGCATCTCCTAAGACCTATCTGTAGTTGGGGTCTGCTTGGCTCTGGTGAGAATGAGGGTAACATCACACCTGCCTGCACTGCTAATCTGGCAGAAGGTGACAGTATTTGGGGCGGAGGTGGTGAGAGAGGGGAAAAGTCCATAGTTGTCACACACCTGAAATCACAGCTCGCAGTGTGCCAGATAACCAAGGAGTACTGGGGGCAGGTGTGCTCTGTCTGTAAGAGCACTGCTCCCACAACAAAAGTGATTTTCCCTCTCTTGACCCTGGGGTGTCTGACTGGTAAGTAATGCCCTCTAAAAGTCAAGTTCAATAGCAAGAGCATGGGCTTCTAATGAGTGTAATGGTGCTAGCTCACTCTTCCACTTGGTCCCCGATGTCTCTAGAATGCACTTCTAGGAAGCCTTTCCTGATGAATGACGCCTACTCCCATCTCCATCTCACGCCCGTACAAGTCTCCACCACCATGTACTTTGGACACTCTCTGAAGTGCGAACCATGTCTTTCTTTCCCTGGGACCTTGAGTTCAGGGCATTGCCCCAGCTGGGTCTGGGCCTGACTGGCTTGAGCTGGCTCTTTGCGTCAATGACCTCTTCTCCCTTGCCCAACCCTTGTGGTGAACGTGCTCTGATGCCTGGTGCTTAGAGGCTTAGAATGGGGTCAGGCTCTCCTCCCACTCAAAGAGGTCCCTGGTGAGTGGGGTAAACCAGGAAGAGAGGAGGGCTGCTGCAGCTCTCAAATACCCAAGGCCACCTCCTTGAGGAGGATTCTTAGTTCCTGGGGAATGGGGGAGGGGCTAGTTCCCAGCTCACCCCACAGAATCACTCCTACCCTCCAGCTAAGCATCTGCTTTGCCCCTCTTCTCCCCATATGGGTGCATGCAGCATGAGCAGGGATGTGGTGGCTTCTCGGTGACACTGACAGTGTGCCCAACCTGTGTGCCATCCTCAGGAAGCATCTGCCCACCCACAGAACCCCAAGGTCAAGGAGCAAGTGCCTCAGAGCATCTGCCACTTTCCCAGGTATACAAGCAACACAACCTGCTCTGTCCACATAGCTCGTCTGATTTTACATCCGCGTTTTAGGGTGTAAAACCATCTCAGAAAATCTACCGCTCAGGTCACCAGTGTCCTGGCACACTGCTTCCCTTTGGTGCCTTAGACAACGACAGGCTGATTCTTTCTTGTGTCATCGGTGCAACTCAAGCTTTCTCGCCTCAAAACCTTTGAAACTGGAGGCAGCTCCTTCTTTAGGATGAGTGGAAATCTCTCTCCAGTAGGGGCAGGTGAGCCTTTGCAGGGATGACTCATCCTCTTCCACCTCCAAGCTTTCAAATAGGTCACACTTACTGCACCTGAAACATTCTTTCTCTTCTTCTCCAACCCTCCCCCTGCATTCAAAACCTTGCACAAAAATCAGCTTCTCCTAAAGATGACCGCACCCAGCTCTGAGCACTCCAAACTTGCCAGCATAACCATGTCAGCACTCAATCCAGCGGCTGACTCTGCACTGGCTTGTGGGCTCCTTGGAATGTGGCTTCTGTACACTGTGTGTGTGTGTGTGTGTGTGTGTGTGTGTGTGTGTGCACTCCTCCCAGAAGGTAGGGCCTGGGTCTCCCCAACCAAGCTGGGAGCTCCCTGAAGCAAGGAATCTTCACCTTTGGTAGATCCACACTCCACACCCCCAATCCCAGGCCCAGGTTCTACATAGAGAAGGCTCTCAGGACATCAGCCTTCCTGCAGACAGAGGTCATAGGGAAATCCGCTTTTTCCACTTTCCCTCCCCTCAAATCCTTCTCCTTCGTCACAGGGCAAGCTGCTCGGAACACATTCTTGCTTACTCTGTCTCCCTTAAGGCCGATGCTTCTTCTAGCATATTCTACTTTTGAATAAAGCCCACCTGTCCTTCAGCATGAAAAGCTTGAGAAAGGAAGCTCATTTTCTTTTAGTCTTGAAAATGCCTTTACTTCACCCTCTGAAATCTCTTTCACCCATGGTGCCCAGAAAAGCTAGGCCCACAGCAATAGGAATTTAAATGAGATAACAAGAACTGCCAGGAAGCTACTGCTGAGAGAATACCCTCAGAGGTGTTTCGGAGTGGGCAGGAGTGGACTGTGTCTGCGGGATGGTTCCAGCTCCTGGAGGGAGGACTGGGCTGGCCAGCCTCCTGCCCCCTCTGCTGGGCTGCTGGGAGCACCGTGGACATGCCTCCCCAACTCGGCAGCTTCTAGGAGATGGGGAGGGCAAGGAGTTCAGCACAGCCTCACCGGGCACTTTGGTGTGGCTCTTGACCTTTTCCTGGGTGTACGTACTGAACAGAAATGCTGAAACAAACTGGGTTGCTGTGGCCTGTGTTCTCTCTTCTCCCTCTCCAGCCCATGTGACTCCCTCAGGCTCTGCTGGGACGCGTTCAGACCTAGCTCTGCCACAATCCTGCTGCTCTTTCAGCAGATCTGTTCATGGCCACCACCAAGCCTGAGGACTGGGCAGAGCATGGGAGCATCCTGTGGGGACAGGATGGGCGTGAGGGGGCAGGGTGGTGGGTTAGAGTGGGCAAGGGTTGACGGGTTCAGGTGGGGTTCAGAGTCAAAGGCTCTCGCCAGCAACTACTACATTAAGTGTGCGTGTGTGTGTGTGTATGAGAGAAAGACATGGGTGTATGTCATTGTATAGGGGTGCTCCCCCATGCTGGATCTGTGTGAGTGAAGGACAGGGACTAGAACAGTGGTTCTCCAACTTGGCTACACATGAGAATCACCTGGGAGTTTCTGAAGTCCTGATGCCCGTGCCATCTTTCATACTCACTAAGTCAGAATCTCTGGGGGTGGGACTCACGCATTTGTGTTGTTTGAAATTTCCAGGTGATTCCAATATGTAGCCAAGTTTGAGAAGAGTGGATGAGAAGACTTTTTAATATGTTAGGATGTTTACGAGAGAGACACGATGAGTGGCATGCCTTAAGGGGAAGAGCTTTTTGGCAGAACAGCTGCTGGCGGTCTGGGCAAATGGTTTGCAGAGCTAGAGAGTTATAAAATCTATTTCCAAAGAGTGTTCCCATTGCAAAGCACTTTGGAGATGATCTAATCCAACCTCTGACAGCTGCAGAGACCCAAAGAGAGGCAGCGACTTGTCCAAGATCGCACACCAGGTAGATGCCAGGCTGGGCTCCTGACACAGCACAGCTGCAAGGACACACATGTACACACACATAACATAAGTGTGTGCATGTTATGTGTGTGTACGTGTGTGCATGTGTGGGTGTGTGGATTCATGTGTGGGGTGTATTGTGTATACATGCATATATGCATGTGTGACCTATGTGTGTATACATGTGTGCGCATGTGTCCAGCGTATGCCTAGAAGGAACTTCACATGAAGATATCTAAC
This sequence comes from Homo sapiens, assembly GCF_000001405.40. Classification (NCBI taxonomy): domain Eukaryota; kingdom Metazoa; phylum Chordata; class Mammalia; order Primates; family Hominidae; genus Homo; species Homo sapiens. The sequence continues at coordinate 201,287,887 of NC_000001.11, read as the reverse complement.
ATTCGTCCATTTTATTTTGTTCAAACATTACACATCTTGTAAGGGTCACGGCCCATCGCAGAAGCGCTTCCCAGATTTCTAAACCTAGAACAATTGGCACAATGATACTTACAATGGTATGGGGTCGGGGGAGGAATTTGTACTTTTAAAAAATCTCTGTCAAGGAGCAGGATCCAGAGAAGCAGCATTTGCTGCAAAACACCCTAGAATACCCAGCATTTTTGCATGTGTTGTAACAGGCCAACGGAAATTCTGGCTAAAACTCCAACTTCAAGCCAAGGTACATTGTAAAGAAACAAGAATTGGTTCATTTGAAGTTTAATTGGTATGTTTCGCCAATGGAACAAGCTAAAGCACACATAGCCATTACCATCTGCAATCTCAGCTTCGGTCCCAAGAAAACAACCCCAGAAGTGATGCCTGTGGTCAGGAAAGGACAACTTTCTAGAAACTCTAATGAGCAGAACACTCGGGCAGAAGCTCATGCTGAGACATAGTCAAACACAAATACAAAAAGCCATCAAAGTGGGGGCTCCTGAGGCGAGCTCCTTCACTGTGCAGGCTGCGGAGTTCGTACAAGCATGCCCCCCTCTCCCCTGATGAGGGCTGAATAGACACAGGAACTACAGAAAGGGAGCAGGCACCTCCCCTGGCTCAATGTTGCCTCCAGCCCCTACCTCTGATCAGAGAGAAATAGAGGCTTAGCAATTTTAGATGGGAAACAGTACTTCTATGAAGAAGGGAGAAAGAGAATTTCAGGCCAAAGGCTGAAATAAAAAATCACAGATGGCTAAGCAGGCAGTGAGACAAAGCAGGCAATGGTGCTGGTGTTGTTAGGACTTCCCTGGAAGGAGACAGGACAGGTGAAAGGAAGCTCCTTTCACTGAGCTGGGTGTGATCTGTATTCACAGTGGCGGGGGAGCGCTTGGGTTAGGGCAAGTGAGATTCAGGTTCAGCTTTAGGAAGAGATTCCAAGTGAAGTTATAAAGATCTGGAAGGTGGATAAGTGTTTCCTTCCCCATCCTCAGGGAGGTCATTTCCCTGGCAAAGATCTTTTGCTGGGTGGTGACATCCCCCTCAGTTTCCCCTTGCCTTCCACACAGTCTGGGAAGAAAAGGAGGCCAGACACCCTGAGGCACACAGGGACAGCCTGAAAACACAGGGGAGCAATACTTCAGGGGCAGTTCAAGATGGGTAGGCAGGTTCAGAGCAACCTCCTTCTGCAAGGTCTCCAGGCCACAGAAGCCACCTTCTTCCTGCCCGGGGCCTTCATGACCAGGGCAAGGTGCTTGTCTGATCTGTGGCATTTCAGGGAGAGCATGAGTGCAGACAGGCATTTTGTGACAGGCTCCAGGGGCCCTTCCTCCAGTCCTCAGTGGCTCAATACTCCCTCAGTGACAAGAGAGAAAAGAGCACTAGTGGAGAGGAACTGAGAAGCCACTTCTATCACAGGACCAAGGATGGCTGGTCCTGACTGTCCTTCCTGGGGTACAAGGAGCAGTGGCTACTCTTCCAGGCAACCTGTGGGGTATGGTTGGCCCTTCTTAACTAGGGAAACTTTGGATGGGATTCAAGGGGCTCAAGAAGACCCTAGGTAAACTGACTCTGCTCTTGGAAGAGACTAAACAAGAACCTGAATCTGTCCAGGGGGCGAGGGAAAACGCCTGGGGCATGGTCCTTCCACAGCTACCAGCTCATTCCATTCCAGGAACCAAAGCAGGCTCCTGACAGGTAAACCAGCATAAGAAAGAGGGAGCAGAGTGAGTAGAGGTGGCCGCAGAGCAAATAGGGGACGTTTGGGTGTTTCTGATGGAGAAGACAAGGAAATCTGATGAAAACTAAGCCAGATAAACCAGAAACACCAGCTCCAAGTGACCAAACCGCCTCTTCCAGCAAGGATGCCTCTGCAGCCTCCTTTAGGAACCTCCGCAGAGTCTGAGGGTAGAGGGGACACGCCCACAGGGCTAGACCTTGGAGTTTCTGGAGAGGTAGCCATCAGCATCAACCCTCCCCCAGTGAAGCCCCCTGGGGGACCTTGGGAGGAAAAACAAAGAGGGAACAAAGGAGACCTTATCAGATAGAAGTTCCCCACAAAGACCAAGCCCAGAAAGTGCACTTCTTGCTGACAGACACTCAGCCAATATCCCGATAGGTAGGAGGAAAAAGGGGTCCTTGGGGCACCCAGGGCCGGTTTGAGTTTTCTGGAGTTGTGAGCCAAGAGCTCAGGCTGGGATGGAGTGGGAGTGGGAAGGGGACAGCCAAGTCTTGTGCAGAGAGGAGAGTAGGTTGAGCTGTGCTCTGGGCTGTAGCCAGAAATGGGGGCACTTTGTTATTCCAAACCTAATTCTAAAGAGGCTAGGAGGCACCTACCAAGGCACCAAATAAAAGGGAAGGAGGCAAGTGCTCTGGAGGTGGCATGATCTTGAGTGGAAATGTGACGAGAGGAGCCTGGAGCCCACACAAAGGCAAAGAGCACACAGAGAAGCAAAGGCCTTTAGGTCTGGGGCCCAGGAAGTCCTCTGCCGGCCATTTTCCTTCCCTCGGCTCTACAAGGGGCCACTCAGGAATGGGGGCTAGGGAGTAGGTGGGGGGACAGAAGCCACAGGTAGAAGGAAGTGTGAGGTGTGTGTGTGTGTGTGTGTGTGTGTGTGTGTGTGTGTGTGTGTGGTGGAAGGGCCAGGGTCGGTTTCTTTTGTCTCCTTCCACCTTATTACCCCCTGCCCCTCACTCTCTCCTAAGGCCTGTCTTAATACATAAGTCTTGGTTGACCTGTACTGTTTGGTAATGGGTAAAGTCTTATTAGCATTTTACTAAACTTAGCTAAATAAAATAAGTAAATAAATAAACAAGTGGAATCTTTGCTCACTTGTGTGTAATTCTTACCAGGCATCCTTTGTATCAAAGTGTTTACTTGGTCTATAAGCTCTCCCCTGTCAGGTACTGCCCCTTCCTCCTTGAGTTTCCTGGGTGCTGCCCCTTTCTCCCAGGTTCCCCCAGTCATGGGATCTGGCCTCTCAGAGGCTGGAGGAGGGGGTGCCAGGCCCGGGATCCAGCTTGGAAAAGTGCCCGTGAGGGTTCAGCTGGAGGTCTCCCTGGGGCCCGGGGGGATTTCCAACCTGCCATTCCGTACTCTCCCCATGAGACACTTGTTTCTACCTAAGCTGGGTGGGGTAAGAAGAATCCAGTGGGAAAGAGGATTTCTGCATTGGCTATTCGGGAAAGAAAGCATCCCTGACCCCCTTCCCTGTCGTCAAGGGACCCACTGGCCCTGGGGCGGCCTTCCAACTAGGCTAGCCTCTTTCAGGAGGCTCTCGATAAAGTGCCCTGGAGTTCCAGGCCCTCGTCCCTGCTCCCTGTGCCACTTTCCCGTCCCGCAGCGCCTCTCCTGAGCTGCACTCCTGTCTCAGCGACTCCCTCACCCCGCTCGCGGATACTCATGCGCGGCCCCACAGGGACTGGGGTTCCCCTTGGCCTGGACGCTGGGCATCGGCCTCCAGCTGAAGGCCAGGAGATCAAGCCCAGGAAGGGTGAAGGGTGGCCCACAACCGTTTGCGAGCGCGGGGACCATGGGCCCCAGGACAGCCGGGGCCAGACAGGATGCAGGGCAGATCCCTAGAGCAGCATCCGAAAGAGAAAGCCGTCCAGACCCAGGGCTCAGGGACAGGAGAACCGCTCGCGGGGGATCCTCAACCTCCTGGCACGCTGGGACATGCTCCTGGCTGTGTCCCGGTGAATCACCCATCCTTGCCCACTAGCGCGCCATCGAGCTCGCGGGGCCGTCGAGCCAGCCTCGGGTCGCGTTTACACCAGCTCAGAACCGGCTGGGAGCTCGGCTGCTCGCACTAGGTGCGTAGACCCTGCCTGGGGCCGGCAGCCCCTCGCCTCCCCTCATCCCCGGGGATGCGTGCGTCTCTTGGTCCCCGCCACTGGGCCAGGGTGCTCTGGAAAGGGGCGCACGGACCACGCGGGGGCCGAGCCTTTACCTCGATTGGAGTGGCTCAGGGTGGACGACTGGGAAGACTTGGACTTCTGCCGCTTGACGGTCATCATCACCTGCTCCTGCACGCGCTGCCTGCCAGACGTGCCTGTTTTCATCTTTTGGTCCGACGGCAAAGCCAACGTGGAGTTGTCCTGGTCCTGGAAGCATTCGTACGCCAAGGCGGTCTTGAGCGGCGAGTGGTTCATGGTGGCGGGAGGCGGGTGGCGCGCGGCCGGGGCCTAGGAGAGCAGAGAGGCGAGGCGAGGTGCGGTGCAGCGGGCGGGCAGGAGCGTGCTCTTCTCGCTCTCAGCGGCTCCCTACGGCCATAGAGTGCGTGGTCCGCGTGAGGGCTCCCTGCAGCTGCTCCTGGCGCTTCCACCCTGGTTCGTCCCTCTCTGGCACTGGCGAGGCCCGCCCTCCGTCAGACAGGATATACCACCCCTGCCCTGCACCACCCACTCCACCGGGCCGCGCGCTGCTGCTGCTCAGACGCGGAGCTGCAGGGCACTGCTGCTGCGGAGCCAGCGCTCTTGGGGGCAGGGCTGCGAGTCCCCTGTGTGGGACGCTGGGCGCCTTCCTGCTCGCTCTTTTTTTTCTCTCCCTTCCCTCTCCCCATGAGCAAGAAACGTCGCAAGCCTTGAGGCCCCAGGGAGACGCCCCTCTGTCCTGTTCTGCCGGCTCACTGAGAAAGCATGTGCTCAGCTCAGGAACCGAGGGAGACCTCTCTCTAGGAAAGAAAGGAGTCTTTCTTGACCAGGCTGCCCAGGAGAGCCAGGCGTCCATCTCCCTCTGTACTGAGGTCATAGCAGAGACCAACCCCGGCGGTGGAGGCTCCCGGGCTGATGGCAGAACCATAGCTCTTGCTCCAAAGGAGTGCTCCATCTTATGGGGGTAACCCAGTCTACTCTAAAGGAGCTTCCTCTGAAGAAAGTGGGGTAGGGGCAGTAAGGCCACATCAAGGAGCAGACTTGGGATATCAGACCACACAGTGGGTATGCCTTGGTAAAACCGGTGGTTATTTGTTGTTCATGAGTATACCCCGGTAAAACACCACGTGAACAGCGGATCCTCTCTGAAACTCCACTATAACCTCTAAAACAATGCCTGGCACACATAATATTAGGCGCTTAATAAAAAATATTTTAAATAGGTGAATACGTGAATGCTAGTTAATTTAAGGTAAATTAAATCTAACTCGGATCCTAACCAGATCCTCACTGAAAAATTGAAAAGCTGCTTTACCCTGAAATTTCACTCTGGACTTATTATTCTGGGACCACTGTGTGCATTCCCCTATATACACTCACCCCTGGGGACACATGTGCAGTGAAGCTTTATTCATGTAGCATCCTCTCCAGGCGTGGAGGGAGCCCACATCAGTGAATTTGGTGTGTAACAGGAGCTGAGTGTTTTTTTTTTTTTTTAAGTATTTACTTTGATGGAAATCTTTCTAAAAGGTATCGCATTCTGTTTGCCTCCTAAAGCAAACAACACTGAACATATTTGCTGTACTTCTTGATGCCCTGGGTTTCTCATTCTGGACATCCATTACTGAACTGTGTAGTCGTGCTGTCCGGTCAGTTTCTTAGTTTTGGGGCCTCCACCAGTGTGTGACACTATCACAGCCGTCACTCTTGCTGTCATTTGAGGCTGCCGCTCACAGCTCACATATTTTACTTTTAGTTTGCTCTTCTAATCTACAGAGGAAAGGACAATCAGAAATCTATTCTTTTTGGGAATTTTATGTCGAGGAAGGATCAAGAAGACTGAATGACTGTCTCAGGGACCATGTACATGAAGGTCACTCACGCAACTCCTGAGATGTGGGTGTTACATGCGGGGAGCCCCAGCTTTCCCAAGGAAGGTATTCCTAGTAGCAATTTGCAGAGCAGATTATTGTAAAGCAGATTATAGTTTCCAATAGAAACAGTTTTATTATTGAGGGCGCTGTTCCTAAGAACTTAACCTCAAGTAAACCAGAGATGTGATAAAAAATATGTCATAGATGTGTACAAAATACCTGTAAACCTCTATTATCACTTCATATTGTAAGATTCTGCCTCTAGCCATAGACCGCCAGGACTGGACAGAGCCTTGGACTTCATCCAGCCAAGCACTGCATTTCACTGATTAGGAGAGGAGGTAGCTTGCTTGCAATGCCCCAGTTAATATGTGGCAAAGCCTGCATCCTAACCAGGCCTTGTGACTCCTGGCACAGTGCTCATTCCACCACATCATCCAGCTTCCCTTATAAAAGTCCTATAAAATGGACATTAAAGTACAGTGCACACCGATTATATAAGGGCCCCAATGTACTGTAAAGTATACACAGCAGCATATAAAAATACAATTCTATTGTATCACACATTTGGCCTATCTAAAACCTAATATGCTAGCCATAATAAATGTTAATTACATCTTTAAATAACGATAATTTTCCTATTCTAGGATATAGAAGGGCCCTGAAGGAGGGGATTAGAGTAGCTCATCTTCCTATAAAAGGCAAGTCCGTGGAAGCAGAACTGATTATCTTTAAAATTGTTTCCAGGTATGAAGTTCAGTTTTTCTAGCTACTTCTCTACTATGTTAATATTGACATTATTTTGACATATTGATAGCAATAGCATTTACTATGCTCCTCCAAACACCATGCCTACCAACCAGGCATTGTTCTGAGCCCTGTACACGAACCACATCATTTAAATCCTTACAATGACCCTATGAGGTGGGCACCATCACCCTTCTTTTTCAGATGAGGTAACTGAAGTTCCATGAGGCCACCCAGCTGGCAACAGGCAGACAAGGCAACTGCAATCCAGAGCTGGACACTCAGTGGCAGTGCCAGGCTGCCGCCTCGAGATTTCTCTGTGACAAGCAGATCCTTCTCTGGATAGGTATTTTAACAGCATCCATTCCCATCACAGGGCACGAAAGTCAGGCCAGCTGGGTTCCTGATCTAGTTGTGTCACTAACTAGCTTCATGTTAGACAAGTGCCTTCCTCCGTCCCTTGCACCAATCTACAAAGAGAGCGGGTAAACTTCGTGGCTCCTAAACTCCACTCTAGCCCCAACATTCTATAATTCTGTCGATTGTGGGGATTTGTAGGGCAGGACATCTTGAATCAGGCCCTTCTGACAGAGGAGGAGAGGAAAGAGAAGTCAGGTTACACATTCTGGGCCACGGTGAGGGAGATATACTCAGGCTGGGAGGATTGGTTTGGGGCTCAGGTATATGGTTTTGAGCCAGCAGGCCAATGCTATTTCCATAATCTCTCTCTCTCTTCTGCCTGCCTGAGCCCCACCCTATGTGGGGCCTGTCTCAGAAATCAACCAGCAAGGAGGCTAACACTCCTAAAGTGAAGAAAAGATGTCAAGGAGGCACAGTCACATGATCCTGGCTCTGAAATGGCATGCTTTCAGGTGACTGTCAGAACATATATTTAGATGTTAAAATTCTAATGGATATGGGTTAATTTTGGCTTGGAAGGTGTTGGGGGTGATCAGGGGGAAGCATCCTGAAAGAAGTTAATTTTGACTTGATTCTGAAATAAGATGAGTATATTTTCATCCTCAAAGGAATGAGTATGAACGGGCTTCTAATTCTCTTTGCTGCCTCCTTAGAGCATTAAGTGTGACCCAGATTTCCCTTTCAACATTCTGGCTCCCAGACTTCACATCCTGTCATCTCTATGTTCATTAAAAAGTGAAATATGAGTTCATTTACTCAACAAGTATTGACTGAGCATCTGCTATGTGACAGACCTTGTCCCAGGTACTAAGGATACAATGGTGAGGAAGACAAAGTTCCTGCTCTTACAGAATTTACACTCTGTCACTCTCACTCTGTGCAGTGGTGTGTCTTGACTCACTGTAACCTCTGCCTCCCGGGTTCAAGCAATTCTCCTGCCTCAGCCTCCTGAGTAGCTGGGATTACAGGTGCGCACCACCATGCCAGGCTGATTTTTGTATTTTCAGTAGAGACAGGCTTTCACCATGTTGGTCAGGCTGTTCTCAAACTCTTGAACTCAAGTGATCCACCCACCTCGGCCTCCCAGAGTGATGGAATTACAGGCATGAGCCACTGTGCCTGGCCTAGAGCTTATTTTCTACAGGAGAGAAGGAGAAGGCTGGGCCAGGAGTGGGTGGGGGCTATCCCAAGGAAGGCTGAGAGGAGGTCTCTGGGGCTCCTGCTGCTTCTAAGAGTGTCTGGGCTGAATCTTCTCCCTTCTCAGTTTCCAGCCCCCCAGGTGAGGGGACCACCTCTAGCTGAGCCCCTCACTGACGCAAACACCGCAGGAGCGTGGAAGAGGTAGGTTTTCTTCCTGGATCCCTGGGCTTGCTGGGTGGCCCCATCTTATTCAGCCCAGTCCGTCTGCAACTGAACTTCCTGGACAGCGGCCACGGGGCCAGCTCCCTATTGTGAAAGCTTTTCTGGATGACATCCTTTGGCCAGTTAGCAGACTCCTCAATGGCTGCTCAACTCAGGAATCTTATAACCTTCCCTGATGAACTCGCACTGCCCCCTCCCTAGTCTCTAAATCGCCTCTGTCTTTTCTCCTGCATTATTTTGTTTTCATCCTAGCACTCACCCCATGCAGCCACCTGCCCCTTACCTTTGCATATTTGCTGTTCCCTCTGTGTGGAGCACTGTCAGTCAGTCACTTAAATACGTACCGAGTGCCTAAAGGGGCTGGTATCACCATGTCAACCCTGGGGATACAACGATGAAAAAGACCAGATCTTGCTCTCATGGGGCATATGTTCTAAAGACATAGACAAAGAGTCGATCTGTAAATGATTGCAAATTATATTAAATGCTATGAAGGAAACAATGAGCGGCTTAGAGGCTGCAGAGAGGGACAGCTTTAGCCATGGTGACCAGACTGTGACAGGCTGAGACTTGAAGCATGAGAGGCAGCTGCCCATCTCAGGAGTGAGGGAAAGGGCTCTGGGCAGAGGAAATGGTGAGTGTACAAGCCATGAACCTGGCATGTCTTCAGAACAGACAGACCAGGGAGACCAGGCAGGTGGGCACAAGATGGGCAGGCAGGCAGTACTGTCCTGTAAAGCTTTCTTGAATTATGAAAATGTTCCATCTCTGTGCCCGCTATTTAAATCAGTTCAAATTGTGTAAAGGAAACATTCAGTTCCTTAAATATACCAGCCTCATTTTAAGGGCTTGATAGCTACATGCTGCTAGTGGCCATTAAATTGGCCAGTGCAGGATCATGCTGGAGCTTGGAAACTTCCGTCTGGGAAGACAGAAAATACTCCTGAATTTTTTTTTGTTTGTTTGTTTTTTTGTTTTTTTGAGACGGAGTCTCGCTCTGTCACCCAGGCTAGAGTGCAGTGGTGCAATCTCGGCTCACTGCAAGCTCCGCCTCCCAGGTTCACGCCATTCTCCTGCCTCAGCCTCCCGAGTAGCTGGGACTACAGGTGCCCGCCACCACGCCCAGCTAATTTTTTGTATTTTTCGTAGAGACGGGGTTTCACTGTGTTAGCCAGGATGGTCTCGATCTCCTGACCTCGTGATCCGCCCGCCTTGGCCTCCCAAAGTGCTGGGATTACAGGCGTGAGCCACTGTGCCTGGCCTCTTGAATTTTGTTCTAAGAGTAATGACAGAGCACTGATAAGTCTTAAACAAGGGGGTGACAAGCCCCTCCCACCTCCTGCCTTCTTGCCACTTGTCAATCCTATCTATCTTGGTGAAGGAATCTCCAAACCAAATTCAAGACCCCCTCCTGGGGACCTTTGTGCCTGGTGCCAACTGTGTTATAGCCCTCGGCCACTTTGTCATACTCAGATGTCCATAAGACCTAGAGCAGACTGAGGGAGGGGATGTGTGCTTTTCATTTCTGCTTCCTCACTGTTCACACTGGTACACATCACGTGCTCAATACATGTTTTTGTTAAACTAAAGCCACCATCTTGCTCTGGAGCAAGGCCATGTCCCAGAACTTTCCCAGGTCTCTGGAGTGATTTGGGCTCAGGGCATCCTGGCCAAGCTTTTGCCTTTCTCAAAGCCAGTTTCCATTAAGACCGCTGTCCTCACCTCCTGCCAGTAGGGATGCCCTCAGGAACAATCCCACCGGGCTTCCACGAGAGCACAGAAAACCTGCCCTTCTCACTTCCCAAGGGAAATTTACATCAGGAAGTAAGAAGTCATTCAATCCCCTGCCCTGTCCTAGGCATCTCAGGAAAAATCAATCCAGGAAGTCATCTTCACAAGGATCTGGACAAACAATGCCTCATAGAAACCCTGTGATGACTCCTTCCAGAATCCTAGACCCTCACCGCCCTCAGGGTACCAGGGCAAGATTGCACCAGACTCCCAGCCTGACTCCTGGTGTGATATATGCCACTGCAGGTACCAGACTGCAAGCCATTACACTTGGAAGGTGCAGACAGTGCACAGAGAGGCTCCCAGCCATGGACAGGGAAATGGGGGCTACTGGGGCAGGGGCGGGAACAGTAGGGGCCTCTCTCCCAGCCCTTTGGCAAGCACCCCAGTGAGAGAATCAGGGCATGTGACCATGAGTCTCCTATCCATGAAGGCAGGGGTGAAAAGGCTGGCCTGTGCCCATTCACACTAACCCAGCTCTGCTCTGGAAGGAGCTGAGGGGTACATGCTGGCAGTGGGAGGAGAGAGACAGCAAAGAGGCTGGTTACAGAGGCCCAGAAAGGAGGGTTTGGATGAGTCTAAGGCGTGCTGGGCTAGGCCAGCTAAGGGGCAAGGCCAAGGTGTGCACCTAGGGCTCCTCCACACACCAGAACGCTCTCAGAGCTGCCTTTCTGGTCTCTCTGGGTGGGGTGGGTGGGGTGGAGGTGATGAATAACAGCAAAGACCCAGCCCAGTGCCGACTGGCTGCTGTCAGCACTAGATTTGCTCTGGGTCCCGCCCCTCTGCCAACCCAAATTCTAGTTCTGTCTCCCAACACTGGCCTGCCGGGGGCCTGCCTCTCTATCCACCCTCTCCCCTTGGCCAGCAGTGCTGTTCTGTGGCCCCCTGGAAGGACGAGGGCCCCAGGCCTTGGCCACAGCCTCAGGATCCTGCTCAGCCCCCAGCTCTCTCTGGGACCAAAAGCCATTTCACATAGACTCCAAAGTGTGCCCAATGGGACAGACTGGGAAAATAAGAACAGGGGCTTCGGGCTGGGTTTGGTGGCTCACGCCTGTAATCCCAGCACTTTGGGAGGCTGAGGCAGGTGGATCACGAGGTCAGGAGATCGAGACCATCCTCGCCAACATGGTGAAACCCCGTCTACAAAAAAAAAAAAAATACAAAAATTAGCTGGGTGTGGTGGTGCATGCCTGTAAGCCCAGCTACTCAGGAGGCTGAGGCAGGAGAATCACTTGAACCTGGGAGGCAGAGGTTGCAGTGAGCCGAGATTGCTTCACTGCACTCTAGCCTGGTGACAGAGGAAGACTCTGTCTCAAAAACAAAACAAAACAAAAGAAACAACAGGGGCTTTGGAGTCAATAGACCAAGCGGTGCACCCCAGCTTTGCCACTGCTAGCTGGGTGATCTGAAATGCTCTAGCCTGTCTGTATCTCATTTTCCTCAACTGTAACATTAGATTAGTAACAACCATCTCACAGGAGCCTTATGACCATAAATGGGTATTATACATAAAATGCCCAACACAGTGTTTGATATACTGTAGGTGCCTAATAAAGATGCAGGACTTCTTCCTTCCTCTGGCAGCACCGCCTAGCCTCCTATCGAACTGCCCTCTCTCCCACACTCTCCCCTTTTGACATATTTTCCAGGGCCAAATTCCCAGCTCATGCCCTTCCTTCCTAGTCTCAGGGTCTTCAAGCATTCCTCCTTCCCCTGGGAGCAGGGCCATACCCCACTCTGGGTCCCACTCACAGCCTCTCTCCTATAGCCCCTGCCTCTCATTCACTCCCCATCCAGCATTTTTGTCTGCAACTGTGGCTCTGCCATTACTACGCTTGGAGACTTCAGAACGGCAGAGGTGGAAGGGGCCTCAGAGCCCATCCCTTGGAGCCCCTGCATTTGTCAGAAGAGGCAGCTGAGTAGAGAGCGGCATGGTGATGTGGTCTTGCAAAGTCCTGGGTGTCTGGGTCCTACTTCCCCCACACGGGGACCGGGGTTCCCTCCTCCTTCCTTGGCAGGTGGATGGGGGAGGGGGCTTGGTGACAAGTTTGAGCCTTAAAAGGGAAGTCAAGGCCAGAGAGGCATCCCAGAGGCGGTTCCTGTAAGTGCTGCTCCCGCTGCCCTGTGCTGGAGGCATCGCCGGTATTTGGGAGGTGGAGCAGCAGCACAGGGAAAGGCCGTGGGAGCCGCAGAGCTGGCATCAGCATGGGGTGTGTGGCAGAGCGCCGAGTAGGCCCCTGTGCTCACTCTTTCTTTCCGTCTCACAGTCACGGGCCCAGCCCCAACCCCAGCCCTGTATAGCCTCAATGATAATTTCGTGAGTCACCCACCCTTGCCTGCAGACAGGGCAGCCACACCCAGGGCAGCTGGCACCCTAGCCGGGGTTTCTGCTGTGAGCTGCTGGGCAGGCAGCCTGCCAGGCCACGGACGGCGACCAATGGTGAGCCAAGATGCTCCAGCACCTCAGGCCAGGCCAGGAACCTGCTGAGTGGCAGAGCCTCCCGTCTGCATTACCCCATTTCTATGGCCGGGGCCTCCTGCGGAAAGCCTCTGCCAGGTGCCTTCTTATTAGGATCGCCAATAACAAGCAAAGGACCGGGCACCTGCCCCATCTGTGTTCAGTAAGGCCCTGGGCTTCAGGCTGCTCCCAAAGGGTCGGAGTCTCCCTCTGACCAGGCTTGAGTCAGGAGCCACGGGTCACTTGCGGCTCTCTCTGCCAGACACAGCTGCGACTTCATCGCTGCCCCTTTGAATCCCATCACGGCTCTGCCCTTTGAAGCCCAAATCAAATGCTCTCATCTCCCCAACAACCCTCCCAGATGTCCCCAGCTGGGGGTGACACCTCCTTCCTTGAGCTCTTAGAGGGAATTGTGCCTCCTTTGCCATTTAGTGCATCATGCTAAGTGATTAGGTGCACTGTGGGCTCTTGGCTTCAGCAGCAGGCCTGCCACAGTGCTCTGAATATGAGAATGGCTCAACAAATGTCTATGCAGTCGATCCACATTCCACTTAGGTATTCTGTTCTGACATTCCTGGGACCAGATGCCTCTCTCGGCACCTTTCTGTTCCCGCTCCCCTCCACTCTTTCCAGGTCATATCACCCTACTAGAGGCTGTCCCCCAGGCCTTGACTTTAGGCCCTGCTGGGGTTGGGGCTGGGCCTGGATCCATTTTGACGAAGAGCCGTCAAGGAATTGGGGGGTTCCATGACATTCTGACATCCTAGCCATCTCCAGACTCAGCACTTCACGGTTCACCGCAGCTGCCAAGGGAGCAGAGTAGGGGGCACAGCAACCTGGGCAGAGCCTGGGAGAGCTGGGAAGAGCCCCCTCCTGCTTTCCAAATGGGCCTTGTGATGACGCTTTGTGTTGGCCATTCCTAGTCCTTGACTGGCCTGCTCTGAGAGTCCCTTTTGCCCAAGAAAGACCCTGGGTGACTTCTATCATGCACGGTTCTCTCCCCCATTCCACTCCACTGTCTTAGAAGCTGATCAGTCAAGCAGGGATCACTGGGATTGGATTGGTAAGAGAGGTTAGCTCATCAGCTCAGTGTTCTCCTGGTGACTCTGACCCCCAGCTTAGGCCAAAGATGCCTGCCTCACCGCTCTCAGCTCCAGAACTCAGGCAGGAGGTAACAGGGGCCAGGGGTTGGGGAGGGTGGGCAATGTGATAGTTGAGACAGAACTTGGGGGCCTTCTAGGAGGCTTTGAATACTGGAGACCACTGAAATTGGGAAGGTAAGTTTGTAGTCCATGGAAAATAGTTTTGTTTTTACTGCTGCAAAGGAAAATCATATGCTGACTTCCAAAAACAGTCAGGATTTTGAGGGTTCCTTGCTGGTTTCGATGATTTTGCCTTTACTTTCAACTTTTTGCACACAGGGCCATGATAATGTTTCAAATATAACTGGATCTTTACAGTCTACCAAGTAGTTTCCGGTCCTTTATCTCCTGGGATCTGCCCATCTATTCTTTGAGAATTGTGGTCATTCTGTTATCATCCCATTGTAAGGATGAGGGGACTGAGGCTCAGAGAGGGTGTGTGGCTTGTCCAAAGTCACCACCACTTAGCAGCAAAGCTGGGCCTCAAAGGTGCTTCCTATGTTCCGAGTCCACTGCTTTTCCTCCATGCCACACCATATGTGCCCCAAGACATTTCCAGGCTGGAGACAGCTGCTGTGAAATGCAGTCTTCAGGGACACTTGATTCTTATGAATGGCACCCACCAAAAAAGATATGTCCATGTCCTAACCCCTAAAACCTGTGATTGTGACCGTACTGGGAAAAGGGTCTTTGCAGATGGCATTAAGGGAAGGATCTTGAGTTGAGATTATCCTGGATTTAGGGCAGGTCCCCAATCCAATGGCAGGAGTACTTCCAAGAGAAAGGTATAAGGAGACTGGAGACACAGAGAAGGCCACGTGAAGACAGAGGCAGTCTTATGGAGTTATACTGCCACGGCCAAGGAATGCCCAGAGCCTCCAGAAGAAACTAACCAGGCTGACACCTTGATTTTGGACTACCGGCTTCCAGAACTGTGAGCGAATACTTTTCTGTTGTTTTAAGACACCAAGTTGGTGCTAATTTCTGCAGCAGTCCTAGGGAGTTAATAGCGACATTAACCCTGAAACTCTCCCAGTCATGTGGTATGAGCTGTCAGTCTCTCAGCAAACCCTCTCAGCATGTGGCCTGTTGGGCATGTGAGATTCGTGAATGGCTTGGGGGGCAGTACCAGAGTGACATCGTCCCTCAGCAATGGTCCGTGTGAGGACCAGCTGGCTCCTGCGCAGCCTGGATGGCCAATCTCTTGCTCCTCTGCCCTGCTCCCTTCAGCACCCGCCTTTACGTCTGGTTTCACTCCACACCAAGAAAAGAATGATGCCCCAACAGCCCTGGGAAAAGTGAAGCGGCCATGGGCGATGTCACCGTTCCACCAGGAGGAATTTATGAAGCCAGTTACACCTTAGCCAGGAAGTTGGTGGGGGGGCAGCCTCTAATAACTGCCAGACTCTCAGCCCTGGCGGCTGTCATCTTCATACTTCCCCACTTAGTGGGATGTCTTGAGGTAGTCAAAGGCAACACAGCCACAATTAAACATAACAAGAAAACATAATGGGACTTTGTCTTTCTATGGGGCCTTTCATTCTGAGAGCTCACCAGGTGGTTTTATGAGCCTTGGGAAGCCCCCTGTTACTCCCTTTACAGAAAGGTAAACTGAGGTACTGCACAGGAAGAGTGCCAGAACAGGGCTCTGGTCAAGTTATTAATCAGTGCTACTGACCAAGAGCTTAATTCTGAGGGCCCATCTAGCTCCCTTGATGGTCAGGGTCACCAGGCTTCAACAAGAAGCTTAGTTTTTTTGTTTTTTTTTTTTCAGAAAGTTCTCAGGATTTGTGGTGTCTTCTTAGAGATGGTCAGAATGGGACTCAGACAGCCTGCCCAGCCTGATGGGGGTGGAGGATTGATGGGGCAGAAGGTGGGTATTGAGGCAGAAAAAGAGGGAATCGCACTAGGAGTCCTTCGTATCTCACTCTAGTTGGGACAAAGCAGAGTTATGGGCCTGGGTTGGCTACCAACTTGCTGTATGGCTTTGGACAAGTCATTTGCCCTCTCTGGTTTCAGTTTCCTTGCTTGTATAATGAGGGGGTTGGATGCTCTAAGTCAGTACTTCTCAAATCCTAATGCACATCGAATCACCTAGGAATCTTGCTAAAGTGCACATTCTGATTCAGCAGGTCTAGGGCAGGGCCTAAGGCTCTGCATTTCCAGCAAGCTCCCAGGAGATGTTGATGCTGCAGGTCCTCTGACCACACTTAGAGCAAGTCTCAGGACAGGTCACTCGACCATGAGCTGTAAAATGCCATCATGTCATCATCTCTACTTCCTCAGGGGTGCTGTTTGGAGAATAAATGGGCTAGTATGGGTAAGAGCACTTTATAAGCTATAAAGTCCTGTACAAATATGTTTTTTAAAAAGATCACCAATATATGATTAAGACTTGATATTTGGTGGCAAAGGACTTGGTTCAAGAGCCTGGTCTTGGTGAACCTGTGACATGGGCGTAATAAAACCTACCTCATGGGCTCGTTATGAGGACTAAATAAAACAGGATCATTGAGAGCAGCAACAGAACATCTCATCTTGTACATGAAGACACTCAGTGGTCATTCTTCCTCTTAACCATGACCTCACGTGCAGGATGGGAACCCATCAGCAGGAAGAGGATGCCTTCACCCTTACCTGCTTTTGTCTCTCCCATACTGGAGTTCACCTGCTGGGCTGTGACATAATGGCCACTTGGTCTCCAAGGTCCCTCAAGGTCCCCCTCAAGCTCCTCCACTTTCCTACTGTCCTAGGGGCTGGACCAGCAGCTTGTTCTGCCCAAGTCCCCTGATTGTGCCTGGGTCCTCCACTTGGAGCTGCTGCAGAATCTGTGAACACAGCTCCAAGGGAGCATAGCCATCTTCCCACCCCATCTCCACACTCACTGCTCCTGAAGATGCCCTGATTGGGTGAGGAGGGAGGCTACCTGGCTCATGTCAGGGTGGATGTGCATTTCATTTTTCTTGGGAAATTGCCTGCCACTTGAATGTGCTTGGGGTTTGGCAGAGCAGTCAGTCCCGATAGAGTAAGCTTGCGGGCACAGCCTCCCACCCCCATTTCAGGCCTTGGCAACAATGGGGACTCCTCCAAGAACTGGCTTTTTCTTTCCCCACCCCTGTCTCAGCATCCCATCATTTCTCCTAGCATGAGCCACTTGCAGGGTGGACACTGTGACACCAGAAGCAGCAGTGTGCAGCCTTCTGGAGAAGGTTTCAAGTGTAGACTCTCTCCCAACCCGTGGCAGTGAAGTCTGGTTATGTCTAAACAGAACAATTACCCTAATTGCTGTTTGTGCTAATTATACTGTCATCATTGGTCCGAGGATAGGATAGGCATTACTCACCCCACCTGGCCAAGGAACAGCAGCCTGCGGCAGGCCAGATCCCAAGCCACTGGAGAGGGAGGACCCAGAATGCAGCTCAGATGGCCCCTGGATGCCAGCCAAGTCCTATTTGAGCCTAGGTCTACCATGCACCACACTCCAGGCCTTTAGGGGGTCTCTGACCATGATTAGAAGATCTCTTGGTTTCTACGTGTGGTTTAGGTTTATGGATGCACAAAGTTTACATAATATACTTAAGTGTGCAAAAAAAAAAAAAAGTAAATTGCTTTCTTGTCTATACCCAGTTCTACTGAACTCACAGGCCCCCTTTCTGATGATGGCAGTGAATCGATAGTAGAAAGCAAACCAAACTTGCCCACTGAAGGAATTATTTATAGGAACCTCTTGGATTCATTCGAAGTGATTTGCGGATGTAGTCAATTCAGAATCAAAACTGCCTATAGGACTGTCCCTGCCCATCTAAAGGGGCTTCTCCACTCAGCCACCCCTGTGCCTCCTGCTCCAAATGCACACTCATGGTTTTGGGAGAGTGAGGTCTGCCCACTGCCCTCTGCCCTTCGTTTTCAGAGCCTTCTGCCATGTCTGAAGTCTGGGCCAGACCCCACCCCATCTCCACGCTTGCTGGTCCTGAAGATGCCCCGAGTCCTTGTTGTGACAAGAACTCCATCCTGGCCAGGGTGTGCCACCCTGCAGCCTCCTGGTTGTTTCCTGCCCCATCACTGAATCCCTGGCAAATCTGCCAGTCAGCACTTTCAGCCTCTTGTGCAGCTTCCTCTGGGGCACGCAGGACGTTCTAGATGTCCTGTATACCTCCTGAAGTCCACAGGCAGCCAGGGGACAAGAGCTCAGGACCATCTCCCTCGGCACCTCTCTTGGTCATTTGTAATCAGTTGCCCTGTCCCTTTTTGGAGTCTTGTGGCTTCATGGAGACCACAAGACTTTTCTGAGAGCCTAGCAATTTTCTAGGTCTATATCCTTGGAACCTAAGAGCAAGGCCCCTGCACCGGAGTCTCCCACCAAACCTCTTTGGGTGTTTCTACCCCTAACAATACTTTCCTCCTCTTGCCGTGAACCTGACAGTAGGGGAGGAGGTCAATGTCTGATCCCTTTATTCTCACCCCATAGCCTTTCCTGTCCCCTCTCCCAGGTTACGAAAGGGTTTTCTCCTTCTTCTTCCTGCTGGGTGGAAGCTTCTTTCCCCTCTTCTATATCCTTCCTTAGCAATAAGCCTCCTGGCTTAGCCTAATCACAGAGAAATTCAGGGAAAGGAAGAAAAAAATCTGGATTACATCAGGAGAGATTTGAAAATCATCAACCACATTATACAGAAAACCCAGCAACCTGGGGTAGAGGAACGAGCTGGGACTTGGAGCCAGAAGGACTGGTTTATTTCCCAACACCGCTCCTTTCCTAGCTCTGCCTTTTCAGAAAGCGCGTGCCCTGGTATTCAGGAGCCATGACGGTGACATGGACCTTTAGGGGTCCAGCTGACCTGAACTGCTCCAAACAGTAACCCTGAATATGGAATCGGGACTCTGTGGGAATGAGCCTCTCTGGGTAGCGGGGAGCCTATTTGTCTAACATGTTGTCTGGCATACAGAGAACCCTGCTTCAGAGAGAGAGAAAGAGAGAATGAAGCAGAGTCACAGAGAGAAAAGAAGAGACAAGTGAGTCTTGGCAGACATCCAGCCCCTGATTCTCACTCAGGTAGACTCGCAGAATCCTGGTGTTTGGGACCCAAGGTAACTAATAGTAGACTCTTTTGAGCAAGGGAGGGGCCTGGTCCCTGGGGAATAAAAACAATGACAGCACCCCGTTTACCAGATAATTCCATGCAGCCTGGCTCTCAAGATCAGACATGGCCTCCTGGCCACCAGCCAGTGTCCACCCTCTCCCAGACGCTGCATGTGGACACTTCCCTGTGGACGAAGCCTCTGTGAAGAATGAATCATCCTGGACCCAGACGTGGGAGTGCCATGGTACAAGGGAGTCTGGCAGTGATGGGAAGAAGAGCCAGATGGCCTGTCAGGCTCTTCCCGTAGTAGGATCTGGTTCTGGGGGATGGCTCTGCCTCGGTGTTGGGCCAAAGCAGAGGGGATTAGCTCTCCACCGCCCTCCCTCCCTGCAGCAGCTGCTGCTGAGGCAGCTGGATCAGGATTCTGCGATGAGGACGAGCTTATCCCAGATAAGGCAGGCTGCCACGTCGAGGGTCCAAGGCCAGCAGACAGAGTGGAGTGGTGCAGGGTCCCTGCAGGCTGCTGGACACAGCCCCCTGCTGTGAGAAGACTGGCCATGTCCGCATACTCCTCCAGACCAGTTTCTTGTCACTAGTCAGCCCTCTTCGTTCCAGCCAATGATTCTCAAACTACAGAGCGTGAGAATCATCTGGCATTACTTCTTTTAAAAGGGACATTTCAGGAGCCCACCCAGGTCTGGGCTGGGGCTCAGGAATATGAACTTTTAAGGAGCATTCAGGTGTAGCTAAATAATTATACATGTTTTTAATCGTAGTAAAATATGCAAAACATGAAATTCACCATTTTACCTATTTTTAAGTGCACAATTGAATGGCATTAGTACATTCGCATTGTTGGGTTGCCATCACTGTCATCCTTCTCCAGAATTGTTTCCTTATCACAGACTGAAACTCTGCAGCCATTAAAAAAGAACTCCCATTTCCTTCTCCCACTAGTGCCTGACGCATCATCCTCTATGAATTTGACCACTCTAGGCAACTCATTTAAGTGGAATCAGACAGTGTTTGTCTTCCGGTGACTGGCATATTTCTCTTAGCATAATGTCATCAAGATTCATCCATATTGTAGCACATGTCAGAGTTTCCTTCCTTTTCTACTGTGTGGATAGACCACATATTGTTCACCCATTCACCTGTCAATGGACGGTGGGTGGTTTCCACCTTTTGGCTATGGTGAGTAATGCTGCGATGAACATGGGCGGACAAATCTCTGTTCAAGTCCCTGTCTTCAATTTTTGGGGTATATATCCAGACCCTTCTCTCGCGTCTCCCTCTGCCATTTCACCCCTTTTACTCCCATAGCCTAGAATGCTTTCTTCATTTCTATCTTTCAAGCCCCATTCTGTTTCCCTTGCCTTGTTGAAACCTGTCTAAATCTCACCTCCTTAACGCCAGCTTGGGAGGCAGCACAGTGGAGGGGCACAGGCTCCGGGCCTGGACCGGTGGGTCTGTGCACCTGTCTCAGACGCTCACCAGTCTGTGTCCTCGGACTACTTACCTAACTGCTCTAACTTCAGTTTTCCTAACTGCAAAAGGAGACGTGAAAACACGCTTGTAGGATCATTTGAGAGGATTCAGTGGGAAGGTCCATATAAAGTTTCTGGCACAGAGCAGGTATTTAATAAATGGTGGTGGTTGTTGGAATTTTTCCAGAAAGCTTTTCCTGACAGTATAGATATGAGATGTAGCACTTTGCAAAGCAAACTCCACACTCACAGAAGATGAGACAAATAAAATCCCCTCTCCTCAAGGAAATAACCCTAAGGTTTCTGCCACTGTAAATTAGTATAAGTTAGTAGCAGGTAAACTCTTGGAATTCAGCAAGTGATGTTTTCTGAGTAATTTCTATTTCTCTTGCCGTAATTTAAATACATTTTGTCTTGTTTTATCCTCAGTAAGCTCCCAGAACTGCTGCTCAGAATCCTGTCATTATTTTTCTAAATGCCTTTTAGGATTTAAGAACCTGATATATCCCCAATTTCTGACAATTAGAGTCAAAACCCAGACACCCAATTTTGTGTGCCTGTGGCAAGCCACGTACCAGGGAATAGCACCGAGGCTAGAGGAGAATGAAGCAGGTTCCTTGTTTCTGAGGAGGCCACAGGCATTCAGGCAAGACTTACATGCATGAGGCAATCTAGGGAACAATATGAGACACGTGTGACTCATCTGCTTTATATTAAAGCAAGTAGAGGGTGTGGACAGAGCTGTTCATGTTAGAGTAAGCAATATGAAAAGAAATAGCACAGCAACTATGAAAATATACTATGCAGGCAGGGGAACAAGAAGGAAGGAATATAGCCTGAAAACAGGTGAAAGAGTCCAAGCTGGAAGAAAACCTGAGCTGAAAACAGAAACAAATTCCTCACCAGTGTTTCATGTTTCAGAGTATGATAATACCATATAAATACAAAGACTAGATAATTATAAAACTGAATGAGATGAAGAGATTGCAGGGTTAGGAAAACAATTGGGAACTAGATGCAATTACACAGCTAATAAACTAGTTAGAAACAACATACAAGTCCAAAAATAGAATGGCTAAAGGAAAGGCTTGAAACCATCATAATCAATGCAGAGAAAAAAAGAGGCAGAGATTCAAGCAATTAGAAGATGGGAGGTTAGGAGGATAAAAGAAAGGAAGGGAGGAAGGGAGGAAGAGAGGAAGGAAGGAAGGAAGGAAGGAAGGAAGGAAGGAAGGAAGGAAGGAAGGAAAGAAGTGAGGGAGGGAGTGAGGGAGGGAGGGAGGGAAGGAAGATTAGCTAATATAAGAAAAATTAATATCCCTAAGTAGAAAACCATATAAATGAAACAGAAAAGATATTCAGGGATGTAACACAGAAAAAAAATTTTCTTCAATAAGGGACTGAATTTGCAAAAAAAAAAAAAAAAAAAAAAAAAAAAAAGGCACATGACATACCAGAAAAAAAATAGAAAATGGTCCACACCGACATATCCTGTTTAAGTTATTGAACTTCAAAGCATAAATAATTTTCAGGAGTGCAGGCAGAAAAGAAAAGTCATCAAAAGAGAGAAAACTCAGGTTCGACTCAGACATCCCATTCAATGCCCAAGTACATAAAGCAATGTCCACAAAATATTGAATGAGGAAGAGCATGACTCACAAATGTTATACCAGATAAGTTGTGTCAGATCTAAAGGCAGTAGAAGCATCTCAGACATGATAAGCCTGTCTTGAACACACAATCCGACACACAAGCCAGAAAACCATGAATTATTTGAGCTAACCCAGAGAACCCAGAGAATAAAAGGCTGGTGGTGAGCACTGCATTCATTTAAATATAGAACTGTTGCAGAGCAGAATAAAAATATGTAAAACTCCCAACAAAATGAAAATTACGTAAACAACAAAAATCAAGAGGTGGGGGAAGGGGAGATGAGATGAAGTACAGGGTGCTAGTTATTTCATCTTTCATAGCAGGGAGTCAGCCAGACTGAAATGAAAGCATACTTTTAAAAGTCAGTGACTACAGCTTCTTAAAACAATTTTGAAAAATGATTTTTCTTATCCATAGAGGGATCTTATAGGTACAAGTGTCTCATGTAATTATGAAACATTTATCCAAGATTGAATAATGCCTTCAGCTTAATCTTCCATTTTTTTCTATTATATGTAAGGACAAATACATTTAACGTTTTCATATTTTAAAAGTATGGGCCAGGCATGGTGGCTTACTCCTGTGATATCAACACTTTAGGAGGCCAAGGTAGGAAGATAACTTGAGCCCAGGAGTTCGAGATCAGCCTGGGCAACCTAGCGAGACACCCATCTCTACAAAAAAATTTTAGAAACGAGTGGGATGTGGTGGTATGCGCCTCTAGTCCCAGCTACTCAGGAGGCTGAGGCAGGAGGATCGCTTGAGCCCAGGAGGTTGAGTCTGTGATAAGCTATGGTTGCACCACTGCACCCCAGCGTGTGTGACAGAGTGAGACTCTGTCTCTATAAAAAATAAATAAGAGAATGTAACACATGACCCTATTCTTACAAAATGATTTATCTATTATTTATTTACTGACCAATGTATCTGTATTTATATTTTGAAATTTGTCAGGACTGATGTTTAGCAAATATTTATGTTGTTTTTTTCTGGGTGGTGGGATTTGGAGTGATTGCAAATTTTTGTGTTGCTTGAATTTTTATAATAAGCATGTATCAACTTGACAAAAATCACCAAAATCACTACCTAGAAACATTAAAGGAAAGGTTAAAGTGAGTGTAGTCCAAAATCAGTTCTAGAGCAGAAGGGGTGGGCACCACAGGCTGGCATGTGACGAAGGCTTTGGCCTCCCTCCGTGACACCTGTTGACCCTCTCCGACAGGGATGGCCAGATACAGAAGATAGCTGCTTGGAGGAGATGGAGTTGGAGCTGAGTGCTCGAGAGCATCTGTTTTGACAGGCATTTCATGAATTATCTTACTTAATTTTCCTAGATCTGTGGAGTAAGAAGTATGTACTCCATTTCAAGAATAAGGAAACTGAGGCCAGAGAGTGTCAGTAAGGGAAGTACATGCTAGACAGAAGCACAAAGCACAGGCACTTCTGGGAACTGAGAATGCAGCGGGAACTCTGACTGGCAGTGCTCAGACCTGGCCTCCAAGGGCAGTTGAGCAGAACTCTGGGGAGGAGATTATCCCAGTTTGAGTGAGGGAGGTTCCGTACAAAGGTTCTGAGTTGGGACCTTGTAGCTGTGTGTTTGAAAACAACAAGGCTTGTCTTCAGAACTAGATGGCAAGGAGACCAGACAGGGGAGGGAGCAATGATGGGCGTTCATCTCCCATGCCACAACAGACAGGGTCCTGGCCGCTGGAGATCAGCTCTCAGCAGTGGTGAGCAGCACCTGGCTGAGGCTGCACGTCCTCCATGGGGATGCCATGCCCAAGAGAGGGGAGGTGGAGGAAGACTGAAGCCGCAGCAGCAGGCAAAGGTCATGGTGGTGACTGTACCCAACCAAACCTGCAGGGCACAGAGACTCAGATCTCAAATGGGGTCACGCTCTCAGAGATCATAAATGACTCTCCTGCTCCTTTTGCCTCCCAAAAGGTCATTAAGTCATTAATTATATAGCAAGTGACAATAAAATGGTCTCGGTCTTCCTCATCTTCCCCAGAGTTCAGAGCCTTGGGACTCATGACCCAAGGGTTCTGTCCTGAGCCAGCTGCCTTGCTGTATCTGAGCTTCAATATTCCACTTGAAACTGGTCATTGCCTGGATGGCAGAACTGTCATGGTACAGCAGTCCTGGCCTTGAAGTCCACGCCCATGACCTACCTACCGGGCAACCTCAGCGAAGCCCCTCAGCCCTTCCTACCATAAATGGCAGGGAATATGCTAATGCAGATGCATAGAAGGGCCTAGAATGTTTTCAGAGAACATCGGTCCTGCCCCCATCCTTGCTTTGACCTTTGAAGCTCATTCCTTCCCTCTCCATGGATGGAATTTTCCCAAGCCCCACTCCCACCTCTGAGACTGAAACCATCTCATGGGACAAGCTAGAGGTGAAGAGTATGAGCTCGGAAGTCCAATAAATTTTATTTGAATCATGGCTCTGCCACTTACTAGGTGTGTGACCCAGGCTGAGTTAGTTAACCTCTCAGCCCCAGTTTCCTCAGACATAAAATGGAGATATTATCTACCCACTTATCTGTCATGGAGCTTAAATGGGACAGCACAGATAAGGTGGCTGAGACACGGCAGATGCCCAATGAGGGTGACTCCTTCCTGCTGAACCCATTCCTTACTGTCATGGTCATGGATTTCCTTCACACTCCTGACCTCTGTTAGAGCTGGTGCTGGCTGGTGGCTCCTGACCTCTGTTAGAGCTGAGTGCTGGCTGGTGGCCTTGGACAGTCAGGCTTCCTCTCCGAGATCAGTTTCCCCACCAGCTGCTGGGCTGTGGGTCTAGTTGGGCTCTGCTCACCAGACCCTGTTCATAGGCCCTGGCCTTGGGTCAGATTTCTGCCAGTCAGGAGGGCAGGGCTGGGCTGCATGCTGGAGAGAGCCTTCAGATTCCAGGGCTGGAGGAGAACGGAAAGAGATGCCTGTCGACCACAGTTCTCCAACAGAAACATGACGTGAGCCACCCGTGCAATTTAAAATTTTCTAGTAGCTGCATTTTAAAAAGTAAAAAGAACTGGTGAATTTTAATGTTTTATTTACCCCAAAATATTATCATTTCAACATGCAATTAATATAAAAATTGAGCTATTTTGCATCCTTCTCCTATGAAGTGTTTGAAACCTGTGCTCTGCAGTCACATGTGATACTAGACAGCAAAGATTTTCAAGACAGAAACCAAGAGTGTGATGGCGAGGAGACTGGCGTGGACAATGGAAGCATGGTGAAATATTCATCCAGCCAGCCAGCCGCCACGAGCTCCTCCCACTCCCCCTACCAGGCCCTTAGCAGGAGGCCCCTTTGCTGTATGACTCCCCTACCCAATTGGGTTTCATTCCCAACTCTGCTCTCAGTAGGTTCCCTACCTGGGAAAAAAGAAGGAAAGGGAAGGGCAGGGGACGGGAAGGGGAGGGAAGAGGGACAGAGAATAGAACAGAAAAGGTCCCTCTGGGTCCCTGGCCCTGGGGGATTTGGGGACAGGGGATCTAGCCTCAAGTCTCCCCACAACTTCATTCAACACATGTTTATGATGGCAGCCCAGCAACAGGCCTTGGGAGGAGTGGCAAGTGGACCAGGCGGGCCCCTGCCCTCATGGAGCTTCCATTTCAAAGTGGAGCAGGCTTCCTTGGTGCTCATGAGGCTCCACACTCATCTAGAAAGAGCCTGAGACCTGGAGACCTTCAGGGAGGCCTGGAGAGCTCCTTCTCGCCCAAAGAGCAGCTCCCAACTGCTCAGGGCCCAGTCCTCTGCTCCCCACCTGCCACTCCAGGTGTCCTCAGTCCACTGATGCCCTGTCTTTCACCACAGCCCATCCCCACTCTCCCTCCACCACCCCTTCCCCCGGCCACTCTCAGGCCCCACCAGGGAAGCTGGCCTGCCTGGTCATAGAGTTCCTGAAAGAAGGTAAGCTCCCTCCTGCTGTCCTGAGGGTGGGAAATCACAACAGTCAGCCTTCCTGGTGACAACAGCTGCTGGACAAAGACTACCCCTTCCTCCCATGACACAGACTCCTCACTTCATGCCTGGCATGCTTGCTGAGTGACTGCTGGGTGATGTAAATCTCCCAACTCAACAGAGACGCCCATCCAGACCAGGATTCGCCCACTCTCCCGGGCTCCTCATCGCAACCTGACATTCCTGGAGGGCGCAGGGTTTCTGCCACCAGCCAGTTGCATAATCCCAGGCATGTACCTACCTCTCTCCTCTCTCAATGTACAGCCTCATCTGTAAAATGGGGTAGTAACCCCTGCTTTTGGGATGGTTGTGAGAATGAAATTAGGTCATAAAGACTCATGGCACATGGTGAATGCTCCATGCTAGGGAGAGCCTACCCACCATCACCCCCTTGCTCACAGTGATGGGTCTTTTGGGGTGCCCGGCAGAGCCTGGGATCCATGTGCCTCTCTCTGAGGCAAGGCCCCACTACCAGGAACTTCAAAGCATATGTTGTGGAACACAAGGATCTCACTGGAGCTACTGGGGGAAGAGGGAGAAGGTTGCTCCTGGTGGGTGGGGTTCTGGACCCTTCTTGCCTAATTCGGAGTGGCTTCACTTTTGTCTGCTTTATGCCTTCAGGTTCCAAATAGCATTGTTTGAAATTTCTGATGCCTTGAGAGTTTGAGGTCACTTCTTTCTAACCTCCTCATTTTACAGATTGGGGAAATGGAGGCCTTGCCCAAGATCATAGAGAGAAGGAGGTGCAGAGCCTAGCAACGAAGCCAGAGCTCTGTGGCTACGAGCGGGTTCACTCCAGTGCTGGGGGAAGGGGGCTGCTAACTAATGCCCCACAGCTTCCCTGGGTGGAGTTCAGACTCAGCTATCAACACCCCTGGCTCAGGCAGGGCACTCAGCTCCTGGCTCCTTACCTTCCTGGATTCTGTGGGCACAGGGAGGCATCTCGCCAGGGGTGAGTACGTATAGAGCTCAGAGGCAGGGAGTGCCAAGAACATGGGGAGTGGATTCAGCCTGGACTCTCTGAGTGCAATGGGGTTGTCCTACACTCATGGAAGTCTCTGAACATAAGCCTGGGTACCCAGAGATCCCCTCTAATAGGAACAGAGCGTGAGGGGTGCCTGTGTACAAGGAAGGCAAGTCAATCAAGAAAAGGGTTTCCATGCACAGACTGGTGCCCGGTGCCAGGTGCTGGTGGGATGCGAAGGTGATTGTAACACAAGTCACTATTTACAGAGAAAGACTTTCAGGGTATGGGAATGTGCTGTATTTTGAATTTTATACATTCATCAAAATTCATCAAGATATACACTTACAGTCTGAGCATTTTATTGTATGTAAAATGTAACATCAATGACTTAAAAAATCACCTGAGGGAGACACTAGGAAGGAGAAAGATTTGAGTGGGGACCACCAGGTAGGTATGTGCCTCCTGCACAAAGGCAAAGAAAGGACTCCATCACACCACGGAGAGATGGGTGTGGCTGCCCGTCCCAGCAGCGGCCCCCGGAGGTGCCCGGATGGGTTCTGTGTCAGGAAGCTCAGGTCAGACGTGTGCACATTTTTGCCAGAACCCATCTGCGTGTGCACATTTTTGCCAGAACCCTCCCTCCGCACAGGCCTCTCTCCAGGCTGGAGGACACACCAAGACCTGCCCCCAGGCTGGGCGCAGGCCAGTTAGCTCTTGGTCCCTTTCCCGTCCTCAGCCACACCCTCAGGGTCTGGGGAAGAGGCTGGGAGAATACGCCCCTGACTTGGTGGAGGAGGATCTGTCCGCCCGCAGCTTCATTTCCCTCCAGTCCACCAACGGGCCTCCCTCTTGCAGAGGGAAATTGGGGCAGGCACAGGCCATTTGCAGAGAGGGGCTCTGGGAGCACTCTGCGGAGCTGCCCCAGATGACAGGATGTGAGCCGCCAGCGGCTTGGGGCGGCTGGCTGGGAGCCGTGTCTCATCGCTTGGGAAGCCGGGTGCAAGCGCCAACAGCTCCACTGACGCGGGAGGTGGGGGTGGGGGACAGGTGCTGCTCCAGGGAAGCAGCAGCCCCCACCCCGCCAGCCTCCCAGTCCTGGAACAAGTCCCCCATTGAGCATCCCAGGCACCTGGCGCACTTTCCCTGGGGGTCCACACCCTGGTGGAGCTCGTGCCTGGCCTCCTGGTGGGGAAAGGGCAGCCCTTCCTGGCTCCGGAGCAGGAGGTTCCCGGAAGAGGGCGGCTCTCTGGGCGAGGCCAGGCCTGGGGGAGGGGCGGATCCGCCACCGCAGCCCCCAAACAACCAGGCCACACCCCTCTTACCTATAACAGGTGAGAGCTCCCCCACCCAGGCCTCCCTGGCCAAACTCGCCTTCTGCCCTCCCTAACCTTGTAACTGCCATGACGAGGCATGACTGGCCCCTGCCATCTTCCCCTGCTGAGCTGTCCTGGTAACGTTCCCAAGCCCAGCCTCCCCCAGCTCCAGGAGGGAGGCTCACGCTGTCGACCTCTAGGGGGAAAGCCACCAGAGAAGGAGCAGAGTGGCCCAAGGCAGTCCCCAGCTCTTGGGGCTGCTCAGGATTCGGCAGTGCCCGTGATACTGCCAGGTTGAGCCAATATGAACCAACTCACTGATTTTTTTTTTAATCATTAAAAAAATAAAACCCTCCTCCAATTGTCAGGAAGGAGTTTGAAAACGGTAAGGTCAGCAGAACTGGGGGCCTTTCCTCTTCCCAGTGTCAGGGAGCAGCAAGTCTAGAAACAGGAGAGGGTTGGCCTGGAGCCTCTAGGGCCATCTTTGTGCTGTGCAGTGCCATGCCACCTCCACTGCCCCCCACTGCAGCCCTGCCTCCCTCCAGCTCTGCCCTGACACCTCGCCCAGTGCCCACTGCTCCCAGGCCAACACACACGTTTTTCCAGCTTTTGGGCTACGAGTGGGCTGCACCGGCTGAAGCCAACATCAGAGATGAATGGGACAGCAGAGCGGTCGTGCGCACTCAGCACCAGGTGGAGGCGCCCAAAGTCCACTGCGCTGTGGACGGTAGAACTGCTCCTCAGCCAATATACGAGTGGCCCTCAGAACAGGGAAGTGGCCGAGGAGGGTGGGCTTCTGCCTTAGGATGTGTCTCCTCCACAGCCCAGCCATTAGCTACGAGGGTGCTCTAGAGACCTCAAGAGCGGGGAACAGGCCCCTGGGGCTGTGAATCACTCATGGGTTGAGAAGAGGAGGGGAACAGAGGGACAGGGCTGAGCTTCCTGGGTAAAGGGGGATGTCCACACAGGGACGGGAGCTCCACAGAGAACCATTGGGGGTGAGAGTGCAGGCTAGCAGGGCTTGGCCTTAGCTGTAGGGTTCCGGGCTTTGCAGGGCACCCTACTCCCCAAAAGTGGAGGTTGGAGACAGCAGGCAGCAGCCTGAGGGGGTGAGACAATCACTCCATCACTCCATCTCACTCCATCACTCCATCTCACTCCATCTCACTCCATCACTCCATCACTCCATCTCACTCCATCACTTCATCACTCCATCTCACTTCATCACTCCATCTCACTCCATCACTTCATCACTCCATCTCACTTCATCACTCCATCTCACTCCATCACTCCATCTCACTCCATCACTCCATCACTCCATTTCACTCCATCACTCCATCTCACTCCATTACTCCATCACTCCATTTCACTCCATCACTCCATTACTCCATCTCACTCCATCACTCCATCTCACTCCATCACTCCATCTCACTCCATCACTCCATCACTCCATCTCACTCCATCACTCCATCATTCCATGTCACTCCATCACTCCATCTCACTCCATCACTCCATCACTCCATGTCATTCCATCACTCCATCTCACTCCATCACTCCATCACTCCATGTCACTCCATCTCACTCCATCACTCCATCACTCCATGTCACTCCATCACTCCATCTCACTCCATCACTCCGTCTCACTCCATCAGTTCATCTCACTCCATCA
Source organism: Homo sapiens (assembly GCF_000001405.40). NCBI lineage: Eukaryota > Metazoa > Chordata > Mammalia > Primates > Hominidae > Homo > Homo sapiens. The sequence continues at coordinate 201,258,049 of NC_000001.11, read as the reverse complement.
CTCCATCTCACTCCATCACTCCATCTCACTCCATCTCACTCCATCACTCCATCTCACTCCATCACTCCATGACACTCCATCACTCCATCTCACTCCATCACTCCATCACTCCATCTCACTCCATCACTCCATCTCATTCCATCACTCCATTATTTCATCTCACTCCATCGCTCCATCTCTCTCCATCACTCCATCACTCACTCTCACTCCATCACTCCATCTCACTCCATTACTCCAACTCCATCTCTCCAACGCACTCCATCACTCCATCACCCCATCTCACTGCATCACTCCATCTCACTTCATCACTCCATCACTCCATCTCACTCCATCACTCCATCAATCCAGCACTCCATCTCACTCCATCATTCCATCTGACTCCATCACTCCATCACTCCATCAATCCAGCACTCCATCTCACTCCATCATTCCATCTGACTCCATCACTCCATCACTCCACCTCACTTCATCACTCCATCTCACTCCATCACTCCATCTCACTCCATCACTCCATCTCACTCCATCACTCCATCACTCCACCTCACTCCATCACTCCACCTCATTCCATCACTCCACCTCACTCCATCACTCCATCTCACTCCATCACTCCATCTCACTCCATCACTCCATCACTCCACCTCACTCCATCACTCCATCTCACTCCATCACTCCATCAATCCATCACTGTATCTCACTCCATCACTCCATCTCACTCCATCACTCCATCTCACTCCGTCACTCCATCTCACTTCATCACTCCATCACTCCATCTCACTCCATCACTCCATCTCACTCCATCACTCCATCACTCCACCTCACTCCATCACTCCATCACTCTGTCTCACTCCATCACTCCATCATTTCATCAATCCATCACTCTATCTCACTCCATCACTCCATCTCACTCCATCACTCCATCTCACTTCATCACTCCATCACTCCATCTCACTCCATCACTCCATCACTCCATCTCACTTCATCACTCCATCACTCCATCTCACTCCATCACTCCATCAATCCATCACTCTATCTCACTCCATCACTCCATTTCACTCCATCACTCCATCTCACTCAATCACTTCATCACTCCATCACTCCATCTCACTCCATCCCTCCATCACTCCATCACTCCATCTCACTCCATCACTCCGTCAATCCATCATTCCATTTCACTCCATCACTCCATCTCATTCCATCACTCCATCACTCCATCTCACTCCATCATTCCATCTCACTCCGTCACTCCATCACTCCATCTCACTCCATCACTCCATCACTCTGTCTCACTCCATCACTCCATCACTCCATCTCACTCCATCACTCCATCTCACTCCATCATTCCATCTCACTCTGTCACTCCATCACTCCATCTCACTCCGTCACTCCATCACTCCATCTCACTCCATCACTCCATCACTCTGTCTCACTCCATCACTCCATCACTCCATCTCACTCCATCACTCCATCACTCCATCTCACTCCGTCACTCCATCACTCCATCTCACTCCGTCACTCCATCACTCCATCACTCCATCTCACTCCATCACTGCATCACTCCATCACTCCATCTCACTCCATCCCTCCATCACTCCATCACTCCATCTCACTCCATCACTCCATCACTCCACCTCACTCCATCACTCCATCTCACTCCATCACTCCATCAGTCCATCACTCTATCTCACTCCATCACTCCATCTCACTCCATCACTCCATCTGACTCCATCACTCCATCTCACTCCATCACTCCATCTCACTCCATCACTCCATCTCACTTCATCACTCCCTCACTCTATCTCACTCCATCACTCCATCTCGCTCCATCACTCCATCTCACTCCATCACTCCATCTCACTCTCTCACTCCATCACTCCATCTCACTCCGTCACTCCATCACTCCATCTCACTGCATCACTCCATCACTCCATCTCAGTCCATCACTCCATCTCAGTCCATCACTCCATCGCTCCATCTCACTCCAGCACTCCATCACTCCATCACTCTATCTCACTCCATCATTCCATCTCACTCCATCTCACTCCATCACTCCACACTCCATCTTACTCCATTACTCCATCACTCTATCTGACTCCATCACTCCATCACTCCATCTCACTCCATCACTCCATCTCACTCCATCACTCCTCGATCACTCCAACTCACTCTAACACTCCATCATTCCATCTCACTCCATCACTCTTTGATCACTCCATCTCACTCCATCACTTAGGGCTCGGAGGAGCCCTCCCCAGTAACTGGATTCCAGCCCCTTCCAGCCTGGCGGCTTCTTCAGCATCAGCGGCAGCCAACTGCTGAGGAGAGAGCCTGTCCCTTCCCTCGGGGCCTCTCACTGAGCCTGTGCCCCATATCCCAGGCGCCTCACCCAGGACACATGTCCTAGGAGTGCGACAGTGCTGTCAGCAGCCAAGGCCGCGCCCCTGAGGCCGCTCTCCTCTCTCCTGGCTACCCCCACGGGCTCCCCTGCCAAGGGCTGCAGGGTGGAGGGAAAGGGTCCGACGCCATCTTCCAAGGAGCATGTCTTGCCAGAGAGCCCAGTGCCGGCTCCTGGCCTCAGTGTCCTCTGTTCCAGCTCCTGTACCTTGATGGGACACTCTGCGGTCCTGTCCAGGTCATCTAAGACAGGTCCTGAGGGAGCTGCCATGCTCTCCTTGACTCTCAGAGAGAACCCCAGCTGTGGACCCAGGGAAGAAGAGGTGAAGTCTGATGTGTGGGCCCGGCCTCTGTTCCACCTGCTCTGTCCCCAGGGTCCCGCAGGGGCGGAGGAGGAGGGAGTCTAGAATCCCGCCATCATCCGTGAGGGAAGGAAGCGGAAAGAGGGGCTGCTGCTCGGTGGCGGGTGTGGGGAGTGGGGTGAGGAGGCCAAACGGGCCGGGTGCACAGGAGAGAGAGGGTGGCGCCAGGCTGGGGCACCGAGGGCCAGTTAGCCCCTCCCTCACACACACCCCGGGGCTTCCCAGGGCCCGCCCCACCGACCTCCACTATGCAGACCCTCTGTGATACCCAGAGCCTGAGTCCTGACCTCCAGAAGACCCAGAAGACCCCGGGCTGAGGACCATGGAGGACACTGAGGAGGGGAAGAAGGAGGCACCCCTCACCCGGGGCCAGGTGCAGGCCTCCTGGGGACAGCATGCCGTCTTTCCCAGAGAGACATGGCCTGCCGGCGCCCACCACTCCAGCTCCAGCCCACTTTCCACCCCACTCACCTGTTCCCTGCCCCAGGTTGTCCCCAGAGGTCTCAAAGGGCCCACTGTCCTCTCCCAGGCTCCGGCCCCGCCGCAAAGCCTGTGGTGCCACCTGGTGGTCATGTCTGGGATGGCAGGCTGACCCCAGGGACTTGGGAAGGGGTCCAGGCCTCTCCTGCTCCCTCCAGCTCTGTTCACCCACTCAACCCCTGCTTTGCTCTCCCTGGGGCTTCTGGCCATTATGTTGCTGGCCCTCACTGATTCAGCCACAGTGTTCACAGCTGCTCCTTGGGTGTGCTGGAGAGCCACGCCATGCTAACCTCCACCAGGGGTGTGAGAAGAGATCTGGAAATAACAGCAGCACCATGATGCGGAGTGACCTTGAACCCGCACAGTGCTCTGGGGGAGGGTCTACTATTATCTCCATTTTACTGATGAGGAGCTGGCCTCCAGATGTTAAGTCACTTACCCAAGGCTACGCAACTAGTAAACATGACACTGCATTGAACCACGCATCCAGGAACCCCAGAGCTTCCCCCAGCAGAGGCTGGTGGAGTCCACAGCCTCAATCCCAGGACAAGTGCTAGCCTTGGATGGGGAGAGTGGAAAGAATGTAAATTAGGAGTTTGGTTTTTAAGCCCAGCTCTGGCACTAACTCACCGTGGGACTCAGGGCAAGGCCCTTTCTCTGTCCGGGCCTTCTCTACCCTGGGGGAATCAGACCAGGCAATCCCATGCATTCCCGAGCTGGAACTGGGCCCTGGGCTCAGAGGTCCAGGCTGCTGCCTGCAGGGCTGGGCTGGGCTGGGCTTGGCTGGGCTTGGCTGAGCGGCTGCAGCTCCCACAGGAAAGTATTAAATGAAACCCTGAGTTCTGACTGTGGTGTCTGAAATGGGCCCTCACAGACTGCAGGTCAAGGCTCCAACTCCTTTGTGCCCCACCTCTCCTCCTTCCAGGAAGCACCTCTGACAATTCCTTAAAGCCCCTGGCTTCGCCTTGGAAGGCAGCCTTCAAAGCCCTCCTCTCACTCCCCATGCACCATGGACTCCAGTCCCCGCGGGCTTCTTTCTGGCTGTCAGAGGTGCTCTCCCGGGCCTCCCACTGCATGGTCCTCTCCGCGCTGGAATGCTGTCCCCTCACCGCTTAGCCTGGAAGCCTCTGCCCCGCCAGGCCTCAGTCCAGGCCTGCTCAGGTCCCCGTGTTATATGGCCCCACAGCACCCAGCACTTTCTATGGACTAGGTACTAGTTTGACTGGTACAGTCAGCCCTCTGGGAAGCCTCACAGGGAGCATGTTGCTGTACCCTGGGTCCGGTGCTGCACATGGCATGCAGCAGATGCTCCAAATGCCTAAGCACTTCAGTGTGCAGCCTGCTGTAACTGTCCATCGCCACCTGCTCATGGCATCTGGCCCCACACTTACTTTCACACATTTTGTATCCCTGCACCTCCTGTCCACCTAAAGACAGAAGCTCTGCCTCTCCTGCCTCCCATAGAGGAGGGGAGAGGCTGCTGCTTGGGGTCCTTCTCCAGCCCTGGCTTTAGCCCGCTGTTATCCACATCACAGGCATCCTGGGAAGGTGCCTGACACACTGCCCCCGGCCCCAGCCCAGGCCGTGCTCTCCTCCCCTGGGCAGCAGAGCGCAAACCTGGGGAGTGGACACACGTAGAATGCCAGGAGGAGGGAGGAGGCCCAGCCCCACTGTGGCCAGAGGGTGTCAGAAGCACAGGACAAGCAGGAAGGAAGCCTGGGAGTCACCTAGGCCAGCCTTCTCATGCACAGAGAAGTGAACAGAGGCACAGATGAGGCAGGGACTTGCCAGCCTCTCAAAGCTGAGGTCGGAGGCCAGGTGTCCTGGCCCAGGGTTCTTGCACTGTCTGTGGTCCTGGGTGCTACAGGAAGAGTCCCCATGGAGGCAGGAGAGTCCCTGACCCACCTCCCAACATAGTTGGGTCCTTTGAGACACAGTGCTGTTGATTAGGGGGTAGGGTAGGACTGAAGGACTGGATTCCTCCAGGCAAGAGACAGGAGCAGAGCCCTCCTCCCCCTTGGGTTCTGTTCTCCAGGACCAACGTCTTGCTCCCTGGGGAATTTAAATTCCTAGCAACCTGGCATTGAAGCCTGTTATTACTGCTATTAGAAATAGCCTAATACTAATGGCCTATTAGTAGCCTGACAGCAATTGAATACCTGCTAGGTGCTAAGCTCTTCCCACACATGTTTCCTCATTTAACCCCAACAACTCCAAGATACAGGTATTATTACCTCATTCGACAGATGAGGACAATGTGGTGTGGGTGATGAAGTGGCCATGAGAAATTGGCTGCCTGCCGCTGTTCCCCTCCCTCAGCCCCTTCAGACTTCTCTCCCTGCCTGGCTTCCTCACCATCCCTGCCCTATCTCTACATCCCAGCAGCACCCCCAATCCGGGTCAGTCACCACACAGGGCAGTGGAGAGGTCTCCAGGATGGTGGCCCTGCTGCCCGGTTCTGCACTCTGCTCCCAGTGGCCCTGCGGGGCAAGCTGTGTCTGCTGCTCCTGGGCCAGCTTCTTGGCCTACAGCTTCTGTAGCAGGGGCCTGGGAGCTGGAGGGCATGGGGCTCCATGAGCTGGGCCCACGAGCAGCCACTTCCTCCCAAGGTCTGCCGCTGTGGGCAGAGTCTCCAGTGCCCCAAGGAGGCAGCACCATCACCCCACGCCTTGGCTTATGTGCATCCTTCTCTGCCCAGAACGTCTCACTCAGTTCTGCAGATCCTCCCACCTTGGCACTCTATGGGTGTCCCTCCCACCAGCCTTGCTGCTTGGCCCCGGGCTGCTTCTGAACCCTCTGTCCACCTTGGAGCCCCCCATCAGCTCACCCCTATTCTCAGTTGGCACCTATCCCAGGGCGACCTCAACCCCTCCCACGTGCTCCTAACTAAAGGGATGGTGATGTCTCCCAAATGCACATCTCCAACCCCAATCCCCCAACCCGACTTCCCACCAGTCAACATGCTGTGTTTAAAATGAGCTCATCTCTACCTTCCCCATCTCTCAGGGCGTTGCACCACTGCCCCTCTCAGCTGACAGCCAATCGACAAAAAGCCATGAACTTTACCTCCTTCTCTCCCAGAGCACCCACTTCTCAATGGCTCCTCTATCTTGAACTTCCTCCTTGCCTTTATGATGCTCTAATTTCTGATTTGTCCTTTGGGACACTGCTCAGGTGCCACCTCCACCATGAAGCCTTCCTTGATTCCTCTAGGCTGAGTTGGGTATCCCACTGAAGCACCCCCATGGCACCCTGTGCTTATCTAAGCTAGGACTTACCTGCTAATAATGCAACTGCCTGGCCACTGGCCAGTGTCTCCTAAACTGGGGGCACCTCTAGGCCATATTGTGTTCTCTTAGCACCCAGATGATACCTGGCACATAGTAAGCACTCCATAACTAGTGGATGAGGGAATGGATACATTAATGAGAATAATGCTTGGGAAACCCTGAGGCTTCGGGGCTCAGAAAACATCCACAACGGAAGAAGTGAGACAGCAGGGTCTCCTGTGCCCCATCAATACTCCTCCCTACAAAACCCAGGGGCCTGCTGACATTCGCCAGCATCAGCAGGACAACGAAGGAGACCCAGCGGGAGCCAGTTATACATCACCCAGTATTAGGAGTGCTCGAAGCACGTTCATCCTCACAACCTTGCAAAGCAGGCAGGACAGCATCTCATCTCATTTAAGGAAAGCCGAAGGCTCAGGGTGGCTAAGTGAAGTACCCAAGGCCTCCCCACAGGGCAGGGCTACCCTTCTGACTCCCCATGCAGTCCGACTGACCACCCCTGTTCTCACCAGATGTTCTCCAGCTGCTACACCCCAGAGCCTCCACTTGTCAGCTCTGCCATACTCTCTTTCACCTCTCTCAGCTCCTGCTGGCTCCCGTCCAGCCGTAGCTGCAGAGCCTGGGAGAGCAGCTCACCTGGCCCAGCGCCCTCTCCACCTCCAAGGTGCTCTGGGCTACATCCCCCAGCCTCTGCTCCAGCCGGCTCCTGTGCCTCCTATACTCCTCTCTCCAGGGCTTGGAGCATCTCCTGGGTCTCCCAGAGGCTGGTGGCCAGGGTCTAGACAAGGCACACCAGACGAGAGCCTGATGCCTGGCCCCAGTCCAGTCCTTGGCTGAGCAGCCTCGGGCCCCTGCTCCTAGGCAGGCCTGCCTCTCCTGCAGCATGGCCAGCTGGCCCTGCACCTCCACCCTCCCCCAGAGTGCCTAGGCCAATCTCTCTAGGGGGGGCTTTGGCCAGTGCCTGCTTGAGTACCTCTGTTTCTCGGAGCTTCGGCCCCAGCTGGGCCTGCACCATCCGAAGCTCATCCAGTTCCTGCTCCAGGACTCCCAGGCCAGGGCCCTGTAACCCAACAAAGCAGGGGGTCACTCTCCTACTTGAGAAGCATCCTGCCCCATTGCTGCATTCCTAATCATGTATAGTCACAGCAGACTCACCTCACATTCTCCTGCCAGCCCCGATGGGAGGCATTTTATATACCTTTATTTCTCACAACTCTGAAAGGAGTGCTGTTTTGTGCTCATTTTGCTGATAAGGAAGCTGAGGTTCAGAGAGGTTAAAGGAACTTGCTCCATATCACATAGCTGGTCAGTTTATTGAGTTGAGACAGTAGTCTAACTCCAAAGCCCATAACTGAATTACAATCACTGTGGTTTGAATGTTTGTCCCATCCAAGACTTATGTGAAACTTAATCCCCAATGCGGCAGTATGGAGAAGTGAGGCCTGTAAGAGGTGGCTGGGTCATGAGGACTCTGCCCTCATGAAAGGGTTAATCCATTCATAGGTTGGTGGGCGAATGGGTTATCACAGGAGCAGGACTGGTGGCTTTATAAGAAGAGGAGGAGAGACCTGAGCTGGCATGCTCAGTCCCCTTGCCATGGGATGCCCTGGGTCCAGGACTCTGCAGAGTCCCCACCAGCAAGAAGGCCCTCACCAGATGCAGCCCCTCGACCGTGGGCTTCTCAGCCTCTATAATTGTAAGAAATAAGTTTTCTTTCTTATAAATTACCCAGTTTCAGGCATTCTATTATAAGCAACAGAGAACAGACTAAAACACTACCCTATTCATTATTTATCAAATATTTGAGTATCGGTTTTGTGCCAGGTATTATTTTAGGAGTGGAAATAGAGCAGTGAACATAAAAGAAAAAACAAGTCTGTAAAAAAGCAAGTGGCAGGTAAGGAATCTTACATTCTCACAGGAGTGATACAGATACAAGGCAAATTAATAAAATCAATGTGTCATATAGTGATATTATACTTTGGAGAAAGATAAAGCAAGGAAAATGGACAGAGATTGATGACAGGGAGGGAGGTTGCCATCTTAGATAAGGTGGTCAGAAAAGGCCTCATGGAGAAGGTGCTTTGTAACACAGGCCTGAAGGAGGCATGGGAGTGAGCTGTGCAGGTATCTGGAGGAGGAATGTTCCAGGGAGAGGGACAATAAAGAGACCAGTGGGGCTGGAACAAAGGTGGCCAAGACCACTAGCTGCGCTCAGAGAGGTACAGGCACGCCAGGAACAGCCTCCCTAAGACAATGCGACTGGATACAGTACCCAAGCGTAATGAAAGATGTCAATTCTTTGAAATCCGTAGAAGTTTACCCAGCCGTGGGTGGTTTGGCACCAGGTTTCTCATTCACTCCACATCCACCAAGTCACTTCATCGACCCAACCATGGCAAGTGGCAGGTAAGGGAGGGATGGCCCAATCTTATACGAGGAGAAAATGGAGGCCCAGAGTGCTTCCTTGGCCTAAGAAAACAGTGACTTCCCCACAAGGAGGATCTGTTCTTTGTGTCTTTAGGATTTGGAGGGTGGGGGCAAGAGAGGACAGAGATGACGGTGATCCTCTTTCTTGTTTGCACAGGGGCAGAGGGATATGCTAGTCTGGAGCCAGAAACTACATCCTCCCCAGTCAGTGCTCCCCACAACACCAAGCTCCAGGAACCTAAGGCGCAGGCCTGCACCCGGCCTAGGTGAGCCCAACCTGCGAAGTCCCCGAAGGAGGTGCAAGGGTCGTCAGAACAATAATGCAATATTATCTTTTATATGTCAGTGCAGGTGTAACAACTTTTATCCTGTGCAGAGTCTAAAATTAGGAACAGAAAACACATAACTCGAATACATCTGCAATCAAATCTAATAAATTTAGGTTTGGAATCTAAATTAATACACTCAAGAGCACTCTTTCAACTACTATATATTATATATGTAATTCAGTTAAGGGGAGTCAGGAGAGGTGAAGAGAGAAAGAAGAGGGAGGGAGAGAAGTGTTTTTTGCAATCGTTTATTACTTTTACTTATTTTATTGATAAATGTATCATCCATATGAGAATTTATTAACAAATATTTTTTGGCTTAAAGAATGATAATAAACTCCATGTTACACTACCCATATTAAGAAATTAAGAAATAGACCATTACCAGTTCCCTAAAGGCCTCCCCTTAGTTCCTCCCCTATCTTATCCTCTTCCCCTCAGGAACAACCACTATCCTGACAGCTACCTTAATTACCCATTTGCTTTTCTTTATAGCTGTACCACCTATGTATGCATCCATCCTGCATGCATAGTTTTACTATGTTTAGTTTTACTTAGTTTGACCTTTATATAATGGGCTTGTACTGTTTGTAGTTTACGTTATTTGTTTCTCTCAATCAAGTTGTTTTTGCAATACATTCACGTTGATGAATAAAGCAGTTGTTCATTCTTTTTCAAAGCTTTATTATATTTTATGTTTTTATCTGTCCTACCACGGAGGGTATTGGGTTATTTCCAGTTTGTGCTATTGAATAGCCACAGTGCTGTTATGAACATTCTTTTACACAGGACACATGTGCAAAAGTTTATCATCTAGCTTATATACTAGACATATAAATTGGAATTGCTGGGTCAAAAGACATAATTCCTGGCTGGGCGCAGTGGCTCACGCTTGTAATTCCAGCACTTTGGGAGCCCAAGGCTGGCGGATTATGAGGTCAGGAGTTCGAGACCAGCCTGGCCAACACAGTGAAACCCCATCTCTACTAAAAATACAGAAATCAGCTTGGCATGGTGGTGGGTGTCTGTAATCCCAGCTACTCAGGAGGCTGAGGCAGGAGAATCGCTAGAACCTGGGAGGTGGAGGTTGCAGTGAGCCCAGATTGGGCCACTGCACTCCAGCCTGGGCGACAGAGCTAGACTCCATTAAAAAAAAAAAAAAAAAAAAAAAAAGAGAGACATAATTCCCATGGTCAACCTGATCAGGTAACAGCAGACTTTCTCCAGTTTACACTCCTATCAGTACTCCTATCAGTGGGTGAGAGTTCTCATTTTTTCAGTTTCACCAAAACTTGTAAACAGACTATTAAGTTTTGTCAATCGAATAGAGATGAAATATACAATTGTGGCTCAAATATGCACTTCTAGAGTTACAAATGATGCTAAGTATCTTTTCACAAGTTTATGGGCCAATACTGGTATTATCTCTTGTTTGAAATGTCTTTATTTTTTGCCAATTTTTTTCTTGAGATTTTTTTTTCTCACTGATTTGAAGGGTTTCTCATGAATATTAATTATGTACAATAATTTGACAGATATTCCTGTGGCAAATATTTCTTCTACCCTGTGGCATATCCTTTGACATTCCTTATTGTCTTTTGATGAAAACACATGTCTAATTTTAATATAGTCAAATTTATAATCTTTTCCTTTATGGCTTTGCTTTCGGAATCTTGTTCAAGAAATCCTTCTCTACCTAAGAGGAACAGAGATATTTTCCTACAGCGTCTTCTAAGATTTATAGTTTTGCCACCTACGTATAAACGTCTAATACATCTGGAATTCATTTTTGTATATGGTATAAGGTAGGGATTCAATTTCACTTGGATAACCAATCGTCCCAGAACAACGTATTAAACAGTTTATCTTTAAACTATTGACCTGTAATAACCACTGTGTCATGGATTAAGTTTCCAAATAGGCGTGGGTCTATTGTTTTCTACTATTCTATGTGTCTATTGATACACCAATATCACACTGCTTTAATTACTATAGAGATAATAAGTCTTCAATTCTAATAGGGCACATTTTCTCCCTCCTTTTCCTTCTTCAGCAATGTCTTCACTATTTTTGATTCTTGGCTCATTCACATCAATTTTATAATCACTTTGTCAATTTGCATGAAAAACCCCATTGGGATTTTTATTGAAATACATTGAATCTACAGACTCGATTAACATCTTTGAAATATTATCTTCCTATCCTGGAACATAGCATGTTCATTTATTTATGCCATTTAAAATTTGTTTCAATAAAGTTTCATAATTTCTTCATGTAGTTTTTGCACACTTTTTCTTAGATCTATTTCTGGGTGTTTCATATGTTTGTTGCTATCCAAAACGATATTTGTTGCTATCCAAAACGATATTTGTTTAAAGTAACATTTTCTAATTGACGATAGCTGTTCATGGAAATACAAATAATTTTTTAATGTCGATTATTTTATTCAGAACTTTTGTTAAATTGTTTCATTAATTTTCATAATTTATAGATTATTTGGCAGTTTTATGTTGGCAATTCTATCATCTGCAGTAACGCCAGCTTTGCTTCTCTCTTTCCAATTCTTACATGTTCATTGCACTGACTAGTAGCCCCAGTACAATGATAATTTCTATAAATGATGGCAGTAACAATTTGTCTTGCTTCTGATTTTAAAGAGAATGCTTTCAACATTCCAATATTAATTATGATGTTTCCTGCAGGTCTTTCTAGATGCTCTTTCCAGGGTTATGGATATTTTCCTTCTTTTTCTAGTTAACTAACAGTTTTTTAAAATCACAAATATAAGAGCAAACATGTATTACCAGAAAAGATTGTTCTAAATGCTTTACATATGTAAATTATTTTAATCCTCACAACTTCATAGGTAATACCTATGAAGAAGTTATTATTAATTTTATCTGTATAGATAAGAAACAAAACTGAAGCTCAGAGAGATTAAATAGCTTGCTGAAGGTTATAAAGTTTCTTCACAGTATAATCAGCATTCGAAACCAGGGAGTTTGGCTCCAGAGTCCCTCTTATAACATGCTACTACCTCTCACTGAATGCTGAATTTTATTGAGTCCTTTATCTACATCTACTGAGGTGATTGTATGGTTTTTTTCCTTTATCAATGTGGTGAATTATATTAATCATTTTTCTAATATTAACCCCATTTTGCAACTCTGGTATAAATCTATCTTGGTCATGATGTTAAACATATTTCCTTCTTGCTGAATTCAATTCACTGACATTTGTTAAGAATTTTGTTAAAGATTTTGCATCTATATTACTAAATCAGATTAGCCTGTAAATTTTCTCCTTTGTGCTCTCCTTGTGATTCTAGTGTCAATATTAGGCTAATTTCATTTCATAAATGAAGGAGTATATTAGTCAGCTTAGGCTGCCACAACAAAATATTATAGATTGGGTGGCTTCAACAGCAGAAATTTGTTTATCTTGGTTCTTGGCCAGGAAGTCCAACATAAAGGTGCCGGCTGATTCCACTCCCAGTGAAGGCTCTCTTCCTGGCTTGCAGATGGCACCCTTCCTGCTGTGCACTCACATGGCTTTTCCTTGGTGTGTGCACATGGAGAGGGAGAGAAAGCTCTCTAGTGTCTCTTCTTATAAGGACATTCATCCCACCATGAGGGGCCCACCCTCATGACTTCATCTAACCCTAATTACCTTCCAAAGGCCTCATCTCCATATAACATCGCACTGAGGGTTAGGGCTTCAACATGTATATTTTGGGAGGACATAAACATTCAGTCCATAGCAGGAACTGAATGGACTGGAAAAGTTTGTAAAGATTGTAAATGTTCCTCAAACATTTGGAAGAACTTTCCACCTATCAGATTTTTGGGCTGTGTTTTCTTTGTGGGAAAATGCTTAACTACCAGTGGGATTTATTTGATAATATAGGACTATTCGGGTTTTCTCTCTCTTCTTGAGTCTGTTTTGGTAAATGATTCTTTTTTTCTAGAAATTTACACATGCCATTGACCTTTTCAATTGCATTAACCTATTGTTTTGAATAGTATTATTTATCTCTTCTGAATATGTAAGGGGTCCTCTTTTTCATTCTTAATAATATTTGACATCTCTTTTTTCTTTGATTAATCGTGTCACATTTGTTAATATTAATAGCCACTTCAAAAAGACAATATTTGAGTTTGATTATCCACTCTATAATGTGTTTTAAAATCATTAATTGCTGCCTTTTATTGTTTTCTTCTAAGTTCTTTTACATTTATTTTGTTTTTTTCATTTTTAAAAAGTTATTTTCTATGTTAGGATATGCTAATTGCTGTGACAACCTCCAAATCTCAGTAGTCTAATACAGTAAAAGTTTATTTCTCATATCTCAGTCCAATGCAGGTTGCTCTGGAGGATCTTGCTCCACCCAAAGTCACTCAGGAACTGGAGACGCTTTCATCAATTGGTTCCACTATACTCTGGATTGCAGAGTCCTACAAAAGATGCTTTGCATTCAGCTGGTAGCTGAAGGAGGAGAGAAAGAATGGATGCTTGTACAGGAAGTAACGTTATTCACATTGCTTCTGTCCTTATTCCCTTGACCAGAGCTCAGTCACATGATCATAGCAGATTGTGGGAGTCTGGAAAATTGTCTCTGACATGGATCCTTATCTTATTAGTATTGAACCTTTCTATTCTTTTTCAGAGTAAGCATATAAGCTACAAATTTTCTTCTACATTTTATTTTCACTGGATTCTACAAGTTTTGATATGTAGTTTTAAAAATCATTATTTAGTTCTATATATTTTCTTTTTTATTATGAATTTTTCTTTGCATAATTAATTGTTCAATGGTATGCTTTTGAATTTCCAAATGTATGGACTTTTTATATATCTTTTTTATTTTAAAATATCTATACTGATCATTCTCTCTTGCTTCTCAGAACTTATCTCTAGAATCATTTCTCTTCTATCTGAAGTTAATGAGTGAAAATTATTCAGTTTATTGGTTAATTCTCTCAGCTCTTTTTTGTCCTCATAATAATACATTCAGAGAAGTTAAATTATTGTATTGCCAAGAGATCTATACATGTTAAGGCTTTTGGTATATATTAACTAATTTTCCTGCAGATATATTCTATTAATTTATAGAACAGCAGTATATGAAAGTTTATGTTTTTGATACATTGAAAAATTAGTTATTATAATTCTTTAACTCTTGCTAAACTGATGGGTGACAAGTGGCACATAATTGCAATACATTGCTTCATAATTTTTATAAACTCCCTGATTCCTTTTCGTACAATTGTCTATTACAATGTTGTCCTTTTCTTATTGACTTATGAGAACTCTATTTATTATCAAAATTTGACTGCCATATATGTTGTGAAAATTTTAAACCAATTTTTCATTTGTCTTTTAACTTTGTTTACGGTCGTTTTAAAATTCAAAAGTTATTTTGTTAAGCAGTCAACTCTATAAAAATTTTTGTCTTCGAGGTAAAGGGCTCAGAAAGCCCTTTCCCAGTCCCAAGATGAAATAAACAATAACTTAGATTTTGTTCTTTTACTTTTATATATGCATGTTTTATAACTCTCTTTAATCCATTTGAAATGTATTATGGTGTATGGTATGAGGTAAGCATCCAATTAATTTTTTCCCAACTAGTTGATCAGTTGGTACTATTTCCGTCCTTACTCAAAAAGCTATCTTTATTTCACCTTTAAACTAAGCATTTTGTTTTTTATTTGTTTGAATAAAGTCTTTCTCTCCATCCGTATGGCATTTGGTAGATTTCCTCAACCAAATATGACTAAAAATTGCACTTACATCAAACATTTATTTCATTTTCTGTACATTTGCCTCATAGTCTCTCTTTAAACTCTCTCTCCTTTTTATAAATTAGAGCCAAGAGAGAATAAGATATGTGAGTAATGCTGTCTCTGTATGTGGGCCTTTTGAGAGATTGGGGGGGATCACATCTTGACAAGTAATAAAAAATATTTGAGCTCACTATATGCCAGGGACTGAGCAAAAAGTTGTGAAGACAAGAACAAATAAGATCCAGTACCTACTCTCACGGAGCTAATGTTCTAGCTGGAGAGACAGACAAATACGCAGAAAAGACAAATAACGAAACGGTAGATGCATTCCTTTAACATGGTAAACGATACAGGGATGCCTGTTATCCACGCAACAGTTCAATACAGTGTTGGAAGCAGTAGTCAATGCAATAGGTGAAGAAAATTAGGGTGTAAAAAACAGGAAGAGAAGAAATAAAACTGTATTTTTGCAGATGATATGATAAAATATTTAGACACTGAAAAGATTTAACAAACTATTATAATGAATAAGTTCAGCAAAATTGCTGAATACAAGATTAACTTTTAAAAAATCAATATCATTGTTTTACACCATCAATAACCAACAAAAAATAGAGTAGACAATAGAATGTCATTCATAGTAGTTACAAAAGCTACAAAGTAGCTAGGAATTACTCTAACAAAGGAGGCACATCACATTCGTAGGGAAAATGTAAAATTTAATAAAGGGCATTTAATAAAAGACATTTAATAAAGTCTTTTAAAAGACTTGAATAAGTGAAGAGGTTAAATCTCACTCATCAGTAGAATAACTGAATATTGTAAATTTGTCCATTATCCCCTTTGATTACATTAAATCAATGCAATCTCATTGAAAATTCCAGCAGTATTTTTTAAAACCCAAACTTATACTAAAGTCAATATTGAAAAAATAAAGTTCTACAAATAGCCATGCTAATTTTGTAAAAGAAAACCCAAAAGAGGGATCTAATCTATCAGACATGAAGTCATACTAAAAATTACACCACTATACTACTGATGTGGAAACAGGAAATGGACCAAATAACAGAATACAGAGACCGGAAACATACAAAATTATATAGGAGAACTTTCTCCGGTGTTAACAGAAGAGACTATTGAATAGCATTAGGAAAACTAGATCACTAAATGGAGAGAAATAAAGATAGCTTCTACTTCAATCCATTTATGAAGGTGAACTACAAACAAATTAAAGACCTAAATGTGAAGGTAAAACAGCTAACTGAAGGAAATGTAGTGGGATATCTTTGTGACTTTGGGTTGGGAAGAATTTCTTAAACAAAACTCCCTTGCAACACACACATATATACACACACACGCACAAACTATAAAGAAAAAGAATAATGGATTTTGCTACATCCAAATTAATGATTTTTGTTTACTAAAAAGCACCATAGGTTAAGTTAACAAACATGATAGGTTAGGAGCCTTCTGTTTCTAGCAATATAATGGAAAAAAATATCCTGAAAACCCAGTGCTGCAAAACACCTAAAAAATGCTAGATAAAATATTTTTAAATGTAATTTTAAATGCATAGCTGAGATTGCAAGAAAGAAAGGAAAATCCTCAGAGGCCAAAAATAAACTGGTAGCACAAATCCTGAGTGTCAAGTGAGTGTTGTGCCATCACCAACACTTTCGAGTTTATCAATTTTAATGAAAGGGGTAGAGGGACGTGAAGTAGGACCTTTGGTGAAATAAGCCTTAAAGGATCCAACTGATTCCAAGAAGCTTAACTGTGTGCCAGAACAAAGACCAACACTATTTAAAGGAATGCAACAAAATCAAAGATATAACAGTGTAAATGCACAATGCCAGGCATAAAATAAAACATTACCAGGCATGTCAATGATGAATACATGTCCCATTACCAGGAGAAAATCCATCAAAATAAATATATCCAGAAATTACCCAGAGATGGTAGAATCAGCAGACAAGGATATTAAAACCACCGTTAAAAATGTGCTCCATAAACTCAAGAAGGTAGAAACACGTCAATATGGTAAGAGAAACAAAAGATACATACCTTCAAATCTCTAGAAGTTCTAGAGATTTAAAGGATACAGCATCTGAAATGAAAAACATACAAAATGAGATCACCAGTAGTTTAGACACTGCAGAAGAAAAAAATTCAATGAACTTCAATACATAGCTATTGAAGCACAGAGAAAAATGGAATGAAAAACAAACAAACAAAAAGAATAGAGCCCTAATGAGCTGTGTTCAAATGTCAAGCATTCTAACCTAAGTGAAATTGGAGCCACAAAAGTAGAGGTACAGAAAAATATTTGAATAAATAATAGCCAAACATTTCTAAATTTGATGAAAATTACAACCCACAAATCCTTCCCAACAAAGAAAACCCCAGGCCCAGGGGTTTTATTAGTAAATTCTACCAAACACTTAAGGAAGATACAACATAACTCTATACAAACTTTTCCAGAAAATAGAAGAGGAGTAAGTAATAAAGAGTCTAAAAGTAGACCCACACATACGGTCAGTTGACTTTCAACAACCCCACAAGGTGAATAATCACAAAGAAAATCCCTCCAAGATATATTGTAATTAAATTGCTGATAAGGAGAAAATATTAAAAGCAGAGAGAAGTGTTCTTTGTACCTAAGAACAAAGATAAGAATGATAGCTGACATTTCAACAAAAATTGCAAGTCAAAAGATAACTAAGGGGAGGGTAGCCAAGATGGCCGAATAGGAACAGCTCCAGTCTACAGCTCCCAGCATGAGCAATGCAGAAGACGGGTGATTTCTGCATTTCCATCTGAGGTACCAGGTTCATCTCACTAGGGAGTGCCAGACAGTGGGCGCAGGACAGTGGGTGCAGCGCACCGTGTGTGAGCCAAAGCAGGGCGAGGCATTGCCTTACTCAGGAAGTGCAAGGGGTCAGGGAGTTCCCTTTCCTAGTCAAAGAAAGGGGTGACAGACGGCACCTGGAAAATCGGGTCACTCCCACCCTAATACTGCGCTTTTCTGACGGGCTTAAAAAACGGTGCACCAGGAGATTATATCCCACACCTGCCTTGGAGGGTCCTACGCCCATGGAGTCTCACTGATTGCTAGCACAGCAGTCTGAGATCAAAGTGCACGGTGGCAGCGAGGCTGGGGGAGAGGCGCCCGCCATTGCCCAGGCTTGCTTAGGTAAACAAAGCAGCCAGAAAGCTCGAACTGGGTGAAGCCCACCACAGCTCAAGGAGGCCTGCCTGCCTCTGTAGGCTCCCCCTCTGGGGGCAGGGCACAGACAAACAAAAAGACAGCAGTAACCTCTGCAGACTTAAATGTCCCTGTCTGACAGCTTTGAAGAGAGCAGTGGTTCTCCCAGCACGCAGCTGGAGATCTGAGAATGGTCAGACTGCCTCCTCAACTGGGTCCCTGACCCCTGATCCCTGAGCAGCCTAACTGGAAGGCACCCCCCAGTAGGGGCAGACTGACACCTCACACGGCCGGGTACTCCTCTGAGACAAAACTTTCAGAGGAACGATCAGCCAGCAGCATTTGTGGTTCACAAAAATCTGCTGTTCTGCAGCCACCACTGCTGATACCCAGGCAAACAGGGTCTGGAGTGGACCTCTAGCAAACTCCAACAGACCTGCAGCTGAGGGTCCTGTCTGTTAGAAGGAAAACTAACAAACAGAAAGGACATCCATACCAAAAACCCATCTGTACATCGCCATCATCAAAGACCAAAAGTAGATAAAACCACAAAGATGGGGAAAAAACAGAGCAGAAAAACTGGAAACTCTAAAAAGCAGAGTGCCTCTCCTCCTCCAAAGGAATGCAGTTCCTCACCAGCAACGGAACAAAGCTGGACAGAGAATGACTTTGACGAGTGGAGAGAAGGCGGCTTCAGACGATCAAACTACTCCGAGCTACAGGAGGAAATTCAAACCAAAGGCAAAGAAGTTAAAAACTTTGAGAAAAATTTAGACAAATGTATAACTAGAATAACCAATACAGAGAAGTGCTTAAAGGAGCTGATGGAGCTGAAAGCCAAGGCTCGAGAACTACGTGAAGAATGCAGAAGCCTCAGGAGCCAATGCGATCAACTGGAAGAAAGGGTATCAGTGATGGAAGATGAAAGGAATGAAATGAAGTGAGAAGGGAAGTTTAGAGAAAAAAGAATAAAAAGAAATGAACAAAGCCTCCAAGAAATATGGGACTATGTGTAAAGACCAAATCTACGTCTGATTGGTGTACCTGAAAGTGACGGGGAGAATGGAACCAAGTTGGAAAACACTCTGCAGGATATTATCCAGGAGAACTTCCCCAATCTAGCAAGGCAGGCCAACATTCAGATTCAGGAAATACAGAGAACGCCACAAAGATACTCCTCGAGAAGAACAACTCCAAGACACATAATTGTCAGATTCACCAAAGTTGAAATGAAGGAAAAAATGTTAAGGGCAGCCAGAGAGAAAGGTCAGCTTACCCACAAAGGGAAGCCCATCAGACTAACAGCTGATCTCTCGGCAGAAACTCTACAAAGAAGAGAGTGGGGGCCAATATTCAACATTCTTAAAGAAAAGAATTTTCAACCCAGAATTTCATCTCCAGCCAAACTAAGCTTCATAAGTGAAGGAGAAATAAAATACTTTACAGACAAGCAAATACTGAGAGATTTTGTCACCACCAGGCCTGCCCTAAAAGAGCTCCTGAAGGAAGCGCTAAACATGGAAAGGAACAACCATTACCAGCCGCTGCAAAATCATGCCAAAATGTAAAGACCATCGAGACTAGGAAGAAACTGCATCAACTAAGGAGAAAATAACCAGCTAACATCATAATGGCAGGATCAAATTCACACATAACAATATTAACTTTAAATGTAAATGGACTAAATGCTCCAAATAAAAGACACAGACTGGCAAATTGGATAAGGAGTCAAGACCCATCAGTGTGCTGTATTCAGGAAACCCATCTCACGTGCAGAGACACACATAGGCTCAAAATAAAAAAATGGAGGAAGATCTACCAAGCAAATGGAAAACAAAAAAAGGCAGGGGTTGCAATCCCAGTCTCTGATAAAACAGACTTTAAACCAACAAAGATCAAAAGAGACAAAGAAGGCCATTACATAATGGTAAAGGGATCAATTCAACAAGAAAAGCTAACTATCCTAAATGTATATGCACCCAATACAGGAGCACCCAGATTCATAAAGCAAGTCCTGAGTGACCTACAAAGAGACTTAGACTCCCACACAATAATAATGGGAGACTTTAACACCCCACTGTCAACATTAGACAGATCAAAGAGACAGAAAGTTAACAAGGATACCCAGGAATTGAACTCAGCTCTGCACCAAGCGGACCTAATAGACATCTACAGAACTCTCCACCCCAAATCAACAGAGTATACATTTTTTTCAGCACCACACCACACGTATTCCAAAACTGACCACATAGTTGGAAGTAAAGCTCTCCTCAGCAAATGTAAAAGAATAGAAATTATAACAAACTGTCTCTCAGACCACAGTGCAATCAAACTAGAACTCAGGATTAAGAAACTCACTCAAAACCGCTCAACTACATGGAAACTGAACAACCTGCTCCTGAATGACTACTGGGTACATAACGAAATGAAGGCAGAAATAAAGATGTTCTTTGAAACCAACAAGAACAAAGACACAACATACCAGAATCTCTGGGACACATTCAAAGCAGTGTGTAGAGGGAAATTTATAGCACTAAATGCCCACAAGAGAAAGCAGGAAAGATCCAAAATTGACACCCTAACATCACAATTAAAGGAACTAGAAAAGCAAGAGCAACCACATTCAAAAGCTAGCAGAAGGCAAGAAATAACTAAAATCAGAGCAGAACTGAAGGAAATAGAGACACAAAAAACCCTTCAAAAAATTAATGAATCCAGGAGCTGGTTTTTTGAAAGGATCAACAAAATTGATAGACCACTAGCAAGACTAATAAAGAAGAAAAGAGAGAAGAATCAAATAGACGCAATAAAAAATGATAAAGGGGATATCACCACCAATCCCACAGAAATACGAACTACCATCAGAGAATACTACAAACACCTCTACACAAATAAACTAGAAAATCTAGAAGAAATGGATAAATTCCTTGACACATACACCCTCCCAAGACTAAACCAGGAAGAAGTTGAATCTCTGAATAGACCAATAACAGGCTCTGAAATTGTGGCAATAATTAATAGCTTACCAACCAAAAAGAGTCCAGGACCAGATGGATTCACAGCCGAATTCTACCAGAGGTACAAGGAGGAACTGGTACCATTCCTTCTGAAACTACTCCAATCAATAGAAAAAGAGGGAATCCTCCCTAACTCATTTTATGAGGCCAGCATCATCCTGATACCAAAGCCGGGAAGAGACACAACCAAAAAAGAGAATTTTAGACCAATATCCTTGATGAACATTGATGCAAAAATCCTCAATAAAATACTGGCAAACCGAATCCAGCAGCACATCAAAAAGCTTATCCACCATGATCAAGTGGGCTTCATCCCTGGGATGCAAGGCTGGTTCAATATATGCAAATCAATCAATGTAATCCAGCATATAAACAGAGCCAAAGACAAAAACCATATGATTATCTCAATAGATGCAGAAAAGGCCTTTGACAAAATTCAACAACGCTTCATGCTAAAAACTCTCAATAAATTAGGTATTGATGGGATGTATCTCAAAATAATAAGAGCTATCTATGACAAACCCACAGCCAATATCATACTGAATGGGCAAAAACTGGAAGCATTCCCTTTGAAAACTGGCACAAGACAGGGATGCCCTCTCTCACCACTCCTATTCAATATAGTGTTGGAAGTTCTGGCCAGGGCGATTAGGCAGGAGAAGGAAATAAATTGTATTCAATTAGGAAAAGAGGAAGTCAAATTGTCCCTGTTTGCAGATGACATGATTGTATATCTAGAAAACCCCATTGGTTCAGCCCGAAATCTCCTTAAGCTGATAAGCAACTTCAGCAAAATCTCAGGATACAAAATCAATGTACAAAAATCACAAGCATTCTTATACACCAATAACAGACAAACAGAGAGCCAAATCATGAGTGAACTCCCATTCACAATTGCTTCAAAGAGAATAAAATACCTAGGAATCCAACTTACAAGGGATGTGAAGGACCTCTTCAAGGAGAACTACAAACCACTGCTCAAGGAAATAAAAGAGGATACAAAGAAATGGAAGAACATTCCATGCTCATGGGTAGGAAGAATCAATATCATGAAAATGGCCATACTGCCCAAGGTAATTTATAGATTCAATGCCATCCCCATCAAGCTACCAATGACTTTCTTCACAGAATTGGAAAAAACTACTTTAAAGTTCATATGGAACCAAAAAAGAGCCCGCATCGCCAAGTCAATCCTAAGCCAAAAGAACAAAGCTGGAGGCATCACGCTACCTGACTTCAAACTATACTACAAGGCTACAGTAACCAAAACAGCATGGTACTGGTACCAAAACAGAGATATAGATCAATGGAACAGAACAGAGCCCTCAGAAGTAATGCCACATATCTACAACTATCTGATCTTTGACAAACCTGAGAAAAACAAGCAATGGGGAAAGGATTCCCTATTTAATAAATGGTGCTGAGAAAACTGGCTAGCCATATGTAGAAAGCTGAAACTGGATCCCTTCCTTACACCTTATACAAAAATTAATTCAAGGTGGATTAAAGACTTAAATGTTAGACCTAAAACCATAAAAACTCTAGAAGAAAACCTAGGCATTACCATTCAGGACATAGGCATGGGCAAGGACTTCATGTCTAAAACACCAAAAGCAATGGCAACAAAAGCCAAAATTGACAAATGGGATCTAATTAAACTAAAGAGCTTCTGCACAGCAAAGAAACTACCATCAGAGTGAACAGGCAACCTACAAATTGGGAGAAAATTTTTGCAACCTACTCATCAACAAAGGGCTAATATCCAGAATCTACAATGAACTCAAACAAATTTACAAGAAAAAAACAAACAACCCCATCAAAAAGTGGGCAAAGGACATGAACAGACACTTCTCAAAAGAAGACATTTATGCAGCCAAAAAACACATGAAAAAATGCTCATCATCGCTGGCCATCAGAGAAATGCAAATCAAAACCACAATGAGATACCATCTCACACCAGTTAGAATGGCAATCATTAAAAAGTCAGGGAACAACAGGTGCTGGAGAGGATGTGGAGAAATAGAAACACTTTTACACTGTTGGTGGGACTGTAAACTAGTTCAACCATGGTGGAAGTCAGTGTGGCGATTCCTCAGGAATCTAGAACTAGAAATACCATTTGACCCAGCCATCCCATTACTGGGTATATACCCAAAGGACTATAAATCATGTTGCTATAAAGACACATGCACACGTATGTTTATTGCGGCACTATTCACAATAGCAAGGACTTGGAACCAACCCAAATGTCCAACAATGATAGACTGGATTAAAAAAATGTGGCACATATACACCATGGAATACTATGCAGCCATAAAAAATTATGAGTTCATGTTCTTTGTAGGGACATGGATGAAATTGGAAATCATCATTCTCAGTAAACTATCGCAAGGACAAAAAACCAAACACCGCATGTTCTCACTCATAGGTGGGAACTGAACAATGAGAACACATGGACACAGGAAGGGGAACATCACACTCTGGGGACTGTTGTGGGGTGGGGGGAGAGGGGAGGGATAGCATTAGGAGATATACGTAATGCTAAATGACGAGTTAATGGGTGCAGCACCTCAGCATGGCACATGTATACATATGTAACTAACCTGCACATTGTGCACATGTACCCTAAAACTTAAAGTATAATAATAATAAAATAAAAATAAAAAAAGAAAATGAAAGGAACTGTGAAATGAAAAAAAAAGATAAGTGAGAAAAGATAATGAGGTAACAGATTAAGAATAAAAAGAAGATACATGTTTCTACTATGAAGAATGAAAGAGGATATCACTACAGAGCCTACAGATAGTAAAATGATTATAAGGGAATATTATAAACAACTTTGTACCAACAAATTCAACAATGTAGATGAAATTGACAAATTCTTTAAAAGTCGCAAGTTATCAAAGTTCATTCAGGAAGTCACTGGTAGCTTGGATAGCCCTATATATTTGTTGAAAAAATTGAATCTGAGGTCAAATCCTTCCCACAAACAAAACTCCAGGTCCAGTGGCTTTATTGGTAAATTCTACCAAACATTTAACGAAGATGTAACATCAACTCTAAACAAACTTTTCCAGAAAATAGAAGAGGAGTAAGTAATAAAGAGTCTAAGACGACCCACACATGTATGGTCAATTGACTTTCAACAAGCATTCCAAGGTAATTCAATGGAGAAAAAGAAACTCTGACAAAAAAAAACCCCCCAGCTTGACTCTTAATACCTCACACCACACACACCACATACAAAAATTAACTTAAAATGCATAGAATGAAATGCAAGAAGTAAAACCATAACACTTCTAGAAGAAAACAGGAGAAAAATCTTTGTGACCTTGATTAGGCAACTCCTATTCTTAATTTACAAATGAGGAACAAGGCATAGATAGGTTAAAGATCTTGCGCAACTAGTTAGTAGTGGAACTAGTCTTTAAACCCTTAAACTTATGCTTAGATGCTTTTTTTTTTTCATTATACTTTAAGTTCTAGGGTACATGTGCACAACATGCAGGTTAGTTACATAGGTATACATGTGCCATGTTGGTTTGCTGCACCCATCAACTCGTCATTTACATTAGCTATTTCTCCTAATGCTATCCCTCCCCCAGCCCCCCACCCTCCAACAGGCCCTCATGTGTGATGTTCCCCACCCTCTGTCCAAGTTTTCTCATTGTTCCATTCCCACCTGTGAGTGAGAACAAGCAGTGTTTGGTTTTCTGTCCTTGTGATAGTTTGCTGAGGATGATGGTTTCCAGCTTCACCCATGTCCCTGCAAAGGACATGAACTCATCCTTTTTTATGGCTGCATAGTATTCCATGGTGTATATATGCCACATTTTCCTAATCCAGTCTATCATTGATGGACATTTGGGTTGGTTCCAAGTCTTTGCTATTGTGAATAGTGTTGCAATAAACATACGTATGCATATGTGTTTATAGTAGCATGATTTATAATCCTTTGGGTATATACCCAGTAATGGGATCGCTGGGTCAAATGGTATTTCTAGTTCTAGATCCTTGAGGAATAACCACACTGTCTTCCACAATGGTTGAACTCCCACCCACCAACCAACAGTGTAATTTACACTCCCACCAACAGTGTAAAAGTGTTCCTATTTCTCCACATCCTCTCCTGCATCTGTTGTTTCCTGATTTTTTAATGATCGCCACTCTAACTGGTATGAGATGGTATCTCATTGTGGTTTTGATTTGCATTTCTCTGATGACCAGAGATGATGAGCATTTTTCCACGTGTTTGTTGGCTACCTAAATGTCTTCTTTTGAGAAGTGTCTGTTCATATCCTTTGCCCACTTTTTGATGGGCTTGTTTGTTTTTTTCTTGTAAACTTGTTTAAGTTCCTTTTAAATTCTGGATATTAGCCCTTTGTCAGATGGGTAGATTGCAAACATTTTCTCCCATTATATAGGTTGCCTGTTCACTCTGATGGTAGTTTCTTTTGCTGTGCAGAAGCTCTTTAGTTTAAGTAGATCCCATTTGTCTGTTTTGGCTTTTGTTGCCATTGCTTTTGGTGTTTTAGTCATGAAATCTTTGCCCATGCCTATGTCCTGAATGATATTGCCTAGGTTTTCTTCTAGGGTTTTTATGGTTTTAGGTCTAACATTTAAGTCTTTAATCCATCTTGAATTAATTTTTGTATAAGGTGTAAGGAAGGGATCCAGTTTCAGCTTTCTACATATGGCTAGCCAGTTTTTCCAGCACCATTTATTAAATAGGGAATCTTTTTGCCATTTCTTGTTTTTCTCAGGTTTGTCAAAGATCAGATGGTTTTAGATGTGTGGTGCTATTTCTGAGGCCTCCGTTCTGTTCCATTGGTCTATATCTCTGTTTTGGTACCAGTACCATGCTGTTTTGGTTACTGTAGCCTTGTAGTATAGTTTGAAGTCAGGTAGCATGACACTTCCAGCTTTGTTCTTTTTGCTTAGGATTGTGGATATGTGGGCTCTTTTTTGGTTCCATATGAACTTTAAAGTAGTTTTTTCCAATTCTGTGAAGAAAGTCATTGGTAGCTTGATGGAGATGGCATTGAATTTATAAATTACTTTGGGCAGTATGGCCATTTTCACAATACTGATTCTTCCTATCCATGAGCATGGAGTGTTTTTCCACTTGTTTGTGTCCTCTTTTATTTCATTGAGCAGTGGTTTGTAGTTCTCCTTGAAGAGGTCCTTCATATCCCTTGTAAGTTGGATTCCTAGGTATTTTATTCTCTTTGTAGCAATTGTGAATGGGAGTTCACTCATGATTTGGCTCTCTGTTTTTCTGTTATTGGTGTATAGGAATGCTTGTGATTTTTGTACATTGGTTTTGTATCCTGAGACTTTGCTGAAGTTGCTTATCAGCTTGAGATTTCGGGCTGAACCAATGGGGTTTTCTAGATATACAATCATGTCATCTGCAAACAGGGACAATTTGACTTCCTCTTTTCCTAATTGAATACCCTTTATTTCTTTCTCTTGCCTGATTGCCCTGGCCAGAACTTCCAACACTATGTTGAATAGGAGTGGTGAGAGAGGGCATCCTTGTCTTGTGCCAGTTTTCAAAGGGAATGCTTCCAGTTTTTGCCCATTCAGTATGATATTGGCTGTGGGTTTGTCACAAATAGCTCTTATTATTTTGAGATACGCTCAGATTCTATACTTGACTGGCAGGGACTTTTTTTGGCTTTGTGTGGAAATGAATGAAAATGCCATGACCATTCCTTTTGTCTTCATATCCCACCCCAGTTACAGAAGTATGCTAGCCCCTCCCAGGGACACCTAACTTGGCCTGCCCCAGGATATTGGCACTCTGCTGTCCACTGCCAAAAGAGACAACTGCTTTCCACTGTCCCAGGCCTCCAAGGGCAGGAACTCCACCTCCATCGTGGTTGGCGCCCAGAGCACACATGCACCTGTAAATTTGGTCCTAGAATGTTTCCCTTTGGCATTAGACCAAAGGGCTGTGATAGCTACATAGGTCACCCTGAATTGTCTAATCTGAACCATTTGCCAGCCCTCGAACCCAATTTGTGCTTCCCTACCTCCTTGCCTTTGCTCATGGTGTTCTCCACCGTGATACACCCTTGCCCATTCCTGCCTGTCCAGTTGCTACTTTTCCCTCAAGCATGTTACCACTTTACGAAGCCCTCCTTGAGGTTCTCAGTCTGCAGCATCTCTCCTCCTCTGAACTCCTCTAGACTTTATTGGTGCCTTTCTTAGAATATGCATCACAGGCTACCTTGGATTATGGCTCTTGGTATTCAAGTCTTGCGTCCCTGCCATGGATCCCTTGGCTATAGGACTCATATCTGAGTCATCTTCATCTCCGCCTCCACAGTGCCTGATCCAGGCTCATAAAAAAAAAATGAAGGTGTCTTATGAAGCCATCATGAGTTATAGTCTTTTGTCCTTATATTGCCTCAATAGGTCAGTCCCCTGTAGCCCACCCTTAGAGGTACAGAAAGGTCTCTCTTCTCATCCTCAATATGAGTGTCTGCTCAGAGCTAGGCATGCCACAGGCACTGGGTCACCCCCTCTGTGCAAACGACCTCTTCTCTGCATTTCTGAAACCACAGACTATTGGCCTGAGGCCCTGCCCTCCTTCAACTCCAGGACCGTGCAGCATGGAAAGAACTCATGAGAACTGCCCCACACAGGCTGAGGTGTCCAGCCACTGCCTCTCAGTTTCTAAGAACTTCCTTCTTTTCCTATGGCCATGGTGTTGGCCTGCTGTGTTAGCAAGGTAGAGATAACAAGAGAAATTCCAAGGAAAACAGCTCATGCAGGTTTCTTTGGTAGGGGAAGGAATGAGCTATAAAAGGTTGTCTGGTGTGTGTCCCTGCCTCTGGGGGACACTCTTGGTCTATTTTAGGTGAACAGTTCTCTCTCCGGTTCAGAGAACCTTCCCTTGGTCACATATTCTCACTCTTCAGAAACAGATTTTTGGCATTAACCCTTCCTCCTGTGATTCACCCTCCTTCCTTCATGCATCTGACCTGCAGTTAGTGGCAAAGGGAGGCTGAGGGAAGCAGAAGCCAGGATCTGAGCAGAGGGAGTGAAGGGCAGACAGTGTTCTAGCTCATCGGGTCACCTGCTGGGCCTCAGAGCTGATGCCCTGGGAGAGAGTGGGGTTCAGCCTTCCCCGGGGCTCCTTCCTTTCTTTTGGCTCCTGGAAACTCTGGAATATTTCCTGGGAGCCTGAGAGTTTGGGGGCCATGCCTTGAGGATAATGGAGTGCAAGAGTTCTGGGGGCAGTGGTGGGGTGACCCACCTGGGAAAGGGAGGCATCCCATCCCTCCTGTGACATGGGGCAGTGGGGACTGTGAAGAAGGTGAGGAGGCCTCATGCAGCCTTGAGTGAGAGTCACCCTCATGCACTTGAGAGCCTCTTTCTTCCCCTTCTGACAGGGGCATAGATCCTGGAGTAGGATTCTCCCCAACTCAGACTCTTTCTGGTCCCGGGGAGTGACGGACATAGGCCAACCCTAGGCAACCCCAGCCCTGTGGTCCCCACACACGTAACACCTGGGGAGGCCTCCAGCCCTGCTGCTCACAGGATTTCTGCCAGTCAGAAGAGTGCAGGAAACAAAGGCCAGGAGGAAGAGAAGCCTCTCCATTACCCTCTAACCCTTCTTGGCTTTCTCGCCCTTGCAATCAACTATGTAGGCCTGGGCTGCAGGAGAAGAGTCCAGTTCTGAGCCCGTTCTTCCTCTATCCAGAACCCACCCATCCTCCCAACTGAAGCCTGGAATAAAGGCTCCGCTTTGGAAATCTTTCCTCCAACACACCCACCCCAAGTAAATTTGCCAATGATCTGCCTGTATTAGCCTAATGTTTTAATGAAGAAACGCATAGAAAGCACTTGCTGCACCCCTGGAATCTCTTGAATCCAGGAGGTGGAGGCTGCCCCCACCCACACACACGACCTTGATGCCCTAGTCCTCACCCAGGTCCTCTGACCTCCTCTCCTCTTCCCTCCCAGTGGTCACAGCAGGCCCAGCTGTGCCCACCCTCCCTCCAAACGGCTCAGCCCAGGAAAATAAGGAGCCGGCCCATCCTGCAGGCAGGTGCCCTCTGGATCTCCTGAAGCGAAGAAGAAAGAAACCCATATGGTGAGGGTCCAGGAGGTTCGCTGTCATTCTGTTGAGTGACTTAGCTTGGAGCCAGGAGGTGGAATGCCCTCCTCCCTTGTTTTTCTTCCCCAAGGACTTCACGTCCTCCTGGCCAAAACCTCGCCAGGCATCTTCTCACTCCCATTTTCCTGGGGCTCTGGGCACAGCCTCCATCCTTGGGATTGGCTTCCCGGGCCAGTGCAGGTGTCGGAAGTGAAGCTTCAAGGGTCCAGGACCATCCCAGGGTGAGGTGAGGCTAGGTGCTGGGTTCTGCAAGACACAGGATATTCCAGTTGGTTCAGAGGGGCAGCCACCCCACCCTGCATCTGTTCAGTGGTGAAGAAAACTCAGAATGGGGCTTAGACTACAGGCTCTGCCATCAGGGGGTGTGGGTTCAAATCTGGAGCCACCACGTGCTCTCTAAGCTTGGGCAAAGCCCTTTGCTGGCCCCTCGGGGAACCATAATCACCCCCAATGCCATCTTCGTTCCGGGACTACATGTGTACACAAGCTGGGGTGTTTCGAGAGTGGCTTCCTAAATGCCTAAGCACAGGTGCTACAGAGAGGAGAGATGCTCTGCTCCAGTGCAAAGGGGCCGTTTTTCCACAAAGGTCAATTGAGGCTTGCCTTTTATTGCTATTCAAAATATAAGGTGTTTTAAGTACTATCGAAGGAAAAACCTTTATTAACATATATATCTGTGCTACTGAAAAGGAGACTACCAATGAGAGAATCAGCATGGCTTTCTAGGCACTAAGTGTTCATATCTTGACATACTTAAGAAACAGCAATACGGATGCCTGTTCATCTCTCAGCCTGCAATGTGTAGCGTGGCCCCACTGGGAAGCTTAGGTGAGCAGTACACAGCCCTTCAATCAAGAGTTGCTCACCAAGTTCAAATACCTCATTTTAAAAGTGGGCAAATCTGCCGGGCACAGTGGCTCACACCTGTAATCCTAGCTCTTTGGGAGGCCGAGGCGGGTGGATCACCTGAGGTCAGGAGTTTGAGACCAGTCTGGCCAATATGATGAAACCCCCCTTCTATTAAAAATACAAAAAAATCCGCCAGGTGTGGTGGCGGATGCCTGTAATCCCAGCTATTCAGGAGGCTGAGGCAGGAGAATCTCTTGAATCCAGGAGGTGGAGGCTGCAGTGAGCCGAGATCATGCCATTGCACTCCAACCTGGGCAACAAGAGCGAAACTCCGTCTCAAAAAAAAAAAAACTAAAAATAAAAATAAATTTTTTAAAAAGTGGGCAAATAAAGACCACATGTGGGCCGGTGTTGGTAGGTTAAATAGCTGAAAGTTCATAGAGTCAGGCAGAGAGTCCTGGTCTCCTGACTCCCGGCTGAATCCCTCTAGGCACCCCCCGGAGCCTCCCTGACAGGCAGGTGGTTGCTCTCCTGGCTCTCCTTCCTGCCCCACTGCCAGGGCAGCCACCATTACCTATGACAATGAGGGTGGCAGTGCTGACTGCCTGGCCCAGCGTGTTCTCAGCCACAGCCTTGTACTCCCCGCTGTCCTTCGGGGATACGCTGGGGATGGTGAGGGAGCACACGCCCAGCAGGTCAGTGCTGTACACCGCGGGGTTTCCTTCCAGGCTGCGGTCATTCTTGAACCAGGTGACGTGGGGCCGGGGCGAGCCCTGCACGGCACAGCTCATGCAGCACTCGCAGCCCTGGGGCAGCAGGTGGGACCGCAGGCCCACCAGGAACCGGGGCTTCTGGCTCAGGTCGGGCTCCCGGTAGCACGGAGCCTTCACTGTGAACCTGTCTGTGGTGAAAGCCGGGGTGAGAGAAGAGGGTGAGAAAGCGAGGAAGGCCTGGCTGAGACCCGGGTCTGGGTAAAGAGTTCATGAAGCTACCATGTAGGCCTTATCTGGGATTTCCTGCCACATCTTGCCTGCAAATTTGGACCCCAAGGCTTGCCTCATTCTATCCTTTTCCTAAAATTCTTTATGGATTTTTTTTTGTAGCTAATACACATTCACTGTGGACAATTAGAATACACAGAGAATCAAAGGAGAAAGAATAAAAACCAAATCATAATCTCACTACCTATAGATGACTATAGCTGACATTCTGGTGTAGAGCTTTCCTGAAATTTTTGTATTTTATGAAAATGAAACCTTGATTTGATTTTATAGCCTGCTTTTCTGTGACTGATCTTAAGGTCCACATCTACTTTGCGGTAAAATATACACTTTGTTTTCAGAGAAACATTAACCTCTATTTGCCTTATTGTCTGTGGCTGCTTTTGAAAATCCTCCCAAAGGCACCTCAGACACCAAAACACCCACACCAATCTCATTCTTCCCACGGAGGTCGGGGTGCAGAGGATGCCAGAACAGGTGGGTGTGAGGCAGGAGCGGGAGGAGCAGCAGCTCGGGGCTGCTGGCTGTTATTTGGCATGCTCCAGGCCATCCCTGCCACAGTCCCTATCCTGCGCGCTTGCCATGCTTGGGTGCATCCCACTGCATTGCAGAGCGCAACCCCCACCCTGCCTGCTCCTCCCTCTCAGGGGCTGCTTACCGCGCTGCCGGGGGATGCACCAGGGCTGGCTGGTGTCCGAGGGTTTGCTGGCCCCCAGCTCATTCTTGGCCACCACCCTGAAGTGGTATTCGTGGCCGGGGAGGATGCCCAGGAGGGTGAAGCGGTTGGTGTGGATGCGGTCGGCTGCCTCGTGCCAGGGACCGTGCGCTGAGGAGCGTGTGAACACCGCGTAGTGCAGCGGGACATCCTGGGCCTCGTCAGGAGAGGGTTCCCACTCGGCCGTCACCGTCCCAGGCACGTTCTCCTGCAGGTGGATGGGCCCAGGGGCCTGCGGGCATGCTTCAGGAGAGACGGCAGAGGGAGGTCACGTGGAGGGGACCCAGCAGGGCTGCTACCAGCCCCCTCCAGGTCCCAGGACTTCTGAGGGTCCTGGGGAACGCAGTCTTGCCACACAAGTAGCTGGACCCAGAGTAAGCTTGGCCAGCGGTCCACAGTTATCTCTAGAGGGTAGAAAATCTCCCCAAAAGAGTAATTTTAATTCACTTCAGTGTGTTTGTTTGTTTGTTTTTTGAGACGGAGTCTGGCTCTGTCACCCAGGCTGGAGTGCAGTGGCACGATCTCGGCTCACTGCAAGCTCCAACTCCCGGGTTCACGCCATTCTCCTGCCTCAGCCTCCCAAGTAGCTGGGACTACAGGCGGCCACCACCACGCTCGGCTAATTTTTTGTATTTTTCGCAGAGATGGGGTTTCACTGAATTCACTTCAGTTTTTAAGTAAAATGACACAGGACAAGGCATGCATTTTTGGACAGAGGCAGGGCTCTCATGAAGCTGCATTACAGAGCCCCCACTGTTAGTCTATTTGATCATTTCTGGATATCCAGAAGCTCCTCCAGGGCAGGGGCTGTGTGGAGCCACAGCTGGGGAGGAAAGCCTTTATCCTGTGCAACGGCTGCAGACAATTTTGTCCCCTGGGTCTTTGGAGTGATGTAACAGTGGTAACCGCCTCTGCTCACTGACTCAACGGGAAGGATAACTGAGGTCGGAGAGGAGACATGACATGACTGTCTCTAGGCTCCTGAGGCAGAAGGACAATGGAAGTCCCCAGGGGATCTTCTGGGGTCCTTTCTACTTTCTATCATCAAGCATGGAGGAAAGGTGGAGAATGGTCACTTTGCATACCCAGCCCTGGTAGAGTGGCTGAGACCTATGATCAGACCAGTGGACACCTCTTTGCCTTGGTGAGTGGCCGAGCCAGCGTCCAGAGCCCAGAGCAAGGCCTGCCTCACCTGCCACCCTGATACGGAAGCTGTGGGCAACCTCCTTCCCCTGCAGGGTCCTCAGCACCACAGTGTAGAGACCACTGTCTGAGAGTCCAGCCACAGGGATCAGAAGCTGGGTGAGGCCATCCTTAGTGACAGTCACACTTCTTTTGGGCAAGGGCAAGCCATCCTTCAGCCAGGTCACCTCAGGCATGGGCATGGCCTGAGAAAGGAGAGGAAGGAAAAGTTGAGAAGGGGAAGCTGGCAGTTTCATGGAGGTGATGGCATTTAAGCTAGGCCAAAGGTAGAAGCGGTGAGAAGAGTCTTCTACAAGGAGAAAGTCGACCAGAAAACACAACGTCGACAAGAAAACACAGGTGGGAAAGAGGGGTGGTGATAAAGTGTGAGGTTGGCAGGCGGGTATGGTAGGGGGGCGGTAGAACAAGAAAGGAAGTTGGACGAAGAGGTTCGGCAAAAATGCAAAGTGCCCTCCACGTCACACCTCTACAGACATCTGGACATTATCCTCTCAGCCAGGAGCCGCTGTTGTCAGATTCTGAGCAGGAAAGCAT
The DNA here is from genome assembly GCF_000001405.40 of Homo sapiens. NCBI lineage: Eukaryota > Metazoa > Chordata > Mammalia > Primates > Hominidae > Homo > Homo sapiens. Next base: position 201,224,329 of record NC_000001.11, on the reverse strand, counting down.
AATGAGTTCTGGATTCACATGGCAGGGGGTGGGATGGGAATGAGAAGGGATGTGTGGGGAGGGGAGTGTTAACCACCCTGGCAGCCAAGACCATGTAGGAGATAATTTGGCAATAGTCTAGGAGGAAGATTGCGGTGTCCTGGCCTTGAACTGTGGTGACCCTGAGCAGGGTGGGAAGGCCAGCCCAGCTGCTTGGTGACCATGCCGTCAACTCCCTACGGGGCCCTCAGTACAGGGCACGGTGGGCACCAGAGTCAAACGAAGATGCTGATAGTCACTAACTGACCTCACAGGATTGTTCTGAGAATTTAAGGCGTTAATAATAAATACACGGAAAGCAGAGAGAACAAGGCCTAGGACATGGTAACTACTCAATGTGCATTAAATATTTTTGCCATCATTATCATTGTCATTATTGTGGTTAAGAACAAGTCATTTAGAGTAAGATAGACTGGTTTGAATTCCTACACAGATGATGATGATTTTAAACAATAATAATATTAAAACATATTGGGTGCTGTCATATGCCAGGCCCTACATATACACTTTCAATATATTAATTCCTTGAACCCTCAGACCTTTGAGGTAGGTTACTATTATTATCCCCTTTTGACAGATGAGGAAGGTGAAACACAGAGATGTTAAGATATTTGTTCTGGCTGGGCACAGTGGCTCACACTTGTAATCCCAGCACTTTGGGAGGCCGAGGTGGGCAGACTACGTGAGGTCAGGAGTTTGAGAGGCCAGCCTGGCCAACACGGCGAAACCCCATCTCTACTAAAAATACAAAAATTAGCCGGGCGTGATGGCATGCGCCTGTAATCCCAGCTACTTGGGAGGCTAAAGCAGGAGAATCGCTAGAACCCGGGAGGTGGAGGTTGCAGTAAGCCGAGATCGTGCCACTGCACTCCAGCCTGGGTGACAGAGTGAGACTCCATCTCAAAATAAATAAATAAATAAATAAATAAATAAATAAATAATATTTGTCCAAAGTCAAACGGCTGTGAGTGATGACATCAAAATTTGAACCCAGGCAGTTTGTACTTTTAGCCACCACCCTACTGTTGTAAAGTCAGGTGGTGTTGGTGTTGGTTAAGGATCACCCTGAGTCAAATATAGGTCATGTGCTTGCACAAAAATACATTGTGAAGTCAAAGGGGATCATCTGCACGACCGGCTCCCTGAATTCCCAGACTAGGAGAGGTGGAGAACCGAAGAGCCTTAGTTTGGAGGTGCAGTAGCTGAAGCTACCACTAGAGGGATTTGCAGGCCTGGAGCAGAATGGCCACCCAGCCGCCAAGTGAGGGCAGTACCTTCAAGGAGGACCTGAATCCTTCCTGCCTCATGTCTCTCACCTGATTTCCACAAGCCCAGTCAGTGATTTCCACAAGCACTGACTAGGGGCCAAAAAGGAACAGGGAAGAAAAGAGAGCCACAGGGCTGAGTCTGGCCCCCTTGGCCTCTCTGGGCTTCCCTCCCCACACCCCTGCAGGTACACTCACTTCAAAGGAGACGGGCACACGAACTGTGTCCCCGACCTTGACTGTCAGCAAGTCCTTGGTGCTGGAGTCCACGAGGAACTTGGGACAGACTGAAACGCACAAGAGGACTGGTTACCTCCCTCCTCCCTCACAGTTGGACCCCAGCCCCAGGTCCCCAGCAAGGTAGGGCTGGAGGGGAAGACTGGGCCAGTCGGATTGATGCTGAGATCCCAACATACTGGGGCCTCTAAAGGACTGGAGTACAGCTGGGAGCAGAATCTTCAGGGGAGACCCCAGGGGCTGATGGGGAGATGCTAGCGGGGGAGGGACAGGAGCTGAGAAAGGAACCCTGCAGGGAGAGGGGTGGACTAGGCTGGAACAGAGGAAGATGCAGACATGTGGCAGAGCGCTTATGTTTTGCAGATGAGATAAACACCAATCTAAGACAGGAAATGACTTGCCTGAGGTCACACCTTGTTCGGGAGAGAGCCAGGACAAGATTCTGGGACTTTGGACTCCGTGTGCTGTGTTTGTGACTCCCTACTGCCATAGTGATGACTAGGGTCAGCTGGGGTGGCCCAGTGTCAGCTTGGGTCAAAGGCAGATCAGGTGCTTGTGGTGGTTAAAGCCCAAAGGGAAAGACAATCCTCTTTTCAATAATAACGGGGAGCTGGGCATGTCCCATTCTGAACGTGAACCATGGGAGCTGAGCGGCCCTTAGGCCTTCGAAGGCCATGCCCGGGAAGCAGCCACTCTCTCTCCTACAGAACATCAACTTTGGAGTCTCCAGGTTTAAATCCTGGCTGTACCACATACCATTAGTGACAACTAGGGCAAAGTACCTTGAACCTCAGTTTCCTTCTCTGTAACTTCGGAATAAAAACATTAATATTGTAGTATAGTTATGAGTCGTAATGAGAAAACATTTCTAAGAAGGGACTGCCTAGCCCAGTACCTAGCACCTAGTAGGTGCTCAATAAATGTTACTTCCTGAAACTGAGGGTGGGGATCCTGGCTTAGTAAGTGCATTGCGGCTACTCAGGGGCCCCCTCTTAGGAGAGGCCTGCAGGGCTCAGGGGTCGGGGAAGGAGGCAGCACTCACCAGTAACAGGCATGGCTTGCACTAATGTGTCCAGGGCACTGGGCTGGCTCTGGCCTCCTTCATTAACTGCTGTCACCCGCACGAAGTAGCCCTCTCCAGGCCGAAGCCCCTTGGCCGTGTAGGTGGTGACTGGCACGGTGCCCACATGGCACGGGAGCCACTGGAGACTGTCTGAGCTGCACAGCTCCACCACATACCCCTGGGCTTCATCCCCTTCCTGGGTGTCTGGCCCAGCCCAGCTCAGAGTGATGCTGGTGTTCGATCTGTCTGTGACTTGGAGATTCCTCACCAGCCCAGGGGGTCCTGCCAGGCACCATGGGAGAGTCAGGAATGGCATCTCCTGAGGGAGGCCACTCAGTGTGGATATTGATTAGCCTTCCTTGTGGGAGACTGGGAATTGTTTTCACTTAGCAATTCTGCCTTTAGATTCTTCCTGAAGCACCTACCTTGTTCCAAATTCTTACTGTAACCAGCACTTTGTCTCCGTTATGCACACAGATCCCAGGCCACCTCCACCAGGAAGCCTCCCTCAACTCATTCCCCTCATTCATTCACCAACCTGCCAAATGCCTTCTCCTAACTATCCTTCTGTAATTCCTGAAAACTGATATTTTAGTTGATGACCTCTTGGGTTCCATTATCCCGTATGACTAGACTTCCATGTGTTTTTATTCTGGACTCTAAGCTCTTAGAGTCACGACTCTGCCTTCTGGGTACTCAGTGCAGGCTTCTTGTTCTCCACTTATTACATGAGAACAATAATAATAGCCCCACCTACCCACAGAGGTTTTAGAACAAGCAAAAAGCACAATGAGTGTGAAAGGGCTCTGGCCCTCAAGTCTGGCTGCACGTTGGAATCACCTGGTGAGCTTAAAAATACTGGCACCTAGATGCCACCCCAGAGATTCTGATTTAATTAGTCTGGGGTGCAGTCTAGGCATCAACATTTTTAAGAGTTTTCCAGGTGTTTCTACATATGCAATGAAGTTTGAAAACCACTGGGCTAGGGCAGTACTTCTCAAACTTTAATTAGTATAGAAGTTACCTGGGGATTTTTGTAAAAAATATAGACCCTGATTCAGTAGGTCTGGGGTGAGGCCTGAGATTCAGCATTTCTCATAAGTTCTAATAAGATGATGTTTCTGGGCCATGGGCCTTGCTTAGCAGCAAGAATCCAGAAAATGTAGTGATTGCTGTGGCTACTGTTAGACACTGCTTATCCTATCTATTGTCTCTACTTCCCACCACTGATAAAAGAGATTAACAGGCTGTGGGCCCATGGCTCATGCCTGTAATCCCAGCACTTTAGGAGGCCGAGGCAGGAGGATAGCTTGAAAGCAGGAGTTCAAGACCAGCCTGGGCAATATAGTGAGACCCTGTCTCTACAAAAAGATAAATTAGCAGGGTGTGGTGGCACATGCTCATAGTTCCAGCTGCTTAAGAGGCTGAGGCAGGAGGATTGCTTGAGGCCAGGAGTTCAAGGCTGCAGTGAGCCGAGATTGCATCACTGCATTCCAGCCTGGGTAAAAGAGTGGACCCTGTTAGAGAGAGAGAGAGAGAGAGAAAGAAAGGGATAGAAAGAAGAGAGGGAGGGAGGAAGGGGGAGAGAGAGAAAGAAAGAAGAGAGGGAGGGAGGAAGGGGGAGAGAGAAAGAAAGAAAGAAAAAGAGAAAGAAAGGAAAAAAAAGAACAGAAAGAGAAAGAAAGAAGACAGGGAGGGAGGAAGGGGGAGAGAGAGAGAGAAAGAAAGAATGACAGACAGACAGAAAAAAGAAAGAAAGAGAGAAGGAGAGAGAGAAAGAAGGAAGGAGAGAGAGAAAGAAAAGAAAAGAACAGAGAAGAAAAGAAAAGATAGGACAGGCTTGGTCCATTTGCAAGGAGTAAGTTGCATGGGCCGGCTTTCCTCCCCCATCCCTCCATTCCATGTCCTGCCCTTCCTAGGACTAAAACTCAGATACCACTTGAACAATGAAATGTACAGAATGTTTCGGTCTTGTTGGGTTCATTCAAACAGCCTGAACACCTGCAGTGGGCTGGGCCCTGTGGGGCACAGAGATGCTCTCCAGGTGTTGACCACCTGGCCCATCCGTCAAGTGCCAGAAATGTGCTGCTCCCTAGAGGACTTGGCGTAGGCAAACTGATTAGGGGATGAGAAATACAGAGCAGCATTTTCTAAGCTGTACGCCTTGGAGTGACGCTTTTAATAGGTATTTTGTGAAAAAGCTAGATTTGGATCAAGGTTAGACAGGTTTTTTTCCCCTGCAGGACTTGGAAACATCAAAAGCTCACATCATACACATCTTTAATCACAGACATTTTTTGCTGTTCCTGTTCTCAGAATGTCTGTTGGCATCTCTCAATACACTCCATGTTCCCAAGACCACAGGTCTCAGATAGAAAATGCTATCTCAGACTATAAGTTTCTCAAGGGCAGAGACCAGGATTGATTTACCTACTTCCTGGCACAATGCTGGCCATTTAGTAGGTGATGGGCAAATATTCATTGGATAGAGAATTGATGCTGAGCTTCCCCTGTTACCTGCCCTCCGCCCTGCCTGATGGGCAACACTAGGGTGAGTGGATGCTTATGAGACTGGGGCAGGTGGGCCAGCTTGGGGGCTGGCCTGCCTAGAGGCCAAAGAGTGAGTGAAGTGATCTTGAAAAGGACTCTGCTTTTTTTTTTCTTCTTTCTTTTCTTTTCTTTTTTTTTGTAACAGGGTCTCCCTCTGTCATGCAGGCTGGAGTGCAGTGGTGCAATCATAGTTCACTGCAGCCTCAAACTCCCGGGCTCAAGCAATCCTCCTGCCTCTGCCTCCCAAAGTGCCAGGATTACAAGTATGAACCATTACTTGGCAGGGAAGGAATCCTCTAATCCCACTGCCTGGCTTCTGGGCCTGTTTGAGCTCACGTAGGGCCCCTAAGATGTGGCTCACCCGAGAGGCCTTTTGATTTTTATATCCCAGCCCTCCTGACCATCTCCCTCAGGACTGCCCCGACCTGTGACCTTTGACCTCCCATCAAGTCCCACCCAGCTTCAGGGCTATCCCATGCTCACCTCCACCCCCATCCTGGGTTGGTGCCCTACTTACTCATGGGGTCCCGAGCAAAGACAGCATCCGATGGAGGTCCAGGCTCTCCGGGACCTGAGGGAGCCACAGCTGTGACCCGGAACTCATACTGACAGCCCTGCCGCACGTCCGCCACCGTCCACCTCCTCTCTGTGAACAGCCCGCCCATGTGAGTCCCACCCTGATGGTGCTGGACATGGGGAGATAGCTTGGGTGCCTCCAAGTTCTGAAGGAGACCAAGCCTGGGGTCCTAACACATCCCTCCCTACATCCCTCCACCCGCTGTGACTCAGTTCCCTCCAAGGTGGAAAGAGCACTGCTCAGGGCGTCAGGAGCCTCTGATCCCTGTCTGGTTCCACCACTAACTTGCTGGATGTTCTTGGGCAAGTACCTTAATCTCCCTGGTTGTCTCTGCCTTACAGAGTTGCTGTCATATTTAAATAAAGCAGAATCACTAAATAGTGAAATTGGGAGAATGTTCATCTCTCTCTTTCTAGAGATAAGGAAACTGAAGCCCTGACAGGCCTCAGCTCCTAAGTAGCAGAACCATGACCTGAATCCAGGTCTCCTGGCAAGCTGTTCCGAGCCTGTTCTTTCCTCCTCAAACCTGGACTTCCGCAGCACGCATGCAGAGCAAGGAAATGCTAAGGGTTATCACAAGACCCTTCAGCATCTGCCCAGCCCTTTGGCTTTTCCAAGTTCTTTCTGATCTCAGAATGCAGTTTGTTTCTTTGGAAACTACTTAGTGGGGCAGGGGATCCTCCTCTCCACTTTATGGATGTGGAAATTCAGATCTAGAGAGGAAGTGAACTGTCCAAGGTCAAGGCCAGAAGTAGAGGGGCCAGGGCTAACAGCTTCATCTCTGGCTCTCAGCCGGGATTTCTGAATCAGGGCTTCTTCACCTCAGCACAATTGAAATTTTTTTGCCAGATTCTTCTTTGGGATTTTTGAGAGGAGGAGGTGGGCTCTGTCCTGTAGAGGAGGAGGTGGGCTCTGTCCTGTATACTGTAGGAGGTTTTGCAGCATCCCCGACCTCTTTGCACTAGATGCCTGTAACATTTACCCTCCACCCCATTGTGACCACGAAAAATATCTCCAGACGTTGCCAAACCACCCTAGACGAGAACGACTGTATTAAACCAATCTGAACTGAAAAGTCCCTGGGATCCTGGAGCCAGGAGGGGTCTAAGGAAGCTCTGGAAGCCAGGACAATGCTCACCAGGCACCGGCTGGTCGTTCACTGCCGTCCAGGTGTTGCTCCCCTTCTTACGCCTCTCGATCAGGTAGCCCAGGATGTGGGCGCTGCCGGGGCCCCGAGGTGCTGTCCATGTCAGTGTGATGCCCTGGCTGGAGGCCGACAGGATGGCTGGCGCGGAAGGGGCCTTGGGGAGAGCTGGGGGTAAGAAAGATTCCAGTCAGCCAGAGGCCTGGGAAAGGTGCCGGCTCATGGGGAGCCCCTGGGGGTAGGGGGCACAGGCATCTGGGACAGGCCACACTCCGCCCTGTCCTGGTGAGTGTCGGGGCTGAGGCAGCCCGCCCTAGGTCAGTGTTCTGGCTATTCAAGGGAAGGAACGAAAGGACAGAGAAGGCACTGCAGCCTCGGAGCCTAGAACCAGCCCTGAGACCCCTCAGCCTCCAGTCCTCTGATAGGATGTTGGAGGCGGATGCTCCTCTCTCCCTGGGACCCGCGACAGTGGGCTTTGCTGGCCCACACCCTCACTCCTGGAGACTCTGTAAAACACTTCCTGATCTGGGTGCCAGATCCCAAATGCAGCTGAGGGAAGGAGTCTCCAGAGTGCTACAGAAGGGCCTCCGAAGCCCCGAGCACAGGCTGGTGTCACTCAGCCTCTGGGACAGCCTGCCCTCCTCGGCACAGTGGGGAGCCCAGGAGTGTCCCCCACCCCCAGCCCCAGCCTTTTCTCTCACCCTCAGGAGCCACCAATATCTCCTCAGACTCCAGGGCCTCGCCAGCCCCCTCTGAGGTCACAGCCCGCACTCGGAAGGTATACTTCCTGCCTGGCTCCACATGGGCATCCGTGAAGGTGGTGCTGTCAGCGGGGGCCTCGCCCACCTTCAGCCAAGTGCTCCTGCCAGCCTGCCGTCTCTCCACCACGTAGCACTCTACAGTCCGGCCCCCATTGTCCCTTGGGGGCCGCCAGCGGAGGCAGACGCCAGCCCTATGGCAATCCTGAACCTCCATGGGGCCTTGTGGGGGATCAGGCTTGTCTGGGGACCCACAGAGAGGAGCGGGAAGAGGAGGGGTCAGAGGAGCTGGAGGGGAGCAGCGCCAACCCCCCCAACTCCCCGCCACCCCGACTCCCCCCCACCCCCATCCACTCATCAGCAGATAAGCCTGCAATGGGGCAGACTGTCCAGAGAGCCTTGGGCATTACCCAGAGGGCCACACATTCTTGAGATGTCTCCACCCCCAACACACACATGCACCCAGGGATGTGCCATGGAATGCACCAGCCCCTCCCGGCCCCACCGTCCGGTGGCTGGTATGGGCACCTGCTCGGCCAAGAGCAGTCCTACCTTGCTGGCACCACTCAGGGCTGGGGACCACCATCCTACCCAGCAACTTCCTGAGGGCCCAGTGTATTGGGGTCAGAGAAGCATAACCGGCTCCTCCCCCCCAGCAGGAGCCCAGCACTGTGTTCATCTCAACTGCTTCTTCCTAAGCAGTCTGAGCAGAGTTAGTGGTAGGTCTGGATCTTAAACAGCATGCAAATGAGGATCAGAGCCAGCAGAGATCATATCCCAGGCCTGCCCTTGATGGCAGGGAGGGCCCAGAACCCCAGGGACTCTCAGGCCTTAGTTGGGGGAAGACAGGGCTGGTACCTATGACTTGCAGAGTGAGCTCGGCCTGCACAGAGCCTCCCTCACTCCTCAGTGTCACGCTGTACTGGCCACAGTCCTTCCTGCCTGCGCTGGGGAGGCACAGCCGCGTGTAGCCATCCCCCAGGTCCACCTGGGCCTCCCTGTCACTGCTGCCCACCACCTCAGCCCCGTCCTTCCTCCAGGCAGCCTGAATGGGGAGGTGGCTCTGGAAGGGGATCTTCACTATCACCGGCTTCCCAGCCTTGACCACCAGTGGCTCTCTCAGTTTCTCTGTCACATCTGGAGCAATGGTAGGGGAATCTAGAAATAAAACAAGAGAGTCAAGGAAGACCAGGGCACTGGGCACCTGGGGAATATAGAAAGGAGGACCCAGAGAAGGAAGTTTGGGGGAAGAGTAAGGAATCCCCTGCCCCACCACATGAGGACAAACAAGGGGAAGGGGCTTCATCTGCAGCAGAAGAGACCAGGCTTAGACCTCACCAAGGACTTCCTGACAGGGAAAGAGCTAAGATGCTGGAATAGGCAGGGTATGAGTCGGCTTTTTAAATCATCTTCTCTGGGGATGAGATTAGATACTGGCTGCAGACTAGCCACAAATTCAGGTGTTTTAAAGCAAGGCATATCACCTGGTACAAAGAGACTGTGGGACAGGACAGGGCAGGGCAGGGCAGGGCTGGGCCTTACCCTGGACGGTCAGGGTGGCCTCGCTCTGCTGGTCACCAGCTACAAAGGTGTACCTCCCAGCTTGGGTCCCCTGCACATGCGTGATGAAGAGGCTGTGCACGAGACCGTCTTGCTTAAAGATGACTCCATCCTGGGTGGTGAGCTGGAGACAGGGCCACAGCAGGAGAAGGTCACCCCACTCCCATCCCAGTTCCTTCAGGCCAGCTAACCAGAGCCCTTTACTGATGCTGGGATCCTGATAACAGCTGTGTGAATGGAATGCTTATTGTGTGCCAATGCTCTCTGTGCTTAGCACCTTATTTAATTGTCGTAACAGCCTTATGAAGTAAGTACTATTATTTGTCCCACTTTATAGATGAGGAAGCCAGACTGTTTGCCAGCTTGCTTGAAGTCTTATAACTGGTAGTGGCAGAGCTGGGATCTGAAGCCAGACTTAGCTGATACTGAGCCCCATGCCCTGAGTCACTGTGATGTCTCTTGGGGTGACAGCTTTAATGGAGGACAGAGGATTGTGCAGGGAGACGAGGGCCCCCTTCTGGTTGGGATGAGACGATGGCATTTGTACGAGGCCTTGAAGGATGGGTAGGATTCAGCAGGTATGGGTATAGAAGAGGCATTTTGGATGGTGGAAGAACAAGGGGTATGCTGAGGGGCATAGGATACACATCATTTAAAAATCCAATTTTATTTTAAACACACCAAGTTATTGGCTATTTAAACTTCTCCTGAGGTGGATACATTAGCAAAATGAAGAATGAAAAATCTTTCTTTCAAAGCCTCTACGCTCTTGCCCCTCTCTGCTTTACCTCTGTCCCTCCCACTGGTAAAGAGAAGGTGTGAGGGGAGGCAGTACCTTGACGCCATCCTTAAACCAGGTGCCAGGTCCCAGGTCACTGGTGAGGGTACAGGAGAGTGTGGCGGCCTCCCCCGGCTGCACTTCCATGTCAGCCAGGCCCTGGGAGAAGTGGCCCATGGGGCCTGGAGAGACACAGAGGGAATCCCCAGGGCCGAGCGCCCCAGGCCATGGCCTGCGCTGTGCCCCGCAAGGCCACCATGGTCCTGCCAACTGGGCTTGGCTGGTGTCAGCAGGGCTGGTTCCCAGCACCTATGCTATCTTGGCTCCAATGCCCTGGTCTTCCCAGACAGGAGCCCAAGCATTGCTGCTTTTCTCAGCAGGACCTAGGCTGGTCCAGGAGACCTGGGGTGTAAGGTATATGAAGGGCCCCCCCGCCACAGGTGAGAAGTCTGGTAACCCACAGAGAGTTGGGTCAACAACTCTGGTGCTGTGGACATAAGGTTTCAAGAGCAGATACCTAGGAGACCTCTGAGCCTCTCACAGGCTGGACCCCATCTGCGTAAAGAGGAAGAGGTTGCTTCCTAAATTTGCAAAAGATTCCTGAGAATGGGGAGCACTGGCAGGGACAAACTCCTGGGGCTGGAGGCAGAACTGGGACAGACCCAAGCATCCCAGTGGCCAGGGAGCTCCCCACTGTCTCTAGCCCATGGGAGCCAGCTCAGCAGAGAAGCACCTACCTTGGGCATCCTTGGAGAAACTGCCAGTGCCAGGCTTGTATCTGGATGTGGAACTCCGGGTAGCATCTCTCCTCTCTCCATAGATGTCCAACCTGCCGTCTTTGCCACTTCTCCTGCTACCAAGGTGACCAGGGGGCTCCCGGCTCTGATCTTCATTCAGCATCTCCTCCAGGCACCCCCAGTTCTCTCCCATAGGCTGCCACCCCATGCTTCCAGCCTCGTCTGCTCCCCTTCTCTTTCCTCCTCCAACCTCAGCCCCTGACTGTGCCTGAGACCTGCTCCTGAGTGAGCCAGGCCTCCTGCCTGACCTCCCAGCCTCTTCCACTCCCTGCCCTTCATCCTCCTTTAGGGCCCCAGGACCCTGGACCTCACCATTCTCAGCCTCCAGGGACCCCTGCTCCCCGAGGGACCTCTTTCCTCCTCTCTGTCCCTTGCCTCGCTGAGAGCTCAGGTCCTGGGTCCCTCCTGACCTATCTCTAGAGGCTTTTCTGCCAAAGGGACCATCTAAGCCATTCCAGGCTCCCTGAGGTCCGGACTCCCCAGGTTTTGGGGTGAGGGCATTCCCCCACTCAGTAGAATTCCCCTTGCCCAGGATACCTGAGTCCTCTGCATCAACAGAACTGCCCCTTCCAGGACTTGAACCTTTGCTATCCAGGGACCATGGGCTTCGGCATCCACCAGCCGCCTCTTGGCCTGGTGCACCCTCCCCACCCTTAAAGCCCCCTGGCCCTTCATGGGTCCCACCAAAAGCGGCATCTTTCTCCTGCAGAGAACCGGAAGCTCTGGAGCCTGCGGGCTGCTTCCCAGCATCTATGCTGCCTTGGCTAAACCCCTGGTTTTCCCAATCAGGAGCCCAAGCATTGCTCGTCCCTTGTCTATCAGCAGGCCCTGATGTTGACTTGCCCCTTCCCCCAGGCATAGAGCCGCTGTCCAGATCCTGACCTGTCCCCACTGAACTCCCTGAGCCTACCCTTCTGCCTCCCAAAAGTGAGTCCCCACCTCCCTGAGATGCCAACCCCCCCTGGCCAGCAACTCTACCCCTGTCTGTCATTCCTGGGCCTGCTTTCCAGATGTCCCGTTCATATCCAGACCCTAGAGCAGCCATTCCTGCCCAGGTCTCACCTTCCACTGCCCCCTTGCCATCAAGAAACCCAGAAGCCCCCATTATCCCTGCTTGGTCTGGAGACCTATCCTTCACCCTGGGAGCCCCTCTGTCTCTAGAAGACCCTGGAGTCCCAGAACTGTCTTGCCATTCTTTGACATCTGGTTTTCCCTTGGCACCAGCAGCCTCCGAGGCCTCAGGGATCCCTGAAGTTCCATAGCCCCCAAGATCTTTGGTGGAGCCTCGCTCATCTGAAAGAGTCTGTCGCCCTCCCTGAGACCCCAGCACCCCTGTGCCCCTGAGGCTGTCTCTGTGTGCCATGCCACCTGCAGTGCCTGGCATTCCAGCCATCCCAGGTTCCACCCCAGGTCCTGCCCCATCCACAAGCCTGGTTTCCCTGGCTCGCTCTGGACCATCCTTGGAGTTCGTGTCACCCTCTGATGCTACCCAATATCCTGACCTGTGACCCATGGCTTTATGGCCTCTGGGTCCAGCCTCATGTCCTATTCCAGCCAGTGAGCCTGGTACTCCAAGCCTCCCTGAACCATCTCCATAACCCATCTTACCCTCTGGTCCCGTTTCCCCAGATCCTCCTGAGCCTCCTCTATAACTGACCTCACTCCCTGACCCCATGCCACTAGTTCCCCCAAAGCCTTGCCTAGAACCTGCCTCATTCCATGACAAAATGTACCCAGAATCCTCCAAACTACCCCTAGAACCTGCCTCGCTCCCTAATGGATTCCTCCCAGAACCCCCTAAAACATTCTTATAACCTGCCTCATCCCCTGAACTGATTTTTCCAGAACTGCCTAAACCATTCCTGTAATCTGTGTAACTGCCTGAACCCATTTCCTCAGGAGCTCCCAAATCCTTCCTATAATCTGCCTCATCCATTGACCCCATTTCCCCAGAACTCCCTAAACCATCCCTGAAACCTGCCTTACTCCCTGAACCCATTCCCTTAGGAGCCCCCAAATCCTTCCTATAACCTGCCTTATTCACTGACCCCATTTCTTCAGAACCCCCTAAACCATCCCTGAAACCTGCCTTACTCCCTGAACCCATTCCCTCAGGAGCTCCCAAATCCTTCCTATAACCTGCCTCATCCATTGACCCCATTTCCCCAGAACTCCCTAAACCATCCCTAAAACCTGCCTTACTCTCTGAACCCATTCCCTTAGGAGCCCCCAAATCCTTCCTATAACCTGCCTCATTCACTGACCCCATTTCTGTAGAACTCCCTAAACCATCCCTAAAACCTGCCTTACTTCCTGAACCTATTCCCTCAGGAGCCCCCAAATCCTTCCTATAACCTGCCTCATCCATTGACTCCATTTCTTCAGAACCCCCTAAACCATCCCTGAAACCTGTCTTACTCCCTGAACCCATTCCCTTAGGAGCCCCTAAATCCTTCCTATAACCTGCCTCATTCACTGACCCCATTTCTACAGAACTCCCTAAACCATCCCTAAAACCTGCCTTACTTCCTGAACCTATTCTCTCAGGAGCCCCCAAATCCTTCCTATAACCTGCCTCATCCATTGACCGCATTTCTTCAGAACCCCCTAAACCATCCCTGAAACCTGCCTTACTCCCTGAACCTATTCCCTCAGGAGCCCCCAAATCCTTCCTATAACCTGCCTCATCCATTGACCCCATTTCCTCAGAACCCCCTAAACCATCCCTGAAACCTTCCTTACTCCCTGAACCCATTCCCTTAGGAGCCCCCAAATCCTTCCTATAACCTGCCTTATTCACTGACCCCATTTCTTCAGAACCCCCTAAACCATCCCTGAAACCTTCCTTACTCCCTGAACCCATTCCCTCAGGAGCCCCCAAATCCTTCCTATAACCTGCCTCATTCACTGACCCCATTTCTACAGAACTCCCTAAACCATCCCTAAAACCTGCCTTACTTCCTGAACCTATTCCCTCAGGAGCCCACAAATCCTTCCTATAACCTGCCTCATCCATTGACCCCATTTCCCCAGAACTCCCTAAAGCATCCCTAAAATCTGCCTTGCTCCCTGAACCTATTCCCTTAGGAGCACCCAAATCCTTCCTATAACCTGCTTCATTCACTGACCCCATTTCTCCAGAACCCCCTAAACCATCCCTGAAACCTGCCTTACTCCCTGAACCCATTCCCTCAGGAGCCCCCAAATCCTTCCTATAACCTGCCTCATTCACTGACCCCATTTCTACAGAACTCCCTAAACCATCCCTAAAACCTGCCTTACTTCCTGAACCTATTCCCTCAGGAGCCCACAAATCCTTCCTATAACCTGCCTCATCCATTGACCCCATTTCCCCAGAACTCCCTAAAGCATCCCTAAAATCTGCCTTGCTCCCTGAACCTATTCCCTTAGGAGCACCCAAATCCTTCCTATAACCTGCTTCATTCACTGACCCCATTTCTCCAGAACCCCCTAAACCATCCCTGAAACCTGCCTTACTCCCTGAACCCATTCCCTCAGGAGCCCCCAAATCCTTCCTATAACCTGCCTCATTCACTGACCCCATTTCTACAGAACTCCCTAAACCATCCCTAAAACCTGCCTTACTCCCTGAACCTATTCCCTCAGGAGCCCCCAAATTCTTCCTATAACCTGCCTCATCCATTGACCCCATTTCCCCAGAACTCCCTAAACCATCCCTAAAACCTGCCTTGCTCCCTGAACCTATTCCCTTAGGAGCCCCCAAATCCTTCCTATAACCTGCCTTATTCACTGACCCCATTTCTTCAGAACCCCCTAAACCATCCCTAAAACCTGCCTTACTTCCTGAACCTATTCCCTCAGGAACCCCCAAGTCCTTCCTATAACCTGCTTCATTCACTGACCCCATTTCTCCAGAACCTCCTAAACCATCCCTAAAACTTGCCTTACTCCCTGAACCCATTCCCTTAGGAGCCCCCAAATCCTTCCTATAACCTGCCTTATTCACTGACCCCATTTCTTCAGAACCTCCTAAACCATCCGTAAAACCTGCCTTACTCCCTGAACCTATTGCCTCAGAAGCCCCCAAATCCTTCCTATAGCCTGCCTTATCCACAGACCCCATTTCCCCAGAACCTAAGCCACCCCTATAACCTGCTTTGCTCCCTGAACCCCCTCCCTCAGAAACCCCCAAATCTTTCCTATAGCCTGCCTCAATTAACCCCATTTCCCCAGAACCCCTTAAACCACCCCTGTAACCTGCCTTGCTCCCTGAATCCATTCTCTCAGGAGCTCCCAAATTTTTCCTATAACCTGCCTCATCCATTGACCTCATTTCTCCAGAACCCCTTAAGCCATCCCTATAACCTGCCTTGCTCCCTGTGCCCATTCCCTCAGGAGCCCCCAAATCCTCCCTATAACCTGACCCCATTTCCCCATAACCTCCAATCCCATTCCTATGACCTGACTCATCCAGTGACCCCATCTCCCCAGGACCCCTTAAACCAGCCCTGTAACCTGCACCCATTCCCTCAGGAACCCCCAAATCTTTCCTATTATCTGTTTCATCCATTGACCCGATTTCCCTGGAACCCTTTAAACCACCGCTATAATCTGCCTTGCTCCCTGAACCCGCTTCCCTGGAATCCTGTAAACCACCCCTATAATCTGCCTTGCTCCCTGAACTTATTCCCTCAGGAGCCCCTAAATCTTTCCTATAACCTGCTTCATCCATTGACCCCATTGCCCCAGAACCCCCTACACCATCCCTATAATCTGCCTTGCTCCCCGAACCCATATTCTCAGGAGCCCCCAAATCTTTCTTATAACCTTCCTTATCCACTGACCCCATTTCCCCAGAACTCCCAATACCCTTCCTACAACCTGGCCCATCTGCTGATCCCATTCCTTGGAGGCCTCCTGAACCATCTCTAAAGCCTGCCTCACCCCCTGGCCCTGTACTCCTAGGCCCAAGGCCCCTTGACCTTTCTCCATAGGCTGTTCTGACCCCAGTTCCCTGAGGCCCTGGAAGTTCTGATCCATCCTCATAACCCAGCACATTGCCAGCCCCATAAGCCCACTGGCTCCCAGAAGCGGCCCCATTGTGAGGTGCGAGTGACTCAGGGTGCCTGGTATCATCCCTATAACCAGCTCCAGCTCCAGAGGCCTTAGCACCAGGGCATCTTGTCCCATCCCCCTCACCCACTTTGCTTCCTGCCCTCAGAGACCCTGGTCCCATGGCTCCTGGACCCCCAGAGCCATCTTCATAGCCTCCTTCTCCAAAGGCCCCCAGGGCCTCTGAGGCTCTGAAGCCCCCATAATTTCCAGTCTGACCCCAAGGCCTTATTCTTCCAGAGCTCTCTGGTTCTGCTTCCACACATCCCATCCCAACAGTCTCCACTACTCCAGGGGCCTTGAGACCACCTCTACCCGCAGACCCTGTCACCCCAGGACTCCCTAGGCCACCATCTGAATGGTGCCCTCCCCTAGGGTCCATGCCTGCCTGGCATGCAGAGGCCCAATTCCTGGTGTCATTCATGGGTGCTCCATCAGGACCACCTGAGCCATTTTTAAGACTGGCAACTCTCCCAGACCCTCCTCCTGCAGGGCCAGAATCTTCATTTCCAGACCACACTCCCCCAGGCGCTCCGGAGCCATGCCTGTACCCACCCCCTTCCTCAGACTCCACTCCCGCAGGTGCCCTAGGGGAAACTCTACAACCAGCACCATGGCCGGACCCCATTTCTCCTGGAACCCCTGAGCCATAGCTATAACCAGCCCCGCTTTTAGAGCTTATTTCCCTAGAATATCCTAAGCCACCCTCGTACCTAGATTCCATTCTCCCGGGACCTTCCAAGCCATCCTTATAGCCTGTCTCACCTCTGGGTCCTTTTACTCTGGAGCTCCCTGACCCATTCCAGAAATCTGGTTCAGACCCTATTGACCCAGGACCTCTTAATCCTTTCTTATCTCCTAGTGTCCCCCCAGATCCCTGAGCACCCAGGCCTGGAGCCCTACTTAGCCAGTGGCTTCTGGCATCCACCCCCTGACCAGACTCCGTCAGTCCAGCCACCCAGATACCACCCATACCCTCTTGTCCTCCACTGGGCCCCAGCACTCCAGGCCCATGGTGGGCCCCAGTTTTTCTGAGGCTAGATGGTGTGTCATCCCAAGGACTTGTGCCCTTAGATTCTATTCTGCCAATACCCCCTGCTGCTCTGTGACCTGCTGTCCAGCCCTGGGAAGACTGGAAGCTTCTGGGGTCATACTCTACCTCACCCGAGGCCCAAGCTGTTTCCTGGCCATCCCTTCCCCTGAGCTCCTGTAGGACACCTTCGCAGCCTCTGGGGTCTCCTGGGCCTCCAGGGCCAGTTTTGTAGGCACTTCCTGTAACTACAGACTCCCCCCGGCATATACCATCTGCCTCCTGCAGTGAGTCTTCAGCTTTGATCTCAGGACTCCCATCTCCCAGAAGGAATTTTCTACCACCTGATATTGATGGTTCCTGGAAGTCCTTGCCTCCAGGTATCTGTTCTAGCAACTCTCCTGACCCCCAGTAGCCCCTGGCTTCCCCATAGTCAGCATCTCTACCTCCCTGAGAACCCCAGGATTCAGGGGCCATGCCCACCTTGGAGCCAGAACCTCTTCCTCCAGTAAGCTCCAGGGTGCCAGGACCTCCTGCCCCATTGCTGTCTCCAGCTTCTCCCAGGCCAGTCCCACCACCCCACACTACTATTCCTCTCCCCCTTTCCCTACTTGGAGCATCCCCTCTGTCCATCTCAGCCAGGCTGTCATCCTGTGAAATCTCTATCTGCTTTCCTCTTGGCCAGGACCCTACAGGATCAGACTGGCATCCCTGCAGGTCGCTCTTTCCTCTCCCAGGTCCCAGTCGAGCATCCCACAGTTGCTCTGGGGCATGCCTGTCCAGTTGTCTTCCACTGTCCCCTCTGTGCTCCTTTCCTTCCCTGCTGCTCCCCAGTCCTCCAGCCTGAAGCCGACTGGACCCAGCCTCCCAGCCTCCTGCTTTCCTCCAGCATTCATCACTGTTGCTGTCTCTGCCACGATCTTGCTGTTGTTTTTCTGGGAGGCCCAACCCTGATTCTGAGCTCTCTCCCTGTAGATGGGGCCTCTCTGCAAGGCTTCTGGCCCAGCCTCCCTCTCTGTGGGATTGATTTTCCCTGGGAAGAGTGGCTCTGCTTCCCTCTGCTACTGGAAAGCCCTCGCCCTCCTGTCCAGGGCCCCAGGCTGAGTCAGCTGTCCCTTTGTCCCCCATCAAGGAGTAGCCATGTCTGCCAAGGCCATCCCTGTCTGGGCTGGCTATGTGCTGGAGCCCAGAAGCCGGCCCAGCCCCTTCAAGGGAGCCCCCCCTGGGGCCCTGCTCTCTGGATTTCTCTCCCTGGCTCTCGATGCTCCCAGACTCTTCTGCTCCTGATGCCTGGGCTCCTTGCCTCTGCAGTTTGTGGTCAGCACTTGTGGACTGAAGGTCTTTATCCTTCCCAGCTTCAGTGAGGGGTTATTCATATGGAAGGTCAGTGCCCACATGGAGAGACAAGAGAAAATACCAAAACTCCTGTTAAATCCGGCCAAAGCACCTGCCTGAGCCCAGCTGCTTGCCTGACCTGGACTTCCCCAGGAGAGAAGCAAGGTGACCACCTGGGAAGGAAGCCAGGGTGTTCCAGGGATGGATGGGTGAATCCCATCACCACCTCCCTAGTCCTATACCCGCAGGCCACCCTGCTATAGGCTTCATGAGGGTTTTGGAGAAAACGCATAAGCCAAAAGTCATTTGTTTATCAAACTGCCGCAGCAGGTGCATGGTTTTTAAAATATCGACTTGCTCAACCACCTGCCTTACTTATGTCCAATTTACACTTTCCTGGGAACATCTGGAACGCAAATTTCTATCCCCAGGGAAGTTTGAGAGTGCTCTCTGGTCTGGTGCAGGGGCTTCTCATCCAGACTGAACCTGGGCCACTGTCCCAAGGCTGCCTAGGACCCTAGAGCCATCTGTGCCCCAAAGTAATTCCAAGAGACCCAGTAGAGCAGGCACAGCTGAGAAGGGTTGGGTTGGCCATGAAGGTCTGCACTGCAGTGGGTGGAGAATAATCTAAGGAGCTTTCCTTATTCTCTCTGACCAAAGGAAATCCCACTGCCTCGCCTTCCTCATGCCTCCGCAGCCCCAAGGTCTTCCCTGGAGGCAGAGAAAGACAGAGTTTTGAAGCACTCACCTTCAACCACCAGCCAGGCGCTGGAAGTGTAGAGCCCGGTGCCCAGCGAATAGGGGCCCATGTCTGAGAAACGTGCCCCCCTCACCACCAGCCGGTGGGTCAGCCCGTCAGGGGACACATACACTTCATATTTGTCACTGGGGTGGAGTAGCCGGTGCCGGAAATGCCAGGCTGCACTAGGGCAGGGGCTGGAGAGGGTACATTCAAAGACTGCGTCACCCTGCTCCTCACAGTGGGTCTCCGCCAGTGGGACCACCACTCTTGGGGGGATGGCTGCCGGGGAAATAGGAATGGGGATATCAGCTTGATGGTATGACACAGTGTGACCTAAGGCAGCAAGGCTGGCCATTCAGAAATCCTGGCTTAGACCAGCTCAGCCACAAACTCCCCATGTTACCTTGGACAGGTCACCTCTGGACCTCAGGTGTCAATTCCCCCCAAGTAAAATGAGGGGCTACAGTTATGAGCAATGAGGCTTATTTTCAGCTCTGGGATTCTATACTTCCAAACCCAAAAGTTATATTTAGGGACAAGGTGGATGCATGAAGGAAACCACTATGCTAAGAGCCGGTAGTTTATCTTATTCATCCTTGTGACCATCTCCAAGATAAGTATTATTAATTTCTTTTTACAGGTGAGAAAACTAAGGCTTAAAAAGTTAAATAACTTGCCCCAGTCTTACGCAGTTAAGAGAAACCAAGATTCACACCCAGGTCTGGCTGACTCCCAAACCCATACTTCTTTTCCCAAACTGCACTGTTTTCAGGCTTTCCAAAGCCCCATCTGGGCACCTCCCCCGTGCTGGGGCACATAACCCCCTTTTTTCTCCCCCAACTTTGATTCAGCCATGTTCTTACGACATGTCTGTCCAAAGCTCCCTTCCCCAGGCCTCTCGTTGTCCTTTCAAGAACCCCCTTGAGCTGGCAGGTGCTCTGAGAGTGATGTGGACACAGGTACTCATGGGGATGGGACAGAGTTTGATGAAGGAGGAGTGTCAGTTCCTAGATGGGGAAGGAATACAGGAAGCAGAAAAGGAAAGGTCTGTATGGAGCGTGAGGATGCCTAACCCAGAGATTCTTGCTAGGGTGTTGTGGGAGATGAGGACATGCAACAGAAAGGAGTTCTAGAGGCTGTGCAATTAGTCTGGATCTGATCTGAAAATAATTGATGGCTAGAGAAGGTCTAAGCAGAGGCATGACACATATGTTCTATGTCTGTGACAGTAATTCAGTAGAACCCAGCTCAGCACCAGGAGAGATAACTCGCACCAAGGCTTTGGAAAACAGAAAGCATCAAAATTTGGCCATCTAGGTATGTGTCCCTCTCCCAATTGTCTTTTGCAGCTGGGGCCACATCACATTTACCCCCCAACACACACGTTGCACCAACATGGACTCCATTTCTAACATATCTCCCCAACTCCAACTTCGGCAGTGTAGACCACTCACCACTGGCCTCCAGTTCTGTGGAGAAGACCACAGCATCCTCCACCTTGACCTGGTAAATGCCAGAGTCCTCAGGCCTCAGGTCTTGAATCTGGAACTCATAGCGCTTCCCCAGCCGGCGCAGACAGTGCTTGGTTTGGTTGTTGAAGCCATAGGGGATCATCTCACCATCCTAAGGCCAGAAAAGGAAGAGGAGGCGGGCCTCAGTGGGTCCTCAGTGCTTCCTGCCCCAGTCCCATTCTGGCTATAACCAGCAGTTTTCTCCCACGGGCCCAGTCGCCAGACAACAGATTCCTGGAACCATAGAGGAGCTGGGATGGGGTGGACAGCAGGGCCTGGAGAACATGGGAACAGGGATTGTGAGCTGGATGGGAATCCATGCTCTAGGAATGTCCATGGAGTGAAAAGTCTGCAAGTGTTATACAAAGGGGCACCTGAAGTTGCTGACATTCCAGCTCAGGCTGTGAGTAGAGTTACTCTCCAGCAGCCCTGCGAGGATAGCAGGGGAGGCCGGACACAACACCCATGGCCCAGAGGCCCCAGCTCAACTTATTCACCAACAGGAACTTGCAGAGAATAACATCAGATATCCATAAGGCTCTATGAAACCCAGTAATCTATATGCATACCTGCTTTAACTAAGCCCTAGATAGGTTTGCTACTTGCTGAATATTAACAATAGCTAATACTTATTAGGGGCCCACTGTGTGCCAGGCACTGTTTCAGGTACTTAGGACACATCAATGCATAAAACAAAGATTCCTGCTCTCACTAGCTAAAATCCTATGGGGGAAAAATATAAATAATAGATGTCATAAATAAGTAAATAATTTATGTTAGAAAAAAATAGAACTGGCCGGGTGTGATGGCTCATGCATGTAATCCCAGCACTTTGGGAGCCTGAGGCGGGTGAATCACTTGAGGCCAAGAGTTCAAGACCAGCTGGCCAACATGGTGAAACCCTGTCTGTACTGAAAATACAAAAAATTAGCTGGGTGTGGTGGCAAACACCTGTAATCCCAGCTACTCGGGAGGCTGAGGCAGGAGAATCACTTGAACCTGGGAGGGAGAGGTTGCAGTGAGCCGAGATTGCACCACTGCACTCCAGGCTGAGCAACAGAATGAGAAGAAAGGAAGGAAGGAAGGAAGGAAGGAAGGGAGGGAGGGAGGGAGGGAGGGAGGGAGGGAGGGAGGAAGAAAGAAAGAAAAAGAAAGAAAGGGAAAGAAAGAGAGAAAACTAGGGAACAAAAAGGTAGATATGGGTCCAGGGCTCCTGAGTGCCAGGGTGGGGCTGGAGGGACATAGTGGAATCACACGGAGTGGCCAAGGGAAGTCTCTCTGCCATGAAGGAATTAGCCCTGTCGATATCGGGGATGAGCATGCCAAGCAGAGGGAACACCTGGGCAAAGGAACAGGGACAAGGCCAGTGGGCCAGGAACTGAGGGACAAGGGGAAGAGAAGCAGGAATAAGCAGAGAGGTGAGGGGAGGGGCAAGTCACACATGATGTCATTTAGCGCTGCAGTACACCATGAGACAGGTCCTATATTATCCCCAGTTCACAAGTGAGGAAGCCGAGGCATGGGGAAGATAAGTATCTTGTCTGAGGTCATACAGCTTATAAGTGATGAAGCTGGATGAGTTTGGCTACAGAACTAGCCAAATTTTACCAACTGCTCCCCACCTGCCTCTGCCCCCATCTGGTTGGCAGATAATTACTCCTAGAGCCCAGGTAGGGATGTATGAAGTCTCTGGAGAGAAAGCTCAGATGGAAAGGGGTGCACTTTCTCAGAACCCTCTTTTCACCCCCGTGCTCTGGTGTTAGACACAATTTACAGAGAATCACAGGCCCAGCTGGAGAGCCCAGTTGCTCAGTGTGAGATAAGAAGTCCCTGTGGATGGATGGTCTACACCAGGGTTTGGTCCAGGTCCAGCCAGGAACTCCATGGGATGAGGGGCTCACCACTTGTGTGCTCTGGTTGTTCCCTTGGAGGAATGCAGGGTACCCATAGTTCCCTCTCCACTAGACCTGAAGCATCCCTGCCAGATCCCCCCCACCCATAGCCCCTCCAGCCTCACCTTATACAGGTAAATCTTGCTCTGAGAATCCTTGAGATCCAGCTCCAAGTCAAACTTTGCATTCCCATCCTTGGTGACCCTGATGTGTCTTAAGCTGGAGATGGTGTTGATGTACTACAAAGCAGACAAACACCCAGCAGGAGAGCTCATGAAGCTCTCTCTTCGGGGTACTCTGAACCCTCATAGGCTCTGGTACCATCCCAGGCCCACAGCGTTCCAGATGAGCATGCATTGGCCCCTTTTACAAGTGGGGGAAAGTAAGCCCCTCAAGGAAGGAAATTCTCCAAGATGAGAGATCAGATCAGGAAGACAACCAAGAAAAGACCCCAGGTGTTCAGTTGCTAGAACACAGTGGGGCTTTTCCATCTATCTGTACTTCTAACGAACATTAGTTGAACACCTACCGTGTGCAAAGCTCTGTGCTAGGTCCCGTGTTAAAGCCAATGAGAAAGCTTGGAGGAGAGAAGGCTGAGACCCTAGGTGTTAGGTTTAAGGAAGCTTATCTTTCAAGGGGATAAGATACTATTTTCAGGATAATAAAAACTAGTTGTTTTCCATTTTCAGAAGAAAAATTAGACTTATGCTATAGTTAAGTTAGACACAGGAAAGAAATTCCTGTACAGCTGATAAGATTCTGGGATCAGAGTGCTAATGGGAACTGTGAAATTCCCTTCCATGAAAGCCTTTAGAAGTAAACCAGGTAGCCAGGTGCGGTGGCTCACGCCTGTAATCCCAGCACTTTGGGAGGCCGAGGCAGGCGGATCACGAGGTCAGGAGATCGAGATCATCCTGGCTAACACGGTGAAACCCCGTCTCTACTAAAAATACAAAAAGTTAGCTGGGTGTGGTGGCAGGCACCTGTAGTCCCAGCTACTCAGGAGGCTGAGGCAGGAGAATGGCGTGAACCTGGGAGGCGGAGCTTGCAGTGAGCCAAGATCCGGCCACAGCACTCCAGCCTGGGCGAAAGAGCAAGACTCCATCTTAAAAAAAAAAAAAAAAAGAAAGAAATAAACCAGGTACCTCCCCCCCGCAATCTGGTGACAATGATAATGATAGCAAAAATCAAGGCACTAAGCTAAGTACTTTAATTACATTCTCTCATTTATCCTCCCAATAACCCTACAAGGTAGGCATGACTATAATTCCCATTTTACAGATGAAGACACCAAGATACAGAGGCCCTAACCCTTCCAAAGCTCCAGAGTTTAGTAAGTATCAGAACCAGGTTGCAAAGGCAGGACACCAACCTGGGATCCCAGGGCCTTAGCCAGATACCCCACTGGGGACTAGATGGAGACAGGCCCCTTGATCATACTTGGTTTCCTAAGTTCTGCCTCCAAGCCCACCTCCAGGTGTGAGGCACCTATGGTCCAGGTGTGTGGGGTGGGCATGGAGTGAGGGGTGGGAATGGGGTGAGGCACCTGTGCCATCTTGTCCTCCTGTTCCTTCTTCATCTCCTGCAGCCTGCGCAACATGCCACGGTAGTCGACGATGCCATACTTCAAGCAGATCTTCTCGTAGTCCTTCCTGTCTGCTGTCATCAGCAGCTGCCATATCTGCTCAAGGTCCATCTTTTTCTTGGGGGCTGGTGGGGCCCTGGGGAGCAAGGCTAGCAGGTCAGAGGCCAGAGGAATCCCTGCTCCTCTGTTGGCCACCTGGCTCTGGTGTCCCAAGTAGTTCTGGGAAGCTGCTCTATCTGCACTCGAGGAAACGCAGAGCCTGGAATCTCTGGGACTGACCACTGTTGAGGCCAGAAGGATTCAGAGATGGGTGGGGCGAGCCTCAGCCTCACCCCACAACTTTCAGGAGAAATGCTCCTGACAACTTGTATTGTAGATTTCTAAGTAGGATGTCTGGGGAAAGTGGGTGTTGCATTGTTCTGTTGCTTAAAAAAAAAAAGTACATCATTGTTCTGGTGGACCACCACATTTTGCAAATGAGGAAATCAGAGGAGAGATGATTAACTCAAGGATATAGAGCTTTGAAATGGCAGAGCTGGAGCTCTGTCCCATTCCCATCCAGTTCAGTCCCCTTCCCATCCTCCCATCTGCTACTGGCAGTCTAGCTCCCTGCTGTGTTGGGTAGAGGTGGGGCTCAAGCCCAGCTTACTTATGGAAATAGCAGGGGGTGAATACTATGGGAGCCTCCAAAATCCCTCATGGACAGGCCCAAACCCACCTCTTTTTCAGCAACTTCCGGAAGTCCATCAGCTCCTTCCTGAGGTCTGAAAAAGGAGCAGGAATGAGGCCTCAGTCCCAGGTGGGATGACTGAGGGTTGATGCAGAGCTTTTCTGTGTTGTCCATGCTGACAACTGAGCCTTTGGAAGGGGCTCTCTTGAAGACTGGTGGTGATCCACAAGGTGTTCATGGTAGCTCAACCAGGCAGGGAACACCAGGAAAGGAGTAGCCTATCCCCCACAGGCCCCCAAGGAGGTTTCTGACAAATCTGCCTACCTTCCTGCGGTTCCCTGTGCCTCTTCCGATTCTTCCGAAAGCCAACTGCAACATCCAGGGAGGAGAGGAAGGAGTCGATGTGGACAAGCAGGGAGAGAAGCAAGACATGTTGATGGTCTTCCTGAGAAACTGATGGAGTCCCAGAGCCCTGCTCTCCCCACTGTCCTCTAAGGCGTGGACGATCCCAGCAAGAGGGATGGAGCAGGGTGGAGGGTCTGTCCATCATAAGCCTTTTTACCCTAGAGCCTTACCATGACCAAGGGGACCAACCTAAGCATCATCTCATGCAGGGGAGGCCCAGTCATGTGTCCGCAGGGGCCAGGGAGGTGGCATAAATGCGTGAAGCAGACACTGGCAACCACAACAAACTCAAGAGTATCTAAAGGGGCAGCTGCTCTTTCACTCCACCTGGGAGCTGCCATTTCAGGGTATAGGCCCAATATTGCCAAATAGGTCAGACATTGCTGTTTGGCTAATCCTGCAGCCATTTGTATTCTTCATCATCTGCTTCCACTAGAGAGGCTGAAAAAGCTAAACACTCACCTTCCCCAGCTTCCCTTGCAACTAGCAGTGCTCATGTGACACTGTCCTGACCAATGAGCTCCAGGAATTTCTGAGAAAGCCTTTGCTTCCTCTATAAAAAGGGTGGATGGACTGGTCGTGATGGTTCATGCCTGTAATCCCAGCATTTTGGGAGGCCGAGGGGGGAGGATAGCTTGAGCCCAGGAGTTCCAGACCAGCCTGGGCAACACAGGGAGACCCCGCCTCTACAAAAAAAATAAAAAAATTAGCTGGGTGTGATGACACATGCATGTAGTCCCAGCTACTTGGGAGGCTGAGGTGGGAGGATCACTTGGGCCTGGGAGGTCAAGGCTGCAGTGAGCCATAATCACACCACTGCACTCCAGCCTGGGCAACAGGTCTCAAAAAATAGAAAATAAAAGGCCAAGCACAGTGGCTCATGCCTGTAATCCCAGCACTTTGGGAGGCCGAGGCAGGTGGATCACCTGAGGTCAGGAGTTCGAGACCAGCCTGGCCAACGTGGTGAAACCCTGTCTCAACTAAAAATACAAAAATTAGCCAGGCATGGTGGTAAACGCGTGTAATCCCAGCTACTCAGGAGGCTGAGGCAGGAGAATTGCTTGAACCCGGGAGGCAGATGTTGCAGTGAGGTGAGATTGTGCCACTGTACTCCAGCCTACGCGATGGAGCAAGACTCCAGTCCATCTCAAAAATATAAAAATAAAAATAAGAGAGGCAGATGGACCTGGGCCACCTCTTCCACCTTCCTACCTTGAACATGGATTATGTTTGAATCTGCCACAGCCCTCTTATGGCCATGAGGTGATAAGCCAATCTGCTAAGGATGGCAGAGCAGTGGGAACGAAGGAATCAGCTCTCCGATGGCAGCCCTGAGCTGTGGTATGAGCCCTGGACGCCACTCGCAAAACTTCTTATGTGAAGGAATGAAATATCGTTATTTCTTAGGCTGCTCTTAGTAGGATTTTCTGTTAGTTGCAGGCAGATCAATTGTAAGCATAACCAATGGCGAGACTAGACCTGCTTCCTCAAGAGATATCTACCTTTTAATTACTACAGGTTGACAATTTTTAAAATTTCAAACACCACGCACACCAAAAAAAACATGTCTGAGAGAGAATTTGGCCTTTGTGTGACCTGTTTGTCAACTCTGGCATAGGCCTGTCCAAAATATCCTTTGCATGGTGGAGAAACTGAGACCCAGAGAGGAAAACGAAGCCCATTGAATGAGTTAGCAGAAGCTCTAGGACTAGAAGCCAGCTTTCAGGTCCTGCTCATTTACTGGGCCAAGAGAATATCCTTCAGAGTATCTGCCAAGGTGTGCCTTTTTAAACACATGCAGACTCAGTGTGCATGTGGATGAAGCCCGGGGCCCAGCACAAGGTGGGGCTGCAGCAGCGGCAGCAGCCTGGATGGGCCTCCCTTCCCTCCCCTCCCCTCCCTCACTAGCCACGGGGCATCTGATTCCTCTGTGGGTCTCTGCCCTGTGCACTGATGAGACAAACTCAGGGAAAAGCCCACCTTCGATGACAGTGAGTCTCACTGAGCAAGCGGCCTCTCCGTACGCATTTACTGCTGTGCAGCGGTACAGATCCGTGTCCTCGCCTGTCAGCTTGTTGATCTGCAGAGAGGCCAAGGGCAGAGGAACAGGGCTACCACATCCCCTTCCTCCATTTACTAGACACGGCTATGTGTTGGGGGTATAAAGTGAGTAAGACATGGTCCTTGTCCTCATGGAGCTCACAGTCTTTATCAGGAAAGACAGACCCCAAAACAGAAACCTGGTTTGGGACAGAGGGTGGATGTATCAATTCTTTGCCATCAGAGGCAATGTAGCGAAGTAGAAAGAGTGTGCTTTTTGGGGTCAGATGGATCTGGGCCTGAAAACAGTCTCTGTCCTGTATTACTAGCTGTGGGACCTTGGGCAAGTTACCTAACTTCTCTCAACTTCAGTTTCTTCATTTGTAAGATGGGAATATAATACCTCAAAAAAGTGGTGAATAATTAGAATTAAATATATAATCTATGTCAAATATTTAGCCCCTGGGACATAGTAGGGCCTGGCACATAGTAGGTATCCCATGGTTAGTATTTATAATATTGCTCAGATTAGCCAAGATTGATTGAGTACTCACTATAGGCCAGGCACTAGCTAGACACTTTACATAAAACTTTCATCCTCATAACAACTCCTGGCCAGGCGCAGTGGCTCATGTCTGTAATCCCAGCACTTTGGGATGCCGAGGCGGATGGATCATTGTTGGTCAGGAGTTCAAGACTAGCCTGGCCAACATGGTGAAACCCCAACTCTACTAAAAATACAAAAATTAGTCGGGCGTGATGGCGCATGCCTGTAATCTCAGCTACTTGGGAGGCTGAAGCAGGAGAATCGCTTGAACCTGGGAGGTGGAGGTTGCAGAGAACCAAGATCACGCCATTGCACTCCAGCCTGGGCGACAGAGTGAGATCCATCTCAACAACAACTCATAACAACTCCTTAAAGTAGGTACTATTATTATCCCATTTTTACAAATGAGGAGACAGAGGTAAAAAGAGTAAAATGACTTTCTAAAGCCAAGGTGGTGGGCCTGGGATTGTAACTCCAGCAGTCTGACTTCAGAGCTTGAGCTCTTAAGCTCCAGTCTACACCACCTCCCAGGTTATCAGCAGAGGTATCTGCAAGCCTGCCAGATCCATTCTTGGCTCAGGCAACTTTGAGTCACGAGATGGAGTTGAATGGATTCAACCTCAACGAGGAGTATGTCTTACTCCTCTAGGGATTGGAGGCTGCCAAAGAGACCTTCAAGGGGATGGGAAAAGACGAGTAGACCCTGGTCAGGGGAAGAGCTACGGTTCTTACCTGCAGCACGTGCTCCTTGCTGCCAGGGCTGGAGGAGATCTTGTACTTGCTGGAATCACTGAGGTCACCTTTGGAGTTCTGCCAACGCACCTCGGGCCTGGGCTCCCCACAGACCACAGCCCGAAAGACAGCATTTTTCCCTGCAGCAGGAAGAGACGAGTAGGGAGACTGACAAGTTGGGAGAGGGTGACTGTATACTTTATTTAAATTTTAATTTATATCGTCTTCCTCATCTAGGTATTTCAACTGCCCCTTCCAAAAAGGATGCCAGGCCTTGGTCCCCTTGACTCAGGACTCAGAATACGCAGGTGGAAAGCAGCAGATTCCAGGCACCCAGAAGGCAGTGCTTCCTCTTTCTATATTGCAGAAGCTTGGGCTGCTTGAGGGAAAGAGACAGGTGGACTGGCCCTGGTGAAAGGGGAGGCCAGCAGGGCTTTAGGGGACAGGGGCTTTTCTTTGAGAGTGGGTGAGCAAGGAGTCTGAAGGCTCTGCCAAGACTAGGAAGGGAATGAGATTTTGTGAGTTCCGGGCAGGCGCAGGGGCTCACGCATGTAATCCCAGCACTTTGGGAGGCCAAGGCAGTCGTATCACCTGAGATCAGGAGTTCGAGACCAGCCTGGCCAACATGGTGAAACCCCATCTCTATTAAAAATACAAAAAGTAGCCAGGCTTGGTGGCATGTGCCTGTAATCCCAGCTACTTGGGAGGCTGAGGCAGGAGAATCACTTGAACCCCAGAGGCAGATGTTGTAGTGATCAGAGATTGCGCCACTGCACTCCAGCCTGGGCAACAGAGCGAGACTCCATCTCAAAAAAAGAAAAAAAAAAAAGAAGAGATTTTCTGGCTTCCCTTCCTACTCTCTAGGGGGAGGAGGAATCACAACTAGGAGAAGGAGTGACTATTTGGTGCCCGAAGGATCCGGTGCTGAGACACAGGCTTCAGCCTCAGAAAAGACCCCATGCTCCATGCCTGTCATGGAGGCCTGGGAACTGCCCGCCCTCAAGGAATCCCTCAGCCTCCCACCAGGAACATCTCAGTAGACAGCAATATAGACCAAAGGCCCAAGGGCCCTTCCCAATTTCTCATTACCTTGTTCCAGATTTAGAAAAATAAAATACCATTCTTTTTCTTATTACCAGGATGCTATGAACTAAAATTTATTGCAGGGTGTGTGTTGGGGAAAGAACACCAATTCCCACTTTTTCCCCAATAAGCCTTTGTTCCCACCACTTTCTTGGACACCTTCTTATGTGGCCTTCTAGAAGGGCCTTCCTGAGCCCAGCCTGTGAGCCACAGCAGGTGCTGCTGCCTGGAGGCGAGGATTGGGAAGAGTCAAATTAACTGTTTTAACAGTGCCTCTCTGCAGCAGTGGCTTTGAGGTGAGGAGACAGGGACCAGGAAACACCACAACCTCTCCCTGCTCCCCAGTTTAGCATTTTTCCATCCCTGCCCCCCAGATATTTCTCACACCAGAATAGCATGGTGTCTCTTCACTCTCTTTATCCACTCTTTTCCCCAGGCCTCTTGTCACTTCTAGGGTTCCAGGTAAGCACATACCCCCTCAAGGATAGGAGGGAGATGGGCTATGGCCTAGTGATGGATATAGGGCCTGGGTCCCCAGGAAGGTTGGTGCCCCAGCCCTCTCCCCTGGGAGGTAGGAGAGCAAGAATCTTGCCTCCCCTCCGCAGCTCCCCTCTGGGCTCACCCTCTGGCAGAGCCGAGGTGACGGGCTTCTGCTCAAAGTCCGGCGTGCTGCAGCCTTCAGGGATCTCCTCCACCAGCTGCCAGATGCTCACTCCAGGGATGTGGGACTTCCGGAGCTTTCCTGGAGAATGCAGGAGGGAAGGAGATGGGGCCTTCCACCTTCTTCCTCCTGGGTGGCCCTTCAACAGAATGGGCATCCACCCACTCACCCCAGGAGCAAGAAGCCCCTTCTCGCTCCTACTTTTGGGTCAGGATTATTTGTAGTACCTCCTGCCTGTGCACAGTGCTTTTGAATTCTCTAGTGGGAATCTGGTGGCACACACTCTGGCAGTGTGAATGGAGCCTCTAGGAAGTGGGTGGGGCACCCTAGGAAGACCCTGAGTGTGTCACTGGGGAAAAGCTGGGAAGAAAGAGTGAGAAAGGGCTCCTTCTCAGGAAGCCAAGAAGCAGGAGCTCGTGTGGGGGCTTTGCACTCCTTACTCAGGAAAACAAATCAAAACCCAAAGCCAAGACTCAAAAAAAAAGCCAAGCACGGTGGCTTACGCCAGTAATCCCAGCACTTTCGGAGGCCGAGGTGGGCAGATCACCTGAGGTCAGGCATTCGAGACCAGCCTGACCAACATGGTGAAACCCCACCTTTACTAAAAATACAAAAATTAGCCAGGCATGGTGGCAGGCACCTGTAATCCTAGCTACTCAGGAGGCTGAGGTGGGAGAATCACTTGAACCTGGGAGGTGGAGGTTGCAGTGAGCTGAGATCGCGTCACTGTACTCCAGCCTGGGCAACAGAGTGAGATTCTGTCTCAAAAAAAGCCAACAACAATAAAAATAAAATAAAATAAAATAAGGAGAAAAAAAACAACAACAAGATGGGCAAGTTCCCAGAAATCTCTGATCCCTACCACTTCTCTCCTCTCTGTCCTGGTAAGGATCGCCAGGGAGGGCTGGGGAGGGGAGATTAGTTCTTCTCTTACCTGCCATAGTTCTGCCTCCTCTTTGACTCCTCTGAGGGTAGAAGTTCTATTACCCTGAGAACAGAAATGGAATTGCTTTTGAGAAATCCAGGCTGGTCTCACCCCACCCCTCCCACACCATCAGTGCATCAGCCAATGTCTGGGGTGGGAGCTGGAAAAAGCTGCTGCCCCCAAGAGCTTTTCTAACCCACTAATGGCACTGATTAGTTTCCTGCAATTCCCTGTCCCCAGCAAAACCAATTTCCCAGAGACCAGGGAGTGGGTAGCATGCTACCCAGTTGGTAACATTCCCAGGTAAAGGGAACCATAAGCTGAGCCTGCACACTGTGCTGGTGGCCTGGCCTCCTGGTGGGACCCCAGACCTGATTACCCTGCCCAGAACATGAGACACAACCCTCCCAAACCTGAGGAAATCAGACCCATTCAGGATCCTTTCAGCTGTGTAAGGATTCAGCTGTGAAAGGATTTCAGCTGTGAAAGGATTCAGGCTCCTTTCAGCTTGCCCCATTGGCTTTGGAATGGGAATTCTCCAAGGACATTCTTTGGGCCTCCTGGCTCTTCCCCCAACTCTGAGATTTTCTGGCAGGACACTGAAGCCCTCTACTTCCCACGCTCCACCAATCTAGAATCCTTCCAGTCACAAGGTCTGCAGGGGAGAGGCCTCAAATTTGCTGCTCTTAAGCTCTTCTTGGCCCAGGCCTGTAGGATCCCCATAAATCCATCTGCTCCCCTCAGAAGCCAGTGAATTATAGTGTCAGGTGAATAGGAGTATTTTCCATTCTCTCACCACCACCATCTCTCCTGATTTCCTCTTAATTGCATCCATCTGTTATGGCCAATGGGGAGTCCCACACAGGAGAGGAAGGGGGTTGGGTCTGGGGTGGGATGAGAGCCATAAATCAGGGAGGGGGGATGTCTTGAAAGAATCTTCCAGCAGTCCCACCCTCTGTGCGATTGGCCCATGGCCAAGCGGTTCCATTTTGGGGACTCCATTTTCTGCCCAAAGAGCCTTATCATTAATATAGAATCACACATGACAGAGCAAATTCCTCTCTCCCATGGAGATCATTCCATTTCGCAACGGCCACCCACTGGCACTTCTGACCCCTGGCAGCCCCTCGCCAGCCCAGCCGCTGCACCCTAGCGTGCTGGAATGCCATGGTACGCCAACTGCGTTCTGGAGTGGTCACGGGTGCCACAGGCACTACGCCGAAGGGAGTCACGAGGAAGGGTGGGAGGGAAGGCAGCCACCAACGGATGAGGACCCAGCTGGACACGGCCAGGGGGAGGGCTGCAAGGGCCCCCATCCCACCCACCCCTCAGTGCAGCCTCCTGGTAGATGCAAGTGCACTGGTGCCAGTCGGTGACCCCCACACTGGAGTAGTTTGAGTTCAACACAGCTATCTGAGTCATCATCCCCATCGTCACCCACATCATCACCACGAGCAGCTATCATCCTGTTACTCAGCTATTGGTCACACATGAAGAAGGATGACGCTGATACCACTCTTCTCCCTCCAGCCTCCTGCCTACAGCTCCCAGCAGAGGAGGGCAAAAGAAGCAAAGCTCTTGGGGGAACTTAGGGATGTGACGTTAAGCATCCACTTCTGGAGCTCCACTCTCTTTTAGAATAAGCCAGATTTGGTACAAAGTCAATGACACAGGGAAAGAGATCTGTTGGATTGGAGACTAGAGGGATGTAGTCTCAGTTGGAAGGGATGAGAAAGGAAATGAATTCTCTCCTCCATAATTCATTCCCACATTTGAGAAGAACTCCAGTTCTTCCCAGAAGGAAACAGCAGTTTGTGTCCTCACTTCAGCTGTCCCAACAACACTCTCAGCACTGGATCCTGGGACAGTCCCTCCCTGCCCCCTCTCCAGGACCTATGGCTCCCCATCCTTTTTCCCTACCCTCCCCGGATCCATCCTGCACATCCAGGTCCCTGCTACCTCCAGTTGGTCCCTGCTACCTCTCAACTGGTAGAAATTGAGGCAGGAAGAGCCAAATGGAGTTCTCTCAACTGCTTTGACCATGATACTAACCAAAATATAACAAGTCCCAGCCCGAGGTCCTTATTCTGGACTGCTAGTGATATTTTTAATCTGGTCATCGTATCACACCCAAAGTCAAGCCGTGTCCAGAAAATTAGAGCCAGGACAGAAATGCCCAGACAGGACACACTGAAATTCTCTCCTCCAGATATCCTGGAGTAACCTAGAGGGGATACAGGTGCACCCCAGCGTGTGATCCGCCAGCCAGGGAATGTTCCCCAGGCAGACATCCTGCCCACTGCCTGCCCCTTCCTGCGTAGAAAAGCTGGACAGCAGGCTAGTGTCTCCATCCTGGCCCTACCCTGGCCCGGGTGGGCAGCCAGGTGTGAGCACCCACTTACCTGGGTGTACAGCTGACCTCCCGCTTCCTGTCTGCTCCCTCTTCCCCGTTTCCAGCTGCTGCTTGCTGAGGCTCTGGATTGACTGGTAGTGGACAGGCAGGGCTGGAGCAGGTGTCGGTTGCTGCAGGCGCCTCTGCTCCCTCTGCCCCTCCCACTCACCCCGCCTCCTCCTTCTCCTCCAGTCCAGGCTTGGCAGGGCAAGGCCCCCAGGGCTAACATTCTAGCTCAGAGGAGGTCAGAGATGGAAGGGTCCTGTGACATCAGTCCATCCAACTCCTCGCTTTGCAGAGCTTTAAGCTCTTAACCAGACTGGCTTAGTGTAAATTTGCCCCATGAAGCCTCATTTATACGACCCTTTTTAGCAAGGACATTTTCATCATCCAAACCCTTAACTTTTCAGCTAAGCTGGTCCCTTGGGACCTTTGACACCATAAGTCACACAGATACATAAGCCACTGCCCTCTTGGGAATCACACCTCCAAGTGGTATCAAACAGGCAGCAAACTTTGGGAGTGGGAGGGAAGGCAGCCATTAACGGAGTCACAGACACAGAGTCCACCGAGAGTGACCAGGAAGGAGGAGACCCTGGGAACTGTGTAGTCAGCAGGCCTGCTGGAGAAGGTGAGCTTGCTCAGGAGCTTTTCAAGGAACAGAAGGGGTGACCTGACCAGCAGGGTTGGGGGCGAAGTCGGCAGGGCAGATGGTTGGGTTTTTGGTCGGACAGATGGATGGCAAGTGGAAATTGGAAATACAATGGCTGGTAACAGATTTTCTTAAGGAGAGTGGAGGGCAGGTGAGGCCCAGGAGATAAGGCCACCTGGTGTGCTTTGAAAGAGCCACCTTCTCTCTCCTTAAGGACAGAGAACTGCTTTGTTGCCACCCATAAGCGAGGCTTGATTGAGGATTCAGGTGAAGTAGAAGGGAAATGGGGTGAATGTTTGCATCCAGGGGAGGACACTGAATATTTACATGTGTTGATTAGCATCTTGCCAATTTCTACAGGCGCTACCTCTGGATGTGCTCCGAGAGGGGAGGTGTTTGACCTCTTCTGCGCAAGTACGTGTATGTGTGTGCATGCATGCACACACACATACATTTGTGTGTCCTCCCTGTGTGTTTCTGAGTGTCAGGGCTGGTCTTTCATTTGTTCAACAAACATGTGTTGAACACCTACCGTGGGTTGAGCCCTGGCTCTGGCACTGTGTTAAGCCCTAGGAATACAAAGGTAAGCAAGTGACAGGGCCCTCCCATCATGAAGTTCACAGTCTAATGGGGCAGGTAGATGTAGGGGCTCCAAAGGAGACAATGGAGAGTGTGAGGGGAGGGCTGGACCTTGGAGAGCAAGGGAAAGAGTGGCAGTGAGAGTTGAGTTTGGACAGGTAGGCTTTGGGGGCCATTGAAGAGTTTTGATCTCTATTGTAAAGGTTACTGAGGTTTGTTTAAGCTGGAGGGGTGACAGGATCCAATCTGCATTTTAGAAGAACTCATTCTGGCTGCAGAAATGGAAGGGATTGGAGGAAGGAGAAAGTGAGAGGCAGGAGTCTACCTCCCAGGAGTGCAGTCCCAGGAGAACACCCTAGGGTGTTCTTTCTCATGGTGGGGCCCTGAGCTCCAGGGGCCTCCTGAGCCACAATGCTGCATCATTCCAGGAGGGGGAAGGAGGAGGCTGCATCATTCCAGGAGGGGGAAGGAGGAGGCTGTGAACATGGCCCAATGCAGAGCCTTTAGCATTTCACGTGCCTCTGTTGCCCCCCTAGACAGCCCATGTGCTCTTCCCTGGGGCCTGGGGATGGCCTGCAGATCCACGAGTCAAGGTGTGCCCTGCTAACTGGCCTCCATTTTCCATGATGTTGTTGTTGTTTCCTAAACAGAGATGAGATCTTGCCATGTTGCCCAGGCTGGTCTCAAACTCCTGGGCTCAAGTGATCCTCCCATGCCGGCCTCCCAAAGTGCTGGAATGGCAAGCATGAGCCACTACACTCACCCCATTTTCCATGTTTTAACAGCAGCCCACATTAGGGGACCTACTCCTCTCTGCGCTGTGTCATACATGGATCCCTATCGTTGCAATAAAATGGAAATTTCGGGACTCCAAGGAACTGAGAATGAGTTACACAGTTTTTACCACTCTCCCCACTTTATCCTCTATCAAATGTAGTGTCCAGTAATATTTAGCTATGTCTGGATCGCCAGCCATCCACCACCACTTCCCAGGGTATAATCTTATTACACCTCCTGATAGACTTTTCCTTTGGGAGATAAAGAGACAAGTCCTGGCCGGGCACAGTGGCTCATGCCTGTAATCCCACCACTTTGGGAGGCTGAGGCGGGCAGATCACAAGGTCAGGAGATTGAGACCATCCTGGCCAACATGGTGAAACCCCGTCTCTACTAAAGATACAAAAATTAGCTGGCTGTGGTGGCATATGCCTGTAGTCCCAGCTACTTGGGAGGTGAGGCAGGAGAATCGCTTGAACCCGGGAGGCGGAGGTTGCAGTGAGCTGAGATCGCATCACTGCACTCCAGCCTGGTGACAGAGTGGGACTCCGTTTCAAAAAAAAAAAAAAAAAAGACACAAGACCTTACCTTCATCGATTAGGGGAATATCCATGTCAAAAGAACTCTGGGCAGTGAATTTGTGTGCATTATTCATTGTTCCTCAGTGCCTTATGGAAAGGGCTCAGGGACTTTGGGTAGGGATAGGTTCAGAATTCATTAATGCTCTCCTGTCCCCACAAGAACGAAATGCATTATATGGCAGGTACCAAGAGGCTCAGGCCCCATAAAGGCCTCTCTTGGGACCCTTTTACTCCTGATGGCATGGGTCAGATGAGATGATCTCTGAGATCCTGGCCAATTTGAACCTTCCACAGTCCTGTGACTGAATGGGGAAGGCCATGTGGACTTGAAAAGCAGTCCATGTGACTCAGGAGAGAGTTTAAATTCATTCACAGGCGTTC
The DNA here is from genome assembly GCF_000001405.40 of Homo sapiens. NCBI lineage: Eukaryota > Metazoa > Chordata > Mammalia > Primates > Hominidae > Homo > Homo sapiens. Next base: position 201,187,947 of record NC_000001.11, on the reverse strand, counting down.
ATTGCCTCTATGCTTGGTGTAAAACTGGTTCTGTCCCAGCTGGGTGAGTCACTGAGGGTGCTGTCCAGGGGAGGGTGTCCTCTCTTGCACCCAATGGGGTCCATGTAGATGGGTTAGCAGAGGAAGATTCTAATCAAAGACATGCAAACATGCTCACACACAAACATACACATACACCACACAACACCAACAGAGCAGGTCTTTGTGAAAGGTAGAAGACTATGAGCTGCCCTGTGGAGATGTCTTCAGAGACTAGGGGCCTTCTCTAAGCCTGGAGCTAGGGCATAAGATTCTATTTCAACCACAGTCCCTACCCAGGAAGATGGAGCTGGGAGGACCAGTGGACAAACAACACCCCTCCTGTGCTTCCTTCCATCCTCCTTGGCCACGGTCAAGGATGCCCTCCAGTCCACCTGCTCCCTTGAACCATCCACTCTGCCCCCCAGCTGCCTGCCTAGCCGATATTCCTCCCTATCTCCAGTCCAGCCCATGTGTCAGCCTTAGTTCATGTCTTTCTCACCTCACCTGCAGTGTAATGAATCCCATGTAGCCTCATGGGAAAGAAGACCTTGGAGACCCCAAGGGTAATTTCATGTTTGCAAAGCTGGCTTTCAGTGACAGAGAAACTTGAGTCAGGAGCCAATCCCTAATCTGGAAGGGCCTAGTCCAGCAGGCTCAGCTGGCGCAAGGGCTACAGGAGGGGGTCCTTTGGACCCTCAATGAGGAGAAGCTGGGGAGGAAATCCCACTCCACTTTCCAGGAATGGCTGAGCCACAACAGGCTTCAGTCTATTGAGGCAGTGTAGACTCTCACAGAATGTCAGAGCCAGACAGGACCATTGAGGGCATCTAACAACAGCAATAACATTATAGCAGTAACAACAGTATTTAACCCTGATAGAGTTCTTGCTACATGCCAGATATTCTTTTGAATCTTTAGTTATGTTAACTCATTTAATCCCTCACAACAAATCCAAAAGGCAGAATTGATCACTAACCCCATTTTACAGAAGGGGAAACTGAGATACAGAGACATTATGTAACTTGCCCAAGGTCACACAGCTAGTGAGTGGCAGAGCCAGGATGTGGACCAAGGCCATCCAGTGCCAAGTCTACACTCTTAACGACCAATGTCCTGTGGATCCAATCCAACTCGCTTCTTTTCAGATATGGACACTGGGGCTTGGAGAGAAGTGGTTTCCTCCTGGAAGGCACACAGTGAAGTGTTTTGCAGCCAGATTCGCCTCCTCGTGGGAATGAAGCACCAAACCCCAAGTCATTCCAGAAAGCTGCTCCCTTCAAATCTCCATCAGGTGGTGAGGAGGTAAATAAACCACTCCAGCTAAACAGATGCAAACCCACTCAGGTTTCTAATGTTGCATTGTCGTTTTGCAGGGACACTTGCCTATTTTCATATAATCAGGCAAATCACAGTACTCACAGGCCCCCAACCTACTGTGTGATGTTTTCTACATGGGTTATTTCATTTAGCCCACATAACACCCTATGACGTAGAAACATATCTCCATTTTACAGAGAAGGAAGTTAAAGCTAAGAGCAACTATAATGTTTCCACTGTTACACAACTAGTAAGTGATTGAGAAAAGATGTAAACCAGGCCATCTGATTCTACTACACTTCTACTTCCTGCCCTAGATATCGGATTCTTTAAAAATAGACATAGTCTCACATTTTGCAGGCTTCATGGCTATATTCTTTTAATCATCAATGTTAGCCTCAAAAGATCTAACAGGGCCTATCAGAAGTTGAGAAGGACCTGGCCACTTGCAATTTTTGAGTCTTCTGGTATTTTTTTAAAAGAAGAAAATAGGACTAGAAATAATGGGTAGTACATTTAAAATATTTACATCAAACCACTTAAAACTTTTATAAATCCTGTAATAGTCTGTGAAAAGCATGATTACACTGCAAGGCATTTTGTGTCTGTGAGTTAAAATGGTTCATTCCTGATGCCCTACCAGTAGGGTAATAGTGTTTACCAGGAATAAACACTATTTGTGGTTAAAGGCATAAAATGAGTATTCTCTTCTTTCATTTCCATCAGTGGTTTTTCTATGACCGTGTGGATAACTCATTTGTATATAGTGTTGGTCTCTTCAAGAAGCACCCCATCCCCATTGCCATGACAGGCTCTGTCTAGGGCAGGAGCCCAGCAAGGGAGGCAGGTCTGCAGGAGGTTAGAGGAGGCTCTGCCTCACCCCTTCCAGGCCCTGGCTCTCTCCGCACAGTGGCTCCAGCTCACAATGGCCTTGGAAGACTGGCCTAGAGGCTGGCAGAGAGGAAGGAGGTAGCAAGTCGCTGGGAAAAAGGTGCCCTTCTACCCATCTCTCCCAAGAGCGGTGAGGAGGCTGGGGCTGTTGCCCCCACAGCTCAGAGCAGCCATGCCACGTGCCTCTGACAACCACCACTGCTACTTCTCCTAGTGGCCCTGGGCCTCGCAGCAAGAGGCTTTATGCTGGCAGGAGATGGGGAGGGGTGGGACTGCAGAACCCACCTTGCGGTCCCCTGGAATCCTCACCCAGCTCTCAGCTAAGTCACTGCCCTGAGCAACTCTTAGAACCCAGGGCTGAAAGCCATTTTCTCAGGTGCAGAAACAGAGTCCAAAAGGAGCTAGAATGCTGGGTAAGTAGCAGTGAGGCAATTTGGAGGAGCCAGCCACCTTGAGTTGGGAGACCCTGAGGCAGACTGGGGCAGGGGAGCCAGGAGACCCGAGTCCTGGAACTGTCTCCTGGAAGCCCCAAGCCGGACAACCTGACTCAGACTCTTCTATTAGAAACAGACTCTGTCAGGCTGGATTTGGAGTGGAGTTGCTCTTCCATGCTGAAGAGGGCACTCTCCTGCCCATGCATAGAGCCTGGCTTATGACAAATCTGAACTCTTCCCGGCATCCAGAGCATTACACCAACCAACACTCTCACCGCTGACCTCCCAGCGTGTTCCCTCCAACTCAGGCAGGCTGGCCTCTCGTCCCCACTGCGTTCTCCCTCCTGCCTGGAATGCTGACCTCCCTGCCCTCCTGTGGTCACCATATTAAGTGGCATTTCTATGTGACTGCATTAATTCACCTCAGTTTTTAGGTCTCAGTCTGTCTTGCAGACACTCTGTCTCCTTCTGAGTCCTGGGAATTTCCCAAGAGCCAGAATTGCCTCTCCTTCTATTTCACCTTTCCACAGCCCACCACACCCAAGGACACGGCTCTGATCACAGAAGCTTTATGACAAGGCAGTTTCTTTTGAGCCCGGAGTCGGGAGATGCTCAGAAGCTATATAGGCCCTTTCCCATCCCCACCCTGCAAGGAAGAGTTCCCTTTAAGTAAAAGACAGTCCTGGCTAAACATGTGTTTAGCAGATTCCCAAAAACAAGCTTCAAGCAGGTCATATTTCTTGACATGACAGGAAGGAGCCCATTACCAACAGGACCACCCACATCCAGGCAAGCTGTAAAGTGTCATTTGTACTTTGCTATGGAGTTTGGCACTTATTTTGGAGTGGATGAGGAGTCATGGGAGGCTCTCAGGCAGAGAGATAACATATTTGTATGCTAGAAAGAGCCCGTGGGTGGTGTGCATTGGTTAGATTGGAGTAGAAAAAATTCTGAAACCAGGACTTGACTCTCAAGTGTAGGGGCCATGTCTCCTACATCAGACTGGGGGCTCCCAGGGGCAGGGACAGGGACTCCCAACCCCTGTGCTCAAGCCTGGGCACACGCTCAGGGAAAGCTTAATGCCTGTGGACTGATTTACCTGAGGTGAAAATTGAGGCTGATGGGGACATAACTTATTTCCAGGAACCCTCACTCCCCCTGGCCAGCCTAGAAATGGACCCTGGGGATGCAACCATGGGATACAATCCCCCTGCCTCCAGCGTGGCTCCTTCCCTGGATCATCTCTCCTCTTTCTGGCACCAATTTCCTAAATTCCCAGCAGCCCAGCCACACACAGCTGGTGGTAAAGATCAGGCTGAAACCCCATCCCTGCCCAGTGGCTTGGCCCTGGGATACTGAGCCAAAGCAGAACACCGCGGGCAGGACAGGCTGAGGGCTGGGCAGGCAGCGGCTGGGGCCTGCTGGGCACCGCAAGTCCTTGGGAAGCCCAGCCATGGGGAGGAAAGGTGGCTGACACTCCCCTGCCTAAGAAACATGGGGACAGGACCCTCCCATAAGGGCTAGTGAGGAGACAGTTCCTGCCCACAAGAGGCTTAGCCTCAGGCTTCCACCTAGGATGGCAGAGGAAAAACTCAGTCTTCTGATTGAAGAGACACGATCTTCACTATCAGGTCACCATTAAGTGGTATCTGTCATTGCTATGGTCGGCTCCGACAGCCAGTCCTGTCCATGACAAGTAGAAATGGAAGCTCACAGGTATTAAGGATCTACAGTGGGCGACCGTGCAAGGCACTTGGCACTGTGCAATTCTCTCTTTAATTATCTCATTTCATTTTACTGTTTCCGCTGTGGATTGTAGACAGGTGTTTGTACATGCTGTAGCCTCTGCCTAGCTGACTCATTTTCAGATTGGTTTAATGTGACCTCTGATTGTCCAATGCAAGGTAACAAGCACTTATTGTTATTGCAATTATCTCATCCATCTTTAGGGCATGTATTGGTTTATGGGCTCTCTCCCCACATAAAATGCAACTTAGATTGCAAGCCCCATGAGAAGGATTCTGTCTTGTTCACTGACTTTGAGAATAGGGCTTGGCATTCATTTATTAAATGAACAGGGCCTGAGAGAATCTGCAAATAGTTTACCTGACTTTAATTTTAAGAGGGAGTAGGGGAGGGCGAGGAAGAATAGATTATTTACCACCGTGACTTGATTTTAAGTCTGGAGATATTTGGAGACTCTTCTGTAACTGTAACTATGAGAGAGGAGAAGATGTCTATTAAGGCTTTGTATAATAAAACTGGAAGACAGGGAAGGGAGAGGTTCCATGTCAAAGAGAACAATGAGATTCTGAGTTAGAATGGAATTACACACTTTAGGAGCCAAATTAAAAATGTGGCTGAGCTGGGCGCAGAGGCTCACGCCTGTAATCCCAGCACTTTGGGAGGCCGAGGTGGGTGGATCACCTGAGGCCAGAAGTTCGAGACCAGCCTAGCCAACATGGTGAAACCCCGTCTCTACTAAAAATACAAAATGAGCCACTCATGGTGGTGGGTGCCTGTAATCCCAGCTACTTGGGAGGCTGAGGCAGAAGAATCACTTGAACCCGGGAGGTGGAGGTTGCAGTGAGCTGAGATTGCACCACTGCATGACAGAGCAAGACTCCATCTAAAAAAAAAAAAAAAAAAAACCATGGCTGGTCCTTAAAGCTAGGGGCTGAGAGTAGGGTCTTGATGTAGGATTAATAAAGAAACCCTCTCTTTCCTCAGCCCTGACTTTTGCATTGCTACAGTGTTTTACAGTCACTAAATGGCTTACCAAAGTTGTCCACCCTCCCAATTTCTGAACAGCGATGGAGAATTGGTTAACAACTGAAGACTCAAAGGGCTCCATGGTAGAAAGCCAAACTCACTTCTCTATTGATTTTGGTTTGAAAAGAGCAACTGATGCTTTAAGGATTCAATCAGAATTTGTGATGCAAACTGTTAAAACTTCCTCAAATATTTAAATATTCCCAAACACAAGTACAAAAGAGCAGCAAAAGGAAATAACCATTGAGTGCTGGAGTAACATCAGTCACTCTAAAGTTAGAACCAGGATTTGGGGTGTGTTTAGTGATATGCAAGGCATTTGCCTCTATGCAGTGTGGAAAACCTTGCCCCATGAGGTCTTTCTGTTTTAAATTTGCATGTTTTTTTGACTTCCCAAATGTTTTTACCACAATTAATCCCTACTCATTTAATTTCTCAAACATAGCCCCAAATAAATTTGGGGTTTCTTTTCTAAAAATTAAATCCCATGTTCTGGGAGGTTTGTGCCACTGTCAGAGTCCAGTGAATGAGAGGTCGGGTGAACATGAAGCCCTTTACCAGGACAGTAACTTTATGCCCTGGCTTAGTGCCAGGTGCCACGCTGGGCTCTTACATGTATGGAGATCTTCAATCCCACAATCCCCCTGTAAGTTGGGATTCTTATCCCTGCTTTACACATAGGAAACCTGGGACATGAGAGGTAAAGTCAGTTTAGGTGACAGAGTGAGCCCTGATGAATGCAGTGGTGGAGCTGGAAATGGAACTGGCACACAAGTCTCCTGGCCTCTCAAAATTTGGGCTCCTCCGTTTATAAAACAAGAAACCAAGATGTGCATGACAGCAACCCTGTTCTGTTCCCCCTACAGAAGTCCTCCTAGAGAACCAGAAAAGACAGAAGAAAAAGAAAGGAAGAGAGTAAGGGATGGATGGAAGGAAGGAAAGACAGCATGTGGAAGAAAGAGAAAGACAAACCTAAAAAAAGAAGAAGAAGAGGAAGAGGAAGAAGAGGAAGAGGAAGAGGAAGAAGAGGAAGAGGAAGAGGAAGAAGAAGAAGAAGAAGAAGAAGAGAATTTCACCAGAGGAATACCATTAGTACCAGTCATGAGAAAAGGTGACAAACCCTTTGGTTTGTTTAGCTCAGTGACATCCTTTGGTGCTGTTCTGTCCAAATGCCCAGACAGCATCAACCAGTGATTTCAGGCAGCCAGAGCGTGCTTCTCCCTCTTATGCCCCAGCTTCCCTTTTCCTAAAACTCCCATTCCTCCCACTCTCCCTGCAGTTAATTCTGGAAAGTTCCCCAGGCAGTCCCTGGGCTAACTTAGACAATATCCCAGGAGGCCACCTGTCAGCCTAGGTTGTTAGATGCTTGCTCCTGGGAGATTGACGGAGCCGGCTGGATCTCACTAATGCCCAGGGTGGAAAAGGGCTTTGCTGCCTGGTGACTGATTTGTGTTCCTGGAGGAACTCGATCAGGAACCGCTTGACAGCGCGCCAGTACAGTGGCTTCACAGAACTGAGAACCTGAAGACTGGAGATCCATTCTTGGTTCAGTCTTGTGTCCATCCTGAAGATAGTAACACAGGTGTTCATCTCCATGCTGAAGAAAATTCTCTGAGACTCTCTTCCCCATTTCTTCTCATTGCATGGGCATGATCTGACCCACATAAATCAAAAATGGTGTCTTGAGCCTGCTGGTTCTCTCCTGGGGCTTTCTTGTCTAAAGGGCTTTTCACTGTCCCCCCATGATGGCTCCAAGGTGATACAATGAAAGCTTTCATTGGCATCTCCTGAATCTCCTAGAGTGCCCTCAGTGCCCTCTCTACAAGAGGCTGGGAGCAGACTTCCCATGTGCTACCCTCTACTTTATTTTAAAAACTCGTGGGGATGAAAAAAAACTGCCTTACATTCTGGTAGCATGAGAATTTAAAGGAAGAGAAATTTTCATTTCCTGGTTGACTTTCTGAGATCACTTTAAACTGACCATAAGCTAAAAGGACTAAGACCACAAGCTATGGTAGAAATGAGAATTGTGAGGAATTTGGTACAGTGGGAGGGACCTGAACTGTCAAGAATATCATATCCTGGTCCATATTGGAGGACATTTATGATCCTCTAGAAGAATTGTCGTGGAGACTATCTCAGGATTTACAAGTATGCTGACATTTCCTAGTCATGTGACTATAGCCTAGTCTTAAACTCACTGAATGTCTGTTTCCTCATTTGTAAGAAGGGATGACAATATTATTAGTGGAAGGAGCATGGACTTTTGAACCCATGCTTAAATTGGGTTTTTAATTTAAGCATGACCCAGGTTTAATTTAAGAGAGACCCAGGTTTAAATCCCACTTTTACTACCTGGAGGCCATGAGCCTGGAGTGGATGGAGCAGAGGGGAAGTGGGAGGAGAATTATCAGAGAGTGAAGGGGCCAGTGATCACATTGGGCTATAAGGCCATAGTAATGACCTTGGCTTTTACTCTGAATAAGATGGGAATCTGTTGCAATGTTTTGAGCAGAGGGATCACAAGATGTAATTCATGTTTTTAAGAGATTGGCCTGGCTGCTGGGTTGAAAATAGACTGAAGGGAAAAAAGGGTGGAAAGTCAGAGACCCAGATACACAGCCCCTGCAATAATCTAAGTGAGAGAGGATGACACTTTGGACAATGGTGTCACAGTGGAGATGGTGAGCAGGTCAGATTCTAGACGTACTTGCAGGTGGATTCTAAGGATTTACTGACTTGTCATAGTTTATCATTTATAACTGAGTAGGTTTTTTTTAAGAATTTGTCTAATCTACTAAACTGAATACTCTATGGGGCAAGAATCGTGTGTATTTTATGCACTGATGAGTTTCCCATGTTGAGCTCAGTTCAGCAATATTTGATGAAGGAATGAAACCTGAACATCTTGACAAGCCGTGTCTGCTGTGCCCCCTAAGCCAACTCTCTCTTGCCCACCCTCTCCACTTCTCTCCAGCAATTCTCTGACTCCACAGCAAAGTGACAGGTTGGTTGGAGCTGAGGCCAGAGAGGAATTGCAGCCACGGACAAAGAGGGAGAGTGGTGGAAAAGTGGTGTTGGAGGTGGAGGGGAAGGAAATGTGGAGATGAGAAGGACATACTCAAGCAGCAGCCTGAATAATCACAGGGCCAAAGAGAGGGAGGAGAGGAGTCACATGGAGGAGATGGGAGAGTCACATGGAGGATGGAGGCTGGGGCCAAAAGAAGACAGAAATGGAACCTGGGCTTTTCTGTGGCTAATGTTAGTGTAGGTGCTCCTCTGAGATCAGTCCACCAGTGACATTGATTCACTGGCATGGTAGGGATGGACTTTACATCAGAAATACTGGGAGGCATGGAGTTGTTAGCTTGTGCTCTTCCCTGGGCACCAATAGTCGAAGGTCTATATCTGACTTCCTCCTCTTTTGTAGCCTGGTGGTTCTGGGACAGGGTAGAAATGGATGTGGGTGGGTGGAGACATTGGGGTTGAAGAGGTGTCTAAGTCTGTTTTATGCTGCTGTAACAGAACACCACAGGCTGTGTAATTTATGAATGATAAAAGTTTATTTGGCTTGTCGTTCTGGAGGCTGGGAAGTCCAACAGCATGGCACCAACATCTGGCGAATGTCATCTCATGATGGAAGGCAGAAAGCAGAAGAGTGCATGAGACAGAAAGAGAAAGGGGAATAAACTTATCCTTTCTATCAGGACCCCATTACCATGATAACTAACCCATTCCCAAGATAATGGCATTAATTCTCCCATGAGGGCAGAGTCCTCATGACTTGATCCCCTCTTAAAGGCCCCACCTCCTAATACCACCACAATGGCAATTACATTTCAACATGAGTTTTGGAGGGGGCATTCAAACCATACCAAGGGGGCATGTGTATGTGAGAGCAAACTGAAGGAGGAGAATAGTGCATGTGGAGGTGCATGGCGGGGCATGAATGCACCTCAGGGACAACAAGAAAGCAGATCATGGCTGGGGTATGAAGGAGAAAAAGAGAAGGGATCACAGGAAATGGGGGCACAGAGAGAAGGGATCACAAGAAAGGGGGGCACAGAGATACAGGGATGCCCCTCTTCTGACCCATGTCATCTTCTTTTTTTTTTTTTTTTTTTTTTTTTTTTTTTTGAGAAAGAGTCTCACTCTGTCACCCAGGCTGGAAAGCGCAATGGCGCAATCTCAGCTCACAGCAACCTCTGCCTCCAGGGTTCAAGCAATTCTCCTGCCTCAGCCTCCTGAGTAGCTGGGATTATAGACACGTGCCACCACGACCGGCTAATTTTTGTGTTGTTAGTAGAGACGGGTTTCACCATGTTGGTCAAGCTGGTCTTGAACTCCTGGTGTGATCCGCCTGCCTCAGCCTCCCAAAGTGCTGGGATTACAGGCGTGAGCCACTGCACCCGGCCTTGTCATCTTCTTTTTAAATTAGTGATCCTCCCTCACCAGGCCATCACCCACCATCCCTGTCTTCAGCAGGGATTCACACATGTTCACAGGCTGTCTCATAGCTGTGGCCACAGCCCACGCTTACCCCTATACACAGCTCACCTTGCTACCTGTGACATATAAGTGCACACACTCCTTGCTTTCTCCACTGCCTCACCCATAGAAGAACCTCACACATTTGGTTGTCTAACATGTGTGTAAACACATGCATACATACGACACACACACACACACACACACACACACACACACACACACACACACCCGTCTAGGCACCAGGCAATTTAGTCTTAAGATCGCAAGTCCTGCCCTGAAATGTGACGCCTTTCTTGCCTCATCATTCTTCTCCTAGGCCTAATCTGGAGAGAGAAAATTCTGGTGATACTGGAATTTTATTCTAGCCCAACATACCTACAGGAGCCTTATTGTAGTCCTTCCAATCAAAGGCCCCCTTTGCTGCCTCTGAGCCTATTTTAAAGTCACTTAATCTGCTCTGAATCTGGATCTCTTTCTTTTTGTCATGCGCCATTCTTCAAAGCTTGTTGAAGCACTGTCTCTGCCAGAAACCTTCCCTGGTTAACTCTTCTTGACTCAGTTTCCTCCTGCCCTCTCCTCCCTATCTCCCCCTCCATCTGCTGCCATTCCAGCATCACACGAATGCCTGCCAGAGACAAGGCCTGCATGTCTTATCCATTCCCCTCCCCGTCACATACACACTCAATTCACAATCCCTGTGAGCTCCCTAAGGAGAGGACAGTGTCTCCTTCTCCCTCTGGTTATCCCCACAGCACCTCAGCCTGGGTTCTGCATAGGAATTACTCAGCCCTGGGTGTTTTGCCAGGAGATGGGATCTTTAAGGGCAGAGACCTGAGCAGACTAAGCATATCACATGTTTACCAAATGACTGCCTGAGGAATGGAGAGGGGTGTGGACGGGACAGTCAGAGAGTGGCTGGCTCAGGACTACAGGTGCTAGGGTGAGGCTTCTCACCCAGCAAGGCCAGTCTCAGAACTTGACACGGACCTCCCCTACTAAATGACCTGCAGGAGGTTGCCCTTGACTGGCTGGAGAAGATTTAGCACCTCTCCAGCTCTAGCAATGAATGAACTGCCCAGGCTGTTAATTGCCTTCAGTTCATTGTTAGCTTTTCTGCCAGGGACACTCTGGTGAGGAGAGGAGGTGAGAAGAACCTGGAACTATGGGGAAGGAGGGCAAGTCTTACAGGGCAGGGGCTTGCAGAGGCTGTATAGTCTAAAGGGGACCTGGGCAAATCAAGCCTCCGTACTGAGGGCCACCCCAGGAGGTGAGAGGCCAGAGGCCAGAGACAAAGGGCCAGGATAGAAAGAGATTTATATATTTGCTTGAAATCTATTTTTAATATCCCATAAACATGCTTTGCTCGTAACCAAGGCCTAACTGAGCTTCCAAGTAGGCTCATTCCAGCTGCCCCCCCAAGAATTCCTCAAAGGTTATCCCATCAAAGTCACAAAATCCTGAAATCAAGAGAGTCAGCAACTCCTGAGTCACAGGTCTGGCACTACCCAAGGGCTGTGATTGGGGCCATTTATGGCTGGCCCCCAAAAAAAGGGTGAAAATAGGTCAAGACAGGTTTTCCAAAGAGATAAGGAGAGATGGGCATGGAGGATGCCTGAACAGGCTGGAAACGCATCTCTCCTTCCTCCTCTCCCCAACTCCTTTCCACCCACAAGTTGGTCACTGACCAGCCTGCGGCGGCAGAGCTACCACCTCCAATGGCCCCAGTGAGGGCACTGAGGAACACAGCAGTGCGGCTAGAGCAAGGCAGTGTGCAGAAGGGAGGGTGGGCTGCTATTTGAATTCAAATTCTCACTGGCTCCTTTCACCTGATTTTCTTCAACTTGTGTTTCAGTTTCCCTGACTCTGCAACATACATCTGGGTGCCTCTCCTCCTTTCTGGGGAAATTGGGAAGGTTGGTATGATGACATCTGGAAGGTTCTTGCTGCTCCTTGGGAGACGGTTGCTGAGTCCAAGGGGTATTATCAGAACCCTTAGGCTGCAAGCCCAGCCCTTGTTCCCCAGCTGGGGGACCGTGTCGACCCCCAGGAGAGGAGGGTTGGGGGTGGTCTGCAATTAATCTGTGGTGATGTAAAAATCCTAATCCCAGCTACAGTTGGAATTTTCTGAGAACACAATGAGCTCAGGAACACCCCTTTCAAAAGAAAACCCCTCAAACTACTCCCAATGTAAACATTCACTCTACCAAGGGTTCCTTCACACACACACACACACACACACACACACACACACACACACAGTACCTTTGCACTTATTTTGTATGTATGTATGTATGTATTTTTAGAGACAAGGTCTCACTTTGTCACCCAGTCTGGAGTGCTGTGGCAGAGTCATCATCGCTCACTGCAACCTCGCACTCCTGGGCTCAAGCGATCCTCCTCCCTTGGCCTCCCAGAGCTCTGGGTATACCTTCATACTTATGAAGGGGAACTAAGTCACGGAGAAATAATATGGTGCTTAAGAATAAAGGGAGACACGAAGTTCCCCTTCCAGGAGGAGTCCAGGAAAATATTCCTTCCATCACTTTCCTCTCCAAATGAAATCCCACTGAAACAAGATGCCTGCCTCTGTTCAAACAATTATTGCAACATGCGGCACACATACTAATAGGAACAGAAGCTGAAAGGGAAAGGTTGGTTCTATAACCACAGGAAAGGACCTTTGCTCTCTCAAACTTCTTGGGAAGTTTACAGAGAATGTGATGGACACATTCATTTTCACAATAGTTAAAGGAAAGTTCTGCCCACTGATGTGAGTGAAATTCATTAATTTGTTTAATAAATATTTATTGAGCTACTTCTGCAGATCAGATATTGTGCAAGGTGCTGGGGTCCTTGTCCTCACAGAGTTTTCAGTCTAACTTACATTCTAGTGGAAGATACAGGTGAAACAAGTGATCACAGAGAAGCATAACAAAGGCTTTAGTGGGGGACTATCAATCAGAGCTCAGCGGGAGCACATACAGGAACACCAGCCAAAAACTGGGGGAGAAGAGCAATCTGAGGAGCCTTCCTGGAGGAGCTGACAGGATGAGAAGGACTTAGCTATGTGGAGAAGATGGAAGAAACAGCAGAGAATGCAGCATATGCAGAGGCTTAGAGGTGGAAGAAAGAGGGGGTGCCCCAGAGGAAATGAAATAAGTCCATCACATCTGAGATAATTCCTTGAGGCCCCTCCTCACCAAAGACCTCCCAGAGCTGTTGGGCACCCTGTCCTGAGCAAAAACCACCTCACCAGCCACACACAAGCTAATGAGATTCTGCTTTAGGATTTCTTCCTAAGTGTATCTGAAAGGCCTAGTAAGCTGCTGCTCCAGCTGCAGAAGATAAGGGCATTCGCCAGTGAGATTTGTGTGGGACTCCTTCCTTAGGGAGAAGGCTGTCTGGGCAGGTCAGGACTGAATACAGTGGTCAGAAGACCTGTGGGGGCCAGGCGCGGTGGCTCATGCCTGTAATCCCAGCACTTTGGGAGGCCGAGGCAGTCGGATCACCTGAAGTCACAGGTTTGAGACCAGCCTGGCCAACGTAGCAAAACCCCATTTCTACTAAAAATACAAAAATTAGCCAGGCGTGGTGGCACATGCCCGTAATCCAGCTACTTGGAAGGCTGAGGCAGGCGAATCGCTTGAACACAGGAGGTGGGGGTTGCAGTGAGCCAAGATCACACCACTGCACTCCACCCTGGGTAGCAGAGTGAGAGTCCACCTCAAAAAAAAAAAAAAAAAAAAAAAAAAAAAAAAAAAAAAAAAAGACCTATGGGTCTCCACCCTCTTGACACAGCATCCCACAGCTCCATTACAGAAGAGCAATCTTGACCCTTGGGTAGTGCTCCCCAACGCCCTCTGTCCACTGATGACCTCTGGTAGGATGGGTGAGGGAGGTACCCCATCCTTGTGCAGGTCCAGGGTGCACCTTAGGCAGCCAATGGCATTACACAGAAATTACCCACTGCTCTCCCCTGGGGTGCCCACCCAGGCCCCAACCTTAAACCACTTCTATCAGAGGCCAGCAAAACTATGGCCCACAAGCCTAACCTGGTCTACAGCCTAGTTTTGTAAATAACAATTTATTGGAAAAAGCCACACTCATTTATTTACATAGCACCTGTGGCTGCTTTTGTGTTCCAACAGCAGAACTGAGTCGTTGCCACAGAACTTGTATAACCTGCCTAAAATATTCACTGTCTAGGCCTTTACAGGAAAAGTTTGCAGACCCCTGAGCTAGATTATCTGAATACTTTAAATCCTTATATATGCCCCAACAAATCCCTGAAAGCCTGCCCCCAGAAATTCCATTTCACCAAATACCCCGGCCTTATAAGTTGTCAACACTGAGAAACATTGACAAGAAACATGAAGAACCCCCTTCTATGGAGATTTGTAAGAAGAGTTCTCAGTTGGGCATGGAGAAGGGGTCATCCAGCAGAGAAGCAGGAAGTGGACTTTTTCACCTCCTAGCCCTCTGTGTGAGCTGAGACCGGATGATGGAGGGATGATGTGGAAGGTTATGACAAAAGATTATGAAATCATGGCAGCTGTGAGAGAAGCATCAGGTGGAAACAAGAAGGGCTGGGTCACGGGGAGGCCAGGGCTTCTGGAGGAGCAGGAAGAGGGCTCCATGCTCAGCCCTTGTGACTCATGAAATAGAGAGGCCCTGTCAAGTGATGTCTTCTGATGGCTGCCTCATCAGCACCCCTAATCCTGCAGGGTTTGCACACTCCTCTTCTGTCCCACAATGACAGCTGAACTCAGTCAGGAGGCCCAGGCCGGCCTGTTGGACAGTACAGAAAGAGAAGCAAGTGAAGTCTGAGAGGGGGGAATTCTCCAGGGGGGGATTGGAGGATTGTAAATCTTCAAGGGCCTCCAGAGGTCATCTTGATCACCCCTTCTCCAGCAAGAGCTGCACACACCCAGCTGGAGGGAGGAAGGATATTTTGGGTGGACGGAGTCTGAGGCTGACAACTAGACTGTTAGTAAGTTCTTCCCAGGCCCATCCCTGCTGGGTGGCTCAGAGGATGGACTCTGGAGCCAGAGGGTCTGGGTTTGAATCCCAGCTCTGCCCCTTCCTTGCTCTATAACTTGGGTGAAATAATTTAACCTTTCTATTCCTCTGTTTCCATGCTTGTAAAGTGGGAATAAAATGATATCTTGATGTTTGGGGCAAGGACTTTCAAACTCCAGAGTATTCATTAAGCACCTAATGTGTGTCAGACACTGTGTTAGGCATTTAACACAGGTTGGGTCATTTGGAAGGACTCAGCCGGAGACCGTGAGACCATTTATATGTGCCAGTGTCTTCATGTTGGGAGCACTTATTCCACTGTCTTCTTCCTAGGACTGATTTTCGGGCCTCAAGGGTAACTGTAGGAGGTCCTTCCCTGGTTACTCCTGCTGCGCCTGCCCCTCCTAACCATGGCTGGACTGTCCCTGTCCCAGGCTAAGCCAGCTGCAGTTGGCTGTGATTAATGGCCTCTATTAACAGCAAGTTGTAAACTGATAAAGTACACAGTGCCCATGAAAATCTCACCTCTGCTAAATTCCACACCAGTGAGTACTTACTCCTTAACCCCCGAAACCTCCTGCCTTGCCTCGTTTGAGAGACATAGTGACAGAGAGTACACCTTTAACCAGAGGAATTCAAAATGCCTTGGAAGCAGGAAACAACTCCATGAATTCTTTGGGGGAAAAGCCCAAATCCTAAAACCTGGTTTCACATGGAGTGGAGCCTAGGCGAGATGAAATTAAAGTCCAGGTCAAGGAAGGTAGTTTCAATCAGCCTCAAAGAAATCCCAGAGCCAACTGGCCAACAGCTGCGTGCCCTTGGGTAAGTCACTTTCTCCTATCTGGGCCTCGGTTTCATTATTTGTTAAATGAGAGGTTTGGTTCAAAATGATTCCTAGTCTCCTACTCTACTCGGCAGACTTAAGAGCGGTTCTGAATACAGGAATCTTTACCAAAAAAAAAAAAAAAAAAAAAAAAAAAATCACACTCCAGGCCTTAGTTCCATTCCTTCTTTCCCTGAGAGAATCTTTGCAAAGCAGCAGCCCTCTTCCACCTGGTCATCCCCTGCCTCTCTACACTCATCCAGCCAAGTAATTAGCTTGGTTTCCTTCAAGTCAATTATCACCATTAAAAAAACAAACAAACAAACAAAAAACAATGAAATTGGCATTCCTTGGTGAGTAAACGTGCAGGCCAGACAGGGATGTGAGATCCACAATTCAAAGAAACCCTTGCACACTCCTGACGTGTTCTTTCCGAACACTCTTCGGAGTCTCAGTTTTATCCTCAAAAGGCAGAGAGGCGCAGGTTTTAGCTTAACCCACTGCGCAGGTGAGAAAACTGAGGTCCAGGGTGACGTCATGATCTAGGGCGAGCGGCAGGTGGGAGATTAGAACCCGAGAGGCTGCCGCGGCCTCTGCTCCCTCCCTGCTAGGCTCTGTCCCACAATGCACCCGAGAGCAGGAGCTGAAAGCCTCTAACACCCACAGATCCCTCTATGACTGCAATGTGAGGTACGTAATCTCTCTCGTGTGAAGTGTTTATGTGTAAAAACAGCGGATTAGTGTCTCCGTGCTGCTATGTCTTCTGGGATCAGAAGGACCCAGCCTCCTGCCCCTCCCTGGGACGCGGAGCGGTGACCTCCAGGCGCGGTAAATCGCCGCGGCGCCTGGGACCCAGCGGCCAGTGCACCCCCGCGGTGGGTCCCAGCGGGCTTTCCACGACCTTCGCCTCACGCTTTTAGCCCGCCGTCCGGCAGGGGGCCTGGGAAGTCCTCCCAGCCAGGATCCATTTCAAACTCTCCCACCTCCACCTGCCGCACCGCCCCCCGCAATCCTTCCAGGCTCGGCTCCCGGGTGGGGAAGGACGGAGCGAGCGGGCGGCTGGCTGGAGGCCCGAGTCTCGGGGATTGGTTACATTTCTCCCCGGGTTAATTACCACGGGGAGGGAATCTGAGCTGTGCCTGTCTCGGGCACAACAAGCCTTGTCGCCTGGTGAGAGAATCTCAATCTTACTCAGGTAACACCTGCTGGCCCGGCACAGAAATGTTCTCATTCTGCGGGACGCCACCTCCCACAGAGGACTGCAAACGCCCCAGGCGGCCTGGACCCGGAGTGGAGCCTCCCGGGGTGGAGACTGGACGGGGTGGTGACGGGATTGGACGGCTGGAGTGTGCGGTCACTAGGGGGTGGGGCTAGGGCGGGCCACGTTTGGACTGCGAGGCCCGGGCCTGAAAGGAATCCCTCTTTGGCCGGCGCCACCCTGTTCAACCCTGATGCAATACACTTGCCCTTTGCGTTTACCCGGGGCAAATATTTAACCTTTCCATTTTTTGCACTGACTTAATGAGTCTCGGTGTCTACCACAGGGCTTGACACATAGCAGACATCCGATATCTGTTTGTGAATGCTCAAGCCCGTCAGCGTGTCTGTCTCCTAGGGGAGTCGTGTTCTCAGACTTGTCAGCATTTCAGCACCCAGTTATGACATGTCATGTGGGCTACTACTGGTAAAAACTGAGCATCCAGATGAGTGCATTTTTCACTTTTAAAGGTAAATTGAAATAGATTGAAGATTATTTCCATTATAATGCTGCTCACTCTCTTGAGTCTGATGTGCTGTCATAAATGGAAGAGAAAAGGGTGGAGGTTGTAGGGTACATGTTATTTGGCTCTTGTTCTAGTAATAGCTTTTGATTTCATCTTGGGGGATGACATTGGGCTGATAATCAAGGTGTCCTGACCTTCCTGCCAAGGAGCAGGCTTGAGGCCAACTTAGGTCCAAGGGACTGATTCTGTCATCTGGACTTTGAATGCTGAATAGTGACCTGAGAATAAGGGAAAAATCCATCACAGCCAATGCACCCCCATGGCATGCCAGGGGAGGAAGCTCTGGTTTCTGCCTTCTTCAAGTCTTGTTCTTCAGTCGTTTCATAGATTATATGAATTTCCCACTTCTTTCCAACAAACTCTTTTTTTTTCCTTAAACGGTCAGTTTCTGTTGCTTAAGACCAAAGCACCTTAACTGCAGGAGTCACAGCTGAAGATTGGGAATATGTAACACCACCTAGCTTCTCTGGGAAGCAATTCAGTAGATTGTGTTCAGCACTAAAGAATCCTTAGTCTACCTATTATTTTAAAGATGAAGAACTAAGGTTCCAAGAAGTTCAGTGACCAAGTCAAGGTCACATAGCCAGATTCACAGGATCTCAGAGTTAAAAGGGAACTCAGAGTCATTCATCAAACTTTTCATCTGATATTTAATCTCCCTCTGAAATAGCTTCAGCAAGTGCTCATCCAAAAAAAAAATGTGTGAACACCCTCACTGATAGCAAGAAATTTCTCTGGGCAACTCATTTCTCTTCCACATGACATCCCCTCAGAGAGCCAAAGACTGCTATCACCACCAAGATTTTTCTTTCCCAGGACAATGTTCCATTTCCTACAGCTGTTCCTCATGTGGCAGGGTTTGAGGCCTTTACCATACACCATACTGGCCACTGTCCTCTAAATGCATTCTGGTCTGTGTTCCTTGGAGCATGTGTCCGTAACATGGAACAGAGCACCCAGCTGTAGGCTACTGGTGCAGAGTGGGTGGATCACCACTACCCTTATTCTAGAGAAAATGAGTTCTTAGGTCTTAAGTTCCTCTAATTCAGCCTGAGGTCAAATTAGCTTGTTTGTTCTTGTCAGTCACGTTACACTCGTACTATTCACTAAGCTATCCTCAGTTACTTTTACCTGTCCCTCTCATATTTGTGTAAGTGGGAAACTTAGATTCAGCCTTCATTTCAACCTTACAGTATCTTTTTGGATCCTGATATTCCCTGCTCCTGTACCCTCCTCCCCAACCCACCTCTATACCTACACACAGCTTTGCAGTTTCCGCAATTTTCTAAGCATGTGCTCTCTCCTCATCTAAGTTCTTTACACAAATGTGTGCATTCTAAAACCCTCCCTCTAATCGCTTTAGCCCAGGAGTTCAGACCAGCTCGGGCAACGTAGTGAGACCCCATCTCTAAAAAAAAAAAAAAAAAAGTAATATAATTAGCTGGGCATTATGGCACAAGCTTGGAGTCCCAGCTACTTGGGAGACTAAGGTGGGAGGATCACTTGAGCCCAAGAGGTCAAGGCTGCAGTGAGCCATGATAGCACCTCTGTACTCCAGCCTGGGTGACACAGTGAAACCTTGTCTAGAAAATAAGTAAATAAAAATAAAAATAATGCCCCCTGCCCCAGGATTGTTTACCAGGACACAAAAACCCTTTTATTTTATTTTAATTTTTTGAGACAGAATCTCACTTTGCTGCCCAGGCTAAAGTACAGTGGTGCAATATCAACTAACTGCAAACTCTGCCTCCTAGGTTCAAGCGAGTCTCCTGCCTCAGCCTCCTGAGTAGCTGGGATTACAGGCATGCGCCACCACACCCAGCTAATTTTTGCATTTTTAGTAGAAACGGGGTTTCACCATGTTGGCCAGGCTGATCTTGAACTCCTGACCTCAAGTGATCCACCTGTATCAGCCTCCCAAAGTGCTGAGATTACAGGCGTGAGCCACCATGCCTGGCCTAAAAACCTTTTAAAATTAGAAAATCCCTGTAAGAATCTGAAAAAGTTTAAGATCATCTTTATTTCCCTCCCCTAAAATACACCTGTGTATATTCATACAAGATTCATACAAGATTGTGTATGGGGATAACACTGAGAACCCTATTTCTCAGCAATTCTACTCCTAGGTATATACCCCAGAGAGATGAATGCACATGTCCACCAAAAGACATTTACAATAGTAGTAGCTTTGTTCACAATAGCCAAAGAAAACAATGCAAATGTCCAGCTGCAATAGAATGGATAAGTGAATCGTGGTATATTCATACAATGGAATATTATTTAGCAATGCAAATGAATGAACTGCTACATAGAACAATATGGATAATTTTCACAAACATAATGATGACCCAGAAAAGCAAGGCACAGATGAAGAGTAGTTACTGTATGATTTAATTACAGGAAGTTCAAAACAGGCAAAAACCAATCTATGTTGAAAAAACTCAGAATACTAGTTACCTTCACAGTGAAGGTAGTAACTAGGGCACGAAGAGCTTTCTGGGGGAACTGGGAATGATTTATATCTATATTTACACAAGTTTATGCAAAGGTAATCCCATCCTTGCAAAAATTATATCAGTAAGAAACTTATGGCAGTAGGGGAGATCTGATCTAGCTAAACTTCATCTTGCCTTTGGCCTTCAAGCTGCCCTTAATTTTTCCTAGGCTTAGGCCAAACTAACTTTGGGAGACATTTAGTTTATAGTTTAAAGGATAATAGCCTATCCCCCAAACTCAACCACCTTTGCAAAGCTAATGAGAGACCACCAGGCTAGCAGGATAGAGAAGCCTGAATTCAGCTAAGGTGTAGACATAAATGGTCGCCAGTCATTATTCTGGAAGTCACAAGATATGCAACTTCCCCAGTGACTCCTGCAGATAACGTCACTGTTGTAGAACCCAAGAACAGCTTTTTCAGGTTTTTTCCATGTCTAACACCATGCTCCACCTGGACTCGCCAGCCGCCCCTGTGGCCCCATGGAGAAGCAACTCAACCCAAGAGGACAGCTTTGACTCCCTATAATTTTATCTCCGACCCAACCAATCAGCATTCCCCATGCCCTAGCCCCCTGCCCACCAAACTACCTTTGAAAAACTCCTAACCTCTGAGCCTTCAGAGAGACTGATTTGAGTAATAACTCTGTCGCCCGCGTGGCGTGGCTGGCCCCGCATCAATTAAACTCTTTGTGTACTGCAGTGCCACGGTCTTCAGGAATTTTGTTTGTACAGCTGGAAGGAAAAACCCATCAGGCGGTTATAGTAACAATTCATTGAACCCTTCAATTAAGATTTGTATACTTTATCCTATACAAATTGTAACTCAATATGAAGGTTTAAAAAATAAAAAAATACATCTCTATCAAAATAAAATCTCTCCCAAATACACTTAGAATCAACTTGCATACACATAGCACACTTTGTAAAATAGTGATCTTGTTTAGTGCTCTCACTTTACAGTTAGGGAAACAAATTCAGGAGGAAAGAGCTGCCCTGCTCAGAATCACACAGAGATTTAACAGCAGAGCTGCGGCAGAACCAGGGTTCCTGGCTCCTAGACCTGAGTTTTCCAATGTAAAAATTCATGCAGCTGTACACTGGGGCTTATATACTTTATGGTAGATCTGTTATACCTCCATTTTAAAAAATTAAAAAACAAAATATATGACGGGACTAGGGTTTATTTTCTCCCTTTTGACCACTGGTAGAAGAGTCTTTAATAAAACTATAAAAAGTCAGGTGGGCATGGTGGCTCACACCTATAATCCCAGCACTTTGGGAGACTAACGCAGGCGGGTCACTTGAGGCCAGGAGTTCAAGACCAGCCTGGGCAACATGACAAAACCCCGTCTCTACTAAAAACACAAAAATTAGCCGGGCATGGTGGCAGGTGCCTGCAGTTTCAGCTACTCGGGAGGCTGAGGCACAAGAATTGCTTGAACCCAGGAGGCAGAGGGTGCAGTGAGCTGAGATCATGCCACTGCATTTCTAGCCTGGGTGACAGAGTGAGACTCTGTATCAAAAAAAAAAAAAGAATCATAGTCTTTTTTTTTCCAAGTCCAATACTAGATGGACTTGGAAAAAGATTGTGAAGCTCATACACAGTATCGTGGGTAGTGACCAACTAACTGGGGCCAGTGGTGTGGGTGGTAAAAGGAATATACCAAGACAGTCATAGGAAAGAAAGGCAGATTTATTAGAGAAAGTAGAAAAACACATTGCAAGAAAGCAACGGACAAATTAGCAAGAGAGGAGCTGACTGCAAGGAGACAAAGGTTTGCCGGGGATTTTATAGGATGGTGCCTGTGCTGTGTGCTGGAGGGGGCTACATGCAATACTGATAATGTCAAGGTTGCAGTGAGCTAACTTGCATTTTTCTATCAGCTGAAGGTCTGGTGATAAGTCGGTCGCAGAAAGATTGTGAGATATTTGCACGGGAGGGCTCTATGTCCTGGACCACGAAGAAAGGCAGACTTACAGCGTATCTGCTTTTTCTTTTTGCTTTCCCCTGCTCCTGACAGTCTAACTTCTTTTCCCTAATTAGGACTCCATGCATAAGTGATCAGGGGACATGAGTGGAGAACAATTGCTTACAATCAAGGCCTCCATTTCAGTCTGCCATTCTGGCTAAGCAAGGTCCCACCCTTTAAAATTAAAGGACAATTGGCCAGGCACGGTGGCACACGCCTATAATCCCAGCACTTTGGGAGGCCGAGCTGGGAGGATCACGAGGTCAGGAGTTCAAGATCAGCCTGGCCAACATGGCGAAACCCCATCTCTACTAAAAATACAAAAATTAGCTGGGCGTGGTGGCGCACACCTGTAATCCTAGCTACTCGGGAGGCTGAGGCAGGAGGATCCCTTGAACCAGGGAGCCAGAGGTTGTAGCGAGTCAAGATCGCGCCATTGCACTCCAGCCTGGCGACAGAGCAAGACTCTGTCTCAAAAAAAAAAAAGAAAGAAAAAGAAAATTAAAAGACAATTCTCTTTGGCAGAAACCATAGACATAAAACATTATCTGCATTTCTGTTCTCTTTTTTCTGTATTCACCATGAGCATTACACCCTTGGCTCCAGGTAGCAAACCTATACCTTCTTCTATCTCTAAGTTACTAATATAACTTTATAAAAGAGCCCTTTCTGAGTATTCTTAGAATTTTTGGCAGACTTCAGCTCATCCTGGACTTTTATCTCTCCTAAATATTACCCTCATGATAATGAATATATATATATATATATATATATATATAATTTTCTCTTAAAAAGTGATAAAATGTGATGTGTCCTCATTAAAGAAAAATTTTACTGGAAAAGTAAAATAAAAAACAAGTTACCCATTGTCCTTTCCTTATCCATTCCTGTGAAAAACAAGCAAACAATCTGTTTTTTCCCTGCTTAGCATCCAATTGGGCCTGACATGAGTTAATTACGGTATCTCACCCTCCCTAGGGAGACTGCCAATCAGAGTTATTCATCAACCTGGCCACAATAATCGGTTAATGGATCAACTTGTGACGCAAGCAAAGACAATTAGAGTCTTCCCTGAGACTGGCCACATGGACGCTATGATAAAGAGGGTCACTTTTTCTTTGATGTTCATAAGCCACAACAATGCGGGGCTGAGGTCATTGGCAGCATCTTTCCAACTGTGTGAAATGATCCTGTCTGAGAATAAAGCACGTTCCCAGAGGAAAGCCGAGCCAAGAAATGGAGACAGTGATAGAGCCCTCAGGATACCATTTCTCTATTGGATCCCATTGTGCCTGAAGCTGGTTCTACACATTAATTTCCCAGTTATGTGTGCTAATGCATTACTATTTATTATTTTTATTAGGTTGAACCATATGAAACCACCATTTTTGTAAGTCAAAAGCAGTCAAATACTGGCAATTTTATATGGCTCAGCTTAATAATCAAAGCAAAATTGAGTTAGATTGCAAGTTAGCATCTTGACTAATTCAGGTAGGCTTTTAAAAAATTAACTTTTGAGACAGTCGTAGATTTGCAGGAAGTTATAAGAAATAATATACAAAGATCACTTATAACATCTTATTAAATGATAGTACAGTATTAAAACCAGGTTATTAACGTTTCCATAATCAAGATACAAAACATTTCCATCACTACAAGGATCCCTTACTTTGCCTTTTATAGTCATATCCACCTCCACCCGCTCATTAACACCTGCTAATGTGTTTTCCATTTCTACAATTTTGCCATTTCAAGAATTTATATAAATGGAATCATACAGTATGCAAACTTTTGGGATTGGTATTTTTACTCAACATAATTCTCTGAAGATTCATCAAAGTTGTTGCATCTATCAATAGTTGATTCCTTTTTTGTTTGTTTTTGGCTGAGTTCTATTTCACGGTACAGACATACTGAAGTTTGTTTAACTGTTCACCCATAATAGGACATCTGAGTTGTTTCCAGTTTAGGGCTATTTTAAATAAAGTTGCTACAAGCATTCATGCACACGTTTTTATGTGAACATAAGTCTTCTTTTTTCTAGGCTAAATGCCCAGGAGTGCAATTGCCTAGAGTCGTGTGGTAGTTCCAGGTTTAGTTTTAAAGAAACTGCCAAACTGTTTTCCAAAGAGGCTGTGCCGTTTTCTATCCCCACCAGCAATGTATGAGTGAGCCAATCCCTTCACATCCTCACCAGCATTTGGAATTGTCACTATTTTTTTTTTATTTTAGCCATTCTGATAGATACATAGTTAGCCATTCTGATAGATATGTAGTGATAGCTCATTATTTTTATTTCTAAAATATTTTTTATTTATTATTTATTTACTTCTATTTTTTGAGACGTAATCTCACTCCGTCACCCAGGTTGGAGTGCAGTGGCGTGATCTTGGCTCACTGCACCCTCTGCCTCCTGGGTTCAAGCAATTCTCATGTCTCAGCCTCTCAAGTAGCTGGGACTACAGGCACACGCCACCATGCCCTGCTAATTTTTGTATCTTTAGTAGAGACGGGGTTTTGCCATGTTGACCAGGCTGGTTTCAAACTCCTGACCTCAGGTGATCTGCCCGCCTCAGCCTCCCAAAGTGTTGGGATTATAGGTGTGAGCCACCGCGCCCGGCCTTGTTTTTTATTTTTTTATTTGACATAGGGTCTCACTGTGTCGCCCAGGCTGGAGTACAGTGGCATGACCATGGTTCACTGCAGCTTCAACTTCCCAGGCTCAGGTGATCGTCCCATCTCAGCCTCCTGAGTAGCTGGTACTACAGGCGTGCACCATCACACCCAGCTAATTCTTTGTATTTCTGGTAGAGACAGGGTTTTGCCATATTGCTCAGGCTGGTCTCTAGCTCCTGGGCTCAAGCAATCTGCCTGCCTCAGCCTCCCAAAGTGCTAAGATTACAGGCATGAGCCACCACACTCTGCCTTCATTATTTTAATTTACATTTCCCTAATGGCTGTGACGTTGAATCTTTTCATGTACTTATTTGCCATATGTATATCCTCTTTAGTGAAATGTCTCTGTCTTTTGCCTACTTTCTAATTGTATTTTTTTTTTACTGTTGAGTTGTAAAAGTTCTTCATATATATTACATACCAGTCCTTCATTAGATATGTCATGTGCAAATATTTTCTTTCTCGTCTCTTAACAGGGTCTTTCACAGAGCAAAAGTTTTTAATTTTGATGAAGTCCAATTAACCATTTGTTTTCTTTTGTGGATTGTGCTTTTGGTGTTAAGAACTCTTTGCCTAGCCCTAGATTCCAATAATTTTCTCTTATGATTTTTTTCTAAGTATTTTTAAAGTTTTCAGTTTTACATTTAAGTCTATGATTCTTTTTGAGTTATATTTTTTACAAGGTATGAGACTTCAGTCAGGGTTTTTTTTTTTTTTTCCCTATGTATGTCCAGTTGTTCCGGCACCATTCATTGAAAGGCTATCTTTCCTCCGCTTCATTGCTTATACACTTTTGTCAAAAATCAATGGGGCATAAGGC
This sequence comes from Homo sapiens, assembly GCF_000001405.40. Taxonomy (NCBI): domain Eukaryota; kingdom Metazoa; phylum Chordata; class Mammalia; order Primates; family Hominidae; genus Homo; species Homo sapiens. The sequence goes on along the minus strand of NC_000001.11, from coordinate 201,162,433 downwards.
GAGGCACAGTGGCTCATGCCTGGAATCCCAGCACTTTGGGAGGCCGAGGTGGGAGGATTGCTTGAACCCAGGAGTTCAAGATCAACCTGGGCAATATAGCAAGACTCTGTCTCCACAAAAAATAAAAATAAAAAAATTAGCCTGGCATGGTAGCACATGCCTATAGTCCCAGCTACTCAAGAGCCTGGAGGTCAAGGCTGCAGTGAGCCATGATTGTGCCTGGGTCACAGAGACCCTGTCTCAGGAAAAAAAAAAAAAAAATCAATTGGGCATATTTGTTTAGATCTATGCCTGGGTTCTCTGTTCTATATGTCTATACCTCCACTAATACCACACACTCTTGATCACTCATATGTATTAAAAGGTTCCTGGCATGTAGTAGATGCTCAATACATGGAATTATTATTCAATCACCCTATAAATATATACTACTATTCACATAGTTACTAATATTCTTTAATTTTCAGCAAAAATGCCCCTTATCTATTTTAGTAACTTGAAGTTCTCTTAGCCTTAGAAATGGCTATCATAAAGTCTCTGCATTAAAAAACCAAAAAGTGCATAAGTAGAATTTTATTTAGAGGAAAATTGCTTCCAAATGATAGAACCTGATCTGTTAATACTCAGGGAAAGGATCTAGAAGTCACTGGAGCAGCACTTCCCAAAGTGTGTTCCTTGGTACTCTAGCCTTGAAGGCTGCTCTTCGAAAAAGAGTTTGTGGTCAAAACTGTGGGGAAACACTACACAAAATAATGTATTGTAAGGGATTCACAATATGTTTTATCACATCAAAGCATCTGAAAAGTCCTGAAGTAAAATATGCCTATTTCATTTACTTTAAGGTTCCCCGAACTAATTTATTCATAGAAACCACATTTTCCCCACATACAGTTTGCATCCCACATACAATAACATCCTATGATACTGTTCCTGGGAGCATATTCCCTGAAGTGTATTTTGAAAAATGCTACCATAGAGTATTATCAGAAACACTTCAGAGTATCAGATCTGGTAGGAAACTTAGGGCCTTCTAAACCAGCCATTTTTGAAGTATGGTCTGAGGACTCTGTGGGTCTCCAAGGCTCTTTTAGGGAAACAAGTTCTAACTATTTTCCTAGAAATACTAAGATGTTATTTGCTTTTTTCACTCATTCTCCTACAAGCATATAGTGGGGTTTTCGGAAGGTTAGATGACATGTGATATTGCAACTGACTGAAGGCAGAACCAGATGTGAAAATGCACCTGTTTTCTATTCAACCAGATGGTAAGGGGATATACAAAAAAAAAATTAATGCCACTCTTCGTGCTAAATTTTATCTTTTGGAAAATATAGGGGTTTTTTTGACCAAAAGACGCTTATGCATACAATGAATTTATTGTTATTTCAAAACAAATAAATATGTTTAAATTTTCTGTTTTAGTTTTAATACTGCAAATATTGATAGGACCCAGATAAACAAAATTCTTTAGGGTCCTCAATATTTTTTTTTTTTTTTGGAGACAGAGTCTCACTCTGTCCCCCAGGCTGGAGTGCAGTGGCATGATCTCGGCTCACTGCAAGCTCCGCCTCCCGGGTTCACGCCATTCTCCTGCCTCAGCCTCCGCAGTAGCTGGGACTACAGGCACCTGCGACCACGCCCGGCTCATTTTTTGTATTTTTAGTAGAGATGGGGTTTCACCGTGTTAGCCAGGATGTTCTCGATCTCCTGACTTCGTGATCTGCCCACCTCAGCCTCCCAAAGTGCTGGGATTACAGGCCTGAGCCACTGCGCCCAGCCCTAGGGTCCTCGATTTTAAAAAAAAAAAAAAAATTTCCCCAGTATAACCTCAATATTTTTTTTTTGAGACAGATTTTCACTCTTGTTGCCTAGGCTGAAGTGCAATGGCGCGATCTCGGCTCACCACAACCTCTGCCTCCTGGGTTCAAGCGATTCTCTTGCCTCAGCCTCCTGAGTACCTGGGATTACAGGCATGTGCCACCATGCCTGGCTAATTTTGTATTTTTAGTAGAGACAGGGTTTCTCCATATTGGTCAGGCTGGTCTTGAACTCCCGACCTCAGGTGATCCGCCTGCCTCAGCCTCCCAAAGTGCTGGGATTACAGGCGTGAGCCAACATGCCTGGCCTAACCTCAATAATTTTTAAGAATGTAAAAGGACACAAGACCTGAAAGTTTAAAAACTGCTCTTCTAAACAAATCTTTTCAGGGGGAAACTGAGGCCCAATGGACTAGTGCTTTGACAGGAGTAAGTTCAAACTAGAAGCCGGAACTTATGATTTCTGGCCCCAGGGCCTTACCATAACCCTACCCTGCCTCCTACTCACTACTGCGAGCTGAAAAACAAAAACCCAAGATATTTGATGAAGTTAAGAACACTGAAACCAAAAAGTTAGCTGTTATCCTCTATTTATGCAGTGCCATGAGGTCTACACCCAAAAGAGCACATGCAGTGGTGGGAGCTGAACCAGGAAAAATACAACAGAGGGAGCAGAACATGTAGCACCCAGGACTGTACACATCAGGGTAGCTAATGGGCAACTGCTGGTAGAATGCCTGACATAAACTGGGTCTAGTATATCAATTTAAATATGAGTGTGCATATTACATCTGTGTGTGCATTTATATAGAAAAAAATAGTAAACCAGGTAGAGTTTGTCATTTATTAAGCTTTAGGTAGAATAATGCTTTTATTCTAAGTTTTGTTCAATTAAAATGTAATTCAGACAGGCGTACGGGCTTATGCCTATAATCCCAACACTGGGAGGTCAAAGCAGAAGGATCGCTTGAGGTCAAGAGTTTGAGACCAGCTTGGGCAACACAGCAAAACCCTCATCTCTTTAAAAAAAAAAAAAAAAAAGGTTTAATTGCTATTTGCTTAAGTGTTGCTTTAGTCAAGTGGTGTTGAGAGAGCTGTGTGTGTGTGTGTGTGTGTGTGTGTGTGTGTGTGTATAAAAAGGCAAATGTGGGGACCCCAGCCAAAAACAGCGTGCTTGTCCAGGGCCTTGCCCAGCTAGAAAAGGGTACTACACAGCAGGGCGCTCTCTGCCCTTAGCTCAGTGCCCCCATTTCCCTGATGCCTGAGAAATCCTGCTGTGGCCAGAGAGGTAAGAGGTACTCAGGTATCTGAGGATGGTGCCCATACTATTTTAAGGACATCGTCAGGCACCTGACCTGCCATCTGTGGCTAGAGGGCAATGTCCTATAAGAGGTGGGTCAAGCGCTCCTTTGTACCCCCACATTACTGCCCCTTTGAGAGTGTTAACACATATCTGTATTCTATCACTTGAGCTTTGTTCTCTGTTTAGGTTGGATGATCTTTTAGTGTGTCTAAGACATGGTTGCTAATGCAAAAATTAGGAAGTCAATCATCTCATAGGAGCTTGAGGTTATGAGACACTGGACAGATAAGCTTCAGTGGGGATTAGAGGAAAAGCAGGGGCATATAGTTGATGCCAGGGAGAGTAGACACCATTTGGGAGTGATGACAGCACTCATCCCCTATCCAGGAGCACCAACGGTAGGGACAGGGAGTGAGGAAGAACCCAGACCCACAGCTGTGGCACGGATGCCAAGACCTCGCCTCATAAAGTCAAACTGATTTTAGGGTTGTTGGATAAAAGCAGGTATGAACTAGAGGGTATGGGTTTTGGCCTGAGTTCTAGAGCTCCAAACTTGGAGGCAGGATGAAGGCTAAGTCCTGAGAGGAAGCAGTGGAAGGCTCCAGAGCTTCCTTAGGCCTCCTCTGCTGGGGAGAGTGCACTGCTGATGTTACCTGGTCTCCACCCTCTCACTGAGCCCCGAGCCAGGGGCTCCCGGCTCCCTCCTGGCTCACATTCTGACTCTGATGTCACTGAGCTCCCTGCCTTCCTTTCCCATTCGCTTGTCCTGGGATCAAGACAAACTGAACTGTTGACTCTTTCTCTACATGTCTCTCCCTGAACTTCCCCAGTCCCATCTCTTTGCTCTCCCTACACTGCCCCTGCCCCCGCCCCCACCCCCCACCAGAATGCCCTCCTCACCATCACCCTGCTCTTGAATTGTGCCTCAAATTTTGCCCACCCTTCCTGGCAGTATTTGTTTCCCATGGCTGCTGTCACAAATTACCATAAACCTGGTGGCTTCAAACAACACGAATGTATTATCTGACAGCTCTGTAGGCCATAAGTCTGACGGAGGTGTTCTCTTGAACTAAAATCAGGGTGTCTACAGGGCTGCATTCCTTCTAGAAGCTCTAGGGAAGAATGCATTGGCTGGCCTTGACCAGCTTCTGCAGCACCCACAGTCCTTGCCTGGTGGCCCCCTGCCTGCATCTTTGAAGCCAGCAGCATAGCATCTCTCTGACCCTACTTCCATGTCCATCTCCTTCTCTAACCACAGCCAGAAAAGGTTCCTCTGTTAAGGAGCCATCTAATTAGATTGGGCCCACCTGAATAATCCAAGCCACTCTCCCCAACCAAGGGCCTTAATTTATATTTGCAAAGTGCCTTTTACTGTGTAAGACAGTATTCACAAGTTCCAGGGATTAGGATGTGGACATTTGGGGGTGCGACATTGTTCTGCCCACCACTCTGGCCCAGCCCAAGTAGCCCTCACTGCCCTCAAAGCCCCCTCTCCACCATTCTGGGCTCCCCTGGCCCTTGGTCTAGGTTTCCCAAGTGCCTCTGCAGCCTTCCCCCAGCACAGCTCTTACCACCCTGAATTGTCATTGCTTGTTGATTTGTGGTTTTCTTGCAATAAACTTCAAGTTCTGTGGGAACAGGGACAGGGTTTGTCTTGTTTACTGAGATATCCCCAGCACCTAGCACAGTGCTCAAAAAATTTTTGAAGGGAAAAAGCATTTCTGATACGGGAGATAGAAATTATTTAGGCAGATAGCAAGGACAAAAAAGTCCTTGGCAGAACTTCCCTTCTAATAAGAAGCAGCCCTAGAAATCATTTCTTTTCTAACACAGAGCAGCCTCAAAGATTGGGCTGCAAACATATATAAGGAAGCTGGAAGCTTGCACGGAGGAATGCTGGCAGCTGCACTCATAGAAAAGGGCTACCGGGGGGCCAGGCATGTTCACCATGGGACTCCACCTTCCCTTTTTTGTTAGCACATGTACAGTAAGAAAGAACTGGGCAACATGGAGAAGCTCAGGCAGAGAAACCACCTGCATAATAAAGATTGGGCTGGGAGCTGCCAGAGATTTGTGCCCTATGCAGATGGCACACCTGGTGCTAACTTTTTTTGAGATGCCCTGTATAGATGAGATACTGCCTCCCCACTAGCTCATCTATAAAACCCCCTGCATTTCACCTTAAATTGGCAACTCATTTTTCCAGGACCCCTCTCTGTAGCAGAGAGCTATTGTCTTTCTTTCACCTATTAAATTTCCACTCTTAACCTCACTCTTTGTGTGTCTACCTCCTTGATCTTCATGGCCAGGAGACAACAAACCTCAAGTGTCACCACAGACAACAAGGCTGCTTCACTTCTACAACACATCACTTTCTATGTTACATTCTGACCATGTGATTGGTCTGCTATTAGGTTGTGCATTACTTGAAAGCAGAGTTGCATGTGATTTGTCTGTTGTATCCCTGGGGTACCTAGCATCTGTGAGCCCTGGAGTTTGGCTCACAGATAGTGCTTGGCACATGTTTATGGAATTAAATTTAATGAATAGGTTCAGACTCACTTCACTGGCATGGCTCATAAACACAGGGCACATGGAGGATGTATGGGAATGAGGTGCCCTGGGTCAGGTAGGACTATTTGGGAAAAGCTTCTGCAAGGCAAATGCTTGGGCAAAGATTTGAATAAGATGAAAGATAACGACTGGCAGTGCTGGGGGTGATAATGTCCTATGGAGGACTGCAATGAGCAAAGTCAGATATAGGGACAGCCGGTGGGGGGAGTAACCAGTGATGAGATGGGGTGGGGAAGTGCAGAAATGGTAACCACTTGGCTTGGTTGCCAAGTGGAGGGGTCTGAATTGGATGCAACAGGGTGCTTGCTACCAGGGATTGAGCAATGAGCGATGTGCTGAAAACAGAATTGGAGGAAGACAGGATGGACCTAGGAGCACACAGGAAGGGAGTGCATTTCAGGGAGCAGAATGCTAGCCGAGGAAAGATACAGGCAGGGTGATGATAGCTACCTCCTGGGGACACCTGGATAGACAAGATGTGGAAATATGAGAGAGGAGTCAAAGATAGTTTGATGCCACAATCTAGGACCTGCAGAAATGCAGAATGACAGTGGAAGGCCTCCCTTCTGTTTGATGAGGAAGATGGTGAGCTCAGCATTGGGTATCTTTAGTGTTGTGTGTCAGAGGGTCATCCATTGGAGGTGACAGACTCAGCCCCATGCTTTTGTCCCCATGAAAGTCCCACCTTCATATGGAACGTATATGGGGGGAAGAAGTGTCTTTTTCCAGTACTTGAACTATCCCTTCTGCCCCCACGAGGTAGGCATTCTGTCTCTGCCTGAGCTTGCTCACCAAAGCAGCCATTCTGACCTCCACAATGAGCTAACATTGCCATTTATAGAGCCTCCCTCTTTGTGTCAGATGCTGTTCTAGGTGCTTTGCATATGTAAACTCATTATATCCCTACAACCACCTTGAAAATTTGGTAATATTAATCCCATTTTATGGGCATGGAAACCGAGACTTCTGAAAGGATTCCAAAGACTTCCAAAGATCCAAAGGCGGTGTCCTAAAGGAAACCACCCAAATTCACACAACTAGGAAGGGAGGAACCAGGATTCCTGCCCTGGTCACTCTAGCTCCAAAGCCCCTGACCTTTGCATCACACTGCAGGCCTCCTGCCCCTGCCCCCTGCCAACTAGATTTAATTTAATTCTATAGAATTCAGTTTAGCAAACACTTCCTGAGCACCTACCAAACACAGGTCACTCTGCCAGGTGGCAAGGATATAAAGAGGAATAAGACATAAGCATAGGAGAGAGGAACACAAACTCAGTGGCCTCCAGATAAGTGCCCACCTCAGTTCACAGGGCCTGCGAGGGGCTTGATTCCACCTGGACCCAGCCCCTATGCTAATCCAGCCACCAACCTCAAGTTTGGGCCATATTGATACCCCTCCCACCCACCCCTAAGGAATCCCAACATATCAAAGCTGAAGGGGATCTTAGAATCCAACCGAATCATTTTACAGATAAGGGAAGTAAGGGAAGCTGAGGCCCAGAGAAGGGAGGTATCTTTTCCAGGCTAACACAGCTGCTTAGGGGGAGCGCCAGGGCCAAAGCCCCGGTGTCCTCACTCCGGGTCTGGTGCCCTGAATTCATATGACTCCCCTTTCCTTCACAGCTGGCAAGAAGTTCACATCTGCCACATAGCAGCCAGGGACCCTCACCCCTGCATCCTGGCCATGCACACTTTGCCCCATTTTGCCAGGCCCAGCACCAGCATGGGGTAGGGGGATCAGGCTGAGGACGCTGTTGTGCACACTCTTCACAGGCCCAGCCCACACCACCCATCGCCAACCCTAGATTTCTCCTTCTCAGAGGTGTGTGTAGGGGTAGAGACGTTGCCGCGCAGAAAGTCTTCTGCAGCAAAGACGTGGATCCCTAAATAACATTTCCAGATTTTGAATGAGGACAAAGCCCTTCAATCTCGTATCGTTTTTGTTGACGTTACTAGCTTACAGTGTATAAAGCGCTTTCTTTCTAAAACAGCAAGATGAAACAAGCTGAGTTTTATAATACAAGGAAGGGAGAAGCACCGCAGTGGGAGTTCTCAGGCCACACAAAGGCAAGACCCTTCCCCAGGAGTTTGGAAGGCTGACGTTCCCTTTTCTGGTTTGGTCGGGTTTGAGAAATGCCCGCCTCTCCCTTGCGCAAGAGTCTCCCCGCCCAGGTGAAGGCGGGTCTTGTTGCCATGGCGACAGCGCGGTCGGGTTAAGGGGCTGCTCTGGCAACCAATAGAAGCTAGGAGAGGGCGGGGACAACTGGGTCTTTTGCGGCTGCAGCGGGCTTGTAGGTTCGTGGACGCGGCATTGGGGGAGGGGACGGGGGTCGCGGGGCTATTGGGGGTCCCAGTCCGGCTTAAGACCTCTGGGCGTGGTGGGCACCGGCCTTCGCCGTCGGAGCAGGGGTCCCAGACTCGCACCCAAAAGTTCCCGTCGGGCCCGAGCGGGGAGGAGCTGCGGGGCGGGCAGAGGCGGAGATGGCGGAGGGCGGTGGGACGTGATGCGCGGGTCAGAGCCGGGCCTTGAGAAGGAACTGGAGGCCCCTGGCAGCGGTGTCCCCTCGAGGACCCCTCTGCCGGGCTCACCAGGTGGCTGGCGGAGAGCCGGAGAGTTGGGCGGGAGGGAAGCAGGGTTTGGCGACCAGGTTTAGCAGGCCTTGGAATCCTGGAGCCCAGCCCCCAACCCCATTCCCACTTGGCCGGATGGTTAAGGGCCTAGCGTGCTGGCTGCGGTGTGGCCACCTTCCCCTTCTCCGACTCCGTATCTCTTTTTCCAGGTGTCCGGCTTTGCTGGCCCAGCAAGCCTGATAAGCATGAAGCTCTTATCTTTGGTGGCTGTGGTCGGGTGTTTGCTGGTGCCCCCAGCTGAAGCCAACAAGGTGAGGGAGGTGAGCCTGCAGCACCTGGTCACGACCACAGTGCACGGCCACCCTGTCTACAGGGCTGACTCAGAGGTAGCCAGCTGCTCCTTAAGCCTGCCTCTCACTCACCTATGGGCCATACTTCTTTTAGTGGTCTTCCTTCAGGTTCAAGGCTGCTGGCCTCCCTAAGGATAGTGCGGGTGAGGAGTGAGGAAGGGTGGGGCACAGAGCACTGGCTCACTCTGATCAGACAGATCAGTGGTGGACTTCCAGCAAGGAAGTTTGGAGAAGTTATCTAAGTTCTCCATACCTTCCTTTGCTTTGGACCAAAGTATGTTTTGTTTCAGATATTTTTGGATTTGGGAGTATTTGCACATAAAAAATGAGCTATCTTGGGGAGGGGACCTAAGTCTAAACCTGAAGTTCGTTTATGTTTCATATATGCTGTATATACATAGCCCGAAGGTAATTTTATACAATATTTTCAATAATTGTGTGCATGAAACAAAGTTTATCTACACTGAACCATCAGAAAGCAAAGGCGTCACTATCTCAGGCACCCATGTGGATAGTCTGGTTGGTTGGCATCACCACCATTCCTGACAATGAATTTATATGCTACCGATAAATATTTTCTTACGTTACACATAAGTTCTTAACGGTAAAAAAATATGATGTACTATTAACACAGTGAAAATAAATGATGTGTTCAGGGTAACTAAGCACAGTAGCATCACCAGAATACCTGTATCAGCTGTTAGACACAGCAACATAAGGCTTTCTGTCTCCTGCTGTGATGCTGTGTTTTGATTAAAGGTTACTGTGCACAGTATTTTTTTAGGTGAGAAGTAGTATCTGAAGCAGTAGAGGGACCAGAAAGTGGGTCCTCTAGAGATGAGGAGGCATTCTGCCAGATGGCTTTTAAAAATGTTTTTGCCAGTCACCTGATTCATTAACAAGCTTTTGTCTTAGAAGTCTCTTTGATTTTATAGACTGACACGATTTCTTGTTCTGTTATGAATGCGCTCTGCTATAGTCTTTCAAGAAGCCCGTCACTCATTGTTACCATGTCTGTAGGTGCTTTTCTGCAATGTTAACATCATCTTTGTGGTCATGTCTGTGCTTAACAAGTTTTAGATTGGGAGCATTTCGAATTTTTGTTTTAGGGGTGCTAGTACTACCACCTGTAGTAGCAGTTGTATCTATTACTCTGCTTAGGGAGAATCAAATTACATGACAATGTAAAAATGCCCTGTAAGTGTAAAGTCCTATACAGTTTGAAGTTTCCATTATTAAGGGTGACCCACCTAAGTTCTGGGACTCCTGAGATAACTTCCATTCTTTATTGCTACATTCCTGTGGAGCTGTTTGGGTAGATCTATGGAACTAAAGATCATCCAGACTTTGAAGTAAGGTTAAGGCTGAGAGTTTGTTTCCATTCTCTCCTCAGAAATCCTAATTAGTAAAGACATTTATGGTGATATCTCTTACTCATTCCAGAAGGGAAGAACTTTCAAAGGGGTTGCTTGAGTATTCCCACAGAAATGATCCACTTTTTCTTATTCACCCTCGCCCTTTATGTTTCCCCAATCCTACCTAAGAAGTTGGAGAAGGAATGTGGGGAAGAGGGTGGCTGCCAAGTCCACTGGACAGAGGTGCACACACAAGTGTGGGGTCTGGGGTAGAGGACACACACACACACACACACACACACCCATTTCCCCTCATCCCTCTCCCCGCATTCCTCTAAGTACCTGCTTTGGGACTGGCAGGCCTAGACAACTTTCTGTGAGTCTCATTTGCCATCTGGACATTTTTCTATCTTTAGGACCCGGTGCTGCAGCTTGCTTCCTACAGTGGCAGTCCTTGCTGGATTTGAACTTGGGGATGGAGAAAGCTCAAGAGCATAGATATGGTTCACCTAACAGGATGGGGAACAGAAAGTTGACAACCTTGCTAGAGCCTGAACCCCCTGAACCCCAGGCAGGGTCTCTGCATACTTGACATGTGCTTTCTTTTCCAGAGTTCTGAAGATATCCGGTGCAAATGCATCTGTCCACCTTATAGAAACATCAGTGGGCACATTTACAACCAGAATGTATCCCAGAAGGACTGGTAAGGCATTACACGCAGGCCCCTGGCTGCTATACCCAGTTGAAGTTATGGGTGTTTACTAGAGTTCTTGGACCCTGGAGGATAAGCATGCTCTCCCATTCCTATGGAGAGCCTTTCAAAGGAGTAATTATTCATGTCACAGAACCAATTTCATAGTTGTCAACTGTCTGTGGAAACAGGATCCAGGTGTCTGAATTCCAGCTGAGTGGTCCCTGGCTAGAGGAGTGGATTTTGTTGTTTTGCTTTGAATATTGGTCTTTAGTGATGCATACAGAATAGTAGTAGAGAAGTTGGCAAAGGTAGGTATTCTGACCACATGCTGTAGGATACCTAATGCTTTTGCAAAGCTGTGTTACATGTGTTATTCTGTGCCAGTCTTATAGCATCCTTGTAAAGTAGGTGGGATGGATTTTGCTCCCATTTTATAATAGCAGAGACAGAGGCCCAAAGAAATAATTTAGAGTGTTGAATTCATTTCTGGGTACCTCACTTTTAAAAAGAGAAGAATAACCCAGAATTCATTCAGAGAAAGGAGACTAGTGCGGTGAAGGGAAGTTTTAGCACATTGTCCTGGAAGGAATGGTTTAAGGAAGCAAGGAAAGCCTAAAGAGGAGAGGACTTGGGGACACACGATGATTGATTGAAAGCTGGCATGTTATGGGAGGTGGGACATGTGGGAGCAGGTACTGGTGTGGATCAGTTATGTTCAGTGGGGTTTCTTGGTGTAGAGTTGGGGCCAAGGATAAAAGCTTCAGGGAAACCGACTTAAGCATGAGTTGAGGGAGCATTTCTAATCTAGGCAGTTTTGGGAGCCAGGAAGCTCCGTTCTTGGAGGGCCCCGAGCACAGATGGGCTGAGGTCACTGTAGAAGAGATCAACATCAGATGAGAGGTCCGGGTCAGTGCTGCCTCTCCTGCTTTCTCAAAGCAGATGAGCTTTGAGAAAATACACATTTCCAGTACCACCACCACTGCTCGATTTTGATTCTTCAAATACGGAGTGAGGGTGAGGGGAGGCAGTAACCTTTCTTTCCTTTGGTGCTTAGGATGCAGTTGATCCAGAGCAACACTCGAGAATTTTGAAACTAGTTGAATTTCCAACTCTGAGACTGTCGGTGATTTTCTGAGAGGCAGTCTAGTTAGATAGACAGACTCTGTGTTCCACCTTCCTGACTTCAAATTTAGCTTAGCTGCTTGTTAATTGTGTGACAAATTACTTAATCTCCACTGCACTTTGATTTCCTTATCTATAAATAGTGGCAGTATTTTCTGTGTTAAGTATGTACGTGTTTGTGTGTGTGTTGTGCGTGTATGTGCACAGGTCAGTAACTATAGCACTTAGAACAATACCTGGCACACAGTAAATGCTTATATAAATGTTAGCTGATATTAATGTATATTATCATGCCTTACTGGTGGCCACATAGATAGTCATGGTCAAACTTACACCACAGACTGAGAAAATGGGCTCCTCCTGAAGCACTAGCCTTCTACTTAGGAGAATTCCAAGTAACCCCCTTGTATCTTGTGGTTATAGTTCAAATAGCATCAGTAAAAACTTAGATGGGCTGTCTTAGCCCTTCACCAGATAACAAGGCTATATCCCAAACTCCTTATGCAGGCAGACACTTGCAAATTTAGGAACACTCTCTCTGTCCTGGAGCTATAGATGGCCTGAAAACCCAAGGTTGGATGCCTGCAGAGGACGGAGTCCTGTCTAGACCTCTCAGGCTGTAGTTTATCTCCTTCTTCCCCTCAGAAGTCAGAATTAAGGGGCTGCTTGATGAATAGCCTTACATCAGGAACCTCAGGGCAGCTCCATTAAGGGTGGTGGGTGTAAACTGAGGCTGGAGGAAAGACTCCAGGATTCTAGGACCCAGTGACACTGACCTTGACTGGGAGTCATCCTGTGCTTGCCTGGAGCCTCTTAAGGGTAGGGTGGGGCCTTGACATTGATCTGAGTACCTCAGTGCTAGGGTTAGAGGAGGCCAGTTTGAGTGGGTCTTCTGGTCTCTGCCACATTTTCACTTTGCTGTCACGTTGGTCCATGCTAAAGAACACTTGCACCCTTCTCCTTGGTTGTGCAGAGTAAAGCCAGAATCATCTGACATGCGGTCCTCAGGTTTAATGGCCAAGCCATGTATGTTCCTGTGTTTACAGGTATCCTGCCACCTAGTGTTGAGAGATTATGACCATATGTGCATAAAAAGGCAAAAACCCCAGCTTTGCCCCATTGGTGGGTCCGGCAAGGAGATGTGTTATTAGAGACACTCCCAGAGCAGGAAAGCACTGAATAAGTTGGCTAGTTCCTTGCCTTTCAAACTTGTTAAAATAGAACTTCTCTGCAAACAAAATCCGTTTTGGAAACAAAATCTATAAAACATAAAAGTCGGAATTGCTCTGCCTGAGAGGGAACTGTCCCTCAGCCCCTCCCTGACTACCACCCCACCGTACAGTGGTTCCTGTGGGTCCCAAAAGAGTACAGTTTGAAAGACACTGACCAAGTTCAGTCTCCATTTATAAATGAGGGAACCGAGGCCTGGAGAAGTTAAATAAATTGCCCCCAATCACAGGAGAGTTGGAGACAGCAGAACTATTTCAGCTCCTTATTGCTGTTCCCCTGGGTAGCAAGATCCCACATTGAAGAACTCAGGTCGCCCTTCCAAACTGCCCCTGACACCTTGGCCTTGTGAGAAATCCATAGATTCCACTGCAATACTGGTATGACCTTCTAGACCCAGGACCCAGTGTAGCTCAGGTAAGGGAGGAATCTGGAGGCTTGTAGAGACTTCCTGGAGAAGGGAAGATGGCATTGCCTCTGGACAGGAATGGCAGCCAAGTGCCCTGGGTGACCCTTTTTCCGCTGCTCCCAGCGGAAGCAGCATGCAAGGCCTGAAAGCAGTACTTCCGGTTACAACAGGGGAGACCTGCTCAGAGCAGGGAATAACATGTTGGACACAGAGGTGGAACTGGATCATGAAAGGTTTAGATAAACTCATGTATGCCACATATGGCTTTTTGGGAGAACAGAGTCCTTTAGAGCACATCCCATTCTTAATCCAACACATGGTCTTTATATCACACACCCTTGATGCTTCTGCCAGAAACCCAGCCCTGTAGCTCAGAAGGGAGCTATGCTTGACTCTTGCAGGACTCCTGTCAGAGCTGGAAGGGCCTTTTAAAGATTATCCGGTGCAACCGCTTTATCTCAAAGAGAAGAGAACGGGCCCAGGGTATAGACACTTGGTGGCAGAGCCAGGACAGAGCCCAGGTGCATTGCAGCATGACACCTGCTTCACCTCTGCACACCTCCAAGGGGTTTGGATTTTTCCATTGGTAGTAATGAAGGTGCATTCTGTAGAGTTTTTTGCTTTGTCAGTGTGGTCCCTGAACCAAACAGGTTGGAACCATGCTGATCTGAGGAAGGCTGGGAATGAGAGGCCTGAGACAAGCCAGGTACCAGCCCAGGCCCCACTGAGGCTGAGTCAGAAGTAAAGACCTGTGGCTGAGGGTCTAGATTTGGGTTCTGGCCTCACTACCACTATGGAGATGCCACTTTGCCTCCTAAGCCTCTTTCCCTGTTTTTAGATGTGGAACCTATGATCTTTATCCCACCTTACGCAAGAGTGCTGTTAGATGAAAGTGGGTCTACTCTTCCTTTGGGAATCATGTAGTTACTAAGCCTGCTCTGGCCAGCACCCAGCTAGGTACTGGGAATATGGAGATGTATAAGACATAACCCTGTGTTCAAGGAACGTACATCTCCTGGGGAGACAGCACGAATAAAGATTGGATTACAATGCAGTGCATTGGCGGGGGGTTGGGGGGAGCTGGCTATTGGGCACAGGTGGCTAAGCTGAGAGTTAAAAGATGAGGTGGCAAAGCCATGCCCTCCTGGTGAGAGTGTGGGTGTGGCTCCTTCAGAGAGCAGCCTGGCAGATCCGTGTGGCTGGAGGTTGGGAAAGTGGGTGAGGGAGGCGTAGCAAGAGATGGAACTGGAGTGAGGTGGGTTGGGACCCCTGGCAGAGCAATTGAGTTAGCATTGGCCCTAGGGGCTCTGTGGAGGCACTGACCGGGCCTAAGCTGGGGAATGACATGACCAGAGTTGCATTCTGGAAAACCACTTGGCTGCCGTGGGAAGGTAGTATGTGTTAGAAAGGCCAAACTCGAGGCAGGAGGGCAGCGCGGAGGCTGGTGCGGTTGTCCGAGGAAGATAGGATGAGGGCCTCAGCTAAGACACAGCAGTGGGAGAGAATAAAGGAGATGGATTCTAGGAATTTTTAGGGAAGTAAAATCACTGGCCTTTGGTGATTTTACTTAGATGAGAGGAAGGCAGTGTCAAAGATGATTTCCAGGGTTTGACCCGGACAGTGAAGTGGACGGTAGAAGTGTTCTCTCTGCCATTGCAAATGGGGAGCCAGTTTGCAGGAGTAGGGAGTTGAGGGCAAAGGGTGTGCAGGGGCGGGTGTAGAGTTCATGGTCTCTATGGGACATGCACATAGTGACTCCTGTAGCTCATAGAGGAGAGCGGCCCTGGCTGGAGATTCTGATCTAAGATCCGTCAGCTTCTGAGTTGAACCTTTGGGACAGATGAGCACATGCCGGGAGAACATAGCATGAGATGAGGAAGGCGGCTGGGGGTAGAACCCTGGGAACGTTGATGGTTTTGGAGCCAGCCCTGTAGGCAGTTTGGAGAGCTGGTTTTGATGTGTAAGGGGCATGGGCTGTGAGGCTGTGGGTTAGGAAGGGTTTCTGCCAGCCTAATCCTTTATAAGCCCTTGGCCCTCTCTGGGAGCACCCTTCACCTTTGCCTAGCCCCTACCTCTCAGCTCCCCTGGCTACCTGCTTCTCTGGTCTTGAGGCTCTAAGACGTGGTGGCCCTGCCTCGACAGCCCTGTCTCTCTCTGTTGTAGCAACTGCCTGCACGTGGTGGAGCCCATGCCAGTGCCTGGCCATGACGTGGAGGCCTACTGCCTGCTGTGCGAGTGCAGGTACGAGGAGCGCAGCACCACCACCATCAAGGTAACGCCAGGGTCTCAGGAAGCCAGTGGGATTCCCACACGCCATTCTCCAATCGCAGACTGGCCTACACCCACAGTTTTTCACTTTATTCTGGAATGTCCCAATGGCTATGAGACTGGCTTCTAGGCTGGCCTAGTGCAGACACTGGGACCCACATCCCACACCTTCCTGGAGCCAGCTCCCTTCTCTGCTCTCTTTCCAGTAGTTACCATTACAGTGAGAGGGGAGAGCCCTGGGAGAGCTGCTGGAGACTCCTTTTTCCCTGCATTCTTTACAGTTTATTTCGTTCCTCTCCCTTCTTCTATTCATCCAGTAAATCTCTTTTCGGTGCCTGCTATATTCTGGGCAAGATGCTGCCAATGGGGAGGTTGGGCTGCCCTCCTGGAGCTTAGTCTAATTAAGCTTCCAAAGTGACTAAGCTCCTCTAAAAAGCATCAGAGCTGTGGACTAGGGCTGGGTGTTGGGTGCTGGGAGAACATCAGATTGGTTCTTTTGTGTTTTCCTGAACCACCTTCTCATTGATCATTTGGGTGAATTCAGGAAAGAGATGATAGACACAGTCACCACCATAGACGTCACGAGGTGTCTGTTCATTCCTGCACCAGGCAGAACTTCCCGTGTCTTCTAGAGGCTGTGAAGCCGCCCTAGCAGAGACCGTCATGACCCCCAGCCCCCCAGTGCGGCTTCCTAGTCCAGGTTCTAACAATCCTGGGCCAGGCACCTGGCACACACAGTACTCACTGATTACATAGCCATTTCTTTTTTTGTTTGTTTTTTAGAGACTGGGTCTGACTCTGTTGCCTATGCTGTAGTCCAGTGGCACGATCACAGCTCACTGCAGCTCTGACCTCCCAGGCCCATGCAACCCTCCCACCTCAGCCTCCTGATTAGCTAGGACCACAGGTGCACATCACCACACCCAGCTAATTTTTTAAATTTTTGGTAGAGACAGGGTCTCACTGTCTTGCCCAGGCTTGTCTCGAACTCCTGGCCTCAAGCACTGCTCCAGCCTTGGCTTCCCGAAGTGCTGGGATTATAGGTGTGAGCTCCATGCCTGGCCTAATGTAGCCCTTTCTGTTCCAGTTTGTAGCATTTTTCTGCTTGTCCTTTGAAGAGTCTATAAATAGCATTGGAAAATAATTCTCATATTTAAAGGCACTGCTGGGTCCTCCATCAGGTTTCTCCTTTCGAGGCACATTTAGGGGGCGGTGGTCTTCACTGCTGTCCTTCCTGCCTATTCCAGGGAGCCCTGTGCTGTAGCTCCTCTGTGTTCTCACCACTCAGGGAAAAAGCAGCTGTCTGTCCTTCACTCCCAGCCAGTGCCCTGTGCAGACCCAACTCCTTTCATCCACCTGAGGCAGCCCCTCCTGCAACTGTCATTCTCCTTCTCTGAACTTGCTCCAGTGGGCCTCACCCTCCAGGGACCAGATGCCTGAGACCTGAAATTCAGAGCCAGATGTCACCGCTGCTCCCTGTTTGGCCGGGAGGGAACTTCCTGGCATGGGGACCTCATCAGATACAACTTCCTAATCCCTCGTGTTTCCCCCAGTCCTCCTACCTAGGAGGCTCCCCTCAACTTCAGCCTATTGAAGACCCAGCCTCTGTTCTCCTTCCGCCTTCCTGGGGTACAGGTGAGGTCTGATTATTTGCCCTGTTTAAACAGGCGTGAACGCGGTGCCCCAATCAGGTGGGACATTGGTCCAGTGGAACTTGGCTATTGGCTGAGCGGGGCACCCAGCTTGAAAGTCCTGAGGTTCTTTTTTTCACTCTTCTTCACAGTCTAGGTAGGGCAGGGCTGAGATCAGAAGCCGGCAATGGCCAGGCATTGTGGAATTAGGAAAAGCATTTGAGAGGGAGTCAGCAAGTCTGGGTTTGAGTCACACCTCCACCATCTGGTAGCCTTGGGATCACAGGTGATCTAGCCCAGCAGTTCTCAATCAGATGATTACAGCCCCCCCAGGGGGCATTTAGAGGTGGGTGAAGGTGCTTTTGTGGTCCCAATAACAGGTGTATTACCAACACTGTTACAGGGACCATGGATGCTAAATGTCCCACCCAAAATCCCAGAGCACCCACATTGAGAAACATTGAATTTGCCTCATTAAATCTGTCTTTTCTGTAAAAACAAAATGACTCCAGCTTGTGAAGCACTGTGTATGTAAGAGATTCGTGGAGTTGTTGTTCTACCCTTGGCTTTCCCCTCCCTGCAGAGGGGCTGATGGGAGGGCAGGCGTGACCTTCACCCCCAGCACACACCTTCTTACCAGCCCTAGCCACTCTGCTCAGGGGCATGCCATGAGTGGGCCAGCGCGCCCCATCCGTCTTGCTCTCCACAGGAGCAATGAGCCCACCAGCCCAGGTTTACTTTTCCTGGCCCCAGCTTTCCAGCCTCTCCACAGCCTGTTCTTCCTTGCTCTTAGTTTCTGATTGCTTTCCACCCTTCATCATGAACTCTTCTACAGCCAGGGAGGCCCTTGTGTTCCCATCTCTACCCCGGGAGCCTCTCGGCATCAGGCTCCAGACTTCTTCCTCTGTCATCTGCCTGCTGTCGTGATGCCTGCTGTGCAGACTCCCTCAAGTTAGGACAGAGTGCTTCCTCTGTGGAGTAGGGCCCTCCCTTTCCTTTCTGGGCATGCTTTCCCTCTGAGCCCACGTTGCCTCCAAGTCCTTTCTTAGTGCACCACTTGAGGAGTCACTGCCAGCCGGACACAGATGGCCCAAGACTAGCAACGGATTTCTAGCCCTGGCCTCAGATAATGGTTCATAGGCACGCCGGTCTCTTCCTCAGGTCATCATTGTCATCTACCTGTCCGTGGTGGGTGCCCTGTTGCTCTACATGGCCTTCCTGATGCTGGTGGACCCTCTGATCCGAAAGCCGGATGCATATACTGAGCAACTGCACAATGAGGAGGAGAATGAGGTAAGAGGGCTTTGAGTGCCCAGGCCCTGGGTCCCTGCATGTGCGTCCCCAGGGCAAAACCCAGAGGAGCGTCACCTAGGTCCAGGTCCCACCTCCCCAAAATGCTTCAAGTTGCTCTTCTGGTCAGTGTCGTACACATCACCCAGACTCAGCAGGGACCTGCTCTTTGCCCTTCCAGATGAAGCAGGACACCGGGCATCAAGCAGTCTCCATGTACAAGCCGGGGGAGCCATGTCATCCTGCTGTACTGTGCTTCCAGGCAGAGGGGGCGCAGCCAGCCAGAGCCAGTCACACATAGATACACATGATATCCCCCGTGTGCTCAGACATTGGTGACAAGCTGCTGGTGGACTGGACGGCAGCAGGTTAATTTGTTTGTCCAGTGATTCCACAAACATCTGTTGAACACTTGCTCAATGCAAACCAGAGCTCCAGGGTCTGGGGAGAAATGTAGGATTTCAAGAGCGGAAGAGGAATGAGACAGTGGTGCCGGGCAGGGGACATTGCCAAGTATGTGTGAGGAATTTTGAGCGTTGCAAGGATAGGGTAGAGATGTTTGAATAGTGGCAAAGAGAGCTGGCCAGTAGATTTAGGTCACATTATTAAAAGTCCCAAATGTCAAGCTAAGGGGGTTTGGCTTTATCTGACAAGGAAAGTGGGGAACCACTGACCCCAGACAGCCTGCAAGGCCTCCAGGAGTTCATGCAATGGTGGGGAGCTGGCAGGGCTTGGACCAGGCCCAGTGCAGTTAACAAGCGCTGTCACCGTCTTCCCATTCATCCTCATACTAAAAAGTTGTGGACACCATGGCGAGGAAACCCGGGGGGACAGGAGGGCTCAGGTGAAGGGCTCTTCGTGGGAGTGAGACGTGGTGTACCTCCATGCTGAGCAGAGTTGTGATGAGCCCTGCACTCCCCAGGTGGTCTAGGGGAATCTTGCCTGAGTGAGGACTGCACAGCCCCGTGTGCCTCGGGCTCCCCCTTTATGCGCTCATGTACCAGCTAGCTGGGTGCATGAGACAGCAGAGCGGGCTGCTTAGAGGCGTGGAGCCAAGGCAGGCGGGGTTGGCTGCTGCTTCCACTCTGAGCTCTGTCCCCAGGGCCTTGCTGCTGGAAGATACTCCTGTTTATTGACTGATGGAGGGATGCCCTGAGTGAACTCATGCGTATGCATAAGGAATATCTAGTCGGGAAGCGCCTCAGCTAGGCCTCAGAGAATTAGTTGAAGAAACTGAGAGTCATTTAGCTTAAAGGAAAAGAAAAACAACTAAAGGAGACGCATGATAGCTGCCTTCAGAAGTTTGTAGAAGACAGCTTGGCTTCATCCAGGGACAGAGAGATTTAACACAATATGAGGAGGAGGCTGGGAGTCTTCCTGTAGACAGCGTGGTCTAACTATGGGGTAGGTGGGCTGGGCTCCCTTGCAAGACCATGAGCCAGTTCCTCACCAAAAAGAGGACCCAGGGGCTCAAGTCTAAGTGTGAAGCTGCCTGGGTGATGTGGGTCTGGGCCAGCATGAACAGCGAAGAGAAGGGCAGATCAGGGAGGGAGCCTGGCTGCTCTCGAGGGCTGTGTTGCCCCACCCTGCGCACATGCCTGGACTGCTCCCAGTTTGCCCCCAGCCTCCTGCTGACATGAGTTTGGCCGAAGGTGGAGCAGAGGGGATGAGCCTCGCCCCATTGGAGCTAGGGCCTGGGAGGTGGTGGCACTGGCAGTTGGGTGGTCTGTGTTCAAGAGGAAACCTCGTGTGCCTACCTGGTTATTAATGTAGAGTAATAGCAGCTCTGATAGGGGAGGAGCATCGCTAATAAACACTCAGCGATTAGGGGTAATGTGGTAATTGCAGTCCTGGCTGGGGTAGTAATTGAGAGATGCAGCCCAATGATTTCCGTGGAATGCATGGCTCTGGGGCATGGCCTTGTTATGTCTCCTGCCATCCTAGCCAGGGAGCCAGAGGGAGGGCAGCTTGGGGAGAGCAGCTTGCCGTCCCTGGGTATGAACCCAGGTCTCTCTTACCCCCAGGAGACCTGGAGTGCTCCTCATTTGAAGCCTGTTTGTATGAGGGGGCCTTGGGAGGAAGAAGGGCTAGATTTGGTAACTGTGGCAGGACTGCCTGGGAGGACAGTAGGCTGTGATAGGCTGCAGCACATAGAAGCTGGCGAGCCATGCTCCCTCCTGTAGGGGAAGTTGCGGCCCTGGGATGGACAGGATGACACGCCCTCACCTCTCACCTGAGGTTCTAAAAGCTCATAAAAAGTTGTGTTTAATCTCTTTGATACCCTGACCTAGGGTGCAGCCAACTCTCGCTGGTTGTGGCCTGGGGCAGGTAGATCTCATTGGGTGCCCTTGGCTGGGTAAGGAAGTGCCCCCAGTCCCGTTCTTTGGCATCATCTCTCTATCCCCTCACCTCCTGTGATTCTGTGTGGTCTCCAGGTCACAGATGTCTGTGGTTCAGCAACTCTGCTTTTCTCAGTGTATTCAGAAAACCTGCAGGTGGCACAGTGTTGAGATTTGCACAGACCTTATGTCTGCCCTCGGGGGTTTAAGCCCCAAGACGGCCAAAAGCAGGTAAAGCAGCAGGAAACGTAAAGGCTGGCAGTAAGATCTGGCTTCGTAAGACGGGTGGTCAGCTGAAAAGTCAGGTGCCTTGGGAGGCCCCTCTTTACTAGACAAGGGGTCGGAAAGTTACCCTTCTCGTTGTGTTAGTCTGGGAAGGAAGGCTTCCTGGCAGAGGGGGATTTTCAGTGCCCACTCAGGGTGGTTGGGAGAGTGACCGCTGAACTGCAGGGAGGATGAACAGGGCATTGGGGCTGGACAGAACCCAAGGAGCTTGTCTTTACAGAGACTGGGGGCCCTAGTCCTGGACGACGAGGGATAATCTACTGCCCCTCTCAGTGCACAGAGGAAAGGGATGTGGGGAAACATGGGGCTGGGGGGCAGGCATTCAGCTGAGCGGCAGCAGCACCTAGGCTGTAGCCATGTCTCTGGGTTTCACCCCAAGAGGAACAAAGTCAGGACATGGCCTCTTGGGTTCCTTGAAAGTTCGCCTAGGCCTGTACAACTCGATGACTTTAGAAGGAAAATTCTGTCTAGGCTCCAGGAGCTTTCAGGCCCTACGCCCCAGAAGTCTGGGACCCAGTTAGGGGTGAGATCTGGAGGTCAGGGCATTTTTTCAGGGTTAGGGACCCCTTGGTTCCTTCTCCCCAATTCCTGTGACCAGGAGCTCTCCTGCCCAGGGGGTAAAGAACTGGAAGAGGAAGAGGAGGCCTCCCCCTCAGCCTCAGCCCCGTTCATGGAGGGAGATGAAAGCTTGTCATGTTCCCTTTGAAAGCGCTGGCAGAGCCTCAGTAGGCCCTGATTGCTGGGCGCTGCCTCCCCTGGGATTCCAGCAGCATTAGGCATAATCCCTGGGCTCAGACGTCCTTTGAAAGGAGGAAGCAAGCATGTTTGCTGGGGCAGAAACGGCAAACAGAGCTGTTTTAGATGTGCAGGTTGGGCCCTCTTTGAAGAGAGACACATGGTTTCTCTGAGGCTGGGGATGTCGCTGCTCACAGCATGGGCCCAAGCTCTGGAGAGGTCTTCAAAGTGCTCACCCTGCTGGGGCAGTGGGTAGAGTTCTGGGCCCCCTTTGGGAGAGAGTATACAGGGAAATCAAGGAAAGGTGATGATGATGATGGGAACTGGAACATGCAGGCACCGGGGAGAAGACTCGGGCCACTGAGGAGCAGTCTCCCCTCCTGTCTGCACATGGGTGGCAGCTGTGTTCTGAGGACCCCAGCCCTGGGAAGCTGACAGTGAAACACGGAACAGACACACTGATGAGGGCAATCCAGTCGGCCTCCTCCCCTGAGGGCAGAATAGAAAGATGTGCGGTTCAACAGACGCTTCTAGAGCCTCCAGTGGGGCAGCACAGCATTGTGGTTAATCACAGTCCTGGGAGGGGCCGAGCCCTGCCATTTACTATCCTTGGTGCTAACCTCCTGGTTTAGTTTTCTAAGTCTGGAATACACATAATCATGTTTACCTCAGCATAACTGTTGCGATCGTGTGTATGGAAGCTTTACAAGTGTTTGCTCGTCCTTAAGAATGCGCTATTTCAATCAGGTGTTAATACTTAAGTAGCATCATGATTGCTGGAGGGAAGCCTGAGGGGCAGCGTGCACAAGGGCCTGAGTGAGGATCACCGCAGGTAGACAGAGGATGCATGGACCAGTGTGGCCAGAGGCTGGGCTGGGGGGTAAGGGGGGAGGTGAGGCTGGGAGTGCCCTTGAATGTCAGGCCCAGCAGGGTTTTATTTGTGAGCAGGTGGGTCCCAGCTGGGGTTTTTGGGCAGGGAAACAGCATGAGTTGGTGTGTCATAGGAAGGTGGCCCTAGCCGCAGCGTGCAGGGGTCAGGGAGAGCCTCGCAGCAGAGGTGCAGTGGGACTCAGCAACAGCAGCAAGGACTTGGGTCAAACATGGAAAACTCAGAGAGGCTGTATAGTCCTCTTGCTGAAGGGCTTTGCACTAGGACCATGCTTTGCTGAGTGGCTGGTAAGTGATGAGACCACCTGGTCATGCTCCTGTGCCTGGGATTGGGGAGGAGGGAGGAGGAGCAGCCAGAGAGAGGAGAGCCGCCTGAGGTGGGGTTCTCACTCTCCCTGTCTCCTTGTCATCAGGCTTTGGCCAAGTCCAGTGCCAGCTCAGAACCAGTGCTTCTGGGCAGACTGAAGAGGGTTTCATCTGGGACGGCCTGAAGGGCTCAGGGCTAGTTTGATCAGCTGGGGCTTATCCACACAGTTACTTGGGTCCTTCCAGTGTGGAGAAGAGGGCCTCGCTTGATGTCCTGAGCATTGGTTCCTTTAGAAGTGCTCTGTTCTTGCTCTAGCTGTGGGGAAATATACCAGCCTGTCTCTTTGGTTGTCCATGCTGGCTCCCTCTTAGGAGAAACCAGCCAAAGAAGGATCCAGCTGGGTCCTAGGATAAGAGATATACGTACATGGGTTCAAATTCCGACTTGGCCACTAAACAGCCATGCAGCCTTGGGCAGCAAGATGATTCATCTTTCAGAGCCTCAGTTTCTGCAGCTACAATAGGGGATGGTTTTACCCATTTGCCAGTGTTGTAAGCCTGGGAATAATCTGTGTAAAGTGCCTAGCAGAGCGCCTGGCACATAGTGGCACTTGTCATAGTCACACTGGTCTGGTCCCCCTGGGGACCTCCTGGGAATCCATCCATGTCCAAGCTCTTTTTCTGATTGGGAGGGGCTCCACCCGCCTCCCCTCCTAACTGCCCTTCTGCTCCCGAGTTAACCGGAGGCCCAGCCTCAGAGGGAGAGGGGAGGAACTGGTGGCATTTCTCCCACTTCCACCCACCATACTTGCTGCAGAGCAAGCAAGGATGAGGCCCCACTCTGGGCTGTCTCTGAAACAGATGTGGAGTCTTTAATACCTTTTAATCAGACTATTAGCGATGGAAACTCAGCCTCTCAGTGGCAGCTTTCCCCCACTTAGGAGCTGTTTGTTAAGACTTTACATGAAGGGAAAACAAATGATACTGTGGTAATGTGGTGAATTTCAGCATGTTCCCTTAATGCTGTGCTCTGGGCTCTCCCTGGCTTCCCCTTCTCAAGACGCTCCCCTGAGATACAGAGCAGTGGAAGGAGGGCAGGGCTAAAGCTGCCCCACCCTTCCAAGCGTAGCACCCCACCCCACACACACACTGGAGCCCTGTCATGAGAAAGATGGTCCCAGAAAGGATGAGATTGGGAATGGAAAGAAGAAGAGAAGGCAATCCAGCCCCCAGAGCCAAGTCCCGGTGGGCCAATAGCTTCCCAGATGGGTCTTTAGTGCCCACCTCATGTAGACGGCCACACTGAGGCAGGACTGGGTGGAGGCTTGGTCTTAGCACTGTGGCCAGCTCAGTCAGCACAGTGAACAGGGAAGGCATGGAACTGGAAGGAGGGGCAGCAGCCATGGCAGTTTTCACAGGCTTTCTCCTGGCAGCCAGCCGCCAGCCTTACTGCCTAGTGGCTTCCAGAGCTAGGCTCTGATATTAGTCATCGCTCCTAGGGAAGAAAGAAACCAAACATTTCTTGAGCCCTAGCTCTGTGACAGCCAGGATAGTAAGTGCTTTATATGTGTGTTATTTAACTTTGCCATACCCATCTACTAATCTTAAACCAGTGTATTTCAAGCAAGCCATTAGGTCATGAAATGAATTCTGTGAGTCATGACCAGGATTTTTAAAAAAATGGAATGGAACAGAGCAAAGAATATCAGAATGCATTACACTAAGTATTGTTTTATGAAACTTCTTTTCACTCTGTGTGTGTGTGTGTGTGTGTGTGTGTGTGTGTGTGTGTGTGTGTTAGATAATTTGGTAACTATAATTCCTAATGACCGTATAGCAGAAAAAAGTCTCAATGACTACATTTACTACATTAAATTGAAGCTTGGAGAAATAAAGTAACTTGTTCAGGGACACATAGCCTCATAAGTGACTGAGGCCATGTCTCCTTCCCAGCCCCCGCTGTGGATCTGTAGTTCCACCTGGGACGCGAGCCTAGGGGAGGCTGAGGCTGGAAGGGGCAGGTGATCCCCAGCCCAGGAACAGAACCCAGGGGTCCTAATTCCAAGCTCAGTATGCCCCCTGCCTGACATGGCCACACGTGCCTTTCAGGCGTTGCCTGAGCCTCACCTAGCCTGGCACAGGAAGCCTTCCTCAGGACCTGGGCGGGAGGCTCCCAGAAGGCAGTGTCCATCTCTAACGCAGCTTAGAGAGGAGCACTCACAAGATGAAGTCCTCAGAGCTCTGAGAGGATGATGATGAACCCTCTCCCAGCCTCCTCACTGCCAGCTTGTTCTCTGTCCACCCTACCCTCACCTCACCACCCCCCTTCGCCCCAGCGTAGCAGCTGCATGGTGACAGAAGCCGTGCCAGCTTGGGGCATTAGAAGCAAAGTTGCATTTACTGGGCGGCTCTGGGCTTAGAGAAGTGCACTAATCCCTTAAGAGATGTGTGGCAGGAGATGAGAGGCAGGGAAAGCTAGGGAGGAAATCCCCACGGGGGTGTGGGCCTGGCCCTCAGCTCTAATTCTCTCCAAAGATCAGGTTCAGGTCCTGCAGGAAATGCAGAGGCTCCGGAGCTTCAGAGGCAGAGAAGTGGTAATTAGGGGAGGATGCTTTTGACGGCAGCAACAGTTCTGAAAGCAAAGGGGAAGGGGATCAGCAGAGTCAGATAGGGAGGAAGCTGAGCTGTCCTCAGCTATCAAAGGAGGGAATGGGCCAGAGAGGGCTCTGCAAAGGGAATGCTGGGGCGGCTCTGAATTTCCATCCCTGTCAGACTCCCTGAGTGATGTCACATCCCTCTTTCCCAGGGAAACTAAGATCCCATGGATCTGGATCTATGCAGACTCCTCAGTAGGCCCCCTCCCATCTGGAGCAGATGTGTTGCCATCTCAGGGTAGCCAGACCCTAGCCCCTGGGCCTTCTTCCTGTCCCCTGGGCAATGGCGTGGAGGGCAGGGGAGTTCTCTAGCCTAGTACTAGCCCTGGGGGCACCTCGGTGCATTGCTGAAACAACAGATGTCATCAAGTCCTCTGCCTAAGTGAGGTCTTGAAGCCTATACTTAGCATCCTTCTTGAGAGTTAGAAATAGTGGAATGGGGCATGGTGAGGGGTGGGTTCAGGCTGGGAACCTCCCTTGAGCTAGCTGTGTGGCAGTAACTGGAGCCCCAGCAGAACCTACTCTTCCTGGAGTGCTTCCTTTCCCAGGCCCCAGGGAGGGGCAGGGGCCCCATCCTGCAGATGCTACAGACACTAAGGCTTCCAGCAGACCTGGCACACTGTGTTCAGCTCTGCAGATGACAAGGCAAGGTCCTCAGCCTGCAGCACTTGGGGAGGCCCAGCCTCCCAGTCTGGGGAAGGTAAGGCTTTGGGGTTCGTTCTTTCCATGTCAGACTTTCAGGATCCAAGACCCTTCTGGCTTACCGTGCCAGATCTTCTCTTTTTTTCTTCCCACTACAGGATGCTCGCTCTATGGCAGCAGCTGCTGCATCCCTCGGGGGACCCCGAGCAAA
Organism: Homo sapiens; assembly: GCF_000001405.40. Taxonomy (NCBI): domain Eukaryota; kingdom Metazoa; phylum Chordata; class Mammalia; order Primates; family Hominidae; genus Homo; species Homo sapiens. The sequence goes on along the minus strand of NC_000001.11, from coordinate 201,135,762 downwards.
CACAGTCCTGGAGCGTGTGGAAGGTGCCCAGCAGCGGTGGAAGCTGCAGGTGCAGGAGCAGCGGAAGACAGTCTTCGATCGGCACAAGATGCTCAGCTAGATGGGCTGGTGTGGTTGGGTCAAGGCCCCAACACCATGGCTGCCAGCTTCCAGGCTGGACAAAGCAGGGGGCTACTTCTCCCTTCCCTCGGTTCCAGTCTTCCCTTTAAAAGCCTGTGGCATTTTTCCTCCTTCTCCCTAACTTTAGAAATGTTGTACTTGGCTATTTTGATTAGGGAAGAGGGATGTGGTCTCTGATCTCTGTTGTCTTCTTGGGTCTTTGGGGTTGAAGGGAGGGGGAAGGCAGGCCAGAAGGGAATGGAGACATTCGAGGCGGCCTCAGGAGTGGATGCGATCTGTCTCTCCTGGCTCCACTCTTGCCGCCTTCCAGCTCTGAGTCTTGGGAATGTTGTTACCCTTGGAAGATAAAGCTGGGTCTTCAGGAACTCAGTGTCTGGGAGGAAAGCATGGCCCAGCATTCAGCATGTGTTCCTTTCTGCAGTGGTTCTTATCACCACCTCCCTCCCAGCCCCAGCGCCTCAGCCCCAGCCCCAGCTCCAGCCCTGAGGACAGCTCTGATGGGAGAGCTGGGCCCCCTGAGCCCACTGGGTCTTCAGGGTGCACTGGAAGCTGGTGTTCGCTGTCCCCTGTGCACTTCTCGCACTGGGGCATGGAGTGCCCATGCATACTCTGCTGCCGGTCCCCTCACCTGCACTTGAGGGGTCTGGGCAGTCCCTCCTCTCCCCAGTGTCCACAGTCACTGAGCCAGACGGTCGGTTGGAACATGAGACTCGAGGCTGAGCGTGGATCTGAACACCACAGCCCCTGTACTTGGGTTGCCTCTTGTCCCTGAACTTCGTTGTACCAGTGCATGGAGAGAAAATTTTGTCCTCTTGTCTTAGAGTTGTGTGTAAATCAAGGAAGCCATCATTAAATTGTTTTATTTCTCTCACTTTCTGGTTTTTAAGAGATTTAGGGAACTAGGAATTTTTCACAAGTGACCTGGTAAATGTAGTATCCCAGAGGGGACAGAGAGCATTGCGTTTTGCTAGGTCCAGACAGGCAGAGCCTTGGGAAGTCCAGGCGGCCGTGGCAGAGCCAGCCACAGTGCAATCAGGCCAAGGCCACGGCTTGCTGGAAGTCCTCCTCACCTGATTAGGAAAGAGGTGGGTAGGCTGGGGCAAGGAGCACAGGGTGAACTGGCCCTTGGGAGTTATCCTGAGATTTTACTTCATGTTTATGGGCAGTTCCTCTGAAACTGAACAGTGCGTGATTCATCCTAATATCCTACAGACACAGTAAATAGCGCTCCCTGCAAAACCTGTAAGTATCCCCAAATGAAAACCAACAGGTATTTGGAGAGGGGTGGGTGGGGGCAGCTAGAAAACGAGCTGCCCCATACAGAAGGAAATGCCAGCAGCTTCAACAGGGACATCCAGGGGAGCCCGGCACTGCGTCAGCTCCAGTATGGATGTGCGGTGCAGGGCATGTCCAAGACCCAGGCAGAGGCAAGGCATCTAGAGGGACTGAGCTGATCTGGTGTCATCAGGGTTGTCCAAATAAACATGGATTAAGAACCTTTGTGGGCTGGGCGCGGTGGCTCACGCCTGTAATCCCAGCACATTGGGAGGCCGAGGCGGGCGGATCATGAGGTCAGGAGATCAAGACCATCCTGGCTAACACGGTGAAACCCCATCTCTACTAAAAAAAATACAAAAAATTTGCTGGGCATGGTGGCGAGCACCTGTAGTCCCAGCTACTCGGGAGGCTGAGGCAGGAGAATGGCATGAACCCGGCAGGCGGAGCTTGCAGTGAGCTGAGATCGCGCCACTGCACTCCAGCCTGGGGAACAAAGCAAGACTCCGTCTCAAAACAAAACAAAACAAACAAAAAAAAACCTTTGTGTGGGCCCCCATGCTGGGTTCTTGGAGAGGTGTGGGAGGCAAGAGAACGACGTGAGATGGGGGGTCAGTTTGCAACAGTTTGCCAAAGTTCCAAGACAGAAGCGTAAAGGGGATGGGACTGGGGTGACCTGCAGATGGGGCTCCCAGGAGGAGCAGAGACTCTGGTTGGCATTGGAAACAAGGGACACAGCTGAGAGGGGACCAAGTGGATTGTGGGGTCCTGAGCAAGTGCACTTAGGAAGTTTGTGGTAGGGCTAGCAAGCGATAGATGTGCCCCCAAATGCAAGGCTGGGACAGAGGAGTTGGTGCTGACAACATTTCTACTGGGTCATTTACTAGACAGCTGCTCAGTGCCTACCAGGGTCAAGTACTGCTGTGGAAGCTACAGTGGGCTATTTTATTCTTTCAGGATGGGGATGCTCTTATTTCAAGAGGCATACAAAAGCAGCACTTTCCAAAGGTGGGCAGGTGGGTGTATTAACTTAGCAAGAATAACCAGGCCAGAAATTGGTGCCTAACATTGCCAGGTCTCCCCTGTAAAACCACATGCCCTGGGGGAAACATTGAGTGCTATATTTCTCTGAGGCTTGGGTAAGTCCTGCAGATGATCCAAACTGGCTTTGGTGGTTTTTGGGACAACTGTTGTTAACTATAAATAAGCCGAACTATAAGTCCAGTATATGAACATTTATAAAAGATTAGGAGTGACTGTTCACTTTACTAAGGATTCAACTAGTAACCAAACGTCTCATTGTGTCTCAACTTCACACACACAAAACCCGATTTTCAGACGATGGCAGAGTACACTTCATCTTTCTGTGAATATGAAGGGGCGGAGATCCCCAGCAAAGGGGTGAGCACACTGCTTGGCTGGTATTTGGAACAGAGATGAAGACCCCTGCAGCCAATGATGGAAAAGATCAGAAATGACGTTCTTCACCCTGTCTCGTATGATGTAAAAGGAACAGAACTTGGCTGGGCATGGTGGCTCACGCCTGTAATCTCAGCACTTTGGGAGGCCAAGGCGGGCGGCATCACGAGGTCAAGAGATCGAGACCATCCTGGCTAACATGGCGAAACCCTGTCTACAAAAGATACAGAAATTAGCTGGGTGTGGTGGCGCCTGCCTGTAGTCCCAGCTACTCGGGAGGCTGGGGCAGGAGGCTCGCTTAAACCAGGGAGGTGGAGCTTGCAGTGAGCTGAGATCGTGCCACTGCGCTCCAGCCTGGCAACAGAGCAAGACTCCGTCTCCAAAAAAAAAAAAGGAACAGAACTTGGTGCTGTTGTGTTCAGAATCCTGTCTTCCCTCAAACCCACCAACCATGCTGTTCTGTAATAGATTGGTCCCACCTGGAAAAACAACTGGTTGGGGTTGGCCCTGGGAACCTGAGCCTTAAGAATTGGTCTCCACGATTAGAGACCAGCACTCATCCCTCGTGTGGCTCACAGGGAGGCTGATGGAGAGGCCAGCCTGCTTCCTCGTGGCCTTTCCTTCATTTCTCACCTAGCCCGACTTGGTCCTCCTCCTCCTCTCGTTTCCTGGCATCCATTGTTACACATCTGCCAGCAAAACCCCAATCCCACCCAGTCTGACTTCCCTGCTCCTCCCTGGGCAGCCCAGTGCTGCCACAGAGGCTGAGGGTGCCCTGGCAGGTGCATGGCCTCCACCCCCTCCCTTCCCCCATGAGGGCCAATAATCCTCCCATGAGGCTCACTCTTGAGGCCACTAGACAACCTTCCTGTCTCCCCGTCTCCCTTCCCTAGAAAATCTTGCTTATGACTTCAAGAAAATGGAGTGATTTCTTAACTCAGCCCCATTGTTAAATCATTCTTCATTCATACTCATCCTGACTGCCTTTGCTACAGCCTTGGGGATAGTGTGTTCCTGTTCAAAGCCAACCGCCCACCCCATACTGCATGGTATTTCCATCATTTCTCCAACCCCCAATACTGTCTGGGACCTCCATTTCTCCAATCCCCCCTGCCCAATACTGCCTGGGACCGCCATCATTTCTCCAACCTTACCCTATTTACTGGCACTTCTCCTCAGCCTGGTAACATGCTCAAGTCTTTGTCCTGAGAACCTTCCAGGGGCTCCAGGTCCACCCCTGACTACAGTGGAGTCTCCTCCCTGTCTCTGTGCACTCGGTCATTCACCCCCTGCCAACTGACCTTGCCCTCCACGCTCCTCTGAAACTGCGCTCAGCAAGGTCACAGCTGGCTCTGGGAGCGCCAGGCCCAGAGGGTGTCTTTGGTTCTTGTCCTTCTGGCCCTCTCTGCTATATTTGGTGGTGTTGATCCTCCCTCCATAACACTCTTCACTTGGCTTCTGGGACCTGACCTCTTGAGCCTTTCTGACTGTCCCTTCCTGTCCCCATGAATGTTGGTTTCCCAGGCTTCCATGCTCAGCCTACTTGGCTCTATCTAAAATTTAATTTCTAAGTACTCTCTTTGGAAGTTTATTCTGTTTTGCAGTTTCATGGCGTTTATTCATCTCTATCTCTAGCCCGGCCCTAACCAGCCCCTGAGCTGAGCCCTAACCAGCCCCCAAGCTGCATAGTTGGACTGTGCCCCTGAGCACCCCAAGACCAAGATTAAACTCATCTTTGTCCTGAAATTGGCTTATTTTATATATAATATATATTTATATATTGTATCTATATACAATTTATATATTGTATCTATATACAATTATATATAGATACAATATATAAATTATAATTTTATTATATATAGTACATATGTTTAATATATATTTAATATATAAAATTATGTAATTATATGTAAATATATAATATATGTATACATGATTATATAATATAATATATACATGTGTAATATATATTTATATATAAAATAAGCCAATTATATATTATAAAATAATATAGATGTTATATATAATATTTATAATATACATTATATATAATATAAAATAATATATGTTATATATATATTTTTTGAGACAGAGTCTGGCTCTGTTGCCCAGGCTGGAGTGCAATGACACGATCTTGGTTCACTGCAACCTCCACCTCCCAGGTTCAAGTGATTCCCTGCCTTAGCCTCCGGAGTAACTGGGACTACAGGCACGTGCCACCACACCTGGCTAATTTTTGTATTTTTAGTAGAGACAGGGTCTCACCATGTTGGCCAGGCTGGTCTTGAACTCCTGATCTCAAGTGATCCGCCTGCCTCAGCCTCCCAAAGTGCCGGGATTACAGCTGTGAGCCACCGCGCCTGGTGGCTTCTTTTATATTCTTAACTGGTGGTACCACCACCCACCAAGTTGTTCAGGCCAGAAACCTGAAGGTCATCAATTCTTGATTCTTCTCTTGTACAATCACTCACAACGTCCCACCAACTTTACCTCCAAATAGTCCTCAAATCTGTCCCCTCCCCTCAGCCCCTGTTACCACTGTCCCAGTCTTCCCCATTTCTCACCAGATACTGCGGTTCTTGTCAGGAGTGCCAGAGAGTATGCTTTTAATCAGACCAGGTCACTTCCCTCCTTCAGAGCCATCAGGGGCTCCCCATTTCCTAAGGCGTGAGTTCTTTATTGAGACCTGTAGGGCCTCAAGGCCATGTCTGCTCCTCTGGCCTTTAGCCTCAGAACCAATTGGCAGGAGTCTTGGAAGTGAGGGAATTGGAAAGATCCTCCAGATGTGTGCACACCTAAGTGGGTGTGGGGTCTTGAGTACCAGGCAGGCAGTGAATCCCAGGCTGCCCCATGAGGCTCTGTGTCCTTGGTAGGAGCTGCCTCATCTCCCCACCAGCTCCCACAGCTCAGGCCCTGCCCTAGGGGATGAGGCGGGAGCTGAGCTTGAAGAAGTGATGGAAGCGGTAGAGGGGGGATGCCCCAAGCCAACATTTACTGTCTAACACTGGAGCATGTGTTTCCCACTGCACAGGCAGTGCCTGTGTGGCTGCAGGGAGTCAGTAGGTGCCGTGGACAGAGTGTGGTCCGAAAGCCGGAAGCCACCTGGGTTCTCAACCCAGCTCTGCCCCTTGGCAATGCCTGAACCCCTTTTGAGCCGGTTTCCTCATCTCTAATAATACCAGGCCTCAGGGCCTAGCCTGTAGTAAATCCTCAACAAATGAGGTGCTGGGGCCTAAAGCTCCCTAAATGACCAATCTTCCACCGAGTAAATTAAGTGGCGTGGCTAAGAGCACGAACACTGAGCCCAGTACCCTGGGCATAAATCCTAACTGCCACTTACTAGGTAGGCAGCTTAGAGTAAATATTCAAACTCTATATGCTCTGTTTCCTCACTGCAAAATGAGGCTACAACTACTGACTGTGTTGGGTTGTCGGAGGGAGTGCATTGTGAATGTGTATAAAGCACTTAGAAGAGTTCTGCAGTGTAAGCGCTCAGCAAGTGTCGGCTGTTCTTGGTCACGTCACTATTATTACTATCACCACATAACCTCCAGCCATCAAGTCAAGGTTCTGCAGATTCAACAGGGACTTCCTACTCAGTGTTACCAGGGGCGCTTTAGGCTCCAGAAAACCCTGACCCCTCAGCTAGATCCCACCCTTGTTGAGGTCCAACTCCACACTTCCAGGTGGGGCGACTTCTCCTCCGGCTCCCCTGCCCTGAGGCGTGGAACTGAGCATGGAGCCAAGGCTGCAGGCAGTGCTGGCTCTGAGGGCGCCTGAGCTCTTGAAGGTTTGGGGGCTCCTCTGATTCCTGCCTCCAGGTGGACACGGAGGCCAAGGCTCCAGGCTGGGAGTCGGGACCCCTGACCCTGGCTCCGCTGCTATTCGCTGTGTGACCTCGGGCAGGGCAGGCCTCCTCTCTGAGCCTCAGCCTCTCCAGATATCCTCTCCGGATAGAGCACATTAAACTAGCCCGTGGTCTCGCAAAGCACGGTGTACACACGCGAGGCGATTTTAGGTGGTACCCAGAAGTACACTTTTTACTGTAGTAGTTATGTAATTACGTTAATGTGTATTAGAAAAAAACATAATTGGCACATACATCTCACAATTTTGTGGATATTAATGCTAACGACAAGTAAAAAGGGGTCGGGGAGTGAGCATATATAAAGAAAATCATTAGGAAAACAGCGAGTACAAATGATGCTATAAATGGCAGAAACCACGGAAGCAGCTGTGTGCTGACGATGCCAGTTTGGGTGCCCTGAACCAATCGCTCTCTAAGGGACCTTCAGATCTTGCATCTGTACACTACAGAATCTCTAGATGTCACTCTGCGTGTTGACCGACTGGGGCTGAAAAGCGTGAAGAGAGGGTTTGCCCAAGGCTCTGCTGCTGCAGTGGTGAGAGGGCAGCTCAGACCAGGTCCTGAATGGATCCACACAGGGAAGGACACTGTGGTGCAGTGGCCAGGAGTGTCGGCCGGGAGGCTAGACCGCAAGGGTTCATTCCCAGCCCTGACTTTTCCTAGCTGTGTGACCTTGGGCAAATCAATCTGTCTCCATTTCCCCAACTAAAACATGAGAATAGTAACTTCTCTCATGGGGTGTGACGAGGGATAAGTGTGTGTGAGTGTGTAGGGAGCAGGGCCTGGCATGTAGTGAGTGCTGAGTGGCTGTGGTTGTCTGTCATTCCTAATACGTGACTGTGTGGCGGAAAGGAGGGCCTCCCCACGGCTACCGAGAGAGGTCCCTGTTGGCACCTCAGCCTAGTCCCTAGGCTTTTTCTGTCTGCAGAGAAACAATGTAGAGTTCGATGTGGAGTGAGGGTGGGAGGGTGGGGAAGCAGAAGCTAGAACGCAGGTCTCCCAGCTCCCAGCACAGGCCTCCCAGCTCCCAGCACAGGCCTCCTCCCTAGAGCCGCAGGCCTCACCACACAGAGCTGGGCCTTCGCCTTGCCGGAGGCTCATCTAGTGGGCCGCGTATCCCTGGGCACACCTCTTTCCTCTCTGGGTGCCACTTTCCTCAGCTGGCCACTGGGGAGGATGGCCTTGGTGACCTCCACGGGCCCCTCCAGCTCTGGCTTCAGGCAGCTTTGTGCATGTGCGGTGCAGCTACCCTGCAGTCCCTGGTGGAGGCTGGCGGTGCGAGTGCCCCCCAGCCCTGCACTGTGTCCCTGGAGAGCCACTGCAGCCCTCCTAGTCCCCGGTTCAACCCCTGGAGTGCCCAGTGATCACCTGACAGTCCCCACCCCCAAACTGGTATCATGAAAGCCACTCCAGAGAGAGTGTTGTCTTCTCCTGACCATAAGGACTTCCCCCATAAAAAGAGACTCCCTGCGTGTTCCTGGTCTCTTGCCCTTCACGCTCACGACGCATTTCCTACGCGCTAATTCAAGTCCCTCCTGCTGTATGGACTTCCATCCAGAGGCTATCTGAGGCTCCCTGCCAGCTGGGCCAGATGCATCCCCCTCCCTTGGCTCTCAGCAGGGCAGCGCCCTAGAGGACAGCATCCCCACTCCTCCTAGGCTCCAGCCCAGAGCTGCATGTCACTTGCCCAGACTCAGGGCAGCCAATCACAGGAGGCCAGGAGTGGCCCTCTCTCCTTCTTGGGAGCTGATCCCAGATCAGAGGAGCCCCCACCCCCTGCCGCCCCTCCTCCCTCCCCTTCTGGGTGTGTTGCCGTTTGAAGTTGAATCAGGTAAAGTGTACCTGGCTCCCGGTGCTGTGGCAGGAAAGCCCGGCCAGAGGCTGCTGAAGGTGCTGCTGGGCAGGCGGGCAGCCCCGGAGATTCCGCAGTCCCCCCAGGAGGTTCAAGAGCCACTGATCAGGATAAGCGCTGCCGGAGGAACAAACCCAGAGAGGTAACCGTGCGAAGGTGGTGGCTGAGGGATGTGCCCGAGTTTGATCCTGAAATAGTGATAGCCCCACCCGGCCTGGAGGAGGGAGGCCAGGAACACTGTTTACTCAGGGCTTAGTCACCCCTGATGGCTTTCCTACCCAAAGGAAAGGAAAACAGAGCCAAGCCACCTGCTGGCTGGGGTTACGGCACCCACCAGTGCTGGGAGAAGGCGAGATCAGCTGTGCTGCCAAGGACATTGCCACTGAGCGGGCATTTTCCCATGGACTTGCTCGTCGTGAAGGGTCTAGGCAGGAGGAGAGCTAGGCCTGGGTCTGAACTTGGGAGCAGGCTCAGGAGGTGCAGAGCAGTGGTGAAGGGCCTGGCCACAGGAGAGATGGCCCGGGCTCACACCCTAGCTCCATTACTTAATTGTTGTGGGACCACAGGCCATTTGCATATCTAGGTCTCTGTCCCTTCACCTGTTAAGTGGGTTAATAATAGTATATGGCTCACAGCACTATGTGAGAATCAAATGGGTAAAGTGCTTAGACTAGTACTTGGCATAGAATAAATGTTATATAAATATTTTTGTTGTTTTTAATCATGCTATTTACTAAAAATATGATCCCCCTTAAACTCACTTAAGCTTGCTGAGCCTCAGTTTCCCCATCTGTAAAATGGGAATAGAAAGTGATTTAAGGGAGGGCGGGACACAGTGGCTCATGCCTGTAATCTCAGCCACTCAGCAGGCTGAGGCGGGAGGATCACTTGAAGCCAGAAGTTCAAGATTCTGTCTCTACAAAAAAATTTTTAACAACCCAGCATGGTGGTGTGTAGCTATAATCAGGAGGCTGAGGCAGGAGGATTACTTGGACCCAGGAGTTCAAGTTTACAGTGAGCTATGATCGTCCCACTGCTCTCCAGCCCACATGACAAGGTGAGATCCTGTTACTTAAAAAAAAAAAAATTAACTTTAAAAGAGCTAAGGGAACTTGAAGAGATTAAATAAATAAATTGCTAGCACATGGTAAGGTGCCTAGTAAATAACAGTCTCCTTCCCTACGGTGTGAGCCAAGATTCTGTCCCCGTTAGAACACAGCATTTCCTCCCACTCAGTGCCTGTGCTTTTTATCCTGCTCCCCGAGGAGGCAGTTTGGATGGATGAGTTTTGTATTTTCAGGCTCAGACCTCTGCATCGCTGCTCTACCACAGACATTAAAGGAAGGTGACACGGCTCGTGAGACCACCTGCTTTGCTATAACAGTCATGGACTGGTGACACTCACCTGTGCCCATTCAATTGCCATTCATCCAGCAGCAATTCAATTACCCCTCCACATCAGGCTACTTCTTGGACACCTCCTATGTGTCAGGGGCAGGGCTGGGCCCGCAGGATACAGAGGGAGCATGAGGTTCCTGCCCTTCAAGGAACTCCTGCTCCTTGAAAGAGCAAGACACAAATGCACAGCAAGGTGAACAGCAAGGCGAGGGCACGCCAATGAACTATGACCACTGAGAGCAACGCACCAAGGCTTTAGGATTCAGGGAGAAGGAGAAAGAGCAGAAACAGGAGAGGGTAGTAAAGCTCTGTGGACAAAGAAAGACCCAAACAGCTTCCAGAAGTAGGAGTTGGATGAGTGGAAAGGCAAGGGGCTAATTCTCCCGGAAAGGAGCAACTCTGTGAACATGGGCTAGAGGGGAGAACGCAGAGGCTGCTTGAGAGAAGAGAGTTATGTTCACGCTGAAGCTGAGGGCTGATTTGGGGATATGGGGGAAAAGAATGTTGGAGAGAAGGATGGCAGACTGCTGGGAACCTAGATGCCGGGCCTGGGAGTGTGAACAGCTGTTGATTACTGAGCACTTCCCAGCCACGAAGCGTGCCAGCGTGTTTTCATGCACGATCTCCTTGAACTTCACAGTAACCTTAGGAAGTGAGTGCTGTTACTCTCCCCAGCCTACAGAAGAGGAAATGGAATAGGCCTGCTCAAAGTCATATAGCTGGGAAGTGGCAAAGCCAGGATTCTCAGACACATCTGGCTGGCTCCAGAGTCCCTGGTCGTAAGCCAACGTATGACAAGTTCAGAGAGCCCCAGTTCCCTCTAAAATACAGGTAACCGCATGCATGAGACAGGTTGGAGAATCCCAGTGACAGCCTGCACACAGAGGGAGCTGCGAGGGCCTCAGCCACCAGGAGGGGAAACTGGGGTGGGGGCAGTGGAGAACCAGGGCCATGGTCTACCCTGGCCACAGGTCCAGGCTCTCCTGGCCTCGGTCCCTCCTGTGGAGTGGGGGCTGCAGACACCCACTTCACAAGGACACCCTGAGGCTCGAATGAGATCCAGAGTGTGAAGTATCACAAGTGCTGAACAATGTTGGTTCATGAATCTCCTTCCCTCATTACGGGCACCGTCTCCCCTCCAGCCCTGCAGCTGCAGTCACTTCCCACCTACGAATTCTCTGGATCTATTAATATGATCTGCAGAGGCCACCAGACCCATCTTCCTTGGGAACCCTCAAACTTTTGTTCTGTGGCCCCTAAGGGCTTTTTTTCCCCCATGAAATAGCCGTCACCTACAAGGGATACTCCTTTTTGTAGAGAAAGGAGTGAGAATCCTTTTTCCTCTGTTCCCCTGAGTTGGCAATAATATGGGCCCCAGGGCATGACTCTGCTTGAGCTTGGCACTGGAGCCTAGGGCAGTAGGGCCAGGGAGGAGACAACAATGACGATGGGTGTGTGGTTCAGAGGGCAGAGGCTGGCAGGCAGCACCCTTGGGGGCAGCTTCCATGGTACCCACCCCTCAACCCCAGCCTCCCTAGCTTCCTAGCCTGTGAACCCAGCTCTGAGGCTGACTGTTCCTCATCAAGGGAGGCTCAGGCACAGCTTGAATTTCTGGGATTCAAACTGATTTCATCTGCAGAACCGCCTGGTTCATTCTGACCATGACTTCACTGTGTCTATAGGATGATTTTCCTTCCTCTTTGTCTTCTTTGAAATTAACATTGATTAATCATAAGCATTCAGAAACACTCTTGAGCACCTATGTGTGTAACCAATGATGAGAACAGGAATTGCAGTAACTTGCATTTGCACAGCAGTGTGAGTCACTTCAGCCAGAGAGAGCAAGTTAAATACTGGGTTCCTAGTCACAATTTTGGCCAGGGTCTCACCTTTCCCTTCTGCAACCCCAAAACCCACCCCCAATGAGGTTGTTGGACTCCTCAGAAGGTATTTCTACTCCCCGAAAGGCAAAGTACGGAGCAGTTTTATCTGATGGTAAGATTTGTGAAGAGTCACATTAGCACTTATTGGTGGCTTTGGGACAAGAGTCCAGGTGTCGGGCTCCTGAGCCATAGACTCTTCCTCCTCCCCTTGGGTGGGGTGGGGTAGTAGGAGTAATGTAGGGAATGGACTTTCTTCTGAATCTGAGTCTTATTCTTCTGGGCTAAGAAAGACTCATTCCTGGACAGGATGACGATGCCCCAGTCCCAGAGTGTAGAAAGGATCCCTTGAATCCCAGGTCAACATTTATCAGCTGTGTGACCTGCGGCAATTTGCTTAACCACTCTTTGCCTTGTTCTTCTCATCTGTAAGTTGGGGATACCATCAGTCCTGACATCATAAGGCTGTAATGAGAGTTTTGTAGCACACTTAGAACAGCGGCTGGCATATAGGTAAGTGCTAGGCATGTGTGGGCACTAAGATGCAGTCCTTTTTTCTTCTACTAAACTGAGGGCAGCAGTTGAGGTTGTCCTCTGCTGGGTCCCCAGCCCACAGAAGGATTCCTTGAAGGAGCTCAGGAGATGTTATTTGGTAGGTGGATTGACAGGCGATAGAACACACGGTTGAATAAATTCAATTTATTAGAATTATTTGAATTCAGTTACCCTTTTCATTCAAAGATTGGAGGGGAAAAATCGGACATTTAATGCATAGAATTTTCCTTTTAGACTCAGGACAGATGTGACTGTGGGAAGCTACTGGGTGTAAGCATTGGTGGAACAATATTGGTGGGGCACCTGCCGTCCTGGGCTTCTCTTAGCCACATCCAAGGGTCCTAGAGCTTCTGGGAGCTTTTCTGAAGGTCACCCGTCCCTTAACGGCAATAAGAGCTACCATTAATTCAATTGCTTTTAGGTGCCACGTGGCTCACATACATTACCTTTGTCTTTACAGTAACCTCTAAGGTAGGTATTATTACCTTCACTTTTCAGATGAGGCAACAGGCTTATAGAAGTCAGTAACTGGCCTAAAGCTACTTAGCCAGTAAGAGCAGCGCCAGGATTCATCCCGGCCAGTTTAATCTAAAGCCCGTGCTCAGGGTTTAGCAGTGGGGTGGTTGCCTCTGGGAACATCTTCCCATAACTCCACAGCATTGCAAATGCCTGGTTATATTCAGGGAACTGGGAAGGACTAAATTCCTCACCCAGCTCCACCCCCAGGAGATCCTGTAACAATCATTACTCATAAAAAAGGTGGGGACCGCTGCCCGGCCAAGAAAGTCCTCATATCAACCCAATGAGACCCTGGTAAATTCAATCGGCTGTGTGACCCTGAGCAGCTCTCTTAGCCTCTCTGAGCCTGTTTCCTCTTTTGTAAACAGGAACAGTAATACCTTCTCTCAGGTGTGAGGATAGCATGGGATAAGGAAAGCAGAGCACGCCGCAAAGCACCAAGCATCAGAGGGCACCTAATCCACGCGAGCCCATCCTTCTCCACCCTGTTTCTCTTCTTTAAGACTCTCAGCAAAGTGATGCCACATTGAGGACTTGGCTTGGTCAGCCCATGTCAAAGCTCTGTGAGCTTTTCTCTTTGTGAAACTGGATGCAGCCAGGTTGCTGCGGAGCAACAGAGGTTTCCAAACCTGAGGCAGGGAGGATGGCGTGGAGGGCAGCGTGAGGGGCTAAGCAGGCTCTGGGGCCCATGGATAGTACTTCCTCATTCAGTGCAGGCTAAGGGGGCAAGTGGGGCTGGAATCCCGCCTGCACAACACCCACCCAGAGCATGAAGCATCATTTTCTAACCCAGCAAGGTGCCATGTGGGCTCATGGTCACAGGGCCTGGCTGCCCCTTCTCCCATCAGTGTTGAAACTATACCCGTCAAGATTCTGAAAGGATTGCTTATGTTGAATATGTGGTCTGGAGTGTTCACTATGTATATGGTGGGGGTGGTGAGGTTATCCTTCTAGAAATATGTACAGGTTATGTGACAGACCCCCCAAGGGAGATTGTAAGATTTCCTATTTGGGTTTTTGTTGTTGTTTTGGGGTTTTTTTTTTTGAGACAGGGTCTGAGTCTGTCACCCAGCTGGGTGCAGTGCTGCAATCACAGCTCACTGCAGCCTCCACCTCCTGAGCTCAACTGATCCTCCCACCTCAGCCTCCTGAGTAGCCGGGACTACAGGCATGCATCACCACATCCAGTTAACCGTTTTTATTTTTAGTAGAGATAGGGTCTCTACTAAAGTATGCAGAACCTAATGAAAGATGAATACAATATTTAATGAGAGATTTTTTTCAAGTTAGTGATAAAAAGATGGCCTGCTTAATGAATGCTAAATAAATCGACACTGCTAATTATTGGTCTACAAAATTAAAACAGAACCCTATTGGAAACCACACACAAAACTGAATTCCTAAAGGAAAATGTAGCGGTGAGTAAGACTTAAACAAGACTAGAAGCACAAGGTTCCCAAGCTGGTCACAAATTCCTGGGCTCAAGCGATCCCCCCACCTCGGCCTCCGAAAGTGCTGGGATTACAGGTGTGAGCCACACACCAGCCCCTATTTGTTTCTTAAAAAAATACATTTACCCTGAAGATTTAAAGGCAGAATTTCCTGAAGTGTATTCTATTTGATGTTAGTGGGCTTAAGACCATTTTTTAAGTGTTCTGTGGTTCCATTGGGAATTTGGGGGTTAAATACAAACAGGTTTCTTTACCTGCAGGGCTTCCCAGGGCCTCTGATGCTAACATGCCCTCCAAGGGCCAACGCTAATGTGGGTATCCAAGGAGGGAAATGCGGGGAGCTGCATTTCTCAAATTATGCAGCCCTTAGGGGAAAGGTTTTAGCAACCACCTTGCCTGGAGGCAGGGGAATGAGTGAGGATTCCACAAAGCTAATGAGTTCTGTCATTCTGAGTCCTTGGGGCTTCCTTACAAATGTTCCCAGTTTTTGGCGGCAGTGGGTAGAGGGGAGGCTATGGAAGCAGTCTCCCTGTTGCTGCCCAAAAGCAGCATTATGGACTGGTCAACTCTCAGAAATCTCTCAGAGTGGTAGGAGAAGAAGAAGACTATGGAATCACTTTCCCCAATACTTCCTTCAGAGCCATGGGTTCCCTGTTGAAAGAGACATGTTCAGCCAATTCCTGACCTCAGACCCCCAACTCTGGTTCCAGTCCTGCTAAAGACAATGAGGAAAGCCTGAAAGGTAGAATTATGTTGTCTGCTTCTTCAAAGTTCACATCTGCCTTTGCCTCCCCAGGGCTTCCCACCAGTGTCAATCAACAAACACTTAACTGAGCGTGTACTGTGTGTCTCAAAGAAGGATAAGACCAGAGTTCTTGGGCTCACAGTTTACAGCCTGGGTTGGGGGCAGTGACAGGAAGAGCCCTGGGGAGAGGGCCCTCAGGTTGCCTGTTGCCCATGCAGAGTATAAGGCTGAGGAGGGTGGGGAGACAGGGCCCTGGTGAACATTGAGCACCAGGGAGAGGCCTGGGAGAGATGGGCAGGGGATGAGTATGAAACCATTAACAGCAAGTTATGATAATGTGCCATCCCCAGGGGTGTGGACAGTGAGATCCTCTGGCAATAGGGACAACAAGGGGCTAATATTGGTGGGGCAAACACTAGTGCTACACAATTAGAATTGGCAAGGTATTGCAAAGGAGGCCCAGGAGACCCCCGCTGACAATACGCCCTCTCTGGTGCAAGTCAGATTTGAGGATTAGAAAGTTCTTTGCACAATAATTGATGATAGCTGGCCCTAAACAAACTAACTGTACATGGTACAACTGAGCGTAGACTGCAGGCCTAACAGCTCAGTGTAGCTTGCACCACGAAGAAAGCTCTGGGGAGGAACAGCAGTTACTTCCTGCCAAGCACATCTGCTCGGCTGCTTCCCAGGGCAAAGTAAACTAGAGTACAGCTGGTAATGAATGGGGTTGCTGAGGGCAAGGAGTGGCTCTGGTCCCAGAGAGGAACCAGGGCCCCTTAAAAAGGTGGACAGCATTGCCTGCAACTAATAGTCTGTGCCTACTCAATGCAATCAATGGGTTCACTCAACTAGCTCTTTCAGCAGTCACCATGGGGGCTAAGAGTAGAGGAAAAGCTCTTCCACTGTTTCAGAGTCACATTTTTATCTAGTAAGTTGCCTAATGCTGATGCAACTGCTATTTTTAATTCAAAACAACAAAATACATCTAATTGTATTAATACATATTTTATGTATGTGTACATAGTGAAAGTTTAAGTGATACGAATTGCTTCACAAACACAGGGAGAAAATTAGTAGATGTTGACAGAAAACTCAGTAGCTTTTCCTAAGGGGTCTTCTCTTACCCTGAATTTTCCAGGAGACCTAGGGACCCACAGTCCCCAAAGGGAGCTGTCACAGGAAGTGATGACTTCGACACCCGTGGGGTCGGGATGCGAATTTCATCAATCTGTTGCCGCCACTGCGTCTCACCACCACACCGTGGCGCTATTGATAGCTGGTTCTGCCCAGTCCCA
The DNA here is from genome assembly GCF_000001405.40 of Homo sapiens. Lineage (NCBI taxonomy): Eukaryota > Metazoa > Chordata > Mammalia > Primates > Hominidae > Homo > Homo sapiens. The sequence goes on along the minus strand of NC_000001.11, from coordinate 201,119,379 downwards.
TGAACTTAGCCGATGAGTAGGTTCCCTGCTACTGATAGATCCTCCTGGGGCCTTTGCTCAGGTTTTCTAAGCTCAGGCAAGGGGGCTCCTGCTGCTTGACTCAGTCTGATGATACTCCAGTCTGTATCTTCCCAGCAGCAGAACTCCATGGGCCACCCTCCAAACACATCTTCAAGGGGGTGCTACCCTCCCAAAAGATGACCGGGGTGACCTTTAGTTCTTCTCTTAGCAGAAGCTAAATAACAGCATTATAATTGGAATCTTCAGCGGGACATCCCCTCCAGGAATTATCATTATAATTGTAATTCCTCTCCAGCAGGAATAATTTACTAAGATCCTTTTGTTAGGTCAGTGTAAACCTCTCTGTTCCTTTGATCAGATGAGAAGCCACTAGTAGAAATACTGAGGGAAGAGGTGGGAAACTGAGGTGGTGGATTAACCTTTATTAGTTCATGAATTCCTAACAGTGGGCCTTTAAAAAGTGACTTACCCTTCATGTGCCTCAAGTTTCTCACCCGTAAAACCAGACAATATTAGCACCTACCTCTCAAGGATGGCGTGAAAATTAAATGAGATGATTCACATCAGGCTCTTAGCATGAGGTCTTGCACATCATGAATAATAAGTGTAGCTATGATTATCATTATTATTATTATTTCACTACAATGTTTGTTTGCTGTTCTATCCTAGTACCTAGAGCAGTCCCAGGATATCCAGGACCCTCTGTACATATTTACTGAATGAAAATCACGCCGCTTAATGGTCATATGCTACACTGTGTTCCTCAGCTTCTGGTATTCAGTGATAGATGCAGAACACAATTCCCTTGCAGCTGTGTACCCCCCTATGGTATCTTGCAGATAGGTTATGAGTTCTCTTTTTTTTTTTTTTTCTTGAGACAGGGTCTTGCTCTGTTGCCCAGGCTGGAGTGCAGTGGTGCAGCCTCAGCTCACTGCAACATCTGCCTCCTGGGCTTAAGCCATCCTCCCCTACTCAGCCTCCCCCTGAGTAGCTGAGACCACAGGCACATGCCACCAAACCCTGCTAATTTTTTTAATTTTTTGTAGAGACAGGGTTTTGCCATGTTGCTCAGGCTGGTCTCAAACTCCTGGGCTCAAGTGATCCTCCCTCCTTGGCCTCACAAAGTGCCGGGATTACAGGCATGAGCCACCTCGCCTGGCTTATCAGTTCTTTTCTAACAGTAAAGACAGAATTGGCTTAAGAAATACATAGTCCTGCTGTGAAGTTTCTTGTTTGAATCACCTTTCTGAATTGTTGTATGAAAAAAGGTAAATAGTATATGAGGAAAATAAATAAGTTATGAATATTAAATCAACATGAACAAATAGTAAGTTGTACTTGTTAAAATTGTCATAAACTTCTGACCCCTATCAAATTAAATTTAAATAATTAAGTCAAATATGAATAGACAGGGATCATATGGGAGAGTGTAGTCTGGATCCCAAATTTGTACAATAAAAGAGAACCGCTAGAAAATCATTTTGAGCAAGGGACTGATAGGTGTTACCTGAGAAATAAAAGCCCTAGCCCCTGCCTTCCGACTGCTTACATTCTGGTTGAAGACATAGAATGCACAACCTTAAAGAGAATGTGCCATCTTAGAATGCACAACCCATGTTGGAAGCCGGAGCGCTCAGGCAGTCAGGATGGGCAGGAGCTGGAATCAAGGATGGCAGGACTCTGGGTAAAGCAGAGAGATGTAGAGAGGGCCCCCAGGACCGGAGCCAGCACAAGCCAAGTGTGAGATCCGGAAAGCAAAGAGTTCCAGAGAAGATTGACCTGAGAGATCTGAAGGTCTGTTTGGGAGACATTTTCTAGAACCTTCTCTTGAAAGCAACGGGGAGGCTTTGAAGGCCACTGAGAAGGGGAGGGATATGTGAATTTGTCCTGAATTCTCAGACATTTGGTTTCACTCTTTTTTTTTTAATGGAGTCTTGCTCTGTCATCCAGGCTGGAATGCAGTGGCATGATCTTGGTTCACTGCACCCTCCACCTCCCAGGTTCAGGCGATTCTTCTGTCTCAGCCTCCCAATTAGCTGGGATTACAGGCACCCACCATTCCACCCAGCTAGTTTTTGTATTTTTAGTAGAGACAGGGTTTCATCATGTTGGCCAGGCTGGTCTCGAACTCCTGTCCTCAAGTGATCTGCCCACCTCAGCCTCCCAAAGTGCTGGGACTACAGGCGTGAGCCACCATGCCCGGCCTGGTTTCACTTTTGAGAGCATACCTAAGTCTCCATGACGCTTAGAATCATTGTTGATTTTTCTTGGTCCTCATTTAGTGTGGAGGACAAAGCTAGCTGGAAACAGACTCAGGGCCTGCAAAAAGGACAGAGGTGAGAGGGTGCAGAAGGAGACATTCTCGGGAATCTGAGTTTGCCACCACCTCCTCCTGTCAGGGAGAGAGCTAGCTCCTTTCTGTCTCTTGGAGAGGCCGTGCCCAGTGGCCAAGGTGTCATGCTGCCCATCACTCACTCACTCGCTAAGTCCTGATCATCTTTTATGAAGAGGGAAAAAATAATAGAGTAGTGTGATAAGTGCTAAGATGGCACTTATGGAACACTGTAGACACACACAAGAGGGGGGAGTGCGATCAGAGAGGCTTCCTAGACAAAATGGCACCTAACTTGGATCTGATAACCACATGCAATGAAGCTTGGTGGCACCTAAACTCAACACACACCAATTATTTCTGAAATAACAACTTCCTAAAGCCTATGAAAGGCTACGTGTAATCAGTCCCACCCTGACAAACCCAGCTTTCTGCCTAATCCTCTCTCTGTTATTCCACATGTATTTGTGGAGCATCTAATACTCAACAGGGGCTGGGCTAGGCTCAGGGCATACAGGTGAAAGAATAGACAGCTCCATTAGGTGCCATGGAGAAACCCAGGGTGGGGTGAGAGGGTGTATCCCAGACCACAGGGACTGGGGCAGGGAAGGCTTTGATGACTGTCTCTGCCAGGCAGAGGGCTTTGAATGGACCAGCAACACCTACCTTGTTATCAAAGAGGCATTCCTTTCCATAAAGAGTTGGCTTCCCTCATTGGCTGATGGCTGCTGCTGCTAATCCAATAAGCAGTCTCAGACCCGCTTCTAGATGTAAGACCCCGGAAGGGATCAGTGATGAGACTTAATCCCCCAGTCTCAAGGGACATGACAAAACTGGGCATTTTTATAAGCTATGACCTTTAGGAGGTGTTTTTTGCATATATTTTTTCACATTTGATTCTCATATCTTATTAATTTCCTGTCAAGGATGTTTCCCTTGCCCTTCCGTTATGGAAACCACGACTCAGAGTGGTCACCCGACTATTAAGGAGTGGACACAAGATTTTAACCCAGATCTGTGCCCCTTCAGTAGCCAACCGCCTCTCCTCATGAGGCTTACAATCCCGTTTGCGGGTGGGGATGATACAAAGAAGCCCATAATACAGGTCTTTCCTAACTGATATGTTCACTCTCCTCTCCTCTTCTTTAGAAATGTTCCCGGGGACTCCCTCCACTGAGCTGGCGCACTCCTAACAGCAGCCATCAGTTTGGGGACCCCGGACAGCCCGGGGATCCCGAAGGCCGCGAGGACCAAGGACCAGGCGCTGGGGTGGGTGTGGAGGACATGGAGCCCGTGGTTTAGGCCTGAGGTGCCCATGTTGGGTGGCAGCAAGAGGCAGGGTGGGCGGGTCTGTGGCCATGCCCATGGGTGCTGCGGAACGGGGTGCGGGCCCTCAGAGTTCCGCGGCGCCATGGGCTGGCTCTGAGAAGGCGTGCACCGACCTCCTGAGAGGGGCCACACTTGTCTAGGGCGATGGCTCTTGTTAGGGAGTCATTGGAAGCCACCCTAAAGGGCGAAAAGAGGCCCTAGCAAGTCCTGGTACCCAAGAGCTGCTGCTAGCGATGTGACTTGCCCCACTGGTGGAGACGGTGCAGACCCCAAGCCGGGGCCATTCGGTGGAGGCCTCGCTCTGGGTCCAGCTCCACGCGGCACCATGAACAATAACTTCTGCCGGGCTCTGGTGGACCGGAGGCCTCTGGGGCCCCCCAGCTGCATGCAGCTGGGCGTCATGCCCCCTCCCCGGCAGGCGCCCCTGCCCCCCGCCGAGCCCCTGGGCAACGTGCCCTTCCTGCTGTACCCGGGCCCAGCAGAGCCGCCCTACTACGACGCCTATGCGGGGGTGTTCCCCTACGTGCCCTTCCCCGGCGCCTTCGGGGTCTACGAATACCCCTTCGAGCCAGCCTTCATCCAGAAGCGCAACGAGCGCGAGAGGCAGCGAGTCAAGTGCGTCAACGAGGGCTACGCTCGCCTCCGCGGCCACCTCCCCGGCGCCCTGGCTGAGAAGCGACTCAGCAAGGTGGAGACGCTGCGCGCCGCCATCCGCTACATAAAGTACCTGCAAGAGCTGCTGAGCTCGGCCCCCGACGGCTCGACGCCCCCCGCTTCCCGCGGCCTCCCGGGCACCGGGCCCTGCCCCGCGCCGCCCGCCACCCCCCGTCCCGACCGCCCTGGCGACGGCGAGGCCCGGGCGCCCTCCTCCCTGGTGCCGGAGTCATCCGAGTCCTCCTGCTTCTCCCCGTCGCCTTTCTTGGAGTCGGAGGAATCCTGGCATTGATCGGGCCTGTGGCCGCCCCCGGCTTGGAGGATGATCCGCCGGCCCCGTCCCACTTTCGGGAGCAGCGGGAGGCTGTTGGGTCACCCGCGATGCGCCGCAGGACGGTGACTGTAGGAGGTCCGCGGCGCTCCCGTGTCTGCGACACCCTCCCTCCTCCACCAGCTTGGGGCGGAAGTGCAGGGCAGCGGGTACGATGGGCACGATAGAGACCTAGGAGCTCCGTGGGTGAAGCGAGGGGCAGGGCCTGGGACTGCTCCGGGCGTCCTGCGTCCCCTCCGGGGTGCAGAGGGGCTCCCCAGGACGGTCATCCCTGGGTCTGGCTCCCGCTCGGCCTCAGGTGGCTCTGCTCCGTCCTTCCTTGCCGCAGGCGCAGTCCAGTCTCTGCGAGTCCCCGGGATGCGAGCCCGACTTTGAGCCCTCGGTTACCATGCCACTGCTCTCCACCAGATGGCCTCAGATACTAGCGACTTCTTTGGGAGCACGCTTACTCCTCGAGAAAGGAACCCAGAGGAAGGGATGGGAGGCCAGATTGCTGCTGGCGCTCAGCCCAGACCGAACCTACAGACTCAGCAGAGGCGACCTGTGTGCCCCGGTGGCGTTCTCTGGCTTCCTGGGTTGGGAGGGGGGGTTACTCCCTCCCCGCATCCCCCCCATGAGGTCGTCTAGTTTTGTCCCAGGTTGGGTGGGGACTGTGGTTTTTTTCCCTCAGACTGTAAGCCTTGGGGGAGGGGGGCGTGCATATAGGTACATAGGCACTGCGTCGGCACCAAAGAGCTAAATAAAAGGATTGTTGAATTTTCTCATTCCTAGATCATTGTCTACCCTCACCCTTCCTGGTGCCCCTTTCTTATTCTCACTCCCAGCCCAGAGTACTTGCTGGGAGGATATGTGGGGTTCGCTGTTAGCTCAGCACATTTAAGATTCAGTGTTGTTAGCTCAGGCGTTCAATGAATTTTTTTTTTTTTTTTTTTTTTTTTGAGACAGGTTTTGCTCTGTTGCCCAGACTGGAGTGCAGTGATTCAATCCCTGCTCACTGCAACCTCCTTCTCCTGGGTTTGAGCAATTCTCCTGCCTCAGCCTCCAGAGTAGCTGGGATTATAGGTGCACACCACCACGCCCGCTAATCTTTGGTATTTTTAGTAGAATGCGGGTTTCACCATGTTGGCCATGCTGGTCTCGAATTCCTCACCTCAAGTTATCTACCTACCTTGGTTTCCCAAAGTGCTGGGATTACCGTGGCTATCCTCAATGAACTTTTCTTTTTGAGACAAGGTCTCACTCTGTCTCACTCTGTCATCCAGGCTGGAGTGCAGTGGCCAGATCTTGGCTCATTGCAGCCTCAACCTCCCAGGCTCAACTGATCCTCCCACCTTGGCCCCCCTAGTAGCTGGGACTACAAACACACACCACCATACCCTGCTAATTTTTGTATTTTTTGTAGAGACAGAGTTTCACTACGTTGCCCCGACTGGTCTTGAAGTCCTGAGCTCAAGCCATTCTCCCACCTCAGCCTCCCAAAGTGTTGGGATTACAGGCGTGAGCCACCATGCCTGGCCTCAGTGAACATTTACAGGGAGCATAGTACATAGGGGGACTGTGCAGAGAAGGGGCCAGAGTCCCAGAGATAATGCACACAACCTTTACACCTGTAGGGATGGGAGGAGATGGGGAAGAAAGATACACAGCAGATGCTCCACAGTGAGGCAGGTGCTATGCCAGAGGTGTGCACACTCAGGGTTGTTCTGGGAGCCTTCTAGCCCACTGGAGAGGGGTTTACTGTTTCTCTGACATGGGATTGCTTGTGGGGGTGGGTTGAGGGTATGCTTGGGGAGTTTTGGCTGATGGTGCAGATACTGAGATGGGTAGGGGCTGCTGTGGAGCTGTCCTGACTTAGGCTGCCCAGTGCCTTCTCCAGACAATGTCATGGGGCTGAGGAGGGGTAAGCCTAATTTTGGCATGAGGGGGCCACTCTGCAGTTTGAGGTTCCATATCCAAGGCTACCTATTCCTGACCTCTGTTGCCCCAGGCTTGAAACCTTCCATCCTGTCTCCCTCTCCCACTGCCCCTGCCCCATCCCAGGCCTGTGTGTAAGTTCTTCCCCCGACCCACCCCACCCTCCTCAGGGGACAGATTGGGAAGTCACTGGCTGGGCTGGGTGGAATGACAGCTGCCTGGCCTCAGAAGCTCAGGCCCGGCAGCGGGGAGCCGAGTGGAGGCTAATTTTACTTGCTGGGAGCGAGGAGAGTAATCCTCCTGCCCCCACTCCTGCCCCCGCCCCCTGGCTGGCTCAGCAGGGCAGGCTCAGCCGACAGCCTCAGCCAGCCTAGTCCCCAAGGCGGGGGCATTGGGGACACAGGGAAGGGAAAGCACTGGGGTGGGGGAGCAGGAGAAAGCCAGATTCCCAGGGAAGCCATGGAGCCATCCTCACCCCAGGATGAAGGCCTGAGGAAGAAACAGCCCAAGAAGCCAGTTCCTGAGATTCTGCCAAGGCCACCCCGGGCCTTGTTCTGCCTGACCCTGGAGAACCCCCTGAGGAAGGCCTGCATCAGCATTGTAGAATGGAAGTATCCTTCAGGGCCCGGGCCGTGGGGGGGGGTGTGCGTCATGAGGGAGGGATTCGGGGTGATCACAGAGCACAAACTTCCTACAGGAGGGCCAGGGAGGCCTGGCACTTAGACATGGGGTGAACTCACAGAATTGAGTGAGGAGCTGGGGGAAGGAGCCCTCGGCTAAGCAGGAGAGGAGGAGGAGGAAGAGGAGGAAGACGAGGAGGGTGGGGGAGGAGGAGGAAGAGGAGGAGGGTGGGGGAGGAGGAGGAAGAGGAGGAGGAGGAAGAGGAAGAGAAGGAGGACTTGGTGGGGCTTCCTGGGCCTGAGTGGGCCACCCAAGTCCTGGATGACAACCAGAGATGCCTACTGACCACCTATGGGTGGGGCCTGTTTCATGGGGACTGTTCCCATGTGTGCCCAAATCCACATTATCATGGGGTGCCACTAGGTTTTTGAAGCACCAGCCTCATTTTAGAATAGGATAGGGACCAAAAAAAGATGCGATGGCCTCTTTGAGAAAACTCTCCCTTGTTTGGGTTGGGTGGGGGGTGACAGTGGACAGAGGTGAGCTGAAGGAAGGCTTCCTCTGGGGGCAGGTCCCAGCTGAGGACAGAGCCAAGGGGAGAAATGGATCTGAAAGACACCTGGTCTCAGTGGCTCCAAGACACAGGCCAAACAAGCCTGGTTGTTCTAGCTCAGACGTGCCACCCTGGGGACAGGGACTTTGAAACTCATGCTATGTTTGCATTTGCTCTGGTGGGGAGAATGATGAAAATATCTGGGTTATTTGGGGAAGGGAGGAAGGAGTGACAGAGAGAAGGGGAGGGCTGTGTCAAGTGGGTTCTGAGAGCGAGGGTGGGGCATATTTGAAATATTTCTGAAGAGTTCTGGAAGGCTGGGCTCCTACCAGCTGTTCCCTAGAAGGAAGGAGAATGAGGGATAACTGGAAGGACAAGAGAAACGTGGGGCAAGTAGAGATAGTTTGGGGTCAGGGTCAGCCCTGTTCCCCTGACCCGCTCTCGGCCAGGCGGTATATCGCCCACATCAAACCCTCCTAGGCCCTCCCTCCTTGCCTCTCTTCTGCAATCAGGTTTACTCTGTGGGTTCTCCCTCTCCTCCATCCTCTGCTCCTCTGCGCCCTGCCCCTGTGGCCCTCCTCTTTTCTCAAACACTGGAGGTTACTGGGAAGAGAATGGGATTTTTCTGTCAAGCCCAACTACGTAATATGCCTCCCCATCCACCCCCAAACAACTCCCTCGCTTCCTCCCTTGCTTTCTCTAGCTCTTTCCAGACTTGCTGCCTAATGGGCCAGAAAGTCGAGAAAGCCATGGGCCTGGGGTACCCTCTGGAAATGGCTGTGGCGGGGTGGGTGTGTCTGGGAGGGGTGAGGTGTGATGGGTGTGAGCACGTGCACACCAGCATGTGCACATGGCTCTGGAAATTCAGCATTCATCTCTCCATCTCTCCTTCCCAGTCCTACTCAGTGAGTTCTCAACCTTACCCTGCATCAACCCTTACCCTCCCATGCCATTTATCTGGGTAAGCCTCTGTGGATTGGCCAGAATCTGCCAAAGTCATGGCTCCTTGGGAGCAGGCAAGGGCATGGACAGGCGCTGAGAGTGGAGCGGTGTGAAGACCCCCTAGGCCTTAAAGCTGAGGAGCCCTCAGCCAGGGACCAGACCTTTGCCATTCCAAGGAGTCTACATGAAAGTGACTTGTTCCTGAGGAGAGGGAGCCAGAGGTCAAGGCAGGAACCTGGTCCTCACTGTACCCTGCAGGGGCTCAGGGAAGGAGCAGCGTGGGCGAGCGTCCATGAGCCTGTCCAGCAGCCTGGCATCAGAGTCACAGTCCAGACTGACCCTCAGCGCCCTCATCCCCTTAACCCTGTAAGTCCCTTGCCTCACTCGAGGGCTCTCCTTAACCCTGGCTCCAGGCCCTTCGAGACGATCATCTTGCTCACCATCTTTGCCAATTGTGTGGCCCTGGCCGTGTACCTGCCCATGCCGGAAGATGACAACAACTCTCTGAACCTCGGCCTGGTAAGATTGGCCCTTCCATCTCCCTTCCTGCGAGCCTGCAGCCCCAGGCTTGGGGAGGCCCCCTTGGTGGACTCTGTTCTGGGGGATGGTGCCGGTGGTTCAACTCCCTGACGATGCAGGCCCTGCATCCCCAGCCACCTGCAGGGCTGGCTGAGTGGCTCAATGGGTTTCCAGGGTCAACCTGCTTATTCCAGATTCTGATACTGTCAGCCAGCACTAAGCACGCACTCATTGGTCCCAGGCACTGTGCTAATACCTGATGAGAGTAAATTCATTTAATCCTCACAACCAACTCATAAAGTGGTTCCATTTGACAGATGTGGAAACTGAGGCTTAGTAAGGTCAGCTAGTGAGCCACAGAGGTTGAATGCTAATTTCTCTTCCCCAAATGTAATTCATAAGAAACTTGTGTCCACTAAGTTTGCCTTCATGGGAGAGTTTTATCCAGGAATCTGAAGCAAGGACATGTTTTAGAGTTTTATAATACCACTATCTCTTCACCCCTTCATCAGTAACACATACCTGGAACCATAAAATGCCAGGGCTGGAAGGAATATTCAAAAATTAAGCTGTCCTACCTCCTCCCCACCTCATTCTGTTTTATGGATGAGAAAACTGAGACCTAGAGAGGTTCAGGGACTTACTTACTCAATAGCTAATTAATAATAAAAATGGCTAGCATTTAGTAAGTGCTTATTAAATGCCAGGATTTGTGCTAAATATTTTACATTATTGTATTATTTAATCCCTATAACTACTCCTGTGGGGTAAGTAACATTATTAGACCCATTTAAAAGACAAAGGAGACTGATATTCAGAGAGTTTAGGCACATTACCCAGGGTCACCCACATCTATATCTTGTGGTAGGGCCTCCAGCTTGGTCTCTCTGATTTTAGAACCTCTTTTTTTTTTTTTTTTTGAGACAGAGTCTCACTCTGTTGCCCAGGCTGTGTGATCTCGGCTCTCGGCTCACTGCAACCTCCGCCTCCTGGGTTCAAGTGATGCTCCTGCCTCAGCCTCCCAAGTAGCTGGGATTACAGGCGCCTGCCACCATGCCCAGATAATTTTCATATTTTTAGTTGAGATGGGGTTTCGCCATGTTGGCCAGGCTGGCCTCGAACTCCTGACCTCAGGTGATCCACCAGTCTCAGCCTTCCAAAGTGCTGTGATTATAGGTGTGAGCCACCACACCTAGCCAGAACCTGCTCTTGTACAGGCTGTGTTGCCAAGGTGATGGGTGACGGCAGAAAGACTTCTAGGGGAAGCCCTCTTATAAACAGTGGCCTCAGGCTCCCTAGGGGACAGAACAATGGAACCACCTTTTCAACAGGGCTTTTTTCCTGCACTGAAACTGCAGGGCCTGGGAGGGAGGAGGCATATTTGCATGTGTCCAGGGCCTGACACATCTCTGCCTTTCCTTTATGCTGGTTTCCATGGGAATCTATCTTGAGCTGATGGGAAGCTGGGATTCTAAATGTGTGCTTGCTATGAGGGGAAAACACTCTGAGCTCCTGAGTGTGGAAGGAGAGTGGGATTAAATGTTGGCAGGGCCAATGCCACCTTTGCCGGCAAGGAAGGCATTTCTTAAACTCTGGGCATTCTACACCATAGGGTTAGTCTCCATGTCCCTGAATGCAGGGAGAGCTCTAGGTCTACCCCACCCTTCAGGATTTCATATTTTTGGGCCTCAGTTCCCTGTGACATTGACTACTTTTGTAAAAAAACTCTGCCCCACCTTGGAGGATATTAAATTTTACCTCTGCTGGATGCAGTGACTCATGCCTGTAATCCCAGCACTTTGAGAGGCTGAGACGTGAAGAAATCTTGCATCCAATAGTTCAAGACCAGCCTGGGCAACATAGAGAGACTCCCGTCTCTACAAAAATTGAATTAGCGGGGCCTGGTGGTGCATGCCTCTTGTTCCATCTACTCGGGAGGCTGAAGTGGGAGGATTGCTTGAGCCTGGGAGGTCGAGGCTGCAGTGAGCCAAGATCATGCCACTGCACTCCAGCCCGAGTGACACAGTGAGACCCTGTCTCAAAAAAAAAAAAAAAAAATTACATCTTAATGGTTATGTCATCTTCCATCCTGAAACAAAATTGGCTCCCTTAACTGTTTCACGTGGTCCTGTGTATGTTTTTCTTTAGTTTGTGGGCTGGAGTTGCAAAACCTTGGGTTAGGCCTAGAGTTCATAGAGACAGTATTATGAGTTCCCTGCAAGTCGGAAACCTAATCAGAAATGTTTCCAAAGCAGCAAATGCCACCTGGCATGTCAGAGCTCTATGGGAAATGAATGCTCAGTGAGGACTCCTAACCTGACCCCTTAATTGTGAAGCCCAGAGAAAGTCGGTGATACCCAAGGTCGCTCAGCCACCTTCGAGCTCAGGGGTCCTCACTGTTCATGTCCACAAAACCCAGCAAGAGGGAGATGAGAGGAGTCAGAGTAGAAAAGGGCAGTAGGCACTCTCTCTCTTGCCCTATTGGCTGCTTTGTAGGTAGCAGAGAAGGGTTGGGGTCTTTCCAGTCATCCAGAATAACCCGTAGCTTTCAAGAAAGGAGGCCTAAGGTTTAATTATTCATGACCTTTCTCATTCATTTAACGAATGCATCTTTAGTGTCTATCACATCCCTGGCACATACTGGGGATATCACTGTGAACCAAATAGACACATTTCCCATCTTCACAGAGCTTCATTACATGGATTAAACAAGTAAATATAATAAAACCAATTAAACAGGTAGTTAAAATGAAATGGGAAAGGTTCAAGATTTGGGGATATTATGGTAGCATATTGACAGAGAACCTAAGCTAGTCTTGAGATCAGGAAGGCTTCCCCAAGTATGGGATGTTTAACCTGAGACCTAAAGGTTGAGGACAGGGACAGCTCACACAAGTGCCACCTATGCAGTCCCAGAGGACTCCCACTCAGAAGGGCCCCACATTTGGGGTTGAATGCTCTGTGGTCAAAGTATTGAGATTTTAATTAATTTTATCTTTGAATTTATGATTTGTAAGTGAAGTCCATTGGGACAATGGCACATGCACCTCAAGCTTGGAACCTTGGCTCACAAAAGGTCCTGACTTCTGCCATCTCCCTGCCTCTAAGGAGGGGCTCTCAGCTTGATGTTTTGCCCTCTGGGGTCCTGGGCCACTTGGCAGAGGCCTGAGTGGGAGAATGGGAAGGGCCGTGTCTCAGGGAAGGACATGGCTCTGGTTGTCTCTACCCTGGGCTGACATTGCTGCAGTCCATTCAGTAAATGACCTATGAGGTTGAGCCTCCAAGGCCCTCCCCGATTCTGGGTACTTACTGTTTCCCAGGAAGCAGAGATTGCAACACCCTTGGGTGCCGGATGTCCACTATGGGTTGAGGTGGTGGGTCTGAGTGAAGGGGAGATGCCTGGCTCCACACCTCCACCTCTGGCCAGGGCACAGGATGTCGGGCTGTGGGATGGTGAGGGTGGAGGGGGAAGATTAGGAGGAGGCGCTTGTGGCAATCTGCACTTGCCCTGCACAACACTGAACAGCAATCAAAAGACACCACAGTAGGCTGAGAAAGGGGCTGAAAGAAAGGGAAAAGCTTTATATTTAGTACCTTCATCAGCACTCATTTCCTACTGTTTGAACGTGGGGGCCCACATTTTCACTTGTACTGGGCCCCCCATTATGTAGCCTGGCTGTGAAGGAGCGCATTGTAGAAGGCCAAGCGGGAGAGGGGATTCTGGGCAGAGGAAGCCACGTGGGCAAAGGGCTGGAGGCAAGAGACAGAGAGGTCAGGGGGGGATTTAGAAAAATCTCTCAGGCCCCATGTGGAGCATGGATTGGGGTGACGTGGGGTGAGATGGGAAGCAGGGAAGGGGGCAGGGAGCCCAGGGAAGTCATCCAGGCAGGAAACAGGGGAGGCTGGGCCAAGGCACTGGTGATGGTAAAGATGGCTGTGAGGTGGCCTTAAGAAAGACCTGCCAGGTGGAATCCATGGTGAGGACTGGAGGTGGGGATGGAGGTGTGGGGGAGGGGGAGGATGACACTTGGGGGTCAGAAGTGGACAGAGCAGATGGCAGTATCACTTACCAAGACTGCAGATGGGGGTAGGGAGGAGGAAGGTGGTGAGTTCAACTTCAGATGTGTGGTGATACAGGTGCCTGTGTCCACTGATGGGTAATTGGATTTGCAGGTCCAAGCATTTTATGACAGAGGTTTCCTCACTTTGGCACATGCCAAACTGGCTGGGTGGGGCAGGGGCGGGGATGGTTGTGGGCAAGAAGGGCTTCCCTCAGTTGCCGTGTGTGCGAGCAGGGCCGGGGGTGTGACTGCTGTCTGTGGGAATAGGCTCCCTTGGCAGTGTCCCTCCATATCCCTTCTGCCAGCACTGGCTGAGGGTAATAGACTTGGGGCCCGGGTTTCCTGGGGCTAGAGGTACACCTCTGACTCTGCCTGCTCTGTGTCTGTGGGAAATCCCAGGATCTTCCCTGAATAGAAGAGGAAACTGAGGCCCAGAGAGAGCAAGGAGTCCTGGGAATGAATATGCAGCTGATCAGAGGGTGGCAAGAGGAGGATCCAGGATGCTGACATCCTGGCCAACTGTGGGATGTCACAGTGGCACGGGCCTCTGAAATCAGCCCATTATGGCATGGTGGTTATAAAAATGGGTTCTGGAGCTAGAATCTGCTTTTGAGCCCAGGCCCACTCACCTACTAGCTGTGTGATCTTAGACAAGTTATGTAACCTTTCTGTTCCCTCAGTTTCCTCCTTTATAAAATGGGGATGATATTGTATACTTGAGAGAGGTAACTGGATGAGTGAAGACCTTCTAAGTTGTAGTGCTTTATCTATCAACAGAAGGAACTTTGATCATGCAGGCCCCACAGAGCAGGCTCACCAGCCAAAAAGCCTATAGTCACAGAGACCCCCAGGTTGTTCTAGATTCAAAGGGTCTAACCCCCAACAGTTATGCCAAAGGATTATTTCAGGTAAAGAATTCCTCTTCACCCTGCCCATCGTTTGTCCCTGATTTCTCTTTAACTCTGTGTCTTCTCTCCTTGAAACCCCTAACTTTTCTTAATGGCTTTCCTGATCACCCCTCCCCAGTCCTCCAGCAAATCAGCAGCAGCAGCAGCAACAATGACATTCAATATTTATCGATTACTTGCATATTGTCAGTCACTGTTCTAATGCCTTATATGTGTTATCACACTGAATGCCCATGAGGCAGGTACTTTTATTTTTCTCATTTGTACAGAGGAGTAAACCACAGCGCAGAGAGGTTAGATCACTGCACATGCCCAGGTGGCTCTGTGGGCAGGCCTACATCCTTTATTGGGCAGGGTTACCATTCCAGCCTAGGCCAGGCTGAGGGGACCAATGTGGAAAAGCAAAAACAATTATCAGACTTCCTAATTGTTGGGCAGACATGATAAACTGATTGCTTTTGCTACATTATCTCATTTCACCCTCAAAGCAATCCTATGTCAAAGTATGATGTTCAAAAAGTGAAAACACAACTGTGAGTAAAATATCCAAGGAACACATATCAAAGATTAGTTCAACTCAAAAGAGAACAAGCAGGCGTGTGAAGCTGAGTTAAAGGGAATTAGAGCAGCAGAAGTTATGACACCGGAGAGAGAATGATGGAATAGGATTGCTAGGTTAGATACCAAGCTGGTTAATGTCCTACAGGGCAATAAAACTCTAACCATTGGGGTTATCTTCCTATCAGGCAGAATTCATTTGCATCTCTAGAGGACAGAATAGTGAGAGCTAAACAAAGTTACATTCCCTCCTAGGTCAGTGGTTTTCAAGGGATTGGGGAGGGGAAGTAGTTCTGCCCCAGAGGACATTTGGCAACAACTGGAATTGTGAGGGGGAGGGGCAGGGGCGGAGATGTGTCCTACTAGCATCTAGTGGGGTAGAGGCAGGGGCCCTGCAATGCACAGGACAGCCCCCTCCCACCAACAAAGAAGTATCCAGACCAAAATATCATTAGGGCTGAGGTTGAGAAACCCTGACCTGGATAATTAGATAATCCTTGGCCAGGCCTGTTATAAAATGCTCCAACATGATATTACAAAGATATGGCATCCTTTCTTTGCTTTATTTCCAAGTTCTGGATAATTTAGATTTTTCTTAAGTAGATGGTGCCTGCTCTCCTCGAGGGCAGGGCAGGGCAGGGCAGGGCCTGGCAAGCTCTGCAAGATGGCTGCCCATTTGGCCCCTCCTGGGCTGCAGGGTGGCTTCCCACCCCTCAGGCATCAGCAGGCTCCACCAGGCCCCTGTCGCATTCCTGGGGTTCAAGTTGCTGCAGCGTCCTCCACGAGGCTGGAGCCTAAGCCTCTGGCAGCCAGGGCGTTTGTCTTTTTATAGGGTCTGGAATGCGCTCGCCAACTCTTGTGGCCAGCAGCCCATTCCCCTCGCCATCTGGGGAGGCTGGGGCCTCAGAAGGACCGCAGCTCTGGCCTCACCCCTTAGAGATCCAGGACCTGCAGAGCACAGGGTGGTTTGAGCCTGGGCCACTGTACAGAGAAGTGATGGTGCTCCAAAAGGGTCTGTGGAAATGAATGAAAGCCTGGATTTTAGACCCACCTGGGAGCCTGCCCTCCCACCACTGCAAGAACTCAGGTCCCCTTTCAGGGCACTTAGATTCTCCCCCGCCCATCCCAACCCATGCCCCTTCACACCAGGCACAGGGGCTGCAGACACTGTAATAGCTGAACAACAGAAGCCTTGGAGGAAAGCCTTGGAGGAAAGCCTTTGCCCAAGCTTTGCTAGCTCCCTGGGGAGTCGCAGGAAAGGACGGCCTCTCAAGTCAAACCAACCTGCCTCCAATCTAGACTGGTTGGCAGCTTCCTAAACTCTCTGAACCTCCATTACCTCATCTGTGAACAGAGGACCACAATATCTTTCTTTCTTTTTTTTTTTTTTTTGAGACCAAGTCTCCTCTGTCACCCAGACTGGAGTGCAGTGGCACGACTTCACCTCACTACAACCTCCACTTCCCAGGTTCAAGCAATTCTCCTGTCTCAGCCTCCCGCATAGCTGGAACTACAGGCACACGTCACCACACCTGGCTAATTTTTTTTTGTTTTTAGTAGAGACAGGGTTTCACCATGTTGGTCAGGCTGGTCCACAATATCTTTCTTTTCAGGACTGTTATATCCATGAGTGCAACAACCTCGTGTCTGACCTGGCACACAAGAGTTGCTCAATAAATGTTCATTCCCTTCCTTCTCTGACCTCCCAGCACTAACAGCCCACAGCTGAAGTCACACTGAACCCAAGCCTCGGGGGGCAAAGACAGACCTGGGGTGGATTGAGGGCGGGATCTGACAAATGTACCCAGGTGTCCCAGGCATACTGTATCTTTCTCTCCCCTCTGCCTGGCATAGTGGTTGAGACCATGGAGTCTGGAATCAAACTGTCTATACATATCATGGCTCTGCCTCTTGGTAGCTATGTGATCCTGGAGAAATTAATCCCTCTGTGCTTTGGCTTCCTCATCTGTAAAATGGGATAAGAGTACCTACCTTAGTCGGCTGTCGTCCGAAGCTAGGGAGGATGATGATGGACTGCTCCGCACAGACTGGGATGCGTGTTGGGTATGGGTATGACTGTATGTCCACTCTCAGTGGGAGCTGGGCAACACGGAGGAGTTGGTGGTCCTGTTGCTTGCTGATGGAAATATGTCGGGCCTTCCTTTTCAACTGGTTCCTCTATTGGGCCCAAGGGTTGGGAGTAGGAGACAGTATCCGAGGCTGACGAGGGCCTGCCTCTTACCTTGGGCACCTCGTTGTTTCCGGCCTGTACCCTTCCCTACCTTTGCCCTCCCAGTGGTTGTATGTGGGAAGCCCGTCTCAGTTCCTGTGACCTATTCACCTTGAACCAAGGAAGAGTGTCTGGCCTCTGCTGTGACACTGGGATCCGAGGCCTTTCCCTGCCCAGTCTGGAGCCTGCCCCACACTTCACCAGGCACTGGACTCCAGGAGGACCCCCTCCTCCCCCTTTCTTGTCTTCAGGTCACGCCACCCTGTGCTGTATCCAGCACCACAGAAACCTCAGTGTTCGTCCTCCACTGGGCTCGGAGGCACAAGGAAGCCTTGGGGTGTGGTGAAAGACTGTTCTTATCTAGAGTTTACTCCCAGGCCAGGGGACTACCGTCTTCTTCACACACATCCTTGAAAGAGAAAGCCCCTTTGGGGCAGAGAGGTGAGGGCTTCATCTCAACATATGCTGATGGAGGAGGGGGGATGCTTTTTCTTTTCTTCTTGTACTTTTTTTTTTTTGGACTTGTTAGGAGTTAATGTTGCAAAGAGTAGCTTACATCTTCACTTTCTGAAGACACTTGAATTGAGGACCAATGTAGCTGTCATGGCAAGGGCCATCGGGGCTGGCCACCTCACACCCACCATCCTCCCATGGGGCTCCAAGACCTGAGACACAAGGCAGCAGCCTGCCCAGATCCCCCTGTTCATCCTGCATGCTCCCAAGGTTGGTCCATGCCAGCACAAACTTTGGGCATCAGACACCAGAAGGTGTGTGTGCCTCGGCCCTGAAAGGTGCGAGTCTCTCTCACCCTCTCCTGCATCTGGGAGCAGATGCATTGCCAGTAGAGGAGGGCCACCCGGCCCTGCCCCAGCCGGGACCCCTGCAGCTCAGGTAGAGGTGCCGAGCCCCTGTGTCAAAGTTGCTAAACGTTTTACTTTTGTTCCATCCTAGCTCTTTTTTCCTCTTCCCTGATTATTGATTTTATGAAAGATACATCTCAGAAGGCCCTGGAAGTGAGAAGGAGGGGCAAGGAAGATGACTAGTTATGGAGGGTGAGGGTTGTTTTTTGTCAAAAGCCTGAGTAGAGTTATCTGGGTTATGTGACACCCTCCGGGATGGAACCCCAGAGAACCTCCTGTGTGGAAAGGTCCCTGGATTTTCCCCAGCCCGCAGCCTCTCCACCTTCAGCCATGTTCATTCATGGCAGAGAAGATAAGAATTTTTAAGAACTTATTATAGCCCATTTCTCACTAGAGAGGAAAACTTATCTGGCTTTGTGGAGAAATTTCCATCTTACACTCATAGTACATGATCTTTACTACATGCTAGGACATCACATTTAAAAGGACATTAAAATAAAGAAATGTAAAACGCTTGGATGAGCTTGTATTATGACATTAATACTATTGAGAGTATCCGCTTTCTAGGCTAAAGAGATTCATTCATTCTTCTATTACTGCGTTAGCCCTTTGTAATCTGTGATGATTATTTTTCTTTTTAATACAAAAATGTATACAAATAAAAACTTGAAAAGGCAAAAAAAAAAAAGTACTTACCTTATAAAGTTTCAGTGAGGATTAAATGTATGCATGTGGCCAGAATAGGGCCGGGCTCATAAGCGGGTGCTTACTAAAGCTTAGCTATTATTATCCTCATTACCCAAGACAGCACTGGTCTCCCTTTCTCTCCCAGCCCCCTTCACCCTGAGCATGCAGAGCCCTACTGGGACCCTCAGCCCCATTGTCCCTCTGTCTAGTCAGCCCTGGTGTGTCTGGCCCACCCAGACCTGAGGGAGCTTGGTTCCCTGGTAAGGGAAGTGCTGTACAGGGAGGGGAAGAGGGAACTGGAAGAGGGAAATGAGACCCCTGAGACAGAGGTAGGATGGCAAGGGATACCCATTCCAGTTACGTCTATTTGGGTGAGCGTTCGTTGGGCTAAACATAGCCACTTCCCTCACTCCTCAGCAGGTCATCTTCCAAACCTGGAGGCTGAGGTGTTTGTGGAGATGCCAGGGCCCTGGACACCCAGTGTGCGGCGTGGCCATAGAGGCCAGCACATCAGGCCGGCCTACCAGAAACGCTGTTGCTTCAGTCACAGCAGGCAACGCCTCCTTGCCTTTAGCAGACACCTCATTCCCCTCTAAGTCTCACTTCCAACCTCTGTGAAACAGGAAAAACAGCACAGCCGGAGCAAACCTCCGTCCACAACTGAGGTGTGCAAGAAATGACTTATTTTTTCCTGTGAACCAACTTTCCATGGATCCTGAGCACATATCCCTCTGGGATGGAGAGGGATCACTGCAGCTATTCTGGTGCTTTCAGTTATCCCGCCTGCCTGGGGAATGTGCCCAGGCCCTGGGTCTCAGGCAGTGTGCAGGTGACAGGGTTATAGGTCCTCTGCACCCTTCTTAAGGCAGGAATCGAGGCTGGGTCCTGCTTTCTTGGGGGTCCCAGGGCCTCCTCCCAGATCCTGCCACACCTTCAAACTGTGAGCTCTACCCCTGAGACTTCCCAAAGCTGCAGTGATTCTCAGGCTTTGAAAAACAAAAGCCTGGGGCCCTGCCACAAACCCATCCTGAGGCAAGGGGGCCCAGTCCAGCTGTCAGCTTAAGGGAACAAGAAAGTGAGGGAATCCGGGAGGAAAGCAATCAGGAATATTGTAAAACTGTCTTCTAATAGTAGCACCTGCCAAGCCTGTGTGGAGAGCTTCCTGTAAGGTTCCTAAGAGGGAGGGGACATTTGAGGATGTCTGTCCTCCACCCCAGCCTGAGCTCCCTGCAAGCACCCTGGGCTTCCTCCTCCTCAGCCAAATCCACCTTGCCTCCATGCAGCACACGTGCCTTAAAGAGTTAACAACGAATATGAGTCCATTGCCTCCCTGTCCCAGTGAGATTTATGCCTGAGCAGGTCACCATGCCTTGAACCTAAAGAAGGAGATTTTCAGGCCCAGGTGACAGGCAGTCATGTGGTGGCAGTGCACATTCCCAGGGAGCCCTTCAACTGCAGCCACTTTGCTGCCTCTGCCAGCCCCTTCCCAGGCCAGCCCAGTAAGGTCCTTTCAGTGAGCTCTGTAGATCCCAGAACCCTCCAGCGGGGCACATGGGGAGCCTGGGAGCCTGGAGTCCTGACCAGGCCACTGTGCTAGGGGTAGGATTGCAGGGGAAGAAGGTGTGGTATCTGCTGCCTCTGTGGTCCCAGATAGGGAGACTAGAGCTGGGCAGATCCCTTTGGAGGAAAACCCAACCAGCTCTCATCATCTTCCCACAAAGCCCCATGCGGGCCAGGGGAGGAGAAGTATTCAGGACTGGCTGACCCTTGGAAATAGCAGACTCAGCCTGAAAATAGAGGCAGTGGGAGGGTGAGGGGATGTGCGGTCCCAGCCCTGCTTTTTTCAACCCAAGACTCTGGAAGTACCTGGCTCCAATGCCCCTGGGAGCAGGTGCAAGGCCTGTGCATCAGGGGTCACACACCACGCCAACCTCCAGCTAAGTTTGGCCCCAGGGAGCACCAGTTAGAGGCTTGTCTATGGAAGGATGAGAATTTCCTTGAAGGGGACATTTAATAATAAAGGCCCTTGTTGGGGGGTGAGGTAAGGGAGCTCTCACCTCACGAAGTTGGACGGGCTCACTGTCCTCCCCTGAGCTCAGAGATCAGGGGGTCAGGGACAGCCACTGCCCTCCTGCTCTGGGGTCAGAGCCTGAGGTCCAGTGTCTCTTCTTAGGAATGCAGATCCCAAGGCTGCACCTGGTTCGAAGGTGAGCAGAAATTGTGACTTTCCATTGTTCATTTATTCAACAAACATAGCCTGAGAGCCTCCTGTGTGCTGGGCAGGATGACGCATTCTATAGCAGAGCTTCTCAGATGATCTGTAGGGAAAGACCACAGTTCGTCGTTTTTAATTTCTACTCCATCATGGCCTGATACATGGTCCTACTGCATGGGTGTACTGCATTGATGACACTGTTCTCTTCGTGTGTGTGTGCCAGCTGGGATTTGCCATGTGACTTTGACAAACCCAGAATGGTCTATAGTCCACCCACATGCATGGAAGTGGCTGCAGATTGCCATAGAATTTTCCAAATGCTTACTCAATGCCTACACTGACCTCATCTCAGAGTGATATCGACGGTGTGCAGCCGCACCTGCCCACAGCCTGCACCTCTAGCAGCAGTGCCCCGGGACACTGGTTCATTTATTCCATCACAGACTTTCAGGCACTGTTCTAGATGCAGTTGACACAGCAGTGAACAGAGCTAAGTCCCTGCTCTCAATGATGTTATATTCAGGTCAGGAGAGATGGGTCAAATAAATTAACAAATATATAGCGAGTCAAGTTTTGACAACAGCTAAAAACAAAAACAAATCAGGCTAAGAAGATAGACAGTTGGGGGGTGAGAGCCAGGAAGGTCTCAGTGATAAAGTGACCTTCAAGTTGGGCCCTGAAAGAAAGAAAAAAGTGAGTCATGAGGATATCTGGGGAAGAACATTGCAGGCAGAGAGAACAGCAAGGGCAGAAGCCCTGAGCCCAAAATATTTTCATCTGTGTCGGGGGACCATATGTCACTAAGGGAAGGGCATCAGAATCACCAGTTGGCGGTGCCTTCTCAAGCCATAAAACCTCCCCTCACCCACCACCAGCAGCAACTCCGAGAGGGCTTCTTTGGAGAGTGACCCTGGCCCCCAAGCCCAAATGCTATTACTGATGGGGGAATGTCACCTGTTCTTGGGGCAGAGAAGCCATGGAGAATCCCCACAGTTAGAAACACATGTGAGGATGACGTGGCCTCAAGGAAGCTGCGGTCTGTCAGGAGGCAGCAAAGAGAAGCACAGGGTTATAGGGGACAGTGAGGACACAGAGCTGGTGCTCCCTGTGGGGGGTCAGAGGGTTGTAAGAGGCAAGAGGTCTACTTGGACAGTGGGCCTCAGGGACACTCTGGGCAGAGGGGCCGGGATGAGCAAAGGTGGAGGCTGGGGCAGCTAGAGAGCTAGGGGACCTGAAAGTCATTCCACATGATTGACGGGGTGGCCAGCAGGCTGGTGACGAGGCCAGAGGGGTCAGCAAGGGTCATGTTATGGAGGATCTTGCATGCCACGGAAACGCATTTGGATTTTTCTGGTAGGTGTTGTGGAGCCATTGCAGACTTGCAAGCAAGGCAGTAGCCGGGTCTGTATGGAGAAGGGCTCGGGGGAGGAGACGTGGGTGGCGGTGGACCACTGCAGGCAGGGGAGAGCAATCAATGGCAGGGGCAGTTGAAGAGGAGGAGCTGGATGCAGGAGACGGTAGGGGTGGAATGGCCCGGACCTGCTGGACACTGGGACCCGGGGAGAGCAAGAGGGAGGAGGAGTCCAGAAAGACCCTGGAGGTTTCTGGCTTGGGCCACTGAGTGCCTTTGGCTGAGACAGCGACACATGAAAAAGAGCAGGTTTATCAGGAGAAGGAGTTCCGTTTCAAACATACTGAGTGTGAGGTGGGTCGAAGCCAAGCCCTGGTGACCACCCACAGACATGACATCAAACAACAGCTCTGTGAAAACCAATAGAACATAATGGAAACCAATAGAACACAGTGTAGGCAGAAAACAGACCTTCACCAAGGGCCCACGTGTCTCATAAGAATAGCTGTGATGTATTCAGCATTTGGTGCATGCCAGGCAGGGGTAGACACTTACAAGGTGCCATTTAATCCTCACCATGACTCTTCAAGGTAGCTCTCATTATTTCAGATTTACAAATGAGGAAACTGAGGTTCACAGAAGCTTAGGAACTTGCCCAAAGCAGCAGAGCTGGTGAAAACCGTCACACCATACATCTTCTGCCTCCCACCTGCCCACGATGGATGCTTGGGGGTGTCACAGGAAATTAGGATGTTTTAGGAAGGTTGGTGACTTTGATCTTGGGGAGACAGCCAGGTCTTACCCAGGGCATCCAGTCCAGAGCTTAATAAATATCTGTGGAATGACTATCCCTCATTTTTCCATGGAAGACTGAGCCCAGGCTGCAGAGGCTGTCAGCCAACCCAGTGTGACATTGATGACACTGTTCCTATGATGCAAGAGGGGACACATCCCTTTTCCCTCTCCTCCGGAACGGGGGCTCACACTGTGTGCACACACAGGGATTGTATGGTACTGAGTTTTAATTCCAGGCACTCCAGGGTTGGGCTGGAGGGAGTATGGTGGAAAGAGGCAGGCCTTGGAGCTAACAGGCTGAGGAAACTGAGTGACCTCATCTGAAGCCCACAGCCCCTGACAAGCTCTCTCTGAGCCAGGCCGCAGCCAGACAGGCAGTGGCAGGTGCAGGCAGTTCTCCGGTGTTCATGGCTGGCCGCCCAGCCTGTGAGCACTGAAACTATTTCAGGTCCTGTTTTTCCTTGCCTCAACCCCACTTCTGTCTATCCCTCTGGGGTTGCAGCAACCTGAAATTGTAAATGCTGCCTTGACTTCACTCTCCTCCCTTACACTTTTTCCTTAATGGTGTGCCTGACTCCCAGGAAACCTGTCCTACAGAGGAGGGGAGACCACTCACCCAATTCCAGGGAGATCCCTCCATAGTTGCTCCAGCCCGCTCCTCTTGCCAGGGAGGGTGCCAAGACCTCCCTTTGCAGCTCTCCTCCTTGGAGCAGCTGCCCCACGATTCCCCAAGAGTGCCAAGCACAGTCTCCATCAACAGGCCCTTTCACAGAATGGCATGGCTTTGCATTTTAATCATCACATTACCATTTTCTGGAAGAAGGGGAAAGCTTTGGGATCACAAATTAATAGAAGGAATGAAGGGCAAAATTAAGAAAAGCAAGTCTAGTCCTTGTATGTTGCAGTCTTCCCTTCTATCTGGAAGGGGAAAATCATGCTTTCAGGAAAATTCTCTGAATGACAAGTTTGGAGGTTTCTGGAGCCATATCCACAATAGTGAGCCATTTGGGGACCTCTTCCCTTGCCTCCCATACCTACTCACTTGGAAGTAAAAATAAATTATCTTCCATATCATTAATGGAGTGCCCAGTTCCCCAGTCTGGCTCCGCAGTTAAGGAACTGTGAATATGAATGACGCCTCCGCAGTGTGCTGATGGGGTGGGCCCCTGGTCCCAGGAGATGCTTCCATGGGTGTGAGTGTTGCAGACTAATGGTGATGGGGGCTGGGTTGTGGGGGTACAGACCCCCTTGTGTAACTCCAGAGAGCACCAATCAGGATAGATCTGTATGTGTGTGTATATATATACACACGTACATATGTATGTGTGTATATATATATATGTATATATATGTATACACACACACACACACACACACCTCCTGGAGCTGTGCCGTGCTGCAGGCTGGCCTAGACTGCAGGCTGGGTCAGCACCCCCTCGGGAGGCTGTGCTAATCTGGGAAGGCCTGGAGGCCAGAGCTCTTAGAAGCTGCCAAGCCAGGGTTCAGATGGCTGCAAGGAGAGCAGTTTCAGCCTGGAGTCCTGACAAGAGAGACTTGCTTCCTCAGTTAGAAATAGCTCTCACCTGGGCCCAGAAGAGGGGGAAAGGTGATGGGGCCAAGGATAGGGTAACCCAGAGGATCAGGCTACGGGGACAGGTCCTGGAGTGTCGGCCGGGCCTTCTGCAGGGTGGGGCTGAGCTGAAACCTCAGCTTCTTACCTGTGTTCCCCACACACAGTGTACCCCACACTCCACTCACCCTGCGTAATAGTGTCACGGCCTTTAAGGGGCTGCCTAAAGGAAGCCAATGTGAGGGCAGGTGGGACGGGCAGGGGACCCTAAAGGAAAATGAATTAAAGAGCAACACTGCCCAGCAAGGGAAGGCATCTGGAGTTCTGAGTAATCCACCCCCGTCTCCTACCATCCATCCCCTGCATGGTGAGAGAATAAAGGTGCCAAAGCCAGAAACCACCTGGGGACTTTCATTTTGGGTACCTCAGATCCTTCATTTATTCAACCCATTCTAATATCTGGAAGTCGAGTAATGAAAAAAAAATGGACAAAAATCCCCATGCTTCATGGAGTTTATATTCTAGTGGAGAAGATAGATAATGAACAAGATTTTATATGTATAATATATATATAGATATGGTATTTAAGCTAAGGATAAGTGCTAAGAAGACCAAATTAAGCAGAGGAGAGGAACATGAAATGCTGGAGATGGCTCGCATTACACTTAGTGGCCAGAAAAGGCCTCAGTGAAGGAATTTGGAGTAAAGACCTGTGGAAAGTGAGGGAGTGGCAGTGTGGGGGCATGTAGGTGTGGAGTGGGGGGGTAGGCATTCCATCAGCAAGTGCAAACGTCCTGAGGTGGGCGTGCCTGAGCAACAGCAGGGAACCCAGCACGGCTGCAGGGAAGAGAGCAAGGGTGCACTCAGAGAGCACAGAGGCATGCTGTGACCACGTTTGCTCCCACAGGAGAAGCTGGAGTATTTCTTCCTCATTGTCTTCTCGATTGAAGCCGCCATGAAGATCATTGCCTACGGCTTCTTATTCCACCAGGACGCTTACCTGCGCAGTGGCTGGAATGTGCTGGACTTCACCATTGTCTTCCTGGGGTGAGAGCTGGGTGTGGGGAGACTGAAGGTCAGACCCTCGCTGAGGACTGTGTGCCCACTGCCACCACCACCAGCATCTTAGAGGTGGGGTGGGACTCCAGCATTGTGCTAACCACTGCATGGAGCAGCCTCTGTTAGAGGCCGGCCCAGCAAGGGAGCTGTCCATGTTGGTGGAGAGTGGATCATTGCCCCCGACCCTGCCCGCAGGTCAAATCTCCTTCCCCTGCTAGATGCTATAAATTCCATTATCCTCCTCACATCACACAAATTTGGAAATGATATGGATGTTTCCACTGGCCAGCAGTTTCTGGATGTTCATAAGTTTCTCAGCCTCTGTCATTTATTAGTTTATTCCACAGACCTGTATTGAGTACCTGTTATTTGGGTTCACAAAAACGGACATTTATTAACCTGTATTAGTTTGCTAGGGCTGCCATAATAACATTCCACAGATTGGGAAGCTGAAACAACAGGAATCTATTTCTCACAGTTCTGGAGTCTGGAAATTCAAGGTCAAGATGCTGGCAGGTTTGGGTTCACACAGTCTCTCCTCTGTGCCTGTGCATCCTTGGTGTCTCTTTGTGTGTCCAGAGTTCCTCTTCTTATAAGGACACCAGTCAAATTGGATGAGGGCCCACCCTAACAACTTCGTTTCATCTTAACCACCTCTTTAAAGACCCTGTCTCCAAATACAACCACATTCTGAGGTGCTAGGGGTTAGGGCTTCAGCATATGAATTTAGAAGGAACATATCTCTACCCATAGCATTACCATGAGTAACTACCACGTAATGATAACAATAGCATTTATCAAGCACTTAATATGTGCTTACATGTACCCTCTCACTTAATTCTTGCCACAATCCTGTTTTCCCTCATTTTATAAATAAGGAGGCTAAAGAACAGAAAAGTCAAGCAACTTGCCCAAGGTCACACAGCTAGCTGGTGGCAGTGCTGGGATTCAAGCCAAAGCAGTCTCGGCTCCAGAGGCTGCATGCTCAACCAGTATGCTGTCCTTCAGTTCCGTAAGGATGGTGTTGGTTACCTGCTAACCATCCAGTGCTACTTTTGGCTCAGTAGAGAAAATAGAAGAATTCTGTGAATCTGCCTCTGCCTTTTACAAACTGCCCTGGTTGGAAGCCAAGACAAATGCGTACAGAATAATAGAGTGCAGAAAGCAGTACCTCACAGCGCATTGTTGTTTCATACGCAATGTGTCCCAGGGAGTTCTGCCGTTAGAAGTATTTGGAGGCAAAGGAATTTGAGGTAGACTTCAAAGGATAATGGAAATTTGAGTAAATTAAGAGAGGAAGAGGAGGCCAGTAGGAAAGAAAATAAAGGGCATTATCAAAAAGTGCAGCCAGGAGGAAAAGCACAGAGGGAGAACTTGCTGTGGAGTTTCTTCTCTGGGTCACCACTGACTATGTACAGGTAACCTCCAGCCCGTGTTGGGGGTACTCAGCCCCAGGGCCAGGGACTGTCCCTGTGGCACACATACCTCACCCCCGTTCAGCACCCAAAGTAGACCTCACAAGTGGAGCACCATACTCTTTTCACTGAGTATGAACTTGATGTCAGAATCCTTTTAAGTGAAATTCCCCAGATAAGCATGATCAGATCATTTGTTAGTTGATGCACCCGTATTTGCCGTCTCTCCCCTAGGCCTTTCCACAGGTGCTCAAGCATGGACAGGACACAGGGCCTCAGACCACTGGGGCAGTGGCTTTTCCAACCCCTGGACCCCCTCTCTCCCTCTTCTCCATTCTAGGGTCTTCACCGTGATTCTGGAACAGGTTAACGTCATCCAAAGCCACACAGCCCCAATGAGCAGCAAAGGAGCCGGCTTGGATGTCAAGGCCCTCAGAGCCTTCCGAGTGCTCAGACCCCTCCGGCTGGTGTCGGGGGTGCCTAGTGGGTGGCAGTGTCCCTGCAGACCCCTTTCTCCTCTCCCTTCCTGTTCCCTTGTCCCCCAGTTCTGGGTCCCCTTCCTACCTTGACATCTCAGGGGCTTCCCAGGATTTATAGGGAGGGAGGGCCAAGAGACCAAGCAGAGGCGACTCCTCTTTTCCCTTCCCTGCCTGCCTCTGCAGGCCTGCAGGTGGTCCTGAACTCCATCTTCAAGGCCATGCTCCCCCTCTTTCACATCGCCCTGCTGGTCCTCTTTATGGTCATCATCTATGCCATCATCGGGCTGGAGCTCTTCAAGGGCAAGATGCACAAGACCTGCTACTTCATTGGTACAGGTGAGCTCCCAGGGAAAGTGGGGCTGTGGGGCAGGGCCTAGGATGGCTCAGAAGGGGGAGCCACCCTACCTGGTGAAGGAGCCCGGAGCTCAGCCATTGCCGCCCACATCTGTTGACCTTGAGAATGGGTTTCTCCTGGATAAGGGGGACTTGGAGGAAGGGCAGCTCTACTGGAGTCAGTGAGCCAAGAAAGTGAGCAGGGGCCTGGGCCATGGCTGGTTCTGAAACACCGTCACCCCCCTGCCCCACATACAATGTGGTATGTTCCAGGCTCTCTGGACCTGTGGTAGATGGAGACATAGGCATGGGATAAGCTTGAATTTCTATGTGTACATTTCCTGTCGCATAGTTTTAGCTTTAGTCTGAGCTGACCCTCAGAGCAGGCACCCAGAATAGGGTCTGAATGGGACCTCAGAAAAAACACCCAAGAGCCAAATGGAGTCATTTTTTGAGTTTCCAGAAATAACCTACATTGAAGCCCAGATATATTTGAGCTGAAGCAGCAGTTCTCAAACTTTTTGGCCTCAGGACCCCTTTTCTCTCATATAAATTACTGAGGACCTCAGAGAGCTTTTGTTTATATAGGTTTTGATCTGTTGATATTCATGGTATGAGAAATGAAAACCGAGGAACATGTCACAATATTAATTTATTAATTCACTTTTAAAGAACAGTAAGAAACCCATGACATGAGAACATAAATAGTATATTTCTAATAAAAAATAACTAGATTTTTCCAAAACCAGTAATATTTGGTGAGAAGAGTGGTGACGCTATTTTACACTTTTTGTAAATCTCTTCACTGCCTGGCTTGATAGAGGCTGCTGGACTCTCACATCAACTTCTGTGTGTGTGTGCTGCCAAATCACAACTCATGTAGCCTCTGGAAAATTCCAGTCTACATTGTTGAGAGAATGAGAGACAGATGGGCAACTAACGTCTCAGCAGTATTGTGAAAATCATTTTGGTCAGGCCGACACTCTGAAAGAATCTCGGGTCCCACTCTGAGACTGGCTGCTCTACCCTGCCAGCAGCTCACTGGGACTTAGCCTCCTCCATAAGCCCTGGCATTGAACTCACCAGAATAACTGTTCTAGGCCTTCAGTGTCTCAGAAGACTCTACTCACCTCCTCATGACCGCTGACAACAAAGGGACAGTCAACACCAGTCCTAAACCCAACTCACAAGAGTAAACTCTGGTCCAGCTTTCAGGGATTATATTCCTAGACCCCTCCCATTTCAGCCTCCTCCCATCACCACCACAATCTACATCCTATCATAAGCATTATCAGGATGGATAGGAGGTGACCTTTGATCACACCTTCAACCCAAATTTGGAGGTCTCACTGGTGTTCTCATGAGATCTTGAGGAATGCTGAGCAGCAGTGCTCAAAAGCCCCTCTCGGATCGGGGCTTCTGACTTCATGGGGTCAGGGCCCCTACAGACCCATCAATGTCCTCTCCTTTCCATCTTCAGAGCATTGAGCCTACATGGTAAATAGATAAATATGGGTAAGGCAGGGTGTTCCAGTTCTGATGAGCCAATCTAATCTCTGAACACAAAAGGAGACTGTAAAACATCCTAAGATAAAAGGAGATGCAGGATGTCATCAGAAGTACAGGATTTTAGAGACAAGAAAGCATCATCCAGGGGAACAAAGGAGAGTGCAGGCTCGGGCCTGGTGGGAACTTCCCCTGAGTGCAGACCCCTGCCCCGTCAGCTGGGTATCTTGTAAAGCTCAGCCCAGTGCTTTTGGAGCTTCTCCAATTTCACCTCCCAGACAGAACTCTCAAGTCAGAACATGTGAGCCCTCCACCTCCAGCCCTGCTCCAGCCAGGCAGCTGCCTTCTTTTTTAAAGTTCTGTGGGGACAAATGACACTCAGATTACTCCTCTTTCATGGGTTGCACTGCTTAGGACAATTAATCCTAGAAGCCGACCCTGCCATGAGGCCCAGGGGCCCAAGACATAATTCCCGCTGCCTGTAGCCATCCTCAGCCCAAGGCATTCCTCTTCACTGTCACCGTCTGCTCCATGTGAAGCTGTCTTTTGCATTTTCAGCAGAGTGTCTTTAGACTTACTGCTCAATTCTCTTAAATTGCTCTTATACACCTTTCCTCCTGTCGTTGTCCACCTACTACTGTTGTCTGATGTTCCCTTTGCCTTCTGCCTCCAGATATCGTGGCCACGGTGGAGAATGAAGAGCCATCGCCCTGCGCCAGGACGGGCTCAGGGCGCCGGTGCACCATCAATGGCAGTGAGTGCCGGGGCGGCTGGCCAGGGCCCAACCATGGCATCACCCACTTCGACAACTTCGGCTTCTCCATGCTCACCGTGTACCAGTGCATTACCATGGAGGGATGGACTGACGTCCTTTACTGGGTGGGTCTGGGCCCGCGCCTGCAGAACCATCTCCCTTCATCCACAGGCTTGCAAGGGAGTGGGGAGGGAGGGCTTGCCAGTCCACACAGGAGGCCAGTCTCTGACTTGCGTGACCACAGCTCCCTCTTGCTCCTCCCTGGGGAATCTATACAGGATGTGTGTCCCTTTCTGGTTCCCAGGTATGTGCCCCAGCATCCTATGGGGAAATCCCCATGATACAATATGTCTGTGCAGGATCCAAGGGGCGGGTGAAGAATGGAAACCAGGAAAAACCTGGCTGTGAGTGACTCAATTCTGATGGCTTAGAATTTCACACTTTTTGAGGAACGAAGGGCCCTTTGAGTCTTTTTCCTTGCCTCTGCAAGACTGCTTTCCCATATAACTATTATTAGATATTAGTTTCCTCACCTATAAAATAAGGATAATAATACTGTCTATATCAGAGTTAGTGGGAGAATTACAACAGTGCCCGGCACACAGTCAACACTCCAGTAAGAGTTTCTTTGTTGGAGTATATTATTTATTTGGTGTTTGTTAAGAGCTAGATTTCTTATTTCATCCTTCAATGATGGAAGGCATTGCTCCCATTTTACAGATAAAGAAACTGAGGCTCAGAGAGATTAAAGTAACTTGCCCATGGTTAAGAACTTAGTGAGCAACAGAGCCAAGAATCGAACTCTGATCCCCCTGGCTCCAATCCAGAATTAACCACAATATGACGCCGCCTATTGTGGGGGTGGGGGGATTGTAAAACTGTCAAATGCTTTGCAAATACCAAGGATTAGTACAAATATTTATTGTAAGTGTGTATTAGGAGAGCAAATTATTTAAAATGTCAAAGGACTGTCACATGTATGATTTCACCTCTGTATCAAGCCTGTGAGGAGAGACAGCCCATGTCATTATCGCCATTAGATGGTTGGGAATAATGCTCAGAGATGTTAGGTGACTTGTCCGGGGTCACAGACGTTGTTCATTTGAAAAATCTTGGCTTTAAATAAATCAACTGGAGATAGAGTCTATGAGGGAGATCAAGTGAGGGAGGCAGATAGGAGACACTCTTGGTTGGAGGGAAATTAGGTCAGTCTTGCCCGGGCCAGGTAGGCAGTCAGCAAGGTCTCCCTAGGGAGATCCTTCCAGACCAGATCCTAGTCCTCAGGCTGGAAAAGTTCTTCCAGACTAGTCCTCAGGTTAGGAAAAATGTCCCCTCAATATCCCAGCGTGGCTTCTCTCCTTGTCCCCCAGGGTTGGGTGGAGTCTTAATGAGCAGACTTGGGGAAGAGGAACCAAGCCCTCAACTCAGAGGATCACACTTCTGTCCTGACCAGGTCAATGATGCCATCGGGAATGAGTGGCCCTGGATCTATTTTGTCACCCTCATTTTGCTGGGATCCTTCTTCATCCTCAACCTGGTGCTGGGTGTCCTGAGTGGGTAAGAAATTCAAAGGTAGCCAGGGGAGAAAAGAGAAAGAGGAGGAGGGGAGAAGGAGGAGGAAGGAAAAGGAACGGAGGGAAAAGAAACAGGAGGGGTGGGGGGCGAGTGGAGAGGAGGAGGAGAGAAGGGAGGAGGAGGAAGGAGTGGAGCAGGGCAGGGGGCTGTGAGTCAGGCCCTCGGCTCATCCCTGGGTTCCCTGTCATCTCAGTTGGGCCAAGAGCGCTTCCTTCCTGGTGAGCAGGAAGAGAGGAGAGGCACACAGGAGCCCTTCAATTTTTAATTTGCCTTTTTCCTCCTCCTCAAGTCTTCCCCCATTCTCACCCCTCCCGTCCCTCTGTTTTGACACTCCTCAGTGAAGCCCCTGAAACTCCAGCCTCCTGGCCCCGGGGGTGCCTAAGTGGAGCCTTAGCACTAAGAGGCGGTGGGGCTTTCGGTTAAGCACACAGACTCTGGAGCTAGAATGCCCACATTTAAATCCCTGCACTACTGCTTGGTGGCTGTGTGAGCTTTACCTAATTACCTAACTTCTCTGTGCCTTAATTTCCACATCTGCCACCTAAGAATTATTTCAGTATCTATCTCATAGGGTTGTTGTCAGGATTAAATAAGTTAATACATATAAAGTACTTAGAACAGAGTCCAGCACAAAATAAGCACTAAATACTAATGGTCATTATTAATGAGAGCTGTTCTCTTTGAGACCAGTCCTGCTGTCATCCCTCCACCCACCCCAGCACAGCAGAGAGGCTAGAAGTCACCATCAGCCTTCTTCCCCATTGGTATCATCCCATTCCAGAAGCTTCCTTCCAGGCAGTCTATAGATAGAATTCTGGGAGTCTGTAAACTTGCATAGGAAACATTTATCTTTATTTTTCACAATTGTAACTGAAATTTAGTGTTTCCTTTAGTAATGAACATAGGCAACAAACCACAGTGCTATTAGCAGGGCCTATGACTTGTCCTAATAGAAATCATGTCACATTACAGTTGTTGCGAATAGTATTTACACTAACTACTCCATACTTTGAAATTATGATAGATATAAAACCTGCAGCTAGATCTTGCTAATGAGTTAATGAAAAAGCAAATGTATTACTTGATCACAATTTTTTTGTATGGATAACTATATTTTAACATACAGTCATGTGCTGCATGATGACATTTCAGTCAATGACGGGCTGCATCCACAACAGTGGTGCGCTAAGATTGTATCTTTACTGTACCTTCTCTATGTTTAGCTATGTTTAGATCCACAGATACAATCGCCTACGGTATGCAGTATGGTAACACGCTGTCCAGGTTTGTAGGCTAGGAGCAATAGGCTATGCCATGTAGCCTAGATGTGTAGTCGGCTCTCCCATCTAGGTTTGTGCAAGTACGCTCTTGATGTCTGCACAGAGATGAAGTCACCTAACAATGCCTTTCTCAGAACGCATCCCAGTCATTAAGTGAAGCCTAGCTGTAACTGGCTTCTTTGTCATGCTATGGTTTTATTTTGTGCATTTCACATTATTCTGAAGAGAGATCCATAGGCTTAACTGGACTTTCAAAGGGTCCATGGCACAAACTGGTCAAGAGCCCCTCCCTGGACCCCACCTGACCAGGGCAACTCGACCTGCCCTGTGGGCCAACCCCTCCTGGCTGCCAGGCGCAGCTCCTCAGAGACTACCCCTGTGCTGTCTTCTTCCTCCTGCCCTGCGGGGCAGGTGGTCATAGCCCAGGGCTGCCCTCTGCTGGCCTGAAGATCCCTCATGGAGCCTTGGGTCCTTTTCTTCCAGCCATGCCAACTGGTTCCTTGGAGTCCAAGGAGAATTTTCCCCAGGCCTTTGGTCTGTACAAAACTAAATTTCTAAGGTAGTTTGAAGGGTTGGGGCAGTATGGCCAATTTGAGGCTCCGTGGCTGATTCAGTTAGGCAATGGACTGCCTTGTCATTAACCCCTAATGTGCAAGGGGAACCCCAAAACAAGGCAGGAGACAATGAGATGGATGAGAAGAAAGAAATGAGGAAGGGGCAAGGAGTACTCCAGGATGTTCCTGGAGGGTGGGGACGGGTGAGCAGGAAGTGAGAGGGGCTGTCTCTCAGCCACCTTGAGGGGCACCTGGACCCCAGGCAACACCCCGGGGCCAGAAAAAGGAGCGCTCCAGTCACAGAATGGGCTTGTCTGTCCTCAGGAAGCTCAGTCTTTCCTTGACACTGTTCCCTCTTCTCCTCCTCTCCTGGCTCCCCCATCTCATTTCAGGGAATTCACCAAGGAGCGGGAGAAGGCCAAGTCCAGGGGAACCTTCCAGAAGCTCCGGGAGAAGCAGCAACTAGATGAGGACCTTCGGGGCTACATGAGCTGGATCACGCAGGGCGAGGTCATGGATGTTGAGGACTTCAGAGAAGGTTTGGGCCCAAAGGCTGTGGTCAGCACTCACCCCACTCTCTCACTCCCACCTCTGAGTCATACCTTGCAATCAGGCCCACTGAGCAAGTCCAACATTAGTCCTTTGAGGGTGAGTGACTTGCCTAAAGCAAAATGGCTCAAAATGGTAAGATCCAGGTGTGACCAGAGCTCTTCCCAAAGGTACTTGCTGCCCATCCTCATAGCGCCTCCCCTGCAGATAAAGTGGGCTCTTTAGCTCTTGGAACTCTCAGTCTCTGGAAAGCACGAAGCAATCCAGGCCTACCTAGGACCCATTGTTGCAGATGTCTCTGGTCAATGGGCCCTTGTCTCGGGTGCCCAGTCCAGGTGTGTCCAGCCCAGAGGGGCCCCGAAGGCTGGCTGACTCTTTCTCTCCTGTCTCCAGGAAAACTGTCTTTGGATGAAGGTGGCTCTGACACAGAGAGCCTGTATGAAATTGCAGGCTTGAACAAAATCATCCAGTTCATGTGAGTATCTGCCCACTGCCCCAGGAACCCCCAACCCCCAGCTCCCTGAGACATGAGGGTAGAGTCCAGTTACTTCCCCTCAGTGGTTTCAGAGTCACTTGTCTAATCCTTTAGAAAGGCAGCCTTTTTAAGAAAATAGGGCCAGTTCCTGCTCTGAGGGACTCCGCAGGGACCAGATCCTCGGGGAATGTGTGATCAGAGGGGTCCTGAGCAGATGACCTATTTATATAGCACATAAGAAGGACACTGGGAGCCTCCAGGAGCAGTGAGCATGCTTGCTGCTACTTCACCCTGATCAGGGCAGAGCTGGGTGAGGTCATTCATGTTGGAAACCTCTGCGAGGGAAGAGGGAAAGTGTACACAGCAGAGGCTGCACAAACCGGGAGCCCCTCAGGAAGGAGGCTGGAGGCAAGAGCACACTCCACGCTCTCTCGCCATTGTCTTAAGAGGAGGGTTTGTTTATTTGGTTGGCTGTTTCCTTTTACAAATTCATACTTAATTATGATTTTGAAAGATCAAACAATAGAGCTATACATCAAAGAAAAGATGAAGGTCTCCAGTGCCCTTCAAAGAGGTAACCATGGTAACAGATGTGCAGCCTCTAAGATCTTTTCTGTGCTTTCATCCGTCTTGCACACACACACACGTGCCAGGATTTTTTTGTTTTTGTTTTGATTTTTTACATAATGGGGTTGTTTATGTTAACTACTGTCACCACAGGGACTAGAAGAGTGCCTAGCACATATGAGGTGTTGCCAAATATTTGTCAAATAAATGAATATAATACACACTAAAGGATAATCCAATAAAGGATTATCTAGTTACTTACCTTTTTTTACTTAAAATTATCTATTGAGAGCAATTTTCGGAGCAGATTCACTTTCCTTCTTGTATCTTTGGATGTAAAACATTCCACAGGATGAATATGCCATAATGTAGTTAATTTTTCCCCTCTTTGGCGATACAAACAGTGCTGCAGGGAACAGTTGTGGATGAGTATGACCACTTCTGCCAAAGGAACTCTAGAAATAGACTTGCTGGGTCAAAGGGTATAGCTACTCCCAGCTCCTCGGAAGTCTGAGGTGGGAGGGTCACTTGAGCACAAGAGTTCAAGTCCAGTCTGGGCAACCTAGCAAGACCTGTCTAAATAAATAAATAATAAAACATTAATAAACAGAGCATATAGACTTTAAATTTTGGTAAGTGCTGCCAATTCATCCCAAAAAGATTGTACTGTCAAAGCTCATTTCCCCTCACCCTCCCCAGATATTATTAATTTGTTGAAGAGTGGCCTTTGATAAGGGGCAAAACGTGGCATCTCAGAGTTGCTTTAACTAAAATTAAACCACACGGAGCGTCTGCTCCTTGCCAGGCACTTGTGCTAAGCATTTTGCGTGCATCCTCTCATTCCATTGCCTCGGAGGTTTGTGTCATTATCGCTCTTCTGTGAAAGATGGAGGATTTTACTCAGTCTGGCTCCCTAGCTCATGCCCTGAGCTTCTCTCATGTGGCTGGCGGAAGTGGGGTGGTCAGGCTACGCATGCCTGGAGTTTGTCTGAAGGTAGCTTGGACAGGTGGGGCGTAGAACAGCACAGCACTGTAGACCATCCTCTGTCCCCTCCCTCAGCCGACATTGGAGGCAGTG
Source organism: Homo sapiens (assembly GCF_000001405.40). Lineage (NCBI taxonomy): Eukaryota > Metazoa > Chordata > Mammalia > Primates > Hominidae > Homo > Homo sapiens. Next base: position 201,083,304 of record NC_000001.11, on the reverse strand, counting down.
GAACCGCATCTTTCGCTGGAAGTGCCATGACATCGTGAAGTCCAAGGTCTTCTATTGGCTGGTGATTCTCATCGTTGCCCTCAACACCCTGTCTATCGCCTCAGAGCACCACAACCAGCCTCTCTGGCTGACCCGTTTGCAAGGTGAGGCGGAACGGAGTGAAGCCGGGAGGAGGGCACATGTGGCTGTGGCTTGATGTCAAAATCAGCCAATGGCACCACAGGTTGTGCAGAAGAGGTCAATTAGATATTGACATCATTTTTCTAAAAATTATGGACCATGAGTGCTGGATTATATGACCTAATCAGCTCCTTTCACGGGGGTAAAACGGAGACCTCAAGTGGCAAAGCAACATACCCAATTTTCCTCTTCATGGCTTTGTTACTTACCAAGGTCAGTAAAAGCAATAGGCTGGGACAGGTGCTTGCCCAGGTGTCCGGGCAGATTATTCCAATCACAGATCACTGGACATAAAATTGCTAGTAATTTGGAACTCTAAGCACCCAAGTTCAAATTCTACAAAAACAACAGTCTTTCACCAACTATTTATTGAGTGCATCCTACATGTAAGGCACAGGAAAAGAACTCAGGATACAGAGAACACTAATACACCACTCCTGGCTTCAAGGAGCTTACTTAGCCAGAGGGGAAGACTGATCTTAATAAATAATTCCAAGTCAATAGAAGGAGGGCAATGATAGAGGTAAATACAAGGTAGCAGCAAGAGGAGAATCACAGAAGAGATGCTGAAACTCTGTGGATCTTAAAGGATAGGTAAACAAGCCCTAGGCAGTCAAAGGGAGGAGGGGATCCTGGAGAAGGAACAGTGTGTGCAAAGATATGAAGACGTTAAACAGTTTAGTAAATTCAGGAAGCCGTAAGAACTTTGCATGTGACTAAGAGAGTGGCAACACATGTGTTTGCTCATGGGGGCCTTGTGTTAGGCCATTCTTGTGTTGCTATAAAAAAAATACCTGAGGCCGGGCGCGGTGGCTCACGCCTGTAATCCCAGCAGTTTGGGAGGCTGAGGTGGGTGGATCACAAGGTCAAGAGATCGAGACCATCCTGGCCAACATGGTGAAACCCCATCTCTACTAAAAATACAAAAATTAGCTGGGCGTGGTGGCATGCACCCGTAGTCCCAGCTACTCAGGAGGCTGAGGCAGGAGAATCGCTTGAACCTGGAAGGTGGAGATTGCAGTGAGCCGAGATTGCACCACTGCACTCCAGCCTGGTGACAGAGCGAGACTCTGTCTCAAAAAAAAAAAAAAAAAATGCACCTGAGACTGGGTAATTTATAAAGAAAAGAGGTTTGGTTGGCTCACAGTTCTGCAGGCTTTACAGAAAACATGGGCTGGCATCTGCTCAGCTTCTGAGGAGGTCTTGGAAAGCCTACAATCGTGATGGAAGGCAAAGGGAGGGCAGGCATGTCACATGGCGAAAGCAGGAGCAAGAGAGAGAAAGAGTGGGAGGGGAGGTGCCACACACTTTTAAATGACAGGTTTTGTGGTGAACTCAGAGTGAGCTGACTTAACACCAAAGAAATGGCCCAAGCCATTCATGAGGAATCTGTCCCCACAATCCAAACACCCCCCACCAGGCCCCAGCTCCAGCATTGGGAATTACATTTCCACATGAGATTTGGGCAGGGCTGTCTATCCAAACGATATCAGGCCTTATATGTGAATAAAGTGTTGGACTTTACACTTTAGGCAATGGAAAGCCAGTGAGAAGTTAAAAGCAAGAATATAATGTGATCAGACTTGAGTCTTGGAAAGATCAGTCTTGGTGGAAGGTCAGTGAGTCGGCCTCGTCCACATGGTAGATGTTCACCTGGGTGTGAAGCTCTGGACCGTGAGACGAGTAGGATACGAGAAAAGACTGACCAGTTCCAACAACACGGTGGACAAACTCAGTGCCCTCCCCACTACAAACAAGTAACACTGCTGCATAAGGCATAAGAATGATGTTTCCTGGAATGAAAAGGAAGTCTTTTAGTGGCAGAAACAAAGAAGTGACCCAAAGCCAGAGCAGCGAGCTTGTGAACTGACTTCCAAGGACATTTTAGGCCTAGGCCTAAACCCTAATGGGTAGCAGCTGGGTTCCTAAGGCCTGTGCAGGGCTGGAGACAGGGCCCTGGACCTGCATGAGGTGGGAACTGGCACTGTCATACCTACATAGAGCCAGGGCCCTGGAAAGTCTGCCCCCATGGAAGGGAAGCCAAAATCTCACTGGGCCAGGAAATGAGCTTGGAAGTTTATTCCTGCTAGAGGCCCTGGGAGAAAGGAAAAATGTCTCAAGTGAAAAATCAAAATCCTATCAGTGCCTTATATAGGTATGGGGTCCAATATACACTACCTCTCATGGTCCAAGGATTCTAAACTAAGATAGTAACATAAAAATCAAGTTGCAAACAAGTAAAATCCCTGGGGTACTCAACAGAAGCAAACATAAACCATTCTTTAAGGATGCTTCTTAATCTAAGGCATATAGAATTTCTGAAGGGAAAAGTGTTTCCTGAAGATGAGATCACAATTAAAAAAACAAACAAACAAACAACAACAAAAAAAAACTGCAAACCAAATAAGGAACAGAGCCACCCTGAGAAAGAGTCATCAGGTACAATCAATGGAAGCTGGCAGCCCCAAAAACCTGAGATGATAGAACAGTACAAAGGAGACTGTTTAAAATGATGAAAGAGGTAAAAGAAGGAAAATAAATAGAAAACAAGATTATCTTTTTCTATGGGAATGAAATAGGAAACAAAGCTAGTTTTAAATTACTAGCTACAGGTCAGATGAATTCATTCATTCATTCATCTCAACCAATCTTCTCGAGAGCACCGTGAATGTGCCAATCGTTGTCAAAACACTGTCAATGACCAAATGTGGAGATGATGTGAACAGTGCCCACCAAGAGGAGTCAGGGGTGATTTTGAGGTTTGTGACCTATGCAGATAAATGGCTAGTAGTGCCACCTACTGAGAAAATGGTTAATGACCAAGTATTTGGGGTAGTGGGGGAGGATGAGCAGTATCCCTGAGCTTTGTCTTGGGCATGGTGAGTTTGATGTGCCTTTGAGACATCCCAATGGATATGTCAAGGTAGCAGACAGAAAAATAGGTCTGGAACTCAGCAGAGCAGTCTCAGCTGAAGAACTAAATCTGGGACGCATTGGAGGGGATGGTCTGAAGCTGTGGTCTTAGATAACACCAGATCTCCAGGGGAGAGTGTATACTCAAGGGTATCACTCAAATCAAGCATTCAATGACTCGCTGTTTCATCCTGCTGAACCTTCAGCTGGAATTGCCCCAAAAGCTGTGGTAGGGGAATTCTCACAAAGGACTACCCCAAACAGTCTTGAGATAGGGTTGGTTGCGATTCCAAAGAAAGAAGCACTAAATGCCAGGGTGATCAGTCCAAAGCTTTTGTTGGGGAAACTTACTATACAGAATGTTGCAGCAATTCTCATGATGGACAGCAAGAGAAAAGGGGTGTTCTACCCAGACTTATCCGCAGCAATGGGGTCAGGGCATGGACTTTAGATAAGGGTTTAAGGAATCTGGCTCAGGGCTGTGGCCAGTTCCTTTCAATGTTTGGGGCAACACCTATTACCTTTATTAGTGCCTAGGAATGTTCAAGGCCCCAGTTTGAGGTCAAGCCTGCTGAGGAAAACCTGTAGCTGCGGGTCCCAGAGCGGTCAAAGCGCTCTGCGATTTTCAGTCAGGACACAGAAAGAAAGTGGAGGGGTAGGGGTGGGGAGAACTGGAAGACCCTATACTTGCTGATGTAAAGAATGCATCTGCAGAGGAGGCTTAGGAAAATACAGAGAAGTAGAGGAAACCCAGAAGGATGTGGCACCACAGAAACCAAGGACAGAATGCTTGAAAAAGCAAGAGAATGGTCAACAGTGCCCAGTGCTGCTGGGAGGTCAGGAGCAGGAGGGTTAGATTAGCATTGGATGTGGCAGATCGATGCCCCTGGAGAGAGTAGTGTTGGTGAAGTAGTGAGGGTGCATCCAGGTAGGGATGAGGTGAAGAGCAAATGTGGCAGGGCAGGGGGTGAAGAAGTGAAGAGAGCAATATAGACAACTTTCGGGAGTTTGACGGTGACAGGGAGGAGAGAGCTAGGATAGAAGATAGAGGGAAAATGGGAGAGTCTTGGGTTTTTTTGTTTTTTTTTTTTTGAGATGGAGTCTCACTCTGTCACCAGGCCAGAGTGCAGTGGCTTGATCTCGGCTCACTGCAACCTCCGCCTCCCAGGTTCAAGCGATTCTCTTGCCTCAGCCTCCCGAGTAGCTGGGACTACAGGCTCATGCCACCACACCCAGCTACTTTTTGTATTTTTAGTAGAGAGGGGGTTTTACCATGTTGGTCAGGCTGGTCTCGATCTCTTGACCTTGTGATCCACCCGCCTCGACCTCCCAAAGTGCTGGGATTACAGGTGTGAGTCACTGCGCTCGGCCTAGACTTTGGCTTTAAGAATGGCAAAGTGAGGGTCCATTTGAAAGAAAGAAGTTAAATATATAGGAAAGAAAAAGAATCACGGACAGGGAGCTTCCCGAAAAGGGGGAGGGGGCAAAGCGTGGGAGGATGGATTGGCTTCAGGTAGGTGGCAGGACCCTTCTCTACCAGGAGGGAGGTGTATAGGAATGAGAGAGTAGCAGACTTAATGAACTTCAGTAGAATTAAGAGTAATAAAATCCTCTTCCTGTTAAATATGATATGAGTTAGCTTGCAAGAAATCAATGGGCAAAATTTACCGGGTTTTTTTTTTTTTTTTTTTTTTGAAGCTAATTTAAAAATTCGCTGGGCATAGTGGCTCACACCTGTAATCCCAGCATTTTGGGAGGCTGAGGCCAGTGGATTGCTTGAGCCCAGGAGTTCAAGACCAGCCTGGGCAACATGACGAAACCCTGTCTCTATTAAAAATACAAAAAACTAGCTGGATGTGGTGGTGCATGCCGGTAGTGGGGAGGATCACTTGATCCTGGGAAGTCGAGGCTGCAGTGTGCCATAATTGTGCCACTTCACTCCAGTCTGGGCAGAGTGAGGCCCTGCCCCCTGCACCCCCAAAAAACATCCATGGTGCCTTGGAAACAAGGGAAGGGGCGTCCTGGGTTGAGGCCCAGCCACAGCCAAGGCTGGGAGTCAGGAGAAGGGAAGGAGAGTGATGCCGGGGCTGTGCCACCAACCCTACAGACATTGCCAACCGGGTGCTGCTGTCCCTCTTCACCACTGAGATGCTGATGAAGATGTACGGGCTGGGCCTGCGCCAGTACTTCATGTCTATCTTCAACCGCTTCGACTGCTTCGTGGTGTGTAGCGGTATCCTGGAGATCCTGCTGGTGGAGTCGGGTGCCATGACACCCCTGGGCATCTCCGTGCTCCGCTGCATCCGCCTCCTGAGGATCTTCAAGATCACCAAGTGAGTGCCGGGGTCGGCTGGCACTCCCGGGTCCCCGGCAGGCACCACGGGCTGGTCTGGTCTACACCCATCTCATTTCCTGAGGTCTGGGATCTGTGCAGGTTCACCACTGGTCCCTTGCCCAGACTTCCCTCCCTCCTTGAAATAACCTCCTTCTGTGAAAAAAGAATCACTTCCCCACTTTGAACTCATTTCTCTGTTTTTTTTCTTACCATAGTCTATGGCAGGGCAGGGAGTGGGGGTGGTGGAAAAGAGAAAGGAAGAAAAGAAAAGGAAAGATGGGAAGAGGGAAGGAGGACAGGAAGAGCTGTAGGGAAAGGGGTGGAAATAAGAAAGAAGGAGGAACACAGACTATCAGGGCCTTTGTGAGGTGGTGAGGGAAGTGGAGAGAGGTTCATCTGCTTGCACTATTTATCCGTCACTTGCATGAGCTGGGTACTGTGCTAAGCACAGGGCATCGAGGGTGCACAGGAGAAAAGCTGTCCTTATTCTCACGGGGTTTCTCGTCCAGTGATGGGACCTAAAGTTAATCAATAGTCATATTAACCAGCGTGAAATTACAAACAGACAAGTGCTCTGCAGGAAGGAGAGAGTGGGCATGCAGCCATGAATCCAGGGTCTTCCAGCAGTGAGGCAGCCCCCTCCCTCTGTGTCACATCAGTCCTGAGTCTTTCCCCCAAGCCTGTCCACACCTCGTGGGCCCCAGTGAGAGGGTCTGTCTCCTCCCACCTTGTGCCTCCTCTTCCTTCAGATATTGGACGTCGCTGAGCAACCTGGTGGCATCCCTGCTCAACTCCATCCGCTCCATCGCCTCCCTGCTGCTGCTGCTCTTCCTCTTCATCGTCATCTTCGCCCTCCTGGGCATGCAGCTCTTTGGGGGGAGGTATGACTTTGAAGACACAGAAGTACGGCGCAGCAACTTTGACAACTTTCCCCAAGCCCTCATCAGCGTCTTCCAGGTAGGCTCTCCCTCTGCGTGTCCCTCCTTCTGAACGGTTGCTGAATCCTGCTTCTTGTCCTTCAAGATCAAGGTGGGCATCACCTTCTCCAGGAAGCCTTGTCTGATCTGCTGGTTGAGTGCAATGTCCTTCTCTGGGCTCCCCTATCACCTGTGCTTCTCTCCATTGTAACACTTGCTTATGGGTCTCCTTCACTGCAGCTGCACCTACTTTGTCTGATTAGTCTTTGTTTCTGGTGCCCAGCACAGTGCTGGCCTACTGCAGGATAATATGACTGGGTTAGGGATGGCCTGGGAGTCCGGATGCGTGCTTTCATGTGCCACTCAGGTCTCAGGGCAAAGTCAGATAAGGGGAGCTTTTTCTCCCGAAGGCTGAGAAAGCCCCAGAGAAACGCAAACCATTTCTCACTCTGCAGGGGCGGCACAGCCGATTCACTATCAGCCACCCAAGGGAGCATGGCTGTGGCCCAGTGAGAAGCTTTCAGGGTCCCTGGCCTCCTGGAGGAGTTTTCTTAGTGTAGACGTGGAAACATTCCTCTCTGGAGTGGCCCATATTTCATGAGTGACACCTCCCTTTTGTACCAGTGAGAAAGGCAGTGTGTGATCGTCCGTCGATCCTCTCTTTCTTCCATTAGCCCCACTGGCTGGTCAGGCCTCCGGCCTTTCAAGAGACTCGACATTTCACAGGACTTCTAAGGCCAGAATAACAGGAGGCCTGGGTGGGTGAAGCACAGTGAAGCCCGGGGGTTAGGAAGAGAACAGGGAAATGGTGAGCCCACAGTCCAATTTCTTGTCCATAGAGAGCAGCAATAAGCTTCTAGATCACTGGGATAGGGGTTTTGTTTTGTTTTTCGAGATGGAGTCTCGCTCTGTCACCCAGACTGGAGTGTAGTGGCACAATCTCAGCTCACTGCAACCTCCACCTCCTGGGTTCAAGCAATTCTCCTACCTCAGCCTCCCAAATAGCTGGGATTACAGGTGCCCACCACCATGCCTGGCTAATTTTTGCATTTTTAGTAGTGATGGGGTCTCACCATGTTGGCCAAGCTGGTCTCGAATTCCTGACCTCGAATGATCCACCCATCTCGGCCTCCCAAAGTGATAAGTAACAGGCGTGAGCCACTATTCCCCAGCTGGAATAGGGGTTTTGGGGATAGCAGGGGCTGGCCACCCAGACTGTGGAATGAAAAGAGGGAAGGTCTGAGAGAACCACAGAGTTGGAGGAGAACTTCGGTCAATGCGGTCCCAATAGAAGACTCTCAGGCCCCTCTGTGTTCCCGAGCCCTCTATCCTCCCTCCATACAGGTACTGACAGGGGAAGACTGGACCTCAATGATGTACAATGGGATCATGGCCTACGGCGGGCCGTCCTACCCTGGCATGCTTGTGTGCATTTACTTCATCATCCTTTTCGTCTGTGGCAACTGTATCCTCTCGGGAGCAGGGTGCAGAAAAGAGCTTAGGGAGGGGGTGGGGGAAAGGGCTTAAAATGGGGGTCAAGGGTGTCCAGTTTCTAGGTAGCCAGGCCCTCTGGCTGGAGGGGAGCTCCCAGGCCCATGCGGTAGGGGGTAGGACATAGCAAATGCAGGTACAGCTGTAGGATAATTCTTTGTGCCAAAAAGATTAGAGACTCACAGGGTTGTTTGGCTACAGCTGGGAGGAATTAAAAGCCCAGTAAGGTCAGTGAGCCTAGAGCAGTGGGGAGGAAGGACAGAGCTTTGCTGAGGAACATGAAGATGGTGGGACAGCCTTCTCCAAAGGTTCAGAGGCAGGCAGGGAGCCACCAGGACCCTGTGGCCGGGATGATCAGTCTGAGCGCTGGGACCAGAAGGACGGAGCCAGAACAGGCTGAGAGATGAGAGGAGCAGATATGAGGGTAAGGTGGATGGGGCCGGAGAGTTACTGGCAGTGCCTGAGCCGTCCTGGTGCCTGCACCTTGGAATGTGATACTATGGGGAGTGGGGAGGAAGGGCACCGTTGTTCCCCAACTCATGTGTGCCTCGCATGGGTCTCACTTGTTTTGCCTCACTGGCTCTCCACGCAGCTCAGTGTGGGAGCTGGGACCAGTCTGGACAGGAAACGGATGGGATTCAAGGCCACAGGATTCAGGCTCCTTCCTGGGTACTCTCAGCAGGCAGGCTTCCCTGAGGGCCTTCCACTATGTCCCTGGATCCACACCTTCCCATGGGTAGCTCTGGGAGAGTGGGGTTAGGTCCTGCCCACATGCAGGCAGACAGAACTCCTGCCCTGCAGGCTCCCTTCCACCTACAACCAAAGGCTCCTTAGCTAAACCCGCTCAGACATCCTGCTCAATGTCTTCCTGGCCATTGCCGTGGACAACCTGGCCGAGGCGGAGAGCCTGACTTCTGCCCAGAAGGCCAAGGCTGAGGAGAAAAAACGCAGGAAGATGTCCAAGTGAGTGCTTCCTTAGCAGGAAGGGACCTGGAGTGCTCAGTCGTGGCCATGGCCTTCCAGCTCTGGACAGGGCCTCCCTGTAACCCAATGATCAGGGTCCCTGACATGGTGACACCCACCTCAGTGGGCAAACTTCTGTAACCTGCACATGGGGGTGGCTGAGATCCTTCCCTGGGGGCAAGAACAGAGACAAGTTGGCCTTCTGGACAGACAGGCCTCAGGATGTAGAATGCCAGAGCCTCAGAGCCTGGCCAGTTGGGCAGGGCTCCCCTGCGGAGGGATCCTGGGAATTCCCCTCCCAACCCTGTCACTGAGTCGCTATGCCTCTGGGCGGGGTTGGAGTTCTACATCGAACAGGCTCCCCGGTGGTGCCCATGCTGCTGGTTGGAGGATTATGCTTCAAGTACCTAGGTTCTAGACAGAGTTCTGCTTCTTCCAATGCCCATGCCTACAGGAATGGGACACCCATTCCTGTGGAGGCAAGATGGAAAAAGAGGGACCAGCAATGGAGTTCAGACATTTCTAAAGAGTTGGAGCCATCTTGGGCAAACCATGCTTCCACTCTATGAATCTCGTATAAACCCAGTACAAAGCCACACTCCACCCATTCACTATCAACCAACGTTAAACATGGCTGACCAGTGAGCCACCGGTAGCCATGGGCCCATGCTGTGTGTCGGGCCCTCTCACCACAGAGAAGGGACTTGCCTGAGCCCACTGCCCTTCCCATTTGGGGGCTGATGCCACTCCTCCTACAGATCCCCTGGAGCCCTTGGTGTGGGATCCTCCTGAAGGTGTTGTCAGGTTCAGCAGATCCCTGAGAACTTTCTGGTTTGGCTTCCACTTTGGGTTTTCTAACTCAGGGGTCTCCCAGACAAGTCAGAAGAGGAGAAGTCAACGATGGCCAAGAAGCTGGAGCAGAAACCCAAGGGTGAGGGCATCCCCACCACTGCCAAGGTGAGCACCTCAGGTGGGGATGTTAGAGGCAGTCTAGGGGCTCTTCCAATCCATGGTTCCCTTCATACCACAGGGTACAGGTGGGGTAGGGTGGGGAGGTAGGAGAGTTATCAGCCAGGTGAGGGCATCTCCCTGCGTACGACTGGAGGGAGAGCCAGCGAATCCATCTCCAGGGACTCCTGCACTGAGAGGCACAGCAGACCTCCCAATCTGGGAACCAGACTTCTCCAGCGTAGCAGCTTCCCACTCCAGACCAAGGAGGTATTTCCTCTCCCTGACACCCGCTGTTCCACTGAGAGGCCCAGACCGGCTTCCACCATTGCTAGCCCTGCCCTGCTCATTCCCATCTGACTCTGCTCACCATTCCTGAAAACTGAGGAAGTGGAGTTCAAAAAGTCAGGGAACTGGGCCCAGAGAGGCTCGAGGTCCTGGCCTGGGGAAGCTCAACTCCCTTCTGGAGAACCAAGCAGTGGGTATGTGAAGATAGAGTCAGACAGGCTAGGGCGGGCTCAGGCCTTGCCCCGTGGGAGCTTTTGCAAGTTGTCTGGCCTTGCTGGGCCTGGCCTCTCATTTGTAAAATGGGGATGATCATAATATTCCCTGTTCCTTAGGCTGTAGGGATGATTAAGTGAGCTGAACGCTAACAGGCTCTCCAGTATATGCTCATTGAGGGGAAACCGCAACTTCTTTTTCATTGTTATAGTCATTGTGTTCCTTCCTACAGCTGAAAATCGATGAGTTTGAATCTAATGTCAATGAGGTGAAGGATCCCTACCCCTCAGCCGACTTCCCAGGTGAGGATGCTGGAGACTGGACTGGAGCAGGGTGCTGGGGTGAAGTAGGGGTGTGCCGGTCCTGAATTCTCCCCATGGGCAGTCTCTTGTGTGTCCCTACCTGTACCCCTCCATGTGGAGATCAGAACACCGGAGACATCCCTTCTGTGCAAATAAGCCATCTGCCAGCTTGTCTCTCTCAACAATGCACACAACAGAAAAACCCATACATTTTACTTTCATGTAACTCAGCAAGTATTTATTGAGTGCCAGCTATGTGCCTCACTGCCAAGGACTCAGTTTTCAAGAAGCACAGGGACACGTGGGTATACAAGTCTTCCCTGCCAGTCATGCAGAATGGATCATAAATGAGGACACGCCCATATATGTCGTGATGAGGCAGATTACTCACTATCCAGTGTCTGGTAGGGCTGGGGGCCGGAAGGATACAGGGATGGATAGAACCATGGCAGGCAATGTGGGAAAGTCCAAGAGGAGGAAACAATGGTGGGGTAGGGGGAGCATGGATAAGAAACAACCGTGGATAAACCACAAACATCTCATAAATGCAAATAGCCAGTGACTGCTGCAGAAATCCCATTTATCTGGACCAAGAAGAGGACAAGCAGAACCAGGCTGAATTAATCTTACCAGGCCACCTGACAGAGCCCTGGGGCCCAAGAACTCTCTGGGTCCTGGGTCCTTCGGATCACCGGGTCAGTGGGGCAATTTTAGATCTACTTGTCCCATCAGCTGATCAGCTACTTGTATGTCTACTTATGGAATCAGCTGATTAGCATCTGTTTGCCCCAGTGACTCTAAGCTCCAGGGGGACTTTTGTGTTCCACACAGCACAGTGTTTGGCTCAGAGGAGGCACTCAATAAATTGAATGAATGAATGCATGAAAGAATTTTGCAAAGTGAAGTATGGGGAGAATGGAGCTGGTACAAATAAGAATAATGAAATTTCTTCAAATATCTACCAGCAATGAATATTTGTGTTTTAGAATAACTCATTTTGAGTTGTTTCATCTAACAGTTATCACCTCTTAGATGGCAGTGACTTGTGTGCAGGTGAGATGGTGGCTGACAGGAAATCTGAGGTCAGGGACAAGGAAGGGGCTGGAAAGAAGTAAGGAGAGGAGGGGTAGAGGGGGTGTGGGCTGGACAGCAGGAAGAGAGTCTTACCAAGGGGACTGAATGTGTTTATATCCTGCTTCTTTCTAAAAATAGTTTGAAATGGCTTACAGCAAAAGATATGTGCAATGAAATTAACAAACTGGGCATAGGTGGAGGAAGTAAGAAGGCGGGGGAAAGATGCAAATATGCTAACTCGAAGAATTAATGGTCTCTGCGATTAAGCGTGAAATGTGTCTCTGGGGTCTGTGGCAGGCTGGGCAAGACAGAAAGTGTCACGTTAGGACACTCATTCCAAGGAATAAGAGTTCTAGCTTCTCGGGGGAACAGAAAAATTGGAATGTGACTTGGTGGATTTGAGAACCCCTACAGGTGGCCATGATGGAGACAGTAGAATCCAGTAGCTCTTGGCTTCCCTCAAGGCCTCTGCCAGGGGCCAGGAGGGTTAGGGAGGAGGTAGCTGTCAGGGGAGGGAACCAAGAGAAACCCCAGCTTTGAATAGTGCCCCCACCGTCTGATCACGGGATTCTCCCACCCTGGGAGCTGAGGATTTCGGGTACTCAGCTTCCTCTTGAGGTCATGAGACTCAGTGAATGTGCTTGGAATGTCCGTCTCTTCATCCCCTATCCCCTGCCTGCATCCTGGGGACTGGGTGAAGCTCAAGAAATTCTGATTGCTTTTTTCCATGCTGGAAGAAGCTTCTCTGTGAAGTTACTATTTTTAAAATCCTAGCCCAGGAGAGGATCACAGGGTCCTTTTATTTCAACAACCCTCCTGCCCCTTGTCGGTTTCACAAATTGGAAACTGACGCTAAGGAAGGGCACAGACCTTCCCAGCACTGCACAGCAAGTTAGACGCAGACCTGGGACTAGGACCCAGGTCTCTTCTTCTGAAGCAGCGTTTCCCACTCCATCCCCCAGCCTATGGATATTTGAGGCTGTGTGGATCGAGCCTTGAGACACAACATGCAGCCACAAAGTTACTTGGGCTTGCTCCTTGCCCCACTTCTGGAAGGTTGTGGGCTTCCCTTACCTACCCTTGACGCTCAAATCTGCTCACTGTGAAGAGAAGGAGATGCCCGGGCTGGACTCTGCCAAAGCCCTAGGGTCCCAAGTCAGCCTGGTGGTCCCTTGCTTACTGGCTGCAGGGGCTCCTAGGAGGGCTCTGAGCACAGAAGCCATGGGCATAGCAAAGCATGGGAAGACACCCCTAATTCCTCTCTCTCTCCCCACAGGGGATGACGAGGAAGATGAGCCTGAGATCCCGCTGAGCCCCCGACCACGTCCCCTGGCTGAGCTGCAGCTGAAAGAGAAGGCCGTGCCCATTCCAGAAGCCAGCTCCTTCTTCATCTTCAGCCCCACCAATAAGTGGGTGCCCCTTGGCTGCTGTGGGGGTGATTGATGCGGCTCTCATCTGCTTCCCTGCCCTAGAAAAAACCCTGTCTGACTCTCCATGCCTACAGTTATACTATGAGAAACTCAGTGTTTTAGCTTAAGATCTTGTGCCCTGTTTAAAATGCTAGTATATCTGGGAAAAGTAATGCTTTAAACCTTATCAGTTATTTACACCTAAGAGGGACCTGTTTATTGGTTCCTTTCTGAGAGAAGAGCTTTAGACAGGTCAAGGGGGAGAGAGCAAGGGAAGCTATAGTTTTTATCGGCTTCATAATTTTACACCTTTAAACTATACACAGGCCATAGTCTCTGTGGAGTTTCATCTGTCTGCCTCATGGATAGAGACCAGCCTGTCCCATTTTCATTTGATGGGAAACCTCAGGGTGGTGCCATAATTGCAGGAAGGGGCAGGTGGTGGGAGGGGCTTGGCTGGGAGGAGGAACTAAGGCTTTAGAAACAGAGTGAGAGGTCAGGGCCCCCTGTGTGTCCAGCCAGAGGACCCTGCAGGTGCAGGGCTGCACTTCTCTCCTGGCCAGGGAGGAGCAGGAGGTGTATTCCATGTTCGTCCGCAGGATGGAGGCTGATGAGGCCTGAGCCTCCAGCAGCTCACAGCTCCCCTGCCCTCCCTACCTCGCCCCACCAGGATCCGTGTCCTGTGTCACCGCATCGTCAATGCCACCTGGTTTACCAACTTCATCCTGCTCTTCATCCTGCTCAGCAGCGCTGCACTGGCTGCGGAAGACCCCATCCGGGCTGATTCCATGAGAAATCAGGTGACGGGCTTCACCCTCTCTGCCACTCAGCACCCCTGCCCCCTCCAGCCTCAGTCTGGTGCCCAGGGTTCAGCTGTATCCTCTATGTGGCTACAAGCATCAGAGTTTCTTAGAGTTCAGTTCCTCAGGGATAGGACTGCCCACTCCACTCCTTCTGAACGGCACAGGCTGGGGCACAGAATGGCTCTGACTGCCTGCTTTATGCTGCTGCTGCTGCTGATACTGTTGCCCCCTCCTCCTCTCACTGGCTGCTCCCGCCCCTGCCCTGTCCCCAGATCCTTAAACACTTTGACATCGGGTTCACCTCTGTCTTCACTGTGGAGATTGTCCTCAAGGTGAGTGAAGGCTGTGGGGCAGCCCTGGGGAGGGAGTTTCCCTGATGTGGCTCCAGTTTACACACACTGAACTCAGGGGCTGGAGAGAAGCAGAAAAGAGGTGGAGACTGGCAGGAAAGACTCATGGGACCCAGCACACCGGCAGGCCCACAAGTATCTGGATGGAGGGCTGGAAAGTAAAGCCCAGCCAGCCTGTGGCTCCCCCATCCACAGAGTACAGCCCATGTCTTGAAGCCTCAGGCATTTTTCTTTTTATTTTTTCTTTTTAGATGTCGTCTCACTCTGTCACCAGGCTGGAGTGCAATGGCACTATCTCAGCTCACTGCAACCTCCACCTCCCAGGTTCAAGCGATTCTCCTGCCTCAGCCTCTCAAGTAGCTGGGATTACAGGCGTCTGCCACCACACCCAGCTAATTTTTTGTATTTTTAACAGAGACAGGGTTTCACCATGTTGGCTGGGATGGTCTTGATATGCTGACCTTGTGATCCGCCCACCTCAGCCTCCCAAAGTGCTGGGATTACAGGCATGAGCCACCTCGCCCAGCGAACTCTCGCATTTTTCTTCCATACAGTTAGCTTAAGAGCAGACCTGGTGGCCGGGCGCAGTGGCTCACGCCTGTAATCCCAGCACTTTGGGAGGCCGAGGCGGGCGGATCACCTGAGGTCAAGAGTTTCAGACCAGCCTGGCCAACATGATGAAACCCTGTCTCTACTAAAAGTACAAAAATTAGGCAGGCATGGCGGCAGGCACCTGTAATCCCAACTACTCAGGAGGCTGAGGCAGGAGAATTGCTTGAACCTGGGAGGCAGAGGTTGCAGTGAGCTGAGATCATGCCACTGCACTCCAGCCTGGGTGACGAGAGAGACTCCATCTCAAAAAAAAAAAAAAAAAAAAAAAAAAAAAAGAGCAGAGCCGGGGAGCTGTGTGATTTGTCATCCCTAGACCTCTGTTAACAGTGACTGGAAAGGCCTTTTCCTCCAAGAGTCCCCAGAGAAGTGACTGCTGCCCTGAGCTGGGTTCCTGGCAGCTCTGCCCTATCACGCCTTTTCCACACCTTATCCACAGCACGTCACTGCTCACCCATTCCCAACACAGATGCACGGGGTTCCAGCCATCCTGGGGGTGGTGGGCTCTGGGGGCAGAAGGAGAACCCATCTATAACTGAAACCCAGTAGCCCCCGCGTGCACATTCACAAACTAAGAGAGGAGAAGCTAGCCGAGCCCCAGGAACAGGCTCAGAGCAGGCTGTGGTGTGAAATCAGGACAGTACCTTATTTCGGGGCCTCAACTATTGAAGGAATTGAGTAGAGGGAGATGGTGGCTTCCTCGAGGTCAAGAAGTTTGTGGAGTTTGGGGCACGAGAGCCAGAACTTGAAGTTGGACAGGCCTTCACTGGGTAGAGATAGCTAGGGCGGCCTAGGACAGACAGTAGCAAGTGCATTATAAGGAGATCTGGGGACATTGCCAGAGAGGATAAAGTGGCCCCTTTGGGCTGGGATATATTGCACATACAGGAGGCCTGGGTGCCGAGTCTGGGAAGGCAAATTAAGACAAAATCATATAGGTCCCTGAATGCTGGGAAAGGTTTCAACCCTGTTCGATTTTAAGGGCAAAATGCATTTGTGCAAAGGCATGGGAGATTATTAGAGAATATATCAAAGAAGCTGAGAGGGGAGCAAGAAGGCAGGTGATGGGAAGGAGGTGGAGAGGGAGGAGAGAGGGCCTAGGACCCCTAGAGTCCTGGAGGGCTTGTTCAGCCTGACTTAGCAAACCACAAGGCAGAGGGGATTGCCCAAGAAGCTTTCCAGGAAGGAGAAGTTTTATGTCCCACAGGAGACAGTAGGGCCAGGGCTCCCCCACTCTGTGGCCCCATGGGAAAGGAGACCCAGGGTTCCCTATGGCATGTAAAGAAAGAGACTTCTGGCCCAGCTGCCCGTGAGAAGTCCTCACATTTCAACAACTGCGAGCAGAGATAGGAAATGCATTTAGGCCACTGCAAGGAGTTGAGTGAAATATAGAGATTTCTGGAAGGCTATTGCCTCAGTAAGTGCTCTCCTGAGCAGAGGCGAGAAGCCCTTGTCTGTGGGAGACAGGCCTGTTCTCCAAGCTCCTCCATCCAGGCTGCTGCCTCTTTCTCCCCAGATGACGACCTACGGAGCCTTCCTGCACAAGGGTTCCTTCTGCCGCAATTACTTCAACATGCTGGACCTGCTGGTGGTGGCCGTGTCCCTCATCTCCATGGGACTTGAGTGAGCAGCGGCAAGGGCCAGCCCTGGGCACAGACCACCCTCTGCTCTGTGCCAGGGCTTTGTAGTGGGAGTCCCACCCATGTTGGTGGGCCCCTGCCACAAGAGGAGGGTCTCTCGGGGCCTCCGATGGAGGCAGGGGGTCCTGTGGGTTGTCACCAGCTGGAATGTGGGTTGCCACCAGTGAAGTGGGCAGCGCTCTGTTCTAGAGACTGGCAGGAGATGCAGAGAGGAGGAAGTGGTCCCTCCCTCCCCGACCCTGTGGGGAGCACAGCCCCTGCCTTTGGGGTGCTCACCGTCTGACGGGAGGGACGGAGCTTCTAGCCACCCACAGGGGAAGGCTGTCTTCTGCTTCATGACACACCCATGAGAGCATGGTCCAGATAGCAGGGGTGGCTGTGCCCTGGAGTCGGGCACACTCTCACGGCTGGAGGAAAGGGAAGGGGAAGGTGGGAGTGTTTTCAGGCAGAAAGGCAGCTGGTGTGGAGGGCAGGATATGGCTGGAGGCTCCACCGCAGACTGGGCTGGCTGGAGCAGGCTGCCCTCAGCCCCCTCACCATTGCCGCCCCCCAGGTCCAGTGCCATCTCCGTGGTGAAGATCCTGAGGGTGCTGAGGGTGCTCCGACCACTCAGAGCCATCAACAGAGCCAAGGGGTTGAAGGTGAGAGAGGGCCCGGGCAGGAGCCCCAGAGAGGAATGGGAGGGGTTACAGGGGCCTCCTCGCTCCAGAAACCTCAGCCCAGCCATGGCTGGGACCCCTGTCCCATCTCCCTGGGCAGATAGGGGTAAGGATGAGGCTGGGGTAGCTATGCTTCCCCACCAGCCTTTCCCCACCTCCAACTCATCAGGAGGCAGCAAGTCTTGCACTCCTGGGGTTTCCTCAACTGGGCTAGCAGGGTTACTGTGGGTGCACCCCCAGTCCCCATTGGCCCCTCTGTCCCCAGCACGTGGTGCAGTGCATGTTCGTGGCCATCAGCACCATCGGGAACATCGTGCTGGTCACTACCCTCCTACAGTTCATGTTTGCCTGCATCGGCGTCCAGCTCTTCAAGGTGAGCCCCAGCCTGCGCGAGCAGCTCCCCCTCCCGCTCCCAGCCCTGGTGCCCACTCTCAAGCACAAGGAGCCCCACATTGTGAAAACAGATGTCTTCGAATGCACAGATTTCCATATGAGAATATTTTATTTTGAAAAATAGGTCTTCACCACACCAAACACATAAGTTTGCAGAAAGCCAGTAAGACATCGTTACATTTAAATAGCACCTTGAGTTCCACAAAAGCAGCCCAATGATAATCTCAGAAACAGTCAATGGGCTTCTAACACTACTGAAATGGTAGCAGAGGGTCATGTGTCTACTGAGTTGAAATTTAAATACAATTCAAGCCCCATCTCTTAAAGCTATTGTCATGCACTTAGAATTCTATCAAACAAAACAAGAAAACGGTTAGTTTGATGTCCATCTTTTAAATATGACTATGAAACTTCAATCTATAAATACAACTCTCCTAAATCAAACTTTTAAGAGACAGCCATCTTTCAATGATGGTTAATAGCTTTAAGAGATCTAATAAGCTAAAATGAAAACCTGACAGCAACTATCTTAAGCTCTTTTAAAAATTAAATACACAAGCAACACAACACATTATTGAGACTCAAAGTGAATTTGCTTCAACTGAATGCACAGAGTTTTAAGGCTAATATGTGGCAAGTCCAGATCCAGTTTCCTCAGTGACATCCATCCCGGGCCTCTTGGTTGACTGCTGACCACTGTTGCCATTGTATCTGCTCTCTCCCTACCCCACGTGGCTTTTCCTTGGGGAGGGAGGCCCCTCCTCCCAGGGCCCCACAGCCATTCTTCTCCCTTCCCACCCTTGCCCGCTTCCTCCCATCCTGCCAGGCCTGTGCCAAGCATACGCCCTATCCCAGCCCCACACTCCGCCTCCGTCAGTGCAGCTGGGCTGCGGCAGCCCATCTTCCTGGCTGGTATGTCTGGCATCATCCACATCTACCAGGAGCCTCTAAGGCTGGGAGTTCATCATCTCACATCCGGAGCCAACCTTATACTTTTCTCATTTTCCTAGGAGAACACAGCTATTCAGTTCCTCTCTAGGAATTAGCCCTACAAAGATGTCCCTCACACAAACCCTGATTTCCAGATGTCTCTGGCTCTCAGATCATTTGCAGGACAGAGAAATTGATTCCTAAGTATACACCAACACCCTTGATACTTCCTGCATGACCCAGCTGCTCCTCCTATCACCAAAGCACGATCTTTCAAAGTCATAATTACATAACCCCAGTCAGTCTTAGACATGAAATGGCATCATCTTACAATCATTCATTCATTCAACAAACATGTATGGAGTATGTTTTCCATACTTGAGCCAGGGCCTCTGCTAGAGCTGAGGGCCTTACAAGCCAAATCCTCGCTGAGGGCAGGGAACAGGCTCTGAGAGAAGCAGCAGCGTGGAGCCCCTAGAGAATCTTCGCGGGGAATAGGTCTTGTTGGTCCCTGTCCTGGAGGGACGGGAGGGATGGGAGTGTTTATTGTGTCTGGCCACTCTGCCAGCTGCGTGCAGCCTTCTCCCCCTGGCCCAACTGAGGGCTGTCCACCTCCTGCTCCCCAGCCCCCTCCTCTGCCAAGCTTGGGTCCCCAGAATCCCCTGAGGGCAGTGTCTGTGTCTGCCTCATCCCTTTGCCTGGCCCCCTGCCCAGGGCCTGGTGCAGAGGAGGCCCACCAGACACGCTCCCTGAAGGAATGAATGAGCCGCTGCCCTCCCTTTGGCTTCCACGTCCCTTCCAGACAAGCAAGAGCAATTGCTTGTCAACACCCAACTCTCGCCATGCTTTTGTCTCTCATTAAAAGACCCCCAGCTCCTGCCTTCCAGGAGGTTCTAGAAGCATAACAGTTCCAGTTGGCATTTGATGTCGCTTTTGACTCTGTGGAAACACCACGTGCATTCCACATTATAGCAGAGTCAAGCTTTGCTTTCCATAGTAAACTGGGCATTTGGTGTTAAGTGCCCAGACCCTGCCCAGTGGCAGCTCTATCCACTCTCTGCTTACCCCCAGTACCACCCGCCTCACCTTCACCTTCTGCTCCAGCAACCATAAAAAGGGCATGTGATAGGAACAGCACAGATCTGTGTGGCAGGGGCAGCGGGGGGCAAGGGCCAGCTGTGTCTTCAACTAGTGCTGTGTCCTTGGCCGAGGCAGTTTCCCTATCTGGGTCTTTGAAGGAACTGCACCAGAATCCGTGGATCTCAAGCCTGATTTAGCCTCTTTAAGACCTAGCCATCCTGCTGGACGCGGTGGCTCATGCCTGTAATCCCGGCAATTTGGGAAGCCGAGGCGGGCGGATCACTTGAGGTTGGGAGTTCAAAACCAGCCTGACCAACATGGTGAAACCCCTTCTCACTAAAAATACAAAAATTAGCTGGGCATGATGGCACATACCTGTAATCCTAGGTACTCAGGAGGCTGAGGCCAGAGAGTTGCTTGAACCGGGGAGGCGGAGATTGCAGTGAGCCGAGATCACACCACTGTACTCTTGCCTAAGCGACAGAGTGAGCAAACAAAAAAAAAAAAGACCTAGCCATCCACTACTTTCCTTCAAACATGTTGCTCAGGGACCCAATCTGAGACACAGATAAAAGGAGTAACTGCCACAATGTGCACATGTACCCTAAAACTTAAAGTATAATTTAAAAAAAATTCTATAATAAATAATCTGCAAAGCCTTGAAAAAAAAAAAAAAGGATTAACTGCTCTGGCCAAAGTCAGTGCAGAGGAGCACAGAGCCCCCCTACCTGGGCCTTGGGCTGGGACATGGGACCCCGCTTGACTCTGAGACAAGTTGAGTCATCAGAGCCCAGCTGGGCTCCAACTCTGCTGCTCCCGCCCCACTGGCAGGAGGATGGAGGTGGGAGGTGGGCAGCCCCTCCTCCTTGTTCCATAATGGGAGACCACAGAAGGCCTCCTGCAGCAGTGCGGGAGGTAAGGGGCTCAGAGGCTCAGCTCCCCGAGGGAGGGGCAGGGGCCAAGCTGCACTCATGTCCATCCCCTCAGCCCATCAGGGGGCACTCAGTAAATGCCCCTCTGAGGCACTGCCTTCTCGGTCTTGGCAGCATCTAGGCTGGGTGGGGAAGCCCTGGGGGAGCTGTGGGAATGAACGATGGTGAAGAAAGGAGGCTGCTCTGGGGCCCTGCCCCAAGGGCGAGTTCACGCCTCTGAGAGGAAGAGATGGGCTTGGGCTCCTTTTTTCAGATGCCTGCCTTCCCTCCCCCCTTCCACTGTTCACTCCCAGAGCCCACTTTTCTATCCTGTTTCCATGACAACATGCCTCCCTCCCTCCCTCCCTCTTCCTGGCTGCAGGGGAAGTTCTTCAGGTGCACCGACTTGTCCAAGATGACAGAGGAGGAGTGCAGGTACATGGGGCAGGGAGCACAGTGGGACGGTCACGGGGCAGGGAGCATGGTGGGACAGTCACGGGGCAGGGAGCACTGTGGGAGGGTTACGGTCACGGGGCAGGGAGTGTGGCAGGACGATCACAGGGCAGGGGACTGTGTGTTGGTGGATGACGGCCCTTCAAGCTGGAAACTGGGGAAGCTCAGCCTTTAGGCTTAGGAGGGACACTCACAGAGGCCCCTTTCCTCGGACTCGCCCAGCGGTGTCCCCTTGGGTCCCAGATCTGGAACTTCATTTCTCCTTCACACTCCCCACCCAGGGCCCAGAGGATGTGGGTGGGGCAAGGCAGCCCAGCCATGCCCTGTGGAGTGACTGGGCCTCCCTGCCACAGGGGCTACTACTACGTGTACAAGGACGGGGACCCCATGCAGATAGAGCTGCGTCACCGCGAGTGGGTACACAGCGACTTCCACTTCGACAATGTGCTCTCAGCCATGATGTCCCTCTTCACGGTCTCCACCTTCGAGGGATGGCCTCAGTGAGTGATGGCTGGGGCCTAGGTCCCTCATGGACATGGTCAGGTAGGACCAGGCAGCCAGCCTGCCCTTCTGCAGCCCCCACGGTGCTACTGCTACCTGTGGCAGGCGTCCAACAAACCCACCAACTCTCTGATGGTTTGATGGTATGTTGACTGGTCACTCCAAAGTAGGCCTGACCAGGGGTCTCTGACAAAATGCACGCAGTCCCCCATAGGTGTATGCCTCTCTGCCCACAGGGCAGATTGTTAATACTGATTGATTAGGGATAGATGGGGCAACCTCTTGAAAGGCAGGGCCATTCCAGGATTGGGTCTGGTCTTTCCTGGCGCCGACCTAACTCCTGTCCCGTAACTTGATTGTTGAGAAGGCTCTCTTGGCTCTCCACAGCCAGTGGGATAAAGCCCATCCTTCCCAGCCTGACTCTCTGCCTTGTCACCCCACCCAGTCTGTCCTCTCTTCTCTGCCCACCCCCAGGCTGCTGTACAAGGCCATAGACTCCAATGCGGAGGACGTGGGTCCCATCTACAACAACCGTGTGGAGATGGCCATCTTCTTCATCATCTACATCATCCTCATTGCCTTCTTCATGATGAACATCTTTGTGGGCTTCGTCATTGTCACCTTCCAGGAGCAGGGAGAGACTGAGTACAAGAACTGTGAGCTGGACAAGAACCAGGTGCCTGGGCTGCCTGCCAGAGGTGGAGGGCAGAGCTCCAGCAGGCCTCCTGCTGGCCCAAGCCCTAGGTTCAGCCAGGGAAGAGAGGCCTAAGGGTGACCCCAGAACCTGCATTTGATGCCAAGCCCTAGCCTCCATGCACCCTACCCTATCTCCAAACTGAAGCAATACAAGTTGGTAGAGTGGGTCTTCTTGTGGAACCTCATGATGCCCAGAGAAAGGAAGCCCTTCAGACCCACAGTCTAGTCTATAGCACCCATGGGAATGGGCTGTGATAACTCAAGGGGAACCCAAAGCCCAACAGGATTATTCCCCTAAACAGTTCACAGTCCTCAGCCACAGCCCCTGGCCACAGCTGCTCCTGACTTGCCCGTCAATCCCATGGATGTGGGTGTGGAGAGGGAGGGAGGGGCCTCTTGGTGCTGACCTGTCCTGTTGTATGTGTCACAGCGCCAATGTGTACAGTATGCCCTGAAGGCCCGCCCACTGAGGTGCTACATTCCCAAAAACCCATACCAGTACCAGGTGTGGTACATTGTCACCTCCTCCTACTTTGAATACCTGATGTTTGCCCTCATCATGCTCAACACCATCTGCCTCGGCATGCAGGTAAGGGCTCCCCAGGAGAAAAATGTCTGATCAGACTGGGACCTGGGCCTTGGGTAGGGCAGGATGAGTAGGGCAGGATAGCCAGGATTCCCCCCAGTAGACATTTCTTGTGCACTGTGTGCTGAGGTGCTACATGGAATACAGAAGTGAACTGCGCACAGGCCTTGTCACCAGGCACTTATGGTTTATTAAGGAGGTAATTCAAGCATAAAAATAGTACGGTAATTCTGCAAACAGGAGATAGCTACCACAGAAGGAGGAGAAAGTGTGGGAAGTAGAAAGTGCTTTCTCTGTTTTTCTTCTGCTGTTGCAAATCTGGATGGTTGAGTTGGCTGGAATCTTGGCTCTGGTCCCAAGAAAAATGGGTTTAGTATTTGCAAAACAGATGTCTCTCTTGGGAGTTGAGCACCCTTTATAGACAATATCATAATTAGCAGCATCGTTATCAAGCCTCGATTAAGCATCTGATTCCTTAAGCCCTGTATAAATAGGATGGTGTAACTAGGCTCCCTGCTCCTAGAAGCCCAAGACACACCCAATGATAAGAACACACACTGCTAGGTCATGGTGATATGGAAAGACAATCACTGAGCCAGGAGGCCCAGGTCGCAGAGGATCATCAGCACTGGCTTGTGTTTGGGGCTGAGTCAGGCAGCAGAATTGGGCAGTCCTGCCAAGGCAGGGCAGGGTGGAGGCAGCCATCAGATCCTCCCAAACTACCTGGAAGGTTTTGTGGAAGAGGTAGAATTTCATCCACTTTCTAATAAAAGGGTAAGAGATCCCTGGGAAAACTTACAAGGAAGTAGATTTAAGGAGGGTCATAGTGGTAGGTGACAGGGGCCTCACCATCATGCCTCATAATCACTGGGGGTGGTGTGCAGACACAGTAAGCTTGGTGAGCTCTCAGTTTCCCACTAGTAGCCAGTGATAACATGGACTATGGAATCCAGGGGTCTTCTTTCCCAGTCCTGTACCCAAATGACTAAACAGAACCTGTTACAGAGCCCTGCCTGGACGACCTGCCATCCTGGTCCTCCCAAAGCAGATATGTAAATGAGCTTTGGCCTTGCAGCCCTGCATGTAAATGAACGCACTCAGCAGGACTTGGAATTGGAGCCCCTCCCCTTCTGTGTTATCTCTTTTGTGGTGGTGGGGTAGGGGGAGGGTGTTCATAAAATTTGGCGGAACTCAGGGGATTGCTAAAGCAGCTTCTAGTTTTCTGAGCTAAAACAAAGTGAGCAGGGGGCCCAAGAAAGGGTTGGGGGCTTCCCAGGAAGAGGCAGGGGCTCTGGGAATGCAATCTACAGGGTGGGCAAACCCGGCCCCCCTGACCCACTGCTCCTGTGTCCCCTCCACAGCACTACAACCAGTCGGAGCAGATGAACCACATCTCAGACATCCTCAATGTGGCCTTCACTATCATCTTCACCCTGGAGATGATCCTCAAGCTCATGGCCTTCAAGGCCAGGGTGAGTGTGGGGGCCACCGGGCCAGATGAGAAGCTGGGGCTGGTGGGTGGGACCTTCCAGTGGAACATCCACCCCCATCCCTCATCCTATCAGGGCTCCTTTGCCCAGCACTTCTGCTCCCAACTTGCTCACCCCTTTGCCCACTTCCACCTTCAGACACAGGGCAGGCAGATCTTCATGCAGCCAGAATTGACAATGACAGAAAGACTCTGGGCGCCTCTTCCTTGGAGCTTCTCTTACATTCTCGCCTGCTCTGAAGTTTCTGAAGAACAGTCCCAGGGCTGGGGGAAAATCTTGCCTTGTCTCTTTCGTTCTCAAGTCCATTGCCATGGTTCCCAGCACAGCCCTGTCAGTTCCGCACTGTCAAGCCCCAGATAGGATGTTCAGTGGGGTTCAGGGGATGAAAGAGATCTCTATCTGGACCAGGACCCCAAATCCTGAGTTCCCAACAATTCTCCCCTCCCCCCCACCACTACTTTCTGCTCTGGAGGAAGGGAACTAAAGAGCAAAGGGGAGAGGAGTGTTGGAGTTGGGGGAGCCCACTGGAGCACCAGTGGGAGGTGGAGTCATGGGCACCCCACCTTGGCCTAACCCGCAGCTCCGCATTAGCTCGGGTGGGACACTGTCCTCTGCCAGCAGCCAGAGCTCCTTCCTCCCAAAGCTCACCCCCTCGCTTTCCCATCCTTTTCCTTCCCAGGGCTACTTTGGAGACCCCTGGAATGTGTTTGACTTCCTGATTGTCATTGGCAGCATCATTGATGTCATCCTCAGTGAGATCGACGTGAGTATCAGGCAGGCAGAGCCATCACTAGGGTGGGCCCAAGAGCATGTGTTCAATCCACAGATATTTGTGGGGTGCCCACTGTGTGTACAACATGGAACCCCAGGGGTTAAAAAGATGGAATGACAAGTCACGGCTTCTGCCCTCAAGGAACTATCATCCTGCTGGGCAGAGAGGTAACTCAGATACCAGGGGGACACAATGGGTGTACCTACTACACTATCAAAGGCAAGAGCTGTAACGGAAAGGAAAGTCGTCTCTGGGTGGGGTGGTCAGAGAAGGCTTCATGGAGGTGGTGCCATCTGCCTGAAGGAAAGGGAGGTGGTGACTGGAGCTGGAGAGGAGAGCAAGCACCTCAGGCAGGGCTACTGTAGGAGAGGCACAGCGCAGGAAATGCAAAGAAGGTTCAGGGCATGCTGAGTGGTCCAGTTTATTGGAAGCATAAGAACATGCAGAGAAGAGAACAGAGAGGGCAAGGCTGGAGAGCTAAGCGGTGAGAGTGGGCTTCAGCTTTATGGAGCAGGCAGTGGGAAGTCACTAAAGGTTTTTAAACAGGGCAGTGGGAGGATTAGAGTCCTACTTCTTTTTTAAAAAATATGTTTTTGAAATATAGAGATGGAGTCTCCTCGTGTTGCCCAGGCTGGTCTCCAAGTCCTGGGCTCAAGTGATCCACCTGCCTCAGCCTCCCAAAGTGCTGGGATTACAGGTGTGAGCCACCGCGCTGAGCCCTTAGAGCCCTGCTTCTAAAAAGCTAACCTGGAGATGAGCAACAGGAAGTGAGGATGACTAAAATTAAGAGACCCAGTTAGAAGACTCACTCATTTATTTCTCAAATATGTACTGAGTACCTCCCATGTGCCAGGCATGATTCTTGCTGCCTGAGATACAGCAGTGAACAAAATTGTGGAACAAACTGGCAATAAATAAATCAATCTCTAATATGACAGGTATGACAAGTACATAGTATTATACAGAAACATAAAGGGAGTTAGAGGCTTAGAGTGGAAGAGAATGGGAGGGTGGTGTCCATATGACACTGGAGCAGAGGCCTGAAGAAAGCAAGGGCATGAGCCATGCCAGAACGGGGGCCAGAGTGTTGGCAGAACACGACAGCAGTGCAAAGGCCCTGCAGCAGGATGGTGCTTGCTGAGTTTGAGGAAGAGCAGGAGGCCCTTGTAGCTGGAGGAGAGAGTGGTGGAGATGAGGTAAGAGAGAGAAGGCAGGGGCCAGATCATCTAGGCCCTTGAAGGCCATGGTTATGATCTTGGATTTTATTCTGAGGGAGATGAGAACCCTTTGGAGGGTTTAAGTGTGAACAGACTTTAGTTCTAAAACAATCACTGTGGCTGCTGTGTTGCGAACAAACTAAACTGTAGGGGACAAGAGGGCTGACCCAGCGAGAGCAGTCAGGGGGTTCCCGCAGTGATCCAGGTGAGAGGCGATGGGGGCCGGGGCTGGCTGTGGAGGCTGTGAGAAGGGATCAGTGTCTGGATCTATTTTGAAGGTTGAGCTGACAGGAAGGCTCCCAGAATCTGGACCAAGGGGATGAGGGTTTGGAGGTGGAATGAGAAACAGCAGCAGGACCTGCCTTATGAAGGGGATGAAAGGAGCAGGGAGGCAGTTCCAGCCAGAGAGGTCCACATTCAAGACCTTAGAAGCCGATCCCTCCAGAGGCTGCCTTGCCAGGGGTCTGTAGCTGAAGGTTGCTGCAACGAAGGAGGGTGGAGAAGATCCGAGAGTCAGAGGCCAAAATCAAAAAACAGTTGCCCAAGTGGCATCCTGGGAGGGACACAGTGGAAAAGAGAGAAAGATGAGCATTCTTCTTTCTGAGCCATGGTGGGATGTCACCCAAGGGCTGGCTGATCTGACCACGAGGGATCCCAGCAGGGGACTGGTCCCAAAGCTAGGGGCTCACCCATGCATAGGGCTTTCTTCTGAACTGCCCACTGCTCAACAGAAAGCCCTTAGGCTGTGCCAGCCTGTGGGGTGAACCTTAGGGTGAGTTGGGTATAGGGGTGGAAGGATCAGCACTGGGGATGCCTGAGGTGGGGTGTGGGTGAGAGGAATGGCTGAGGAAAAGTCTGGAGTCTCTGAGGAAGGAGCCCTCAGCTGAGGCTGAGCTCTGGCAGGGAGTAGGGACTTGGCTGTCACATCGTCTGTCTGATGTGCTAGGGGAGGGCCAGGGTGGGAACCCTGTTCACCCTCCATGCACAGAACAGACGGTGACAGACAACCCCATCTGCTCAGATCCCCTGGGGGCGCTGAGCTAGCGAGGGGCAGGGTGGGCTCTGAGCAAAACCAGTGTGTGTGTGTGTGTGTGTGTGTGTGTGTGTGTGTCTGTCTGTCTGTCTGTCTGTGTGTGTGTGTTGTGTATTTCCATCCACACTCAGTTTTTGCTGGGAAATAGTATCCCAAAAGCCTCCATGGTTTGACAGCAGCACTTCTCACCAGCACAGCCAGAACAGAGAAATCTAAACAGCCAAAATAAACAGCCCAAACTAAAAATAGTTACTTCTTAAAATCTGAGGTCTGTGTAGCGGAAGCCTGGATATATCAAAACAGTGTCTTTGGTGGTGGAGGCCAGGAGGGTGTCACTGGTTTTTATTTGATTTTTAGCAGATGTCCCTTACCAGTAGTGTTTGCTTAAAGTCACGTGAAGATTGATTTACATACCTGATGTACAAACCAGGGAAAGGACTAGGGGAGCACATTGGTTAGAACTTTCTGCAAGGACAGAAATGGTCTGCCCTGTCCAATAGAGTAGCCACTAGCCACACATGTCTACTTGTCACTGGAAAGGTGGCTAGAGGAACTGAGGAACCAAATTTCTGGTTTTATTCAATTTTCATTGTAATTCAAATAGTCACATGTGGCTAATGGCTACCATATTGGATAGCACAGGTATAGAACACTGGTCGTCATCCTTGCTTGCATATGAGAATCACCTGGGGTGCATTTAAACTTCTGAAGCCAGGCCCCATCCCCTAGAAGCTGACTTAATTGACCTAAGTGCAGACCCAGCAAAGGTATATGTGTTTTTCGAGTTCTTCAGGTGATTCTGACATACAGCCAGGGTGGAGAACCAGTGGTCCAGGGAAAATCTGCCCCAGGGAAAATCTGTTGTTTAATGAGAAGACCAGTATGCCAGGGATCAGTCTACCTGTGGATAATTGGAAGATAAAACAATGACTTCTTTTGACCCAGGGCTGCAGAACAAGGGCTTCTCATGAAGTGTGGCCCAAGGGAGTAAACAGGAAGAAATTGCTCCCACACACCTACCCACCTGCTCTTCAAGAGCCCGAATACTGAGATAGAAGCCTTGGTCCCAGGTCCAGTCCTGGACAGAGAAACATCTGCTGTGGGGATTTCAGACTCCCCCAGAGGAGCTGTGCCCCTGGGAGATGGGACTTCCACAGGGGCCCGGACCCTGGCCTCAGGGCACTATGGATGTGAATCCATTTACAATGAGCAGGCATCTTCCAATGCGCCTTCATTAGGGACGTCCCCAGCATCACATAACCCAAACACATAAGAAAAACCCAAACCCTTGCCACCCGTAGCTGCATCTCCAAAATGAGAAGGGATCTGTCTGTGTCCAGCCTTCCCTCCCCTTCTTATTTCCTTGTCCCCCACCTCTTGCCTCACAGTTCCCACAGAGCTTCAGTCCTCACTCCCACCCACCCCGCCCCTGATTGGCAGCCATGTGGGGTCTTTAGCCCCTGCCTCTTTTTCTCTTTAACTCTTCTGTGTGTCTGTCCTTTCTGACACGTCTCTTCACCTCCCTCCCACATGTCCCTCCTCCTCTCTCTCCTCTCCTTCCCCTCCCTTCGTCTCTTTTCTCCACAGACTTTCCTGGCCTCCAGCGGGGGACTGTATTGCCTGGGTGGAGGCTGCGGGAACGTTGTAATTTCAGGCTGCACGAGCCTGCCTGGCACGCTCACCAGCTCCTGCCCTGCCACTTGCATGCATGGGCCTGGCTGCGTGGATTGCATGGGGTGGATCAGCACTCAGGGCTCCCTCCCCAGGGCAGGCCCTGCTGAGGACCCAGGCTAGGCTCGGGTGGGGGCAGAGGCTCTGCAGTCAAGTGTGCATGGATATAGCGGCTTCCTCAGAGCCCTGGGAGATGGAGTGCGGGTTCTCTCTGGCACCCTCTATGCAGATGGAAACACAGTCCAGAGAGAACTGTGATCGCTGGCAAAGGACCTTAGTGACAGTTCATTGGGCACAAGGCCTTTGAGGACACAGGAAGCAGAGCAGGGGCAGCTCTCCCCTTCCAGAGTATTTCGTGTATCTAAGGCTGGCACAAGATTAGAGGCTTGCCTGGCTTAGAACAGCCGTGTGCAGGGTGGGAGTGATGGGGAGTAGCCACATTGAGTTTGTGGCAATAGAGCAGCCAAGCTTTGGGAAATCTTTGCACTGGGAGGACGCCAGGGGAGGAGCCCTAGGAGGGCCACCAGGGTCCTCGACTCAGTGGCAGCTTGAGGAGATTGTGAGATGTGCAGCAGGTCCCAGAGGGCAGGCAGTGGGCCTGGGTGCAGCCACACCCCAGGGCAAATCCCTGCCACTGCTCCCAAGTGTGGGCTTCACCACGCTGCCTGGTGCCCCACGTCCTCTTCCCTGCCTCCCAGCTGAACAGCCCCAGAGCCCTGTGCCCAAGGATGGTCCCGAACTAGTGGACAGCAGGGGCCAGAGGCGGGGCTGGAGTTCCTCCATGCCACAAACATCTCCCCAAAACACACAGTGCACCTCCCTCCCCGCCCTGCCCCTTACCCCTCTGAGGTTCTGCCCCCAGACTGACCTCTGGGGCTGCTGCCCCGCAGGACCCAGATGAGAGTGCCCGCATCTCCAGCGCCTTCTTCCGCCTGTTCCGTGTCATGAGGCTGATCAAGCTGCTGAGCCGGGCAGAAGGAGTGCGAACCCTCCTGTGGACGTTCATCAAGTCCTTCCAGGTGCAACAGGGACCCTGGAAACTGCACGTACCTGGGGAGGCCACTAGGGACATCTGCCTCAGCCCAGGGTGGGCCCCAGGGGAGCCCTGGGCAAGGCAGAGCCCTGGGGAGCTAACAGAGGGCAGGGCTGCAGACACACAGTGGAGCCCTAAGACACTGACTGGCGCTCCCGCCCGCCCTGCAGGCCCTACCCTACGTGGCTCTGCTCATCGTCATGCTCTTCTTCATCTACGCTGTCATCGGCATGCAGGTGAGAGGCAGGCGGGCCCAGGCCAAAGCATGGATCTTGGCCAAGTTAGAGGGGGCATCAGTGGACCCTGAGGAGCCTGAGCAGCACACGGGCTGGACCCTCCGCCCTCCCTGCCTTGCTCGTGAGAAAGAAGGAGGGACAACCTCCCTGATCGTGGATGGCTGGAGTGTCAGATGCTTGGATGCCAGCCAGGAGAAACCTGGGCATGTGGGTGGACAGCAGGGGCCAGGCTGTCTCTCTAAGGCCTGACTGGAGCCCTGGGTGGCCTCTGTCTACCCTCCCCTGAGAGCACTTCCCCCACACATTGACTTACCGGGTCTGCTTGCTGCTGGGAAAACGGGTCTACCCTCCCTCTTTTCTTTGGCTTGCTAAGAAGAACTTTACCTGATCTAGAAAATAATCCCGTTTTTTTTGGCTTCAGGTCTGATGTGGCCCGCAATGAAGGGAATTTTGGGGAAGTAGGGGCGAAGGTAGGGGTCAGGCAGGAGAAGGCAGTGGGGGATAAGCTGAGGGGACACTTTAATCTAGGTTCCACAGTCAGGGCCCTTTGTGACTTGCAGATGTTTGGGAAGATCGCCTTGGTGGATGGGACCCAAATAAACCGGAACAACAACTTCCAGACCTTCCCACAAGCTGTGCTACTGCTCTTCAGGCACGCGTCTCCCGCCACCCCCACCCCTACCCCGCTGACCAGTCCAGCCTTTGCTCTGTTCTAATGTGCACTGGAGCCAGGGCTGGCTTCATGGGTGTGTGACCTGTGCAGCCACACAGGGTCCTATACTCAGAAGGGTCCCCTGCTTGGTTGCATGCTCTGCCGTCACTGCCTTGAAGATATTCATCATTTTGAACAAGTGGTCCCACAGCTTTATTTTGCACTGGGCTCCTCCACTGAGTGAAGTGCTGCATTTTCCTCCCATCTCATCCCCATGAAGCAAGAGACAGAGGTCAGATATCTTCTCCCGGACATTTGCCCTCGTCGCTCCCAGAGCATGAGCAGGAATGCAGGGAAAGGCAGAGCAAAGCTCCAGATGGGGTGGGGGGCGCTGCCACAGGTAGGGCGCAGGGGCCTATGCTTGGCCAGGGCACAGGAGCTAGAGCTTGGATTGCAACCGAGGATCCTGGGCTGCAGGCCTGCTGGGCGTGCAGGAGCCAGGTGGGAGAGGTGAGCTTCCTGGCCCACAGTGGAATGCTCTACTGAGACCAGACAAGGCCTAGGGACACCCACACCCAGGGCCCCTTCTTGGCACAGCGTGTCAAAGGCTCCATGAGGTCACAGCAGCCTGCAGCCCTTATGGCCTGTGAAAAGGAGACCGGCACCTCACCGTGTGCAGGCAGAGATTCCCACCTCGCCCCAGCTCTGCACCTCAACTCCAAACCCGAGGCCACCCTGCACTGCCTGCTCTAGGAAGGAAGGGAGCTAGCTGAAATGAGACAGTTATTAGACACAAAGGAGTGGGAAGTTATGTAGTCTGGCTGAATGTGACTAGAGGAGACACTTCTTCCCAGCTGGAGAGGTGGAGGGAGGTTATCTACAGAGCAGGTTGTAGCAGTTACTGGAAAAATGCAAACATGTCATGCATATGCACCTCGGATGCATTGAGATTCTTCATTCAACAGCGACACATCCACAAGGTGTGAAATCTAAGGGCTGCTTTTGTGACTCAGCCAGAGTGGGTGGCAGTTGAATTCAGCCAGTTGGGTTCAACTGTGGGGTTACCTCAGAGAGTGGAGTCAGTTAATCTCTTTGAGGCCTCTGTGACATATGACCCTGCCTTGCTTTGGTCAGAACAGTGCATCCCTCTAGTAACTTGAATCAGATTGATTTTGCCCTCTTCTCTAAAGTTTAGCTCCTGCTTGTAACACCCCATGAGGGCTGCAGCACAGAGGGGAAACTGAGGCCCAGCTCACACTGAGCTACACAGTGAACATGAAGATCTGACCTCCTTACCATTGGACAACAGCCCCAGTTTGCTCATCTGTCCACACCCTGCTGCCACCTGACTGCCAGCCTTCTGAGGGGCCAGGCAGGAGCAGATAGGTGACAGGAGCCTCTTCTGTCCTCTAGGTGTGCAACAGGTGAGGCCTGGCAGGAGATCCTACTGGCCTGCAGCTATGGGAAGCTGTGTGACCCAGAGTCGGACTATGCCCCAGGGGAGGAGTACACATGTGGCACCAACTTTGCATACTACTACTTCATCAGCTTCTACATGCTCTGTGCCTTCCTGGTGAGATGCTGAGGGCCTGCGGGGCAGGGAGAGGGCTTTGATAAGCTGAGGCATGGGGGAGCCTGCCTGCCCCTTCCTGGCCAGTTTCCACCTCTCCTGGGATTCATCTCGGGGACGCAGGAGGCTCTAGTTAGGTTGTCCCCCATTCTGGTCATCCTGAGTGTGGCTTTGTTTCCTGGGTGCTTTTTCATACTCCAGAGAGGCTGCCAAAAGTTCTTACTTTTTTTTTTTGTTTTGGTTAGCACTCATCAAAAGGAATTTAGCAAGGCCAGAGAGCACTGTCTGTGCAAGAGCACAGAGACATGACAGAGCATTGCTGTGTGTGTGATGTGGGTGGTTCAGAAGGGCTAGAATCAAGGGCACAGGAAGCGAGAAGTTGTGGGCCAGTGGACACCTCCCAGCTCCCCCACCCTAACCCTGTACCACCTGCCTTTCTGTGTTGGGACCCCTTGGTTCTTCTCTTGCAGGTCATCAACCTCTTTGTGGCTGTCATCATGGACAATTTTGACTACCTCACCCGGGACTGGTCCATCCTGGGCCCTCATCACCTGGATGAGTTCAAGGCCATCTGGGCAGAGTATGACCCAGAGGCTAAGTGAGTCCAATCTGTAGGCTCTGTGCTGGGCCCTCCATCCTAGACCCTTCCTACCGTCTCACAGGGAGTCACTCTCCAGTTTATTCAGTATGAGTGGGCTTCTCCTTCCCCCTTCATTTATCTGAGGTCTCAGATCAGAGAATCAGAGTATCTCCAGGTTGGAGGGAATCCTACAGCTTTCCGGGGTGGAAACACCCTTGACTTTATTGAGAAATTGTCATCCAGCTCCTGCTTGAACACTCCTAGGAGTAGGAAGCTATATACCTCACCAGACACTCTAGACCCCAAATCAAAGTGCGGTCCTCTGACCAGCAGAAGCTGAGCTTGATTAAAATGCAGAGTCGCAGGCCCCTCCCAGGCTGACTGAATCTAACTCTTGCATTGCTCTGAACCTGAGCCTTGGGACATTCGTATGCATTTAAAGCTTGGAGAGCACGGCTCTCTTACTTTCCTTCCCGATAGGAAATAGGCATCTCCCGATGGTCTCAGTCTCAGATGAGGAAACTGAGGTTCAGAGAGGTTAAGTAAGTTGCCCCAGTCCATGTAACTGGTAAGAGATGGTGCCAAGATACAGTGCAGGTCTGTTTGGTGCCTATAGCAACCGTGCTTTAAAGTGCCTCCATCAGCAGGAGCCAAACCTACTTGCCTCTACCAGCCACCCACAGGTCCTCATTCAGCCCTCTGGAGACAGGCGGGGAATGTTTCATCTCTTTTTCGCAGCCTGCCCATCAAAGAAAAGAGGAAGCCAGTAGGACTTTCCAAAATGATTTTTCTCAGGCAACACTCACAAGCTGCTCTTGCCATGCTTGTCTTTTGATCTGACCTCCCTGGTTGTTCTGTTTTATGTCTATTCTGGGAGTCACGGTGCCAATGAAAATGTGGTTTCCAGCTCTGGACCAGCCTCTGGAAGTGGGCTTCCACCTCCTTTGATCTACACCCACTACTTCTATTAATATAGCCCAAGGGCCCCTATTAACTTGACCAAAACCTAAGAAAGATACTGATAGGGAAAATGAGGTCTGGATTCCAGACCTGGTTATCCCATATCTGAGGGAATGCGCCAAAGGAGAGAGCCTATTTTGGGGTACCCATTTTGTAGACAACAGTTAATCCTAACATTGTCTCTTCTTTTAAAAGGGAGCTGGGCTCCCACTTCCTAAACACAGTTGGAAAATAAGGAAATGCTCCCCTGTTTCCTGGCTTTCTTTCCCATTGCCCATCCTCTGAGCAGAAAGGTTCTGGCAGCGGAGGAGGGTAGCAGGTACACAAGTCTGTGTGTCCTCCCGCAGGGGGAGAATCAAACACCTGGACGTGGTGACCCTGCTGAGAAGGATTCAGCCCCCTCTGGGCTTTGGGAAGTTCTGCCCACATCGGGTAGCTTGTAAGGTAACCAGAGCTGCCAGGGATGGGTGGCCCCAGGGAGGGGAAGAGTCACTGAGGCAGAGGGAAACTGGTGAGGACCTGATGGAGTGAAGCATTGTAGAGCCGGGATCTCCTGGGTCCCCAAGTTCCTCCCAAAGGGCCTGAAGTCTCAGCAATGTCACCCAACTCATCATTCTGTCCCCTCACAAAGGATGTCCTGGTCAGCTGACACCCCCAGCCCTCGTGTCCCGTCCCCTCCCGGTCCACAGACCGGGTGAGGATGACTTGCCAAGCTTGGCCTGGTCCCAGCTCAGCGGCAGGCCACTGCGTCTCCCTGTACAGCGGCTGGTGGGCATGAACATGCCCCTGAACAGCGACGGCACAGTCACCTTCAATGCCACACTCTTTGCCCTGGTCCGCACGGCACTCAAGATCAAGACGGAAGGTGAGAGTGCCTTCCAATGTGAGCCCCCTCCTTTCTCCCAGAGGCTGTTTCTGGCACAGATTCTGCCAGATTCTCAGAGCTCAAGATTGCTCTTAAGAACTGTGGGAAGAAGTAGAGGGAGGACCCCAGGCCATGGGCACAAAGTCCTCATGCCCCTCAGGGCTCAGAGGGAGCCTGAGGGTTTTCTGCAGGGCAAAGATCATCAAGGGTCTGTTCCCACACTCCTCAGCTGTGTCTGGGGGCCAGAGAAGGGCCAGTGCTGGCACAGGGGTCAGGGGTGCCCTGCAGTTTGGCTGTGAGCAGGAGCAGAGGAGGTTCTCAGGCAGCACTGGGCAGGCTGACGGGAGTCCACATTCGACTCCACTAAATCTGCAGGTCCTCACCTACTGGGAAGACAAGCATGGTGGGAGCAGGGGAAGGAGTCAGGGTGGGGTCTCAGTATTGTCTCTGAGCCCTTGCTCAGGGCTCACACTGTATCAAGCTCAAGTCTCCAGCTGTATCAGGTCCATCCCCACATGGGGACCACTCCAGGAGTCTGAGACAACCTCAGGGTGAGCTTCATTAGCAGGGCAAGATGAGGAAGACCAGAAGTCAGGAAGGAGCAGGTTAGAGCTGCAGCAAGTCTGCCTGGGGGTATTTGGGCCAGACCACAGTGCCTGGGGAATTGAAAGATTTTGGAAGAAGAGCAGGAGATGACAGCCTGTAAAACCAACCACTCTGGGCACTGGAAGCCAAGGCCTGTGGGGAGAAAGTACATGACCCAAGAGTTGGGCTGCCCCAGGGGGACAGTGATGCCCTCCCACCATTGCCAGTACCCAGCAAGGCAGCTGCCACAAAACTCAGCCAATGTTTCTTAGTAAATGACTGGCTGTCTGAAAGGTTCAGAAAGAACTGGGTGGCCTTGTCAAGTGCAGTTGGTGTGATCTGGGTAACTTTTGCCTTTCTCCTGCTCCAGGTAACTTTGAGCAGGCCAACGAGGAGCTGAGGGCCATCATCAAGAAGATCTGGAAGAGAACCAGCATGAAGCTCTTGGACCAGGTCATCCCTCCAATAGGAGGTAGGTGCTACTTTGGGGGACCAGAGTCCAGAAGCAGCCAAGGAATGGGAGTGGGGAGCTTCTCCAAGGAGCCCCATGGGAATCTGAGAACGGACCAGATCCTCCATAAATGCCTTAGGTAGATCCCACGGGCATCCAACCTCAGGATGGAAAGTGCCCAGTGACCAAGTCAGCAAGACAAAGGATTGCTTGCATGCCCGGGCCTGGCTACAGCTGGCTCCCACTCTGAATCCAGTGTCAGATTCCCACTAGCCTTCAGGGCATCTCTTGTTGGCTCCTCTGCAGATGATGAGGTGACAGTGGGGAAGTTCTACGCCACATTCCTCATCCAGGAGCACTTCCGGAAGTTCATGAAACGCCAAGAGGAGTATTATGGCTATCGGCCCAAGAAGGACATTGTACAGATCCAGGTAAGCCCAATCCAGGTATGTTCCAAGGGGCTCCCCCACTGAGCCAGGTCTCCAGACTCTAGTTATCCTTCCATGTCCTTGAGGGGCCAATGATGGAGACATAGAGGGAAAAAGGAAGCCCAGAAGAGTGAAAAAATGTCAAGACAGTTCTGGGTAGTCCATGATTGAAGATGTTTCAACCTCAAAAAAAGAACCAGGGCGCTTCATCTCTGGATGATAGGACCAAAGAAAATAGGATTTGTTCAAGGGAGAGACAAGTTAGATAAGAACAGTGGTCTCTAGGCCAGGCGCAGTGGCTCACACCTATAATCCCAGCACTATGGGAGGCCAAGGTTGGCAGGTTACTTGAGGTCAGGAGTTCAAGACCAGCCTGGCCAACACGGCGAAACCCCATCTCTACCAAAAATACAAAAATTAGTCAGGTGTGGCGGCATGTGCCCAGCTACTCAGGAGGCTGAGGCGTGAGAATCACTTGACCCTGGAAGCGGAGGTTGCAGTGAACCGAGATTGAGACACTGAACCTCAGCCTGGGCGACAGAGTGAGACTGTGTCTCAAAAGAAAAAAAAAAAAGAACAGTTCTCTCTAAAGAAAGGTGATCCATGAAGGGCTCTTAAAATGTTCCACTGGGTATGGGTCCAGGTGCGGTGGCTCACACCTGTAATCCCAGCGCTTTGGGAGGCCAAGAAGGGCGGATCACTTGAGGTCAGGAGTTTGAGACCAGCCTGGGCAAGATGGTAGAACCCCATCTCTACTAAAATTACAAAATTAGCTGGGCATGGTGGCATACGCTTGTAATCCCAGCTATTTGGGAGGTTGAGGCGGGAGCATCACTGGAACCTGGGAGGCAGAGGTTGCAGTGAGGTGAGATTGCACCACTGCACTCTAGCAAGGGTGACAGAGTAAGACTCCATCTCAAAAGATAGATAAATAAATAAATAATAAATAAATAAATAAATAAATATGTCCCATTGGGTGTGAAAAGAAAACTTTAGAACTTTTTGTTTTATCTTATCTGGTTTTATTTCTATTTTTGGGTTCACTGTAATGCACATAATTTATAAAACCCCCAAATACACATGCA
The DNA here is from genome assembly GCF_000001405.40 of Homo sapiens. NCBI lineage: Eukaryota > Metazoa > Chordata > Mammalia > Primates > Hominidae > Homo > Homo sapiens. The sequence goes on along the minus strand of NC_000001.11, from coordinate 201,046,032 downwards.
TTTGAGCTGTGCTCAAAAATTTATTTCAATGGCTATTTTTATTTTGAAATAATCTCATACTTTTAAAAAGTTGCAAGTATAATATAAAACCTTTTTTTCTGAACCATTTGAGAGTAACTCCAAAATGATGTTCCATCATCCAAAAACACTTTAATGCATATTTCAAGGCATTGTGTGTATTCAAGGCAAAATGTGTATTACAAGGGCGTTATCCTGCATAATTCTTCTATGTAACCACAACATAACCACAAAATCAGGAAATTAACACTGATGCTTTTTTTTTTTTTTTTTTTTTTTTGGAGACAAGAGTCTCGCTGTCGCCCAGGCTGGAGTGCAGAGGCATGATCTTGGCTCACTGCGACCTCTGCCTCCCGGGTTCAAGCCATTCTCATGCCTCAGCTTCCTGAGTAGCTGGGATCACAGGCACACACCACCATGCCAGGCTACTTTTTGTATTTTTAGTAGAGATGGGGTTTCGCTATGCTGGCCAGACTGGTCTCAAACTCCTGACCTCAAGTGATCTGCCTGCCTCAGCTTCTCAAAGTGCTGGGATTACAGACGTGAGTCACCATGCCAGGCTAATACATTACTACATTCTAATCCTCAGACCCCATTCAAATTTCATTTGCTGTCCCAGTAAATGTCCTTTATAGCAAAAGGATCCAATCCAGAATCAGACAGTGCATTGAGTTGCCTTATCTCTTTCATCTCTTCCATCTGGAAGAGTTCATCAGTCTTTCCTTGACACGATCTTGACACTTGAAGACTGCAGGTCAGTATGTCCCTCAGTTGGGGTTTGTCTGATTACTAGGATATGCATCTTGGATAAGAATGCCACAGAAATGATTCTGTGTTCTCATTACAAGCTATTAGGTGACACCAGTCTTGACTTGTCCCATTACTGGTGATATTAACTTTGCTCAACTATATATATATGACATATCCAATCAATAAAGATCACCAATCTAGAAGACTGTACTGAGTAAGAACACTTCTCAACCTGGAAGCCTGGGAAGGGCATGAAATTTCCACCCATGGGGTCAAGAGATGACTCAATTGGAACAATTAAGGTGTGGGCTATCCCAGAGGCCAGAGCAGGACCTGGTGGCCTCTCAGGTACCTGAGATATTCAATAACCCAAGAGGGAGAGTGGGGCCTAGGCTGGGGCTTTGGGAGAGCCCTGGGTACAGTGATAAGAAACAAGTAAGCCATACGAAGCGGTTCTAGCCAGGCACGGTGGCTCATGCCTGTAATCCCAGCACTTTGGGAGGCCAAGTGGGTGGATCACAAGGTCAGGAGTTTGAGACCAGCCTAGCCAACATGGTGAAACCCCATCTCTACTAAAAATACAAGCATTAGCAGGGAGTGGTGGCACATGCCTATAATCCCAGCTACTCAGGAGGCTGAGGCAGGAGAATCACTTGAACCCGGGAAGCAGAGGTTACAGTGAGCTCAGATTGTGCCACTGCACTCCAGCCTGGGCAACAGAGTGAGACTCTGTCTCAAAAAAAGAAAAAGTGGTTCTGGTCTCCTCTCCTGGGCTGGAGAGATAACTGAGTCCCTTCGTCATCCCCAGGCAGGGCTGCGGACCATTGAGGAAGAGGCAGCCCCCGAGATCTGTCGCACGGTCTCAGGAGACCTGGCTGCTGAGGAGGAGCTGGAGAGAGCCATGGTGGAGGCTGCGATGGAGGAGGGAATATTCCGGGTGAGGGAGAGCCAGGAGCACCCCTAGTGGTCTAGACACCATGAGTGGCAGTGTCTCACAGAGAGGAGGGCTGGGAGCCCAGCCACACGAGAGGGGGACATGGGAGCTGAAGATACCCCACTCCGTCTCTCCACTTCACCACCCACCTCTCCTGGGACTCAGAATCAATGACCTGATCTACTAGAGGTGTCAAATGCAACACACTCTTTCCCACATTTCCCTACCAAATCTCACCCCTTCCCTTTCCTCCCCACAAACCCTAGGCAACGACCCATCTCCCAGAGGCCCTCCAGGATCAAATGCCCTGCCTGCCTCCACTGAGGCCAGTCCTCCATCCTTAGCTCTGTCTCATGTTTCTTATAACACTTTATTGCTGGAAGGTCTTTAATGACACCTAGTTAGGTCTTTTTGGGTTATTCATGAGGAAATAGTGGCCCACAGAGATCATGTGAGATGTCCAATATCACCTAGTAAATCAGTTTCAGAGCGGGGACTAGAACCCAGTGCTGCAGACTCCCGATTCAGCCCTCTCTCCCCTACACCACACTTCTCTTCTGTGTGCCTGTGTCCCCTATATACCTCCTTAGGTGTGTGCTGTCTACCCCATCAAACAAAGAACTTTCTAAGGGTGGGAATTTTCTTCTTTTGATCTCACCACTCAGTCCATCCTCCTTTGGCCTTATAAGATTTGTCTCCCAATACTATTGCTTGTTCCCAATACCACTGTCCCAGAGTGACAGCCCCCCATGCCCTCCCTGCCCTCACCCCCAGTCACTGCTCTTCTCCTTGCCCCTAGAGGACTGGAGGCCTGTTTGGCCAGGTGGACAACTTCCTGGAAAGGACCAACTCCCTGCCCCCCGTCATGGCCAATCAGAGACCCCTCCAGTTTGCTGAGATAGAGATGGAAGAGATGGAGTCACCTGTCTTCTTGGAGGACTTCCCACAAGATCCACGCACCAACCCCCTGGCTCGTGCCAATACCAACAATGCCAACGCCAATGTCGCCTATGGCAACAGCAACCATAGCAACAGCCATGTGTTTTCCAGGTAGTGGCGGCCACTGCCATCCCTGGGTGTAGAGGTACTGGGAGGACAATGTCAGCAGGTTCCAGGTTGGATTGGAAGAGGGTACCCCAAATTTGTAGGGTGTCTTTTGCTTGCCTTTGTGCCCCAATCCATCCTGAACCTTAATGTAAGAGGCCGACCTCGATGGCAGAGGCTTCTTTGGCCAGCAGGGGGAAGCCTCACATCATGTCAGTATTGGCCCCAGTGTTGAGAGGTTCTTTTATTCCGTCGGCTTCAGCAAGTCTAGGAGCTGAGACGTATTGAACACATGATAGGTTAGGAGAGGATCTTCGGTGGTAGCACATACCACAAAAGACTGTGGACAATAAGATTCCATCACTGGATTTAGGTTCCAAGGAGATCCCGCTGTGCTGGGTGGTTCCCATCTCACCAACCTTGGGCTGTAGACTAAATATAATCTGTGATTACGTAAGTGTCATAAAAAACAGCAGGATGAGGGGGAGAACTTCTCAGCAATCATAACTTAGGGGCTAGGCTCAGGCAAAGCTTCTGTTCTAGACAGGAGGTCAGCTGATTGGAGGCCTCTTCGGCCTGGAAAGGCTTAGCCCCAGGCCTCAGGAATAAGCAGAACAAGGCAGCAGCCAGCCCCTTTTCATGGCCAGGGCTGCCTGCACCCCTTCCAGTCACAGAGACCCCTTAAATTCAGCCCACAAGCCTTGAAGGGTGCATGTACCTTTTTGGGTCACCATGGTGCAAGGTAACGTGGAAATACAGAAGCATCAGCCCTGGGCCCTGCCCTGAAGGGGGTTGTCGTCTTGTTGGGTGATATGTTATGTGATATGATTGGGACCAAATAATCACAGAGGCCAGGAGTGGTGGCTCATGCCTGTAATCCCAGCACTTTGGGAGGCCTAGGCAGGTGGATCACTTGAGGTCAGGAGTTCGAGACCTGCCTGGCCAACATGGAGAAACCGTGTCTCTACTAAAAACACACAAAAAATTAGTCAGGTGTGGTGGCGCATGCCTGAAATCTCAGCTACTCGGGAGGCTGAGGCAGAAGAATCTCTTGAACTCAAGAAGTGGAGGTTGCAGTGAGCTGATTGTGCCACTGCACTCCAGCCTGGGTGAGAGAACAAGACTCCGTCTCAAAAAAACAAAACAAAACAAAACAAATAAACAAAAAACACCAAATAATAACAGATATTTAGTGTCCTGAGAGTGCAGAGGGGGTATGGATCACCATGGGCTGGAAAGACCTAGAATGGTTCTCAGCCTTGGCTGTGCATTAGATAATCCAGGGAGCTTCTGCAAATCCCAATGCCTGGGCCTCACCACAGATGCTGGGTGTGGGACTCAGCCACCACTCACCTTTGAGCTCCTCAGGTGATCCTATGTGTGGCCAAGATGGAGAAGCAGGGTTCCAAAGGCTGGGAGGCTGCAGCTGGGCCTTGGAAGATGAACAGAATGTAGAAAGGGTAGAGGGAGCAACTGAGCAAAGGAGTGGAGTCAGGAATGCTCTGGACTCCTTCCTCCTAGAGAGTCAGGGCTGGCTGGGGCACAGTGGTGGAAACGTCAGCCCTAGAGTCACGGCTGCTACACTAGGTTGGCCTTGTACAGGCTCTGAGGGAAAAGGATGTTTGGGGCCAGAGAGGCAGGGATGCCGAGAGAGCTAGCAGCCTTCTCTGGTTCACCCAGCCTTGCTTCCATTTCAGTGTCCACTATGAAAGGGAGTTCCCAGAAGAGACAGAGACGCCTGCTACCAGAGGACGAGCCCTTGGCCAACCCTGCAGGGTCCTGGGTCAGTCCCTTCTGTGCATCTAAGAAGCTTGAGTCTTCTCCCAGAGGAGTCCGGGAAGCCCCACTCTTTTCTTAGAGTCTGGGAACTTGGCTGGGAGGGCTGGCTTGGGAGCCTGTTACAATGGCAGTCATCTGGGCCCTGGAATGGGAAAACCATCAGGACCAGCTACTTGTCCAGGGGGGAAGCAGGGCACCATCTAGGTGGCTGAGTGAGGTGGAAGGGGGAAAGCCCATTCATGCTAAAGGGCCCTCTGCAGGCCTCCCAGGAAACTCACACAGCCCCCTACACCATCCCCAGCACAGGAGTCCCCACACCGCCCCAGGTCCCTGGAAGGGCAGCCCCTGGACACACTGACGTCTTGACTCTGGGGCCCTTCTGCAAATGATCTTGTAGTCTAGTATGTCCTAGACTGCTGTGTGACAGTAGGAGCCCCAAGGATGCTGGGGGCTAGTGGCAATAAGGATACTGCTGTGTTCCCCAACACACTTTCACTTTAATGTGCACACACCCAGGGACCACAGAGGACCAGCTTGGCCAGAGACTCTGGCCCTTATCCCCTCTCCCAAACCTTCAAGAACAGCGACCAGGGCCAGTAAAGTTGGGGCAGCCCTGCCTGGCCTGGAGTTGATTGGGCCTCATCATGTGTCCACCCTCTAAGACACCTTCTGCAGCCCTGAGAATCTCAGAGCTCTCACAGAGTGTGGCTAGCCAGCCAAGCGAGCCTCTGTTGACTCAGGGCTCCTGGCAGGAGTCAGCAGCCCCTCTTATCCTTGCCCCTTCTTGCATACAGGACCCCACAGCAAACCCTGTGTGGAGATGCTGAAGGGACTGCTGACCCAGAGGGCAATGCCCAGAGGCCAGGCACCTCCTGCCCCCTGCCAGGTAACAGTGGCAGAGGCCTGGGAGCAAACTCCATACAGAGACCCTGCCTGGCCTGATACTTGGAGTGGGATCATGGCAGGGGAAGGCTGTGGCAGCAATGTGTCCAACAGTACAGAAGGGACGGGATCCCTCCATCCTCCCCTTTCTGTGGATCTTGGTTGAGTTGCCCTCAGATGATCTGGAATTTTGCTCATTGGTGGGCTCCAGCACCCCTGTCGGGGTCTTTGCTTTTGTACCTTTGGAACAGTGCCCCAGGGTGGAGTCCTCCATGCCTGAGGACAGAAAGAGCTCCACACCAGGGTCTCTTCATGAGGAGACACCCCACAGCAGGAGCACCAGGGAGAATACTTCCAGGTGCTCAGCACCAGCTACAGCCCTGCTGATCCAAAAGGTGAGCCAGGGGCTGGGTCACAGCAGTGGCTGCATTGAGTGGTGGCCCTGTGATGGCCTGGCGTGGAGAGAGGGTAGGGCCAACAGAGGCAGGTCCCCAAATGTGGCTCCCCAGGAAGACCCCACTCAGCCTACTCTCCTCCCTGCAGGCTCTGGTTCGAGGGGGCCTGGGCACCTTGGCAGCTGATGCAAACTTCATCATGGCAACAGGCCAGGCCCTGGCAGATGCCTGCCAAATGGAACCAGAGGAAGTGGAGATCATGGCAACAGAGCTACTGAAAGGACGAGAGGCCCCAGAGGGCATGGCCAGCTCCCTGGGATGCCTGAACCTCGGGTCCTCCCTGGGCAGCCTCGACCAACACCAGGGCTCCCAGGAGACCCTTATTCCTCCAAGGCTGTGATGCCCACACAGCATCAGCATGGGCTTAGAGCTGGCATGACCAATGGGGGTGGGGAAGTTGCTGGGGTGGAGAAGGGCTAGCCCACCGCAGCAGCCTCCCTCCCTCTCAGCAGCTAGATGCATGGCCTGAGGCAGGGTGGTCAGGAACCACCTCAAAAAGTGCGGAGGAAGTAGCTGGACAGGCCCTGCCCCTCACCAGCAAGAGGCATGATTGGATGGAGCTTCTAATGTCATTCAAAAAGGCCTGGTCAGTGCCTGTCTGGCCTAGGGCCACTCCCACCTGCAGGACATTAAAATCTCCAGGCCTGTGACACTGGCAACTGGCCTCTGCTTGTCCAGTTTTTTGGACTCTTCTACACCTGTGTTTCCCCCTCCCCAGTCCCTTCCCCAGGAACCCTGCCCATGGGCTTGGGAGACTGGGCTGTGGAGAAAGACAGAGGGGCCATCTGGATTATTTTTCTGCATGAGGCAGAGAGGGACCTGTTGTGGGTTCTCCTGAAGTCCACAGCCAAGTCCACTGACTGGGACCAAGCAGCCCCAGAAAGGACTGGTGGTCTCAGAAGCAGCTGCACACCCCAGGTCACACCATGGCCAAACATCTTCGAAGCTACGACCATGTTGCATTGGCCAGAGTCCACTGCCAACACAGGCTCTCAGAGCCCTCAACTGCCCCCTGTTTATTGCCTTGAATATCAAAGATCTACATTCTCCAGGGCTCCTCTTAGCCACACCAAGTAACTATGAGTAACAGTAGCTACTATTTACCAAGTGCCTCCTGCGTGCCACCTACACACCTGCTCTCATGCCAGGGGCTGCAATACGTTGTTTACAAAGCACCTTCATGTACAATATTCATTTTATTGCCACCACAACCATGCAAAGTACATGTGAATTCCACGTTAAAAATGAAGGAATGGAGGCATGCAGAGGTGATGGGACAGCCCTGGGGTGCACAGCCAGAGGCAAGGTCAGGACTCTGCACCGGGCCCTCCATGTCCCCACAGCATCCTTCCCCCTTCACTGGACTCTTTGCTCTTCTCGCCATTCCATCATTAAGCCTGTGCCAAGCGCCTGCTCTGTGGCTGTTGCTATGGAAACCAAGCTGGCCTCCCCATGCAGCCTCCTAGCGAACCCCCAGTCGGCTTCTGGGCTTCTCAGCTGGGCCTAGGGTATCAGTCATGCAGGGCAGGGACGCTCGCACTCTTAATGCACTATACGTCCCTTCCCCCAGTCTCAACAGGGCCCCAATGCTTCCTAGTCCCTGTCAGTGCAGCAATCTCAACGCCCTTCTCTCCTGAAACCCCAACACCAGCAGCTAGCTTTGCTCCCTTCACACACACAAAAAAATATATAGAAGCTACCAGAAGGTTCCTCCCTCAGCTCCTGTCTCCACACTGATGAACCCACCTGTTTCTGCTGTCTCATTCTCCTCCTTCCCTTCTGACCCAGTGGAAGCCAGTTCTCTCCTGCCAGCTGCTCGGATTCTACCCCAGCCCTTATCCCCTCTCTCTGCCTCTCCACAGGCCCCTTCTAGCTGCATGGAACACATTCCAGGTGCCTCCCTCCTAGCAGCCTGACCCTGCAGCCATCCTATTTCCCTATTTCTGTCTCCCTCTCTGTTTTTCCATTCATCCATCCACCCATCCATCCATCATCCATCCATCCATCATCTATGATCTATCTTTTTTTTTTTTTTTTAGACAGAGTCTCACTCTGGTACCCAGGCTAGAGTGCAGTGGCATGAACTCAGCTCACTGCAACCTTCATCTCCTGGGTTCAAGTGATTCTCCTCCCTCAGCCTCCCGAGTAGCTGGGACTACAGGTGTGTGCCACCATGCCCAGCTAATTTTTGTATTTTTAGTAGAAACTGTGTTTTGCCATGTTGGCCAGGCTAGTCTTGAACTCCTGACCTCAAGTGATCCACCCACCTCAGCCTCCCAAAGTGCTGGGATTACAGGCGTGAGCCACCACTGCTGACTGAGGACCAAACTTCTTACCTGGGTGGTCTCCTTGTCCACATTTCTATTTCTCCTTCCATTCTCATTTCTCCTCTCTAGGCAATCCTCCTCTGCCCCATCGCTTCTCTGGAAACACGCTCACCAATGTCACCAACTATCTGGTTGCTAACCCAGTGGACTCTCACATCTTTACATTACTTGACTTCTAGGCAGCATGAGATACAATTTAGCCCGCTCCCTGCCTGAAAATCCCCCGAGTGTCAGATCTCCTGAATTTCCTCTTACCCCTCGAGTGTTCCAACTTGAAGCTTCCTTGGGAGTTCCCCCTTGGCCTGCCTACTTCTCAGGTAGACTCTGTCTCCTTGACCCTTTCTTCTCATGTAGTACACGTTCATATCTTAGTTGCATGTATGTGCCAGTAATTCCAAAATCCATATTTCTAGTCAAAATCTCCCCTAAACTCCAGGACTCTGTATCCTGTTCCTCCCAGACAACTCTGCATAGACATCTCACTTGTGCCTAATGCTCACCTTGTCCAGTGGTGGCCTCTTATCCTTTCCCCAAAGCCTGCTACTCCTCTGGTATTGCTGGTCTCGGGGAAACCCAATCCTTATTCAAACCAGAAGTCTGGGTGTTGTCCTGGATGCCTACCTCCCCCTCCCACCATGCCCCGCACATTTGCCCTCCTAAGTATCTCTCACATCTGTCTCCCTTCCCTTCATCCTCACGGTCACTTTCTTGATTCGTTCAACCATCATCTCATGCTTTATCTATTGTGACAGCCTTTGAACGGGCCTCCAATCTCCTCTTTTCTCTTCCTTCCCATCTGTCTTTGATATTTCTAAAAGGAAGAACCACTCATCTTGTCTCCTTGCTGAAAACTTTTAAAGGCACCCCCAAAGCCCTCTGAATAGTGAGCAAAACCCTTGCCTGGGTTCACAAGCCTCTCCCAGATCAGACCCTGCCCAAGTCTCCTACTCGCCCCACCCAGAGGGAGCTCTCACCTCTGAGCTCACATGTACTGTTCTCTCTGGAAATGTTCTGAGCCCTCTACCTGACTGAGCTCTAGTCACCCTTCAAACCTCAGCTTTGCTATTGCTTCCTGCAAAAGGCTTTCCCTGAACACCCCCAAACTCTCTGTAGCCTGGCCCAGAAATGTGGCCGCCCTCTCTCCTCCGTTACAGTAGGGATCGTAGCTGTGTTGTAACTGCTTGTTTATTTTTACCCCAGTCAGACACCAAGCTCCACAAAGCAGGAGCTGTGTCCACGTTGTTCACAGTTCTCTCTCCAGGGCTGAGCACTTTTCAGCAGAGATTGCTGGCTCAATGTCGCTTGTTAAATAAATGCAGTAAAGAGCTGTGGGGTGTGGACGCTGCCCGCAGCAGGGTCGCTGCCCAGTATCACCTGCTCAGCTCTGCAGCCTCCGCTGCCATGGCTGTCCATCTAGACCAAGAGGAGGCAGGGAGGAGGGGCTCTGCCTCCGGAGGGTGACAAGCTAGACTCCACGGTGCAGCTCCCACAGGCAGGAGGGAGTACTCGACACCCCCACAGCTGCTTACATTGTCTCCTGCTCAATTGGCTCATCTCTAGGGAAGACAAGATAAAATGGAACATAAGTCTATGCTGTAAAGTTTTATAAAAGGACACTCTTATTTATGAGGGATCTGAACATCTTATAGTAATGCCTACCACATACAGAGTGCCAACTAGGGCTGGACGCAGTGACTCACACCTGTAATCCCAGCACTTTGGGAGGCCAAGGTGGGAGGATTGCTTGAGGCCAGGAGTTCGAGACCAGCCTGGGAAATGTAGCAAGATCCCTGTCTTCACACACACACAAACACACACACACACACACACACACACACAATTAAAAATTAGCCATACATGGTAGCACGATCTGATAGACCTAGCTACTTGGGAGGCTGAGGTGAGAGAGCTGCTTGAGCCCAAGTGTTCAAGGTGAGCTATGATTGCACCACTGTACTCCAGCCTGAGTGACAAAATAAGACCCCGTCTCTAAAAAAAAAAAAAAAAAAAAAAAAAAAAAAAAAAGCTAACTATATGGCAGGCCCTCTTCCAAAGGTTTTGCATATATTAATTTATTTAATCCTCTTAACAATTAAGAAAGGTATCATCATCCTCACTTTGCAAAAATGACACAGAGAGGGCCAGGTGCAGTGGCTCACGTCTGTAATCGAAGCACTTTGGGAGGCTGAGGTGAGTGGATCACATGAGGTCAGGAGTTCAAGACCAGCCTGGCCAACATGGTGAAACCCCATCTCTACTAAAAATACAAAAAATTAACCTAGCATGGTGATGTACACCAGTAATCCCAGCTACTTGGAAGGCCGAGGTAGGAGAATTGCTTGAACCCAGGAGACAGAGGTTGCATTGAGCTGAGATCACACCACTGCACTCCAGCCTGGGCGACAACTGTGAAACTCCTTCTTAAAAGAAAAGAAAAAAAAAGACACAGAGAGAACAAACGTAACTTGCCTAACCACACAACTCATAAGAGAGCCAAGGTGGGAATCAAACCCAGGCAGTTTAGCATCCAATTCCACGTCCTTAACTGTACACCATTTGTCAAATCCATGCCGTCCCTCCCTGCCTAACTAACAGATAACATGCATAAACACAGGCTCTGAGAAACTTTCCTATTAGGTCTTCACCCTATGGAAAAGTTCAGGCATTTTCCTTTGCAACATATAAGATGTTGTAATTTATCAGAATGTGCAAAATCCTACCTCTGCATCAGCTTTGCTTGAAGTAATAGGTGGGTTTCCCCTTATAGGACTGCCAGGCTCCTCAAATAAAGCCTAAAAGGAACAAATTGTGGCAGGATGAGGGCTGAAGTGGGAGGGAGGGGAAGTGGGCAAATACAGAGAAGACAGACGCCCCTCAGCAGGACCCCCTGACAGAGACAGTGTACCCGTAGGAGCAGGTGGGCTCCCTTCTGTTACCTGGGGGCACTGGCCAGGGACAGTGTGTGCCAGATCCCTGTCTTCTCCCTGACAGTTCCCTGCAGACATGGGACCCAGCTGCTGGGTGGGGGGATCTGCCAGAAGGGGCGGGGTGTGGCTGGCAGGAGGGATAGACACAAAGCTGCATGCTGGGGCTGTGGGGGCTGGGGGAGCCCTCCATCTAGGGGGCACGGAGCTCAGCTGGAGGGTCTCTGGAAAGGTGGAAGATGGTGGGCCCCAGTTCCCGTATGTCTTCAGAATGGGGAGGAGCTCCCTGGCCCTGAGGGACTCCTGCCAAGTTGCCTCTCCTGGGCTCTTAAGGCAGGGAGGTGGCTGTTGTCTGCAAGGTGTTTCCGAGCAAAGCCTTGGAAGCCCGAATCCCCTTCCCCTGTGTCCATGTTGAGTGATGGTCAGGCAGTTCATATAACCTTTTGAAGTCTCTGCTCCTCACTCTACCTAATGGGAAAGTCATTCCTACTCCCAGGGTGGTTGTGAGATACGAATGTCACAGGGGAAGGGCCTGGCACAGGTAGGGAAGGAAGCTGTTGTTTTGATTCTGTCTGATGCTAGCTAGTGATGGGGTCAGACCTGTAAGACAGGAGGAAGCCAACCTTGGGGGTTCCCGGGCACTTTAGGGGACACGGTGCAGCAGCAACGGGCAGCCCACACACCTCAGCACCAGGCCTCGTCCTCCTAGAGGCCCTGCCAGCTCTCACCAACTGGCGTGGATGTAGAGGCCGGCTCCTGCCCCAGACTGCTAGAGGAGACACTGCCAACACAAGGCTGACCTTAACCCCAACTCCTATTTCACAAGGTCTTGCCCCCATTCTTCTGGCATCTGATCCCTAGTACCATGTCACCCCAGCCTTGGGGCTGACAGTTCACAGTGCCAACCTCACCACAGGTCATCCTCCTGTCATTTTCCTGATGAGGCCACTGACAGGCAAGGTCCTACAACTGGTAAGTGGCAGATCTGGGATGTGCCCTCCAGCCTTCTAATTCCATGGCTACTTTCCCCTGTGGTCCATAACTGTGTGTCTCAATGGAACTTAAAGTCCAGTTGAGGAAACCAAAGCACAGAAGCATTTTTAAAATAAACTGGCCACAAATACAAGGGGCAAGCGATGATTCTGGTATTGAGTGTCAGCTGAAAACGTGATGGTGTCACATACCTTGGTGAGACAGACACTAAGGTTTGAAAGGTTCAGAGGAGGCTGGGTGCGGTGGCCCATGCCTGTAATCCTAGCACTCTGGGAGGCCGAGGTGGGTGGATCACCTGAGGTCAGGAGTTCAAGACCAGCCTAGCCAACATGGTGAAACCTCATCTCTACTAAAAATACAAAAATTAGCCAGGCGTGGTGGTGCACACCTGTAATCCCAGCTACTCGGGAGGCTGAGGCAGGAGAACTGCTCCAACCCAGGAGGCAGAGGTTGCAGTGAGCCAGATCACACCACTGCGCTCCAGCCTGGGTGACAAAGTGAGTCTCTGTCTCAAAAACAAAACAAAACAAAACAAAACAAAACAAAAAAAGAAAAAGAAAAAGAAACAAAGAAAATTAGCCAGGCATGGTGGTGTGTGCCTGTCATCTCAGCTACCTGGGAGGCTGAGGTGCGAGGATCCCTTGAGCCTGGGAGGTCGAGGCTGCAGTCAGCCATGGTTGCACCATCACACTCCTGCCTGGCCAACAGAGTGAGACCCCATCTCAACAAATAAATAAAAAAAGTCAAATGAAGAAAGAGGAGACTCCATGGTGGGAAGAAGGTAAATGAAGACCTGGGGAAGGAAAGAACTCCATGTACCTCACATCACTAAGTTCATGAGAAGAACCAGGAAGAGACCCCAGGCTCCCTCAACCAAGCTTCAGAAAGGCTGTCCTGAAACGTGCAGGGTGCAGCAGAGTGAGGCCCTGGACTTGGAGAATACAAATTCCCATTCCCTCTTGTATGTTCTCCTAAAAATGTTTCTGCCCTTTGGTTTCCTCATCTGTAGAACAATAATGGCTATAACATACATTAAGCCTGATTCATTAAGCATTTTGCCTTTCATATCATGTAATCATTGCAACACCTATAAAATAGGTATTACTATTAATCTCATTTTATGATGAGAAAACGGAGGTTCAGAAAGGAGGAGTGAATTAGTTGCAGTCACTTGGCCCTGAAATGGTGAAGCCAGGTGTCTAGCAGGAGCTTGGCCACTATTCTTAAGCCTCTTACTTCTTGTATTCTTGTGAGGCTCACATGACAATCCACCCCTACCCTCCAATCCCCACTCAACCTCCACTAATCTGGCCTGAAACCCTTTGCACACCCTGCCAAGCACCAGCCCAACCACACACAACTCAACAACTCCCTCTTGCACAGGCCACACACTCTCAGGCTTCTACTGACAGTGTCTCTGAACCCAACAAACTCCTCCTTGGGTCTCAGCCTGACAGTGCCTCCTGCAAGTCTTTTCTGATCACCCAAGTAAACTTACTTGCTGCTTCCTTAGTGCTCTTAGAGCACCTGATAACTCTCATTCTGGCATTTATTACACTATATCCTAATTAGGGGTTTGTATTTTGTTTTTTCCAAGCATACTGTGAGTTTCTCAAGGGCGGGCATTGAATCTTTATCAACTTTGTATTCCTAGCAAGGAAAAAATGGAAGGAAGGGAAAAAGGAAAGCAGGAAGGGAGGGAGAGAGGGAGGAAAGGTGGGCAAATGCAAAAGACTGCTACATAGAACATATTAGATGGGATCATTTGAAATTGCCAATATTCTATGCCTTCTTGTCTACAAAATGGTAACTTTATATTTCACCTGGTATAATGAGGGTGTTTCCCCACTAGCCAGACCCACCCAAGTACCTCCACTCACCCTCTGGTAGTCTCTGCTCTCTGTCTTTTGTTTTGGGACAGTTTACATGTGTCTTTACCACACAAAAGGGTTAGGATGGGGGCTTACCAAGGAGGGTGGTTCTTAGGCAGTATACAGACCAAAATTGATGGGGGCTTTCTGTACCTCTTCTCATTGAGACCACCTTGAGAGGTCCCCCTCTGAGTCCCCTCTGAGCGGGGAGGCGAAAGCTGACTCAGTGATAATGTGGAGTGGTCTGCAGGTGGGGGCCCAGCCACTCTAGCACCAGCCACTGTCAGAGCTTGACTGTCTCTCCAGGAAGACCTCCCTCGCCTCTTACAGCACCCCAAATCTGATCCTCTTGTCTTAGGGTTTGACTTCCTTCAAGGCCTAGCCCCCTATCTCCTCCTTCCCCTTTTCCAGGCCAAGGGACCCTCATCACTAGAGGGTAGGAGAAAAGGGCCTCTTCCTCTACGTTCTTTTTAATTTTGGTTATGACTTAAAGTCTTTGCTCCACCCAGTCCTGGCCTGCTATTTGGATCCTCCGAGTTTAGAAGTTAAAGAGAAAAAAGGACCTTTTCCTACTTCTCCGCATCCTCACTAGATCCTAATTCCCAAATTCTCCTTAAGGCAAAGGGTCTCCTCTGTCTACGGATACAAGTGTCAGGAAATACAAGGGTTGCAGGGAGGACACAGACTAACTTTTTAAGAGTTGTTTCACCTCAGGCCAACGTGAATATCTTGGTCAAAAAGGCCTTTGAAGTGCTCCTAAAACCGCCCTGAGATTCAGCACACACACTGCCTGGAGTGCTCCATTCACTACCATCCCTTCAAACCTTCATTCCGGCTGCATTTCTGGAGAGCTGGCACTTTAGAGGTTGACCTCTCCCCACATGCTGCCTCCAAGCCCTCTCCTCTTCCCCTCGATTTTTAAAGTGTTCAATGAACATTTGCTGGCAATTTGCTCTGCAGGGTCTGGCCGAGGCAATTATCTATTAAAATCCAAGAAAATGATGCATCCTGGAGACTGAACGTCAACAGCAACCAGGCCAGGGCAGGGTGGTGGTGGTGATTTGTTAACTTCTTCGCGGGCAGGGGCGTACACAGGTGGCATCTGTCAAAGGAAGGGAATGGCTTCTCTGGGGCCTGGCTAGGACTGCTCAGAGCCTCCTCCTCATCACCAGGTCTGGGAAGGGGTTCCATCTCCTGTCTCTCATCTTCCCTTGTCCCCAGGCCTGTGGCTTCATCTCTGTTTTCCTCTTCTCTGACATCCCCAGCCTGGCCTCTTGCTGGCTCCTCTCCAGTGTCCCCCTCTTTGGTTTTATGCCACCTTTCCGTCTCTCTGTTTCTCAACTTCCCTGCCACTAGCCCCTTCTTGGGAGGTGGGACCTTCCGTGAAGCCATAGGATATGTGGGCTCAGGGATAGGTAGCCAGGACTTTAACTGACTGTCCTCATGGCCCAGGAGAAGTCACCAACCACTCTGCACCTCTGTTTGAACAAAGAAGAAGTTGGGACAAGTTACTTTTCAACAGCTTTATTGAGGTATTTAATATGATTAATGTATAATAATCTGCACATATTCAAAGTGTGTAATTTGATTAGTCTGACAAATGTATTAGCATACACCCATGGAAGCATCACCACCATCAAGACAATAAATATGCCAGGCACAATGGCTCACGCCTGTAATCCCAGCACTTTGGGAGGCTGAGGCTGACAGATTGCTTGAGCCAAGGAGTTCAAGACCAGCCTGGGCAACATGGTGAAACCGTCTCTACAAACATACAAAAATGAGTCAGGCATGGTGGTGCAGTGCACACCTGTGGTCCCAGCTACTCAGGAGTCCAAGATGGGAGGATCCCTTGAGCCCAGGGAGCTCAAGGCTGCAGTGAACCATGATCGCACCACTGTACTCCAGCCTAGGTGACAGAGCAAGACCTCGTCTCAAAAAAAAAAAAAAAAAAAGAATAAATATACCCACCACCTCAAAACATTCCTCATGCCCTCATGCCCTCCTACCCCTCCCAGTTCCCTCCCCTTGCCAGGCAACCAATGATCTGCTTTCTGACACTATAGTTTACATTTTTTAGAATTTGTATATCAGTGGAATTGTACAGCATGTGCTCTTTTTGGTCTGGCTTCTTTCACTGAGCATAATTAATTTGGGGATTCATCCATATTGTATCATGTATCAATAGTTCATTCCTTTTTATTGCTAAATAGTATCCCACCATATGATACACCACAGATTCTTAATCCATTCCCCTGTCGATGGACATTTGTTGTGTTTCCAGTTTGGGCCTATGACAAAGCTGCTGGGGTCTTTCATGGGCAAGTCTTTATGTAGACACGTGAAGCACATAATTCCTTAGGGAGCTGTGCTCACTTTCTTGGCAGCTCAGCAGCTGCCAAGACAAGATTCATCCTTTTCCGTCCCTGTAATTCAGCAGAGGACGAAACTGGCAGGCAGCATGCTTGAGTTTGAACCCTGCCCACCACTTGCAGTGTGACCTTGTGCCCCTCTTGGTGTCCTGGTTTTCTTTATGTTCCTACCTCCATGGGTTGTGTGAGCATTCCATGACTGTATGGATCTGAAGCATTTAGTGCAACGCCCAGCACAATGTTCAGAAATAGTAGCTGTTCTTATTTTGCAGGCACCTCTGAGAAGATCTATACAATCCGAAATGGGCTTCCTCTAGAATCTCCGAGCAGTTACCCTAACCCTTTGAAGTGGCTCCATTTCACAGAGGAGTTACTGAGTCCCAAAGCAAAGAGTGACTTGACAGGGTCGATCTTTGATTTGGGAGTGAATGCAGGCGTGTCCTGATACCCAACTATTTCCTAGTTGGGTGATGGGCAGAGAGGAAGTCGGAATTTTCCAATTACTTCTCAGAGTGTCTCCTAGAGAGTCCTGATAAGTAGCTCAGCACAGCCAACCAGAAGACTATGAGCCCCTAAGGGTTCATACAAAACCACACTCATTTATTCAGTCCCCCCGGCTCAGCAACCTGGAAACCCCGCAAAATCACAGTCAAATCGGGGGGAAAGAGATAAGGGTAGGGAGGCTGCCTACCCTCCTCCCCTGCCCCACAGGGCTCTAAGTAGCCCAAAAAGGGGCTCCTGTGTGTCTTAGGCAAGCAGGTCAGTCTCTGGAAGGTACTTACGCCATCTGGCATCTTTACAGACCAGGCCTCCGAACTCTGGCTCTGCCTCTTCCTAACTGTGTCAGGGTAGGCCAGGCTTGCCGTGGCAACACACAACTTGTAAGTTCAGTGGTTTAACAATAAAAGTTTATTTCTCATTTACACTCTATGAACAACATAGGTGTGAGGGTGCCAGAGTCTTAATGCTTCCACTAGAGCTGACGCACATCAGTTCCGCCACGTTTTATTGGTTAAAGTTGGTCACATGTCCACAGCTAGCATCAAAGAGTGAGAACATGCAGTCCTACCTTGTGCCAGAAGGCAGAGAGCCGGAAATATTTGGAGACAGCACTAATGACTATACACTAGCCAAGTGACCTTTGAGCTCATTTCCTCTTCTGCAAAATGGGGACGAGAACAGTATTTGCCTCATAGATTGTTGTGAGGATTAAAAGAGAAATGTTATGTAACACCCTTGGCACAGTGTGGCACATGGGTGAGGTTGAGGCCCGGGGTATTTGTGTACAATGAGGACCCAGCATGCCCAGCCTCCCTCCTCCCCTGTAAACACTGACCCTGAACCCCGAGGCCCGTCACTGAGTGGTTAGCAGAGGATGGATAATTTTCTGCAAATCTGTCTTCTCCCGCCCTCTGGATCTGACACTGACCACTTGTGCCATGCAAACTTCATTGCCATAAACTACGCCCCCACCCCCAGCCTCATTCACACTCATGTGAGACTTCTTATCCCTCACGTGACTGCTTTATGACAAATCTGCCCTTCTGTCCAGTTAGAGGATAAGAATCCATTGAAGAAGGGGTAGAGAATCCGAGGGAAATGGGAAGGAAATTAACATCTATTTTTTGCTGAGCACTGTGCTGGATGCTTGACCCACGTTACCTCATTTAAACCTCATAATAGTCCTGTAATGAAGTGAGTGTGATTATTCTCATTTTGAGATGTGGGAGCTGATGCTTGGAGTAGTTACACACAGGCCCAGGGTTACAAAGCTAGTCAGTTGCAGAGCTGGGATGTGAACCCAAAACTCGGTGACTCAGAAGACCACACTTCAGCTTCTGGGCTGTCTTTTGCTATTTCATTCAGAATTTTTTTTTTTTTTTTTTTTTTTTTGAGACAGAGTCTTGCTTTGTCCCCCAGGTTGAAGTGCAGTAGTGCGATCTCGGCTCACTGAAATCTCCACCTCCCGGGTTCAACCGATTCTCGTGCCTCAGCCTCCTGAGTAGCTGGGATTACAGGCATGTGCCGTCACATCTGGCTAATTTTTGTACTTTTTAGTAGAGATGAGGTTTTGCCATGTTGGCCAGGTTGGTCTCAAACTCCTGGCCTCAAGTGATTCACCTGCCTTAGCCTCCCAAAGTGCTGGGATTACAGGCGTGAGCCTCCACACCTGGCTTAGACCTGACTTTTATCCAGGCTATAAACTCACCAACTGCCCAACCACAGATGTTTAGCCTTTGGGTTCTATTGTGCTGCTGTGGAAACTGTCCTGCTTCTGGAGTACAGGGACTAGGCTTTTAGTCACTGCTCAGTCCCTACCTTACTATGCAACTTTGGACAAGTCCTTTTACCTCTCTGGGCCTGAGTTTCTTCACTGAAAATGAAAGGGCTGGACTAAATTTCTCAGGTTCTTTCCATATCTAGGATTTGGTAACATTGAGAATTGCCCACATCTCTTCCTGCCTTTGGCCCTAATACTGTATTAGAAAGCATCACAAAGTAGAAAGGCAGATAAAGATCCCACATTTGAAGTTATACAGAGCATTAATTAGACTCTCGTTATTATTTGAAACTAAAAATAGTTTGTTTTAAGATTGATGGCGTGTTTGTAATCCATAGCAGGTTTCTCCCTTCCTTGCTATTTATAACAACTCTGGTTTCCTCTGTAACTAAGTCTGTCTCCTCCTATAAAAGAGGAAGTCAGGCTAAGTCTGCTCCTGAGCTAAGATCTCCTGAGTCTGCACCCCAGGAGAGGCTCTCTGGAGCTCTGAGCTCCTGTTGCTGGGCAGAACTCGGCTTAGTCTCCAGGTGGGCATTGGAAGATATGGCTGGACTATATGCCAGCAGGATGGGCTATGCCTGCTCTCCCATGGAACCATGCATAGCTGCTGGGGTGTGGCTGGGTATTAGGACTGGAGGTCCAGAACGCTGTATCTTCCACTCCTACAAGTTTTGCTTAATGCTTAGAGTTTTTTTGCAAATGCCAATGCCCAGTGCTAACCTGAAGAAGATAAAAGGAAACAGGGCTCAAGTTCAGGCCACTTTTGGGAGACATTTCCAGGGCCTATAAGTATCTCTTAGGTTTTTGATTTGTTCCTATAGGGTTGTTGTTGAGAGCTGGGTGTCCTGGAAGATCTGGGCATCCCAGATGGCTGCCCCAAGTTGCTGCCGGATTATTTTAACTACAGTAGCGTGGGAGCTTCCTGCCTCAGAGAGGGCTCCCCACACCTCCCCCAGGTTCCCATCTGCCCAGACGCCCACAGCTCCTGTCAAGAGAAATGATGGAAGCCCCAAGATACCTGGGGGAAGGGCCTCAGCTCAGGACAAGAGCTGGGGCTCCAACCCCAGTCCAGTCAGAGAACTCTCAGGGCCAGCTCATGGTTGTATGCATGTGTGTGTGTTTGCCTGTTTCTGTGAGACAGTGAGGAAAGCATGGGGGTGGGGGAGATAGGCACACGGGCAGCTAATCCTGAGAAACTCTGGGGTTTGGGAAGGAGGGAAGGAAAGGAAAGCTGGAAGGGGATAGAGGTGATGGGAGAGAGGGGGATGGGTAAAAACCAAAGAGAGGAAGCAGTGGCTGTGCTGAAGCTGGACAGAAACTGAAAAGGGCAAGGCTTGTCCTAAACTTCCTCTGACCCATCTAACCTAAATCTCCCCACGCTGTGGTTTAAGCCTTTTTCCCACCTTGGTTCTCCATCTAGCCTCTGAGCAGCAGAACCCAGGGGGGATGTCTGGATGCTGGCTGCCCTGCTGCTCCCTGGTGGCCCAGGAGGGAGCTACTTCTGAGTAGCCGAAGTCCTGAGGCTCTGACATTTAGGAGACCTGAGTTTCCCGCCCGTGTGTATCCCTGCTTCCCCTGACTCAACACCCAGTGACCTGGAGGGATGCAGAGAGGGTGGGCAGCAGCTCTGGAGGCATTTCCCAGCAGTAGAACTGTGAGTCAGAAGGGTCATCTACTGTCGGAAGTCAGAGGGGACCTCCTGCAGGCAGGAAACCAGAGTTGGGCCCCAGAGAAGTCCAGAGATGAGTTGGCGGGAAAGTAGCTCTTCAGAATGCAACATTACCATCCGGGAAGGCTGAACCTGGAGTCCGCTGTGCCTAGAGGAAAAGCCTGGGCCGGCCTAGCTCCCTTCTGCCTGGACATCATCATCCCTTCCACCTTGGTGGTCATCTGGGAAGCCTGGAATAAGATATACATGTCCAAATCTGGAGTCTGTTGCTTATATGCTGGAATTCATACATGTGAGGCTCAGTTTCCCCATCTGCAAAATTTAAAAAGAATAAAAAAGCCTAGCTTACAAGGTTATAGGGAAAAAATGAGAATATGTGCATAAAATACCTTGTGTAGGTGGTCCATATGTGTTAGTCTCCTCCCCACGAATTATTTTGGTTGGAAGATGGGGAGGAATGTTGCAGGATATGACTGCAACATTCTGCTAACCTCCTGGTCCAGGAGAGGTGATCCCCTGGCCCCAGGGAGAGCTTCCTCTAGATTCAAATGCTAATAAAAGGTCCAGGATACCACCAAGACCTCTTCTCCAGCCCCCATCATGGGGGCACTGCTGGCGGTGCTCCTCCTGTTTGCCATGGGGATGAAAAGGATGTGTTGATTGGCCCTTGAAATTTGCCCTTGAAATTATCTTTGGTTTTGATTTGACCTTAATAGGTCAAGCCAAACAGGGATCTGAGCTACTGCATGAAGCAGTTATTGGCGGGGAGGGGGGTGTGAGTGGAGGAGGGAAGGGGAGGAAGATGGTACCAACAGATGCATCCTCAGACCCCAGTCCACACCCTTGCCAAAATCTCTGACATGGTTTCATCATCTGAGGGTAATGTAAGAGGCCTGGAGTCAGACTCCCCTTCCTCCCCTCCCCCAGAGATCCCCATCCACATCTGGGGCTGCAGCTGGGTCCTCCTCTTGGGCCCTTTCCAGGGGAGGGAGCTGGGTGAAGTGAGGGCAGCTGGTGAGGGGCCCTGTGAATGGCCCCAATGTTGGGAGGCAGGGGGCAGGGAAGAGGCGTCTGGGCTCAGAGGGAGGGAGATGGACTGGGAAGGGAATTGTGACTTTGCAGCACTGGTCTCCTCCTCCATCCAGGCCCAGCGTTAAAGTCTCCATGGTCCTCCTTGTCCTTTATACCCATTCCTGCAGGCAGCTGCCCTCCTTCCCTTCCCCACCCACTTCACCGCCCAGCCTCTCTACCCAGGTGCTCGGAACTGAGGGCCCCCTTTGTTCCCTCCTTTCCCCCAGGGCAGCTCAGGCCTCCCACACTGACCCTCTGGCCCCACAGCCACAACAAGCAGAGTGTGAGCCAGGCCCAGTGGGGTCATCTGTGGGTCATAAAGGTCAATGGGACAGTCGTCTAGCAGTAGGGAGGGGCTAGTCTTGGGCTAGGAGCCTGGCCAGGAATCAACTAAAACATGAGCTTTAAGATGCTGCAGGGTGGAGGTGGGGGAAATTTTAGTTAGGGGCTAGCAAGAACTCCCTTCGAGAAGGGTTGGCGAATTTACTGGAATAAATGCAGAAGGGAAGCTTTCCTGGCTCTTTTGAACTATAAACCGTCAATCGCTGTGGGATCCCCGGGAGACCAGGGTTCTTACCATGCTTACCCACGAACTCGCTCTGTAACCTTCGGTAGTTCCCCTCTTTGAATCTCAGTTTCTTCATTTATGAAATGAGGGTCCCATTGAAGCCGAGGTTCTGCTACTCCAGGAGCCGAGGTTCTAACGTGGTCTGCGTCCAGCGCCCCCACCCCTACTCCCACCCCTACCCCCACCCCCACCCTTCAATCCCGCCCCCTACCCCCAGCCACCCCGTGGCCGCGAGCCAAGAGGTCCCTTTAAAGGCGCGAGTCCCGCCCCCACTGCTCATTAGGGCTTTCGATTGGCGGCTCCTGGGCGGGGCGGGGCCCGGCCTGGGCTCGGGGCTGGCTCGGGGCGGGCTCGGGGCCGGATCGGCCCCCGCCCCCTTTGTTCGCGCTGCGGCGGGAGGTGGCTGCCGGGTGGGAGGTGTGTGCGCGTGTGCCGCGCCGTAGGGAGCGGCGGGTCGCGCCGCCGGCTGTCAGCTAGCTCCGCGCCGCCGCCCGATGGCGCGAGGAGGCGCGCGGGCCCAGCCCCGGGGGGCCGGCCGCGGGTGAGCCCCTCGGCCTGCCGCCCGCGAGCATGTCACCTCCAGCCGCCGCCGCCGCAGCCTCCGCCAGCCGCGCCCGCGCCCCCGCCTCCCGCAGCCGCAGCCGCTGCCTCGGGCATTGGCCCCCAGACCCCCGCCTCTGATCCACGCCCAGACCCTAGCTCCAGAGGGCCATGGCCGGCCAGGGGGACTGCTGCGTCAAGGTGGCCGTCAGGTAGGGACCCGGGGCGGGGAAGGGGGCGCGCGGAGAAGCCTCGGGCTTTGTCTCGCGTGGGCTTTGGGCGGGGGGCGCGAGCACCGCTTGGGCTGGAGCCTGCACTCCCGGAGGAGGGGCCGGCGTGGGACGGGATGGAGGGCGCCGCGCGCTGGCCAGTCTGCCGCAGGGGAGCGGCGACCCCGCCGACTACTGGAAGGTGGCTTTGTTTGGGTGGTAATTTTGGGCCCCTCTTGGGAGCCCTTAATGATCAGAAAATCGAATAAACAAGGAAATCCGGTATTTCACACCCAGCTCTGGCCCAGGCCGGAGCGTCTGTGCGTTTCCTCTTCGCCTCCCCACGAGGCTGCTGTCTCATACGGGGATACCAGAGAGGGAAATTTCCCCTCATCCATGCGAGTCAGCTAGTTATGTGCTCTTGGTCCAGCTAGCAAAGGCAGCACACCCACCCTGGGAGCCAGATCTGCAGACAAAGATCGGGTGCGGGGACCAACGGAAAAGCTGGGATGATGCCTTGGCCTTCTGTGGGAAGTCAATGGCTTTGGGGGAGAATCCTACCAGTCCTGTCCCAAGAGGAGATGGGCCTAGGAAGGGAGGAAGAGGTGTATCTGAGGTGCTTCTCTCTGAGAGGGCAGGAGGGTGTGATGCAGATGCCCCATCCTCAGGCACTCAGATAAAATTGAGCAGGGGAGGGTTGCCTAGACTTATCTGGGGTTCCATTCTCAACAGCTCCGGGACTTGAGCCGGCAGAAATGAGACAGGGAGAGGACATGGCTGGGTGGGTTCTATTGGGAGGGGTACACAAAGGTGCAGGAGCAGGAAATGCTGTGAAATTGAGCCATCTGTGTTCTTTGT
This sequence comes from Homo sapiens, assembly GCF_000001405.40. NCBI lineage: Eukaryota > Metazoa > Chordata > Mammalia > Primates > Hominidae > Homo > Homo sapiens. Next base: position 201,022,487 of record NC_000001.11, on the reverse strand, counting down.
GCTGGGTGGAGATGCTTCACACCTCACCACTTCTCCCAGTTTTTGCTTTGGGTTTTTCTCTTTGAGAGGGGTGTCTTGGCGGCAGAGTGCCAATCTGGAGCTGCTCACCAAGGTAGGGATGTGGCAAGAACATCTATCTCTGCCCCAGCCCTGTATGATGGAGGGGGCGGGGGATTGTCCAGGTCTAGGGTAGGTCTCTCAGGTCTCTAGATCCCTTGGGTCATATGTGACCCAGATTCCAGGGGTCCTAGGAGGTTGCTCCTAGACAGAGTCAGAGATGGCAATGAAAAAGCTTTCTTCTTCCTGCCCCAGGGCAGATGCCCCTTGCCACGGCCACCTGGCCAGGCCTCTGCAGCCCAAAGAGGAGCTGACACTGATCAGTGCTTGGGTGAAGGGAAGGAGATTGAGGCACCCCCACCCATGCACCCTAGGCAGCACTCAAGAATCACTTGAGCACAGCTTTCCTGGCCCTGAGCAGCCAGAGACAAAGAGGAGCCCTGCAGGTGCCTGGTGGGCTGACTGGGGCGGGGCCAGGCTGCTGCTGGGGCTGACATTGCAGCAGGATCTTGTGGAGGTCGAGGGAGGGGTGCATGGCTGGGGGGTGGGAGTGAGAAATGTAAATATGGCATCTGCAGCAGATTGGGAGAGTCCGAGAACACCATAAAAGGGAAATGAAGCTCTGGCCCCCACCCATTGTGAATGAGGGCTGGGAAGGAAGGGGCTTGGGGGTGCCCTTTCCACAGGGGGTTTCCTTTAGATTCCATCTTGCTGGAGAGAGCTAAACAAAGGCCCCCTACCTCTGTTCAGGTCTCCAGGCTGGACTGGGGCTGAAAAGATGTGGGACTCCCACCCGGGGAGCCTCATGGGATTGGCACAGTGAGGAGAAGCTGATGTTCTCTTCCCACTGCCACCTCTAGAAGCTTCCCGGGACCCTTTCTGCAGAGAAGGGATCATGCCTGCCCTCTGCACCCAGTTCAGGACCATGTGTGTCATCTCTGGTTCCCAGTCAGATTGCCCTAAGTGGGGTCTGGGTGCCCCCACGCCTTGCCTTTCAGTTGCTGATCTGGATTGGGGGTGGGGCATTTGAGCATCAGAAGTCAGGCTTTCAGGGTCTCCGGGAAGGTAAGGGCCCCGCCCACTCCTCCCCTCCCACCCCAGCATGAGCGCCCAGCCCCGGCACACGCCAGACCTCAATGGGCAGCCGGCCGTGTACAGCAGACAATGCCTGGACAGAACCCAGTTTCTAATCAGAGAGCTTAGGACTGAGCTGGGGCTGGGCTGGGCTGGGAAGGAGAGCAGATGGTACCAGTGATGGGCTGTAGGGGGAGTTTTCCTTGTTTTTAGATCCTCTTCTACCCATCCTCCCCCGCAGCACCCCCAGAAATCACTTCTCTCACCTGAAAGACTGGGTGGTGGGCTGCACTACAGTAGACCATTTATGGGAAGGGCAAGGCTTGTCCAGGGCCTAGTCCAGCCCCAGGGCTCACTACCTCCTGCCAGGTTCAGCTGTCTTTCTGACTTTCTGGAAGTCCTTTCTTGAATCCAACTGAAGTGCCTTCTGAATTTCCATGAGAATAACATAGCGAGCCTGGAGTCCAGCTCTTCAGACAGGGAAGGCCAGGAATGAGACAGGTGTGGTCTGATTGTGTGTGTGTGTGTGTGTGTGTGTGTGTGTGTGTAGAGGAGAGAGGTCCCAGGGCTATTAGACTAGGTGAGAAGTGCCAGGCCTAAGGCTCTTGGCCCTGCAATCTGTTTGGGATGAAGAGATCGAAGCTGGCTGGCTGTGAAACGCTTCAGTGAAGGCCTGGGCTCCTGGAGAGCCGGAGGAGGAAACTTTCAGGACCTGGGGCTCAGGGTAAGGGAAGAAAGTTCAGGGGTGAGCAGACCCCAAAAGCCCCACCTTGTGGCCTCCCCAGCTAGATGGAATCTGGCCCATCTGTCCCTGAACCCAGGCTAGTCGGCTTTGCACCAAGGGATTCCCAGGCTGGCCTCTCCAGCCTGCCCTGTGATCCCTTTATCCATTAATCCCCTTGTACTGTAAAGATTCTCAGCTTCCTGGGCTGGACTAGAACTGGCAGTCACCTGGGGGAGGAGGTGTGTAGCAAGGCTAGAGAGAGGTGGGGCGGAGCTGTGACCTGCCCCAGGCTGCAGAGATATAGGCCTGACAAATGGGGCGAGAAAGGGGTAGCTGTTAAGAAATGCAAGTTGGCAAAGTTGAAATTGGGGAAGGAAGCTAAGTCACATGGCAAATTTGTTTAAGACCCTTTCAAGTCCCCAGCTCTGAGCCCCCACCATGAGGGGAGACCTCAGTGTTGCCTAGCCCCCTCCCCTCTTATCTCTGCCTGGCTTCCCTAAGCTTCCTTCCTTTAGTCTGCTTGGCGGTGCTTGGCCAGCCCAGCATCCATCTGTTGATACTACAGGGTTAAGTAGGGGATAGGTAGGGGTTTGGGGGGGATCCAAGGGACCCAAGGGACAATGTTAGATTGCACCCCAGCCCTCTCCCATTTGGGTTCTCTAGCTGCAGTTATTTCCCTAGTTCTAGGCTACTCTGAAATCTTGGTCAATGACTGTCTGAATTTTGAACCAAGAGCAGTGGTGGCTTGGGAGAGAAAGACTGAAGAAGACAGAAGAAACTGTGGGGGAATGGGTATTTGGGGTGCCTTCCGAGTCCCAAAGCCAGTCAATGCCAATCAATGCCACCTGTGTCCAGTTTACAGATCTCAGAAACTGAGGCCCATACAGGGCCTCATGTGGGCTGTGTGGAGACCTGAGAATCTTGGTGGTGGCCTCCTGCTGCAGAAATAGGGTTTATGTCATCATAAGGAAGTGGAGTGTAGTAACCACAGGCCCCGGAAACCTCCCCCTCCACCACCCAGCCTGCCTGCCTGATTGGATCTCAGCTTTTGAAAACCTCCAAGTGGAGGTGAGGCGGGGCCCAGGCCTGGGCCAGGGAGGTGGCAGAGGTGATATGTGCCTGGCATGCTTATTTTTGCAACCCTGGGGGCAAAGGGCAGGGCAGGAACTGATGCAATTCATCCACTGGCTTCGTCATGGGGCACCTTCCCTGTTTGTCTTTTGTGGGCCTCAGTTTTACCCACTGGAAAATGGGAACTGCTGTGTTCTGGTTTGTTCATTTGTGAAGAGCAGTGGCTTGGAGGAAGACGGACATAAAATCTTTGGAGGGAACAAAATGCAGAGTAGATTCCTGAGGAATTGAATATAAATAAAATGTTTTTTTAAAAAAAATGGGTCCTAGGCCAGGCGCAGTGGCTCATGACTGTGATCCCAGCACTTTGGGAGGCTGAGGCAGGTGGATCACAAGGTCAGGAGTTCAAGACCAGCCTGACCAATATGGTGAAGCTCCATCTCTACTAAAAATACAAAAATTAGACGGACATGGTGGCGCATGCCTGTAGTCCCAGCTACTCAGGAGGCTGAGACAGGAGAATCACTTGAACCTGGGAGGCGGAGGTTGCAGTGAGCTGAGATCGCACCACTGCACTCCAGCCTGGGTGACTAAGCAAGAATCTTTCTCAAAAATAAAATAAAATAAAATGGGCCCTAATGTAAGTGTACCTAAGAGATGTCTCTGTAGTTTAAGCTTTAGTGAACTATTTAGTAAATTGAATTCACCTCCAGTCCTTTGATTAATATATTAATTTAGAGCAGAATGCATGGTGTGGTGGAGAGGAGTATGAACCAGGAGGTGGCTAAGCACTATAATGTATTGAACACTTACTCTGTGCCTACAGCATCCCATTCAGCTGGCTAGGTGATTGATGTTATTCCCATCATATAGATGCACAAACACAGGTGGCAAATGGAGGAGGCTGGATTTGAACCCAGGGTATTCTCAGTTGTGAACACATGCTCTTCATGCAACTCTAAGCTGCCTCCTAATTGAGGTGCTAATTAGCTGTGTTCTTGAAGTCTCTATGCCTCAGTTTCTTCAAATGCTTTACTACACACAGTGGCCGTGAACATGAATGTGGGAAAGTGAAAATGGAAAGGCACATGGTGCTGTGCAGATGTGTGGCAGGGCTGAGGCTGTCCAGATTCTCCTGTATGGGATTGCTTAGCAGCATGGGGCTGCCTGGCACCACCATGGTCCTAGCTCCTAAATCCGTGCTGTCATCGTTTGTGTTTGGGGAGCTTCTCCAGCCACATTCTCCCTTTCTTAGATCACTGCAGCCATCCCTGGCATGTGTCTTCCTGCCTGAATTCCACCTTGGCACTCTCTCAGGAAGGATATTCTGGGGGCAGCCAAGTCTTTTGCTGGCCCCCCACCTCACACACACCAAAGGGCGGAACCCCATGTGTGCTAGGTCTCCTAGCCTTTCATTTTACCCTCTAGAAAGTATTGAGAACATTGAGGAGGAAAGCAATGTCTTCTGTGCCCCTCCCTCTTAGAACAGCCAGAGGGGCACTGAGAGGGCCCTGGGCTGGGTGGGGGTCAGAGGTTGCTTCCCTGCCATGAGGGAAGCTGGACTGGAACGGCTCTTCCTTGGCCCCAGAGATCCACCCACCTCAATCCCTATGTGAAGCTCCAGGGCAGGCGGCAGCAGTGTTGGCTGCAGTACCCTGTTTCTGGAGGACTTTCTCTTTCACCTCCAGCTGCTCTGGGGTGTGGAAAGGAGGTCATGCTGCCATCCCATCCCCAAATGCCTGAGTGTCTATCCCTCTGCTTTCCTGAGGTGAAGCCCCCTGTCCTTTATGAAGGCTGGGCTGGTCCCACCTGAGGCTGACTTAAGGTGCACCCTGGAGAGCTGTCCTGCATGCAGTGTGGGCAGGGGGCCAGGGCCGGTGTGGTGGGGAGAGGCTTGCTGCCCTCCACAGCCAGCCTTCTGTTGCTCTGCATTCCTCAGCAGGGGAGCATCCCCAGGGCCCAGTCCCCACTGGCCATTCCCCACCAGATGCAGATGCCAATACCGTCACAGCTCTGGGCTCTGGGCGAAGCCTGACTCTGCAGCGTCTCCTGTCTCTGGGGAGGTCATGGGAAACCCCTGCCAGATGCCCTGAGATGGGGGTGGGACAGGGAGAGTGGCGCTGCAGCACAGCTGAGCAGTACTTCCCTGGGCTGGGTTTACCCTCTTCCCAGGCCCCAGAGATGGAGGAGTCCGACCCTGGCCCAGGAAGTTCCTGGCTCCTGCTCACAGCCAGGCTTGTGTGGCCAATGGCAGGCTGGGGATATATCCAACTCAGGACAGGGACTGGCCCCTTCTTTCAGCTCCTCCTGCACATCCCTGCTCCCTGGCATTTCACCCCACTCTCCTTGCTGGCCCGATTCCTCTGCACGGCTGAGATCCTGATGCCCTGGAGGGCCATAGACAACAGGACTCTCAAGGTGCCTCATGGCAGGCACCCCCTCCCCTGTTAGCCTGCCTGACCCTTAGCGTTACTCAGAAGCCAGTGGCCAAGACCCTAGTAAGGTCAAGGACACTCAAGAGGAGGGGGTGGGGTCAGAGTCCTGAACCCCAAGCATCCCAAGCTGACACCCCAAGGCCTCCTGTAGGTTTTCCTGGAGTATCACACCCAGGACAGGAAAGTGATTAGGGGCAAAAATCAGGCAGAGAGAATTGACAGACTGCTTGCACCATGCCGGCCAAGGCCTCCTAAACCCATGCTCTTTGGCTCCATAATACAAAGCCTTCTTGTTTGGGGGTTCAGAGTCCTGAGGGCAGTCTCAGGAGGGCTGGCCTGGGGAAGGGTCTGAGAGGCCAGGAGAGGGACAAATGGGAGGGCAACAAGACCCTCTGGCTGTCACAGAGCTCTGATGGCACTGCCCCCAATAATACTGGGCTCTCCCCACACCTTACCCCTGCAGCTAAAAGGGCAAGCACCCCAAATTGGATCTTGCCACCCTGTTTTATAGAAGACTGGTCTCTATGGGAAGATGCTTTGTCTGGGCTGTCAGCTAAAAGCCCCCGGGTGTCTGGGAGCCAGACTCCCCTGAGAGCAGGGATTTTGCTTCCAGCCGCCTTCCCCAGAGCTGGCAGGCTGCCATGGGGAGGAGGAGAGGAGGCTCATTAAAGTGGGGGTGTAGACGTCCTCTTTCTGCCACAGAGGAAAGCCGCCTTCCTCTGACAGGGAAGCAGCCTCCTGGGTTCCCGACTCCGTACTTCTCCCTGCTCCAGGCTTCAGCTTTCTTAAGCATGAGACAGGGAAAACGCTTTCCCAGCAGACAGCTTGTGGCACTGCTGGCAGCTGTCCGTAGGATCAGTCCGGGAGATTCTCTGAAGGGATCGTTTTTCTCCAAGCCAAGCTATTTCCCACCCTGGTGCAGAGCTGCTTGGTGAATGCTTCAGGATTGGGCACAGGCAGGTTTGGTTTGAATTTCATCTCCACCATTACAAATTGTGTGACTTTGAGCTTGTTAAATTTCACCTGCTGAGCCTTAGTAACATGGGGCACATATCCCCAGCTTCACAGGGTTGTCTTAACACATTTCATGTGTTCGTGTACATAAAGGAGCTTGGCACATAGGCTCTTAAAAAGTACTAGGTAGTATGTGTCCTCATCAGATAAGTCCTAGGTGGTGAAGAACACGTAGAACAAGGCAAGAGGGATATCAATGACGAATGATTTCTGAGAAAGAAGTCTGCACAGACCCCTCCAGCCTCTCCTCTCCCAGGCTTAATCATCTTTGCAGGCAGGAAGTTCTTTTTGCTAGCTTATCTAAATCCCTCCTGCTACAGCTGAGTTCCCTTTTGATCTTGCCCTCTCACTGATGAGGAAGAGCTGGTGCCTGGTAAGTCACCACATGGCTAAGTGACCCCTGTGTGCCAGGCAGACTAGCCATCACCGGGCTTATCTCTGTGTCCCCTCCATACACTCACTCATCCGCCACAGAGGATACAGCAGCCTGGCTCTGCTCTGCCCCACTGCCCAGGCTGAGCCAGGCATGCCAATTGGAGGCTGGGCACAAGCAGAGATCATGGAATCAGGGCAGACATTGCTTTTCCCCTTAGGCTTGCTGACTTTGCAGTCCCTCCCTAGGCTGTCTCACCAGCTTCTAGGAGCTCCTTTTCAAGATTCCAGAAAGGCATCAGGGGTCTTATAGCAGAAAAGAGCAGATATGCTTTTAGCCCCCCTGGGGCTTTTTCTGAAGGGACTAACATTTTGGCCATCTGAAAGGCGATTCTAGTCCAGCTGTCTGGTTCTTCTCAAAGCCTTTGAGGTAGGGAAGAGGGTGTCTGCCAGCCTAAAATCCCTAAAGTGCAAATTACACACAAGTGGGCAGCTGCGAGCATGCCAGTTCTCCCCAGATTTCCCCTGGATTGAATCTTCAGGGCTGATGGCTAATAAAGGTGAAAACCTTTTTGCATATTAGCTATGTGACCTTGAGCCGAGTTATCGGTTTCTCTCTGAGCTCTCATTTGTAAATTAAGGGCAAAAACACCCACCTTAGAACTAAATGATATAATGTAATGACCTAACATGTGCAAAGCACCCTAGATAGTGTCTATGAGAGGCAGTCTTGGCTCTATAAATGTGTTGGTGGTGACTAATTGAGGAAGTTTAGTAAGCCAAGTGTGATGGTGTTACCATTACTAGCAAGGAAAAGGCATCAGGAATCACAGATCATGCACCATATTTGTAAGAAATTCTTGGATTCTGGTTAGCTGTTTTAATACCATAGCCTGTGACCTCTCGTCAGTGAGAAGACAGACCCTTCAAGTGGAAAGAGCCTGGGACTGCACCAATGGGGACCTCAGTGTAAAGATTTGGAGGCAGCTTAGTTAGGAACTAAGGGAGGGACCCTAGCCAGCTGATTGGGTGGGACTGACTTCACCTAAGAAGCTGAGCCAACCCCTAGGAGTCCAAGGTCACTGGGCAGAGCTCCTGGGAGGGCTGATTGGTGGGCTTTGTGTGATGTCATTAAGGACCAGGTTGGGGATGAGGCCCGGCTAGGGCCATCCTCCCCCTCCTAAGCCCGCGGGAGAGGGTGCGGGCTCCCAGCACGTGCCCAGATGTGCCCAGTCGGTACCCTTTGCAGTTTTCTCTCCTTGGCAGTCTCTCAGCATACCCCTGGGCTGCCTCCTCCCTGTCTCCTCTGTCCTCCCCTTCCGCCCTGTCCTCCTGGCTCCCCTAAGAGCCGAGGATCCGCTGAGCTCAGCTCTTCCTGCAGCTCTGTGCTCCAGGCTCGCAGCCTTTGTCCCGCTGCCACCGCAGGCACCCAGCGGGTCAGGGGCAGGGGGTGGGGTCAGCCTGGGAGGATAGGGGCTCCCCAGCCGCCCGCATGTCCCTGGCCTCCGCGTGCGCGTTTCTCCGGGGGTGGAGGACGGCTTCCCACATCACACCCGCTCCTGCTCAATTGTGAACAGAGGAAGCTCAGCAACTTCGCTGCCTGTGCCAGATCCTGACTCTGAAAAGCTCCGGGCCCTTTCTCCTCGCTCTCGCGCCCGCTCTACCCGCCGCTCAGCCTCCGGGTTGCCAAGTGGCAAATAGGCCCGGCTCTGTTCTGGGAGATTCCGGGGGCCTTTCTGAGTGGGGCTGTCCAGCCGGCCCTCCCTCCTGGCAGAACCTTGAGAAGGGATGGACGGAAGATTGGAGGGGTGGGGCCTGGAGTGAGATGACCTCCAGGTACCCTGGACAGAAATGACACTAGATGTTTGGGCCGCAAAACTTTACTGACAGAAACAGGCAGCTGGCCCGTGGGCCACAATTTGCTAATTTGACTTTTAAAATATTGCACTAAGTTGTAATTTATCTTGATTACTGAGGTTTTTCCTTGCCTCCTTAAATTTTGTACTGAGGGTCAATGCCTCACCCTAGTCCTGGCTCTGGTCCACAGCCTCTAGGACCTGTATTTTAGTTGGAAGACCCTAGAGGCCACATGCAGTGGCTCATGCCTGTAATCCCAGCACTTTGTGAGGCCAAGGCAGGAGGATCACTTAAGCCCAGGAGTTTGAGACAAGCCTGGGCAACATAGTGAGACCCTGTCTCTGCAAAAACGTTTTAAAAAGGAAGACCTTAGAGATCCTTGACCCCCCTCCCATGCCCCCAGGGAGGAAAAGGACTGTTAGATGGTGCCCATCCTTGCCACACTGCTTCTTCCTTCTGCTTATCTGGGGCCAAGTAGGCCACTGTCACTTTGAGGGCAGCCCACAGAAGTGACCTCACCAAGGGTGGGGCCGGGAGAAGAGGCTGCTGGAGGGATGGGCAATGGAGTTCTTAGAAAGTTGAAAGCAGGAACAGACCTTCTAGGTAACCTAGAAGGAAGCAGTGGCTCGTAAACCACAAGAGAGCCAGGGCAGAGGCTTGGCAAGGACCCTGGTCTCATGTCTCCCAGCCCTCTTGTCTCCTACCTGTGGGGCGTCAGTTTGAATTTGCCACTAGGCAGGGTGTGGTAAAGAGTGAGCCCAGGATGACTGAGACAGTGTCTGCCACCGCCAAACTGTGAGCCCTCAAAGGCAGGGCAAGCCTGATGCCCAGCCCTGAGCATATGTGAACAGACATGCAGGACTCCTTCTAGAGAGCCCCCATGGCTCTGATGGAGGTGGTGTGGGATGAATTTTATTTAGTGATTTTAGGATTAAGAGTTTTCAGCTGGGCGTGGTAGCTCACACCTATAATGCCATTTTGGGAGGCCGAGGTGGGAGAATCGCTTGAGCTCAGGAGTTCGAGACAGGCCTGGGCAACATGGCAAAACGTTGTCTCTACAAAAAATATAAAAATTAGATGGGCATGATGGTGCGTGCCTGTTGTCCCAGCTACTTGGGAGGCTGAGGTGGGAGGATCACCTGAGTCCAGGAGGCTGAGGCTGCATTGAGCCATGATTGCACCACTGGATTCCACCCTGGGGCAACAAGGTGAGACTTTGTCTCAAAAACATACATACATACATACATACATAGAGTTTTCTGACAGAAAGCAGCTTGAGGAATGGAAGGGCATTCAGTCAGCCAGATCAGGAGTTGATACCCAACTTCACTGTATTTACTGTGTGTGTGGCTTAACCACTTCAAGCCTCAACCTTCCTTGCTGAAGAATGGGGATTTAAATCCCTAGGTCATAGCATCACTTAAGCAAGGTAACCTGTGGAGGTGCCTGAGCCAGCGCTAGCACATGGAGAGCGTCCCTGACATCTTAGCTTTCCTTTGCTTCCATTTCCATTTATTCATTCAGTCAGTCCAACAGTCTCTCCCTCTTCCAGGTAAGTTGCTTGGGGAATTGGTGACTCAACCAGGGTCCATGCCCCCCTGTCTCCCAGCCAGTATCAGTTTCTCTGGGTGACACTGCTCAGGCATGCTCACCTGCACCCTGGCAAAGCAGTCTGGTGCTAAGAGTGGACCAGCATTGGGCTGGACGTCTCTTTCTGACCACAAAGACCCTCATCTCAGGATGTGTTGGGCCAAAAAAGGGCCCCAGGGTGAATGCCCAACTGACCACGCAACTCCTGGACCCTAAAACCCTGGGGTCTCCTCCTCTATATCCTCTCCCCCAGACTGTTCTGCCCACTGTCTTGATCCTGGAAGGCAGGCTCCCCAGGTGGTCCGGGGGCTGATTGCTGAAGCAGAAGCTGCCCCTCTCATTGAAGGGCTCTGACAAGCAGGGCTGTTGCTCCCCCTCCCCTGCTCCACTGTCTCCAGGGATGATGATTCGATTTTCTCCAATCATCAGCATTGCCATCTGCCTACAGTAATTAAATGGTATTTGAACTGAATCCAGAAATCCCACTTCAGGCAGCCACGTGGTAGGGAAGCTGTCTTCAGGAACTGGTGCTAGCCAGCAGAGCTGGAGGGTCCTCAGAGGCTGCCCAGGCCAGGCACTTGGTTTACCTAGGAATACCTGGATGCTCTGAGAGGAAGTGCTTAGCCTTGGGTCCCAAGAGCCCAGGGGCAGAGCCAGGTCTAAAAGACAGTTTCCTGTTCAGTACCTGTGTGCAATGCCACGCTCCTCCTTCTAAGGTTGCTCTTGCTCTCTCTCCCTGCATATATGAGATGTTCTTTCCCCCTGGCACTCTGAACCCTGGTCTTTAGAGACGGTGTAGCATAAGACCATTGAAAGGGCAGTGCATGCAGACTGCATAGGTTCAAGCCCTGGCTCTGCTCCTGACTGTCTGTGACCTGTGACTCTGGCTGTGTGCCATCTCAGCTTCTTCATCCATACACGAGGGTCATAATCGTCACCTCCCAGTGTTGTGAGGACCAAGAGTTAATCCATGGTAGTGTTTAGATGCTGCCTGGCATAGAGTGAGTGCTCAGTGCATGTCTGCTGCCCTTATTAGCAGTAGAGGTAGAAGTAGAGGTAGGAGCCTTGCTGACCCTGAGCTCTTACTGGAGACTCAAGTTTCTGGTCTGGAGGTCCAGAAGGATGAGCAAGAATCAGCCATTCTCTTCCCAGGCAGAAGCCAATTCAGTTGGGAGACGAAGAAGCTGGGCTGCCATTCCAATTTGGGCGAGACAGCTGGATAAATGTGGTGACCTCCTTTGGGCTTCCATCCCTTTTAGGGGAGAACCACTGACCTATAAGAACCTGTTCACACCCCGGAAACACTTCTGAAGAAGGCCCAGACTCCCATCTGTGGGTAGGAACTGAGCCTGGTGTTGCTCACCCCCAACCCCTCCCCGCTGGGCTTTCCCCACCTCCCCAGTCCCCTTTAACTCCCCTTTAACTCCCTTGCCGTGGAAGTGCAGGCAATAGGCTCAGGTGAGCACCTTTCCCAGCCTACAGCTCTGAGTGGGCCTTGGGGGCTGGGGCAGCTGGGGACAGAGACAGGGTGGCGACTTGGAGGCCCTAGACTCTGTGACCAGGCGCCTCTGGGCCCAGGATGGGTGCTGGCCTGGCCCCTGGCATTGTTTCTTCTCTTGGTGAGTGTTGGCTTAGGGAGAGGAGGCCTGACAAGCAGCTCATTGTAAGTGCCTGCTGATGGGCTGGCTTGTGTGAGCCCATGGGCATGAGAGCCTAACCCCCAGCCCCTTTTACTTTAGGGAGTTGGGGTGGGGGTGGTGCTTTCCGCCAATCCCTGTACACGCATGCTTGCTGACTCCTGCTTGGTTGCCATGGGAACCATGTCGTGGTGATGGCTGCTTGGGAGAGAAAGGAAGGGGTGGCTGGATGGAGATAGTTGTGTCCATGGCTGGCTTCTCAGTCCTGATGCCGCTTTTCTTCCTCTTTACAGGGAAGCCTGCCAGAATCTGGGTTGGGAGCGCACCCCAGGCTGGCCTGGCGTCCTTTCTAGAGGTCCCTGCCCTTCACAAGGGAACTTGGGACTTGACCTGGTCAGCCCCAGCTATGCAGGTCTGCCCTCCCCCGCCCAACTCCTGGAAAGGAAGCAGAGCTCCAGCCTGAGAATGTCTACCAGGCTCTGGCATCTGGGAAGGGGGCTCCTGGTCTGGCGTCAGGGAGGGGAGCTCCCGGCCTCCTGCTTGCAGCCCCCATGGGCATTGGCAGAGGCTCTGGCCTCCTCTAGAACTTAGTCCTGGCTCTGGGAATGTGGCCCAGAGCTGTGGGAGCATCCAGTTCCTTCTCTTCCCCGCCCTGGCCCTGTGCTTTGCCTCCCCAGCAGTGGACAAGCCGCCTTCTCTCCCCTGACGAGATGCTGATTTCTAGGGCTTCTGGTCCAATCAGGAGTACGTGCTTTTATGTCAGACAGACCTGGACATGGCGCCATCACTTTCCATTATACACCCTTGGGCAGGGTCATTTAAACTCTCTCAGCTTCAGTTTTCTCATCTGTAAAATTAGGCAAATAATAGGTACCTCACAAGTTTATAGTGAAGAATGCGTGAATTAATTTAAGGAAAGTACTCTGAACACAGATCTGATATATACTGAATGCTCAATAAATGTTAACAACTGCTGTTTTGATGATGTTGATACTGTTATTACTATTGTATTACAAAAGTTGCCCATGTCCTCTGGGGTCACCTAAGCTTCCTTCCTTTTCCTCTGGCTCATGGGGGAAGTGGCAGCTTGGCAGGCAGTGTGAGGGAGGGGCCTGTGGCAGCCCCCTTCTAGCTGGGCCTGACCCAGGGCTCTCTCCATCATGGGCAGGATCCGGCCCCAGCTGTCGAAGGAGAAGATTGAGGGCTGTCACATCTGTACCTCTGTTACCCCGGGAGAGCCCCAGGTCCTGCTGGGGAAGGACAAGGCCTTCACCTATGACTTTGTCTTCGACCTGGACACCTGGCAAGAACAGATCTATTCCACCTGTGTGAGCAAGCTCATCGAGGGCTGCTTCGAGGGCTATAATGCCACGGTGCTGGCCTATGGGCAGGTAAGCCATCTTCACGCCCACCTATGGCGGCTCCAGCCTTGGTCTCCCTGCATCCAATGGAGAGAAAGCTCCACCTTCAGAGCAGCTGAAACATAGCCTCAGGGTTTTGTCTATTGTCTAAGGAGGCCGTTGCACCGCTGGTTAGCAGAGGGAGGGCTGTCAGTGATTTCCCCAGAGTGTGGCTTCAGGACCAAGAAAGCAGCAGGGGAACCGGGCTGGGAGGTAGATGAGCTAAGGGGATTTGGCCCAGGTACAGGGCTTGCTGGTGCCCCCAAAGGGTGCAGGGTTACACCCTCCTATCTTTGCCAATGCAGACGGGGGCCGGGAAGACGTACACCATGGGCACTGGCTTTGACATGGCAACGTCGGAGGAGGAGCAGGGCATCATCCCGAGGGCCATCGCACACCTCTTTGGGGGCATTGCCGAGCGCAAGCGCCGGGCACAGGAGCAGGGCGTGGCTGGACCTGAGTTCAAAGTCAGCGCCCAGTTTCTGGAGGTACTGTGGCCCCATAGGGTGGGCAGGTGGGAGGCTTGGTGGACAACAGGACCATGGAAGCCGGGCCTTCCTCCAGTGCAGTGGAATGAGTCCTGGGAACCATGGGGGCATCTCCAGGTGATGAGTTCCCTGCTATTGAAAGAATCCAAGCAAGGGCTGGAGGACTACTTGGTGGGACACTCAAAAGGGGTTCCTGCATCAGATGGAGCTTGAGTTGATGACTGTATGATCCCTTCACACCCTGACGTGTTCTAGCTCTGACACTGATTAGCCTTGTGACCTTGGGCTAGTCATTTACCACACTGAGCCTCATCTGCAAAATGGGGTGGTACCTGTTTCCTTAGGGTTTTGTGAGAACCCTGGCTCTCTCCCTTCCTTCTGGCCTTCTCTGGGTTCCCCCTCAGCCTCAGGGCATCCTATCCTGCCCCTTTCTGGCTCAGATGCTTCCTGGCCCCCTGAGTCTTCTCTGACCCCAGGGCAGAAAGGTCCTCTAGGAAAGGTCTTTCTGTGCACCTGGCCCTTCCTGTCTCTGGGAGAATATCAGGCCCAGACTGTGGCAGCCAGGGAGGGGCTTTTAGTGGGGAGCAGGGGGTCTCTGTGCTCTTGACCATTGGGCCTATGCTGAGCCCCCACTCAGTAAGGGCACTTATCCCATAAACCCTGCTGCTCTGATTGTGTCCAGGTTGCCTTCTGAGGGAAGCATGTGGCTTTGGCCCTCTCCAGGCCTTCCCCAACCCCAGCCCCTGCCTACCACAACACAGCTACTCCCTCCTGGGCACACAGGTGGTGGCTTGCCCTGCAGGGTATCCTGCATTTTAGAATTTGGAGGTTTTCTTTGCCCCTCTGGACTTTCGCTTCTGATAAATGGACTGCCTATGTGTGTATGACTGTGTGTTTGTATCTGTGTGTGTGTGTCATCTGTCTGTATGTCTGTGTGTGGCTCTGTGTCTTGTGTGTCTATGTGTGTGTCTATGTGTCTGTGTGCGCATCTTTGTATGTGTGCATCTGTGTGAGTGCATCTGTGTATGTGTGTGTGTGTATGTGTGTCTATGTGTCTGTGTGCGCATCTGTCTGTGTGTGTCTGTGCGTGTGTCTATGTGTCTCTGTGTGCGCGTCTGTGTGTGTGTGTGTGTGCCTGTCTGTGTCTGTGTGTGTGTATCTCTGTGTGTGTCTCTGTGTCTATGTGTGTGTCTGTGTGTGTGTCTCTGTGTTTGTGTGTGGGTGTCTGTGTGTGTGTCTGTGTGTCTCTGTGTGTGTATGTCTGTGTCTGTCTCTGTGTGTGTGTCTATGTGTCTCTGTGTCTGTGTGTGTGTATGTTTGTGTGTCTCTGTGTCCGTGTCTGTGTATCTCTGTGTGTGTGGGTGTCTGCGTGTGTGTGTCTGTGTGTCTCTGTCTCTGTGTGTGTGTGTGTGTCTATGTGTCTCTGTGTCTGTGTGTGTGTCTGTGTGTCTCTGTGTCCGTGTCTGTGTATCTCTGTGTCTGTGTGTGGGTGTCTGCGTGTGTGTGTCTGTGTGTGTCTGTCTCTGTGTGTGTGTGTCTGTGTGTGTCTGTCTCTGTGTGTGTGTGTGTCTGTGTGTCTCTGTGTCTGTGTGTGTGTCTGTGTGTCTCTGTGTCCGTGTCTGTGTATCTCTGTGTCTGTGTGTGGGTGTCTGCGTGTGTGTGTCTGTGTGTGTCTGTCTCTGTGTGTGTGTGTCTGTGTGTGTCTGTGTGTGTGTGTGTCTATGTGTCTCTGTGTCTGTGTGTGTGTGTGTCTGTGTGTCTCTGTGTCCGTGTCTGTGTATCTCTGTGTCTGTGAGTGGGTGTCTGTGTGTGTGTGTCTGTGTGTGTCTGTCTCTGTGTGTGTGTGTCTGTGTGTGTCTGTCTCTGTGTGTGTGTGTCTATGTGTCTCTGTGTCTGTGTGTGTGTGTGTCTGTGTGTCTCTGTGTCTGTGTCTGTGTATCTCTGTGTCTTTATGTGGGTGTCTCTGTGTGTGTGTCTGTGTTCGTGTCTGTGTCTGTGTCCTGCTGCTTGTGATCTCAATAAGCTTCTCTCTCACATCTCTTTGTTTTTGTCCCTTCCCTATCCTGTTGCCATGGAGAAGCCCGGAAGAGCAGGTTCCTAGAAAATCAGTTCCATAGGGTGAACCACAAGAGGTCAAATGATAGTGTGTGTCTACCCCAACACAGACAGACAGACAGATATTGTAGGCCCCCATCTGCACCATCCTTTCCATCTCCTCTTCCCCATTCATGTGGGGTATTTCTGTCCCTTTAGGGCTGTCAAAGCCCCAGATGTCAGAGGGCTGCAGTCTCCCCCTTAGTCCCACAGCATTTTCTTGGCTGCTGCCCTAGCTGCCCCCATCCCTTATTCCACTCCCCAGCCCTAGTTCCCTGCCTGTTGAACATCCCAGCTCTTCAGCAGGTGACACTTTCCATGCCAGCAGTTCCAAACACAGGAATCTCCTTGGCTGAGACCACCTGAAATGGGGTGACTGCTCCTGGCCAGGCCCCCTCCCCACGATGGTCTCACCAGGCCCTCTCCAGGACACTAGGCCACAGTGGCGTGCTCTCCATGCCCACCCGCTGCCAAGCATAGGGCAAGGCACACAGGCGTGTTCCTCCCCTTCGAGAGCTTGTCGTCACCTCAGAGACAGTCAGGGCTAGGGCACAGCTCCCCTGGTCTCCACTGAGCTCTGTCTCTGCCCTGCCTCATCTGGAATCACATCCCCATCTACTCTTTCCAAGTCCAGGAATACGACAGGATCTTCTCAAATTGTGGCCACATCTTCCTTATCTCCTACATCTGGGACCCGTGTCCCTTTGTCCTCTTTTGGTCCTCAGCCCATGCTGGGACCGAGCTGCTGGCTGCTGGTTCCTTAGGGAATGAGGAACAGTGTGCAGCCTCCAGCTAGTTCTGCCCAGGGCCCAGCTGTCTCCTGCCCCTGTCCTGCAGAAAGGTCATGGGATTCAAAACCCAGAGGGGACCCACAGCCTCAGTTTCCACATCTGTAAAACAGATATGGTTTATAGGCATGTGGCAGCCACCTGGGGCCCCAGTGAATGCCCTATGAATTCAGCTGTTTCCTTCCTGCACAGCTCTACAACGAGGAGATCCTTGACCTGTTTGACAGCACCCGTGACCCTGACACCCGCCACCGCAGGTCCAACATCAAGATCCACGAGGACGCAAACGGTGGCATCTACACCACTGGCGTCACTTCTCGCCTCATCCACTCCCAGGAGGAGGTGAGCCTCTGCTGGAGGTCTGGAGCAGGTCCAGGGCATCCTGAAAGGGCAGGGGCTGGCACCACGGTAGTCCCAAGCCCTCACTTCTGCTTCTGTTTCCAGCTGATCCAGTGCCTGAAGCAGGGGGCCCTGTCCCGCACCACAGCCAGCACCCAGATGAACGTGCAGAGCTCACGCTCCCACGCCATCTTCACCATCCACCTGTGCCAGATGCGCATGTGCACCCAGCCCGACCTGGTGAGGAGCCTGCAGGGGGCCCAGGAGCCAGCTTGCTGCAGGGGTATCCCGGGAAGGGCAAGATGAGGAGCCACAGATTCAGAAATAGCAAACCAGATTGAGGCTGGCCTCTGCCATTTGTTGATTTTTATATTTTTCTTGAGCCTTGTTGCCCAATTTGTAAAATGGCTTAATGATCTCTGTATCGTGGTGTTGTGAGGATTAAATGGAAATCAGGCTTGTGCAAATACTGTGCACATTGTCAGATGCTCTGCATGTGCGAAGGGCAAGGCGCTTGGCCGTCCACCGTGCCTCTCCCGGATGGCAGTACTGTGATCAGGGGAGCCAGTGAGGTGGGCGAGGGCTGGGTGAGTCAGAGCTGACTTCTGCTGCAGGTGAATGAGGCGGTGACTGGGCTTCCTGATGGTACACCTCCCTCGAGTGAGTATGAGACACTCACTGCTAAGTTTCACTTTGTGGACCTGGCCGGCTCAGAGCGGCTGAAGCGGACAGGGGCTACTGGCGAGCGGGCCAAGGAGGGCATCTCCATCAACTGTGGCCTGGTAGGCACATGGTGGGTCATCAGCCCCAGCACCCACACAGCTCAGTCTCAGACCCCTCCAAGGCCCTGCAGTCCTACACCTGCTGAGTCCTCCTTGGACATCTTGCCAATTAGCCCTTCACTCTCAGGCGTCACCCCTGTCCCCAGCTTCCCCATTTCACCAACTTATCCATGTGCCTATAAACCCACCCAAGGAGCAAGAGGGCTGCTGGGGCCAAAGAGGCAGGTACAGATGGGTTGGGGATTTTCTTGTCCCTCCCTACCCTTCGCTCCCTGAGTGACTGCTGAGTGCCAGGGTCTGTCTCCCACAGCTGGCCTTGGGCAATGTGATCAGCGCCTTAGGGGACCAGAGCAAGAAGGTGGTGCACGTTCCCTACAGGGACTCCAAGCTCACTCGGCTCCTCCAGGATTCGCTGGGGGGCAACAGGTATCTGGTGACCAACACCCAGGGAAGGGACAGGGGAGGCAGGGAGGTTCCTGGAAAATAGTGCTGTGTGGGTATGGCGCAAGCCTGCCCCAGGAGGAGGAGGCCTTCCCATCCTAGGCTGCAGGTTTAGGAGGTAGGAACCTTGAGGTGCTTTATGACCTTCAGGCAGCTATGGCCAGACTCAGTTTCCTTATCAGTAAAACAGAGAGAGACATTCTAAGGGAAGTCATATGACCCAGACGAGATGATAGATGGGAAATGCTAGAAAATGCAGGGCTGTAACTCATCCTCATCACCAAGCAAAGGACTCTGGCAATTATGCATCACCACCTCCCCAGCCTTGGTAGCTGCCTTTACTATGGTTACCTGCTGTTGCAGTGAAAACTCCTGGCCAGATGGTCCAGCTCCCCACATCCCAGGTTCTGTCCTGAATGCCCACGTGCTTTGGGCATTAAGGTAGTGGGGGAATGGGATGGGAGCAGGACCTCTACCCTGAGGCAATGCTTCTGGGGGCTGGCTGTGTCCCTCACCCTCACAACAGCCTTTCTGCACCCCCAGCCAGACCATCATGATCGCCTGTGTGAGCCCCTCAGACCGAGATTTCATGGAGACCCTCAACACACTCAAATATGCCAATCGGGCCCGCAACATCAAGAACAAGGTGGTAGTGAACCAGGACAAGACCAGCCAGCAAATCAGTGCACTGCGGGCTGAGATTGCTCGGCTGCAGATGGAGCTGATGGAGTATAAGGCGGTGAGCATGCTCCTGGGCATTGCCCAGCACTCCCCTTGGAGCTAGTGCTCCATATGCACCCTCTGCCCTGCAGCCTCACCCTAACTTCCTCAGCATCCCTCCCACCTCCCTATTACCATCATCCACTTTGGACATGACTCTTGAGCATCAGTTGTGTGCCAGGCATGCTGCTTACTATTAGGGACTCACCCATGTGAATCAAGCATAGTCTGAGCCCTCAAGATTTTAGAATACTAAGTCCAAGAAAGAAGGGCTCCCCAGCTTTTGTTGCATAGATCTTGTGCACAGGGCAGACACTCTCCAGGGTGTTTTCATATCTGCTGAATGTGTTGTGTTGGAACAGGTAAGACTGCTAGACTGGCACAGAATCGTTGATAGAGGGGCCCACAGGAGTATCCAGTGTGCTGCAGAGGGGCAGAGGAGAGAGTTGGCCTTACTTGCATGGATGGTCAGAGAGGGCCTCATGGAAAAAGGGGCCTTTTATATGGATTTTGAAGAATGAATGAGGTAACAGCAAAATGAGATGGGACAGCCATTCTAGGTAAAGAACAAGCCATGCACAAAGGAACAGAGTGGGAAAAAATGGGTCCTTTGGGGTAAATGTCTAATTCTATGTGACTAAGACAGAAGTCACCAATTGGTAGCCCATGGCCCAAATCTGGCACATGGATGAGTTTAGGTTTGGCTTGCACTTGTTTTAAAAGAATACAACGTAGTTGTCAACCTTTCTGAAAATCAGGGAGTTTCAGTTTTGCTAGAAAATTTTCAAGATCTAACAACTCATGGTACCAAGTTGGCTGGAGAGGCATAGGGGCTGCCCCTTCTAGACTGAGTCTGGGACTCTCTTAGTTCCAGTCTCTACCACTCCCTATTGTCTTACAACCAGCCTGACTCATTTATGCCAACTGCCTGGCAGAGAGGGTTTTGACCCTTGGACTAGACTTTATGGAGATATGAAAATACACTGTGGAAAGTTAGGTCAAGTAAGATTGTGAGAGGCCTTCAGTGGCTGGTTACAAAATTTGGACTTTTTATTGTCAAGGAGAACTGTGTAAGGTTTTTGATCACTGGGGGCCAGTAGCTGTGTTTTAGGAAACCTGGGGCAGGGGAGACTGGTGATGCGCCATATCCAGGGGAAGGCCAGGGCGCTGGCAGAGGGAGGGGCATCATCAGCCCCTTACCCCCCCAACCGCGAGCTCTGCTGCCTGACTGCTCCCCTTTGCCCCTGCTCCCAGGGCAAGCGAGTGATAGGAGAGGATGGCGCTGAGGGCTATAGTGATCTGTTCCGAGAGAATGCCATGCTACAGAAGGAGAATGGGGCCCTGCGGCTGCGGGTGAAAGCCATGCAGGAGGCCATCGATGCCATCAACAACCGCGTCACCCAGCTCATGAGCCAGGAGGCCAACCTGCTGCTAGCCAAGGCCGGTGAGTTGGGCTGTGCCAGGCCAGGTCAGAGCACCAACGGGCTAGGACTCCCTCCCCCGACATCCACCCCAGAGTATCAGGTGGACTAAGCCAGCCAGTCAATTCATAGTTCAACTCATTTATGCATTTTTTTTCACTTGATTTTAAAACATTTTTGTATGGCACAAGTAATACATGAACACATCCTTCTTGTTCAACATGCAAACAATACATCACTATATGAAGTGAAAGATTAAAATCGCCTCTCCCTGAACCCTCCACCCCAAGCCCTCTCTACTTCTCAGAAGGAACCTCTATGAGCAGCTTGGTGTGTATTTTCCCACACCTTTCTCAGTATTTGTTTCAAGTATGAATATGTATTCATATACATTCTTAAATGTGTGTATGATATAGACTACTTTTTCTATGTATGAGATTATATATATTGCTCTAAGACTTCCCTTTTTCATTTAGCATTATGTTTTATAAATCTTTCCATATTAAACCTACTTCTGGTTCACGCCTGTAATCCCAGCACTTTGGGAGGCCACGGCAGGAGAATCACTTGAACCCAGGAGTTTGAGACCAGCCTGGGCAACATAGGGACGCCTAGTCTCTACAAAAAATACAAAAATTAGCCAGATGTGGTGGCACATGCCTGTAGTTCATGTTACTTGGGAGGCTGAGATGGAAGGATTGCCTGAGCCCGGGAGGCTGAGGCTGCAGTCAGCTGTGACTCTAGCCTGGGCGACAGAGCAAGACCTTGGCTCTAACCAAAAAATAAAAATTTAAAAAAACCTACTTCTCTTCATCTTCTGCCATGGTGTCCCATATGTGACAATGATGAATAAATTTATTATAGTAGCCTTCTAGTGATGGGCATTTAGGTTGTTTCCAGTTTCTTGCTATTGCCAACAGTGCTTGTATACCTCTGTGCAAAGTATTTTTTCTATAGATTTCTTTTTGGAAAAGGCCCATATGAGCTGCCCTATTAGAGGCACAGATATAAGAGCAGTAGTATCAGTGGTGTTGAAGACCCTTGCTGCTATTTATCTTTTTTTTTTTTTTTTTTCTGAGACGGAGTTTCGCTCTTGTTGCCCAGGCTGGAGTGCAATGGTGTGATCTTGGCTCACCGCAACCTCCACCTCCCAGGTTCAAGCGATTCTCCTGCCTCAGCGTCCCGAGTAGCTGGGATTAGAGGCATGCGCCACCACGCCCGGCTAATTTTGTATTTTTAGTAGAGACGGGGTTTCTCCATGTTGGTCAGGCTAGTCTCGAACTCCCAGCCTCAGGTGATCCGCCCGCCTTGGCCTCCCAAAGTGCTGGAATTATAGGTCTGAGCCACCGCGCTGGCCTATTTATCTTCTTTATCGCACCCTTCTTCCCGCCGTCCCACTCCAGGCGATGGCAATGAGGCCATTGGTGCGCTGATCCAGAACTACATCCGGGAGATCGAGGAGCTACGGTGAGTGAGTGAGCTCCGGCAGGTGTGCGCGGGCTGGGGGCCTCGGCCAGGTGACGCCAAGGGCTGTGGCAGCTCACTCGGCCCCGTCCACTCGTTCTTCCTGTGCAGGACTAAGCTTCTAGAGAGTGAAGCCATGAACGAGTCCCTGCGCCGCAGCCTCTCACGGGCCTCGGCTAGGAGCCCCTACTCCCTGGGTGCTTCTCCAGCCGCCCCGGCCTTCGGGGGCAGCCCTGCCAGCTCCATGGAGGATGCCTCGGAGGTGATCCGCAGGGCCAAGCAGGACCTGGAGCGGCTAAAGAAGAAGGAGGTCAGGCAGCGGAGGAAGAGGTGAGTGGAGTGTCGTCCCCGCCCCTGAGAGCCCTCAGACCGCCCCAGTGGACCCTGCCCGTCCCCAAGGAGGACTGCTGCCCACCAGTGTTTAGGAGGGAACCTCCACGCCCCCAGCCCCAGGGGCTGCCTCAGTATTGCTTGGGAATTCATGGCGCAGATTTGCTCAGCCTTTTGGGCAACCTCCCTCCCCCACGTTCTCCTATGCCATCTGCTTTCCCCCAAGGAGAGGAAGGACTGAGCTGAGCCAAGGTCAGCTCTGGGTGGCCCTAGGGAAGAGCAGTGGGGTTCTCTGCAGAGTAGGAGCCAGTGCTCTCCCCGGCCTCTGGTGAGAGCCTTCCTTTTCTGCCGCTGCCGCCGTCCTGCCCATGTGCTCAGGGCAGGGGCAGCCTTCCTAATCCAGCTTCCCTGTCCTCCCTGAGCAGCCCCGAGAAGGAAGCCTTCAAAAAGAGGGCAAAACTCCAACAGGAGAACAGCGAGGAGACGGATGAGAACGAGGCGGAGGAGGTGAGGAGCACGGGCCGCCCCACCTCACCACATGCATGCCTTGTGTCCCTGCTGGGGTTGGCGGGGGCCCCATCCGCATCCTTGTATGGAGTGAAGGAGGCGGTTGGGTCTGCATCCAGTTGATCCTTGTACTTCCTTATATCTCTGACTGGTTACCATGGTGATCTCCATCCCCTAGGACCCCACCTCATCCCAAACGGATGATGCAGGTGGGGAGGCCCTCCTAGAGGGGTTCTGCGGTGGTGTTGGGGGAGGCGGCACTCTTCCAGGAGTAGGGGGTGGGCAGGGGGGCTCAGCTGTGGCCTGCCCCAATCCCCACCCTCCTGACACACCTGAGGCATTGTGTCGGGATGCACCTCTGCTTCTGGGCTCCCCTCTCTGAGGCCAGGCCCACCCCAATGGTGCCTGGTGCCCAGGAGGAGGAAGAGCGAGACGAGAGTGGCTGTGAGGAGGAGGAAGGGCGCGAGGATGAAGATGAGGACTCGGGCAGTGAAGAGAGCCTGGTGGACTCAGACTCAGACCCCGAGGAGAAGGGTGCGTGGGCCTGAGCTGTGGGCTGTGGGGGATGCAATGCCTGGCTGCCAGTGCCCAAGTGTGGGGTCGGGCCCTGCTCAAAGATAATGGTGTCCAGGCCCCAGCACTCCCAGACGTGAAACCAATGACAACAGGCAGTCATGATGAGAATGATGGCAAACACTTCCTGGTCGTTCATTAGGTGCCAGGCACTGTGCTTACCTTAACCCTTTGAGCGGCTAGGTTCTTTCAGTCTTCACTGCAACTGTATGCATAGGGGTGGTGAGCTTCCCTATATCACCACAGAGGAACAAGCTCACAGGGGTTTAGTGACCTTCCCCAGTGTGGTCCATGCAGAGCAAACATGAATGTAGGCCTGACTGGTGCCAAAGCCCTCTCCTCTAAATGGAGATGCCTGCCCCTTCAGCCCTGCCTGCTGCCAGCCCTGGCCCTAGCCCTGTAAGTTGCTCTCAGCCATCTCACCCTCCTCCACTGAAGCTGGTCCCATGTCATCTGGAACAGGTGGATGCTGGCCTCGAATGGCTGGGAAGGACGTGTAGATCCCCCCTGCCAGCTCCTGAGCCCTACCTTGCCTTTCTGGAACTGCTCTTTAAATGTGTTCCTCCTTCTGGCCGCATTCTACCTGCATTAGGATTTATCATTTTGCCCAGTCTCTGGTCACTGATTGGTCATGGCTGACCAAAGGAGGGTCCCAGCTCCCCAGCACTGGCACATCTGCTCCCCAATTTGCCCCTCGCCCTAACGCTGGGCTGAGCCTGATTGTGCCCCCATAGAGGTGAACTTCCAGGCGGACCTGGCCGACCTGACTTGTGAGATCGAAATCAAGCAGAAGCTGATCGACGAGCTGGAGAACAGCCAGCGGCGGTTGCAGACGCTCAAGCACCAGTATGAGGAAAAGCTGATTCTGCTGCAGAACAAGATCCGAGACACACAGCTGGAGCGCGACCGTGTGCTGCAGAACCTCAGTGAGGCCACCGCCATGCCCCTCCACCCCATCCGGACCCTCCCTTTTCCCTGAGCCCCTCCTCTGTCAAAAGCAGCTGGTGTGTTGGGGTTATCCTGGCCTTCTAGGCAAGGGACTTCCCAACCTTTGACTGTGGTCCTTTGACCCACAGTTAAAGGTTCTTACGTCTAACCCTAGTTCCTATGAAACATTGTAAATTGATTTTTTTTCTTTGCTATCACGTCATGTATTAGAATTCTTTATATACCTAGGCACGCGAACATGACACTCCCAGCCTTTCCTCCTGCACTCAGTTCCTTGGGTCTTTTCCTTTGGACCTGTTTGTAACCGTTCTTACATTCTATCTTCATTATGCTGCTCTTCAGCCCATTCATTCCATTTTTTATTCATTCATTGATTTACTTATTCAGCAAACACATGTTGAATATGTCTTACAGAGCAGACATTGTTCTAGTGCTAGAGATATTGGAGTGGACAGAATCCCTGCTCTCGTGCAGCATACATTCTAGTGGGGAAAGACAAACATAAACGAAAGAGCAGAAACTATAGTGTGTCAAATGGTGATAAGTATAGCCAGGAAGGGGAACAGGAACTACTGAAGAGTGAGTTGGAGTTTTGTTTTGTTTTGTTTTGAGACAAAACAAATCAAAAATCTCTCTCTGTTGTCCAGGCTGGAGTGCAGTGGCGTGATCTCGGCTAACTGCAACCTCTGACCCCCGGTTCAATCGATTCTCCTGCCTCAGCCTCCTGAGTAGCTGGGACTACAAGCGCCCGCCACCACGCCCGGCTAATTTTTGTATTTTTAGTAGAGACAGGGTTTCACTATATTGGCCAGGCTGGTCTTGAACTCCTGACCTTGTGATCCGCCTTCCTTGGCCTCCCAAAGTGCTGGGATTACAGGCATGAGCCACCGTGCCTGGCCGAATTGGAGTTTTTTAAAGGATGGTCGTGAAGACTTCACTGAGCAAAGACTTGAAGGAGTTGATAGTGCTAGAGCAGCACCAACCAGGGGAAGAGCGTCCCAGACAGAGGGAACAGGAGATGCCAAGGCCATAAGGGTGCCATGTGCCTGGCATTTTGGCAGAACGATAAGGGGACCAGGATGGTTAGAGCACAGTGAGAGGGGACAGGTCGGAGAAGAAATGTCATTGTAAGGACATTGCCTTATACTCTGAGGGAGACGGGATGTGTGGAGTTTCAAGAGAGCTACGTGATACCAAATTTAAAAGCATTTTTAAAAGACTACTCTGGCTGCTGCATGGGGGAGTGAAAGTGGAAGCTGGAGACCACTTAGGAAACTGTTCTAAAGATCCCAGGAGAGGTGGCTTAGGAGGTGGTGAGAAGTCAGATTCTGGATATGTTTTTCAGGTTGAGCCAGAAGGCTTTGTTGATTGCTTGCTGGGAGGTAGATGTGAGGGAGAGGGGAGCCAAGGATGCCTCAGGGTGTGAGCTTCTGGAAGGAGCGTGATGCTGTGTACTGAGATGGGAGAGGGGTAGAAATGAGGAGTTGGGTTTTGTACCTGTTAAGTTGGAGATGTCTGTTGGTAGTTCTGGTAGGAGAGGCCAAGAGTGGAGAATCAGCTTATTCCTTCTGCCCTGGCCCACACCATTCTGTCTTCTCTTGCAAACTCTTCCCCTTCCCACAGGCCCCAGCTCTTTCCTCCAACACTGGATCATGGGTCAGAACCCAGCCAGCATGAGTGAGTTACAGGACCCTCGTGGGAAGTTGGGGACCAGGGGTTCAGAGATCTTAAGATGAAAACACCCCTGCCCATTACAATAGGATGTCAGAGCAGGAAGGGGCCTTGGGCATCAACTAGTCTGACCCCCTCATTCAAATGATGAAACAGGCTCAGAGAGGGGTGTGACTTGCCCAAGGTCATACAATGAGACTGGAACAGAGGGTTCCTGCGTTCCCCCTTGATGACCCTGTATTTAGTGGGAGCCCTTAGGGACCCAGCACCGACAGCTGCGTCTCCTTGCTCTCAGGCACCATGGAGTGCTATACTGAGGAGAAGGCCAACAAGATCAAGGCAGACTATGAGAAGAGGCTGCGGGAGATGAACCGGGACCTGCAGAAGCTGCAGGCCGCCCAGAAAGAGCACGCCCGGCTGCTTAAGAACCAGTCGCGCTACGAGAGGGAGCTGAAGAAGCTACAGGCCGAGGTGGCTGAGATGAAGAAGGCCAAGGTAGGGGCCGAGGGTGTGAGGAGTGGGGCCTGGAGTGCCTGTGACATCTTCTTAGAATCCACTCACCATCGTAAAAATAATCATTGCTGTCAAGTGTGGATTCTCTTCTCAACACACAGCATTAACCTAGTTTGACCCTGTCTTGGCCCTTGACACGGTCCTCTTAGCTGAGTGCATCGTCCAAGGTGAAACACCCTGCCCAGTAGTGGGGCCAGTGTGCGGGGATGCTGGGGTGCACAGGGGTCGTGTTCAGGGCAGGTGAGGATTTCAGGGGACCCCACTTGGTGCTGCCTCCTGTTGGGGAGGCTGCAGCATACTCGCTTCGGGTCTGCGCAAAGTGCACATGAGGCCTCTCATTTGGTGCAACCTGGCCCTGAGTGATAATAGTAACAGTTACCATCGTTTGAACATTTACTATGGCCAGGCTCCAGGCTAGTCATCTCACACGCATGATCACATTCAGTCCTTAGAAGAACCTCTTGAAAGAAGTCTATTATTATTCTTTTATGTATGAGAAAGTGAGGCTCAGAGAAGTTAATTCCAGCTTCCAAGAGGTAGCACTGGGATTTGAACTCAGTTCTCTGGCTCCCAAGCCACTGTGTGTTCCAGGTGGCACAATGCCTCCCTTTTCTACTTTGCCACCACTCAGAGTGCTCTAGTCTCTGGGGCCTGGGGCCTGCCCCTGTGCTTCTGACTTCAGGGCTCAAGTCTTGTGTTTCCAGTGTCTGGTGTGTTCTGGCTCCTGTCTGGGGCTCAGCAGATCCATGCTCCCTTTCAGTCCTCCCTCCCCTTGGACCTTCCAAGTCCTACATTCCTGCCTGCTCTGATCCTCAGCCCTCAGTGGAGCCCAGATCCCCACAGCCCTGGGCTAGGCCCTGGGCACTGGTGGCAGCCCCAGTAAGCTGTGAAGGGCTGGCCTTGGGGACAGAGACATAGGAAAGGGGAGCTCCCCAGTGCCTGGGGCTGATGGGGCATCTAGCAGCCATTGGTAGCTACATGCTCACAGCCGACTCAATGTGCAGAGGAGAGAGGCAATGCAGTGGTGGCTGATGTAGATTCTGAGAAGAGGTGGTGGACCCATAGCTGTCATTGAGGCCCAGCCACCTCACCTGGGCAGGCTCTGTGCCCAAGCCTGGGCTGCAGGTCCGGAGGCTTCATCAACCTGACTAGAGTGGAGAAGTCCCTGCCTTGCTGTGCTCAGACCTGCTTGGCCTGGGCTGGCCCCAAGGAGCCCTGTTTGCACCATCTCCTTCAGTGCGTTCACCCTGTGGGGTGTTGAGACTCAAGTGTGGACTCAAGTACCCAGATCACCCAAGGGCCCCTGCACCCACTGATGGTTTAGAGGGAGGGGCTGGTGGGCCTTCATTATCTCTGGGGTGGAGCAGCACTCCCAACAGGGGCCTGCACATGCTGTTGCAGCTTCTGGGGTGCGCTTATGTGCGTCCCCACTCTGTCTCCCTGGGAGTTCCCAGCTGATGCCATTGCAGGGTACCCCATCGTGTCCTGGCCAGCTCACATCTCAGCTGCGGAGGCCCTGGAGAGCCTCATGAGGGAAGATCCTTGTATGGCTCTGAAGCCTGGCAAATAATGTAACGCCAAGATGCATCTGACAGAAGGCTCATGTGTAGACCTGTGTTTCAGTCTCTGGATTGCTGAGCTCCTTCAGCCACGTGCCTGGCTCTGTCCACATTGACAGTGTTCTTATGAACCCAGAGCTAGAAGCAGAGAGGAACACCCTTGGGTCATCCCAGGAGGGGCCTAGGTTTTCTGTTGGAGGGACAGAAGGTGCAGCAGCCGAGGATTCAAATCAGACACTGTGAGAGCCAGTGCCCCAGAATCCTCCCATGGCTGTTCAGCTACAGGGCCCCAGCGATTCACAGAATGGAACTGGGGTGGGGCCTGCAGCCACGGGGTCTCCCAGGGAGAGGCCACAATGCCTTCTACCTTAAACCTGCGAAGTGATGCTGGTCTCGGGTACCGTGGCATGTTTCCGCTTGTCATGTGCCTGGAATGTGCTCACCTGTTCTGAGACCTTTGCCTCTGTGGTAGCCACCATGGTGCTTGGCTACACATGCAAAGTCGGGTGGATGAGTCTTTGACCAGGAAGACATAGCACCTCCCCAGGAAGCCTTAAGCCCCTGACCCCGGAAGACACCTGACACCTTGGGTTTGCACACAGCTCCTGGGATGCTGGAGTTTTCAGGTCCACTTTTAGCCGAGGGTCTGACTTGTTCTTCCAGTCCTTTGGGAGAACACTCATTCTGGACCCCAAAGCCCCAGCAGCAAGCAATCCCTCCTCTTCTCTGCAGATTCACCCCAACAGAGCCTGCCTGCCCTCCCACCCTCCCAGAAAGAAGCTGACCCTGCTGGCCATTAGCCCACTCCCTCATGCCATTTCGTTTTTCTTTCTCTCTCTTTTTTTTTTTTTTTGTTTTGTTTTGTTTTAAAGGCAGAGTCTTGCTCTGTTGCCCTGGCTGGAGTGCAGTGGCGCTAACACAGCTCATTGCAGCCTCAACCTCCTGGGCTTAAGTAATCCTCCTACCTCAGCCTCCTGAGTAGGTGGGACTATGGGCACACACCACCACACCGGGCTAGTTTTTGTATTATTTTTGTTGGAGACAGAGTCTCACTATGTTGCCCAGGCTGATCTTGAACTCCTAGAATCAAGCATTCCTTCCACCTTAGCCTCCAAAGTGCCAGTGCTGGGATTACAGGTGTGAGCCACCGCGCTCGGCCTGTTTCCTTTCTTGACTGTTTTGAGGGCAGGACAGGTTGATGACATTCCTGGTGATGTTCGAGGCTTCTGGTCCAGCCCCCACATGTTAAGAGGAGGGACTTGAGCCCTGGAGAGGGGAAGGAACTTGCCCAAGGTGACCAGAGGAAGGATCAACTGTCATGTGTTCCTTATGCCCCTGTCACTTGGAAGGTGTCCAAAGCCCTGTGTACATTACACTTCTATGTTCTGGGCACCAGGAATAGGGAGGCAGATGCCGCAGGGCCCGAGGTCAGTGGCTTCCCAGCACATTGGGTCGCCTCCGGCCGCACTAATGGTGCTTTCTGTGCCTTTGGCTACATTTCCAACAACTCTGGGGTCCAGGTTCTCTGTGCTTGGTCCTTAGCTTTGCTGACCTACCACGGAGCCATCCCTGGGGCTGCAGGAAGAGCTGACTGGGAGGCGATGATTTGTTTTCGGAATATGGCCATCCATTACTAGTTTTATGACTTTAAGTCCTTTTGTCTCTCTGAGGCTCATTTCCTTGTTTGTAAAACAGGAACGATAATGCCTCTCTCATGATTGTCATGAGGAGGGTGCCTGGCATACAGCTGGGTCTCAGTAAATAATGGTGGTTTTTATTGCTGTCACTGTGAGCCTGGCCATGAGGGCCCTGATCTTCACCTCAGCCCTGTCTGCAGCTCAGCCTTCAGCAGGGGAGAGGATTACCTGCCTCCAGCAACCCAGACTGTTTCTGGAATGGCCAGACACAGGACAGTGGCTGTGGGTGAGGGCCACC
Organism: Homo sapiens; assembly: GCF_000001405.40. Taxonomy (NCBI): domain Eukaryota; kingdom Metazoa; phylum Chordata; class Mammalia; order Primates; family Hominidae; genus Homo; species Homo sapiens. The sequence continues at coordinate 200,992,683 of NC_000001.11, read as the reverse complement.
AGGGGCTGTGGCATTCCAAGCAGCAAGGGCCACAGTTGGGCCCTGCAGAGTGGGGCACCTGCACTGCTGGGCTGGCTGTGAGGCCACTCCTTTTGGCAGCTTGCCCAGGCGGCTTAAGCTCCTATGGAGGAGTGGGAGGTAGAACCCCTCACTTCAGACCCCCAGGCCCTGAGCCAGTGTTGCCTGGCTAGCCACTATCCCTGCCCCATGCCCTCAGAGCTGGCCCCTCCCTGGAGAGTGTGGGCCACCTGCCTCCCAGCCCTGTCTCACCACCATAATCTCTGCCCATCCCAGGTGGCCCTGATGAAGCAGATGCGTGAGGAGCAACAGCGGCGGCGGCTAGTGGAGACCAAGAGGAACCGGGAGATCGCACAGCTCAAGAAGGAGCAGCGGCGACAGGAGGTGAGGGGTGGCCCTTGAGCCTCCCAGGAGCCTTTGGCCCTAGCACTCCCAGCCTCCTGGTGCACCTGGCTGCCCCTCCTGACCAAGCGGGCCTCAGTCTCCACTGTCCTAAGTGGTAATGGTCATGCTTGGAGGACAGTACAGCCTGTCAGAGCAAGATGAGACCCTGTGGCTTCTGGTCCAGCCCCCACATGTTAAGAGGAGGGACTTGAGCCCTGGAGAGGGGAAGGAACTTGCCCAAGGTGACCAGCAAGCTGGAAATGTGCAGCTTCAGGCCCTGCAGAGAAGCCCCAGTAGGGCTGAGCCCTCCGCTCCAGGATTCCTCCTCACTGGAGGGAAGAAGAGGCTAAGGAAATTGCCCTTGTGGAGAAAGCAGTTTTCACTGCAACCTCTGGGGAGGGGAGCTCAACCCTGGGTCCCACTTTATCAAGAGTTTGGCTGCATGAGAATCACCCTGAAGCCCAGGCTTTCAACTACAGGGCTAGCCAGCCTGTACACAGACAGAGAGGGCTAAGGTGCCTGAGTGTGGAGCCCAGCCCTCTTCTGTCTCCCACAGTTTCAGATCCGAGCTCTGGAGTCCCAGAAGCGGCAGCAGGAGATGGTCCTGAGGAGGAAGACCCAGGAGGTGAGCTCACTCGAGGGGCTGGCGAGGCCCTGGCCCTGCTGCACATGTGTGCGTGCATGTGTGCATTGCTTGCCTTCTCTTTTGGGCCTCCAACTTCCTGGCGGTGGAATAAAGGCGGTATTTCCCAGTTCTGCCAGAGCCGGCAGGGAGGGGAAGCAAGCCCTGCCTGTGGCCCTGGCTCTCCCTCCTTCCATTCAGCAAGCATATTTGGTGTCCAAATTGTGTCCAACCTATTAGAAGGGCCTTTCTCAACAAGAGCTCAGGCTGCAGGGCAGACTGCAGGCCAGTTCCCAAATGCCTGAGCTGTGCGTTAAAAAAAGAAGGTGGCAGCCTCTTTTGTGTGCATGTCACATCAAACAGAGACCCCTTGGCCCTTTTGCAGCCCAAGCCCAGGCCAGCACAGAGCAGCCTCTGTGTTCCTGCTGCCCGGCACCCCAACCTGGGCCCTTCTGTGTGGCTCCAGGCCACCCTGCTCACCGGCTCCCTCTTTTCTCCCTGCTGCCCCAGGTTTCTGCACTGAGGCGCCTGGCCAAGCCCATGTCTGAGCGGGTGGCAGGGCGTGCAGGACTAAAGCCACCCATGCTGGACTCTGGGGCTGAGGTGTCGGCCAGCACTACCTCATCTGAGGCTGAATCAGGGGCCCGCTCTGTCTCCAGCATCGTGCGCCAGTGGAACCGCAAAATCAACCACTTCTTGGGGGACCATCCTGCGCCCACTGTCAATGGCACCCGTCCTGCCCGGTAAGGTGGACTGGCAGTCCCCTGGCCTGTGCAGGCAGAGGGGGTGGGAATATGGGGCAGGGCCAGGGTGAGGAAGAGGGAAGCTCTGGGGAGTGCTCCGGGTCCCCGTGGCTGTCAGCTCCAGATGGGGGCTCAGTGGAGCTGCAGAGGTTAAAAGGAGTCCCATCCAATCCCCTTTGCCTATGTCTCCCAGAAAGAAGTTCCAGAAGAAGGGGGCCAGCCAGAGCTTCAGTAAGGCGGCAAGGCTCAAGTGGCAGTCCCTGGAGCGACGGATCATTGACATCGTCATGCAGAGAATGACCATTGTCAACCTGGAGGCTGACATGGAGCGGCTCATCAAGGTGAGCCCTGCCTCCCCCTTCTCTTCCATTCCACCCCTCTGCCTGTCCTCTGACACCTCCAACTTCTCTGGCTCTTCAGACCTTTCCCTGCCCCACTTCCCTCTGCTCCTTTTGCCTGCTCTGGAATCCAGAGGTGCTGGGGGGACCTCACAGGCCAGCCTGTGGTGGAAGCTATGGGCAGGGCTTGGCAGCTACCTGAGGCCTCTCCTTCATCACAATCACCACCCTCCCCTCTGACCCCAGAAAAGGGAGGAGCTGTTCCTCCTGCAGGAGGCACTGCGGAGGAAGCGGGAGCGGCTGCAGGCTGAGAGCCCCGAGGAAGAGAAGGGGCTGCAGGAGCTGGCTGAGGAGATCGAGGTGCTGGCAGCCAACATTGACTACATCAATGACGGCATCACCGACTGCCAGGCCACCATCGTGCAGCTGGAGGAGACCAAGGTATCCGCAGGGCTGGGCCTGCTGGGGCGGAGGCGGGAGAGATGGGTGGCAGGGGTAGCCCCAGGTGACGGGGCTCTCTGCCTCCCGGTCCTAGGAGGAGCTGGACTCCACAGACACATCCGTGGTCATCAGCTCCTGCTCCCTGGCTGAAGCCCGCCTCCTGCTAGACAACTTCCTCAAGGCATCCATTGACAAGGTAAGCTGGGAGCGTACATGGGCAGGGGGCTCTATGGGCACAGATGCCTCTGTGATATACCCTAGTGTGAAGCCCAGGGGCCTGGCGCCTCCTCACCTGCGTCACTCACAGGCTAGGACAAGCCGCCTAACCTCTGCACCTCCCATGCCACAGCTGTAAAGCTGAGAGGACGACCATACCAAGCTTGTAGCTTGTTGCATGGCTTTAACGAGATGCTGTGTGTAAGGGACGTGGCCTGGCACCTGGCACACAACAGGGCCTCTGTTAAAGTTGACTCTGGGTGTCTGGCCCAAGCCTATCCAAAGCAGTGCTAGGCTTGAGTCTGCTGGAGGTGGAGGGAGAAGTGTGTGTATGTGGGGGTAGGGGAACTACAGACAGACCACATTCCACCCAGGAGGGTTTACACCAGAACATCAGGTGTCCCTCGACATTTCTTGGGCTCCTCTTCTCTCTCCTTGACAGAGAGCTAAGCAGAGGATGTGCCTCCTTCCCTCCTGGGGCCTGTGGTCTCTGGGGACAGACCCTACATGGTGTGCATCTGTGTAACTCTGGAAGGAGGCAGGAGACTCTGCCGCCTGACCCCTCCTCTGGGCCCCACTGAGCTCCTCTCAGCTCCGCTTTGTGTCTGGGGACTTTATGAGTTTGCTAGGGCTGCCATAACCAAGTACCAGTCTGGGAGCCTCAAACAAGAGAGGGCAGGAAGTCCAAGGTCAAGGTGTTGGCAGGGCTGGTTTCTTCTGGGGCCTCTCTCCTTGGCTGTAGATGAATATGAGTTTTGGGGGGACATAACCTAGCCCATAATAGGGTATGTCCTAAGGTGACCTTCACTTAATGTGTGTATGTGGGAGCTAAGGGGGCTGGCGGTGCTCTCAGGTCTGTGCCAGGTACAAGGGTGATGTTGGGAGCTGGAAAGGAGCACTCCAAGGTGTCTTGAGGGGTGCAGGTTGTGTGATATGGGTGACTCCCAACCCCCAGGAGGGGTAACTCCAGGCTTTGTTCCCTGCCCCCAGGGGCTGCAAGTGGCACAAAAGGAAGCCCAGATCCGGCTGTTGGAGGGCCGACTGAGGCAGACGGATATGGCAGGCTCCTCCCAGAACCATCTGCTCCTGGACGCCCTGCGTGAGAAGGCTGAAGCTCACCCCGAGCTGCAGGCCCTCATCTACAATGTGCAGCAGGGTACGGGTAGGGGCGGTTGGAAGCTGCCAGCTCCTTGGCATTCCAGTGCTCTTGGGCTCAGACCCCCACAAGGCCCTCACTTCCCCAGAACCACCCCTAACCCCCACCAGGAGCCCTGGTCTGATTCCAGTGGGTGAGATATAGGAGGGAGACCATCATCCCTCCCCCGACACTTGGACAGGGCTTCTCAACCCCTTTCCCTCCCTCCCGCCCTCCCACAGAGAATGGCTACGCCAGCACAGATGAGGAGATCTCAGAGTTCTCTGAGGGCAGGTGAGTTTGCAAGCTGGGAGTGAGAGGCTGGCTCACAGCATGTACCTGGGGCTGGTGGGAGGAGTTGCCATAGGTCCCAGGGCTGAGCCTGAATTTGGGGGCTCCTCAGGATCCTGAACTCTCTCTGCTTCTTCCTCAGCTTCTCCCAGTCATTCACCATGAAAGGCTCCACCAGCCATGACGATTTCAAGTTCAAGGTGAGCCCCGCCGGAAGTCAGGCAGTGGGTGCAGCAGGGCCAGCCTCCACACAGCCTGTTCACCGCTTACTGTGGCTCTGCTCCACCCTCAGCCACAACACAATGTTGTCCCCAGCTGGGAGGGAGGTGCCAAGAAAATTTAGTCTGGAATTGGGGGTTGTCCAGATATGTAACCTGTTGCAGCCCATTCCTTCTGAGGTGGGTGGAAGGTGGGAGAAGTGGCTGGAGCCACCGCTAGCCTCTGTTGCCACCCTGCTAGCAACAGCACCATAACCAGGGGCCCTGCTTTCAAAAATATCCCCTTTCCCCCACCCATGATTCTGCCTCACACTCTAAGTCAAAACCTACCTCTAAATGTCTGGTTATCTTACGTGCACACAGTCAATTCAACCATATGGGAGTCAAAAATAAGGAAGTTTACCTAATAATGAGGGATCAGTTTCATTAGACTGAAGCAAGATGCAGGGTTTATTAAGGAGACAAGGAGGGAAAAAGCTTCAGACTGGGAATAGCAAATTATGCATAGTTTTGAGGTAAACTGATTAGCTGGTGACCAGCAAAGAAGTCAGGCTGGGCATTCTGTGTTTACATAGTCCAACTAAGGGCCGTGAAACCATTTCAGTTGCTCTGGATTCTCCAGAAACCATAAGAGTTTAGCTGTGGAGCACAGGTGATGTCTGTCTGGGTCCTTCCATCAGGTCCTCTACCTTAGGCCAAGACGGCATCATTTCTCTTGTTAGAATTTCCGGGCGGGCTGGGTGTGGTGGCTCATGCCTGTAATCCCAGCACTTTGGGAGTCTGAGGCAAGAGGATTTTGTGAGCCCAGGAGTTCAAGACCAGCCTGGACAACATGGCGAGACCCTATCTCTACAGAAAAAAAATTTTTAATTATCCGGCTATGGTGGCACGTGCCTGTAGTCTCAGCTGCTCGAGGAGGCTGAGGTGAGGGGATCGCATGAGCCTAGGAAGTTGAGGCTGCAGTGAGCCATGTTTGCACCACTGTCTCAAAAAAAAAAAAATAGAATTTCCCCTGGCTCCCCTTTATGTGCCATGCAATTTGGGCAAGTTGATCCACCCTGTTCTTCTTTTCCCAGAGCGAGCCCAAACTGTCTGCCCAAATGAAAGCTGTGTCGGCTGAGTGCCTGGGCCCCCCACTGGATATCTCCACCAAGAACATCACCAAGTCCCTGGCCTCCCTCGTTGAGATCAAAGAGGACGGAGTGGGCTTCTCTGTCCGAGACCCCTATTACCGGGACAGGGTCTCGCGCACCGTCAGTCTGCCTACCCGGGGCAGCACTTTGTAAGGATGGGAGCAGGAATGTGGGTTGGAGTGGAGGTGGAGTTGGGTCTGGGCCTCACTGGACTCTTCTGTTGTAGCCCTAGGCAATCTCGAGCCACAGAGACGTCCCCGCTGACGAGAAGGAAGTCCTACGACCGAGGGCAGCCCATTAGGTGAGATCATGTTCTAGAATCTGCTCCAGAGTCACCACCAGTCTAGTTCTTGGTTACATGAGTGGCTATGATGTTCTGCTCTGTTGATCATCTTGTACACAGTGTAACCTGGGCCAGCTTGACTGAGCCATTCAGGTTCACCCAGTGGTCCCTTCCCCACCCTGTCAGGTGTGGACTGAAGAAATGGGCCAGGCGTGATGGCTCACACCTGTAATCCCAGCACTTTGGGAGGCTGAGATGGCCAGATCACTTGAGCCCAGGAGTTTGAGACCAGCCTGGCCAATATGGTGAAACATCATCTCTACTAAAAATATAAAAATTAGCCAGGCATAGTGGCACATGCCTGTATTCCCAGCTACTCGGGAGGCTGAGGCATTAGAATGGTTCGAACCTGGGAGGCAGAGATTGCAGTGAGCTGAGATCGTGCCACTACGCTGCAGCCTGGGTAACAGAGAGAGACTCTGTCTCAAAAAAAAAAAAGAAAAAAAAAAGGAAATGTAATTTCTGTAACGCACCTTAAACTGCATAGCCGAGCCAGATGCTGGAAACTGTTTGCTGATGTGCACCCAACACAAGTGGCTTTGTAGTGGCTTGGATTAGTCATTGCACTGATGTGCTTCAGCCCCTTTTCATGACCATAGGTTCTGGGGAGCTTTCAGGTCTTTTTAAGGCCTTATGGTGTGAGAGAAGATTAGAAATTTAAAGGAAAGGCCGGGCGCCAGTAATCCTAGCACTTTGGGAGGCTGAGGCAGGTGGATTGTCTGAGCTCAGGAGTTCAAGACCAGCCTGGGCAATACAGTGAAACCCAGTCTCTACTGAAATACAAAAAAATTGGCTGGGCGTGGTGGTGTGCACCTGTAATCCCAGTTACTTGGGAGGCTGAGGCAGGAGAATTGCATGAACCTGGGAGGTGGAGATTGCAGTGGGCCGAGATCACGCCATTGCAGTCCAGCCTGGGTGACAGTGTGAGACTCACTGTCTCAGAAAGAAAAGAAAAGGAAAAAAAAAAAAAGGGAAGGGAAGGGAAAGGAAGGGAGGGGAGGGGAGGGGAGGGGAGGGGGAAGGGGAGGGGAGTGGGGGAGGGAAAAGGAAGGAAGGAAGGAAAAGAAAGAAGAAAGAAATTCAAAGGAAAAAAGAGATCAATGCAGAATGGCAGGGAAGTCCCCAGCTGGTCACCCACATGTGGGCCAGGCCCACAGAGCTTCTGTAGATCGAAGGATGACTTTCAGGGTTTTCTGGTCCATGCACTTAATTAAGAGGTTTGGTGGCACACAGCTAAATAGTGGGAAAGCAGGGGCTCAAGATGGCCTCTTGCCACCTGCCTTGCTGGGAGGCAGGAGGATTTTTTTCTTTTTAGAGATAGGGTCTTACTTCATCACCCAGGCTGGAGTATAGTGGCACAATCAGGGTTCACTGCAATCTCCACCTCCCAGGCTCAAGCGATCCTCCCACCTTAGACTCTCAAGTAGCTGGGACTACAGGCATGCACCACCATGCCCGCCTAATTTTTTTACTTTTTGTAGAGTTGAGGCCTCACCACGTTGCCCAGGCTGGTCTCAAACTCCTAAGTTCAAGCAATCCTCCCACCTCGGCCTTTCAATTTACTGAGATTACAGATGTGAGCCACTGCACCTGGCCACAAATACATTTTAATAAATAGGTGAATTCCCAAATATGGAATCTGTGAATGATGAGGATTGATGTTTAAAGACAGCATCCAGGAGTTTCATTGGGTGTTGAGCTCTGAGAATACTGCACAGCAGACCCTGTCCTGCGGGCCTCACAAGGCAGAAGGTGGAAGCCCAGCACCAAGTAGGGGCCTGTGGGCAGGGGTGGTCACTAACAGGCTGCCCTCTGTCCCGACTCACCAGGTCCACAGATGTGGGATTCACACCCCCATCATCCCCTCCCACTCGGCCCCGCAATGACCGCAATGTCTTCTCTCGTCTCACCAGTAATCAGAGCCAGGGGTCAGCGCTGGACAAGTAAGCAGGGCTGGAGGGCAAGTGGGGGAGGGCACTGAGGTGGCAATGGGGAGCCTGTGGATGGTCCTTGCTGGAGGAGGGCTCAGGTGGCCAAGCCAACCCCAGCCTGAAGTTCCAGCCCCTCCAAGAGCTGAGGCCCTGATGCCCTCTCCTGGCATTTCTCTCCTTCCTGTACTAACCATGGGCCCTTCTCCTCCCCTGAGAATGCCAGGACCTCAGGAGAGGGCAAGAAGGAGGCCACAGGGATTGGGGCCGGGCAGTCAGGTGGGCTGGTCGCATGGGGCCGGTGCCTGAGGGCTCTCCAGAGCTGCCCTTTAATCCACCTCTGCTGCTGCTTTGAGTCTGCTCTGAAGCCCCTTCCTTCAGCTTCAACCACTCCACTCTCTGTGCATTCTCCCAGCAGAAAGAGACCAGACCCCCAAATTGCCTTCCTCAGGCAGGTTCAGGTCCACCTATATTCACAGCTCCTGATGCAAGACTCTACTGCCTAATGGTGTGGTTTATGTTAACAGCCTCCCCTGCATTCAGGCTTTCTCCCTGTGCTTTACAACCTGCTTTCATATATGTGATTTCATTAGGCTATGAAACAACCACGAGAATTGTCTTCCCTATTTCACATAAGAGGAAATGAGGCTCAAAGAGGGAGCCAGGGATGTTCACCTAGAAAGTGGCAGAATTGCACCCAGAGCCTGGGACTTCCAGCCCCTGCCTGCTGTGCCTCAGGAAAGGGGAGGACCCTATCCTCCATGTGCTGCTCTGGGCTCCCCAGCATTGCTGGGCCCACCCTGGTCCTGTTTTGCTCTCTGCAGCCCTCAAGAGGGCTCCTCTCTTAGCTCCCTGAAGGCTTCCCTGCCCCAGGGGTGACAGTGCTGTGGCCTTCAGGGGAGTCTCACACTAGAAAATACTTGTCCTTGTACCTAGTGCCTGATGTCCACCCTCCCCACCTCTCCACAGAAATGCCCCTTCCTGGGTCAAAATACTACTTGATGAATGCTGAGCCCAGGAGTCAGAGCCCTGCAGACCTGGCACCCCAGACACCTCCTTCCCCAAACCTATCTTGGCTCAGGCTGCTGTGGGGGGAGCCATGGATCACTCCTAGCCCATCTCCATGTTGTTACAATCAACAGGTCCCCTTTTTGGAAGGATTGGGGCAGGGCTGTGCCCATCCCAGCCTGATGGTCTTCTGGAGGCCTTGGTCTTGTCCAATGGTCCAGGTCTTGGAGCCTGTGCATGGTGCACAGCCAACTTCTAGGCACTGTCCCAGTGGGCCCCCTAGGGATAGTGGGCTTTGTAAATAAGTGAGCCCCTGAGGAATTGCTGGAAGAAGCCAGCTCCCAGGGAGGGGTAGGATCAGGCATGGCTTCCTTCAGCCTTGGGCAGGTATGAGCATTGCTGGGGTGGGGCAGGTGCCCCCAGCTTGTGCGATGGGGCAGCCAGAGAGCTTGGAACCAGCAAACAGCCCTGGAAACGTCTCCCCATGTGTGGGGCTGGTGCTCCCACATCTCCCCGTGGCCCCCTCCTCGCTCCTCCCTTGCCAGCCGAGAGACCCTGGCAGCCCACTCCTGGGGGAGAGTCCCAGCTCCCAGACCAGCCCACCCACCTCCTCCCCTGCTCTCCCGAGGCCCTCATTCCTCTGCCTGTCTCTGCTCCGCTGGAAGAGAATAACCTGCCCTCTGACCACCCCACACACTGCTGCCGCCTCTGCGTCCCTCTGTGTGTGTCTCCTCTCACCCCCTAATCCAGCTAATTTTCTGCCCTCCCCAGGTCTGATGACAGCGACTCCTCTTTGTCGGAGGTCCTGAGGTACACACAGAATGTCTCTCGTGTTTGGTTCCCCACTCTCACTCTCGGCACCCTCTCTTCTCTGTCTCTTGCTGCATCCCTCCCGCCTGACACCCGTGTCCTCAGCATGCGGCCCCTCCACTCCCCTTCCTGCTGCCCCCCTCTCCAGACCTGTTCCTGCCCCCATGGTTCCTCTCTCTCAGGGTGGCCACAAGGCCTTGGACTGCGCCAGCTAGAGCTGGGGGCTTGGGGAGGGTGCACAGTTGCTTGTCGCAGGCCCTGTTCTCTTCTCCCTCCTCACCTGGGCAGGGAGGGGCGCAGCATGGAGGCCTAGGGGATGCTGGGCTGGGGCTGAGTTCTCCACGACTGGAAGGCAGGGGAAATGCTGAAGGCTGCTCCTTTTGGGGGTGCCGGTGGTGTGCTCTGGGTCCTTTGATTCCCTCAGCTTGTGCTGGGGGTGAGCTTTTCAGACGTTGGCTCTGGGAGGGGCACCATGGGGGGAGGGGCACCATGGGGGCAGCGCCCCTTGCCCACACCTGTTAGCACACAGATGTGTGGGTACCTCCCCTTCCCGCAGCCTGTGGGATGGCTGGAGGCTGGTTCTCCCAGCCAGCCGAGCATGACACCGCACAACGAGGAGCAAGACTCAGGACCTGGGGTCCCGAGCCCCTGACAAGCCAAGGGCCCCTCGTGGGCTGAGAGCTTCCTCGGCTCTCCTGGTGGGCTGTCTCAGCTCCTCGAGCCTCCAGCCCTGAGTGTCGACAACTGGTTTACTGTGAATCATGAGGCTTTGCCACCACAAGATGTTAGCCAGCTGGCCAGGCTGTCATCGGGGGGAGCATGATCCCTTTGACATAGTTCTGTGGCCATGCAGTGAAGCCAAACCATTGTCAGAAGCAGGGTGCTGGAGCAGCTTGGGGAGCTATTTGTGCATGTGTGGCACCTGGCTGGCAGCTGGACGTATCCGACCACCATCCTCAAGGGTGGGCCTGGCAGAGTCTGGGGGGAGCTGTGCCAGAAGCGCCACAGGCAAAACCTTGATCATTTCAGTAGACCCTTGGCCAGAGTCACTGTCAGGAGCAGCTTTCTCTTGGGAAAAGAAACAAAGCTAGGATATATTTTCAGACATGACTCAGCCAGGGTCTCATCCCAAAAGACCCTCACTGAGAAAAAAATCATCTTCAGAACCTCAGGAAGCTGGATGTGGCAAAACCCTCACGCTCACTTGGGCCAGCCTCCTTCTCGCTCCCCTAGCATCATGGGAGCGAGGAGGTGTTGTTCCAGGTCCATACAGCCCCATTCCAGAGAGCCCCAAACCTCCTACCCAAAGCCAAGCCAGCCCCAAAGGGATTTAGCCCTTCGTAAATGCCAGTCACAAGTTTGACCCCGCTGGTCCAAAAGGAGTGTGTATGTGTACACATGGCTCTCTGCTTGGAAGATGCTAGCCTCAGAGGCAGTTACCAGCAGAAGGGTTTACTGGGATCAGGGTGCATGGGGGTGATGGCCTGAGCAACCCTCCCTCTCAGCACCCCTCCCTCACACTCGGTTAACTGAAGCAGCATGCAGCTTCTGGTGGAAGCTACAGGGCCCAGTTCCAGCCCCTGGGCCTCTGCCCTGCCCAGCTGGACCCGGGCGCATTCACATCTCAGGATCTGGGTCAGACATTGTCAGATAGGAACTCTCTGTGGACAGAGCCCACACCTCCTGCACCTTCTAGCTGTGCCTAACACCGGGTTTGCTTCCCCAGAAGTGCTCAGGATGGCAACTGATGATTGCTGATTAAGACAGGCTATCTCCACTCTGTGTAGCCCGTTCCCGGCTCTCAGACCTTGGTGGAATTTGGCTGGAGTCCTTAAAGTCTCTGTTATTTGGTCCTCATCCCCTCCCTGCCCTGTCCCCATCCCACACACGTGCCTTGATCAGCCTGGCCACAGTCTCCCTGGCTGACGAGCATGCCTTCTCTCCCTCTCTCCCGGGAAGGGGCATCATCTCCCCGGTTGGAGGAGCCAAGGGTGCACGGACGGCCCCACTGCAGTGTGTCTCCATGGCCGAAGGCCACACCAAGCCCATCCTCTGCCTGGATGCCACAGATGAGTTGCTATTCACAGGGTCCAAAGGTATGTGGAACGCCAACTAGCCAGGTAGGGTTGGGGTCTCCTACTCACCCCTGCTTCCTTTGTCAGAGTGGTCTGTGAAGGAGAAAAGAACATAGAGCCCCCAGGAGTTGAGGATATGGGGTCTATTTGCTTACTACCCTTGTTTCTTACCTTGGCTCAAGGCCCCCATCCCATGCATCCTTGGCCAAGCCTTCCCTCATACCTGACCTGGTGGCTCCATCCAGCACTTCCTTCCAGACCTTCCAGGGAAACTTCAGGAAGCTTCTTGGGTGCCCCACCTGTACTTGCACTGCCCAACATCACCCCAGCTCATACATCTAGGCACTCCCTATGATCTCAGCAGCAGCACTTTACAAAGTCACGCTCACCTGATTACAGCAACAAAGTCAAACATTTTACCAGCAGATAGGCTGGGCACAGTGGCTCATACCTGTAATTGCAGCACTTTGGAAGCATGAGGCAAGAGAATTGCTTAAGCCCAGGAGTTTGAGACTACCTGCGTGGGCAAATAGTGAGATCCTGTCTCTACAAAAAATAAAAAATTAGTCACAATGACATGTGCCTGTAGCCCCAGCTACTCAGGAGGCTGAGGTGGGAGGATCGTTTGAGTCCGGGAGGTCAAGGCTGCAGTGAGCTGTGTTTGTGCAATTACACTCCAGCCTGGGCAACAGAGCAAGACCCTATCTCAATAAGCAAATACAAAATTCTTTATTTACTCTTTCATTCATTCATTTTACCGACAGAAAGAACTAGTCTGTAATAGACACGCATACTATAACACAAGCATAAATATAGCTCTCCACGGCAGTAGGGGGATAGCTGTCAATCTAGGTGTGATTGATTGATTCCAAGTTTTCCCATAACATTTGCTTGCACTGGTTCATTTGCTTTGTCAGCAATTAGTGTTTGGAGGAACAGGCACCATAAAAGCTTAAGAATTTTATTTTAGCCCTGGACACCTTAGCAGTATGGCTCACAAAACTCTGGTGTTAGTGGAAAGTTTGCTTGAGGAACCCTGGTCTGAAGTTCTGAGGGAATTCTCTCTTCCCTGAGTTTTTTACTAGCACACACATGCCAGTGAGCACATGTGTATGTGTTTTTTTCCTCTTCAGACCTGGAGCTCCGTCCTCTGGAGCCCTGTGGATCCCTTTCCCCTATCCTGGGCAGCCCCTGCAGAGGTGGAGCTGCGCCCCCTAGTGGCTGACATCCCTCCCCTCCCTGTGGCTTCCTCCCATCTCTCACAGACCGAAGCTGCAAGATGTGGAACTTGGTTACGGGACAGGAGATCGCAGCTCTAAAGGGCCACCCCAACAACGTGGTCTCCATCAAGTACTGCAGCCACTCGGGGCTTGTGTTCTCCGTGTCCACCTCCTACATCAAGGTGTGGGACATCCGGGACTCAGCCAAGTGCATTCGGACTCTCACGTGAGTAACCCCCGCCTGCCTCACAGTGGTCGGCTGCAGCAGGCTGTGTTGGGTACAGATGCTCCCAGCCCAAGTGACCCACTCAGCACAGCACAGCCCGGCTACATGGGCACAGAGACCATTACCAGCCTATGAACTTGGCTTGACCCTGGGGTACAAGGTGAGATCTCTTGGTTTGGGAGACAGTGTCTGGGGCAGCACCACTAGAGGAATTTTTGGCCTGCCTGGCCTCCACCCACAGCCCAGTCCCCCAAGCCCTGCCCCTTGAGGTGTGTTAGATATCATCCTATGAGTCTGAAAGAGGAGCTAGGAAACAGGGTGAGCCTCCAAAGCCATGCTGGCCACTGCCTGTGTAGGCGACCACCCAGTCATGGCCCTGAGCCCTGCCCCGACAGTCTCAGACACACAGGCATAGGGCAGGGGAGGCAGAACTGAGACCAAGAGCCTTGCAAAATAAAGTGGTTTTTTTTAGCAGAAGTCATGCTACATCCTTACATTAACACTGTAAGCTACAGTCTATTAATTTGATCCTTAAGAAGTAAACAGGCTGGGCACAGTGGCTCATGCCTATAATCCTAGGTATTTTGGAGGCTGAAGCAGGAGGATCACTTGAGACCAGGAGTTCAAGACCAGCCTGGGCAACACAGGGAGACCCTGTCTCTACAAAAAAAAAATTTTTAGTTAGCTGAGCATGGTGGTGCATGCCTGTAGTCCCAGCTACTCAGGAGGCTGAGGTGGGAGGGTTGCTTGAGCCCAGGAGGTCGAGACTGTAGTGAGCCATGTTTGTGCCACTGCACTCCAATCTGGGTGACAGAGCAAGACCCTGTTTCAAAAAATAATAATAATGAATAAAGTAAACAGAGGGTTTTTAGGGCAGTAAAATTATTCTGTATGATGCTGTAATGGTAGATGCATGCCATTATACATTTGTTCAAACCCTTAGAATGTGCAACACCAAGAGTGAACTCTAACATAAACTATGGACTTGGGCAATAACAATATGTCAACATGGGTTCATAATCGAAACACAGGCAGCTTTCTGGTGGGGGGTGTTGATAATGGGGGAGACTGTGCCTGTGTGGGAGCAGGGGCATGTGAGAAATCTCTATCTTGTGCTTAGTTTTCTTGTGAGCCTAAAACTGGCCTTAAAAAAAAAAATAAAGTCTTAAAAAAAAAAAGTAAACAAGGCTGGGCGCAGTGGCTCACACCTGTAATCGCAGCACTTTGTGAGGCCGAGGCGGGCAGATCACCTGAGGTCGGTAGTTCAAGACCAGCCTAACCAACATGATGAAACCCCGTCTCTACTAAAAATACAAAATTAGCCAGGCATGGTGGCGCATGCCTGTAATCCCAGCTACTCAGGAGGCTGAGGCAGGAGAATTGCTTGAACCTGGGAGGCAGAGATTGCAGTGAGCCGAGATCACACCATTGCACTCCAGCCTGGGCAACAAGAGTGAAACTCCATCTCAAACAAACAAACAAACATAAATAAATGTAAACAGGCTGGGTGCAGTGGCTCACGCCTGTAATCCCAGCACTTTGGGAGGCTGAGGCAGGCAAATCACCTGAGGTCGGGAGTTCGAGACCAGCCCGACCAATATGAAGAAACCCCGTCTCTACTAAAAATACAAAATCAGCTTGGGATGGTGGCGCATGCCTATAATCCCAGCTACTCGGGAGGGTGAGGCAGGAGAATCGCTTGAACCCGGGAGGCAGAGGTTGCAGTGAGCCGAGATCATGCCATTGCGCTCCAGCCTGGGCAACAAGAGCGAAACTCCATTCAGAAAAAAAAAAAAAAATAGTAAACAGAATGGATATAATCACCTCTTTTAACAGATGAGGAAACCGAGACTCAGAGAGGTTGATTTCCGGAAGATCCATGTTCACACCCACTCTCATGACTGAGCCTTACCATCTTTCCAAGCCAGTGACCAGGCACATGGGCAGGCCACATGGGGAGTTGACTCATAGGGGACTAGAGTGGAGCTCTCCCCTGGGTCTCACTTATGGGAGAAGCTATTGCTCTTCTCTGTCAGTCAAGGAAGACTTCCTGGAAGAAGTAGGTTATTTGGGCTGGTCTTAGTGACGTTTTATTGGTTTCCTGCACTGTGCACATGGATTGTTTTGACCTCTGGCCTTGCCTTTCTCCGATGGGCAGGTCCTCGGGCCAGGTGATCTCAGGGGATGCCTGTGCCGCCACATCCACCCGTGCCATCACCAGTGCTCAGGGCGAGCATCAGATCAACCAGATCGCCCTCAGCCCTTCGGGCACCATGCTGTACGCCGCCTCGGGCAATGCCGTCCGCATCTGGGAGCTTAGCAGGTCAGCGTGATACCTGGGGAGGGAGGAGGGTTTGGCATTCCCAGGCAAGGTCCCCAGGTCTTGGTTCAGGGGGACCCACCCCAGGGTGGGTAGGACCTCAGCAACACCTTTATTCCCCCCATGCTGCTGGGCCTGTGCCCTCTCCAGTGAGACTGCTGGGATGCAGGGTAGCTCATGTCTAGATTCTTGATCTTGCCTTGAGCGAGAGGGGAGGGTGAGTACCCTGACCAGGCCTATTTGTTTTGGGGCAGACACCCCACCCCAACCCAGGGTCCCCTCTAATTCACCTACCCCTGGCTGGGCCTCTTCCCACTGCAGGTTCCAGCCTGTCGGCAAGCTGACTGGCCACATCGGCCCTGTGATGTGCCTGACGGTCACCCAGACGGCCAGCCAGCATGACCTCGTGGTGACTGGCTCCAAGGACCACTACGTTAAGGTACCTCAGCTATGAGGCCTGGGTCGGGGCTGGTCTTCCACTCTCCCCAATCTTTGCCCTCTGTTGCCCTGGGAGTACCCATGAAAAATTATAAGACTTCTGGGGATGTCTGCTGAAGAAATCACCCCAAAGAAGGCAAGAATTTATGTGCAGAAAGTTATAGATTGCAGCATTATTTTGTAACTGGTGAAAAATTCATAATAACTTAAATGTTGAAGGGTAGAATAACAATCAAATTATGGAAAATCCACTAAATGGGATGCATTGCAGCTATTAAAATGATAAATAGCAAACCAAACATGAAGTATACAAACACTAATTTGTTTGCTCTCTGATTATGCCATTGAAAACTGTCCATACACAGTCAGAAACTGAAAGGAAGCAGGCCAGGCGTGGTGGCTGACATCTGTAATCCTAGCACTTTGGGAGGCTGAGGTGGGAGGATCACTTGAGGTCAGGAGTTTGAGACCAGCCTGGCCAACATGGTGAAACTCTGTCTCTACTAAAAATACAAAACATTAACCAGGCATGGTGTCGGGCGCCTGTAGTCCCAGCTACTTGGGAGGTTGAGGGAGGAGAATCGCTTGAACCCGGGAGGCAGAGGTTGCAGTGAGCCGAGTTTGCACCACGGCACTCCAGCCTGGGCAACAGAGTGAGACTCAGTCTCCAACAAAAAAGAAACTGGAAAGAAGTAGGGTTTTCAGGGGTGGTGGGATTATGGTGAATATTTAGTAAAAATCAAAAGAATTCTAGAGGGAGGCTCACACCCTAAACCCACCCTTCTCCTTAGCAGCTGCCTGTTGAGCTGTGGGGTCTCGGCGTGATGAGCTGATTCACCCCTGCATTACTTGAGTTGGTCTCCTCCCACCCCTGCCCCAGTATCCACAGGAAGGGTCAAGATCTGAACCTTCCGTGTTCCCAGTCCCTTAGAAGGAGCAGCCCCACCTCCAGGAACCCTCGCCTGCTGGGAAGCTCCTCTCCCCAGAGGGCAGTGGCTGTCACCCTAGCCAGACTCCTGGGTCTTCAGGCCTCTGGGTCCACAGTGCTGTAGGCCCTGCCTTCCATCCTCCCACTTGGCCTCTCCCTACTGGCCCCTCCTCCCACAGATGTTCGAGCTGGGCGAGTGTGTGACGGGCACCATCGGCCCCACTCACAACTTCGAGCCCCCGCACTACGATGGCATCGAGTGTCTCGCCATCCAGGGAGACATCCTGTTCAGTGGCTCCCGAGATAACGGCATCAAGAAGTGGGACCTAGACCAGCAGGAGCTCATCCAGGTGGGGTCAGGAGGAAAGGGAGAGGGTAGACTCGGGTAGGGTGGTTTCCATAGCCCACGCAGGGCCTTGGAGACCCTGGGACCTGGACTCGCGGGCCCCAGGCCAGATGGTTTTCACAGCTCCCCAAGCCCTCCTGTTCTCCCTCTTCCTCCTCTGTCTCCATCCTCCCTTCTTCCCTACCCGCGGCCTCTCCTGATGCCACATCTCCCTCTTAGGCAACCTGCTCTCAGCAAAGCCTTTGCTCTCAGCTCTTGGGTTTGCATGTGAAGCTCAGTTACCCAATTCCTTTCCTGGGAGCATTTGTGTTTTAGCCTGACCCGTGTGAGGGCTGAAGGGTTCTCTGCCAGGGCAGGATCTTAGGCTTGAACCTGGGAAGTAGAGCAGAGGGACCCATCTCTGGTCCCCTAAAGCCCACAGCACAGGCCACCCCAGCATGGCTCCTGGAACCAGTGTCACCCGCCCGTGTGGCAGCTCTAGAGGCCAGGGGAGCCTGGAAGTAGCTCCACTACTAGCAAGAGGGGCCCTGGGGCAGGTTCTCTCCCTCATCACCTCCCCCAGCCCTCACCAGCCCTGATCCTCTCACAGCAAATCCCCAATGCGCACAAGGACTGGGTGTGCGCCCTGGCCTTCATCCCGGGCCGCCCCATGCTGCTCAGCGCCTGCCGTGCGGGTGTCATCAAGGTCTGGAACGTGGACAACTTCACACCCATCGGTGAGATCAAGGGCCACGACAGTCCCATCAATGCCATCTGCACCAATGCCAAGCATATCTTCACAGCCTCCAGGTGGGTGCTGGTCAGAGAGGTCTGCCTCTGCTCCCTCATCTCCTTCCTGGTGTGGGCAGGGGAGGCTGGGAGGCTCAGGGCCCTGCAGTTGTCCCCGCAGGCTCGGTTCACAGAGCAGATTCCATGGTGGCCTCCTTTGCATACCTAGCCTGTGCCAGCCTTCAGTGAGTGCCCACCATGTGCTGGGCACTGCGCTAGGCAGGGGAGGAGGAAGGTACTGGGCCCTGGGCCAAGCCTCGCCCGCTTGTCTCCAAGCCCTTCCTACCCTCCCCTGCCCTGGCTGTCTTCCCCCGTGCAGGTATCTCTCAGAGCACAGAGCAGCCCTGCCAGCCCCAGACCACGCCTCTTACACCCCACCCACCCGCTCTGGCCCCCTGTGTGGGGAGCAGCCAGGCCCTCTGTCCCATGGGGTGCGACTCAGATGGCTTTCTTTCTTGTTCCGACTTTGTCCCTTCTCTCCCCTCCCCTTCCCATCTCCTCCCACCTCTCCTCTCTGTCCTCGCCTCTCTCCCCACACAGTGACTGCCGGGTAAAGTTGTGGAATTACGTCCCTGGACTCACCCCCTGCCTTCCTCGCCGAGTCCTGGCCATAAAGGGCCGCGCCACCACCCTGCCCTGACCCTCCCCAACTCTCCCTGTCTCCTCTTTCATTCTTCCCCTCTTTCCTTTTCCCTCTCTTTCCCCACTTCGATCTGAGCTGCTTCTTAACGGTATGAGATTATTTTACTCCTTCTTCTTCCTTTCCCTTCCTGTCCTGCCTGGCCTAGAGAGGTGCCCTGCCTGTCCCTCCTGCACCCACCGTCCTTTTCCAAGCATGAACAGTGGGACAGGCCCCAGGAGATGGGTGCCAGGGAGCAGAAGGGGGAGCCTTCAGGCCTGGACAAAACGAAACACCCCCCCAAAAAAAGAAAACCCATGACAAAGCTCCCCTGGGGGCCTCTGAGTGCACAGGCCTCTCCATCTGCCCAGCACCCCACCACCTGCAGTCCACCTCCCCGTAAGCCATGCTTGCCTCCCAGCCCCAACCACATTTGGGGAGTTTGGGGAATCCAGTTCATCCTCTACTTTTGGGGGCAGCCAGCCAAGCCCACTGCAAGAGCTGACCGGCACCCCTCCACTTTGTCCTCCACCCCAGTGACCTGACGGTGAAGTTCTGGAGTGTCCGGCGGTTACCCCACAGCGGCCCACCCTAGGAGTGAGGTCAGAGGGATGCCCCCGGACCCTCGACCCCAGCAGCCTGGACACCATGGAAGGGAAGCTGTGACCCGGCCGATGGGGCCAGCTGCTCTGGGGACAGAGGGCGTGGCCCCCTCTCCTGCCCTCCTCCCTCTCCCTTGGCCTTCCCACAGGACACTGTTCCCTCATCCCTCCCCTGCCTCTCAGGAGCCTCTGGGTGAGAGAGAGGCTGGGGAGGAAATTAAGCTGTGAAGCCAAAGGGCATTATCCCTTCTTGTTCCCCTCCTGGCAGTCGTGGCCACATTGTCTCCTGCTGAACCGGCTCTGCCCCTTTCTCAGGCCTTTGGCCCAGTGGTGGAGCCCTGTGGGGAGGTGCAGCAGCCTGGCCCCATCCCACCCTTCCGAGGAGCTGGCCTCCCCGCTTCTCCCAGCCCAGCCTCTAGAGCCACTGCACCTGCCTCTGAGCCCAAAAAGATAAGTCCTCAGGTAGCTAAGGAAACCAGGTGTGGGCGGCTGGGCCTTGCAGCTAACCCTTAACCCTCTGGCAACCCGCAGATAGCCCCAACTGGCCCCAACAGTTCCCTGGGGTCCCTTTTGGATGGGGCCAAGGTGGAGCTGCTAGAAAGATTCCTTTGGGGAGATGGTCAGAAATACTTCAGTTATTTATTATTTTGTTATTTTTATTTTTTGCTGTTGCCTCCTGGAAACGGACTTGAAGTTTCTTCCCCTATATTCTTTCCCTCAGCTCTTGGGGGCCAGAAATCCCAAAGGGAGTCCGCTGCCCCGGCCCTCCAGGGCCGCCTCCTCTGTTTGCTTTGCAGAGGAGGGAACTGCTCCTTCGACTCTGCAGCTCAGGCCTGTCCCCGACACAGCCCCCAGGGAGTCTTCTAGCTACCCCTGGCCTCTAGGCCGCCTGACGCTCAGTGCCTTCCTCCGTTCCGGGGCCTGGCACCCGTGCCGGGCAGCCTTACACCAGCCATGCCCGCGGCACCACATGTGTCTTCTCACTCGCGAGGTCTTGTGCCCAGCGCCCCCGGGAAGGCGGGGGCGCTCACCCCACAGCCCAGGCCCCGGGGTTCTGCCCCACAGTCCTGCGTGGGCCACGTAGGAAGCAGCATGGGGGCTGTGTCTGCTGGGAGGTGGCTTGGATGGGGAGGACAGCCCGGCACCCTGACCCCCGCCCCTCCCCAGCCCTGCAGTCCCCCACTGGGCCGGGGAGTCTCTCCAGCTTCTCTCTCTCTGGTTATTCAGGAGACACATTTTCGGCCTTAAAACTGGCATGGAGCGCAGGCCCTCCCTTGCAGAAAATTATCAAGGAAGAGGGAGTTGGCAGAGTTTCTCTGCCCCGGGGCTGGGGACGCGGAGCTCCGGGGAAATTGTTAAATCAGTGTTCTGGCGCCCCCTGTTGGGGGAACTCTGGAATTACAGGAGTGGGCCTTGGGGGGGACTGAGCTCCATCCCTCTCCCCCGCCCCACCCCCACCCAAAGTTGCCCACCCTGTTTTTCCGTTGCATCGCTGGTCTTGTGCTTCCCGCTTCAGTCTGGGAGCCAAGAGCCAGCCCCACCTCCCTTCAGAGGACGCAGTGACTTTTGGACTTTCCAGAGGTGGTTCTGTGTTTCTGCCCTTGGCTCCTCTCCGTCTTGGGCTGGGGCACTTGGAGCCCTCTCCATGTGGCGCCCAGTGTTGGGGGGAGGCAGGCTCCAGTGGAGGCTGAGTGAGGCCTGGTCCCTTCCCCGTGCCCTCCTCGGAGCTGCCACAGAGGCTAAGACGGCTGTCCTGCTGGTGCTGGCCCTGCTGGATGTGGTATTGAAGTCTGGGGCAGCTGATAGCAGGAAGGAGACCCCCTTGGATGCTGGTCTCCTGGGACCTGAACAGTCTGTCAGCAATGGCTGGAAATCCTTCTTCCTCTGGCCACCCCGGGGGTGCCGGGCAACCCCCTTAGCTCTAAGATGTGGCCACAAATCTCTTCCCACTCCTCCCCGCCAACCTGAACAGAAAGTTTTGACCTTGCAACCTGTAAGAAAGAATCCGTCCGCATGACTGTTTACAAGCGATAGAAACACGTAAGACTCTGTCCCCTTGAGCTCCCACCCCCGGGCCGGGGATGCCCCACCTGGGGTGACTGCACTGTAGCTGCAAGGCGTGTTCTTGCACGAAGTGTGATCTTATGGCCCTGCGAGAGGTGCTCATCATCATGCCCATTTTCTGCTGTTTCTGATGGGTCAGCTACCTCACGGCGGGGCCAGCTCTGCTGTCCTGGCAAGTGTCATTGACTCTCTAAACTTGAAGTCCTTCAGGAGCCCTGAGCCCAACATCCATGAGACACCCCGAGTTGTGCTTCATGAGAGTTGGATTCTCTGCCCACTCTTTCAGGGATGTCCAAGGTCCATGTTAGGGGGCAGGCCCCCAGCTCCACTCACTGCACAAGCACCCTAAATGTTGGAAGCACAAAATGGTTGTGATTTGAGCACAATGGCAGGGTCCCGCAGGCAGACTTGACAGGCCCAGGCCCGGGAGGATCCCCCCACGTTGGCTCTGTCCAAAGTGAGATTGGGGGTGCCTGTGTCTGGGACAGGGGGCTGCCCTTGCTCAGACCAGGCCTTGGCTCATGGCTTGTCCTAATTCTGGGACTCGTCATCTTACTTCTTGCCCTTCTGTGCCCATCTTAAGACTGGAGGCTGAGCCTTGTCAGGCCCAGCCACATCTTTACGCCATGGGACCAGGAGTAAAGCGCTCTCTAAACCCCGCACCCCAAATCTCTAAACGCCTGAGTTCAGGCTGAGTCCTAGCCCTAGTGAGCCTGAAGAGCTTGGACTGATTCCCAGTCTCCTGGGTCAAGCCCCACTTTGTGCTTTCGAAGCTTATGAGCGGGTTCCCTGGATAGAAGGAGTCTTCCATCCCCACTGCCCTTGGGCCTCTTCAGCATAGTCCTGTGCCAGGGCCCTGTCCTCACTATCAGTCAGTTCAGTATTTGCTTTCACGTGAGTGGCGGACTCTTCTGAAGCAGCCAGAACTCTCAAAGGCAGCGCATGGAGTTGCCTTGCGAGATTTCCAAGGAAGGAGGAAAGATTAACAGGCGGAGCCTGGCACACCCAAGCCTTTGAGGTGGTCAGAGTGCCACCTTCAGCCCCTTGGGAAGGGACAGCGGTGGGTCTGGGAGTGGCCTCACCCTGGATTCAGCCTAGGAATCTCTTCACCCTCAGCTGTCCAGCCCTGCTGCCTGTCTGGGGATGTGTGGCCTGGGCAGAGGGCAGTTTAAAGCACAAAACCACATGGGGAAAACACAAGGTTGCGGGGACTTTCTCATGTGCCTGATGTGGTGGAGGGAGACACCAGCAGGTGGCTGCAGTGACGTTAGGGAACATAACACTTCTTTGCCCTGCTAGCTCTCAGCTCTGGGGGGCATCCCCCGATGTGGTCTGGGCTGGGAGCAGGCATATCCCCTGGTTGTTGCCTGTGCCTGGTCTGTTCACCATCGTGTTTGTGTGGGCAGAGCCTGCCCTGCAGGAGCAGTGACTTTCTTCCCACTGTGTGTCCCGGACCTGTGGTATGTGTCCCTTTGCCATCCCAAACAGGCAACTGCTTGCTGCTCTCCTTGCTTGGCATAGCCTCCTGGTCAGTGGCCAATGCCCCACAGGCCTTCCTGGGCCTGGCCCTCCTCTCCTGACTCCCAGATCCTTCCCTGCCCTCTTGTGTGCAAGGACAGATTTTGCAGGGAAAGTTCTGTTTCTTCTTTGATACCTTTGTTCTGTCCCCTGCCCCATCCCCAGCACTCATGATCTTGAAGCCCCTATCACACTCTAGTTCAGTCCTGTGAACCATGTCCTGAGGGCCTTGCAGGGAAGTAGGAAATAGAAACTCCTCCACAAAGAGCCGAGGATCAGAGAAGACCCCTGAGATGAATCAGGGCCCTGCCCTGCCCACCAACTCTTTTCTAGCAATCATGTCCTGCCCAGGCTGCAGGCTTCATTAGGCTCCTGCTGTCCTCCATGATGTGACTAGCACAAGGTGTATATATGTTTTGTACCTCTGCCGATGGCTGTACATAGTGTATGAAAGTTATTTAAGCCCCATGTTGTACATTTCTGTTCCTAGATTGGATGTGTGTGTTCTAAGAAGTTGTCATAAATAAAACCTGAATGACCAATGTCTGTGGAGGTGTCCCCTGTCCCCTTCCAGGGGGCTGCTGACTTTTGGCTGGGGCCTTTGGAGAGGGAGTTGGTGGTGGTGGTGGGTGGGTGGGTGAATGGGTGCAGCAGGCCTCTGGGGCTGGGCCCAGCCTGATGAGAACTTCCTGAGCTGTGAGTTTGGGGCTTCACCAGTTAGAAAGCAGAGAGCTTTGAGAGCGTCACATTCTCCTCCAGACTCCATATGTTGTCTCCAGAGGCAGGTGCAGTTGCTGGAAGAGTGGGCAGCAGCATTTGTGGACCAACTGCTATATCCTAGGCACTGTTCAGAGCATTTTTCATTGTGTCTTCACTGCCCTGTGTGACAGGTGACATTCTCATTTTATGAAATGAGAAAGGTCTCGGGATGGATGTGACTTTCCCAGGATCACAGCTAGTAAGGACAGAGCCAGGATCTGCATCTAGACCTCCCCAACCACAGCAGCCTTTGCCTTTTGCTAACGTAACACGTACCTCTCTAGGGCCTGGACTACGCTGTGCGTGGTGCACGCCAAACGCATCTCGGTCCCTTGCCACTTATGGAAAGAAGGCAAGACTATAAAAAGATCATACAAGAAAAGAGCTCTACAAAGGTCTTTTCTTTTCTTTTTAAATAGAGATGGGATCTCACTATGTTTCCCAGGCTGGTCTCGAACTCCTGGGCTTAAGCCTTACCTCCCATCTCAGTCTCCCAAAGTGCTGGGATTACAAGCGTGAGTCACTGTGCCTCACCATGATTTTTGTCCTAGATCAGTGCTTTTCAGTCTTTAAGAACCCATATTCCCTTTTGATAACCATGAATTGTTTCACCAACTCCTGGAGATTCCGGCCCATCCCCTGGGCAGAGAGGCCCCTCGGGGAGAATCCACATCTTCATCACCAGCCACAACTGATTAAAAAGCTTAACTTCCTGATATTTGTATCAGGAATATAATAGGGTTTCTCTTTGCTTTGTTTCCCAAATATAAAACCAAATTGCTTCCTCAGCCTGCGCAGGTCCCCTGCTGTTTGTCCAGACTTATGGATGTGACAGGTGCTCTGGCCAGGGAATTCCTGGAGTCTGTAGGAGGCAGAAGTCACCGTGGGTGGGAGGGTGAAGCTTCCTGGGGAAGGTTTCCTCTAGAGAGGCTTCTGGTCCTCAAACAGAAAGGCCTTGGTGAGTGAGAGAGGGACCCTGAGCCATGGAGGGAGACACAAGTGGGCAGAGTTGCCCTGACATGCCAGCCCCGCTGGCAGGCACAGAGCCTCCTGCCCCAGGAGCAGGGTGGCTTCTTGCGGACAGTTGTTTTTGGCTGGCTGACCCGGCATCACCCATGCCACTCCCCGCCCCACCCTCGCTCCCCACAGGTCCATATTTTGCATAGGATCCTGCCTGACAGTGGGACAGAAGAGCCCACTGTGAACTGCAGGAAGTGACACCTGGGCATGGCCAGCTGCAGACTGGGCAGGGTGTGTGGGCAAGACCCAGAGACCGGCCACTGGGGAACTGGTCACGGGCCAGACCTGGAGTGGACTCCAGCCATCTGGTTCCTTCTTGCCACTGCGCTCCTCCCTGCACCCTCCAGAAAGTTTGCAGCACAAGGTAATTTTTCCAAATGTAGTTCACCCTGTCTCTCGAGGATGCCAAGGCTCCTGCAGGGTGCAGTGGGGGACAGGAACACTGGGTTAAGAGACTCTTTTCTTCTTTTAATGTGGGGTGTTGTTTTGTTTCCAGATTACATGAATAATATCTGCTTACTTTAGAAAATTTGGAAAGCAAGAGTGTCAAGAAAAATCCCGTTTAGGATATAAGCTATGGGGCAGCTTTCCCAGGCACAAGGGAATGGCACCTCTCAGAATTTGGTAAGAGCCATTCAATTGTCAGAACTAGGTGGCATCTTAAAGGTATCTTTTCCTCAGCCTCTGAAGTTGAGTTTTAAAAACAAAGATAATGTTTTCCAACTCTCTGTTTATAAATTTACATTCTACAGAATTGAGGCCCAGAGAAGCCAACAGAGTTGGCCAAAATCATCCTGGGACAGAGATGGCCCTAGAATCCATTACTTTCCATGCATTCATTACCTTGTATTCATTATTTTATGCTTGACCAAAGTGAGGGGGTGACTTGTGGGGGTGTCAGAACAGTCTTTAAAGTGGGTCTCATCCCAATGCACTTGACCGGTTAATAGATTTTTAATAAGATCTATCTTTTATCATTGCTTGTAACAAAGCAAAACTGCCCTGGCAGAGGCAGGGCACTGCAGGGCAAGTATCCAGGCCTGAGTGTTGATGCTTGGGGTGTGGTTTGGGCTGTGCCAAGGGCCAGCCATGGTGGTGTTTCTATAGAGCAGCGCTGTCCCTGGCTCTGTGGTACCCAAACTCTCTGATCTTCTGGGATGTTTTTCACTAACAATCCTTTAATAAATCACTTTCCTTCTTAAGCCAACTGGAGTGGACTCTGTTGCTTACAACTGCATTCTAGAACACCTCATGTGTGCCAACATTACTTCTCCCTCGGCTCATAGTTGAAGTTGGTTCAAAAGAAATGGCTGGCTCTGGCCTCAGACCCATGGCTGAATGGGAGAAGGGAACAGAGGGGCAGAGCAGGGAGAGGTCAGCCTAACCCAGATGTGCATAGGCAAGAAGGCGGCTTACAAGTGGCTCTACCCCAGAAGGCCAAGAATTGACTGGAAAGACAACATAATAGCTATTTTCACAAAGGTGCATACTTTTTCCTTTTATTACAAAGATTCTGCAGGGATACACCTCCATTTCTAGTGCAGGACCCAGGAATCTGGCCCCATTGTCACAGGGTCTAATGGCCAGGCCTACATCTGAGACTCAAGGATGCAGGCTCAGAAGTAGTGCCTTTGGGGCCTCCTCCTGCAGAAGCAGGAGGTTGGGGGCTTGGCCAGTAGCAGCTTCTTCTTGGCTTCCAGGATATGGAAAGTCTGCGTGGTGAGGCAGCTGACCGTGGGGTTGGAGTCTCTCTGCATGTGCCGTAGGGCTGAAACACAGAGAAAGTCCTAGTGGGCTGGGTAGGAGGGCCTAGGCCCTGTGGTGCAGACATGTACCGGGCAATGGGGTCGGGACTGGTGGATTTTAAACTATGAGCAAGAGTTTCTTCTAGGAGTCCACAATGCTCCATTACAAGCAAGACCACATAGCTGCCATGAGCACAGGGAGATGCGAGGCCCACCTGCTCCTGACCCTACACCCATTACCAACCCACTCACTCCTCTCCACTGCCCCTCCCTGGCCCTGCGTCCTCTCTTTCCCATAGAATAGCTGTGTGTGAAGTTCTCTGACTTCAAAAAGAGCTGCAGCCAGGGACTCGACCACACATGGGAGCCCAAAACTGTCTCTCCTACAAGAAACCCAAGGGACCCTCCTGGCTGATGAATGGGCTCCGTGGTGGTGAGGGTGTGAGTGAACATGGGGCAGGAGGGCTCTGACCAGCACCTCAAAACCTAAGCACCTTGGGGATGAGCCTGCCTTTTCACACGTCTGGATGATCATTTTTGTGAGTCCATCCGCTCACTTTTCCTAACTTCTGAGCATTCCCCACCAACACCGGTGCCACTAAAAGATGCAAGGAGGGGGCGACTGGGCTGCCACTCACCTGTGTATGCCTCCTCAATTTCATCGATCTCTTCCAAGTCTAGGGTTTGGATAATCTGACCTACAGGAGCACACAAAAGCACCTCAGAGGCCCCACAAGGAATCAGTGGGGCCCTGGCTGCAAGTACTCTTGGCCCCCTTCCCAGACACTCACTATTCCCTCCTTTTTCCTGTCTTTCCCTCCCTTGGCCACCAGCCTCAGGTTTGGACTTTTCCCATAAAGTCAAACTTGTGTCCCTTGCTTCTCTGAAGGATTCTAAGCAAATAGGGCTGGGTGAAGGAGTGGATCTTCCTCTGCCCTGAAGAGCTCTTCCCTGGGGTGATCTGAGGCAGTCCCCCGCCTATCTCTGAACTTCCCCCACTGAGCAGCTCCCAGACCCCGGATGCCCCACCCTTTGTCTCTCTGCTGGCTCGTAGGACTTGGCACATTCTGCTGTAGGAAGATTACCACCCAACCCGACCAGGAGTTTCCTGCAGGGGAGGGAGCAGGTAGGCACAGGTAGGCACTCCCACCTCCAGTCCCACCACCCAACATAATTCCCATGGGTTCTGTATGTCCTCATGTCCTGGGTGCCCAGTCTGTTTAAGGGACCCTACAACAAGGACACAGTGGCTCCAAGAAGACAAAAGGCCATACCTGCAAACCACACAGCTGCCCAGCGGATGGGAACCTATGGGCTCTTGAAGAGAGCCACACACTGCTTCAGAAACCAGAGGGCTTTGTTTGTCTCCTGATCCAGCTGTAAGAAAAGGTGTCAGATTATGGCAGGGACCCTCAGACAGTTTTGAGATTACACTGGAGCCATCCCCTGAGGGCAAAAATCTGTCAAAACCGTCTCCTTCTCCATCCCCTCCTACCCCGGCTCCTGAAATCTTCTTTCTTTCATGAAGCCTTCCTGGACTGAACATGCCACAGAGATCATACTCCCTGGCCTTGACGCAGTTTGAGCATGAAACTCATAAGAGGTTGGCCCCACTGTTTGGCTCATACATTTTTTTCTCCTACTCCCAACAATAGAGTGAACCCTGTTGCTTAAATCCTGTTTATTTCTATCTTAGTTTAAATCTTCAATCTCAAAGTCATATGCTTTAGGTTGCAAAAGATCATGCCTACAGCATTCTGTTTAAGCAGAGCCTTAGTCACATCAACACAAAGATGGGAACAATAAACACTGAGAATCCCAAAAAAGAGGAGGAAGGGAACAGGGCAAGAGTTGAAAAACTACCTATGGCCTATGTTCACTCCTTGGGGATGGGAACATTAGAAGCACAAACCTCAGCATCACACAATATACCAATGTAACAAGCCAGCACCCACACCCCCGAATCTAAAGTTCTTAAAATAGGCCGGGTACAGTGGCTCACACCTGTAATCCCAGCATTTTTGGAGGGCCAAGGCAGGCAGCTCGCCTGAACTCAGGAGTTCAACACCAGCCTGGGCAACATGGTGAAACCCATGTCTACTAAAATACAAAAAATTAGACGGGTGTGGTGGTGTGTGCCTGTAGACCCAGCTACTCAGGAGGCTGAGGAAGGAGAATCACTTGAACCCAGGAGGCGGAGGTTGCAGTGAGCCGAGATTGCGCCACTGCAGTCCGCAGTCCGGCCTGGGCGACAGAGCGAGACTCCGTCTCAAAAAATAAATAAATAAATAAATAAATAAATAAATAAATAAATAAATAAATAAAATAAAATAAAATAAAATATTTAAAATAAATAAATAAAAATAACAGAGCCTAGCAGTGCTGCATGTAATTACGTGTTTTCATATCCTCCATCGCCTGCCTAGGAATGCAGCCCCTTCTGCATTCATCAGACTTCCATCCTTGAAGGTTCAAAGGATGATGTGTCCTTCCCTTTGCAACAACCACTAACCCAAACCCCATCTCCTGCATCTCCTTCCTAGCTCTGATCCTAACTCTCCTCTTTCACTCTGCAGTCTAAGTTCTTAAAACAGAAGGCTACATCCATGGTTTTTCCCAACTTCTTTTGACAGGATCTTTTCTTCAAAAAGAAATCTTAACTGGAAACCCAATATCCCAAACTAACAGAAGGGGTGGGGGGGCAGGTGTGGTGGCCCACGCCTGTAATCCCAGCACTTTGGAAAGCCAAGGCAGGAGGATCACTTGAGCTCAGGAGTTGGAGACCAGCCTGGGCAACATGGCAAGACCCTGTCTCTACAAAAAAAAGAAGGAGAAGGAGAAAGAGAAGGAGAAGTGGGGCTGCTTGGGTTGAAGGAGGTGGGGAGGCTGAGCCTAGCCTGCCTGCTCATCTCTCCCATCTTTTGAAGTTACCCGAGAAACCCTTGGGTTTTTGTACCCTTGACTGCTTCCTGAAACTGGTCATGGTCCTTCCTAGGTGACCATGACTCTCCTCTCTTGTTGTCCTCCTTTGACTTTCTGCCTGGTTTCCTTTTCTAGTCTCCTCTGTGGGATCCTTGGAACTGATGTCTCCTGGAATCTCAGTGTTGACTCATATACTCCTCCCACCACACAATTACCTTAGGAGAGCATGTCTGGGCTTAGGGTTGCAATCTCCATCTACCACCCAATGGTATGCTCAGCGTTCACCAAACACAGCCCTGTTCTCCAAGCTTCAGTGATACATATCTAACTTCCAATGGAATAGATGTACTAGCATTCTCACAGATTTTACAAGCTCAACATGCCCAAAATCAAGCCACCACCTTCCCCTCCACACCTGTTCCTCCCTCTGTATTTCTGACCTCAGTCCAGGACACCAGCATTCACCCATGTCAGAAGCCAAGAGGCAACTTTTACTTCCACAGTTCACATCAAATCAATCTCCACAACTAGCTAATCCCGCCCATGCCTTTGTCTTCTTGACTTCATCATTTCTCCCCAGACACTCTCCAGCACAGGCTCCAATTCCGTCCCTTGGGAATGTTTCTCTGATCTGTAGCTTGGGTGATTTGTGTGAAATGCACAGCTCTGTAACCATGCTACCCACTTGCTTAAAACGCTTCAACAACTCCCCTTGCCTACAGCCTCAAGTCCTGCTCCTC
Source organism: Homo sapiens (assembly GCF_000001405.40). Classification (NCBI taxonomy): domain Eukaryota; kingdom Metazoa; phylum Chordata; class Mammalia; order Primates; family Hominidae; genus Homo; species Homo sapiens. The sequence goes on along the minus strand of NC_000001.11, from coordinate 200,962,745 downwards.
ACTGGGCCCAAACCTCCACAGCACAGTGTGGCCCAGCCTCCTGCTTCCTGCTTGGTGTCTCCTGCCCAGACCGGACTGCACACTGACAGTCCATGAGCAAAGCCAGCCTGAAGATATTTTTTTTTGTTTGATCTACGCAGCATTTTACATTTTAAATTATTTGCCAACATTAATGGGGGAAATTTCACCCCAATCAGGATTTCCTGCTTTCTTTTTTAATTTTTTTTTTTTTTTGAGACAGAGTCTTGCTCTATCACCCAGGCTGTAGTGCAGTGGCGCGATCTCAGCTCACTGCAACCTCCGCCTCCTGGGTTCAAGCGATTCTCCCGCCTCAGCCTCCCGAGTAACTGGGATTACAGGCGTCCACCACCTCGCCTGGATAATTTTTGTATTTTTAGTAGAGTCAGGGTTTCCCCATGTTGGCCAGGCTGTTTCAAACTCCTGTTCCCAGGTGATCCAGCCACCTTGGCCTCTCCAAGTGCTGGGATCACAGACGTGAGCCACCGCACCTGGCATCGATTTCCTGCTTCTCTTAACAACCCTGAGCCACTTTCCTAGAAACAATTGGTGGGTTCTCAACTGGGGACTGTACTGTGTGGAGGGAATTATGGAACTGGGGGATGTTTATGGTTTTCAAAATGATGAGTGGGGGTACACCTATTTCTAATATCCCATTACACATTTATGTCTCTCAAAAACCTACTTATAATAATCCATGCCTAGAAATTGGCTTTTTTAGATAACAGAGAACTTTTTCACAGTTCAACTACATACTGGATTTTCTAGGAATGCATCTGCAATAGACATCAAAGACTATACTTCATCTTGTTCAGAAAGTCATCAGACTTTCTGGTCTAATCAGACTTCCCTGGTGTGGGGGGAGCTATTAATATAATCATTTTGGAAGTCCCATCACCAACGGTGACCCTTCTTGTGGTATGAGTCTCCAACTCCTATAACATTCTGCATTTGTAGCAGATCCATTCACATTGATTCTATGGAGAGGGGCAAGGATTCATGCACATCATTTTCTTCTAAAGTAACTGGGCCCTGGCAGGGCGTAGTGGCTCATACCTATAATCCCAGCCCTTTGGGAGGCTGAGGTGGGCGGGTCACCTGAGGTCAGGAGTTTGAGACCAGCCTGGTCAACATGATGAAACTCCGTCTCAAAAATAAAAAGAAACCCCGTCTCTACTAAAAATACAAAAATTAGCCGGGCCTGGTGGCAAGCACCTGTAATCCCAGCTACTCGGGAGCCTGAGACAGGAGAATCGCTTGAACCCGGGAGGCAGAGGTTGCAGTGATCTGAGATCGCACCACTGCACTCCAACCTGGGCTTCAGAGTGAGACTCTGTCTCAAATAAATAAATAAATAAATAAAAAGTAACTTGGCCCAAGCATTTACATATAGTATTTATTTTCTATTATTATATTGTGTTATGCTGTATTGTGTTCCATATATTCACACAGATTATTTTGTTGTAGATTACTTTCACTTCTCCTTTGGCGTTAGGGCATTATATTACTTATTTTGGAAATATGCAAAGGTAGAGGATATTATTTACGAATTTCACTTTAGGAGAGTAAAGTTGGTGTCACTAAATGTGTGCTGTGACAACGGTGTGTGGTTTCTGGCCATGCTGAGGAGGCTGCCTGTGCTGGGCCTTGGGGCCTACATCTCTCCTCCGGGCCCACCCAGTCTGACCTCTGGTTAGTGTTTCCCACATGGCCTTGTAAGCATTTGCCTTTTCTGCCCCTGCTCTAATGATTCCAAGGCACTTATATTAATAGCTCCCCACACACCAGGCCCTTCTGCCCTTATTTCTCAGGATGGTTGTGAGGATCAAATCATACCAGATAATGTGTGCAAAGTCCCTGGAACAGAGTGAGTGCTTTGCTCCACACCCCTGTGTACAGCATCACCTTGGCCTGCACTCTTGATTCCGTCCCTTTGCCTAAGTGTTACCCTGCCTTCTATTTCTCCTTCTGAAGATGACACCTCCTCCAGGAAGCCTTCCTTCAACTCCCAGACTGTGCTGGGTACCCCTCCTTTGCCTTTCCCAAAGTATTCTGGGATTGTCTACTTGTGTGCCTAGCTCCCCAATTCAGACAGGAAACAAGGGGAGGGCAGGAACCATATCTAGGTGCTGAGCATAAAGTAGGTGCTTAATGAGTCTCTCATCGTTGAACTGTTGCTGCTGCCCGCTGCCACTACTGCTGCAAACCCCAGAGCTGCAGGAAAAGGACCTAGACCGCTGGGGATGCCACCCTCCCTCGCATAGGGGCAGACAGTGAGCAAGCTGCTGGCTTACCAGGGCTCCAAGAATGTTCCACACATCTTTCTCTGCAAATACTGCTTTCAGCTTTGACCAGCCCAGCACGGCAGCAGTGTGGCAGAGGGCAGACCGGCAGATCTGGGAGACAAGGAGGCTCAGCATGAGGAGCTGGGGAGTGGCACTGGGCAGGGACACAGAGGGGTGCAAAAAACGGAGACAAGCGGCATCACATTCAGCCTCGATGGGATGGAAATCTCACTGGTGAATCGACAGGGATCCAGGGCTTAGGAAAAAGGCAGGGGTCCAGGCAGCTTGGCTCTACTTACAACCCCCTTTTCCCACTAATAAGAAGTTTAAAAATTACAGTTCTAACAATTTTCCCAATTGTTGTGGTGTGACACTGCGACCCGGAGCACTGGAACTATCCAGCTCAGAGCCTTATTCACCAGAGACATGGCTTCCCACGCCGCCGCCCCCCCATCCTCCCTGCCCCACAAAACAGTCTCTCTGAAAACAAATTTCCCCGAAGTCTTAATCCCCCAACTGGGTGGTCACTGTTCTAAATCAGGGCTGGCTCTGTCAGGAATACCACGGCTGAGTTCACCGGTGGGACACCCCCGCGCAAAGATAATATCCCCATTCAATCGCTTGCCCAGCCGGCCTCAGATGCGCCTAAGAGGCCTCAGTGACGGCAGAGTAGCCTGCTCTGTGGAAACAAGGTGTCCTGTCACAGAGTAAGTCAGCCAGTCTTCAAGTGTTCAAGCTGCAGTTCACGTTCCTGGGTCTCCTGGGCTCAAAGCTGGACTCATTCATTCCGAAATGTAGGCCAGTTCCAGGCCGTCTCTATTCTGCCCACCACACTGCCTCCCACGGGGTCTTCCCGACCCAGGGAACTCTGTCTCTATTCACAGGCAGAGAGTATGCAGAGAGCAGCATGGAGAGGGGCCCCCTGGAGCCACAGGCAGGGAGGCAGAGAGAGGGACTGCTGCCCGTCGATGAGACTTTCCTCCCAGGAGAAACACCCACAGTATTCCACTGGGAGTCAGTGGCCAACCAGATGGAGCCAGAAGCTGGAGAAAACTTTAGTGCAAGCCATGGACACAGGAAGGGGAACATCACACACCGGGGCCTGTTGTGGGGTCGGGGGAGGGGGGAGGGATAGCATTAGGAGATATACCTAATGTTAAACGACGAGTTAATGGGTGCAGCACACCAACATGGCACATGTATACGTATGTAACAAACCTGCATGTTGTGCACATGTACCCCAAAACTTAAAGTATAAAAATAAAAAAAAAAACTTTAGTGCAAGCGTCTGTTCATCTCTAGTCTCTCACTAAAACTCTGCAAGGTCAGAGACTAGTTGACTCCTTCAGCACCATCCAGTACTGCCACAGCCCTGCCTAAGCACTCAACATGTTTAGCATTTACCTCCCATGAAAACGGGGACTGAAGGCCAGGCTCCAAGGCCTGGCCTCTCACCAGAGACACATCGGTATTCACGTCCCTCAGGTGGAGCACCAGGGGGACTAGCAAGTTGAGGATCTGGTGTTTCAAGGGGAAGACAAGGCCCCTCTTCTTGACCTTGGTCAAGAGACTCCCATAGATCTCAAAGGCTGCCAACCGCAGATGCTCTGACACCTGGGAGAGAAGACACGCATGCGTGGGGAAGCAGAAGCCATCACGTCCCTGAGCTCCACCCCCGCCAACCCCACACTCCTGTGTCCATTCGCTCCCTCAAATGACCTGCTCTGACCCCCGCCTGCTGTGCTCTGTTCTCTTGCTCCATCTCACCCCTTCAGAAAGATACAAGGAGGGCAGGAGCAATCAAGTCCCTACAGAACAGTATCGTATTCAAGGTGAACGACCTTGAATCATTCTGCCAACTCTGTGAGGGGTTTTGTTTTTTGTTTTGTTTGAGACAGGATCTCGCTCTGTCGCCCAGGCTGGAGTGCATGGCACGATCACAGCTCACTGCAGCCTTGACCTCCTGGGCTCAAGCAATCCTCCTGCCTCAGCCTCCCAAATAGCTGGGGCCACAAGCGCATACCACCGGACTCAGCTAATTTGTTGTTGTTGTTGTTTTGTTGTTGTTGTTAGAATGAGGCCTCACTATGTTGCCCAGGTTGATCTTGAACTCCTGGCCTCATGTGATCCACTGCCTCGGCCTCCCAATGTGCTGGGATTACAGGTGTGAGCCACCACACGCGGCCAACTCCCTTATTTTACAGATGCCTAAAGAAAGAAAATGACCCCAGAGAGGCCTTCACCTCCTCAAAGAAGGGCACCAGCGTGAAGGTGAGCTGGGTCAGGAAGGAGGAGGAGTGCTGCCAGGTGAGGTGGCTCAGGAGATTCTTCAGCACCAGCAAAGTCTCCAGTACGATGTCGCTGTTCGAGGAGTAGCAGCAGTTCAGCACATAGGGCTGGAGGATTCGGAGCCGCCTCACCTGCGGGAGACAGTGGCTCAGGGAATGGGGAGCTGGGGAAATAACTCCTGCCAAGCCAAGGAATTCTCATTTCAAGTCAATTCAGCCCCACAATTGAGAGCCACACTCTACTGCTTTTTCATTCCAGAGCTGGGACTGGCCCAGCATCTGGGTGGCCATCGGAGTGAGCTGCCCAGGAGGGCATTTGGGGAGGTACCTTGTGTCCATCATGAGGGAAGGGGAGAAAACAGAGGAGGCCCCCTCCTCCCACTACACTGTAAGTTTCCATCGCCACTGCGCTTCTCATCCCTGATGATGACAGCAATCTCCAAGGGACCTGGATGACGTGTGAGATCCTGGGGTTAGCTTGGTCTATTCTCTGAAATGACCCATGAAAAAACTTCCTCAGGAGACCTTTCCTGGGAGGGAGAAATCATGAATGGCTCAAGCCCCAACTCCTGTCTGTGCTGTACTGGCCTCATGAGGATTTGCTCTCTTTGATCCCAAGAGTGTGTCCCACCCTATCTATAACTGGACACACCAGATGTTCCTTCTCCTGGTTACATCTCCTGAGCGCACACCCTTAGCCCCTGCCCCATTTTACCATGTTTTCATGCTTCGCAAAGACCTCTAGCATCTGCAGCAATGGCTTCACTGTGGCTGGCTCCTCACTCTTGAACCAGTTTGCCAGAATGCAGGTGGTGAAGTCATCCACTAAGGCTGCCACATCTGGGCACTGAAGCAGCTGGGGAAGGGAGACCAAGAAAGACAGGTGGGCAAGGAGAAAAAAAAATCCTCAATGACTTTGGACTAGGTTCCTACTCACTAGTAGGGAAATGTTCTTAAGGGTTTAGAATTGGTAGAGAGGCCAAAGCTTTAAGGATGAATTTGCACCTGTCATCCCAGAAGTCATTTATTCATTCTCCAAGTTTTCCTTAAGCATTTTCTTTTTTTGAGATGGAGTCTTGCTCTGTCGCCCAGGCCGGAGTGCAGTGGTATGATCTCGGCTCACTGCAACCTCCACCTCCCGGGTTCAAGCAATTCTCTTGCCTCAGCCTCCTGAGTAGCTGGGACTACAGGCATGTGCCACCATGCCCACCTAATTTTTGTATTTTTTAGTTGAGATGGGGTTTCAGAATGTTGACCAGTCTGATCTTGAACTCCTGACCTCAGGTGATCCACCCGCCTTAGCCTCCCAAAGTGCTGGGATTACAGGCATGAGCCACCACAAACCTGGCCCCTTAAGCATTTTTTTTTTTTCCAGATGGAGTCTCACTCTGTCGCCCAGGCTGGAGTGCAGTGGCACGATCTCGGCTCACTGCAACCTCCACCTCCCGGGTTCAAGCGATTCTCCTGCCTCAGCCTCCCGAGCAGCTGGGACCACAGGCATGTGTCACCATACCTGGCTAATTTTGTATTTTTTGTAGAGAGGGGGGTGTCACCATGTTGGCCAGGCTGGTCTCGAACTCCTGACCTCAGGTGATTCACCCGCCTAACCTCCCAAAGTGCTGGGATTACAGGTGTGAGCCACCACGTCCAGCCGCATTAAGCATTTTTGATAAGGGAAACTGCAGGAGATAAAAGTAAGAAATGCACTCTGCCCTCAAAGATCCTAGCAATTCAGCTGGAGAGTCAAGACTTAGGTACATGAACGACCTAGTGAACATTTCAAGGCAATAACAATACTACACAAATTAAAAGCAAGTAAAAAATTATTATAAACAGGTGTTGATTCATCTAGGAAAAGATTGTGAAAGAGGTAGAACTTGGCCAGGTGTGGTGGCTCATGCCTGTAATCCCAGCACTTTGGGAGGCCGAGGTGGGCGGATCACCTGAGGTCAGGAGTTCGAGACCAGCATGGCCAATATGGTGAAAGCCCGTCTCTACTAAAAATAAAAAAATTAGCTGGGCATGGTGGCAGGCACCTGTAATCCCAACTACTCGGGAGGTTGAGGCAGGAGAATCGCTTGAACCCGGGAGGCGGAGGTTGCAGTGAGCCAAGATCATGCCATTGTACTCCAACCTGGGGGACAAGAGCGAAACTTTGTCTCCAAAAAAAATTTAAAAAAAAAAAAAAAGAAAGGTAAAACTTGAGCTGAACTTGAATAAAGAGAACTTCAATGAGCAGATGGGAGGGGAACGTAAACATGTGTGTGTTTAACGGGAAAAGGTGGGTATAGCAAAACAAGGGCGAAATGTAGGGATAAGCTAAGCGTAATGTAGTTGAGGGAAGGGCAACTGGGTGCTGGCCCGACTCCAGAGGAGGATCCCATTGGCAAGAAATGTTGGGCGTGGGAAATGTGTTGGGTTGACAGAAGGTCCTAGGAGGAGAGAGATCAGCATGTTATCTTTTGGAGTTGCTCTAGTCAACTGTGGCGGCTCACACCTGTAATCCCAACTACTCTGGAGGTTGAGGCAGGACAATCACTTAAAGCCAGGAGTTGGGGACCAGCCTGGGCAACATAGCGAGACTCCCTGTCTCTAAAAAAAAGTTAAAATAATTGCTTCAAGCACAGGTAATAAGGGTCTGGACTAGGCCAGGGTAGTGGGAATGGAGAAAGGATGACCCTGAAGAACACTGCAAAGCACGTATTAGTCAGATTTACTGACGTGCTGAAAAAGCAAAAGAGAAAAGTCAAAGACAGTCCCCTAGAATAGTAACTTTTTTAAAGGGAGGGGGAAAAAGGAGAATTATTAAGAAATCATTGTCGGCCAGGCGCAGTGGCTCACGCCTGTAATCCTAGCACTTTGGGAGGCCGAGGCAGACGGATCACCTGAGGTCGGGAGTTCGAGACCAGCCTGACCACCATAGAGAAACCCCATCTCTACTAAAAATACAAAATTAGCCGGGTGTGGTGGCACATGCCTGTAATCCCAGCTACTCAGGAGGCTGAGGCAGGAGGATCGCTTGAACCCAGGAGGTGGAGGTTGCAGTGAGCTGAGATCGTGTCATTGCACTCCAGCCTGGGCACCAAGAGCGAAACTCTGCCTCAACAAAAAACAAAAAACAAAAGAAAGAAAGAAAAAAGAAAAAGAAAGAAATCCTTGTAATGATCATTCAACAGCACTGGGGACTCCAGGCTCTGCTGGGTGATATCGAAAAGCGATGCTGACTCCTAGGCAGTCAGCCTTGGCTGCATGTTAGTGTCACTTGCAAAGCTATTAAAAATGCTGATTCTTGGACCCCACGTCACCCCCAAGATTCTGAGTTAATTGTACTGAGTTGGCACCCAAGTATTAGTGTAAGTTCTCCTGGAGATATGAATATGCATCCAGGGTTGAGAACTCCTGCTCTAAGTGCACATGCTTTGGAATGAACATGCCAGATGGACACCTTGAGTCTGCACAGGTAGGCTGGCTCAGACTTACACATATCAGTACATTCACCTGGATAAACCAGCCTGGCATGCACTCTGTTTAAAAATAGACTAGCATGCACGTGATGGAAAACATTGCAATGGAAAAACACATGTAGTCATGCAAATGGAAAATCAGAAGTTAAATTAGTCTTGTAGACAAGAAAAAGCCAAACAATTCAATAGGACAATGGGCAAAGGACATGGGAAGGAATTCACAGAAAGGCGAATCCAAATCACAGAATTATATGCGGAATGTTCAAAATCAGTAGAAGCCAGGGATATGCAAACCAGAGCAGCAATGAGATACTGCTTTACACCAAGTCTGTCCAACGCACGGCCCACAGGCCCCACGCAGCCCTGGACAGCTTTGAATGTGGCCCAACACAAATTTGTAAACTTTCTTAAAACATTATGAGGTTTTCGCGATTTTTTTTTTTTTTAGCTCATCACCTACCATTAGTGTTAGTGTATTTTATGCGTGGCCCAAGACAATTCTTCTTCCAATATGGCCCAGGGAAGCCAAAAGATTGGACACCCCTGCTTTATACCTGCCAGGAGGACAAACATCTAAAAAGAGTTAAGCTTTGTTGTTGGAAGAGATAGAGACACCGTTCTCTCACACTTCCCTGAGATAAATGTGAATTGTTAGTGCTTCTTTGGAAAACAATCTGTCAACATCTATTATGTGTGTGTGATTATTTGAGCATGCAGAAGGGTACGTACTTGGTTGCTTGCATCTGAGATACTTGGGAGATGAAGAGGTGGAGGTGTAGACGTAATGTGGTAGGAGGGGAGAAGGCAAAAGTAGAAGAGAAAAAAAAAGACTGCACTTCAAAACTCAGTTTGTGGACCACTTGAGGTCAGAAGTTGAGACCAGCCTGGTCAACATGGCAAAACCCTGTCTCTACTAAAAATACAAAAATTAGCCAGGCGTGGTGGCAGGCATCTGTAATCCCAGCTGCTCAGGAGGCTGAGAAAGGAGAATCACTTGAACCCGGAAGGTGGAAGTTGCAGTGAGCCAAGATCATGCCACTGCACTCCAGCCTGGGCAACAGAGCAATACTCCTTCTCAAAAATAAATAATAAATAAATAGGCTGGGCATAGTGGCTCACACCTGTAATCCCAACACTTTGGGAGGCTGAGGCGGGTGGATCACCTGAGGTCAGGAGTTTGAGACCAGCCTGGCCAACAGTGAAACCCCGTCTTTACTAAAAATACAAAAAATTAGCTGGGTGTGGTGGCAGGCGCCTGCAATCCCAGCTACTCAGGAGGCTGTGGCAGGAGAATTGCTTGAACCCGGGAGGTGGAGGTCGCAGTGAGCTGAGGTTGCGCCATTACACTCCAACTTGGGCAACAAGAGCAAAACTCCATCTCAAAAAATAAAATAAAATAAAAAAATAATCAGTTTGCATGGTTTAATTTACTTATTCGTATTATATGTGTATATAGATTATTTTAAATAACATTTATTGCTTGATGACTTGTGATATAGAAAATATCTTTTAAATAATAAAATAACATTTAAAAAGGCAAAATTCAATCAGATACATTTAAAATATATGTACTTGCTTTAGTGTGCATGTATGCATGCACATATGAATGTACATTTGGCAAAGAAGTCTTCATTAACATCTCAGCAGTTTTCATCTGTCTTTGATTGGCAGTCAGGCAGATCCACCACCCTAATTTACCCTCTAGTTGAGTAAGTAACTTCTTAAATTCTCTGAGCCTCACTTTCGTGCTCTACAAAATAGAGGTAAATAACACCCTTTTCACAGAATTAGAGAGAATTAAAATAACAGAGCTCTGCTGTTTCTTGAGTACACTGAAGAAAAGCATACGACCTTTTCTGTTTTAAACGTTTCTACTTGTGATCATCTCAAGGAAATGAATAAAGATAATGAAGCAACAAACAGGGAGTGACAAAGGCTGTGAAATATTAGAAAGCTTTCTTAGCCATGGTCTCTCACTTAACAGATCTTGACTTACTTACTTAGCTGGTACCTAAAACCCCATTGGCTTTCCACTTTAGAATCTACTGCTTCTCTCTCTGATTGCTAAGAATGGGGTTCACCCATCTCGCTACTGGGGTGCTCCTTCCAGCCTCTTCCCAAGCATGCTGACCTCCCCTCCCCGTTATCAGCCCGAAACCCCAATCAGAGTGGCAGATGAGCAAACGCTCTATCGTGTGTCCCCTTGTTTCAGCTGGGTATCAGACACTTGGGGGAACTTCTAGAGTGATTCTCAATCCTAGCTGTATTTTAGAGCATCCCTTTAAACCTGGGAGCTTCTAAAACAAACTGATGCCTAGACCCCATCCCAGATCGATTCAAATAGAAAAATTTGACAGAGAGTGAGGGGCGGGGTGGGGGCTTGGCATTAGCATTTTTGAAACCTCCAGGGAGGATACTGATACGCAGCCAGGGTTCCCAATTACTGCTCTAAAGAGAGTGGCAGCTATCTCATGGTGGCCTCCTGTCCACACGGGTTTGTGCCTTGTACTGTTTCCCAAAGCTGGGTCCAAGCATTTCCTGTGGCACAGCCACCACTGGAGTACTTTTAGAAAATTAAGACTTCGTCTGGATGTGGTGGCTCACGTCTGTAATCCCAGCACTTTGGGAGGCCAAGGTAGGCGGATCACCTGAGGTCAGGAGTTCGAGACCAGCCTGGCCAACATGGTGAAACCCTGTCTCTATTAAAAGTACAAAAATTAGTCGGGCCTGGTGGCACATGCCTGTAGTCCCAGCTTCTCGGGAGGCTGAGGCAGGAGAGTCACATGAACCCAGGAGATGGAGGCTGCAGTGAGCCAAGTTCGTGCCATTGTACTCCAGCCTGGGCAACAGAACAAGACTCTGTCTCAACAAAAAAAAAAAAAAAGAAAAAAAGAAAATGAAGACTTCTGGAGGGTGGGCACAAAGGCAGGCGGATCCCTTGAGACCAGGAGTTCGAGACCAGCCTGGCCAACATAGTGAAACCCCCTCTCTACTAAAAATACAAAAATTAGCTGGGCGTAATGGTGCGTGCCTGTAGTCCCAGCTACTCAGGAGTCTGAGGCAGGAGAATTGCTTAACCTGGGAAGCAAAAGTTGCAGTGAGCCGAGATCATGCCACTGCACTCCAGCCTGGGTGACAGAGAGACTCCATCTCAAAAAAAAAAAAAAACCACCACCAGCAAAAAAGGCTTCTTGGCCTTACCCCAGACTTCCTGAATCCAAGTCTCTGGGGACAGGGCCCAGGAATCTGCATTTTAAACAGCTTCCCTGAGATATGAAGTTCATAAATTATCGAGATCCACTGGACTGAGCCATCCCCTTCCAGTCAGGGTTCTGAATCCTACATGTCTCATTCCCATACCCTGAGCAAAAGTTCTGCCAACATGACATATATCCTTGAATGTGTATCTCAGCACCCCATACCAACATGTACAGATCAGCCTCTAGCAGTGGACACCTTCCAACAAGACACCAGTGTCCTGTAATCCACATAAGGGCACACGATGACACACTGGGATAACATCAGTGTACATCCTAGTATTAGTAATGCATTATCTTCTATCTCTGTGGTTATGTTCAAAAGTAGTCCAGCCTCTGTTAAAAAAAAAAATCAGGTGGCTTGAATTTTAAAAGGATCCCATTTAAAGCTGTAGTGGGTCAGAAACTCTGAAATTCTCCCAAACACTGTTGGTGGAAGTCTAAATTGGTACAGCTCTACTGGAAAGCAATTTGGCATTATTGTTAAAAGTTATAGAAGACATTCATATTTTTTGAACCAATAGTTCCACTTATTATATTCAATAGTTAAGGAAATAATCTGTAATATGGGCAAAAACTTTCGCAGAGATGTTCATTAAACTGTTATTTATAATTGTGTAAAATTGGAAACAGAATGTCGAATAAATTACAGATCATCTTTGTGATGAAACATTATATCACCATTAACATTTATGTTTATAGGCCAGGCATGGTGGCTCACAACTGTAATCCCAGCACTTTGGGAGGCCGAGATGAGAGGATCACTTGAGCCCAGGAGTTCAAGACCAGCCTGGGAAGTATAGTGAGACCACTTCTCCATATTAAAAAAAAAATTTTTTTTTAATTAGCCAAGCGCGGTGCTACATGCCTGTAGATCTCGCTACTCAGAAGGCTGAGGTGGGAGAATCACTTGAGAACAGGAGATGGAGGCTGCAGTGAGCCATGATCACACCACTGCACTCCAGCTTGGCCAAGAGAGTGAGACCCTGTCTCAAAAAATAAAATAAAACAAAATTTAAAAATGTATGTTACAAAGAACATGTAATGACATATACAGATATTTGAATAGAGCAGGATACAGAATATTAGTAGAAAATGATTTCAACTAGCACACACGCACACACACACACCTGTATACAGGCAAAAACCTGAATGAATATGGTTTCCTCTGGGGATTATGCTTAGTGATGGCTTTATAATTTTTGATATACTTTTCCATATTTTCTAAATTTCCTATTTTTTTTCTGTCAGGTGGCTGAATTATATTGAGTCAATCAGGGACGCTAAGCAAGGATTAATTTTAAAAGGCTGCTCAAGGCTGAGGTGGTTGAAGGAGAGAGCTGTGTTCTTCTGTAAAGTCAGGGCAGAGTCAAACTGCCATGAGATTCAAGGAGGCACCAAAGCCCCCGGCTCAAGGTAACCAAATCAAGTGCCATTAGCCATGTCCCCCAACCCTTCCTAGCAGTGAATCAGTGGCCTTCCCAGGAGGTGTCTGTTGGACGTGGCTGTCTCACAGAGGGATCACCCTCACCTGCCCCCTCCCGCCAAGAGCCAGTCACCTCTGTCAGGAACACAAGGGCCGTTAAGTGATTCTTGCAGGTCTGGGTCCTGGAGGAACCTGATGATGGAGCTGAAGAGGGGGCGGTTGTGCCAACAGTTATTGATGACAACGGACCTATCAACAAGAGCACAGTGTTCAGGTGAGGCCTGGGCCGCAGGAGAGGGCCAAGTGAATGGACAGCCCTCCAGCCATGGACCCAGGTGCAGCTCACCTGGCCGGCAGAGTGACTCCGCCATAGTGTCTTTCAGGATTGACAAGCAGCCCCCAGACCCCATGTCTCTGAATAGAAGACACACAGTCCCCATATCCAGAACTTTGAATCAAGGTCTTCAGGGCCTCCATGGTAGAACTGGAGAAAGGGCCGAAAACAGATACGAAGTCATTCACCATCTGCGCTCCTCTCCCTCACTGGCCACCTGCCCGACTCCCAAAGCTTTCTCAGGATCATGAACTGCTGGTGGTGGGACAGCCTCCAGAGACCCAGGCTAATATTTTACAAGTGAGGCAACTGAGGCCAAGAGAGATGTGGCATCTGCAAGGTGACACAGCGAGCCAGCAGAAGGGTAGGAATGCAATCCAGGTCTGTGGATCCAGATGTGTGTTTTATCCACAGTATTGATCTCATTTTGGTGCAGAATCTCTGCATCAGCCTAGTAGGCCAGGTTTAAAGAAGGAGTCTTTTCTAAAAAGTCCAGACAGCTGGACTCGCACCAGTAATCCCAGCAACACAGCAGGCTGAGAGAAGAGGATGGCTTGAGGCCAGGAGTTCAAGACCAGCTTGGGCAAAATAGCAAGACCCTGTCTCTAAATAAATAAAATAATAAAATATAATTTTTTTAAGCCCAGGGACACTTCTTGAAATGATGCATGGGGAACATGTTAAATGCCCTGGCAGGAGGGTGTACAGAGGGTATTCAGGCTCAGTAGGCTGACACCAAGTCAGGCAAAGGTGCTAAGCTGATGGTCCCTGGAGCATAATCACTAGCAAACACCAAAGTACCTTATGGGGTCCATCCATTCAGCTATGTGTTGCTGATCCCGGCTTGTTTCAGCGTCCCCTTCAACCACCAAAAAGGAGATCTGGAACAGCAGGGCCATGAACAAGGAGGAGAAGAAGGACTGCACCTCCATCTGCCGACTGGGTTCCAGCAGGAGCTCATGGATGGCCCTGGTGGCCTTGGAGGGAGGAGGAGAGTGAAGCATTATCGTATCTTCGACTCATAGGTCCTGTCACCAGGAAATCTCTTTCCACAACCCATCACCATGACAGACTTGCCCAGTAAAACCCGTGCTGCTAGAGCAAGTGAAGACTAAGTTAGTGTGAGCCAGACAAATAAAGGGCAATTTCTAGAATGTCATTGTTTTAAAGCGCTCTTCTAATCATGGTGGTTGTTTTAGTCTCTTACCATCTTTGAGAGTTAAAGAGCAGCTGGGAAATCCAGTTCTTCTATCTCCCTGACAAAGCAAAGTTAACTGGAAAACCCTCCCTGCAACCCAACTCCAAGACTGCCATTATACTGTTCTACCAAACACCGATACCTAAAAGGTCAAGGCCAAAGAGCCCAAGGCAGCCGAGAACAGGACAGCAGGGAGTCCCCTTCCCCACCCCGGCCCCCCTCTTCTGGCCTTTCCATACAATCAATGGTGAGATCTCTGTTCTGTGGCTGGGCTCCTGGTCCTTTGGCCTCCAGTGTGGAGTCAGCCTCTGAAGCAGGTAGTCCACGATCATTTCGTAGCCTTTGGGGAAGGATGCCAGGATTTCCCAGGGTTTGCAAACCCCCCTGCAGAGTCAGAAACCCACGGACACAGTTACCCACTCCAGGTAACCCACTCTCCACAGGCTCCACAGTGCTTCCAGGGGAGGCGACTCTAGGCTCCTTTGCCCAGGCCCCTAGCTCCCCTGGTTTCTTCCTCCTTTCTTGTCTCTCTCTTCATTATCCCCTCTCTCTTTTTCCTTCTATTTCTTTCATCTTGCCATCACCTCCAGACCTCCCTGTTCTCTGTCATCTCACACAAATCTGGAAATGTTCACTTGGTCTATGAACCTGGTTTGAGAAAATATCTGAGGCCAAAGCTTGTTGACCACACTTGAATGTGTCAGATCAGTGAGAAGAGCCTCCCTGTGGGTCCCTTCTCTCTGGCCTGTCCAAGCTTTCACTACCCACCCACCCTCAGACCACTGCATCTGTCTTCCAGGCTTTCCCCTGTCATCCTTAATACCCAGCATGACCACACCCCTCTTCAGGCCAGGTCTGATCACCAGCCCCGCACAGCACCCCCAGCCTCACCCCATACACAAGCTCTCTCTCCTCTATCATTGGGCACATGCCTTTCCCTTTGCCTACCATGTCTCCCCTCTCATTTTTACCTGGAAAAATCACACTCAGAAGAAAAGTACATATCTGAAAAGCATTTGCTACAAATAACATAAAATTTTAAGAAAATGTGCTTAATGTCCTCAAGAAGTCATGGCCTTTTTGAAACAGGAGGAGAAAGCATTGAGGAAATGAAGGTGAGATAAAAGGTGAAGACAGACTTTCACAGCTGGCAAACAATACACGCATGCTCTGGGGACAAAAACAAGAGAGAAAAAATGAGTCGTCAGTGAAAGAATGGCAATGAGACTGACAGCCAACTTCTCCACAGAAACAGTGGAGAGCAGAAGACAGTGGGATAAACCTTCCAAGTGTGGAACAAAAATAAACATCAACCCACAAGTTCCCAGCAAATCTATCATTTAATGCAGATTTGCTTTATTTGTAGATAAACAAAAATAGATGGTTTGATCAATAGAGCCTCGCTAGAGGATAAACTCCTAAATAATACCTTTAGAGGTATTGTTTTCTCTTTCCCATTTAGGGAAAAGAAAAATAATTTCCTAAGGAAAGTTTGAGGTGCAAGGGATGGTGAGCAAATAAAATGGTAAATATGCCTATAAATCAAACACAATATTAGAGTAAGAATGAGCATAACAGCACTGTTAATAATAGCAAGAAGCTGGAAACAACAAATAGTCATTAAAAAAATGGGTAAAATAAGTTTGTAGTTATTGTACAATGAGATATTATAAAACAATTAAATAAGCTTGGTCTGGCTGAGTGAGGTGGCTCACACCTGCAATCCCAGCACTTTGGGAGGCCGAGGAGGGAGGATTGCTTGAGCCCAGGAGCTCAAGACCAGCCTGGGTGACATGGTGAGACCCATCTGTACTTTAAAAATATACAAAAAAGGAAAATAAATAAATAAACAAGCCTGGTCTAATAGATGACTTTGCATGCAGTAGAGAATATAAATTTATTTCAAATAGCCATTAAACATATAGTAAAATTGATAACATTAATCTTCCTGGTCTATACACACAAAAGAACCCCTCAACACATTCTCAAAAGGAGAAGACATTTAGATCATGTTTTCCAGTTATCATCCAATAAAACTAGAAAAAGATGATCAAAATATCTAACCACTTGGAAATTAAAAGGTTAAAGAAAGAAACCTGTATACATTTGTATAAATATGTCATTAGATGTTGTAAGGGCATTTGGTATTTCAAAGCCTAATTTTTATTTTTCAAAAAAACTCAGCAGATTTTACCATTTCTTTGTGTTGAAAGCATTCAAAAGCCTCTCCTCTGGCTGTTTTGTAATATATGATACCTTACTGTTGACCACAGTCACTCTACTATGCCAGAACTTTTTCTTCCTATCAGATTATAACTTTGTCCAGCCGGGTGCAGTGGCTCACCCTGTAATCCCAGCACTTCGGGAGGCCAAGGCAGGCAGATCACCTGAGGTCAGGAGTTTGAGACCGGCCTGGCCAACATGATGAAATCTCATCTCTACTGAAAATTCAAAAATTAGCCATGCATGGTGGTACAGGCTTGTAATCCCAACTCCTCGGGAGGCAGGCAAATCGCTTGAACCCGGGAGACAGAGGTTGCAGTGAACCAAGATTGCACCACTGCACTCCAGCCTGGGCTACCGAGCGAGACTCTGTCTCAAACCACCCCCGACCCAAAAGAAAACACTCTAATTATATGATATCAACCTTTTATTAAACAATTCCACATGAGTGGAAAAAAAATACTCAGCAGATATAGACTAGAAAGACACTTCCTTCTCATGATAAAGGAAATTAACAACAAGCAATCCTAATTTCCCTAGTAAGAGAGTCTACACAATCTGCTAGGACAGAGCAAGTCCACTCCAGCCCAGCTCTCGCACCAGTTAAAACTAAAAACACTGGACAAATACAAAAAGCAACTACCTCCCAACACTGGAAAAACAACATTTGAGTGAGTTTCCCAGAATTCTTTTTTCTCTATTATCTTCCAGCTTTGACCCGAAGGTGACCCGAGTGCTGAACTATGCAGCAGGCACAGGCAACAAAATCTCTTAGTAAAACTCTGTCTCTCTGGCCAGAGGACTGGGAAAATGGGTCCTTGTGAGTTGGAGAAGTATGGGTGGAATCTTTGTTTCTTTCTTTCTTTGTCTCTTTCCTCTCCCAAGCTCTGTCCCGAGAGTGAGTCCAGATGCAGAGCTGCACAGTGGAAGCAGTTGGGGCAGCAACAAAAGCACCTAACACAGGGCACTGTGGCCCACTGAGTGTAGGGGTGGGGGAAGCGCTATTTTTTTCTCTCTCTCTCTTTTTTCTCATTTCATCACCCTGAAGCCAGATCCAGTTGTGCAGCTGTAGCAGCACAGGCAGCTAAAACTCTGAGAGATGGCCGGGTGCACTGGCTCACACCCATAATCCCAACACTTTGGAAGGCCAAGGCAGAAGGACCCCTTGAGGCCAGGAGTTCAAGACCAGCCTGAGCAACATAGTGAGATCCATTCTCTAAAAAATGAATTTAAAAAATAGCGGGCATGGTGGCACATGCCTGTAGTCCTAGCTACTTGAGGGCTGAGGCAGGAGGATCACTTGAGCCCAGGAGTTCTAGGTTGCAGTGAGCTATGATCACGTCACTGCACTCTAGCCCGAGTAACAGAGCACGACCCTGTCTAAAAATAATAATAATTATACTTTAAGTAGACATTTTAATCATGCTGCATGAGGTAAAGATGTACATAACTGAAATAAATGGAAAGGTCTGGAGTGGTGGATCACACTTGTAATCCCAGCACTTTGCGAGGCTGAGGCGGGAGATCACTTGAGCCCAGGAGTTCAAGACTAGCCTGGGCAACATAGAGAGACCCTGTCTCTACAAAAAGTTTAAAAAATTAGCTGGGTATGGTGCCATATCCCTGTGATCCCAGCTACTCAGGAGGCTGAGATGGGAGGATAGCTTTAACCTCGGAGGTTGAGTCTGCAATAAGCTATGATCATGCCACTGCACCCTACCTGGGGCAACAGAGAAAGACTCTGTCTCAAAAAAGAACTAAAGAAAGAGAGAGAGAGAGAGAAGCAAAGAAACAAAGAAAGAAGTGGAAAGACGGATTTTCTCATGTTCTTAGCTGAGGAATAAGCTATTTTTTAAAAAAACCAAATGGAAATTTTAGAACTGAAAAACACAATATCTGAAACAAAAATTCACTGGATGAGATCAAGAGGAAAATGGAGATTGCAGAGAGAAGGGTTCATGAACTTGCAGATGAATCAATAAAAATTATACCAATCTGAAGAACTAAGAAATTAGAAAAAAATTAACAGAGCTTCAGGGACTTATAGGACACCATTAAAAAGTCGAATATTCATGTCATTGAAATCTTATAAAAAGAAAAAGAGACTTGTACAGAAAAAAATATCTGAAGAAATAATGACCTAAAACTTCCCAAATTTGGTGAGAGACATACATTTACAGATTCAAGAAGTGCAGTGAAGTTCGAACAAGATACATCAATCACAAGACACATTGTGATTACATTAAGAGCCCACTTGAGTAATTCACAATAATCTCCCTTTCTCAAGATTCTTAGCTGAAAAAGCCCCTTTGCCATTGTCTCAGTTTGTATTGTGCTGCTATCACAAAATCTCATAGACTGGGTAATTTATAATAAACAGAAATTTATTGGCTGGGCACAGTGGCTCACGCCTGTAATCCCAGCACTTTGGGAGGCCAAGGCAGGCAGATCACTTGAGGCCCAGAGTTCGAGACCAGCCTGGCCAACATGGCAAAACCCCGTCTCTACTAAAAATACAAAAAAATTAGCTGGGTATGGTGGTGGGCTCCTGTAATCCCAGCTACTCAGGAGGCTGAGACAGGAGAATCACTTGAACCCAGGAGGCAGAGGTTGGAGTGAGCAGAGATCACGCCATTGCACTCCAGCCTGGGTGCCAAGAGCTGGTGACAAGAGCGAAACTCTGCCTCAAAAAAAAAAAAAAAAGAAGGTAAAATTGAAACATTCTCATATGGAAGAAAACTAAGAATTTATCACTCAAAGACATGCTCTAAATTAAATGCTAATGAAGTTCTTCAAGCAGAAAAGAAATTGTATCAGAGTGAAAGTTGAAATTTTAACAATGAAGATAAAGCAACAGGAATGGCAAATATATGAGTAAATGTAACAGACCGTTCTTCTCCTCTTAAGTTTAAAAATATGTATGACTATCGAAAGCAAAAATTAGGCCGGGCAAGGTGGCTTACACCTGTAATCCCAGCACTTTGGGAGGCTGAGGCGGGCGGATCACTTGAGGTTCAAGGAGTTCAAGACCAGCATGGCCAACATAGTGAAACCCCATCTCTACTAAAAATAGAAAAATTAGCTGGGTATGGTGACGTGCGCCTGTAATCCCAGCTACTTGGGAGGCTGAGGCAGGAGAATCGCTTGAACCCAGGAGGCGGAAGTTGCAGTGACCGAGATCGTGCCACTGTGCTCCAGCCTACAAGACTCTGTCTCAAAAAAAAGTAAGGTAAAAGAAGCTGTATAGTGAAAGCTTCTACATTTTCTCAAAATTGTGAAATACTAACTCTAAGCAGACTATGGAAATTTAGGTATGTAAGTAGACTATAAAACTTTAGGCATATAAATGCCCAGGAATCCACTAAAAATTGGTACAAAGAATCAAAATCTAATAGACAAGTTAAAATAGAATGCTTAAAAAAATTCAAACAATTTGAAAGAATGCAGGAAAGGGGAACACAGGAATAAAAAACAAAGGGGAAAAACAAAATAAATCATAAAATGGTAGACTTAAATCCAAACATATTATTAATTACTTTAATTATAAATGATTTAAATACGCAAACTAAAAGGTAGAGATTGTTAGGTTAGATAAAAACACAAGTCCAACCATATGCTATATTAAAAAAACATTTTAAATATAATTATACATATTAGTTAAAAGAATGGAAAAAGATATACCACACAAATACAAACTGTTTGAAAAGCAAAAATGGCCATACTAACATCAGACAAAGGGAACTTCAGAACAAAGAGTATTACCAGGGACAAAGAGGGACATTAATTAATGGTAGAACAGTCAATTCATCAAGAAGATGTAGCAATCTTAAATGTATATACACCTAATGAAATACATGAAGCAAAAAATGATAAAACCGAAGGAACAAATAGATAAATCCATAAGCATATTGGGAGACTTCAACACTCCTCTCTCAGTAATTGACAGAATATGTAGACAGAAATTCAGCAAGGTTATAAAAGTCCTGAACAACACTGTGTTGTTCTATAACCTAACTTACAGAACACTCCAGGCAACAACAGCAGAATACACATTCTTTTTTTTTTTTTTTTTTGAGACAGGCTCTCACTTTGTCACCAGGCTGGAGTGCAGTGGTAGGATCTCAGCTCACTGCAACCTCCACCCCCTAGGTTCAAGTGATTCTCCTGCCTCAACCTCCTGAGTAGCTGGGTATACAGGCGCGCACCACCGTCCCTCGTTAATTTTTGTATATTTAGTAGAGACAGGTTTTCACCATGTTGGCCAGGCTGGTCTTGAACTCCTGGACTCAGGTGATGCAGCCACCTTGACCTCCCAAAGTTCTGGGATTACAGCCATGAGCCACTGCGCCTGGCCAGAATACACATGCTTTGTAGGTGCACATGAGCATTCCCCATAATATACCACATTCTGGGCTACAAAACAAACCTGAGCAAATTTTATAGAAAAGGAATCCCATAAAGTATGTTATCTGGCCTTAATAAATTTAAACTAGAAATCAGTAACAGAAATATACCTGGACAATCCACAAATATTTGGAAATTAACAATACTTCTAAGTAATTCATGGGTGAGAGAAAAAGACTCAAGGAAAATTAGAAAAAATTTTTGAACTAAATGAAAATGAAAATACAATATATCAAAATTTGTTAGATGCAGGTAAAACTATGCTTAGGGGAACATTCATAGCATAAAAATGCTTATTTTAAAAAAGAAGAAAGTTCTCAAATTAGTAATTTACATTTCCACCTTAAGTGACTAGAAGATGAGCAAATTAATAGATAATCTGAATGACCCTAACTAATAAATAAATTCAATCCATAGTTTTAAAACTTCCAACAAATACAACTCTAGATCCAGATGGTTTCAGTATTGAATTCCACTAAATGTTTAGAAAAAAAGTAATACCAATTTTACACAATTTCCTCCAAAAAATAGAAAATAAGAAAATAGGCTGGACACGGTGGCTCACTCCATTAATCCCAGCACTTTGGGAGGCCGAAGTAGACAGATCATGATGTCAGGAGTTTGATGACAGCCTGGCCAATATGGTGAAAACCTTGTCTACTAAAAAATACAAAAATTAGCTGGGTGTGGTGGCACATGCCTGTAGTCCCAGCTACTCAGGAGGCTAAGGCAGGAGAATCACTGGAACCTGGGAGGTGGAGGTTGCAGTGAGCCAAGATCGTCCCACTGCACTCCTGCCTGGGCGACAGAGCAAGACTGTCTCTCAAAAAAAAACAAAAAAAAGATAAAGAAAAAGAAAATACTCCCAAAACAATCTTTTGAGTTCAGCATTATCTTGGCACAAAAACCCAAGACAGTACAAGAAAAAAGAGAAAGAATAAATGAATGAAAGAAAAAACTACAGACCAAATATCTCCCATGAAAAAAATCCTCAACCAAATAGACACAAAAGTCCTCAACAAAATATTAGCAAATCGAATCCAGCAATATGTTAAAAAGATAATACATCACAACCAAATGGGGTTTATCCTGGGAATGCAAGACTGCCTCCACAGTCAAAAATGCAATTTATTATATTAACAGAATACAAAAGAAAAACCACACAATTATCTCAATAGATGTAGTTAAAACATTTGTGATAATCTCCATTAGTGGTAAACACTCGCAACAAACTAGAAATAGAAGGAAACTTTCTAAACTTGATAAAGGACATCTAACATCAACAACAACAAAACCCTACCATCTAGCACCATACTTAATGGTGAAAGACTGAAAGTTTTTCCTCTAAGATTGGGAATAAAGCAAAGATGTCCACTGTCATCACCCATACTCAGCATTATGCTAGGAGTCCCAGCCAGTGTAATAAAGCAAGAAAAAGAAACACAAATTTGGAAGAAAAAGAAACACTATAAACTGCTTCTATTTACAGATGATATGATGGTTTATGTAGAAAACTCCAGTGAATCTATTAAAAAGCTCCAAGAACTAATAAGTGAAACCTCACTTATTGCAGGATATAAAGTCAATGAAAGTCAATATACAAAAATTGATGTTATTTCTATGTAGCAGTAGTAAACAATTAAAAATTTAAAAAAGATTTATGTACCATTTACAATTGCACAAAAATACTTAGGTATAAAACTAACAAAATATTCACAAGATCTGTGTGTTGAAAAATACAAAAGACTGATGAAAGAAATTAAAGACCTAAATAAATGAGATACGCTATGTTCATGGACCAGAAACTCAATATTGTGAAGTTGTCAATTCTCCTTATACTTATCTATAGATGCAACATAATCCCAATAAAAATATCACCAGCATATTTTTAAATAAATAAATATTCTATTTAAATTATAAAATTTATACGGAAAAGCAGGCCAGGCGTGGCGGCTCATGCCTGTAATCCCAGCACTTTGGGAGGCCGACACAGGCAAATCATGAGATCAGGAGTTTGAGACCAGCCTGGCCAACATAGTGAAACCCCATCTTCACTAAAAACACAAAAATTAGCCGGGTGTGGTGGCACACACCTGTAGTCCCAGCTACTTGGGAGGCTGAGGTGAGAGAATCACTTGAACCTGGGATGTGCAGTTTGCAGTGAGCCAAGACCATGCCATTGCACTCCAGCCTGGGTGACAGAGTGAGACTCTGTCTCAAAAAAAAAAAAATTATATGGAAAAGCAAAATAAAATAGTCAAAACAATTTTGAGAAAGAGTTATAGGCCAGGTGCAACTGCTCACACACCTGTATTCCCAGCTACTTGGGAGGCTGAGGTGAGAGAATCACTTGAACCTGGGATATGCAGTTTGCAGTGAGCCAAGACCATGCCATTGCACTCCAGCCTGGGTGACAGAGTGAGACTCTGTCTCAAAAAAAAAAAATTATATGGAAAAGCAAAATAAAATAGTCAAAACAATTTTGAGAAAGAGTTATAGGCCAGGTGCAACTGCTCACACCCTGTAATCCCAGCACTTGGGCTGAGGCGGGAGAATCATTTGAGCTCAGGAGTTTTGAGACCAGCCATGCAACATGGTGAGACCCCGTTTCTACCAAAAAAAAAAAAAAAAAAAGGCTGGGTGAGGTGGCATGTGCCTGTGGTTCCAGCTACTCAGGAAGTGGAAGTGGGAGGATTGCTTCAGCCCAAAAGTTCAACGCTGCAGTGAGCTATGATTGCACCACTGCACTCCAGCCTGGGTGACAGTCAGACTCTATCTCAAAAAAAAAAAAAAAAAAAAAAGTAATAAAATTGAAGAACTCATCCTACCTGATTTAATACTTAAAATAAAACTACACTATTAGAGACAGTACGGTATTGATGAAAGAACTGACATATAGCTTAATGGATCAGAAGACAGCCCATAATTAGAGGCACACAAATACTGTCAACTGATTTTTTTTTTTTTTTTTTTTTTTTTTTTTTTTAGGCAGGGTCTCACTCTGTCACCCTGGCTGGAGTGCAGTGGCGCGATCTTGGCTCACTGCAACCTCCACCTCCCCAGTTCAAGTGATTCTCATGCCTTAGCCTCCCAAGTAGCTGGGATAACAGGTGCAAGCAACCATCCCCGGCTAATTTTTGTATTTTTAGTAGAGATGGGGTTTTGCCATGTTGGCCAGACTGGTCTCGAACTCCTGACCTCAAGTGATCTGCCCACCTTGGCTTCCAAAAGTGCTAGGATTACAGGCGTGAGCCACCACGCCCAGCCGTCAATTGATTTTTGATAAATGTGCAAAGACAATTCAGTGGAGAAATGATAATCTCTGCAACAAATGGTGCTGGAACAATTAGACTTCTATATGCAACAAACTGAACCTAGTCCCATTCCTCACGCTTTCTAAAAAGTAAAAGTGAAATATAAATATAAAACACAAAAGTTAAAACTTCTAGAAGAAATCATGGAAAGAAATACCTATGACTCTAAATATGATCCATAAGAAACAAAACACTGGATTTCATCAAATTACAAACTTTTGAACTCTTAAGAGAATGAAAAGACAATCCACAAAATGGGAGATATACATGAAAATTGTATATCTGACAAAAGACTTGTATACAGAATATATAAAGAACTCTCAAAACTCACCAATAAGAAAACAAACGACCCAACAATGAAATGGGTTAAAGATTTGGATACTTGACTAAAGAAGATATATGAATGGCAAAGAAAGACATGAAACGATGCCCATCATCATTAGTTGCAATTGAATTAGGGAAATGCAAATTAAAACCACAATGAGAGGCTACCACACACTTGTTAGAACAGCTACCTATCTATCTATATCTATATATATATATTAGACAGCATCTCACTCTATCTCCCAGGCGGGAGTGCAGTGGCACGATCTCGGCTCACTGCAACCTCCGCCTCCCAGGTTCAAGCGATTCTCCTGCCTCAGCCTCCTGAGTAGCTGGGATTACAGGCCCCCGCCACCACGCCTGGCTAATTTTTGTATTTTTAGTAGAGATGGGGTTTCACCATATTGGCCAGGATGGTCTTGAACTCCTGACCCCAGATGATCCACCGACCTCGGCCTCCCAAAGTGCTGAAATTACAGGCGTGAGTCACCGTGCCCAGCCGCTACTTTTTTCCTTTTTTTTTTGGAGATGGAGTTTCGTTCTTGTTGCCCAGGCTGGAGTTCAATGGCGTGATCTCGGCTCACTGCAACCTCTGCCTCCCAAGTTCAAGCAATTCTCCTGACTCAGCCTCCTGAATAGCTGGGATTACAGGCACCCGCCACCACGCCTGGCTAATTTTTTGTATTTTTAGTAGAGGCGGGGTTTCACCATGTCAGCCAGGCTAGTCTCGAACTCCTGACTCCCAGGTGATCTGTCCACCTGGGCCTCCCAAAGTGCTGGGATTACAGAAGTGAGCCCCTGCTCAGGTCCTGAATATGTTTTAAGAAGAAGCAAACAGACTATTGGGGGCATGTACTTGTGGGATCGAAAGTCACCTACTTTTGTGACTGATCTTCTATCTTCAATACTGTCAGGATAACTTCAGTGTAGTACTGGGACAGCAGATACAGGATCTTCTTAATGGTCTTTTGGGCTGTGGTTTCTGTAATGCTGTTCATGTGGTAGTGAATGTACTGGATGATTTCCAGCACCTGAAATGAGGGAAAAGGAGGTTCTTTCCAGACATTCAACACCAGATCACCAGCATCCACATAACTAGGCACCCACTTCACCTGTAGAGCTGCACATGATGCATACATAGCATGCCCAGACCAAAAAAGTCACCGTCCCACTGCACTCTGCTCTGGTCAGGCCATACCCTCAGGACTGTGGACTGTTTTG
Source organism: Homo sapiens (assembly GCF_000001405.40). NCBI lineage: Eukaryota > Metazoa > Chordata > Mammalia > Primates > Hominidae > Homo > Homo sapiens. Next base: position 200,936,989 of record NC_000001.11, on the reverse strand, counting down.
GACCCTATGGGGCCTGAAGCAACCCCATGTTGGATGCTAATCCACCATATTGACTTTTTTTTGTTTTTTTTTTTTTTTTGAGACAGAGTCTCGCTGTGTCGCCCATGCAACTGGAGTGCAGTGGTGAGATCTCAGCTCACTGCAACCTCCACCTCCTGGGTTTTATCGTGCCTCAGCCTCCCGAGTAGCTGGGATTACAGGTGCACATCACCTCTCCCGGCTGATTTTTTTTGTGTTTTTATTGGAGACAGGATTTTACCATGTTGCCCACGCTGGTCTTGAACTCCTGGGCTCAGGCAGTCTGCCCACCTCGGCCTCCCAAAGTGCTAGGGTCACAGGCATGAGCCACAGCGCCTGGCCTACAATATTGACTTCTTTTTTTTCTTTTTGTTTAATTTTTTCCTTTTCTTTTCGTTTTGGTCACCATATTGACTTCTGATTAATCTCGGTTCCCAGAATACCTCTAAGATTTCTACTTGATCTATTTTTTTTTTTTTTTTTTTTTAGACAGAGTCTTGCTCTATCGCCAGGCTGGAGTGCAGTAGCACCATCTCAGCTCACTGCAACCTCCACCTTCTGAGTTCAAGAGATTCTCCTGCTTCAGTCTCCCGAATTGCTGGGACTATAGGCACTCACCACCACGCCCAGCTAATTTTTGTATTTTTAGTAGAGACAGGGTTTCACTATGTTGGCCAGGATGGTCTCGATCTCCTGACCTCCTGATCCACTCGCCTCGGCCTCCCAAAGTGCTGGGATTACAGGCGTGAGCCACCGTGCCCGGACTTACTTTATCTATTGTTGCTGTAAATCCAGTCCTTAGGTCGAAACAACCCTTACCATAAATCCTGCCCTTAGGGCAGATTTGCGTAGCATTCTTGCTTTTTCCTGAGGGGTTGATTTTAATTGCCCAACACATTCCTTCTCTAAGGTATATTTGTTAGTTTCTTAGAGACAGGGTAGTGGCATGCTCATAGCTCACTGCAGACTTGATGTCCTGGGCTCCAGTGATTCTCCCACCTCAGCCTCCCAGTAGCTGGGACTAGAGGCACACCCACCATGTCCGACTCCTATTGTATAGAAGCCCTGGGCCATGGTGGGTGATGGCTGGGGGGTCCACCATCTCATCTCGCAGCCTCCTGGGACATGGCTTCTGTTTTGTTTTTTGTTTTGTTTCAGACGGAGTCTGGCTCGGTCGCCCAGGCTGGAATGCAGTGGCGCAATCTCAGCTTACTGCAACCTCCACCCCCCGGTTTGATCCTCCTTCCTCAGCCTCCCAAGTAGCTGGGACTACAGGCACATGCCACCACGCCCGGCTAATTTTTGTATCTTTAGTAGAGATGTGGTTTTGCCATGTTGGTCAGGCTGATCTCAAACTCCTGACCTCAGGTGATCCACCTCCCTCAGCCCCCCAAAGTGCTGGGATAACAGGCGTGAGCCACCACGCCGGGTCTTTTTTTTTTTTGAGACGGAGTTTCCTTCTGCCTCCCAGGCTGGAGTGCGGTGGCGCAATCTGGGCTCACTGCAACCTCCGCCTCCTGGGTTCAAGCAATTCTCCTGCCTCTGCCTCCGGAGTAGTTTCTTTCTCAGAAACTGGATTCATCAACCTCTTTCTTTGACCTCTCAGCTTCCTTGGATTTTAAGGGTAGCTTTATACAGACCTGCCCACCACGGAACAGACCCCATATTTTAAGAGGGACAAAATAGAGAGCAGCCAGGGGAGACCAGAACCATGTCTGGAAACCATGTCATGAAGAATGAAGGAAGAATCTAAGGATGAGTAACTTAGAGAGAGGAAGCCGGAGGGCATACGATTGCTGCCTCCAAATGGTCTCAAGACTATTATGGAGGGAGAGAAGAGTCAGTCCTTGCTGTTTACTGGCCATGTGGGGTGGAGGCAACAGGTAGTGGTCCGCATGAACTCTAAAGTCATACTACCTGGATGTGAATTTCACCTCCCCACTTGCCAACTGTGTGAGCTTGGGAAAGCTTTTCATCCTCTGCGCTCTATTTCCTCACGCAAAATATGAGGACGATTTTACCCACATCAACAGTTCTGAGTTAATGCATCTGAATTGGTTGGAACAGTGTCTGTTACCTAGTAACTGCTGGCGAAACTTCAGTAATTAAGGCTCATGGCGTCTTTGAGCCTTTTCTCGTTTTGTTTTTCTTTCGAGACAGGGTCTAGCTCTGGTGTCCTAGCTGGGGTGCAGTGGCGCAATTATAGCTCCCTGCAGCCTCCATCCCGTGAGTTCAAGCTATCCTCTCATCTCAACCTCCCTAGTAGTTGGGACTACAAGTGTGTGCCACCATGCGCAACTAATGCTTTTGATTTTTAGTAGAAATGAGGTCTCACTATATTGCCCAGGCTGGTCTTGAACTCCCAAACTCAAGCGATCCTCCTTCCTAGGCCTCCCAAAGTGCTGGGATTACAGGTGTGAGCCACTGCACCTGGCCTTCTCGTTTCTAAAGAGAAAATAATTCTTACAACAGATATGTTGTAAGAATTCAATACAAGAATATGTAAAAGAAACTAGCACAGTATATAGCACCTAGCATTAGTAACACTTGAATATTAATTGAATTCTGCATAACCCAAGAAGGTAAACTTGGGCCAGGGACTAGAAACTATGGGGATGCAGACTTCAGTGTGCTGTAAGTTAGAACTTTTAGATAAGGAAAGTGGTTCACCCTTATACACTGTTGGTAGAATGTAAATTAGCACAACCATTATGGAAAATTCCAACATTATGGAGGTTATTCAAAAAACTAAAAGTAAAACTACCAATACCACTTAAGGGTATATAGCCAAAGAAAATGAAGCCAGTGTCTGGAAGAGATATCTGCACTCCCCTGTTCATTGCAGCGTTTTTTGTAATAGCCATGATAGGGAAAGAACCTAAGCTTCCAACAACAGATAAATGGATAAAGAAAATGTGGCATATACACAATGGAATGCTATTCACCCTTAAAAATGAAGGAAACCCTGTCATTTAACAGTATACATGAACCTGTTTTGTTTTGAAAAACAAAACAAGCCAGGTATAGAAAAACAAATACTGGGTGATCTCACTTAGATGTGGAATCTAAAAAAGTCAAACTCATAGAAGCAGAGAGTACAATGGTGGTTACCAGGGGCTGGAGGTGAGGAGGATTGGGGAGATATTGGTCAAAGGATACAAAATTCCATTTAAACAGGAGAAATAAGTTCAGATCTATTGTACAACATGGTGACTATTCTATACTTGAAATTTGCTAAGACAGTAGATTTTCAATGTTCTCACTACAAAAAAAAAGTATGTGAGTTAATCGATATGTTAATTAGCTTGGTTTAGCCATTCCACAATGTATACATATTTCAAAATATCATGTTGTATGCCATAAATATATATCCTTTTGGTAAATTAAAAATTATTTTTTTTAAAAAAGAAAGTCATTTACAAATACAAATGAGCTATGGTTTAAGGTAGCGAGGGCCTCAAGATTGCTTTCAGCACCGTCTGGGTGTCCAGTGGTCTGGGGTGCTCTCGAAGAGATTACGAGCATTGTGCTCGCTTCACAGATACTAAAATTGGAATAACACAGAGAAGATTAGCATGGCCCCTGCACAAGGATGACATGTAAATTCGTGAAGCATTCCATACAAAATAGATTTAAAACCTTAAAAAGAGATTACAAGCATCAAGTGGGGAGTTAGAGTAGTTGACCTTTGGGGTCCCCTTCAACTTATCAGTGGTCTGCTCTGAGGCATTCAATCAAAAGGCAATCCAGGCCAGAGAAGTGGAAAATGTAAGATCCTGGAACTGCTCATAGGACCTATAGTGGAGAGGTCATAAGTGAGTTAGAGAAGTGGGTTAGGCCATTAAAAGAAGAGGGACTCCATCAGTCCATCAGATATTTTAAAATACTATAATAAAAAGGACAGCTAAACTGTGCTGTCTTAATTTTTTTATTAATGTTTTTAAGAGATGGGGTCTTGCTATATTGCCCAGGCTGGTTTCAAACTCCTAGGCTCAAGTGATCCCCCTACCTCAGCCTCCCAAAGTGCTAGGATTACAGGTGTAAGCCACTACGCCCAGCCCTACGCTGTCTTAATTTTACTGAGAACCAGTCCCAGGTCTCATAAAGGAGTCTCTGTATTTCATCTCTATTTATGTTAGTGTGTCACAAGTTTATGGATATATATTATATTTATATTTATATACACACACACCCCTGAATTATCCCTCCTGAATAAACAAGAAGGCACCTATAGATCTAACATATCAAATACTGTCTGGAAGCAGGAAGAATGACTGTGGTCTTTCCTGGTCCTAGCAGGTCCTAGTAGTCTGCTATAGCTTTGACTCAATTCTTCTTCCCATCCTGGTGGAGATGGAAGCCAGATGGTCAACCCTTCCCAAAGAAGAGTCTTTTCCACAATCACAACTCCTCATTTAGCCTTTTCTCCTCTGGGTTGAAGCATGTGATTCTTTAAACTCAAACTGGTAGGAGATAGAACAAGACCCAAAACAGAACAGAAAGGAAGAATCCTTAAATTGACCTTGAACCATTAGGTTGCCCAGAGCTGCTACCTTCCCGATCTCTGGAATCGTGTACTTCAGGATCATCTTTAACATCTTGGAAGCTGCAGAGATGTCACGCCTGCTGGTGTTGGTCATGGCCTCCATGCTCACCATGATCATATCTGCTCTCTTCTCAGGGTTCAGGTATTTCTTGAAGAACTGAAGAAAGAAGAACAGCTGTCTCCACAATGTCAGCATCCCAACTTGGGTCTGCCCCAAAGCCTCTGGCTTCCAAAGAGACTAATCAACCAGGGGCCAGTGGAGGCAGCCCCTGGTCAGCATCTGGCTATTCCGTGGTGTAAGCCAAGCCTCAGAGTGCCACCAGCTCTGAAGTCTCCAGGAAGGAGCAATGGTCCTGACAACTTGATACAGAAGACAATGCAAAAGGCATTTCTACTTCCATGTGGAATGCAAGCAAGTGAGTCCATTGGAAATTAGTTCTGATGTTTAGTGAGCTTGCAGCATTCCAAAGCAAGTAGGAGTGCTATTATGTACAGCAGACATGCCTCATGCCTCTGAGCCTGCACCTGCATATCCACGTGAAGCTCATTCACTCAAACAATATTGAGGCCCAGCTCTGTGCCTGGTTCTATTGCTGGGAGCTCAGGACAACTGTGACTAAGACATACAATGCCTTTACCCTCAAGGAATTTACCATCAAGTCAGGGCAAGTAAACAGGCAGTTATAGTGCAATGTCAGTGATACAGTTTGGCTGTATTCCCACCCAAATCTCATCTTGAATTGTAGTTCCCATAATCCTCATGTGTCAAGGTGGTTACCCTCATGCTGTTCTTGTGATAGTGAGTGAGCTCTCACAAGATCTGATGGTTTTATAAGGGATGTTTTCTCCTTTGCTCAGCACTTCTCCTTCCTACTGCCATGTGAAGAAGGATGTGTTTGGTTCCCCTACTGCCATGATTCAGACCCAAGGAAAAAGAAGGACAGAGTTCCAGGCAGAGGGAACAGAATATGCAAAGGCCTGGAGTGGAAGGAAGTTCAGCCTAACTACTGTGTCCTGCAAGGGAGACCTGGGCCAGATGGAAAAAGGAGACTAAGACAAGATGAGGCAGGACAGTTACAGCAGGGACCAGATCATGAAGGGTCTTGTGGGTCAAGTGAACAAGTTTGGACTTTAGAATGAGGACAGTGGGGATTCAATGCAGTCTGAAAGGGAATAATACATCTCAGCATTTGCATTTTAGAAATGCAGTTCTCTGACTGTAGCATAGAAAGTGATGTGACAAGAAGCACAGTTGGAAACAGGATGCTCAGTAAGGGGCTGCTGGAGTGACCCAGGCAAGAGATGCTGGGGGCCCCACAGTGGGGCTGGAGCAGAGTGGACAAATTCAAGAGCTATCCAGGAGGCAGAATGAACAAACCTGGTGTTGAATTGGATGTGAAGAGTGAGGGAGAGGAAAGAGCAAGGGATGACTCCTGGATTTCTGACTGTAGTGATTTGAGTTGATTGAGCCTGGAGACACCATATCTAAGACAACCAATATATCTTTTTGTGTTTTTTGAGATGGAGTCTCGCCCTGTCGCCCAGGCTGGAGTGCAGTGACTCGATCTCGGCTCACTGCAAGCTCCATCTCCCAGGTTCACGCCATTCCCCTGCCTCAGCCTCCCAAGTAGCTGGGACTACAGGCGCCCACCACCATGCCCGGCTAATTTTTTTTTTGTATTTTTAGTGGAGATGGGGTTTCACCATGTTAGCCAGGATGGTCTCGATCTCCTGACCTCGTGATCCACCTGCCTCGGCCTCCCAAAATGCTGGGATTACAGGCATGAGCCACCACACCCGGCTAAGACAACCAATACATCTTTACTGAATTAAAAAAATTAAGGCTAGGCTACAAATAAGGTACAAGGGCACAATCTGTAGGAGGAGAATAGGGTTGACTATACGTCTTTTAAAGAACTCTCTTGGCCAGGTGCAGTGGCTCATGCCTGTAATCCTAGCACTTTGGGAGGCCAGCGCGGGTGGATCACCTGAAGTCAGGAGTCTGAGACCAGCCTGGCCAACATGGTGAAACCCCATCTCTACTAAAAAATACAAAAATTAGCTGGGCGTGGTGGCACGCACCTGTAATCCCAGCTACTCGGGAGGCTGAGGCTACAGAATCATTTGAACCCAGGAGTCAGAGGTTGCAGTAAGCTGAGATCGTGCCACTCCAGCCTGGGTGACAGAGAAAGACTCTATTTCAAAAAAAAAAGAACTCTCTCAGTGACCTCAAGCCTCAGTCAACTCAAGTGCAGCTAGGGAATGAGTCTTACCCCTCCAGCCTGCTGTCCATGAGACCTTGAGCTTTGGAGACACTCCCCTGGGTGAAGGAGTACTCCTCTGTGGCCCCACCCAGGCCCTCTACAATCTCCCCACCCCAGCTCTCTTTCTTCCCTGTCATGGCTCCCCATCTGGGCATTTCATGCACTGTGGAGAGTGAGGGTTACCAGTGTTAGATCCTGGAGGCTGGCAAGCCATGCTCCATGGAAATGCTTCTGCAAATCCTTCAGGATAGTCTCTGTCTTTTGTTTCACACCTTCAATCCAAAAACAACAATTAAGGGGCAGGGCCTTAACAGGGAAATAGGAACACACCCTTCTTTATTTCCCCTCCAAACCTCAGAGAAGATCAACAGAGTGAAATGGGTGAAATAACATTTGCTCAACAGAATGGGAAGAGTTCCCCAGCACCAGGCCAATGGGTGGAGGGAGAATGTGGCTGGGGACTCAGTCTGGTCCTTGCAGCTGTTCCTGCGCCGTGCCAGAATGTGGACTGTTCTACCCGTGGGTGCTGAGCAAATGCCCTTATAAGAAGTATGCCCTGTTGAACCATGAGAAGTCAGAGTTTCTGAAACTCCTTTTAGGGATATTTGCAAATCCTTCTGGCACCTCTGTAAGCGTGTGTGACTCTTTGTATTTTTTGTTTTCCTTGAGCAAAGAGGGTCTCAATCTGGCACTCCCAAATTTGTTCCCTAAGAAAAGATGTTCATTTTCCCAGTCTTAGGCCTAGCAGTAAGGCTGAGACCACTGAGAAATATTGAGTATCCAAGTTGATTCCACAGGTGGCTGCAAGCCTAGCTCCCCTTTTCCCCGAGAATCTCTTAGAATCTCTTACAAGAGGGCATTGCATCAGCAATGGGGTTGGAGCTCATCCAGATAAAGTTTCCAGATCTACTTGTAATGGGGATCCCTCATCTTGGGGCATCATAGCATATTTACTCCATTGCCCTCATGAGAAGGAACTGCCCTTCATCGTGTGCCTGACACAATGTGGGCATTCAGTGAATGGTGCTTATATGCTCTTGTTATTCATGGGTCCCCACGGCTGTAGCCCAGTGGCCACTCAGGCTCATGTTGCTTACTTCTCTGAAACACAAGGATTTTGAACAGGTAATGCAACGCCTCTGATGCCTCTATGCTGATCTCGTGGTTGCAGCCCATGACGAACAGGCCGAAGATGCTCATCAGTTTCCCACTCATTGAGAATTCCTCCATGTGCTGCCCAGAAGAGGAAACTGGTTAACTCCCCATCACCCCAAAAGGAAATTCCCCATACTGTGGCCACCATCCCTCTCCAACCTCCCCACCCCTCTACACCACTAAATCATTTGCCTGCAGGTATCCCCTCACCACACCAGCTCCACACTCTTTCCCTGCCCAAGAAAACCTTTCAAAGCAGCACCCAGGGAAATGGGGCAGCCAGATCCCTAAAATATGTTAGCCAGTGGGAAGCTGTGGACCCAACCCAGCTGTTTAGGCCAAGGTCCCCCAACAAGGCTGAGATGTGTCCAGCCAATTGAAACTCACTTGGCCAAGGGCAAACCAAGCAAACAAGTTAAGCCTCTTCCCCCATAGGAACAGAAAAGGCACTAATGCAAAAAAAGAGGGACACTCTGACCACCCACCCCCCAGTAACCCCCTGCAGAACCACAGACTCTCAGGTACCCCATGTGCAGAGAAGCAGGGCCCACTGGGTCAGCCTTTCCCCCCACTCCAAGCACTCACTGACAGTTCGGGAAAATTGCAAATAAACCTCAGCAGCCAGGAAATAGTGCCCAAGGCCCGCATCTGTTCATACACTTTGTCTGACAGTAATGACCAAGGTATGATGATCCGGAAAAGGAGTAAAGAGACCTTGTGAACCCCTTCTGTGGGAGTGCTGCTCCCTTCCTTCTCAATTCCACATCTCTGACTGCTAAAAAGACAAAAAGGAGGGAGTTGTGCCAGGCACCAGAGCACACGGCCCCATGAACTTGGCAAAGCAAAGGTGGGTTTAGGAGTCTCCGGGGCTATACAAAAAATTAGCTGGGTGTGGTGGTACATGCCTGTGGTCCCAGCTACTCGGGAGACTGAGGCAGCAGAATGGCTTGAACCTGGGAGGCGGAGGTTGCGGTGAGCTGAGATCGCACTACTGCGCTCCAGCCTGGGCAACAGAGTGAGATTCTGTCTCAAAAAAAAAAGTCTCCGGGGCTTCACCTGCTACCTTCTGGGTCTCTTCTGACAGGAATGTTTAAAGACAGTGCTGTGCCTTAGATGTAGAATTACAAAGCAGTGGGTAAGCAGGAATGGGATAAGATGGGGAGACAGGGCTCTCTTGGTGGCATATCCATGCAAACCCCTACCTGCTAGGCCAGGGGAAGGGGTAAAGTGGTCTCTGAAGGATGAGATTCAGAGCCATTCATTTCTGGAGGTTAATAATCATAGTGACACAGGTAAGTATTCTGAATAGAATAATGCACTCTATCCTCCCATAACAACACTTCCCTGTAAGTGTTATTATTACCACACTAGGTTGAGATCCCACCAGGGAAGACAGGCCTGTGTCCTGCTTGCTACAAACTTTTGGGAAAGTGTGTCCCGTATCATAGCTGCTGGACAGGTGTCCTTCAGGGTAGCCTTTCTCCCAGAGCATTGAACCCCATCATGGACATCCATGTGCCAAAAAAAGAAAAATGAACTACAACGTGTACCTGACCGTCCAATACACAAGTTAATTCAGAATTGACCACAGACTTAAAATCTAGAATGATAAGATTCTAGAAGAAAATGAGAAAATACTTAAGGGAGGCAAAAATTCCTATAACCATAAAAAAAAATAATGACTTGGACTTCATCAAAATGAATAACTACCTGCTCTTCAAAAGATACTGTTAAGAGTGGCCAGGGCTGGGTGCAGTGGCTCACGCCTGTAATCCCAACACTTTCGGCGGCTGAGGTGGGTGCGTCACCTGAGGTTAGGAGTTCAACACGATGTGGGCATTCAATGAATGCCCAGCCAATATGGTGAAATCCTGTCTCTGCTAAAAATACGAAAATTAGCTGGGTGTGGTGGCACATGCCTGTAATCCCTGTTATTCAGGAAGCTGAGGCAGGAGAATTGCTTGAACCGGGGAGGCAGAGGTTTAGTGAGCTGAGATCATGCCACTGCACTCCAGCCTGGGCGACAGAGTGAGACTCCGTCTCAAAAAAAAAAAAAAAAAAAAAAAAGACACTGTATAAAATCAGGCCACAAAATGGGAGAAAATGTCTGCAAATCACATATCTGACAAAATATTTATATCCAGAATATACAAAGAGCTCTCAAGGCTGGGCGTGGTGGCTCACACACTTGTAATACCAGCACTTTGGGAGGCCAAGGCAGGAGGATTGCTTGCACCCTGGAGCTCGAGACCAGTATGGGCAACATAGGGAGACCATAGCTCTACATAAACTTTTTCTTTTTTTTTTTTTTGAGACGGATTCTCGCTCTGTCGCCCAGGCTGGAGTGCAGTGGCATGATCTTGGCTCACCGCAACCTTCTCCCCCCAGGTTCAAGAGATTATCCTGCCTCAGCCACCTCAGTAGCTGGGATTACAGGCATATGCCACCACACCTGGCTAAGTTTTGTATTTTTAGTAGAGATGGGGTTCTGCCACATTGGCCAGGCTGATCTTGAACTCCTGACCTCAAGTGATCCACCCGCCTCAGCCTCTCAAAGTGCTGGGACTGCAGGCATGAGCCACTGTGCCTGGCCCATAACATTCAAAAATTAGTGGAGCATGGTGGCGCACACCTATGGTCCTAGCTACTCAGGAGCCTGAGGTGGGAAGGTCTCTCGGGGAGGTTCGAGGCTGCAGTGAGTAGTGATGGTGTCACTGCTCTCCAGCCTGGGCAACAGAGTGAGATTCTATCTCAAATAAAATAAAATAAAATAAAATAAAATAAAATAAAATAAAATAAAATAAAATAAAATAACCCTCAAACCCCCAAATAAGAAAACAACCCAATAAAAAAATGGGCAAAAGATTTAAATAGACGCTTCATCAAAGCAGATATGTAGATGGCAAATAAGACTATGAAAACGTGCCCAACATTAGTCACTAGGAAACGCAAGTTAAAACCACAAAGAGATACCACTACACATCTATAAGAATGACTAAAAGGAAACACTAGCAATACCACATGCTGGCAGGGATGCAGAGCAACTGGGACTCTTACACATTGCTAGTGGAAGTGGAAAATGGCCACTTGGGAAAACACTTTGGAAGTATCCCCCCTCCTTTTTTTTTTTTGAGAGGGAGTTTTGCTCTTGTTGCCCAGGCTAAGGTGCAATGGCGCAATCTCGGCTCACAGCAATCTCCGCCTCCTAGGTTCCAGCGATTCTCCTGCCTCAGCCTCCCAAATAGCTGGGATTACAGGCATGTGCCACCACGCCCGGCTAATTTTGTATTTTCAGTAGAGATGGGGTTTCTTCATGTTGGTCAGGCTGGTCTCAAACTCCCAACCTCAGGTGATCCACCCTCCTCGGCCTCCCCAAGGGCTGGGATTACAGGCGTGAGCCACCACGCTGGGCTGGGAAGTATCTTATAAAGTGAAACATCCACATGCCATAAAACACAGCAGTCCCACTCCAAGAAATTTACTCAAGTGAAATACAAACCTATGTTCATACAAAAGCCTGCACACAAAGATTTATAGAAGATTCATTTGTAATCATCCCAGTCTGGAAACAACCCCAAAGTTCCTCAACTGGAAAATTAATGCACAAACTGTGATCCATCTACTCAATTAAAAAATAAAAAGAAACAAAATACTGATACACATAACAACATGAATAAATCTCAAATGCATTATGCTAAATGAAAGAAGACAGACTCCAGAGACTGCCTACTGGATAATTCTACTTAGATGTCTTTTTTTTTTTTTTTTTTTTTTTTTTTGAGACAAGGTCTCCCTGTATATTGCCCAGGCTGGAGTGCAGTGGCACTGTCACAGCTTACTGCAGCCTCGACCTCCTGGGCTCAGGTGATCTTCCCACCTCAGCCTCCCAAGTAGCTGGGACCACAGGTACATACCACCACGCCTGGATAATTTTTTTATTATTTGTAGAGATGGGGGTCTCACTGTTGCCCAGGCTGGTCTTGATCTCCTGGGCTCAAGTGATCCTCCCAAAGTGCTGGAATTACAGGCATGAGCCACTGTACTCAGCCTTAGATAACATTTTAATTATTTTATTTATTTAGTTTTGAGATAGGGTCTCACTTTGTTCCCCAGGCTGGAGTACTCAGCCTTAGATAACATTTTTAATTATCTTAATTAATGAATTAATTATTTTCGAGACAGGGTCTAGCTTTGTTGCCCAGTCTGGAGTGCGGTAGCATGATCACAGCTCACTGCAGCCTCAACCTCTAGGCTTCAGGCGATCCCCTCACCACAGCCTCCCAAGTAGCTGAGACAACAGGCACACACCACATGCCCAGCTAATATATTTCTTTTATTTTTAGTAGAGATGGGGTCTCATATGTTGCCCAGGCTGGTCTCAAACTCCTTGGCTTAGGTGATCCCCCTACCTCGCCCTCCTGAAGTGCTGGGACTATAGGCATGAACCACTGCACCTAGATGACATTTTAGAAAAGGCAAAACTATAGGGACAGGAAACAAATCAGCCATTGCCAGGGATGGGGAATGGGGAAGGGGTTGACCATAGAGTCATGGGGGAATTGGGGGGGTGATAGAACTGTTCTATAGCTTAATTGTGGCTGTAGTTACAGGACTGCATGCATTTGTCAAAACCCACAGATCTACACACTAAAAGCTGAATTATACTATATGTAAATTATACCTTAATTTTAAAACGGAAAAAAAGAAGACAAAAGAAAAAGGAGGGCCCTTAAGAAAACCATATAGCCCTCAAATTCGACCTTTCTGATCCAGCTCTGCAAAGTCAAATGTGAAATAAATGATGTTGTATTATGCTATCATGTCATTTTGTAGGAAAAATATGTCTAAAATATATACACACTTGACTGAGAATTACCTCAAAGTAGCAAAAATACATTTTGTTCGCATAAAAATAACTTATTTTTATACTTTTAATTTTATTTATCAAGATAAATTGATTCCTCCACTATTTTATACAAAATGTTGGAACCTGTTTCAGGTGGTAATTTTGCAGGGCATCATTTATCTTTGGATAATGAGAACCCCAGTAATGGATCTCTTGAAGACTGTACCCTGACCAGGACCAAAGTTTTGCATCTCTGTTCCCCCACAGACTCCAAGAACAACAGAACATTTGTTCTTACATTTATAGCAAGGTTGCCTAAAAAGCACAAAAATCCTTCTCAACAAACATACCAGAGATGATACATTCCAAAAGAACTATGTCACTCATCCAAATGTGGACAAATTTCCCTCTAGCTAAAGCCCTTGTCAAGGTCTTTTTGGGTTTTTGGGGGGTTTTTTTTGAGACGGAGTTTCACTCTTGTTGCCCAGGCTGGAGTGCAATGGCCTGATCTCAGCTCACTGCAACCTCCTCTTCCTGGGTTCAAGAGATTCTCCTGCCTCAGCCTCCCGAGTAGCTGGGATTACAGGTGCCCACCACCACGCCCAGCTAATTTTTTTGTATTTTTAGTAGAGACGGGGTTTCACCATGTTGGCCAGGCTGGTCACAAACACCTGACCTCAAGTGATCCACCCGCCTCGGCCTCCCAAAGTGCTGGGATTACAGGCGTGAGCCACTGCACCTGGCCTTGTCAAGGTCTTTTTATAAGATGCCTGGGCAATCTTGTCTCCTTCTTTGTAGTCACACCTAATGCTTTATGCAAAATTTTATTACCGTAATTGATTACCATCGTGTTCATGAAAGTCGGTTTCAAGTGATTCTTGGCTGTTTCCCCAACTCAACTACCCTCAGGAGATAACAATTTGTCATAACTAAGAATATTTGAAACGCTCTGAAGCTCTAAAGACAGTTAAAGAAGTACAATGAGTCTCTGGTGGGGATTACATTAAGGGATATAAGAGTAGCCTGTGGTTAAGCACTGAGGTCTTCTTTATCACAGAGCAATGGCAGATGCTGCAAAAGGGGAAAATACTTTGAAGATTAAAGTCTGGCACAGATATAAATGTTATTACCATCGAAGCCCCAATATGTCCAAGTCCTGGGCAGAAATGGGTCCTCAGCTTAGTGGGCTATGTTTCCAAAACTGTGATCCTCAAAATGGTATTTCGTGGGAGATACAGAAATTTGTCTTCAAGTGATGTTTATGCATGCTGAGGCTTGAGAACCGATGGTCTTTGGACTAGAATGACACCTAGGCTATCCTGATATTCTTTTCCTTTCCTCCCAAACATACTAGAATTAATATGGACTTTCAGTTTCCTTGATTTCCACAGCCACTTACCTCCAGGAAGTTTTGTAGTATGAGCATGTTAGGGTTCATCCTGTCCATCACAAGAGCCTGCAACATGTTGTCTAAGGCCTGGACCCTCTGACAAGTGAAGAGACAGGGAGTGTCCAGAACAGACTGCCACAGTGCCAGCTCGGCTCCCTGGGGGCACTCCATCTCCTTGTCCCCTACCTCTGGAGGAAGGAAGTGGGGCCAGCCTGGCTCTGCCACCCCCGGCAGTCTCTCTCTCATGGCCAGCCACACTCTGATCTTCCTTGGTGCTGACTTTTCTTGGTCTCAATGAAGACTGGACCAGGTCCAGCCCAAATTGTGAGCCCATTGGTGAAATGTAGGCATTGGGCCATTCTCCCCAAGAAAGCCAGATCCCGTGGGACTCTCCGCATTAGATTCATTCCGCTAGGTCCAGGACACATCTATTTTTAAAACTACAAAGGCTGAGGTGGGAAGATAGCTTGAGCCCCGGAGGTTGAGGCTGCAGTGAGCTATGATTGCACCACTATACTCCAGCCTGGGCAACAGAGTGAGACCCCGTCTCAAAATTTAAAAATTAAAAATGAAATAAAAAATTAGAGGCCCCTGGGAAGATTTGGCAGTCTACTGGTCAGTTGCTCCACAGTATCTGTGGGTTTTATTATCAGACTGTCTCCTCCCGTGACTGAGGCTGCTGTGAGCCTTAGTGAACAAGGACATGGATAGGGTGGGAGCATGGGCCAATCCCTGGAAAGACAGGTGAGGGTACGACAGCTGGAGTGCTTCTTAGCAGCCCCAGGAACATGGGGCCAAGAGCTCTGCAGAGAGGTCAGAGCAGGAGAAAGGAGGGAGAGTTAAAGGGCAAGAGGTGACTCCAAAGACAAAACCTCCCCGTGGAGCTCTCCATGAAGAGGTGGGGATTACCTGGAGGTAGAGACTCGCATTGTCTCTTCGGTACAGGCTGGGCACGATAGGCGGCAGAGAGAACAGGCTGGAGACGCCCACATTTACCAGATCCAGTTTCTGGGACAAGTGGAATGGTGGATTCACCTGACTGCAGGGAGAGGCAGGGAATGACAAGCGGCTTTGGGGTCCCTGGGAGAGACTGGGACCCTCTGGGAGAATGTGCTCTGCTGCTGTTTCTGAGATGCAGGAAACAGTGGGGATCTGAGCCCCCAAACACTTTCTAATAGCCTCTCCTCCAGGGAAGGAGGGCCTGGGTTGCTAGGGAAGCTTCCCTCACTGGACGTCTTAATAGGCTTCCAAAAGTACAATTGGAGAACACCCCCTCCACCCAAGGATGCAGGCAGATAAAGTGGCAGACACGGGGGCTATGCCACCCACAGGCCAAAATTTAAGTCCCCAAACCTTGCCCTTCCTCCCAACCCAAATGTTCTGAGCACAAGAGACCCAGGCGCTCTGAGGGGGTAAGAGCAGGAAAGGCACCTCAGCGCCACGATGCAGAGCATGGCTTGCTGACGCATGTTGCCCATCAAAATCTCAGTGGATTCTTCAAGAATTAGTATCTAGAAAGGCCAGGAAACAAACAAACAACAACAACAAAAAAAACAAGAACCCCCCTCAGAGAGAGATGCCAGCCCTCAGGTCCGGGACTTGTCATCCTCATCCCTGAATGACCAACTCCCAGAAGAGCTTGGGTCTTTCTCACCTCAATTTTCTTGGCCAGGATGGCTTTGGGATAGTAATCGTCCATATTGCCGTCTGCTTGGCCATGCACAGCACTACTCAAGGTTTCCACAGCTCTCAGGAACTTCAGCTTGGTGAACTCAGACTAGGACACAATACACAGATTGCTGCCCATAAGCTGGGCTTCAGCCCTTAGGCTCTGCCCACAGGCAGCACCTGAGACCTACACCCCACCCCTGCTCCTCACACCCAGCCCAGATTCCCATCAACTAGGCCAAAGGATGGATTGCTCACTTGATTTTCTCAGTGCAATGTCCCTGTCCCCAGGACTGCTGCTCACCAATGTCTGGCCACCTGTGTAGGGCTCTGGAGGACAGTGGGGCTAAGGATCTCTGACAAAGATCCTTCCTACAGGAAGGGAACTGCAAGATCTAAGCCCTAGACACCCTGTCCAGTGGCCTAGCCACCAAAGATCTGCCCAGTCACGAGGCAACAATGGGCTGAGTATCTGGTGGCTTCCAAGCCAGGGCTGGTACTCAAAACCCAAGGAGGCATAAGCCCTCTTATTTTTTTCTACTTTCCGCCTCAGTTCACACAAAGGTCCAGAGAACTTTCTTACCATATGTTCTTCTTCTAGAAAGTCCACTATGAACTCATAGGCTTCTCTTTCTGATTGGCGCAATCCTGAAAAGGGATGTAGTTGGGGGAGTTTAGCTGATTCCACCAGATGGAACAGGAAGCCAGAGTCATCCTCCCCCTCCCTTCCTGCCCACCAAGAAGGCCCAGAAGCTACCAGGGTCCCCAGAACCAGCTTCTCTAGGCCAATGGAAGCCAAAGTGGAAAGGCCATCATGTGGGGATTAGATAAGAGATTTTCAGCCGGGTGCAGTGGCTCATGCCTGTAATCCCAGCACTTTGGGAGGCCGAGGTGGGTGGATCACCCAAGGTCAGGAGTTCGAGACCAGCCTGGCCAACATGGTTAAACCCCATCTCTACTAAAAATAAAAAATTAGCCGAGTGTGGTGGCATGCACCTGTAGTCCTAGCTACTCAGGAGGCTGAGGCAGGAGAACAGGAGAATCGCTTGAACCCAGGAAGCAGAGGTTGCAGTGAGCCAAGATCGCACTACTGCACTCCAGCCTGGGCAACAGAGTGAGACTCCATCTCCAAAAAAAAAAGAAAGAAAGAAAGAAAAGAAAAAAAAGACTTTCTGCATCAGGTATGGCCCAATGGCCCGGGATGGAAAAACAATTGGGAGGAGACCTTTAAGTCACTCCCAGTGGCCACAAATTTCT
The DNA here is from genome assembly GCF_000001405.40 of Homo sapiens. Lineage (NCBI taxonomy): Eukaryota > Metazoa > Chordata > Mammalia > Primates > Hominidae > Homo > Homo sapiens. The sequence continues at coordinate 200,919,845 of NC_000001.11, read as the reverse complement.
AGGGCTGTCCTAGACTGACTTTGAAAGTTTTGATTGCGAATGGACTTGAAACCCCAAGTCAGCCTGGGAGGCTTCTTTGCCAACTAGACTGGCACAGCCTTCAGGGCATGCCTCTCTGAGCCTGAGGGTTGAGGCCAGGAATACAGCCTGTTTGCCCCAAGTGAAGTCGGGAGAAGGTAAAGCAAGAGGAAGGAGCTGGTGACACCACTGGGCTCCAAAGCAGCATGGGACACAGGCCTGAGTTCAAGTTGCTGCTGCCCTCTCACACTGCCCTGCAAGAAAAGCCTCTCAGAATAGGACTTGGACCCAAAGCACGGGAGCTGCACACAATGACCCTGGCACCAAACTGCATGAGTTCCAAGTTCAGCTCCTCTGCTTCATCAGCTCTGTGATCTCCAGCAAATTAAACTCTGTCAACTTTACCTTCCCCATCTGTATGACAGGGAAGATGATACTATCTGTTATTATTTGAGGATTAAATGAACAATGAGTCTTAATACATGTAAGAAGTGACCTTGAGCAAACTAAAATCCCCCAAGCTTCAGTTCTGACATCTTAACCTGGGGATGATCATCACAGTATCTATTATTGTTGTGGATTTAAATAAATTAATATGTGAAAAAAAATTAGAATGCTTCCTGGCATATAGTAGGAAATCAATGAGTGCATTCTTTAGCATACATTTATTGAGCACCTACTATGTAAAAGGACTCTCCTAGACACATCAGGGAACAAAAGAGACAATAATCTTTGCTGTCACAGAGCTTCTTACACACCAGGGAGTTCCTTCATAGGAACTACCCTTCTAAAAGAATTTTTATTTTGTATTTGCCCATTTGGGTTTGTATATACACAGAGGTCAAAGAAAATCTCATTGAATTTAAGTGGGCTTGAAGAACGTGAATGGCAAGCCATTTATATATCTGGTAAGAAAGCATTCTAAGCCAAGGCAACAGCAAGTGTGAAGGCCCAGAGGCAGGATCGTGCCTGGAAAGCTCAAGGAACAGCAAGGAAGCCTGGGTGTCTGGAATGGGAGGAGCAGGGAAGAGTGGTGGGAGGTGAAGGTAAAGCAGTAATGGGGCAGATCATGAGGGACTCGTAGCTTATTGTAAAGACAATTGGCTCTGGGGACAGGAGCCCTGGGCAGGTTTTGAATAAAAGTGGTCTGACTTTGATTAACAACAGCACTCTGGCTGTTCAGCTGAGAATAGATCAGGAGTAGAGGTGGAGAATGGCATGGGGTGTGGGCAGAAGCAAGAGACCAACTGGGAGGTTATGACAATAATACAGAGGTGAGACGGTGGTTCACACCAAGGGAGGTGGTTAGATGCAAATGATCAGATTCTGTATCCATGTTGAGGGTAGAACCAATAGGAATAGTTGATGGCTAGATGTGAGTATGAGAGAGAGAAGTCAAGAATTTTGGCCTTGAGACACTGGAAAGATTGAGTTCCCATTAACTGATGTGGGGAACAGAACAAATTTGCAGTTGGGAATAAAGTTAAGAGTTCAGTTTGGAATATATTAATTTTGAGATGTCTACTAGGCATCAAAGTGGAGATATCAATAGGCAGTCGGATGTAAGAGCCTGGAATTCCAGAACTGCAGATCTGGACTGCAGATACCAATTTGGGAATTGTTGGCATGTAGATGTTATCTAAAGATTTCTCTGCCTGGGTGCAGTGGCTCATGCCTGTAATCCTAGCACTTTGGTAGGCCAAAGTAGGAGAATCACTTAAGCCCAGGAGTTCGAGAACAGCCTGGGCAACATAGTGAGACCTCATCTCTACAAATAACCAAAAATTAGCTGGACATGGTGGCACGCACCTGTACTCCCAGCTACTTGGGAGGCTGAGGTGGGAGGACTGCTTGAGCCCAGGTCATACCTCTGCAGAGAGGTATGATGGTGCCACTGCGTTCTAGCCTGGGTGACAGAATGCGACCATGTCTCAAAAGAAAAAAAAATTATATATATATATATATATATATATATATATAGAGAGAGAGAGAGAGAGAGAGAGAGAGAGAGAGAGAGAGCGTTCTGGCTCTCCTGAACAGCTGTCAGCTAGAGGAGGTGTCACTGAAAGTCTCAGGCAATGTCTTGTTCCTGGCTCAGCTCCAGGCTTCTCAGGGAGGCAGGCCTGAAAAAGCACAGGCATGCAGAGACTAGAGCTGTGACAGGGGTAGCCAGAAGTGGGCAGATGTGTGCCCATTAGGTACACCTCAAGCGAGGGCTTGTGCAATCACCACCACTTCTGAGCACCCACAGTTAATTGAGAGACAGAACCAACTGCTCACCCGGTAAGCTGGACTTCCAAGAGATTTGTAATGTCGATGGTTCAAAGGTTACTCTGTTTGGTTTTCGCTTGTTAGAACTCGGATTCATCTGTACACTTGGGGCAGCAGCCTGCAGCTTGCGATGAGAACAGTGGGCAGGCCTGGTGTAAGATACTCCTTCCTAGGGATACAGCCTCTGCACTCACTCCAGGGGGAAGCTGCAGGAGGCAGACCCTGCCCATTTACCACAAAAGGAATTGGTTGAGTAGGGCCAGTGCCGGGTTCCAGGGTCAGCTTCCCATTTCTTCCCCATGGGAAGATTCGGGACCCTCTGAAGGGCCCTGGTCCCTCCTGATTTGCCTAGTAGTCTTCCATTCTGGGATCTTCCAGCATAGAGAATCTCAGACTCACAGGTGGGCTCCTAGGTCACAGTGGCCATCCCTCTGCCTCCAGGCCAAATTGCCTCTGGGAGTCTTGCTGCTAAAATCCCGAGGTCCCCTCTTCCCAGAGGCTTCTGTCCCCACCCCCTAATTCATAACCTTACTTCTGCCCTATGGTAGGGGAGCTAAGAGCCCCCACATGTCTGCCCCTCCCAGACATGGCCCAGGGAAGCCTGCTGGTGGACCAGGAAGAAACTGCTGTGCAACCTGGTTCTCTCACCGCCCTGCACTTCGGGTCCCCAAACGGGCGCGTCCCATCGCTCACTGCCTTAAAGGGCCTTGCTCTGCCCCTGTGTCCGTCTCTTTTGTATCCCCCCTCTTAGCTGGTCTCTGTCCTGTTGTTGGGAGCTGCCCCTTGGACAGGTCATCCCCTGGGAACTTGCTCACCCTGTTTTCCCCGGGCCTAACTCACCATCGTCTAAAATACAGAATCCAGCGCCCCATTCCCCACAAATAATAGGTCGAAGCGCTCAGGTCTGAGATCAGGATACCCCACAACTTCTCCAGAGACCCTGGAGCCGTCTCCCCTCCCCTACCTTCCCCAAGAATGGAGTGCCCCAGACCCCTGAGGCCCACAGATCCCCGCGGCCCCCAGGGCCGCACCCAGGCAAGGCTGGAGGCGCCCCTTGGGCAGCGAGGGCCGGGGCCCTTCCCCGCCCCTTCCTTGGCTGTGGAGGGAACTGGCGGGAAGGGGGACCCCTTTACCTGACACGCCGGCGCCTCAGGTCCGGGCACAGCCTCTCCAGGGGGCGCTGTGCTCCGGGGCCCTGGAGCGGTCCCTGCAGGGCAAGCACGGAAGTGTCCAAGGTGGCGCTCCCCGCCCCTGGCCTCAGTGGGACCCCAGGCAGCGGAGGGGCTGTGGGCACTCTTGCCGATGGGGGAGGGGCCTGCGGAGAGCCCCGCCTCCTCACCACCCCAAGGAGGGGTCCCAGTCTTCCAGGTATGGGGAAGGGGCTGTTTCTCATGAGCCTGGGCTCCGGGCAGTCAAAGCTCCAGGAATGGCTTGGAGGCGCTGAGCCACCCATCTCTACCCTCTGCCTGGCCAGTGCCCTGTCCTTGGGGAAGTGACTCCCACAGGCCAGCTCCTCAAGCTGAAGAGGCTGTAAGGAGCCTTGACAGGGGTTGTGCTGGCTTCCACCCTGCCCCGGAAGCAGAGAATCTGAGAGCCTCCCTCTACCACCCAACCCATCACACCAGCTCCCCAGGGACCTGGCCAGACCAGCTGGAGGGGCCGGGCAACTTGGCCACCTTGGCGGGCAGCCCAGGGGGCCGGGCTCAGCCTCTGCTCGGGGAAACCTGGCGCGCGCGCGCGCGCACACACACACACACACACACACACACACACACCAAAAAATAAAAATAAATAAAAATAAAAAATCCCTCATCCCCAGCTCAGCCAATCACAAAAAACAGACTTTATTGAAGTATTTAGCACTAAACCCCACACAATTCCAGCTCTGTAGCTGAGGACACAGCCACTTGGCAATGGCACCAGGTGTTATACAAGACCAATAAGTTAATGTAAAGGACGCTTAGGTGTGGAGGGCCAGTGCTCAGCCGTCTCCTGGCTCAGAACAAGGCACTCTGGGCTCCAGTTAGGACACTGAGAGGCCAGGGAAACCAACATGCCCTGGAGAAAGGGGCTTAGAGACAAACCGGAAAAGCACAGCATCCAAGCAGGGTATTCACGCATGGGGGGCAGAGTAGGCCCAAAAGTTGGGGGTTGCTGATGCGGTAAGAGCACAGTGAGAGAAATGCCAGGTGCATCCCTTCAGCCTCCTGCATCCTCCCCCAGGTTCCTTTGATGGGCCATCCTGGGTCTTCCCTTGGCACCCTTGTGCAATCGGCTACATCGTTTTCTTTCCAGTAGAGAGAACTGTGCCTCTTCTAGGTCAGACACCAGAGTTCTTGGAACCTTCTGCTATATTCACAGTCTGTTCCAGTCCAGGTAACATGGGGGCAGAGAGTTCTGCACAGGTGAAGTCAGAACTCAGCTCTCCCTACCTCTCCTAGCCTCAATTCAGTTGCTTTCTCATTGAAGCAGGTCCCCTGACCTGGAAGCAAAGAAGGCCCTAGGATGAGAACCCAGGGACAGCTGGGTGGTCTTAGCACAGGCAGCTTCCAGACTTGCTCCAGTCGCTGCAGCTGGGACAATTAATGAATGCCCCCAAAGAAAATTCAGCATCTCATCAGCCCTTGGGAGTGAGTATGTCCATGTTTGTATAAATAACCACCTTCTCAGAGCAGAAGCATAGCTGGTGGGGGGAGTAGGAACTGTGACTCCCTCTCCCAACCAGAACATGCCACAAAAGTGGTGCCTTTCCAAAACCACTTGTAAAGTATTGGTTTTTGGGACTATGATGAAAAAACGTTAGAAGGGCCAGGTGCGGTGGCTCATGCCTGTAATCCCAGCACTTTGAAAGGCCAAGGCAGGTGGATCACTTGAGGTCAGGAGTTCGAGACCAGCCTGGCCAACATGATGAAACCCCATCTCTACTAAAAATAAAAAATTAGCAGGCATGGTGGTGCTTGCCTGTAATCCCAGCTACTCGGAAGGCTGAGGCAGGAGATTCGCTTGAACCCGGGAGACGGGGGTTGCAGTGAGCCGAAATCTTGCTACAGCATTCCAGCCTGGGCGACAGAGCGAGACTCCATCTCAAAAACAAACAAAATGTTAGAAGGAGCAGTGGGGCTGCAAGCCCTTGAGATGCCCAGAGGTAGCTGTCAAAGGGTGGCTGCTGTCCACTAACCACAAGCATGGACCAGCCCCCAGCCAGACCCCCTGAGGCTACAAACTGTGATGCCACTGACTCAAAGCTCAGGGGTCTGGGAGCCCACAGGGCATAGACAGGGTATAGTGACTGGGTCCCTAAAGAGGATTTAGGGGGTCAGGAAAATAGCAGGGTCTAGCAAGACAATACACCACCGGGATATACTGACCTTTGACCTACCACTTGGTGTGTGCATCACAGAGCACATTAGAAAAGGGGGAAGAGATTCTCCCCCAGCCCAGGCTGGGGTACCCAGAGACCTGGGAAATGGGGGAGAGTCATGTGCATGAGTATGTACCATGTCCAGCCTCCAGCAATAGTGGGACAGGAGGGCCAGGGGCAGTTCCCCAGGGAATTTCTTAGAACCAGAGCACAGAGCGTTGGAGAACTCCCAAGGTGGCTCACTCTGCTTCACTCGTCCCCTGCCACTTGTCTTATATAAGGAGATAGAGGCTGTCAGTCAGACAGGCAAGGCCTTAAGTCCAGTAGGCCAAACTCTGGGGGATAAAACATAATCATATCACAGGGGTATTGAGGACAATCCACATATATAAATCCTTAGGTCAGGGCTTCTGAAAAAAGTCGTGTAAAAAAAAAATAATAAAAGGTCTCAGCTCCAGGTCATCGGCCTGCGATGGGGATGGGGGAGCTGAAAGAGGCACTCAGGGGTGGGGGGGTCTCAGCCCAGCCCCTCTATGAAACAGTTTTTTCCAGCGTGGGGCGCAGAGTTACACCTGGCTGATGATCTCTCCTTTTTCAGGTACAAAGACTTGCACAGGGGCCCCATCAGGCGATCTCCGCAGCACACAAACTGTGGGCACCTGCCAGGGTCAGGAAGAAAGGACAGGTGGGTAAATGAACCAGGCAGAAAAGCGGGGACAGCAGGCACAGTTACACCATCCTTATCCCTTAGGGACACTGACCAGCAGAAGCAGCAGCAGCAGCAGGCCCTGGCACTCAGCCCCTTCCTCCCAGGATGCTCTCTGTTCTTCAGGGACCCCCTTTACACATTTTCCTCCATGTTCTTTTGGGGTGTGACAGGCGCCCTGACCTCCTCCTCCCCCACCTTTCCTGGGCTCACTTCTCATCACCCTCCCTGTCTGGCACGTTGGGATGGGCTGGGTCTATCCAGCCAAGGACAGGCCCAAGCGCGCAGAAAGGGAAAAGCACGTCAGCTGGAGGGCGCGGCCTCGGACCGGGGCCAGGGTGCTGCCAGGCCCAGGATGCCAGCTGCAGTCCAAAGAACCGTGGGTGGGGGAGGGACACGCAGCTGGGTCTGCTGGGAATCTGGGGTCTCAAAGAAGCAGCTTGTTGGTAACTTCTGGAGCACATCACCTGCAGAGCCCTCCGTACCAGGGAGAAAGAATAAAGAAAGGATTCCTGTGTGTGGCTCCCCACTTCCAGAATGAAGAAATAGGGGCCAAGGAAACCAAGGCTGCCACCCTACCCAGTGTCAGGGTGCTCTATCCTATATACTACCCTCCAGCCTGCTCCCTGGCCTCTGTGGCCCCAGATGATAATAATATCACATATCTAGCGCTTACCATGCATTGCTCTAATCATTTCAGCCTCTTGGCAGCCCTATGAGATAGGTACTCTACTACTCTCATTTCACAGGGGAGGAAACACTAGGTCCAAAGGGGTTAAGTAACTTGCCCAATCATACAGCTCGTAAGTGGCAGAACTGGGATTTGAACCTGGTGGTCTAGCTTGAGGGTGGGTGCTCTTAACTCTGATGCCACCCTTCTTCTCGGCTTGGTGGTGAGGAGGGGTGTCAGGGAGGATGCTGATGCCCAGAAAATCACAGGTTCTGGCTTCTGCAACTCATTTCCTACTCTCCCTTTGTCCTAGACCTTCAAATGGAAATCTGAGGGGCTGATTTGGACTGGACTTTTGATTATGAAGAGGCTTATCTGCTTTGTGCATCATCATTTAGGGAGAGAAAAAGTCTCAGCTATCTTCGGGGATCATCTCCACCAGTGTATATGCTCTTGAGCTAGACATGGCAGGCAAAATTAGGAGGTGCCCCAGGGAAGCCAAGAGTGCCTTCCAAAGCCAAGAGGAAATGATTTTTTGGCCTGTTCTTCCTAGACGGGGATTACCCGGCCACTAGGTTGCTGCTTTGATGCCTCTGTACCCTTGGACATACTAGAATTGCAGCCCCTCCCCAACAAAACAGCCCTCCTGCCTGGCCCCGGGGTCCCTCCAGAGCAGCCGTACCTGTGCCCGGGGTCCCAGGGCTCGTCCGAAGCCCTCTCTCCCAAGGGGCAGGCTCCTGACCCGGAAAGCTCCTTGGCGGTCCAGTGAGTGGGGGCGGGTGCTCCGGAGGCGTGCACGCTCGTGCCACCACTTGAGCTCCTCGGACACGGCGGCCTTGCTGAGCCCCCGGCCTGCCGGGCTGTCCTTCAGGGAGGGCGTCCGCACGATGCGGCTGCGGGAGGGCACCAGACGCTGGTAGCGCAGGGGAGTGCCCTCCTCCTCGTAAGCAGGGCCCGGGGCTGCGCGGCGCAGCTCCCACTCGCCAGGCGGCAGGGGGCTCTCAGCCACCACCACGTACCGCCCCGCCGGGAAATAGCCAGGCGGCAGCAGTAGCTTGGGGTGGTGGGCGACCAGCTCTCTGCTGCCGGCTGGGACCCAGGCCCCGCGGTGACGATGGGTCTTGGGAGGGGAGAGAGGCTGCAGAAAGGAGATGTCGGGGCTGCTGCTGCCCGGCGAAGTGGGGTGGGAGATGCTGGAGACGTCAGAGCCACTGTCTTCTGAGCAGGAGTGGCAGGCGGCGTGGGGCAGCGGGGGCTTGGTCGCGGGAAAGCAGGAATCTGGCACTGTCACCGTGTAGTGAGTGGGGCGGCGGCGGGGAAAGGCGCTGCGACCTCGGCCCTCAGGACCCGCCCGGAAGGAATCCACCCTGAAGAGGGAAAGAGAGGCATTCTGAGTGTGGGGGGCAGAAACTCCACACTGGGGTTGGGGCGGGAGGTGGAGTTAAAACAGGTGAGTCCTGCTCTACCTCAAGGCCCAAGCATGGCCCTCGTGCAAGGGTCTTAGGTCAAGTCTCCCAAAGCAAACCAACAAACCCTCTGCCGGGCTGCGTGGGTGCCAACGCATTCCTTCCCTGTGTGCAAAAGTGTTCCTGCTGCATTCACAAGCTTGTGATTCGTGTAAAGTGTGCTACATCAAGTAGCACATTAAGTACTTTTTTTAAAGTACTACATTAAGTACTTTTTTTAAAGTACTACATTAAGTACTTTTTTAAAGTACTACATTAAGTACTTTTTTTAAAGTACTACATTAACTACTTTTTTTAAAGTACTACATTAACTACTTTTTTTAAAGTACTACATTAAGTACTTTCAGCTTAGGTACACCGTGTCCAGTGGCAGATCATCCACAGCATCTGTTCGGTAGGCACTGCCAGGTACCTTACTTGAACGTGTAAAAGCTGTCATGTGGTACCCAGAGCAGTTACCTGCAGCCCAAGACCGGCAGGGGCTGAAATCCAGCCTTCACTTCACTCTACTAATGCACCCAGGTATGGGGCTGTGTCTGCCTTTTCCTAATTTGCACAAAGGCATGGTTTGTAAAATGGCCCTCGTAGCATGTAAAATATAAAATCTATTGCTGTGTGGTGGCGGACGCCTGTAATCCTAGCTACTCAGGAGGCTGAGGCAGGAGAATCGCTTGAACCTGAGAGGCGGAGGTTGCAGTGAGCAAAGATTGCGCCACTATACTCTAGGCTGGATGACAGAGCAAGACTCTGCCTCAAAAAAAATTTAAAAATTAAACAAAATCCATTGCTTTACTTGAGAGCAGTTGTCCCAAGCTGCCCCCAGTTCAGTGCTGCCTGACCAGCCAATTTAAGCTGATGGAGAATTCAGCAGTGCTTTCATGGTGCCCCAGTCCCCATATGGTATGGCCAATACTGCCTGTCAACGCTTAGCCATTTAAACTATTACCAAGTAGCAGATGACTTAGAAAGTAACATACAGTCAATTCTCATTATTTGCAGATTCAGTATTTGTAATTTTCCTAGTTGCTAAACTTTATTTTTAATCCCCAAAGCAATATACACAGTGCTTTCATGGTCATTCTTGGACACTGCAGAAAAGTGACAAATTTGAGTCTCTTTAAGTTCTGAGGTTAAACGAGGCCATGTTCTGCCCTCATGTTTCAGTTCTCATGCTGTAAGTGCACAGTGTCCTTTTTGTGGCATATTTATGTACTGTGTGTGTTTTTGCTTTGATTAGTGATTCTGCTGTTTAAAATGCCCCCAAATACAGTGCCAAAGTGCTGTCTACTGTTCCTCCCTAAGGCATACTGGGAAAAGGCTGTGGTGTGCCTTGTGGAGAAAATATGTGTGCTAGGTAAGCTTCATCTGGGTATGAGTTACAGTGCTGTTGGCCATGAGTTAATGAATCAACAACCCATATTAAGTAAGGTGTCCTTAAGCAGAAACTCACATAACATAAGGTTATATATTAATCAGTTGATGCAAAATGTCGTGACCAAAGGCTCACGGGAACCTAACCCTATATTTCCCCAGGGGCAAGGGTTCAGTATTTGCTAATTCAGGATTTGCGTCAATTTTACTTTATAGAACATAACTACCACAGATAATGAGAATCAACTGTGCATCAATTGAAAAAGTGAGTTGCCTATTGTCAGTGACCAATAATAATCTACCAGCACAAGGAAACATGGCAAGGGTAGAAAATTTGAATCAAGTTATGCAAAAAGACAAAACTAGAGTCTTTGGAAGAAAACCACTTGCTTCATGGATGGCCTTTGGCTTAGTGGGGTGCAGTGCATTCTCTGTCAAGAGGCGCCCCAAGAAGAGATCCTAAGAGAAGTCAAGGCACTAGCCATGTGTCACCCAGGGTTGTCCCACCTGTGTCCTGGGAGCTCCCACCCTCCAACGATAAGCTCTAAGTGGGTCCCCCATCTCTCTGGGGAAGCTGTCTCTTACCTCAGAGACTGCGACTGGCCCCTCCTCCCCTGTATCTCAGGGGTGGCTGGGGCACTGGTGCGGCCCTGCCACTGGCCAGGAACACCACGGATGGGAACCACGTGGTAGGAGGCAGGCTCCAGAAGCCACAGGCTGGAGGCACTGGGCCCATCCTGTGGTGTGGTGGCTGGGCTGCTGCAAAAGGATTAGAGACAGGTCAGTGGCAGGAATGCCTCCATTCAGGGGCTCAAGAGGTGCAGAAGAATGGGGATGCAGTGGAAGGGGCTCCCAAAGTTAGTAGGGCAAACTGCCAGCACCCTTGGGGAACTATCAAGGCTCACACCTCCATCCCACGACTGCAGGAGCTCTCTCCTCCACCTTTCCACTTTTCCATCTGCCCAGCCTATAGCCATCCCCAGCATAGCTCCCACCGACTCCCTGCCCTGCCCTGCCCTTCTCCCTTCCCCCTGATCCTGACCTGGACTCGCTCCAGGGCTCAGAAGACTTCCTGGGCTTCTCATAGGGGTGGTCCAGGCTGGTTTCCTTCCAGGGGCTGTTCTGGACTGGAGCCCGTTCTGGGCTCCCAGCCTCAGGTCCTGTTGGCTGCAGACCCTCAAGGGTTTGGGGTGGGAGAGGCCGAGAAGGTGGGGCTGGAGACTCTGGAGGAGGTTTTGGCACTTGGGATTCCTCTGCAGGAGTAAAAGAAACCTGGTAAGGCCAGAGGCTGGGGGAACCGGCCCAACAAGAACCTCCACAAACCACAGCCCATGCCTCGCCGCTCTCCCTCCCATGCTGGCTTGTGCAGCTGCTGCAGGCCATGGCTCCAGCCCTAGATGCTCAAACATGTTTTCTTCTCCTTTGGGACTTACTTCTTCCCACACAGCCCTATTTTATGCCTTCCTCCTTCAAGAAGCCTCCCAGATTGACTCTCTTGGGCTTACAGTGCTCCACTTTCTAACCTTTGTTCCTGGTACCATGTCTGCAGTTATCTTTTGTTTACCTATTTTTCTTGTTCCTGCCATGCCCATATGGCCTATTTATTTCCTTATTGGCTTGGGCACTCCCCTGGGCAGGACTGCAACAGCTTCTCGATCCACCTTGACCCTGGCATCCTCATGGTTTGTACACAGGGTTCTTAATCTATAGACTTGTGTTTCCTTCCTGCTCCCTTCTTTTAAAAAACAGCAATGATTGTGGGCAGATTGCTCTTTGGCTCTGACTGGTGCATCTTGAAATCACACCCAAGGGTGAAGGAGGGACATCTGGGGTTGATCAGCTCTCTTGGAGTTCACCTTTCCTTTCCCTGTAAAAATAATGAGCTTCCAGAATGGGAGATGATCGCACATTCCCCATCTTCAACTGAGCATGTGCAAGGACATGCGGAAATTGACATGAAGTCCAAGCGGAAACCCTAAGCCTGGCACCCTAGCCTTCACTCCCACTTAAATTCCACACCAGCAAACTGCCCAAACCCCATGGTCTTGCAGTAGGAGTCCAGCCTTGACAATAGTCCCCCAAACGTCCTTCTCACCTTCCTCCAGGAGGAGCCCATCTGACAGGGAGCTGTCATCAGAGGCACTGAGCTCTGCGAAAGACAAAGGGGAGAGAAGAGAAGGAAGTGAAGAAATGAACAAACAGATATGAGTAACCAGCAGTGCTGAGCAGCTCAGGCCTGATCACTCCCCCAGGACAGCATCAGTTATGAGGAAATACCCTCTGTGTGCTAAATACACATTGGGAGTGATTTTTTTTTTTTTTAAGAGACAGGGTCTTACCCTGTGGCCCAGGCTGGAGTGCAGTGGTGTGATCATGGCTCACTGCAGCCTTGACCTCCCAGGCTCAAGGGATCCTCCCACCTCAGCCTCACAAGTAGCTGAGACCACAGGGGCATGCCAGCACACCCAGCTAAATTATTTTATTTTTTTTGTAGAGAAGAGGTCTTGCTGTCTTGCCCAGGCTGATCTTGAACTCCTAGGCTCAAGTGATCATCCCACCTTGGCCTCCCAAAGTGCTGGGATTATAGGCATGAGCCACTGTGCCTGGCCTGGCTGTAAACTTACTACATGGAAGTAGAAAAAAATAGAAGGCAGAGCTAGGAGACAGGAAACCTGATTTTAATCCTGACTCTGATACTAGCTATGCAACCTTGAATAAACCATTTCAATGCTCTAGACCTCAGTTTCCCCACCTGTCAAAAAAAAAGAAAAAGGGTGTCCTCTGGCAGGGCTTCTTGGTAGTGGAAAGGAAAGACAAAGGGTCATTTTGGAAGGCCCTTAGGATAAAAAGAATTTCATGGCCAGGCGCGGTGGTTCATGCCTGTAATCCCAGCATTTTAGGAGGCCAAGGCAGCAGATGGCTTAAGCCCAGGAGTTCAAGACCCACCTGGGCAAGATGGTGAAATCTGGTCTCTACAAAAAATACGAAAATTAGCCAGGCATGATGGTGCATGCCTGTAGTCCCAGCTACTTGGGAACCTGAGATGGGAAGATCACTTGAGCCTGGGAGGTCGAGGCTGCAGTGAGCCGTGATCACACCACCGCACTCCAGCCTGGGCAACAGAGTGAGACCCTGTCTCAAATAAAAAAAAGGGAATTTCACTCTAACTTTTGTATAATCATCTCACATCACAAACACAATTCAAAGATCCCAATGTGAGACCTCCTGTGTTACCAACAACAAGAGGAACGCAAGGTAGGAATTTGAATTTAAGATAAGGTCTGGCCAGCTGGCCCCAGGGAAGTTTCTTCAGTTGGTGATCTGGCAAGTCACCTGAAGGAAATTCAGTGTGACTTTACTTCATGGTATAGCAGCACTTTTTACCTAAGAAATCAGAGGGAACTCATTTGTGCTATTGCTTTTGAAGAAACTTAAGCCTTCAGATTTTTTTTTTTTTTTTTTTTGAGATGGAGTCTCATTCTCTTACCCAGGCTGGAGAGCAGTGGTGTGATCTCGACTCACTGCAACCTCCACCTCCCAGGTTCAAGCGATTCTCCTGCCTCAGCCTCCCGAGTAGCTGGGATTACAGGCACACACCACTATGCCTGGCTAATTTTTGTATTTTTAGTAGAGACGGGGTTTTGCCAGGTTGGCCAGGCTGGTCTTGAACTCCTGACCTCAGGTGATCCACCCACCTCGGCTTCCCAAAGTGCTGGGATCACAGGCGTGAGCCACCACACCCGGCCAGGCCTTCAGATCTTGAGAATAAGCCTAAAGTGACCTGGATGGAACTCACGAAACATTTTCAACTGTGTTTGAGAATGAAGATGAGGAAAAAGTAATAATTGCTAATGTTTCTACTGTGCCAATACATTTCTAAATACAGCACTTTATATATATTAATTCAGGTAATTCTCATAACAACCACGTAAGGTAGATATTATCACCTGCAAGTGACAGTTGAGGAAACCACGTCTCAGAGGAGTTGAGTAACGTGGTTTAGGTTATACATTCAACAAAGGTGGTTGAGTCAGAATTCACACCCAGACAGTCTGACTGGAGTCTGCTCTTAACCACAACCCTTTATGGGCTCTCCCCTGTGAGCTTGCATCTCAAATGCATGGGCATTGCCCAGGAAGTTTCAAAAAAAGTAAAAAGTTCCAACCATCTTGAAATCCCTTACAACAGAGGTTAGCAAACTATGGCCCAGGGGTCAAATCCAGTTCAATAGCTGCTTTTGTAAATAAATGTTTATTGGAACACGGCTATGAATTTGTTTATGTAATGTCTGGCTGTTTTAGCACTGAAGTAGCAGAGTTGAACAGTTGTGATAAAGACCAAAGAGCCTACAAAGACTAAAATATGTACTGTCTGGCTCTTTATGGAAAAGTTTGTTAACCTTTGCTCCACAAAGGTTTAACCCATCTTTTTAAAGATGGGTTGTTACAATGTTGCCTAGGCTGGAGTGCAGTGGCCCGATCACAGCTCACTGCAGCCTTGACCTCCTGAGCTCAATCAATCTCCCACCTCAGACTCCTGAGTAGCTGGGACTATAGGTGTCCACAACCATGCCTATCCAATTTTTTTATTTTAGTTATTTGTAGAGACAGGGTCTCCCTGTGTGGTCCAGGCAGGTCTCATACTCCTGGGCCCAAGAGATCCTCCTGCCTTGGCCTCCCAAAGTGCTGGGATTACAAGCTTGAGCCAACATGCTCAGCCTGCTCCGCAATTTAATGAAAAAATCTTTACCCAGAGCAGGCAGTAGATTTCTAGGACATACGGTACCAGGAGCTGGGCTTGACTCCTGAGTAGCCAGCCAGCCCATGCTTTGCTTGGCTCACAAGTAGCCTTTGCTTTAGGGTTCAATTAAAGAGACCCCCTCTTACTGAATTCTGGTCTCCTGCCTTTGATCTTTTATAAAAACCTTAGGAATAAAGATTTTCATTGGGCCAGGCACACCTATAATCTTAGTTACTCCAGAGGCTGAGGCAGGAGGTTTGCTTAAGACCAGGAGTTTGAGACCAGCCTGGGCAATATAGCAAGATCCCATCTCTAAAATAGTTTTTTTGTTTTGTTTTGTTTTAATTTGCTGGGTGTGGTGGCACATGACTGTAGTCCCAGCTACTAGAGGCTGAGGAAGGAAGATCACTTGAGCCCAGGAGTTCAAGGCTGCAGTGAGGTATGATCACACTACTGCACTCCAGCCTGAGCAACAGAACAAGACCCTGTCTCTAAAAAGATTGGAAAAAAAAAAAAAAAGATTCAGGTTTCTGAGAGCTGCTCACTATCTCAGCAACTGTCCCAACCCTGCCCTAGCTCAGCGTTCCCCTGCCCCGCAGCAGCATCGCAGGACACCCCAGACAGAGGGGTAACGGTGGAGATTTTACTCACAAATGCTGAGCTTCCCCCAAGGCTATGCTGTCCAACACAGTTGCCACTAGCCGCATGTGGCTATTTTCATTAAAACTAAATAAAGTCAGTTCCTCAGTCACACTAGGCACAGTTCAAATGCTCCATAGCCACATGCAGCGAGTGGCTACTGTATTGGACAGCACAGATACAGAACACTTCCACCATCTCAGAAATGCTATGAGCGGCCAGGCGCAGTGGCTCACGCCTGTAATCCCACCACTTGGGAGGCCAAGGCGGGAGGATCCCTTGAGGTCAGGAGTTCGAGACTAGCTTGGACAATTTGGTGAAACCCCATCTCTACTAAAAATACAAAAATTAGCTGGGCGTGGCAGCACGCATCTGCAGTCCCAGCTACTCAGGAGGCTGAGGCAGGAGAATCGCTTAAACCCGGTAGGTGGAGGTTGCAGTGAGCTGAGATGGCTCCACTGCACTCCAGCCTGGATGAGAGAGCAAGACTCCGTCTCAAAAAAAAAAAAAAAATGTTATGAGGATGTGGCTAATGGCTGGTGTTGTTGATCAACAGATGCATCCAGAGTGCCTATTACATTGCACAGGTGGGTGCTGGGTGGCCCTCATGCGGTTCACTCTAGTAAATGAGCTCAACACCTGACTGCTCCCTGCCACTGCAAAGTATGGCTGATGACTCTCACCTAGCAGTTACTTTCCCAAACTAAATTACCCTTGTATGGAGCCCAAGGGGGCAGGGTGGTTTTTTATTTCGGTTTTTGGGTTGTTTGCTTTTTTCCCTTTTTTTTTTTTTTTTTTTTGAGACAGAGTTTCGCTCTTGTCACCAGGCTGGAGTGCAATGGTGCAATCTCGGCTCACCGCAACCTCCGCCTCCTGGGTTCAAGTGATTATCCTGCCTTAGCCTCCCGAGTAGCTGGGATTACAGGCATGCGCCACCATGCCTGGCTAATTTTGTATTTTTAGTAGAGATGGGGTTTCTCCATGTTGGTCAGACTGGTCTTGAACTCCCGACCTCAAGTGATCCACCCGCCTCGGCCTCCCAAAGTGCTGGGATTACAGGTGTGAGCCACTGCACCTGGCCTCCTGTTTTTTTGTTTTGTTTTGTTTTTTGTTTTTGAGACAAAGTCTCACTCTGTTGCCAGGCTGGAGTGCAGTGGCACGATCTCGGCTCCCTTGATCCTGGGCTCCACCTCCCAGGTTCAAGGGATTCTCCTGGCTCAGCCTCCCGAGTAGCTGGGACTACAGACATGCACCACCATGTCTGGCTAATTTTTGTATTTTTAGTAGAGATGGGGTTTCACTATGTTGGCCAGGCTGGTCTTGAACTCCTAACCTCATGATCCGCCCACCTTGGCTTCCAAAAGTATTGGGATTACAGGCATGAGCCACAGTGTCCGGCCTTCCCTTTTTAATTCAAAACACCTCAGCTACTAATAATTCTGCTTTACTTCCTCCTTTCTAGGAGGGCTCGGCTGGGCAGAGGAGCCACAAAACAGAAATTACTTGTCTAGAACTGATCCCTTCTGTGCTCTCACAACAGGACTTTAGATCCCAGGGCCTGAAGTTGGCCAGTGGGATCTTGATTCCTGATGTGGGAAAGTCAGCAACTACACCAGTTGTCTCCTCTCCACAGCTCTGTCTTCACCTGTACTGAGGGCTCCAAGGTTTCAGAACCTCATCCTCCTGCCTTCCACAGAGCCCCAGGCCAGTCCTGGCCTGCTCCCGACTCCCAACAAGAAGCATTATGGGTCACAATGGCAGCATCAGGGTGACACTCCCCTGCCACCCATCATGGGCAGAAGCTCCCAGCAATGGCAGCCCCGGTGGGCAGGGGAGGCTGCTGAGCAGTGTGAGGCTGGACCGGGGAGCAGGAGGCGCTGCAACCAACGGGCATATCTCACCACCCTGACCTCTCCCTGCAGGCACAGAGCAAGTTGGCCCTTAGGGGCTTCCATGTCCAATTCAGCAGCTACCTTTCAAGGTTGCTGTCAAGTCCTGGGATCCCTGTTGAGAGTGGAGTAAGGTTGTAGAACTTGTCTTCCATTAGAGCCTCAGAGACTGGGAGTGTTGTTCTGCGGCCAAGCCAGAACCACTGGAACCGGACAGAGGTCTGGCCATTTTCCCTGGGTCAGCCCCACTGTCTTCTGAGTTTACTGGGTTAACTGTCACATGGAGGCACCTCCTCCTTTATCACCTACTCTTGGCTGCGGGAGGTGACCTGGGTGGTGTCTGGTCATGCACTTTCTACCCTAAATTAAAAGCCATGGATAGGAGCAGGGACTTCTGAGACCTGTGCTGAGATAACTCCCTGCCTGAGGCATAGGCTGCAGGGCACAGGGACTAGCAAGGGCTTTCCAGCTTCCCCATGACTGCTCCCAGGCTGAGGAGTAGTCTTGGCAAAAAGCCAACACGATATGCAGGGATGGGAGCCTGAGAATGTGAATGAAGGCCGAGACCTCTGAATCCAATTCTGGATTTTTTTTTGCAGGGCCACGGCCTCATTCCCTCCCGGTTCCCTCTGAGGCAGCCAGGGAGGTCTGGGTCCCATGTGAGAGACGGGGGGCAGAGCTGAGTCATGGGCCTGCTGCGGTGGGGTTTGGAATGGAGAGATGCAAGTCCTGACCTGACAGGCTGGCCTTGGGTCAGGACAAAGGAAAACAGTCACACCTAAGGGCTCAGAACCACCTGTTGGAAGCTAACCTGTGGTGGACACACTGATGTGATGTGGCAGCACCTGGGCATCAACAACTCACTAGGTGCCCCCACGGCCACTAGTCTCTGGGCCAAGGAGCTCAGGGATTGAACTACAGACACAAGGAGGGCAGAGAACAGACATGGAAGGATCCCACCCTTGACCAGGGTGGTTGTAGATACTTAAGGGGCTGTGGGGTGTGGCACCAGTCCTGCTGGATTTCAACCTGAACATCTCCTAAGTAGCTGTGGGCCCCTGAAACAATTCAGTGATCAGTAACACATAGCAATCGTCAAACCCTTTGCTGCCTAACTCAGGCCAGGGGACTACACATCAACTCAGAGCCTTGGGCTCACGGGAGCCTCACACTACCCTGACCCAGAGATGCCATCACCCTGTGGGCCTGGAGGGCAGCGGGGCCAGCCTGGGCTACCCAGTTGAATACACCTTGGATTCAGCTCAGGGTCAGCTGAGAAATATCTCTGTGTAGGAAGTCTCTTGAAGGTAGTGTATTTTGAGGAGGATACGGAAGGAGAGAGTAGGGTGTTTTCTAAGGAGACGGAGAAGAAGACCTCACAGGATGGGGAAGCCTTGCTGGAGTTGGAGAGAATCAGGATGGGGTGGAGCTGAACCCAAGAATCAGCTTTACCCAGCTGGAGCCAAATGCAAAGGCAGTGGCACGGGGCTGTGCGCCCACCATCCCTCAAAAGCTCATTTAAGGAGCATGGCCCCCCTCAGGGCAGCCGGCTCACCTCGGCCCAGGGGGAGAGCAGCAGCCGGAGGTGGCTCGCTATTGCGCCGCCGCTCGACCAGGCAGCGCTGGAGCTCCTGCAGCTTCTTCTCCTCCTGCAGCATGGAGTGCTTCCGCTGCCGCCGAGCCTGCCTGCTGAGGTTCTCCTCCAGGCACAGCCGACGGGCTGCCTCTGTGATCTGCAGCTGCAGGGCCAGCTGGCGCTCCAGGCTGCTTAGGGGGTCCTGAGAGAGGGGGCAGGAGTGAGGCTAGAGAGAGGCAGGGAGATTGGGGGCCCAGAGGGTGGACAGCAGCCCTGACACAGTGCTCTAGGTCCCAGTCCTAAGCCCTGAGGACAGAAGAGAGGCAGACAGCAGCACCAATGGACGGACGTGGAGCAGAGGGTGAAGGAGTGGGAGGAGCCGAAAAGCAAACTTGTCAGCCTGAAAAGCTGGCATGGGCACCCACCCACCAGCCCACCTGCTGAACCGGGCAGGGTGGGAACCCAAGTGGGACACTTTCCCTCCTGACCCCAAAGGGTGGGGCAGGCTGGCCCATGGGAAACTGCTGCCATTGACGCCACAGGGGAAGGGCACCCAGGGCCTGACTGCCCCCACCTCCTCCTGAGAAAGGAGGACAGCCCTAGGGGCCAGAGTAACCTGTCTGAGCAGGCTATTGCCCGCTGGGTTGGTGGCTGGTGCTCTTAACTGATCTTCTGCCCAATGGGGTCAAACCCAGTGTCCTCCCTTGAGCTCCCAGCTCTCGGTTCCTTAGTGGCGCCCCTTCTCCACAGCCATTTGGGCTACATATTCATGGTGTCTCTCACCAACAGGCAGCCAAGCACCCTCACTGGGTGTGAAAGGGTGGAAGGGAACCTGCCAGGGTACTGAGCTGAGGTGTGGCGTCTCAGTGATCAGCTTTGGGGATCGAGGGGTACTGGCAGCTTCCTGAGGTTCCTCACCTCTCTGTGCAAGGCCCAGTCATCCAGTTTGTAAGCCGCTCCGATCCTGCGGCGAACCTTGGGGGCCTTTTCCCCTGGTTTGAGGGGATACTCCGCTGGCAAGGTGCCCGTCAGCTCCTGGGGAGGAAGCAGAGACCAGCCAGGTCCTCTCCACCTGCCCAGACTTGGCTCACTGGCCCCTGCACTGCATGTGCCTGCCTTCCATAGAAGCCCTGGTGGGACCACCCTCCACCCCACCTCATCCCATCCTCCACACTGTCTCTCCTGTCTTCAGACCCACTCTGCACTCCTCCCCTTTCCCTTCAGACCTCTTTCTGATCACTTCCTCCAGAGCTACACCGACCCGGGTTACAGCACTCATATGCACTTATGTCTGTGCAGTCCCTCTGCAGCCCCTGATGAACTTTGTTCTCTGTGCCTGGGCCCCTGCCTGGGTCTGACTCTTCTCCATCCAGCACAAGGTCAAACACTGCATCATGGGGACTCTGGGCCCCAGCCCCCAGCCTGATGTCCAGAATTCCCTCAAGAATGGGGCTCCCTCTCCCCAGCTCCCGCATCCCCACACGTGGCTCCACAGCTCCTGAGATGAACCCGATGCTTGTGTGTGCTGGCTGGGGCCTCACCGCTTCCCGAAGGCAGAGTCTCCTCAGCTCCTCCAGGCAGGCCTCCAGCCTCGCTTCCAGGGCCCTCTGCTGCTTGTGCACTGCATGGGTCAGCTCCTTCATTGGGGAGACCGGGCTGTCGGGGCCTGCAAGGGTTGGGGGGCACATGCTCAGGGAGGCTGAAGATGGAAGCCTCCTCCGTTACTTATTGACCACCCCTAGGGGAATGCACATGCACACACATGCACACACACACACACATCTCATGCCTGCCCACAAATTGCAGGCTGGCTGCTGTGGCCTGTGTCACAGCCACAAAACACCACGTCTCTTGGCTGCACAAATGTTACAACTCAGAAGGGAGGGTCGTCCCACCAGGTGACCTATGGTGGGGGAGTGCAGGGGAGGGAGTTCTGCCGGTGCAGTCCTCCCCCCACTCCTCCTCCCTTCTTCTTCCTCTTTTCCTTCTCCTTCTTCTTCCTGTCTCTCTCTCTCCCTCTCCCCACTACCCCTCTCTCTTGCACACACACATAAGCCTCTTCTTTCTTGTCCTCTGTCAAGACTAGGCCAGACTAGGCCCACAGGTCTGGCCAAACAGAGAGGCAAGACCTTCACATTGGCCAGATGATATATTTTTTTTGAGACGGAGTCTTGCCCTGTCGCCCAGGCTGGAGTGCAATGCCGCGATCTCGGCTCACTGCAACCTCCGCCTCCCAGGTTCAAACGATTCTTCTGCCTCAGCCTCCCACATAGCTGGGACTATGTGGTAGCCAGGATGGTCTCGATCTCCTGACCTTGTGATCCGCCCACCTTGGCCTCCCAAAGTGCTGGGATTACAGGCATGAGCCACTGTGCCTGCCTGAGATTTTTCAACTTCTCAGCTGGGGCTAAAGTTGAACATTGCAGATCCCTCTTCCAGATAGAACCAAAACTCCAAGCCAGTTTTCTCCAGGGAGGAAAACTCCACATGTCCCTGAGGCTCCAGCCCTTCCAGAACCTCCCCCTCCTCCCAGCAGAGGCCTCTCCCTCCCCTTCCTCTCAGCCCTTGGGAGTCTCAGCCCAGCCAGCCCTAGTGCCTGAGGGCTCAGGACTCAGGAGTCAGGGCCAGGGACCAGGGACCAGGGACTAGGGACTAGGGCAGGGGGATTTCCCTGAACACTCACCAGACTGCAGGATGATGCCACTGTCGGTGTCGCTGACCTCATCCTTACTCTCCATGGTGGATTTCTGGAAGGAGAGGGCACAGAGCAGGGAGGGGGGACACCGTGACCAGCCTGGGCCAGGTTGTGTAGGTAGCCTGGAGCTTCCCCAGCTTTAAAGAGAAAAGAGAACAATAACAAAAAAGCTAGATATGAACCATCTTGGTTACAAAAAGCTGAATAGATGCTTGAGAGCAGGGGAGTGGAAGGGAGGACTGTGCTTCAGGAACCATCTGGGGCAGGAGATTCTGGCACTGGGGGTGCTGACCTAGAGAAGGGGCTGTGGGCCTCACCAGCAAACCCTGTTCTCAGTGGGCTCTCAGGGGCCCAGCCTAACTCCCCTCTGGGCCAAAGTCCTCTAGGCCTAAGGGGGTCGACAGCTGTGGTAGCCACAAGAACCGCTCGACTGGGGAGAAGGGCAAGAAGGAAAAGAGCAGAGACAGGATAAAAAGGAAGGGGACAAAAAATGGGATGGGATAACAAAGAAAGGAGGAAGGAAGCCCAGCATGGTGGCTCACGCCTGTAATCCCAGCATTTCTGGAGACCAAGGCAGAAGGATAGCTTGAGCCCAGGAGTTCAAGACCAGCCTGGACAACTTAGACCCCATCTCTCCAAAATGAAACTTAGCTGGGCATAGTGGTGTGCACCTGTAGTCCCAGCTACTCAGGAGGCTGAGGCAGGAGGATTGCCTGAGCCTGGAGAAGTCAAGGCTGCAGTGAGCCATGTTCACGCCATTGCACTCCAGCCTGGACAACAGAGAGACCCCGTCTCCAAAAAAAAAAGAAAGGAGGAAGGGGAAGACATCTTTATGGGACACAGCTATCCTCAACCCAAGAACCCAGGAGGTGTGAGGCATGTCCTACGCCCCAGTGGCTGAGGACACTTCAAGAAGTGGGCAGGCACATGGCCAAGGCCCTGGTCTGGGGCCTCCGAAGTCCAGGACGCCCACTCTCTGAATTGGCGCCCTGGACTCTGAACTTCACATCATCTGCAGATATGTGCAGCCACTGTATGCCAGAGAGCTGTCCCAAAGCCCTCAAACAACTTTCAAGCCATCAATTACTCCTGGGAGACCACTGAAGGGGAATCAGCCTAGATCCCCTACACCCCACAGCCAGGGGAGACCCAGGGCTGTGTCTATCAGGGTTGCCAAGAGTTGACAGGAGAGGGGCAAGCAGTGACTAGAGCAGAAGCTGTGCAAGGACAGAAAGGAGATCACCTGCTCCTCTGCCTGCTTCGGGGTGGAGAACACTTGGGTGGTACAGGTGCCATCCCATTGTGTCGGCTCAGCTAGGGACCAGTCACCCAGATAACACCTGTGCCCACCCCCTCTCCCTCCTCACCAACCCACACCCCTGGTTGGGGTCCCAGCTGGCCAGGGCCTGGCAGCTGCTGGCTGCAGCAGGGGTGGGAGGGGTGGGCGGAGCCCATGCAGGTGGTTGGGTCTGGAAAGAGAGCTCAGCCACCTCCTCACTGAGTCAGCCCATTGAGCAAGAGTCCAAAAGTCCTTCCGAGTTTCTGTCTGGAGCCTATCCTGCCTCCTCAGAGCGCGGGGCCGCAGGGTGGGGGAGGTGAGCTCCACCCCTCCTCAGGCAGCCAACACGACAGAAAAGTCGGCCTTGGGAAAGCTGGTAACAAAGCAAGGCCAACAGGGAGAGGGGACTGCTGTCAGCCAGGTCCCTGGTGATACCTCTCCACCCATCAAGATGATAAGAGCAGGACGATCAAGAACTTTTATAGACCTACATAAACAACACAGCAACCACAGGCAGCAACAATCAAACACAAAGCCCTGAAAGCAACATGTACCTTGCACTTTGGAATTTCAATTATTCAAGGAAGTCTAGAGAATGCATGGGAGAATTATTTTTTTTAACTTTATGGGAGGCCTTTGCAAACATGCCAAAGTTCTGAAAGATTGGCCATATATTCTGGAACCCCACCCCGCAGGATACTTAGGATGACTATTAGCTCTGCACTGTCCATCTGTCCCAAACTCTATCCCTCGTAGAGATAAGAACAGGACAGAGGAGCAGGCAGCTCACCCCCACCCCTTCCCAC
Source organism: Homo sapiens (assembly GCF_000001405.40). Lineage (NCBI taxonomy): Eukaryota > Metazoa > Chordata > Mammalia > Primates > Hominidae > Homo > Homo sapiens. The sequence goes on along the minus strand of NC_000001.11, from coordinate 200,896,358 downwards.
CCACCCTAGCCATCCTCCCACCCTCCCCAGAAGCCAAGAGCAGGGTGCAGCCAGAGGTAGGAAGCAAGGTGGTCTCAGCTAGCATGCTGAGTGTGTCTGCTTTGCACAGAGGAGGAAGTAATGTGGGAGGGGAAGCCATTAATTAGTCACGCTTGCTAATTAATTATTAACCACTAAGTAGTTGCCTTGGAAAGTTGGGCCAACTCAGCCCCTGCTTCTCAGGGGCTCTGAGACTGTTGCAGAGGAGTGGGGACTTACAGGGACAGAGGGGTACCTTAGCACGCCTCCCGTCTCCGCCAGCTTCCCCTTCTCCCAGCTCAGCCCAGTCTCTGACTGCCAGCATCAAAGGGGAGGCACTGATCTTCCCAGTGGTCCCAGCCTGATGCTGGGTCCTCTCTGGGATGACTTGCTGCCCCAAGTAGAGCAAAGAGAACAGCGTCAGATGCCCAGAGCCCCTGGCTGTGGGCTCAAGGCTTGGTTCTGCTGCGGTCTGTACTACCTTGGGGAAGTCACCAGGCCTCCCGGGGCTTCCTTTCCTCCTGTGCACAATAAAGACTGCACAGTGTCTAAAGCCTTTCCAGGTCCCCGGTCTGAATCTCGACCTCTTGGTCAATGTCAGGCCAAGAAGGAAACCCGTACAGCCACATAGCGGACCCTCACATCTGCCTCTGCCGAGGCCGCCCTCCACAGCTGTAGGGAACCTGCCCCAGAGTCAACAGGTGAGAGCGAGGGCACCACCCCCACCCAGGAGGCTATGAGTCTTAAGTGTCTAAGGCATTGCTTTTAGATAAAGGCAGTTCAGGTAACATCCCCACCCCCTCCCTAACACAGGGATCCCTCCTGGGCCTCTTCAAGCTCCAGTACTGGGCCCTAAAAAGCAGCCCACCCGGCTGAACAATGTCCCCAGAAAAAGGCAGAGGAGACCAGAAGGGGCACAGAGGGAGGGAGGGAAACTCCAGAGCACCTTCCCTCAGGCCGGGCCATGGGGGATCCTCCTCTATCCCAAGTGTGTCCCCCAAAGCCAGGTCTCAGGCCTGCCTGTCCCAGCTCATCTCTGCTTGCTCTCCCTCTGGTGGAAACTAAGGCCTAGGCAACCACAAGAACAGGCTCCCGTCCAAGCCCACCAGCACCCCTCTGTCATCCCTACACACCAGACATAGGCTGGCGGGGGTGGGGGTCGGAGGGGGGTGATGGCCACTGCTTGGGCTCCTCCACTCCCAGGCCAGCCTGCTCTCAGCCCCAAAGACCCATTCCACCTCCCCCGCCCTCACCTGCTTCTGGGCTTTAGTCCAGGAGTTGAAAAACAGCCCCTGCTTCCAGTCAGGGGGCTCAGGGCCCTCACATGTCGCCTCAGGGTCTCCCAAGCCACAGGCCTGTGCTCTCTCTCCAGCTGACGGAGCTGCTGGCCGTCCGTCCGTCTCGGCTCACCTGCCTACCTTGCCGTCCCTCCCAGGCTGCCGGGCCAGGGGAACCAGGTTACTTGTTATGACTTGAGTCAGAGGGGAGGAGCAGGTGAGCAAGTCCTTCCCTGAACTAATCCCGTGCAACTGGTGCCAGCAGGCAGCTCCTGGGCCTCTGCACTTCCGGGGGGCAGGAGGGTAGCAGGGAAAAAGGGGCTCCCATGGAGGAATCCCCAAAGAAGACAACAACAAGAGTCATGTCTTCATGGCCTCAAGAGACCCTAGTACAACATTCTGAGCTGTGAGGTACCTGCGTGCCCTCCTGTCCTGACCCTGGCTCTCCCTGCCTTCCTTTGACCTCAGTTTCTCTTTCCAGAAATTGAGGCCTGTTAAGCACCCCGGAAGCAAGGTGAAATGTCCACTGTCCATGGAAAAAACAAGCAGGACATTTACAAACTGACAGGGATGGGTCACTGCTCTTCCCCACATATGGAAATGAAGACCAAGGCCTGGGTTTTATCTCTCCCGAGTGAGGATTTTAAAACCTCAGGCAAGGCAGCTGGAATTCCAATATGCAGAAGTTCTAGAATCCTAGAGAGAGAGGATCAGGCTGTTCTTTTTATCCCAGACATTGTCCCCCAAGGGTATCGAGGCCATCACTTCTCTGTTGATTATTTACATCCATCCCCCAGCAACGCATGTTCATGGGGCACTGACAGGCACTGACCTGAGCCCAAGTCCTGTTTCCTACTCCACAGGAGGTCCACTGTGACCCCAGACCCTAAGTCCACTCCCCAAATGCAAGGAGCCAGAGACCAAAATGGAACTTATTTCCTATAAAAAATAAGCCTCAAGATCTCCCATCCCACCGACCCCCAAGCAAATGGGAAACTGGAATCTAGCCTATTTCAAGGCGGAAGCAGAGCTAACGCTGACTGTTGCCTGGCCTGTCCCCAGCAGGCTGCACCCCTCAAGTCTTCATCTTACCACCTCCCTTTCCCCCCACTCTCTGATCTTCCCACCATTCCCCCGACCCAGATTCCAGTGCCTCAATACATGTCTGGATTGCTTCCCCTCCCCCAGCCCCTAAAAAGTCCTGTCCCCACTCCCTACCCCCAAGTGCAGGGATGACAGAGGAAGTTTGCTTTCACCAGGCATCTCCTGTGGAGCGGAACTCATGGGGCTGGAGTCCCCCAGCATCCCCCACTGCTCCGGTACACACACCCAGCACACCTTCACATTCCTGTACACACCCTTTTTCCAAACAATGCTAGCCCCAGAGTGCTCCAGGCTGACCACCTCATTTTCTGCCCAGGCTGAGGCTGAGGGGCCCTAAGAGGGGACAGTTCTTCCTCCCCCCGCCCCATTGGGAGCTTGTTCTCTGGGTCTCCCAAAGAGCCTGCAGCCCTGCCCTTCCCCAGTCCTCCGTGACACACCGTCCCTCCCCATAGAGGCTTGGCACTTTCTTACAAAGTCAAACAGAGAGGGGTTGACTCTGGGCATAAGCGGCCCTTCCTCCACCTTGCCCATCTCCAGCTCCAGGTGGGGGTTGGTGGAAGTTTCTACCAGCTGTGAATTGGCTCACAGTTCACATTTCTTGAGCATAAAATAAAATTAAGAAGATCACTAAAAAAGTCAATTATATGAAATAAAGTTCTAAAAATATAAAAACATAGCAATATATATGCTTCTTTATTAACATTAAGCAGGGTCTAGCAGTGGGTAATTTCACACAAGGGCTGAGTGTAAACAACATTTCAAGACTGCTGTGACTGCAGTGTGATATGAAACTATGAATTCTATTAATGGCAAAGTCACAGGTACTGCCAATGCTACTGTGATTTGTTGTCTTCATAACTAAAGGTGATGTTAAAATCTGTTAAAGGTTGGTGAAAAACAATGATATCTTTTTTTGCCTCACCTAGTTTACACATCCTCTGAATTCCATCTACAGATGCCTAATGCCAATGAACCCAGTTAAGAATCCCTGCCCTCAGGTAATCCTCCATCTCTGACTTCAGGGGAGGTTAGTACAGATGCTCAATCTCACTGTTTGCATTGATCCTTTGGAATTCTCAAAAACACCTTGCTCCCCCAAATTCACGCTCAATATTTCCCAACCTTGCAGAATCTGAGGTTTGGAAGGGAGCTGGCTAACCAAACCTCCTGCCAAGAACCCCGGGGAGCCATCCTTGGAGCTCTCTGATGGCCATGTCATTCAATTCAAAATACCAATGGGGGAGGTGGGCACTCCAGAGGCCAGCTGGGAATCTGAAACAGCTCCCCACTCCAGTCAGGCCGGGGAGTCAGGGGACTGATGCCCCAGCCCCAAACCCCAGAGTGCCGTCCAGACCACCAGTTGGTGAGGAAGTGGTATTTCCTTGCAAAACATTATAGTACTTGGAATCTGATCTTTGCAGACAAGAGCCCTTCCCCAGGGAAGAGAAACTGGACCTCTTCAGTGTTTTCGTTTCCTGAGGAAAAGTCCCGAGTCAGAAAACTCTTCCCCAGCGCTGTAGCCATCCACTCTCCATTTTTTTTAAAAAAAAGTTCCTTCTTTTAGGGTCTTCTGATAACACCAGATTGGAAGTTCTTTAAAGCAAGGGCCTCGTCCTACCATCTTCACATCCCCAACAGCCCCCAGCAAAGTAGTCTCAGGCACTGCTAAAATCTTACTTCAAGAATTAAGGAATCAATGGCCAGCGCTAGAGACAACAGTGAAAAAAGGAAGAAGTGAAATAGCCCGGGACCCTCCAGGCAAGAGGGGTAGGAGATGGTTCCTTCACTGTTTTCTTACTCGCGTCTGCTCCCTGCTCACTAGGAAAGGTGTTCGCCTCCACTAAGCAAAGGTGAAGTGGGCTGGGACAGGGGAACTCCAAGCCAGCTTGGAATGCGCCCTGAAATGAGACCTCTAGGCTTTCTCTAAAAAGCCCCTTTGTCCTGTCCACCCTGCTCCCCTCCCCCACTGCGCCCTCCACATCCAGGCTGGCCCGAGACTTTGCTCCTTTTGTTTGGCTGCTTTCTGGCTTCCCGGAACCTGGCCAGGAAGATCCACAGGCACGAAGAAGGTCGAAGGAGAAAGGTTGAGGGACTGGAAATGTGCATTTTTGGTAGGAACTCAGAATTCCTGCCCCTTTGAAAAAATTACCCCATTCCCTGTAGGGCACCCTCCGCTAAGGCTGAAGACCGTGGGTTCAGGGGCCCGATCCCCCGCCCCAGTTCACCCGCACTGGGTGCCCCGAAGTTTTCCCGCTTACCTGTCCCATGGAGCTCTGGCGCCGCCCGCCTGCCCCTGCGCCCTCCACTCCAGCCTCGCAGCTTCAGGACCTGTTTGTCCAGGCCATCTTCCCTCCCCCCGAGCCTCCCTGCGGCCTGCCCTCCCCGGAGGTATTTCATTTAACTTCGGCATTTGCAGCATCCCAAATGTTAAAGATCCCAAGACATCTGTCCCCTGGGGCATACCAAGGCCCAGAGGAAAGAGGGGAAGACGCAAGAAGGGACTGAAGAGTCCGATCCAAGAGTCGGGACGGGGCCGCACGCGGGAGTGACGACGTACCCGCAGGGGTGAGCGAGCTGCGGGAGCAGCCGCTCGAGGGGCGAGGCTGTCCCCTTTGCCCCGCTTTCGGACGCCCGCGCGGTGGGACACCCCTGGCGCCGCCAGTTTCCGCAGCCCAGGCGGGACGAAGCTTCTCTCTTGGTCCCAGTGCCGCCTTTCATTCGCGCGCTCTGGCCTGGCTGGGGCCAGTTTTCATTCCTGGAGACCCCTAAGTGGAAGAATGAAAGGAGCCTGCGGAAGGGCGCTCCCCCGACCCTGTCCTCCCCGCAGGCGCCCTCCCCCTCGCTGTGCGGCGCTGCGGGTCGCGCGGGGATGGCCCCTCTCCCCGGCCCTGGCCCCGGCCCACTCCCACTCCTCCCGCCGGGCCCGCTGGCTGAACTCCGGCTGGCTGAAGGGAAGGAGCACCCTCCCGGCGAGCGCCTCCTGCTGCCCGCTGCGAGCTGCTGTGTCCCCGTTCATCCATTCATTCACTTCCCGGTTTTCAGTTGTTCAATAAACATTTATTGAGCACCTACTAGTGCCCAGCACGATGGATCAAAGCTCAAGCCCCATTCACTGGAGGATTCTCCAATCTAGACGAGTGATGAAGCAGCACAGTACCTGAAGTAAGGGCTAGGACCCCGGGCAAGAAGAGGGAAGGCTGACCCAGGCTGAGCCTCGGCAAAACTTGGCCAGAGGAAGCAATACCAGAAAATAAGAGAGGGACTTGAAACAGCAGTGACAGGTGTACAAAAGCACAGCAGCAAGGGAGCACAGCAGGTTCCAGGAGCTGCAGGGAGGTTAGGGTTTGGGATGAGGAAGGAGTAAAGGGAAAGAACATGGAAGAGAGACGAGGCTAATTCGTCAGTCAGTGGCTCATCCAGAAGCAGGGCAGCCAGACGCAGAGGCTCACGCCTATAATCCCAGCACTTTGGGAGGCCCAGGCCAGAGGATCGACTGAGGTCAGGAGTTGGAGATCAGCCTGGGCAACATTGTGAAAACCTGTCTCTACCAAAAAATAAAGAAATTGGCCAGGAGTGGTGGCACGCACCTGTAGTCCCAGCTACTTGGGAGGCTGAGGTGGGAAGATCACTTGAGCAGGGAGGCGGAGGTTGCAGTGAGCCAATATCCCGAGACTACACTCCGGCCTGGGAGACAGGGCAAGACCTTGTCTCAAAACAACAACAACAACAAAAAACCCACAACGAACGGCCAGGCGCGGTGGCTCACGCTTGTAATCCCAGCACTTTCGGAGGCCAATACGGACGGATCGCCTGAGGTCGGGAGTTCAAGAATGGCCTGGGCAACATGGCAAAACCCCATCTCTACTTAAAATACAAAAAAAATTAGCGAGCATGGTGCTGGGAGCCTGTAGTCCCAGTTACTCAGGAGGCTGAGGCATGAGAATCACTTGAACCCATGCAGCAGAGGTTGCAGTGAGCCAAGATCACTCCATTGCACTCCAGCCTGGGTGACAGAGCGAGACTCTGTCTCAATTAAAAACACACACACACAACAAACAAACAAACAAAAGTAAGGCAACTCCATGTGGTTGTCCAGGTTGTGCACTATACTAAGAGGGAAGGTTCACCATTCTCCACCCACCTCGCCCTATGTTTGGTCAGAGCTGTATCTGCCTAGAGAGGGTGGCTTTTTCTAATTTGTACAAAGGCATTATATGAGGTAAGATGACTAAGAGCCTTGTGGGCTAGGTGAGGATTTAAGATTTTTATACTGAAGTTGAAGAGAAGCTACTTGAATTAATCAGCACTCTCTGAGAAACAGAACCAGTAAGATGTGTATGTATAGATAGCTATATCTAGAGAGAGAGAATGCAAGAGAGAGATTGATTGATTTTAAGGAACTGGCTCATTGGATTGTGAAAGCTGGCATATCCAGAATCTGCAGGATAGACTCTCAGGCTGGAGATCCAGGGAAGAGCTGGAGTTCAAGTTCGAAGCAACCTGCTGGCAGGATTCATTCTTGCTCCAGGGAGATCAGACTTTGTTCCAACCAGGACTTCCACAGATTGGAGGGTAATCTGCTTTACTCAAAGTCTATTAATTTCAATGTTAATCTCATCTAAAAACACACACACACACACACACAAAACAACAAAACACCGTCTAGAAACATCTGAAAAAATGTTTAACCAAATATCTGGGCACTGGGCCTAGCCAAGTTGACACGTAAAATTAACCATCACACTGCTGAAAAACGTTGACCCAGGAGATGAACTGGGCAAACTGACCTTTAGAAGATGAGTGGCATGTGAGTGGTTGGAGTGGGGAGAAAGCATAGGCAGGCAGGAATGCAGGCGAGGGCGATGGCGCCTAGACTCCTGTTGTGGCAGAGGGGAGAGAGTGGGTGAAAGGCAGAGGGAAGAGGTCAAGGGCCTCAGAAGCAGGCACCATGGAAGCAGAAACCAGAGTCCTCATTGGAAACTGACTGCTCAGCCCATGTAGGGGAAGGAAGGAGGTGCGATTTGGAAGAGGTCGCTAAGCCCCCATCAGCTCTCTCTCCTTCCCACTTTGGCTGAAGGGGCAAGCATTCTCCATCAGATGGGGTTTTCTGGGAAGTGGAAGGGAAGTGGGGAAAACCTTTGAGTTCTTGCTAGGCAGGAGAAAGGGAAGCAAAGTTGGATGTCCTTAGCTGAGCTTCTAAAAGCTGCATGGTAGCTGGGCAGCTGCTCGCACCCTGAAGCACCATCCTCCCCCATACGCAGTAGAGGGACTCACTGAGTCCTCTCCCTGCCCGGAGGGAGCTATCCTGGTCCAATTTCACAATCCTCAGGCTCTCTGGCCAGGCAGAGGAAGAGGGGGAGGAGGCTGAACTTCCCCACTCTCCCTTTCCCCCGACCCTTGCTCCAGGGGCCGGATGAGGAGAGGGAGGCGTGCCTAGACCCAGACAGTGCCCTGTCAATGCCCTGGGTGAGAAGCTCTCTGGAAACCCCAGAATGACTTGGGCCTAGGCCTCGCTTCCTCTCCTGACCACATCCTGCAGCTCACAGCCAGAGGCAGGTGCAGAAGGGGCACTGTCCTCTATTGGCCTCAGCCTCTGTGGACCAGATCCCTCTCAACTGATCGGGTGCAGGCTGGGCTGCAGGCGGGTGAGTAGCTATGCGAAACGCATACAGCTGACTTAGGAGGTCCAGCCAGGGGGCCTCACTCAGCTGCTTCAAAGTGCTTCAAAGGAAGAAAAACCCCCAAATGGGTCCAGGATACTGAATCTAGAGAGCTGCTTGGAGGAGAGGGGCAAGCCCATCACTGGGGCTCAGACTCTTGAGTTGCATGAGATGGGAAAGGAGCCTGCTCCCCAGAGACACACCAGCATCCTCCTGGCCAGCAATCCTGGGCTGGTTTCTCAATGTTCCCAGGTCCTCTCCAGGAAGTTAGGGTCCTCTTCCTACCTTCCCCGCCTCCTCTCTTTCTTCACTTTTTTTTCCCTTTGTTCTCTCTCTTTCCTCCTCCCCCTTCCTCTACAGCTCTTCTATCCTGGCTGCCTGGGCTCCCAGAAGATTTCAGGGACCACAGGACAGTGACCTCGCACTGCACATGGAGAGCACTGGCCCCTGACACGCTTTCCCCGACCTCTGCCCTTCTTGTAACTCGCTCTCCTGGGCTGGACCCCTGGGGGGTCAGATTTCTGACAGTTGCCAGAAATCTGCTCTTCTGTGTGCCCTGGAGGAAGAAAACCTAAGGGTGAAAGTGCTGGGGGGTAGAGAGCGGGGTGTGGGGTGGCCTGGAGGCTCTAATTTAACCTGGAGCCCCCTGCTTTCTGTGGCCCCACTTGGGGAGACTTGGACCCCTGCTTTGGGGAGACTTGGACCCCTGCTTTGGGGAGAGCAAAACCTGGCCCCTCTCTAACCGCAAGCCCAAGCCCCCTGCAGCATCCCTGGTCCAGTAAGCCCTAATGCCCGGGCCTCTGTGGCCATTCTCTCGCTCTTTTTTTTTTTTTTGAGACAGAGTCTCGCTCTGTCGCCAGGCTGGAGTGCAGTGGCGCGATCTCGGCTCACTACAACCTCCACCTCCCGGGTTCAAGATAAAAGCTCTCCACTGTCCTCAGTTTCTCTTGGAAAGCCCAGTTCTGTTTGCAATCAGATGGCACACAGTAAAGACACTTTGGTGCAGGTCCATGTTTCCTTCCCCGCGGGCGGTGGTGTGTAGGGTCGGGAATTTCCACGTCCCAGCTGGGCTGCACCTCAGGAAGCCTGAAACACTGGCAGGAGGTGAAGACACCGTGTCGGGGGTCTGAGGGCTGGATGATTATTACCCCTCTGTCAAAACACAAAATTATGACAAATTTAGTTAAATGATGTAATTGGCTTTTATTTGTGACTTATGAAGCTGGGTAGCATTTTTCTCTAAAAACTGAGAAAAAGTGCTCCAATGAGCTGAGCAGAGGAGGTTGGCTTTACAGGCAGAAAAGGGCTGAAGAAAGCAGAATCAGAACAAAAAGCAACCAGTTAGCATCAGGTAACTTCAGTTAACTTTCTTTGTAAAGGTTAAAGCAGAGGGGACTTCTTATCATGCTGGCTAAAACTGGCCTATCTGGGGATTTGGCTATTATCTTTCTCTCTCTCCTGTTTTCTTGGAAGGTCAGATAAACAACTTAGTTTCAGTTTGGTGACATCAAACTTTAGCATAAGTGACACCATTTTGGTTTGTTCTGTTAAGCCTAGAGCAGGAGGTCAGTCCAAATCAATGACCTCCAATAAATTTTGTTTAATACCACTAATAGCAGTTGCATTTTTCAAAGACCTTGGGCTGGAGGTGCCCTCTAAAATAGCACCTGACAGACCGGGCACAGTGGCTCACGCCTGTAATCCCAGCACTTTGGGAGGCCAAGGCGAGCAGATCACCTGAGGTCAGGAGTTCGAGACCAGCCTGGCCAACATGGTGAAACCTCGTCTCTACTAAAAATACAAAAATTAGCACAAGAATCACTGAACCTGGGAGGTGGAGGTTGCAGTGAGCCCAAGATTGTGCCACTGCACTCCAGCCTGGGCGACAGAGCAAGACTCTATCTAAAAATAAAAATATAAATAAATAAATAAATAAATAAATAGCACCTGAACAATTTGGGGCTTTTTATCAATTTATCCTGTGAATGTTAAGTGCGTGGCTCAGGTACATAATTTGGGGGAAACTTTTAAAATATGTGTTTTGTAGTCAGATCGCCTCAGTTTCTTCATCTGTAAAATGGGCATGAGAAGGCCCACTCACGTGACTGTGGTGAGGATAATGAAATCATGCAGATAAAATGCTTTTGAGCATTGTGCTTTGCACATAGTAAGCACCCAATAAAATGGCAGGGTTTTTTAAAGAAGATGTTTTCCAAATTATCTTTTTTTTTTAAAGTTTTTCTTCTTCCTCACACCCAACCCCCAGGAAAAACAAGATAGTATTTACTCATGATAATTACAAATTTAATGGTCCAGACCTGTTTACTGGTGACCAAGTTCCACTTCCTGTGGTTTAACAACTTGGGGCTTCAAAAGACCAATCTCCCCCTGTGATCAGGCCTGGGCCTATGGCCTTGGCATGGGTTATATAAAAACAAATTAGGACCTTATACCTTTGCCTTGTCTTAAAATACTCAAAGAGATGAGAAAGGAGTGTGTTTTTGAAGAAAGGAGGGTTTTAATTGAGGTCAGATGCTGTCTAAATCCATTGAAATGGTCCATAAACCCAGCTACGTGTGACCTCCTCCCCATCTCTCCTCAGAGCTCTGCCCCCAACCCACACTCGTCCACACCCCTCTGCAATTGGTTCATTTAGGTCAATGCAGTTTCATTCGTTTGTTCAAAAATGTGTGCACCAAAGCGTTGTGGGTGCTCTCACAGCCCTGTGGGCTCGGGCAGTGGTGAGACAGGGCTCAGTAGGAAAGTCAGTTCTATGGAATGAACTCCCATTTACCCATCACCTACATCTAGTATATTTAGTAAAGATTAACATTTCCCTATATGATTTTTTCTTTTTTATAGTTTTTTTTTCTTTATTACCTTTCATTTTTCTTGGTTTTTTTTTTTTTTTTTTTTTTTTTTGAGACAGGATCTGGCTCTGCTGCCCAGGCTAGAGTAGAGTGGCACAATCTCAGCTCACTTCAACTTCTGCCTCCCAGGCTCAAGCCATCCTCCCACCTCAGCCTCCTGAGTAGCTAGGACCACAGGCATGCGCCACCATGCCCGGCTAATTTTTATATTTTTTGTAGAGATAGGGTCTCACTTTGTTGCCTAGGCCGCTCTCGAACTTCCGAGCTCAAGCAATCCATTTGCCTCGGCCTCCCAAAGTGCTGGGATTACAGGTGTGAGCCACTGCACCGGGACTATTTTTTTCTTTAGTGAAATATCTTAAAGAAAATCCCAGGCATGGTGACATATGACTAATAAATGTTTCAGAATGTATCTCTGAAAATAATTGGACATTTTTCTTATATGATCGCTTGACCATTATCACAATCACTTCTTAATCTCACCTAATACCAAGTTATATTCCAAGTTCTCCAGTTGTCCTCATACTGTCTTTTAAAGTTGGTTAGCCCGGGAACAGTGGCTCACACCTGTAATCCCAGCACTTTGGGAGGCCTGGGCTGGCCTCCATGCTTGAGCTCAGGACTTCAAGACCAGCCTGGGCAATATGGAGAAACCCTGTCTCTACGAAAAATACAAAACTTAGCCGGGTGTGGTACCACACTCCTATAATTCCAGTTACCTGGGAGACTGAGGTGGGAGGATCACCTGAGCCCAGGGAGGTCGAGGTTACAGTGAGCTGAGATCCCACCACTGCACTCCAGCCTGTGTAACAGAGTGAGGCCCTGTCTCAAAAAAATAAAATAAAATTTTGGTTTGTTTGTATCTAAATCCAGTAAGATCTACACATGGCATTTGGCTCTTTTAATCTGGTATTGTTCCCTGCCCTGCATCCCCCAACTTTTAAAATCATGTCAGTGACTTGTTTAAAGAAATCGGGTCAGTTGTCTCATGAAATGTCCTAAATTCTGTTTTATCTGTCTGTGTCCTCACATTGTCATTTAACTCCTCCTAACCCCTATATTTCCTAAAACATGGAAATTAGCACCAAAGGCTTGCAAACATTCAGGTTTATCATTTTCTGGCAAGTACCTCACAGGTAATGCTGGGTGCTTCATCCTGCTCCTATTCTGAAGCATGTCATGTCTGTTTGTCCTCTTTTAGCAATGCTAAGTACATCAGTGGGTTCAGATGTTGACAGCCTGACCCCTCCATCATCATCTTGCATTTTCCCCCTTCTCACTGGGAGAGAATCTGTGGGGCAACATGTTGACATCTTGCAATAGTCTAGCTCCCCAGAAGCCTCTCACCCAAAGGTTTTAGCAGCCATTGATGATTTTTGCCTGAATCAATTATTTTATTAGAGGTTGCAAAAGGCGATTTGCTATTTCTACTAAAATGAGTTTTACTGTTAAAAAGCAATAAACTTCATAAAATGTGATCAATCAGCTTCTTACCGATCTAGCTTCCAAATTCAGCTTGTGATATAAGAGAATCCCATAAAGACACCCGTATTGATTGATTACGTATTAAAAATAACTTCCCTGTTTGTTAGTACCGCATTCTGGAGAGCCCTCTGCCAACTCTGCTCTGTTGTCTTCCTTAGACCATAACCTCTGAGAATGCATAAAGTATGTGTGCACATATCTCTCTTGGTACAGGACCACATAGAATCAGGCTCTTACATGTCACAAAGTGTGTATTAAGTGGGCTGATAAGTGTATTTTACTCGCTAAGTGCTGTCAGTTATTTCTCTTTCTTTGGTCTCCTATTGATGGGGTTGTTCATAGTAATGGATGGGTTTTTAAAATTGTTTTGCCTGATTGTTTGATCTGATTATTTGATTTTTAATTGATGATTGTCTGCTTCTAGCCTTTTGATGGGTCCATTTTATTAAATGTTAAAAAATAATTTTAAGCAATAAACTAGACAAGCCTCTAGAGAACAGGCTTAGGCCTACAGTCAAAGGATTTGGGGATCTTAGGGCTGACAGGGATCAGAGAGGTCTCCTTATCCAATCCCCACCCAGTGCTGGGGCCTTGTCTGTAGATAGATGGCACCGCTACAAAACTGTCGCTGTGGATTAAACACACAGCCTCACTCATTTCAGAGACCACTCTGGGCTCTGGCAGGAAATTCCCAGACAGAGAGACAAAGTCTTTCACAGTCTTTCACTGTGGGGACACACTGACCAACTGATCTCCAAAAATCAAAGATATACAAAAGCAACCGATTCACAGCATGGAATTCTTTGTATGGTTTTTAATTTCAAGAAAAAGAGATAGGAAAGGAAAAATAACATTTTACCCAAAACAAAAGATCCACACAAGCCCACATTTTCCATTTCTTTTTTGGTGTGGGATGGAGACAAATTATTCATGGTTGCTCTGCAGGAGAGCTGGGAGTCTTTTTCATTTCTTTTCTCTTTTCTTTTTTTTCTTTCTTTTTTTTTTTTTTTTTTTTTTTTTTTTGAGATGGAGGCTGTCTCTGTCACCCAGGCTGGAGTTCAGTGGCACGATCTCGGCTCACTGCAACCTCCACATCCCGGGTTCCAGCAATTCTCCTGTCTCAGCCTCCTGAGTAGCTGGGACTACAATCGCATACCACCACACCTGGCTAATTTTTGTATTTTTAATAGAGACGGGGTTTCACCATATTGGTCAGGCTGGTCTTGAACTCCTGACCTTGTGATCCGCCCGCCTCAGCCTCCCAAAGTGCTGGGATTACAGGGGTAAGCCACCATGCCCGGCCGTCTTTTTCATTTCTGTAGCCCCACAGTCTTGCATATCCTACCTGGCACAGTAGTAATGCAAAATGAAAGTTTCTTGAAACATTGAATTTAAGAAGAGAAATCCGGCCAGGTGCAGTGACTCACACCTTTAATCTCAGCACTTTGGGAGGCCAAGGCAGGCGGATCACCTGAGGTCAGGAGTTTAAGACCAGCCTGGCCAACACAGTGAAACCCCGACTCTACTAAAAATACAAAAAATTAGCCGGGCGTGGTGGTGGGCGGCTATAATCCCAGCTTCTCAGGAGGCTGAGGCAGGAGAATTGCTTGAACCTGGGAGGCAGAGGTTGCAGTGAGCTAAGATCGTGCCACTACACTCCAGCCTGGGCAACAGAGTGAGACACGGTCTCAAAAAAAAAAAAAGAGAGAGAGAGAGAGAAGAGAAATCCACAACCATGGTAGAATTCAATTTTACTCTTAAAATTATAGCAAACATAGAATGCTTAATATGTGCCAGATAGTCATAGTCAACACATTTCACCCTCTCACAAACTCTGTGACTTAAGAAGTATCATCTCCTCCTCCTGTGATCTGAGGAGGATCCCAAGGGGAAAAGTAAGTGAGTAACATACCCAAGATCTCAAAGACAGTAAGAAGCAGAGCTGGAACTTGAACCCAGCTAGTGGCACTGGAGTTTGTGCCCTGAACGTCTATATATGGTTACTAAAAAGCACTTACACTCATTAGTATGCTCTTTTTTTTTTTTTTTTTTTTTGAGACAGAGTCTCGCTCTGTCACCCAGGCTGGAGTGCAGTGGCACGATCTCAGCTCACTGCAAACTCCACCTCCTGGGTTCACACCATTCTCCTGCCTCAGCCTCCCGAGTAGCTGGGACTACAGGCGCCTGCCACCACACCTGGCTAATTTTTTGTATTTTTTTAGTAGAGACGAGGTTTTACCATGTTAGCCTGGATGGTCTCGATCTCCTGACCTTGTGGTCTGCCCGCCTCAGCCTCCCAAAGTGCTGGGATTACAGGCATGAGCCACCGCAACTGGCCTAGTGTGCTCTATTTCTTTTCAAAGTGCGTTTTCCACAAGTCCACAGCTACTGCTTTTGAGGAGGTTTCAATCTTTTGAAGGAGAACATAACAGGCGAGAGAATCACACAGGGTGGTGAGGGGGAAGAACCCAAAAGAGGGTGATGGATGCAGGGGAATTTTTTCAGTTTGAAACAGACACTCAAAATTAGTCCCAAATTAGATAGAAATGATGTTTGTTATGGTATATTTATAAAAGCAGAGGCTCCTGAGCAACATAAATGTCTAATCATGGAAGAATGGTTAGTTATACTGTGGTCTATACACTGAATGACGCCTTTAAAAATGACAACTATGAAATCTATATAGTGGCACAGGAAAATGTTTATAATATGTTCTGCAAAATAATAAAGCTGGACACGACACGATCTCAGCAATGTAAAATGTGACCATGTGGAGAAGGGTTAAGAGGATGGGCAAAAATGAAAATTATTGCAATTAGGGTGCAGGATCTTGAGTTAGTTCACTCTTGATATTATATTTTCTCTCTTTATGATAATAATAATTTTAGAAATTGAAACCTGAGAAGGCTCGACACGGTGGCTCACACCCGTAATCCCAGCACTTTGGGAGGCCAAGATGGGAGGATAGCTTGAGCCCCGGAGTTTGAGACCAGCCTGGGCAAAATGGACAGACCCCATCTCTACAAAACAAATTTTTAAATAATTAGCCAGGAGTGATGGTGTGTGTGCCTGTGGTCCCAGCTACTTGGGCTGAGGCAGGAGGATGGCTTAAGCCTGGGATTTCGAGGCTGCAGTGAGCTATGATTGTGCCACTGCACTCCAGCCTGGGCAACAAAGCAAGACCCCATTTCTTAGAAAAAGAAAAGAAAGGAAAAAGAAACCTACGAAGATTTGGGACAATTGGCTATATAAAGAATAAGACTTTGCCTACAAAGAAACGGAATTCAGAGTGCCCTGTGACCTTCCTTATCCTGCCACTCTGTGTTTGTGGGACCCAGAATAAGAGCAGCCCATGGCACAACCTGCTTGCTTAAGGTTATTCAGAAGCAGAGATGATGAATAGAAAGAAATGGTTGCATGCACAGCATGAAGACAGTCATTTTCAGAGCAGGGCAGCAATTAATCACCCCTTGTCTAGCACATCTCCCTGAGGCAAACCACAGTCTCCATCCAGACACTGGCAGCTGTTGTCTGAGGTCCATCGAAGCCCATTGAAGCCCTGCCCGTCTTTCCCCAGCTCTCTCATTCACTGCTGGGACTACCAGGCAACCCTGGGGTTTGTGGGTTTCTCCCCAGTCCTGCCCCTATCACCCCTGGGAAGAGCCCCATTTCTCTCTCAATCCAATGCCCCAACAATTTACTGTCCATGTCCGTAGGACAGGGATTCTGATTTTTTTGAGAACAAAAGCGGGGTAATTTCCATGCTGGGCAACAGCCTTGACTCTGGCACACTTGGTTTAGTACCAATTAGTGAGAAACAGGGTTAGCGGGCACTAGAAAACTGGTGGAAGTTGGAAGGTGGGTTGAGCTGTGGCCCATGAAGCCACAATTTTCAGCCCTGCCCTGTGTGTGTGTGATCCTGGCAAGTCAACTGAGCTCTTGGAGTTCTAACTCTCCTATCTAAAATGGGGATAATAACACAGGTTCTTTAGGCAAGATACTTTGGGAAAGTTATATAAACTCTCCAGAACTCATTTTTTTAATCTGTAGAATAGAAACAATAATATTATATACCCCATAAAGTTATTGTGAGGATTAATAATATTATATAAATATATATATAAAGTAAGAACTTTAGCTCAGAGCCTCTCAACTGCGCTCAGTAAATATTAGCTATTATCTTGACATCTACTTCAGAGGGATATTGTAATGAGATATTATGTATAAAAGGCTTTTGTCTTTGAAATAATATAACAAGATAGTAAATATTTTCTTTTTAAGTTGGGCAGACACCAAACTGACAAATTTTTTTTTGTTTTGTCTTTTTTTTTTTTTCAGGCAGAGTTTTGCTCTTGTTGCCCAGGCTGGAGTGCAGTGGTGTGATCTCAGCTCACTGCAACCTCCGCCTCCCCGCCTCAAGCAATTCTCCTGCCTCAGCCTCCCAAGTAGCTGGGATTACAGGTGCCCGACACCACACCCCGCTAATTTTTTTGTATTTTTAGTAGAGTCGGGGTTTCACCATGTTGGCCAGGCTGATCTTGTACTCCTGGCCTCAGGTGATCTGCCTGCCTTGGCCTCCCAAAGTGCTGGGATTACAGGCATGAGCCACTGCACCTGGCCATTTTTAATTTTTTTAGAGACAGAGTCTCACTATGATGCCCAGACCAGTCTCGAACTGCTGGGCTCAAGCGATCTTCCCACCTCGGCCTCCCAAAGTGCTAGGATTACAGATGTGAGCTACCCATGCCCAGGCTGCTTTTAAAACATTTGCAGCTGGGTGTGGTGGCTCATGCCTGTAATCCCAACACTTTGGGAAACCGAGGTGGGTGGATCACTTGAGCTCAGGAGTTTGAGACCAGCCTGGCCAACATGGTGAAACTCCGTCTCTACTAAAAATACAAAAATTAGCTGGACATGGTGGCGCGTGCCTGTAATCCCAGCTACTTGGAAGGCTGAGGTAGGAGAATCACTTGAACCCAGGAGGTGGAGGTTGAAGTAAGCTGAGATCGTGTCACTGCACTCCAGCCTGGGTGACAGAGTGAGACTCTGTCTCAAAAAAAGAATTTTTTCTTAATATGCTACACAGGTATAAGTGGTGATTATTACCTTAAGTGACCCCCATTTCTGGCCCTCAGTCTCCTCGTTCTCAGAATGGACAAAATGAGCTTCTGTCCTTAAAGCACTGTGATGGATGTAAATATGAATCTCAGGCAGTGCCCACTTTCATGGAAGATGTACTTACACACTCAATAAATACTTTTTGATGTTCATGATGATGAAGAGGAGGGGTGATTTCACATCATTGCTTTCTCCTTTCCTCTCACATCCCAAGCATTTCCTGGTCTTTTCATCATTTGCACCTTTTGCCCCATCATTTGGGGGTGATGGGATAAGTATGTCTTGTGGCCACTCGGCCCAGGTAGGACAGGGAGTTAGCCCCAGTAAGCTCTAACAAGCAAGACGTACTCACAAGTGTCCAGAGTCCTCACTCTGCCTTCAGAGTGGTGTGGGGCTGAGTCATATCACCAAGTGCCACCCCTGGAGCTCTGCCATTCTGCTGAACTCCCCAAATCACTCATCAACCCAAGTGCCCTGGGTTCCCACACTGTGCCCCAAGAAAGCACCCAAGGGGTTGAGAGAGGTGAGGAGGAAGCCCAGAATTAGTCACAAGAAGCAAATCAGAATCACACACAGCCAGTGTGCCCAGCCTTAGCCTAGATGCTGACCTTTTGAAAACCCAGAGTGGCTCCACCCCATCTCCTCTCCATGGCTACAAGGATTGGGATGGGGTAGCCCGGCCTGGAACAAGCTAATCCTGAGGGTATGTTGTCTAAAACTCCTGCAGTATGTTTGTCTAAAACACCACAGCTTACAAAGTACTTTCAAGATTATTTCCTTTGATCTGTGAGGCAGCCTGAGGAGATATTATCATCTTCATCCTTTAGATGAAGAAAGTGAGTCTCAAGAAAGGTAAGCGAGGTGGCCAAGGACAGGCAGCTTGTTATGAGCTCCAGTGCTTTGGTAGCTTCGTTGCTATTTGTTAACTGCCCTTTAAAAGAAGCTTATAGGGGCCAGGCATGGTGGCTCACGCCTGTAATCTCAGCACTTTGGGTGGCTAAGGTGGGTGGATCACCTAAGGTCAGGAGTTCAAGACCAGCCTGGCCAACATGGTGAAACCCCATCTCTACTAAAAATATTAAAAAATTGGCGGGAGCCTGTAATCCCAGCTACTTGGGAGGCTGAGGCAGGAGAATTGTTTGAACCAGGGAGGAGGAGGTTGCAGTGAGCTGAGATCCCATCATTGTACTCCAGCCTGGGTGACAGAGCATGACTCTGTCTCAAAAAAAAAAAAGAAGCTTATAAACCCAGGCACAGTGGTTCATGCCTGTAATCCTAGCAAACCTTGGGAGGCCAAGGTGGGGGGATCACTTGAGGCCAGGAGGTGGAGGCTGCAGCAAGCTATGATTGCACAGGAAGACTGTCTCTTTAAAAAAAAAAAAAAAGCTCATAGAACATTTAAAAGTAAAGAAATGGAGGGGAAAAAGGATCTAAAATCCACTTACTCTAACACAATCATACACAATCATTATCATTAATGATTATTGTATTTCTTCCTAGCCTTTTTTTGCAAGTCCTTTAACAATCCATAGCTGTTACACATAAAATGCAATAGCCTTCCTTTTACTCTTCACATTCTATGACATTATTTCATATCATGACATGGTCCTGATGATCATTCATTCAACAGGTAGTTAGTGAGTGCCTGAGATGTGCAGGCATGCTCCAGGCACTGGGAACACAGCCTTGAACCAACAGACAAAACCGTCTGCATGCATGGAGCTTGCATCCTGACAGGAGGGACAAGCAAGAAACGAAGAAATAAATCGACAGCATTCCATTAGTTAGCACCTAGATAAAAGAGATATACCTATAGTGTTCAAAGCTTGAGCTATGAGAAATAAAAGAGCAAAAGATCGTTTTCATCAAAAGGACTATGAAGCATGTTATGTTTTACTTAACAAAACCAGTGCTAACCATGTTACATCCTCCAGACTTGAAGTGTGTGGGTGTGTTTAACAGACACAATTTTACCTTTTTTTCCCTTTTAAGTTATCCGTCAACATTTTTCAGTCTCTCTTTAAAGAGCATCTTAAATTTGCATAATAGTCATTCATCTTAATAAAAACATTACACTGTTGTTGGACATTGTTGTTTCCTTTCAGGTTTAACTCTTTAAAAACTTCTCTAACTCAGCCGCAGGGTGCACTGCCTCATGCCTGTAGTCCCGGCACTTCAGGAGGCCAAGGTGGGTGGATCACGAGGTCAAGAGACTGAGACCATTCTGGCTAACATGGTGAAACCCTGTCTCTACTAAAAGTACAAAAAATTAGCCGGGCGTGGTGGTGCACACCTGTATTCCCAGCTACTTGGGAGGCTGAGGCAGGAGAATCGCTTGAACCCAGGAGGTGGAGGTTGCAGTGAGCCGAGATCACACCACTGCACTCCAGCCTGGGCAACAGAGCAAGATCCCATCTCAAAAAAACAAAAAACGAAAACAAAACAAAAAAACTTCTATAACTCAGTGCAGAATCGTTTAAATTTAGTACTGTTGCATTAGAAGAGAGTGGCAGAAGCAAAACTACAGGGTCGAAGGGTATAAACATTTTAAATAAACAGGATATGAAAAGTTCTAAAGCTCTTGATGAAGATTGACAATTGCTTTCTAAAGGAATCTACTCTCACCAGCCACATATGTGGGAATGCTCGTTTAACCAGTTCCTCGATGAATCTGAGCCTCATCTTCCCCAGTGGGAGATGGGAGCTCACTGATCCTCTTTCATTTTTGTCTGAATTTAAGGGAAAATTTCCAAAGGACACATGGTAGACCAGTTCCGTGATCTACTCAAACAAAGGGCGGAAACTGTCTCTCCACATTGCAGAGTTCCACAGCAGGAGGGGAATGCTGAGTTTCAATAGCTACTGCAGGAGGGGAGACGAAAACCCACCAGGGCATGGAGAAGTCTTCTTTCTTCCTGTCTGTTTTCAGGGAACTCAACTAGTCAGTAAGTCAGAAGCAGCAACTTGGCAGGGGTGGAGGTGGGGGCTCAGTCCCAATAGCCTAGAAAAGTGCCTCCTCTGTACTCTGAGATCTTGTCACACACAAACCCAGATGAGAATCAGCTTCCCTGCCCTGAAAATTCTGGGGTCTCAGCCCCATGAAAAAATAATTTCTTGCCTCGGAGAGCAATCGTGAGGATAGGAAGGGCCAAGACTTAACTGAACTCTCAAACACCGAAGTGCCTGAAATGTGTCCTGCTGGCAGAGGTGACCTCACAGGCTGCAAGGCTTGCCTCTCTTGGAGTATATGGTAGGAACATGCAGAGATGCACTTTTTGGCAGGCTGACCTAGGAGAGCCGATGTTCAATCCAAGCAGCTCCAAATGCTGAAGAGAATACAGGGGTATTTGATGGGGGGATGGGATGGATAGCCTGCGACAGAATGCCAGCCTTCAGACCCAACCTAGTGCTGAGGTGCTGATGTGCGTGCACACCCACCCGTTCCCCCAGAGCTTGCAACATCAAGACTGGCCTGTGGGGATCTGGCTAGGATGTGCACTGACTGAAATGTCTTTAGGCCAAATCCTCTTAAATCAAAAGTATAAACAGTGAATTTCCAAACCCTACAGAAACCTCAAATGAGAAATGACAGAGTCAGAAAATGGCTAATCCTCCAAGTTTGTACTGGAAGGTCTGAAAAAAGATAGAAAAAAAAAGGGGGGGCCTGGTATATATTTGAAAATCCAAAATGACACATCTTCTCTTGGAAGTGACACTTGGCTGGCAGATGCCCTTATATAAATATATTTTCTTTCGGTAATTTTCAAAATGTGAAATGTCCTTAAAAATAAGAATAAATGACTTGCTTCCTCCTGTGGGATTACTGCACCTGCAGAGTGCAGCCAGCTCTCATGCTCCCAGACACCACCCCAAATCCTCATCATCCTGAGATCAACCTCAACTACTGTGTTGAGTTTTGTCTCACCCAGTGTACGACCCGCCTCCTGATATGCATTTCACTCCCACTGCTCAAGCAAAGACGGTTGTCAAGACAGGGCTAGCAAGAGTGTTTATTGAGAAAGATGAATTCACAGAGATTTTGAGGTTCCTGGCTGAGTGATGGAGACCTCAAAAAACGCCTGGTGAGCGATTTCAGGACCTTCTGTCCAGAGGGAAAGACCAGAACAACTTCCAGGTGAGTCCTGCCGCTTCACAGGGGGAGAAGTGTCACCAGATTCAATGCAAGGGTTTTGTGAGTGAGAAGGGCAGGGGGTCTGACTTGGAGAAGGTATTTCTCTGAAAGCAACGGCTATTGTGGGAGACGGGAGAAAGCACAGCCAGAAATCAGAATGGCATTTGGGGGTCTGGGTTAGATATTCTGGTGGGTTCTCTTCCCGATGGGACAGAGAAGGAAACCCACTTCCCTTCTGTCTACTTGGTGAATCTGCGGGTCTCCGAGTTGCTGTCTGCTACATCTCATAGCACCTATCTTGGACTGGACAAAATTAGCTCAGGTACCCTGCAGGCTGAGAGGGAACAGCTAGTCACAGGAGCCTGGTTTAGGGGAGTTCAATTGTTCTGAGGTTCCGGGGAAACCGATGGAGGAGGCCTTGGGAGTCCAGGCAGCGCGCGAGGAAATGCGATGCCGGCCCGAGCAGCTTGCTGCCGCCAGAACAGGCGCGTCTGGGGAGCTCAGTCCCCTCCGGGACCTCTGGCCTCCTCTCGATGCTCCGCTGCCGCCCACCTCCAGCGGCCCGGGGCAGCTACCAGGAGGCCGAGGCAGTGTTCGCGGCCTGGGCCCGGCAACGGAACACGGAACTGTCGTCCCTGGAGAGCGAGGAGGCTGAGCTGATCCTTCGCGCCAGGCGGCCGGTGCGCCCGCAGGCCCCGTCCAGCGCCCGGGCTCGGAATGAGCGGTCCAGCAGGAGGTAGATGAGCGGGTTGGCGCAGCTGTTGACGAAGGCCAGGCAGGTGGCAATGGTGAGGCCCCAGCGCAGCGCCAGCAGCAGGGGGCACGGCAGCGGCAGCGCCCCCAGACGCGCCAGGTGGAAGACGGCCCGCAGGGCGCTGAAGGGCAGCCAGGAGCCCACAAACGTGCTCTCGATGGCGAAGATGATGCGCAGCGAGTTCCTCCGGGCCCGACCCACGTGCGGCGGCCGTCGCAGGCGGCGCGAGATGCGGCAGTAGCAGAAGAGGGTGACGACCAGGGGCAGCACGAAGGTCAGCAGCAGCAGCAGCAAGCTGAGGCCCTGGAAGGCGTGGGAGGGCTCCTCGCCGCACTGGCTGTCCTGGCCCCCAGGCAGGGGCTGCAACCCCCGGTAGACCAGGGAGGGCAGGCCGGCCAGCAGCGCCACGGCCCAGACGCCGCAGCACGAGGCCAGCGCGCAGCGCGGGGTGCGCAGTGGCCTCGCCTCGAGCAGCTTCACCACGGCCAGGTAGCGGTCCACGCTCATGCCCGCCAGCAGCAGCGCGCCCGCGCAGCGCGTGCCCGCCAGCGCGAAGCTGCTGAGCTTGCAGAGGCCATCGCCGAACGGCCAGCGGCCGCCTAGCGCCGCCGCCGCGGCCCACAGCGGCAGCGTGAGCACGAAGCCCAGGTCAGCTGCCGCCAGGTGCAGCACGAAGGTATCCACCAGCCGCCGCGGGCCCCGCCGCCCGGCCAGCAGCCACACCACAAAGGCGTTGCCCAGCAGGCCCACGGCGAAGGCCGCCAGGTAGAGCGCGGGGATGTAGACGTAGCCGTAGGGCAGGTCCCCGGCCGGACACAGCTCCAGCTCCTCCAGGCCGTCCAACCCCGAGTAGTCCCAGGGCGCTGACCCCGGGCTGGGGCTCCAGGGCTCTGTGGGGGCCATGGCCTGGCTATGAGGCCTGCGCGGAGTGCAGCCCTGGGCGCAGGCGGCAGCAGCTCTGAGCAGGAGGGGGTTTGCTCTTCACGCCCGGCCCTGCACCTCCCTTCCTGCCACCCAAGCCGGAGGCAAATGGGTGGGCAGGAAAGAGGGGAGGGAGGAGGGGATGGGGTGGGAGGGGCAGGCTTCTGTGAGAGAGATGGTGGCCTCCGATTTGGGGCTGACCCGAGGGGTAAGGGCAGGGACAGGCAAAAGGGGCTTCACATCTAAATCTTGGGAGGAAAAGTCTTCAGGGCTGGGAGACCTGCCCGGCCTCCCAGTAGGAGCGTGGCCCATTCCTCTATTAGTTGCTCAGTTTCTTTGTTCGTGAAATCGGGATACTTGCCCCACTGTCTCAGGGTCGCGTTGCAAGAGGTGGTGGGTGCCCGAGAGCCCTAACCTCTTCTCAGCCTCCACTTCACCCCTTCCCACCTGCACCCACCGGCTGCTGTCTTCTCTGTTTTAGAGGTGAGAAGACAGAGCCCCGGGATTTTATGAGTATGGGGCCTAAGGCACGCCCCACCCCAAATCCACCTGTTCCCTAGGAAAGACTCCACTGCCGGGACACAGCAGATCTGGGTGGGTGGGGGAGCCCGCCCTGGGCAGTCAAGCAGTTGTTAGCGTCCTGAGATGTGGGGCTCATGTCTTCACCCTATGAGTGGCTTCTCTGACCCAGTCAGGTCCTCATGAAGCCACGCGAAAGGGTTTTAAGGCAGCGAGGAAGGGGTGTAGTCAGATCATCCTGCTGGAAAGGGGTGAAACCTGGGATTCACATCTGCCTCTTCCCTGTCTTCTCCTATCCTAAAAAACCTGTCAAGCCAGACACAGATGTAAGCTCAGTTCAAAAGATGACACCTAATGAAACACCAGATTAGTTGTCCTAAATTATGAGTCAGGAGCTTGGAGGCAGCAAGATCCCTTCTGAACTGAGAAACTGAGAGTAAGGGGAGGATTCATAAAGACGAGGGGGAATGAAGTCTGACCCTGAGGAGGCAGTGGGACCTAAGGAGGAGAGGATGGGTGAGGGAAAGCTTGCTCTTTCTCCTGAAGGAGGCATGCAGCCACTTACATCTGAATTCTTCTTAGCAGATATCCCTTCCACAAGATATTGTGGTAGAACTGATGTCACAGTGCCCTCTGAGTCTGTCCCCAGTGTTCCCAGGTATGAGTGGCTGATGTGCCGGGCAACCCGGTGTGGAAAATTTGAGGTGGATTATCAATTTTGTTCGATTAAGACTTGTTAACAATGAACTCCTCCATGAAGCAGGCACTGTTTCAGGCACTGCAAGAGATGCCATTCTTGGCCTTCGCAGTTTGTTGCATAGGCAGGAGAGATGGTTACATAAGCAGAATCTTATGTAATCTTATGCAGGGGCCAAATTGTAGTAAATGTTAAAAACCAAGCCCTCTTAGGGTTTAGTGGAGGGGGAGTGATTATTTTTGACGGGAGGGCTGAATCAGAAAAGGCCTTCGAGGAGATGACACTTGAGATCAGTCCCAGGAAGGAGCTGAAAGTCAAATAAGAGCAGCAGAAAAGAGAAGAAAGGGTCAGACTCGGAGGAGGGAGTAAAGGGAACAAGTATACCAAAATGAGTAGGAATGTGGGCTTTTCAGGGGACAAGCAGTCTGCCAGAGCCCAGGGTAGGAAGGTGGGGGCAGGAGATGAAGCAGGAAAGGATCATGAGGGGATTTGGATTTCAATCTATAGGTCATGGGGAGCCAGGAGGCATCGATCTGTGTTTTGAAAAGATCGCTGGCAGAACTATGGAGAAGGGAGAGGCTCAAGCCAGGGAGACCCCATAGTAGGTTGTAATTATTTGTGTCTGAAATAGATCATGAGCAGTGGGGACAGAAATGGGAGGGTATATTCAAGAGATAATTGTAACATCATAGGTCTCACAAAGAGGAGTCAAAGATAAGCCTGGGGTTTCTCTGCTTAGGGACTATATGGACGCTGTCCCCTTAACTGCCAAGAACACAGAGAGGCACATGTGTGTATGTGTTCAGTTTGATGTTGAAGTGGGGTCATGAAATAATTTATCATCTAACCAGGATGTTTCTGAGAGTGAAAGGGGCACTATCAGAATTAACCTGGGCCGTAAACCAGGACTATTTTGGGCAAACTGGGACATAAGGTCACCCTCGCTCAGGGTCCCTCTGGCACACGGAGATCCCCAGGAAGGATTTGGAAAATGGTCTTAGAGGCCGGGCGCAGTGGCTCACATCTAATCCCAGCACTTTGGGAGGCCGAGGTGGGTAGATCACTTCAAGTCAGGAGCTCGAGACCAGCCTGGCCAACATGGTGAAACCCTGTCTCTACTAAAAATGCAAAAATTAGCCGGGCACGGTACGCGCAAGTCCCAGCTACTCAGGAGGCTGAGGTGGGAGAATCGCTTGAACCCAGGAGCAAAGGTTGCAGTGAGCTGAGATCAAGCCACTGCACTCCAGCCTGGGTGAAAGAGCGAGACTCCATCTCAAAAAGAAAATGGTCCTAGAGCTCACAGAGGGTTGGGTATGCAGTGTTTAGGCTGCTCCTGTCAAGAATTTCTCCCACACCAATTACAAGATGGGCAGGGAAGAGAAGAGCCTAGGGAATGAATGGTCTGGACCTTCCCTTCACTGGCTTTTCAGCCTCCGGGCTTGGTTTTCCCCTGAAGACCCACCCCAGAGCCGCTTTTCTAATGTCTGAGCATGTGGTTGCTGGTGAGCGGTGCCCACATCCGGGGTGGAGTAGGGGGCTGCAGCCTCCTCCCCTAGAAGGCTAGCAGGGGCAGTGCTTGCCTGCCAGAGCCCAGAGACCATCAGAGACAGACCCAGTGTTGCTGGACTTCACCCCTTCAGGCACACCTCAGTCTGCGGGCTCAGAGAGTGTGAGTGATCCTGAAAGCTAGAGATGAACAGCAGAGAAGCCGCCGGGTGAAAACAAAGAATGGGGCAAGCAGACCAAGAGGGGAATATAGGAAGGGGGTTGAGGGGAAGTAGAAGTAGGTTATTTTAAAAATCACAGAGCTACTTGCTTCCTGGGCCATCATCTCATACCCAAGGGAAGTCTGTGGCCCAGAGCATATGCTGAATTTTCTCTGCTGAGGCCTGGGTGCTGTCCATGGGCCTTACTGAACTTGTCTGGATGAGAAGAAACAGCAAAGGTCAGAGCCAGGGACACTGCCTTAGGCCCGGTCTCCTGGGGTGCCCAGCCCGGTTTCAGTGACCAAGGCCAACTTCACAAGACTGCTCTTTCACCCTTCAGGAGGACTCCCCACAGGATTACACACAAGTCAACTAATAGAAACACTCACCCTTACAGGCTGGGAATCCTGGCCATGCTCTCTAACAGGTGTGGACAAAGCAGAAGAAGTCTTCCCTCTTCCTCCATCCCACCCCTGGGAGCCTTCTCTAACCTCCATCCCTAAGAGGACTTCCTCTCTCTGCACTGCTGGAGCCAGGGCAACTGTTACGTGGCTCCGTCTTGCCTTGCCCATGGGATTATGAACTTCTCAGGGCGAGGGGGAGCTTCTTTCTACTCATCAGGGTGATTAGCACAAGCCTGAAAACAGAGGAGATACTTTAAATAAATATCCAATGCTTCGGGCTAAATTGTTTTCGAGAGTAGGTTTATTTCTGCCCCTTTACAGGTTATATTTAAGTTCTTATAACTTATTTTTTCTAATTTTAATTTTTCTGTACAAAGAATCTTAACATTTTAAGTAAATTGTATTTGCCTTTTTATGTTTAATCATAAAAGCCATCTAATACATTACAGAATAAAGAAGTAGTCGTCATCTTGGACCTGCTACCCCTACACAACCAAACTTAGCCAGTGAAGGACATTTTCAAAAGTATTTATTTGTAATCTCATTATTTTTAGATTTTCTATTTTTAAATATTCCATTTCAGATATTCTTCACATTTTTTACACAGGTGTTTCAAAGTCGTATCTGTAATTAGAGTGTACACAGTATTCTCAATTAATATCATATAAATCCACATGAGTCTATGTTGCTTAATTTTCTAAACCCTTAAATATGGATATTTAGGATGTTTCTAGTATTTTTAACTGTTATAGAAATTTGTAATGAATAATTGCACTTATGACTTTTTTATATTGTTTTTATAACATAAATGCTCTTGTATAAGTACATATAAATATGTATTTATATACATATAAATATGTACAAATATAACATATTTATATAAATATGTATAAATATAACATTTATATAAATATGTTGTAAAACACGTTATAAATACAAATTTTGTAACAAAGGCAATGAAAATTTTTATTGCTTGATACAAATGTTTACAGTGATTAGCAGTTTAGAATGTCACTGGCATTGTATGAGAGTATAAGGTTCAACACAGTCTTCTTAGAGATGTTCATCGGTAACATATATTTTCCATTGTAATAGGCAGTGAGGTAAAATGGTACCTCATTTCAATTTGCACTTGTTTATAAATAAGATGGAAAATCTATTTATTTCCTAAGTGAACCATTCTAATCATGTCCTTCACATATTTATTATAATCTATGTATTTCTTATTAATTTGTACAAACTATATATTTAGGATGAGTCATGATTTATTCCACTTGATTCAAATATTTTTCCAAATTCTTTTCTTAGCTATTATTTATTTTAGTTTGACATTTTCATATAGTCAAATTTGTTGCTATTAGCAATTTCAGAGTTTAGAATGTTACTTTCTCTTTGACAATGTAAGAAGATTCAGTCTGTCATTAAAAAATAATTTTCATTAGTATTTTAAAATTTACCTGGTGTGTAATCGATGTTTTCATATTTCTATCCAGCTTTCCTAACATCATTTATTAAATTTAAAATATATATTTTTAAAACCTTGCTCTGTGTTGTGACATAGAATTTATTATATGCATTTCTTTTTTTTATTATATGCATTTCTTTTTTTTTTTTTTTAATAGACAGGGGCTTGTTCTGTTGCCCAGGCTGCAGTGTAGCCCAGTGTGATCATAGCTCACTGCAGCCTCAAATTCTTCAGCTCAGGCAATCCTCCTGCATCAGCCTCCTGAGAAGCTGGGACTACAGGTGCACAGCACCATGCCTGGCTAATGTTATTTTTTACCTTTTGTAGAGACACAGTTTCATTATATTGCCCAGGCTGATCTCAAATTCCTGGCTTCAAGCGATCCTCTCACCTTGGCCTCCCAAAATGCTGGGATTACAAGTGTGAGCCACTGTGCCCGGCCAATATCAATTTCTTATATGTCATTTTGTCTGTTTCTGATCAGTGAACACGCAGATCAGATTATTAGTGGTCAGAGTCCAGGTTAAATGTCAGCTTTATAACTTGATAGCTGTGTGATCTTGGGCTCCAGTTTCCACATCTTAAAATAGGCATGATAGTATCTACCCGATAGGGGTGTTGTGAAGATCAAATGAGGCACCCTTTGTGGAAGGTGCTGCCCATGCTGGGTCGGAGCTCATGGGCTCACTCCGTTCCCTGGCTGGCAGCATCGTGAAGAATGGCTCTAGTTTCTGGTGGTCCTGCTGCTAGACTCAGCTGCTTGCGCTGCTTCTCCTACCCTCCAGGTCACAGTGCTTTCTTTCCACATAGTGGGTGGTAAGTAAATGTTTTGGGGATTGGATTGGGAATCTATAAAGAGAGACTCCCAAGATTTGACTCTTCAAGATTTGACCACCACAGTGTCTGGTGCCTGGTATTATCCTAATGGTGATTTCTACAAGGTGACAGTCTGGATGCTGCAGAGAAACTGCTGACAGGACCCAAGCACAGACAGGTGGCCTTATGCCAAGTCAGTTGCGGATGACGGAGAGGTTAACAGTAACTTGAGTCCTGAGTGTGAGGAAAATCTTGCAAAGCCACATCTCTTTGTTTTTACAACCTCTCTCGATAAACACTGAACTGGGAATGGGGAGTCCTCTATTTTATTCACTATTACTGACTGGCTACCAAGATGAGGTTTCCCATAGACCACATAGCCCTGAGGCCGTGTGTGTGAGTGGGGTGGGGGGCGGGGGGCGGGGAGGGTGGTAGGGACAGGGTATTAGAGGACAGAAGACAGTAATAGCTCTTGCCCCTACCCTGCACCCTCAACATCTAAGGGAGGGCTGGCACACACCAGATGAGGAGCCCCACCCTGGATGCCAGAGGCCCTGCAGAATGTTTCAGATGTTCATTTACTTCAGAAACTTTCAGGTACTAAATACGGGGTAGCTGGGAAAGGGCATCATCTGAGTTAGACATGAGACTCGGCTTCAGCCCACACTGCTAAGGAGATGACTCAATGTGAAAGCCTTGTGGCCTGCAGCTGTGTGATTGTCCCAGGGCCCCCCATCTACCCCGGACATCATTGATGCCTCTTAGGGGACATGGGGGAGGGGGTCAGGGAAGGGAGGGGAGGCTGGAGGAGAAGAGTGTAGCTTTCAAGGAAAGTGAGACTCCTTTCTTCCACTGCAGGTTCCTGTAGCTCGAACGTTTTTTAAAGGTAAAAAAAAAACCATCAGAAACTTAAAAGACAAGCAATAGGGACATCCCCAATATAAAAATGGCCCCAGAATTTGTTTGGAAAGAAAGTAACGTTTTCTCTTTGTAGCAATTATTCTGCCCACAGGAGCTTCTAACCTATGATTTGCCATTACTTTTCAGTGATTTCACAGAGAGTTAGTGTAAATTTCCAAGTATTTGCAGGAGGAATTTGGCAGCATTCCCTTGGCATTGGTAGAGGGTCCCTCTACAGTGCTGTGATCCTGCTACTGATCAGTGAAACCAATTCTTTTTTTTTTTTGAGATGGAGTCCTGCTCTGTCACCCAGGCTAGGGTGCAGTGGTGCAATCTCGGCTCATTGCAGCCTCTGCCTCCTGGGTTCGAGTGATTCTCCTGCATCAGCCTCCTGAATAGCTGGGATTAGAGGCGTGCAACACCATGCCCAGCTAGTTTTTGTATTTTTAGTAGAGACAAGGCTTCACCATGCTGGCCAGACTGGTCTTGAACTCCTGACCTCAAGTGATCTGTCCACCTCAGCCTCCCAAAGTGCTGGGATTATAGGCGTGAGCCACTGCGCCCGGGCCAAAACCAATTCTTAATATCACATTTGATTCCAGTTGACTTTGTAAACAGCCCCTTCTTACTGTGGGGCAAGCACTGTTATTGGGTAATGTAACAGATACAAAGAATGTGACATGGTGCATCCTTACAGGAAGCTTACACATTATTGGAGATTAGCTATAATGTACAAATAACTTTGATATAAGGCAGATTGTGATATCCTGACTTCTATCAAGATTGAAGCAGGTCAGCTTTTCTGAAGAAAAAGGTCTGTGTATAGGAGCCGCCTGAAAAACAGGATCAAGACCTTTAGTGGTTCCAAGCACTGAACAGATTACCACCACCTCAACACCCCACCCCCATCCTCCCCGCAATTCAAAATAAAAACAATGTTGAACTTTTAAGATAAGTCTAAGAAAGTTAGATTTTGCAAGACACTTTGGAGGGTGAAATCGAATTAGGGTAAGACCACTTGAAGGTTCTTGCAGTTAGGCATAAGCTTTTGGTGCCTGGACTTGAAGCTGGTGGCAGCAGGGATGAGGAGCAGTTTCAAAGTAAAAATATTTGATAGGATTTGGTGGCTGTCTGTGCATGAGGCTGTCTTCTGTGTTAGACAAGGGATAAGACCTTTCAGTCTTGGTGGCTGGCTTTCAGGAAGGAGAGTTGCTTTTATAAGGAAGTTGTAAAATCAGGTTGACTTTTGGTTTTTAAACAGATTAAGTTGAGGATGACTTTGGAACTCCCAGGTGAAAATGTTGAGATGGCAGTTAGATGCATGAGTGGGCCCAGAGGAAGCTTTCAGGGCTGGAGATGTAGATTCTGAATGGAGGTGTCAGTCAAAGCTGATATTGAAGCCCTTCTTGGAAAGAGTGGAGACAGCAGAACATGAATAACTGAGCCTTGAGACTGGCCCATAATTTGTGAGAGGAGCTGGAGAGAGGTAAAAAGGAACAGTACATCATTGTGTCACGGTGACCAATAGGTCAGATTTTCAAGCTGCACCTGGGTCCTTTGAAATGGCATGAACCAGGGGGAGTCAGAGCAGAAAAGCCAACTTTGGGTTTGTATTTTGGGGGCAAAAATATCTATAGTAAGAAATGAAGGGTGACCTAGAAGAAATCAGAACATGTTTTGAATTTGATTTTGAATTTTGGGCCAGGACTGCATAGTCCTCCCTTCATGTATTCATTTGACGAATATTTATTGAATACCGATTGTGTTGAGACTATAAGGATAAAGAATCCAAGTACAAACTCATTTCGTAATGTATACAAAAATATCTGTACTTAGCCTCTGGCTAAGAAAGAGGATGCAGTTTAGTTAGTTTTGTTCTCATCATAAATGAGGACCTCAAGGCCCTATCAACAGAACTGATGTCTCTGCAATTCAAAATTCACTATTTATTTATTTTTTTAGAGATGGAGTCTCGCTCTGTTGCCCAGGCTGGAGTGCAGCAGAGCGATCTCAGCTAGCTGCAAGCTCCGCCTCCTGGGTTGACGCCATTCTTCTGCCTCAGCCTCCTGAGTAGCTAGGACTACAGGAGCCCGCCACCACACCCGGCTAAAGTTTTGTATTTTTAGTAGAGACGGGGTTTCACCGTGTTAACCAGGATGGTCTCGATCTCCTGACCTCGTGATCTGCCCGCCTCAGCCTCCCAAAGTGCTGGGATTACAGGCGTGAGCCACCGCGCCCGGCAAAATTCAGTATTTAAAGAATTAATGTGGTATCCTGTTGGCTGACAACGTAAGATAGTCTTTTTTTTTTTCCATACAGCAAGTCTTTTCATTTTTATTACTCAAAAAAGCTTCATTTTTTATTTAGCTTTCTGACTCTGCTTGTGCCTTCAACACTTTCACAACAATTTTCTGCTCCTTGATAAGGAAAGCACGCTTGATCCTGTCACAAACACATTTAGCACACATGGAACCAACATAGGCCCTGCTGACATGTTTCTTTGTTTTGGACAACCTCATAAGAACTTTAGGTCTTACAGCACAAACCCTTCAAAGTCTGCCTGGGCACACGCCACACGCAGATTTTGATGCTTTCCCAACCTTCTTGGTATAAAGGTAAACAATTCTATTACCAGGGGTTCGCGTAGTTTTGTTAGAGGCTGTATTGTAGGAAAGCCTATGACAGTATGTCAAATGCTGGACCATTCTGAGTGCCTGTAGACAAGTTCCCCAGGAAGAGCAGTCTTAAGTTCTTTATAGAGTTAGTTTTAGTAGAGTTAGTACCCTATAAAGTACATGAATTCTCTTGATGGACAAGAGGCTCTTACTGTTGACAAGACAAGGGCGCATCTGTCCTTTACTTTCGGTTCCATACCTCTAATACAGCACACGGTATATCCGTTGTTTGTAAAGGTCTAATGGCATCCACTTCAAGAGTTCCTTGATGGAAGAGAACTTACCTTTGTGACCTACCTAGCCCCTTTCATCTAATAACTGTTTCCTAGATAATTCTGATTAACCTATTATCAGAATTTGTTTTCACCACTTTTGCAGTTTTTCCATTCTCTCATCTTTATGAATCTAGATATTAAACAGCAGGTGAGCGTAACAGGCTGATTTTAGCTGTTGTGTTGATGATGGTTAACAGTCTTGGGCAAGAGAACAAAATCCACTTTAACCACAAGTTCTGAGTTTTCTACCAATGGTGAATACGTTATTAACTAGTAACAGCTGTGAGCCTTATTCTTATTCCACAACATGTACAACGCAGTGGGAAACTGTACCATATGGCACAGTAAGGGGATTTGAAACCAGAAGGCTTAGGTGCCACTTGTAATGCTGTCACTTACTAGCTTTGAGTCCCTGGGACAGCTACTAACCTTTTAAAGCCTCATCTTCCTCATCTGTAGAATGGAGACGTAAATGCTCACCTCCTCCCAGGCAGCAGTAAGTTAAAAGAGAAAGCAAAGCAAAGAATCTTTTAAATTATAAAGCAATTTTTTTTTTTTTTGAGACTGAGTCTCACTCTGTCACCCAGGTTGAAGTGCAGCAGCGCGATCTCGGGTTGAGAGCCACATTTCCTTTTCTATATAAACACACAAACCCTGAAGTATGAATAATAGGGTCGGCCAGGAATCACAGCAGCTGAATGTAACTGTGAAGTAGAGGTGCTGTAGACGATACTTGCCACCTGTGTTGGATGCCTCTAACACCTACTGAAGGCTGAATCACAGGTTCAATCACCTAAAACAACAGGTTGGGGTTAAGAAGAATCAAATGCATTAGTAGCCTAAGGTACCATGGTGGCTTTGCTTAATGTGTCCCCAAAAAAAAAAAAAAAAAAAAACCTTAGTGGGTCTTAAAACATTTCTTAATTTGCTTTTCACCTCTTTGATGGAAAATAATTGCCCCCTATTTTCCTGACATAAATAAGCCACTGTAGATGGAATAAAGTTATCTGATTTTAGCTGTTGTTGTGACACATATCACCACAGTGATTTAAACACATGTACAAAACTAATCTGTGTTGTCTAAGCATGTGGCCTTGAGTTGCTAGAAGACCTACATGCCCACAGGGGCAAAAAGGAAGTGACTGAAACTAGATTCTAGATCTCCTTATTTGAAGAGCAACTCTGACATACCAATCTGTGTACTTCCCCCACCCCCATCAAATTAGGCAAAATCATTAATATCTCATTTGTTTCTTTTGAGAAGATACCTATTTCTTAAGCATCTATATACTTCTAAGGGACGACAGAATTTCACACTCATTTTATAGATGTGTTTCTCCAATAGCCAATTCCTAGGTCATAACATTACAGCTACATTTCCTTTGCTGAATTTTATTATCATCTTTCTGTGTAGACAGATCATGAAATAAAGGTGTTTGTTCCTATTCACTACAGAATATTTTCCTCTGCCCTAGTTAAGAAGTATCAATTTCAGTCATAAGGCAACACATTCTTATTGTGTGGGGGCTCTAGGGTTTGTGTACACTTTTTTTTTTTTTTTTTTTTTTTTTGAGACACAGCCTCACTCTGTCACCCAGGCTGGACTGCAGAGGTGCGATCTTGGCTCACAGCAACCTCCGCCTCCTGGGTTCAAGCAATTTTTCTGCCTCATGTTCCTGAGTACCTGGGATTACAGGCGTATGCCACCATGCCTGGCTAATTTTTATTTTTTAGTAGAGACAGGGTTTCGCCGTGTTGGCCAGGCTGGTCTCAAAACTCCTGACCTCAAGTGATCTGCCTGCCTTGGCCTCCCGAAGTGCTGGGATTATAGGCATGAGCCACCACCATACCTGGCATTGTGTACATTTTTCTAATGTTGCCTGGGTCTTAGGGTTTTTTTTTTTTTTTTTTTTGAGACGGAGTCTCGCTCTGTCGCCCAGGCTGGAGTGCAGTGGTGCAATCTCGGCTCACTGCAAGCTCTGCCTCCCGGGTTCATGCCATTCTCCTGTCTCAGCCTCCCAAGTAGCTGTGACTACAGGTGCCCGCTACCAGGCCTGGCTAATTTTTTTTGTATTTTTAGTAGAGACGGGGTTTCACCATGTTAGCCAGGATGGTCTCGATCCCCTGACCTCGTGATCCGCCCACTTCGGCCTCCCAAAGTGCTGGGATTACAGGCGTGAGCCACCGCGCCCGGCCGGGTTAAATATTTTTATTTCTGAAAATTAAAGTACTGGAAATATTGTGGAAATATAGCTGTGCTCTGAAGTTACAGAACCTATCAAAAAGGTCCCAAGCTAGAAAACCACATTTATGTCTACTAACCAGATATTTCTTCAGGTATATAATTAGGCATGACGATTATTTTATAGTTTTGTTATCAGATCTCTTTTTTCTTAAAAAACACCTTTTTCTTTACTCTGTTCTGAGTAAGTAGAATCAGCAAAATCAAAGTGAAACTTACAAAATAATGGTCAAGAACTAGCTTCTCATGGCTACTCCAGATCAGTGAGTTCACTGGCCATTCAGTTTCAAAGACATAGAGCACTAGTTCTGGTACAATATAACTATCAATTCACCAAAAGATAGTGAATTAGTATGAGCAAGATTAACATAAGATAAGCACATTTATAAATCATACTATGTAGACCGTCTGTGCTAAGCATAGAAAGTTACCGACTTTTTAACATTGCCCTAAGTTAGTATTTTTAAAAGGCTAATTATTTCAAGTTGCCTGTTATGAATATTCAAGTTATTAAATTTAAACATAGGTTAGGGGATAGAAAAACTGTATGAGTTATCTCAAGTTCAAATAATTTTACCAAAAACTACATTTTATTCAAGAAACAGAAAAGGAGTCATTTG
This sequence comes from Homo sapiens, assembly GCF_000001405.40. Lineage (NCBI taxonomy): Eukaryota > Metazoa > Chordata > Mammalia > Primates > Hominidae > Homo > Homo sapiens. The sequence continues at coordinate 200,860,700 of NC_000001.11, read as the reverse complement.
GTGCCATGCTTTTATTCAAATGAAAGGGGAAAAACTACACTGTACCAGGAAATAGCAAGTATGACAGTATTTTACAGCACAGCATCTTAAAAAACAAAAAACCTGTAAGCAATGCTCTAGAGTGGACAGGTAAGCACACCATACACTGTACATTGCTCAACAGTGTCCATGAAACCATAATTAAATAGCTGAATTTGGCTTTAAACAGCCAAATAAAACTGTAACAGTCATTCTAATACAAAACGGAAAAACCAAGAACTAAATCTTTCCAAAGCTGTGTCAAATAGCAGAATTTGACAGGCTGCACTGGTAACCACGACAAATGTTTGGCAAACTTAATGGAATAGTTATCATAATAATTTGACCTCTGATGATGAAAGCACCAGTGTGTTTCAGTAAGGTTGACGAAAATCCTCAGACTTTATGAAATGGCATATTTTTCAACTGTATAATTTTAAAAACATAATTAAAAAAAAGCTGCACCATAATAAAAAAATCTGCAGACTTAAAGAAATATATCCATATTCCTTCTGCATTAATAAAGTAAAATCTTATACTGAGAGCAATGAACTCTGTGGCAATATTCACATTCTACCTTTAGACCTTATAGACATTCAATTCAACTGTTGGACACACACAAATTTAAGAATAAAGGGTGGTCCTGTTTAGTTTTAAAGTTTCTCCATTGTCTTGCATCCAATTTTCTTTATTTAATAGCGAAGTAATATCACAAAGATTGCTTTGATGAGGGAAATTTAGTTAATATTGAAATGAACAAATTTAGTAACGTAAAATGCTTATTAAATTATCCTTTTGACTACTATTCACATTTTGATTAGATTCATTTATAATTTTTTAAACTAGTTTTAATCTAAACGTGTATTTGACTATCATTTCCTTCTAACTGTGATAGAAATTACTGTCCAAAAGGTAAAATGTGCAATTCCCCATTTTTAATATCCATATGTTATATACACAATATGTATACACTTAAAATATAAGAGTTACATATCCTGGTCTCTTACATGCAAACAGTAGATCACAAATAGTTTTGAGCTACACATGTATCTTGCACAGGTATTGGAAAAAAATCTGTGAAATTTTTTTACAGTTTTAACAAATATACATAAATATAAGAACATAAATTACAGTAAAATATTGACAGCATTTGAGAAAATGTTGATAACCCAGATGCACTGATGCCTAAAGGCCTTATAATAATAGAAAAGTACAGCTCAGGGACATCTCATTCCTATTCTTTTTTTTAAAATAAGTAAATACATCATATGAGACATTAGTTCTTTCTCTAAACAACTCAATTAGAGAAATGTATATATTTTTATCTCTACTTCCCATGAAAGAAAACAAACTACGCATCTCATTTATGATACAATACTGTCTTCCCCCGCTAGTTTACACATTTGTCACAACACTGAAATATAACAGGGTCACATAATCATTCAAGTCTTTTCCTGAGAATGAAGTTTTTCCCCAACTAACCCTCTGGTATACACTGTTAAAGAACAAAGATCATGTAGAGGAGATTTCAAGTGTATACTTATTCTAAGCCATTCCACTTGAAAAGGATTAAAATGAAGAAAAACCCAATATAAGTAAAATAATGTGAAGCTATTTTAAAATTAAAATGTAGCCCTTTGTACATGTTTAAAAATTCTAAATATAATTTTTATATGAGTTATAAATATAATGTAAAGACTTCTTGAGAACTTGTTTCAGGAAGTCTTACATCTTCAGATTGAAAGACTACTCTCAAAGTGTCATTCACTTCTGCCAACTTATAAAGTGACTTACTTTAAAAGAGATAGAAAGCCTTTTTTGTTAAAAGAACAATCTAAATTATTCTGAGTTGGCCAGAAGTGGTGTAAAAACAGCACTGATTTAATCAGCAACTTCTCATAACATATTCTTGGTTAAGCTCATGTGGTTTAAAGCGAACCTACTAGCAGCTCTTTACAACACCTCCTCTTATTTAATAGAGAATGTTAATACTTGAGTGAATAATAAATAGAGTTGTAAATACTTAGCAGAATAATTTTTGCAAATGCTGTAACACCATTAAAATATGAGGGTTACTGTAAAACTAAACACTAGTGTTTCTCTTAACATCATAAGAAAGGTGCGAGTTACTTCTAAAGGTATATTTCCTACTTTCATGATCTCCACATGAAATAAAATACAAAGGTATCTTAGAATAAACCCCCAGGAGAGAAAAATAGCAAACCATCTGAAGACAAGAATATACATTAAAAGGTTAAAAAAAAGCAACAAATAAAACACATAATTTGTAATCTTAACCATATTTCAATGATAAATCCAACTAATATCCATGAAAATTCAGTGCTTTAATGTATCTAATATCAAGCAGGTGAACCTGATAACACATACAAATCTCCATTTGTGAATTAAAACATTTCCTTCATCATTTGGACTTATCACTTAATTGAGAATGTTCTGCACTCCAAAATACTGTGGTTTACATTCCAGTTGTTCATGACAACAGAGCTTAATGTCCAGTTTTAATTAATAAAAGTCTTGTTGGCAATTAGAAAGATTTTCTATAGGCAGGAAAGATGAAGTGCAAATTTACCATGAATGTTCTGAAGCAAGTATTTCCCAACTTCTATGCCTTAGTGGGTAAAAGTTTTTTGGGTGTTACTGGTCTTTTGGTCTGCCATAAATGGCTATGAATGGTAATTGCATCAACACTGGCAGATAAAGTTTTAGCGGGTATGTGGCTAAACTGTTTCCTGTCAGAATTATATTTGTAAAGTCCTTCAATCATTTTTTTAGTGATAGATTTAGGGCCTATCCCAGTCAGTTTATTGATTTCTTCAGTTTCTGGGCAATAAGTGTATAAAGATCTGAACTGGCATCCTGAATCCCGGAACAAGATTAAGAAGTTGTTGGCATCTGATTTCTCCATTTCCTTTAAAATAAAAAACAAAAACAACATAACAACACGAATAAAAACCCTTTATTTTGCTGAATAAAGTTTATATAATTATGTTACGTTTCTTAGTCACATTTTATAACATTATTTCAATGACAAATCTTAAAGCCTATTGCTAGTCTTTAATAAAATCTGCAGGCTTCCAGAACCTAATGTGAAAATAAACTAAATCTGATAATTAAAACATCTAGCTACAGATCTTTTTACATGCTGTTGAAAGTCTAGGCCCATGAGAGTACATTCTCTTGAATGGATAAAAGACTTCTACAGTTTGCCAAATTTAATTTTCATGCAAACATGCTTACCTCCAGTATTTTTTTCTTCTGACCTTCATTTACTTTTCCAGCCAAACAGCAATGAGCTAAAGCATTTTGTATTATGTGCTTATTGGATTTTGCACTGGGTTCTTTGTAGAGCTTTGGTCCTATGGTAGGGATTTAACAACAATAATAAAAATAACATTCCTAAGTCAGAAATACTACTATTTTAAAATGATGTAATTGTTCCTACACTGCTGAAATATTGTAATAGAAGACCAAATTCTGTGCTTAAAGGCCTCTTACTGGCTGCAATCCAACCAAAACATTGTTTTATCCACCCAGAGATATGGAGGATGTTCCTATGGCCTTTTGGAGTACCCTGTGAGAGCAGTACTAAAAATAAAATATTGCTATAACTGTCATACTGCCTATTTAACCTTCTTTCTTAAATCTATACGGTTACTGGTTAGCTTAGAGTAGAATGGGTCCATGAGTAATTTAAGTCTTTTCAAAAGGCAAAAAAAAGCTTTCTTTTTCAGATTGTTCAACTGAACTAACATAGAGAAGCAGAGTGAGTAACATGGAAATACTGTCAAATCCCAGGCCTTAAAGGCTGTCAGACTGGCGGTAGGAGGTAGTATTAAAAGCCACAGAGTGGGTCTCTAGCAAGTTCTAACCTCCTTAGGCCTTTCTAGGGTTTCCACTTCCACTCTATCATGGATAGATGGAGGCATCTCCTTTTCCCTCTGCTCTTCCCCATACATGTTCTCCCATGCCTTCCTATCTTACCTCTCAACGTGCTGCTGACATTTCTTCTGATTTCTCTCCTGCTTCATTTATTTAGAAGTGTCCTTAACCCACATTCTATTCTTCATTGCTTTTATTCCAATCATGCCTACCTAGAAGCTAGAAGAGGACTTGGTGGCGATATGTGAGGCTAGATACCTTCCTAGATTCAATGCATTCTTATCTTTTAGAGCCTCTTAATACTTGCTAAAGGTGCACAATTCTGGATACCTGGAATCCCAGTATTAGGGAGAGGACTTGGTGGATTCTAGCCTTTACTCAGTACTGAGGAACTATGTAGAACTTCTCTAAAACTTCTTCGGACCCAAACTACACACAGAAATGGCCAGCATTGGTTAGAGGGATGAGATATAAGTAGCATCACTAATTTTGTTTAGAAACTTACTGAACTACCTGAAAGTGACCACCTGCATTCACTGTTTATTAGTTGCCTATGTTTAAGACCCAAAGGTGAGCCAATAAAATTTTCTTTAGTACACCCTCCATTTATGAGTGTGTTAAATTCAAATGTTTCTCTAAAAATGTATAGACACTAACCTGTATATTCTGTTCCAGAAGCCACTGAAGAAGTTGTTGATGCATTCTCCCAGTCTTTTTCTCCATTTCGACTGCCACAACGACTTGGAGATAAGAAGCCTTCTACAGACTCTGATCTAATTAGAAAATAAAATATGTTTTATGTCTCAAACAGAGAAAAAATGGGGCCCAGAGGGTATACGTGAAAGTAACAATCAAAATCAACCTAAAGGCCTAAAAATAATATGATAAGGCCGGGCGCGGTGGCTCATGCCTGTAATCCCAGCACTTTGGGAGGCCGAGGCAGGTAGATCACAAGGTCAGAAGTTCGAGATCAGCCTGGCCAATATGGTGAAAGCCCGTCTCTACCAAAAATACAAAAATTAGCTGGGCATGGTGGTACGCGCCTGTAATCCCAGCTACTCAGGAGGCTGAGGCAGAAGAATCACTTGAAGCCAGGAGGCAGGGGTTGCAGTGAGCCGAGATCGTGTCACTGCACTCTAGCCTGGGCAATGGAGAAAGACTCCGTCTCAAAAAAAAAAAATTAATAATAAAAAATAATATAACATTGTTTGTCTTATTCGCAGCTACACATCCAAGTTCCTAGAACATAGTAAGCATTCTATAAATATCTGTTGAAAGAGTGAATGTTTTTCAATGTGAAAACTGGCAAATAACACAAAGGATGGTAATACAAAGATAAGAACTCTAAGATGATGACTGTCACTAGAAATGTTCTTTTCTGATATGATATTATAGTATAAAGTAATAAAATACTGACTTTTAGCTTCTAATCTAGAGAAAGAATCCTAGAGAAAGAAAATACAAAAGAGATCCTTCCTAAGTCATAGGCAACCCACTTTGGAATTATTCTAATGGGGAAAACTCCTTTGTCTTAGTTGGTAATAGACTAGAGAAGTTGGTACTCTCATTCTACTGACTGTGATTTAATAATCATGTTAGCAATTACTGATGTATAATTACTGTTAATGTTTCATAGCTTATAAAAAGTATGTTATCAATGTCAATAATTCTAAATTCTAAAAGACAAGCACTGAAAGATGAATAGACACCTCTTTACATAATTTATTTTAACAGAAACTCTAACAGTCCTAAGTCAGCAAAACTTAGTAAAATTTGTGATTATGATTTGGTCATTATAAAATGTAAAAACACTGAAGAATTTTTACTTAGAGTTTGTATAATTGCAGGTACTATATTCTTTTCTGTAAAAATATTCATACGTTATAGATTTACCTTGGCGTCCTCTTGCCTGAATGTACACTCTCGTTATCACCCGTGTTCAGCGATGCCAAAGAAAGGCTAGAGACTGAAAAAACACGATAAATTCATGATCCTGAATAAAAACAAAATCAGAAATTTAAAAGGAGCAACTAGCAAAGAGTCTGTTCATTAGATAACACCAGCATATAAAAATTGAGCTTCTGTAGTTTCTTTTCCTTTTCTCTGTACTTTTAAACACATAATATGCTTGCATGCATATATACACAATTTATTTAAAATTAGCAAGGAACCTACTTTTAGGAAACAATGATAAAACTAACTTGCGTTCCAAAAGGAAAGTGTTAATATGAGACGTGATACTGTGATCCTAAAGAAAAAAACAATAACAAAAAAAAATTTCATAATATCTAAATTCTAGGTAGAAAATTATATCAATTAGTTTTACAGGCTTGAAAACAGAGTTCTCTTTAAACAGTCAATATTATGTTATTTTTCCTCAGGTTTAGTATAACTATGAGAATTCTCTAAAAAATTTCCATGGCATTTGGTTTTAATAAAGATTTCTTTTATTTTTACGAATTTATCCCTGCCCCCCAAGATTTTTTTAAAAATAAGAGTATGGCCAGGCGCAGTGACTCACACCTGTAATCCTAACACTTTGGGAGGCCAAGGCAGGCAGATTACTTGAGCCCAAGAGTTCGAGACCAGCCTGAACAACATGAAGAAACCCCATCTGTACAAAAAATACAAAAAAGTTAGCTGGGTATGGTGGCACTCACCTGTAGTCCCAACTACCCAGGAGGCTGAGGTGGGAGGATCACCTGAACCCAGGGAGGTGGAGGCTGCAGTGAGCCATGATCACACCACTGCACTCTAGCCTGGGCAACAGACTGAGACCCCGTTTCAAAAAATAATAATAGTAATAATGAGTATGTATACTGACTTTTAAAGAAAATATATTCTCTCAACTCCAGATATTATAAGTTTGGATTTTCAACCATTTCTATCTTGAAGGAGGGACTTGTGAACTCTTGATCTTGCATTCCTTATTATACCAACATGTTTCTTGTACATTTCATGCATATAACATTTATTTAAATTTATAAGTATGTAAAGGGCAGTTAATAGTTCAAGGAGATTATATCTGAGGGCACAGTTCCCTAATAGATTAATATTTAGATTTGATTTTTAGCATTCACATTTGTTCTACTGAATATATGCATGCACACATAATACATTTAATTTATTAAAAACTTCATTTGCTCATTTTGGTTTTCCAAAAGGGAGCATGCACAATCTCAAACTGTGTATCCAATTTTGCACATCAAAGTACAACCAAGTTAGTATGACAAACCAATCAAGCTGGTGTTTTTTATGAACAGACTCTTCATAATAAGCTATGTTACCTGGAGGACCCTTTATTGGTGTTTTGGGGGATTCAATATGATCTCTGTGAATAGATTTTGGTCGCTGTTTTTTTTGTTTTACTACTTGAGGACGGGGTTTAATTACTGTATCCATATCTTCCATTAGTTTCAGTTGTTTCCGCCTCATATATTCTTGCCTAATAAATTCTCTGCGTGCTCTCTCATCTTCTTTCTTCTGACGTTCTTCCTCAGTTTTACGCCTAAGAAATCAAATGGTTACAGTTCTTATTCTGCATACCAAAGACAAACCATACAGGAGAGAGTTATGTATTTGATATGAGAAAGGAGAATTCTATTTCATCACCTTGGTGAATAAATGGTTCATTTAAAAGGTACTTGACGATTCTGCTGAGACATGGGATTAAGCATAAATAAGTAAATAAAGGAGGGAAGGAAGAGTCAAATAAATAAATAAAAATAAAGGTATTTGAGATAATTTAGGTCGTGTGTGTGTGTGTGTGTGTGTGTGTGTGTATCTCCCAGGAAAGTTATTTTAATGTTTTTTAAACATATAATTATTTAAATTAATGTTTCTAGAGAACTTTCCCATGAGATGCCTTAAACTTAAGATAAAAATATAAAATTAGGCAATACTTTGGGAAAATAAATTGATTTCTACAAAGCACCAAAAAATAGCATTGATCCAGCTGTCTATCTATACTACAAACTTCTCTGAAAGAAATCTGTTAATAAAAATTAATGAGAGACCACCTCTTTGAGTACTTACCAACTTTTTCTAAATATGCCCATGCATCATTAAAGTTCAGATCTAGCACTGGGCCAGCAATTTCCTTTACCTTGTTTCCTCCTTCTTATGCTCCATTTCTGCTTCCAACTGTTGTTTCCGGAGCTGAGTTTCCTTTTCCCTTCTTAATCTTTTCTCCAACAAAGCTGCCCGTTTCATTGCCATATCATTTTCTGCTTTTTGATCATCCTAAGAACGAATTTCATTGAAAACGATCAAACATTTTAGGTACCAATATTCTCATTTTCAATTGTTGTAGTCACATTTTGTGGTTAGTCCTATAACTGAAAGTTTGAACTATTACAACCCTTCTGAATGTGGGTGTGGTTGAGAAATTATGAAGGAAGAACGGAACTACAGTGGTAACAGTTCCATCAAAAAAGAGGACAGGCAAACTTATTTAATTACACTCTGTCAAAACCTATGAGATTTGCAAAGAACAACCATAAAAACAAAACAAAAAAGCACAAATTTTTTTTAACCCTAATTTAATAACTTACAGTAGGTAGTTCCCCCACCAATTTTTAAAATTGCATTTAAATTTTATTTAAAATATAAGCTCAGTAAAAATACCTCAAGTAAAAACATCCCAAAATTAGCCACCCAATGTTGTAGCACATAAATGAAACTATTGCTGCATGATTTTAAGTTGAGGTACTGACAGTCTGCTTGATAGGTTCTGAACTATAATGAACATTTTTCCATTGAAGAAAAGATGGGGATGATTATACTTCCCTTCTACAGTACTTTTAATTTGAGAGCTAGTTCATTATCTATAGGCCTCCTGGGCCTGCCCTAGTTTCTACCTGAATCCTTAGGGACAGCCCTAGTTCTCAGCGGGCTTCCAAAATGCTTCAGAATTCAGCAAAGTAACAAGCTGTTGTAGAAGTGGTTCACTGTCTTAATGTCTCCTTGTCAACTGTCCCTGCCAATGCTTAATTCAATAAACATTTCTTTGGTGTCTAACATACTCACAACATAGTGTCAGATATTACATATATTAAAATATATGGTACCTCAGGTCAAGGAGCCTAAAAAATCACAAGGAGAAGAGGTACAAACAACAGGCTTTGTATGGAAACCCAGAGAGAGATTTAACTCTGAATGGAGAAAGTCAGAAGATACCATTCAAGCAATTAGTTCAAACATTCATATGTCTTCATCTATCAAATTACATATATTGTAGTTTGCCAGACACTTTATTATGCTATGGGGATAAAAAGATGCAGTACCTTGGCTGGGCACGGGGGCTCATGCCTGTAATCCCAGCACTTTGGGAGGCTGAGGCGGGTAGATCACCTGAGGTTGGGAGTTCGAGACCAGCCTGACCAACGTGGAGAAACCCCATCTCTACTAAAAATACAAAATTTATTTTGTGGTGCATGCCTGTAATACCAGCTACTAGGGAGGCTGTGGCAGGAGAATCGCCTGAACCCAGGAGGCGGAGGTTGTGGTAAGCCGAGATTGCGCCATTGTACTCCAGCCTGGGCAACAAGAGCGAAGCTCTGTCTCAAAAAATAAATAAATAAATAAATAAAAATAAAAAGATGCAGCACCTCTAGGAGGTCATGGTCTAAGAGACAAAGCAAATCATACAAAACAGTTGAAAACTCCGGGACACAGGACAGGTATGAGTATATTTAAGGATACAATAGATACACAAATGATGAAACATTTGACCTCGACTGAAGGAATTATAAAAGGCTTTAGATGAAGCTTGAAGTTAATCTTAAAGAACAATACAAAATAAAATTATGGGGAAGAAGCTAGACAAAAAGATTTAGGTTCATCTGTGAAAGTCCCTGAATGTTGTGCTAAAGGGTTTGAACTTTATTCAACAGGCAAGATTTTTGACTAGAAAGAGACTCAATTGGAGCTATGCTCTTGGAACTATCACCTTTAGTAGCAGTATGAAGACTGGAATGGCATGATTGGAGACAGACAGCCCAGTCAAGAAGCTGTAACCATAGTCCAACAGATGAGTAATGGGGTGGTGAAGATGTGTAAATAAATGGAATAGAAATGAAGCAACAGAGGTACTGCCTGTTTTATACTAATGATTTTCTTCCCCTTTGTTTCCCTTCCTCTGCAAGGAACAGAGTCTCTAGGCAGTAAATTTTAATATCTATTAGTGTCTACAGTAGCATTCTGTTAAAAAAAATGGCAGTGTTACATGATTAAGAGACAAAATGGAATCATTCTCTGAAGAGATCTGAGTAGCTTAATTTTTAAAAGGCTTTTGTGAGTGAGAAAGAGCAGTAGAGGAGCAAAACCAAGGAATACATCTAAACATGTGATAAAAGGATTTATTACAGCTTTGAGTCCATACTGGAAACCACAGTGTGCTTGAATGTTACTATAGTTAATGGGGATGAACTTGTATCAAAAGGGACTGCTACTGAAAGAAGCAAGCATGTCAACTGAAAAAAAAAATATCCAACACAACCACACTCATCTAATGAAGATGCCCAAAACTATGCAGATTAATACTACACCTTAAAAAAGAATCCACAGCATACTTTCTGGTCATCATCAAATTGTTCTTTATCACTTTCTCCATCATATTTTTCAACAGGTACATCAGCCTTTTCAGGGGGTTTCAAATCTGAGAGGGAAACTTCAATCAGATTAACATTTTTTGGAGCAGTGGGTGGGAAAACGGGTTTAGGAGGGGGTTCTGTGGGTTGATTCAATTGGTCCTCATTTGGTGTCAGACATACAGTCTCTGTGACAGGCAGTGATAGGACTTCAGAGACTGTTGACTCAAAAGGTTTGATTTCCTTTTCTTCTGGATTATGTCCACGCTGTTCCAAAGTCCCTTTGGATTCCAATTCCTCCTTTTTAACTTCCTCTTTAGGTTTGGATTCCTTTAACTGAGGTTCTCCATCATCCCCAAAACATACAAATGACCTAGTTTGAATAGGAACTTGACTTGGTGAAAACCTCCTTAACCGAGGAAGGCTATCCACAGACCGAGGAGGTGTCAAGGTTCGATTCAAAGGTGTTATTTTTAACTCATTTGGCCTAGGAGTCCTTTGACTTTTAACAGAAAAAGATGCACTTTTCCTGTTAGAAGACTGTGGAGATGGGTGAGTAGGACGAGGGGAGTCTGAGGAGAATGGTGCAATGGCTGATGACAGGCCTGCCTGCTTAGAAGGCTTAAAATCTCGAATCTGTTTCTGTGGAGAGGGTTGTGGAGGTGAAATCACCCAAGATTGTTGCTCTCTCATCTGCATTAACATCTCCTGCTGAAGTGACAAGCGTTGCATTTCTTGTTGTAGAAAATGCAGGGATGAATTTAACTTTTCAATGGATTTGGTATATTCTAAAATCTCTCCTTCATTTAAAGTTTCTTCTGAGGGGCTTGCCAGGTTCCACTGCTTCTCAGGATCAATAGGTGTAGTTGGAGACTTTAGCCATTTGGCTTGAGGATTCTCCATGCTCTCTTTTATATCTGCCAGTGACTTGCTCCTTTGTCCATCAGTTTTTTGTGATTCCTTTTCTTTTGCTCGATCAGTATATACTTTCTCATCTTCTGCACCCGCCGCTTCCTCTCGTAGAGGAGATATCCCATCCCCTTTCTTTTTCACTACAGTAAGGAATGCTGTCCTTCCCATTTTCTGTCTCTGTTTGGTAAAAGCAGCTTCCATTTTCTTTTTCTGGGCTTCTATAGCACGCCTCTTTTCTTCTAGTTTCATCCTAAGATGCACCATTTCAGAGGCCAACAGCTGGGTAGTGTCCCGTCCCTGTGGAAGCCCTGTTTCTTCTGGAATTTGTGCCCAAGCAACCACATGAGGAATATTAAGTTCAGAGCCTTCTGGTGTAGTTTTTTGAGAACTGCTTCCACTACTTTTTCCATCGGTATGATTCAGTTTCCTGAATTTTTGTTCAGCAAAGCTGGTCATTTTAACTCCAGAACTAGAAGAAGCACTGCTGCCTGGCTGAGACTTGGTACTTACAGTACTTGGACAAGGACTCAAAGCTTCCCTGGTGTTGCCAGTTCGAATATCATAATCCTGAAGAAATTTAGATGCATCATCCATGTCAGAGTCCAAGCTTACAGTATAATCTCTCAACGAAGAATCTTCGTCCATAGTTTCAGGAATATCTTCTGAAGGAACGTGAATTCCAGTGTCTACTTCAGTATTGTCAGTTATGGGACTCAAGGCACCTTTCGTATCAGTTACATTATCAGGACTAGATTGATTTAACTTGATATTTGAATTTAAGATACTCATTTCTTGACTATGAAGAAAGAAGCCATTAGCAATTTGGTCTGGCTGAGGTGTATGAGGAGATTTTTCAGTATCATGAATTATTTGTAATGCTTCTTCAATGCTTGGTGTCTCGATCTGATTGCCAAACTCGTCAAGAAGTATTCTATTTTGTAAAGCTCCATTTGGAAGCTTGTAATGAATATTCTCATTAGAATTTAGTTCATTTGTGTTAAGGGGCACACAAGATTTGAGGTCACTGTGAGAATCTATATTAAGTTCTTCTTCAATGCTCTCTGCTTCCTCTTCTCCATTTATTGGCTTGAAGGACAAATTTTTCCTAATGTGTTTAGATACATGACTGTTGTTCAGAGTAAGTCCTTCATTACTAATAGAACGAGTGATTCCTCGGTTTGGAGTGGATCTCTGTACACTATCTTCTTTATCAAAAGAAATATCAAATGATACGCCATGCACTGATGATCTAAAAAAAAGTTAAAGAGAAAAATCCTTTAAAAATCCTAGAAATGATTTTTAGTATCATTTAACAAGAATTATTTGAAATTACATTTCCTTTCTTTCCCCAGTTCTCATAATCATACTGTCTTCAAGGTAAGGGGAGGGCTATCTAGCTACTTTTTAAAGTTAGCCTCTTTTACATCTCTATCATCTGCCTATACTGCCTTTTTCAAATTTAGGAACTAATTAAAAGTTTTAGCAATTTGGTTATCAATAAAAGAGAGACACAGATGCAATTTGCATTTCTTAATAATCTGAATACACTAAAAGTAATTCTCTTTGTTTACCTTTTCTCTTTGGGCCATGTCCCTATGAAGCCATCAACATAAGACATAGATGAAGACCTTCTAATTCCTCCTTCAAATGCAAAAAAGAAAAAGCCATTGAAATCATGTAAAAAAATTAACTTATAGCAACTTAGGAGATTTCATGTATTTGAGGATTCATTAATAGCAATACAAATTAAATAGGTACATAAGGAGAATTAGAGATAATTTTATCAAGAAAAGCAACCACAGTGAAACTGACCATGCTTTTAGTGTGTTATAATAGCCATTTTTCAGAAAACAAACAAACAAACAAAAAAACACACACACACACACACAAAAAAACCCTGGATATTTGTTTATTTATATTTACTGTCAATCATTTCCCAGGTAACCTACTTAAAAGAGTATTTTCCTAGGCTTTTTCAAATATATTACCTGAGGCTGAAGAATGAGCCTGGGGACGTGAATACCTAGAAGGCAAATGATGATGAGACTGTGTAAATGTAGCTCCTTCCCCACTGCAATGGAAAATAAATTTAAAATGTTATATTTTAGCTGTTTAATATAAATTTAGGTAGAATGTCTTAAGTTAGAAACAACACTACCACCTCTCATTCTACAACCTAAATTTTAAAAATATGGAAACATATTGTTTAAACCAAAGAATGGCTGTGATTACAGTATGTATCTATATATATTTTATGTCTTTTAGCCAAACAACTTGAAGTACTTTCATATACATCTCAATGTCTTTGTGAGATATGAATTATTTTCATTTTTATAAACATAAAAACTGATATATAAAAAAGTAAAATGAAACTCACCAATTTGAAATACTTTGGTCAAATCTAATCTCTAAAAACTATAGGTATAATAAACCCTAGTAAAATACCTTGACAGCCTCTCTGCTCACGGACCTGTTTGTATATCTCCAACAGCTGGTAGCCAAGTGTGTGGAGTAGCTGCTGAAAACATCTTTTGCTTTGTCTGTCTTCGTCCTTTGTTTTTTTCTTTCTCATAAAATCATTATTTAGGTTCACTAACATTTGAGATGTGGCTACATTATTCCCAGGAAGGGTAAAAATACTTCAATTCTTTCTCAAAAGTTCCACAGTGTTGGAGAACTACAATGGACCATATGGAGACTTATAGAAATGAGAGGATGACTAGGAACTCAGAATAGCCTAGAATAATGGCTACACAATAACTTTTCAAGGAAAAGAATGTAGACATCCATCTGCATTATAAAAAGAGTTTCTGCTGGGAAAAATAGGAAAAATGAGCTGCTGAGATGTCTGAGAGACAGAAAAGAGATGAGTTTTCCAGAGGACATGAATTAAAACATTTTTCAGAAATGTGGGAGACTGTCCATTTAGGTTCCTAGAATAATTATGGAATAATCTAATCTTTGAGTGGAAAGCTTTACTTTCCTCCACTTTGAAAGTGGAATTTAAAGATTTAATAGAGCAAGAGTGATGACCTAGAACACTGAGTGTTTTCTAAATCTTCAAGGAAGGAAATGTCACTATTGACCCACCATGCCTGCTAAATTTCATATTTTTGTGTTAAGCCAAGAATTCATACAGAAATTACTTTGAATGTTTTACTCATAATTTTTGAAATGTATTTTTAATGTGTCTGAATTTCCAAAAACCCACAAAAGACATTAGTTTTAACGTAAAAAATCAGATAGATTAGGGAGTCCAAAGTCAATATAAATTGTAGGTTCTAATAGATTCAAATAAAAAGCTGCTTATAGGAGCTGCTGAAATACATTTTTAAACAAACTAATGTCCCTATCATATACCTGGGTGAGAAGTCAGGATTATCTAGGTATTAATATGATAGGACATTTTTACTTTGCTTTCAGTTTAGTTCCTAATACTATGTACTAAAACATTAAAGATTTAATATTGTAATAAATATTCTATTGTTGTAACCCAGGGTCCTTGGGTTTTCAGGTACACACTGTGAAAAGGTACCTGCTTGTAACTGTTGCACCTTGAAATTTTTATTGTTTGAGAAATTTCCAGGAAGCAGCCCAACCCCACATTACAAAACAAAAACTACACAAGCTGGGTGGATGTAGAGATGCCTGAGACGGAAATGTATTACCATTACCACACTAAAAATCCCATCCAAGGAGGAGCTTATTCCGCATTTTCTATACATGCCAGTATGCAGAAGCATGACTGATGACTGTGCCTTTACTGCCTTTACTCCACCTCTACACACAATGATACAGTTAACCAGCCTACTAAAAGCCCTATTTTCACCTCTGCTTGAGGAGGCACTGCTTTGGGGAATTATTCCCGGTGTCCTCCTTACTTGCTGCAAGTAATAAAATCCTCGTCTTGTTAAATCCTCCTTGGTTGTGGCTTTGGACTGTCATCTGCCAAGAGACCAAACCCACCCGTTGTGTGGGTAACACTGTGATCTCTCAATAGCTATCCTAACAAGAAAAAAAAAAAGCAGGAAAAACCTTCAAAGATTTTTAAAATAATAAAATATGTAAAAGTCCTAATAGAATTTCAAAATTTCCCTCCAAGGCCTAAGAGTTACCTATTAGACAGTTCTCAATTATGAACAAGTTATGCATCAAAAGTTTGGTTTTAGGTTGGTTATTGGGAACTTAGAATATATTGTCCCATCTTTTCAGTGTGGTACATAAACATTCATTTCAGTGTATATTTCAATTTATATTTAAGTTAAAACAGGCTTTAATAGGGTAAGCTAATTATAACAGTTCAAAATCCAACTGAAATTCTTAAAAACCTTATTTAATGTAATATAATATTATGTAATTTAATTAGTAAATAGAATAGAAATGGTGAAAATAAAGTCATTGTGGAGTTTACCTTGAAGGGAAGTCAGAACTACTATCTAAGACATTTCTTTTGGCAGCATTCAAGACAGGAATTGAAGGCATATCTTTTACAGGTTCAGCTGGAATAAAAGATTTTTAAAAACACCCTCAAATTAGCATATTTCTATGAAAAATTCTGGACCATAAGCAAATTTATAACAAAATTTAACTTCTATTTCCCTTTCTACGTATTGAGAAATCATAGCATAAAGTTTTCTTCTTAAATAATTTTCAAAGGGTCAAGTTTCTTTAAGATCTTTTTGAAGTATTCAGACTTAATTTCAAAATTAAAAAAAATTTTCTTTCTTTTTTTTTAGACGGAGTCTCGCTCTGTCACCCAGGCTGGAGTGCAATGGCGCGATCTCAGCTCACTGCAACCTCCACCTCTTGGGTTCAAGCAATTCTCCTGCCTCAGCCTCCCAAGCAGCTGGGACTACAGGCACCCGCCACCACGCTCAGCTAATTTTTGAATTTTTAGTAGAGACAGGGTTTCACCATATTGGCCAGGCTGGTCTCGAACTCTTGACCTTGTGATCTGCCCGCCTCAACCTCCCAAAGTGCTGGGATTACAGGCGTAAGCCACCACGCCCAGCCAAAAATTTCTTAAATTAAAAAATTCATCTGATTAAGGATAATTAGGGGGAAAAAGCCTAACATAAAATAAATACATGTATTTAAAACAAAAATAAGTGGCTGGGTGTGGTGGTTCACGCCTGTAATCCCAGTACTCTGGGAGGCTGAGGCCGGTGGATCACGAGGTCAGGAGATTGAGACCATCCTGGCTAACATGGTGAAACCCCACCTCTACTAAAAATACAAAAAATTAGCCGGGCGTGGTGGCAGGCGCCTGTTGTCCCAGCTACTCAGGAGGCTGAGGCAGGAGAATGGCGTGAACCTGGGAGATGGAGCCTGCAGTGAGCCGAGATTGTGCCACTGCACTCCAGCCTGGGCAACAGAGCGAGACTCCATCTCAAAAACAAAACAAAACAAAACAAAACAAAAACAAACAAACAAAAAAAAAACAAAAATAAGTTTGAGCGTTTAGTTTTGTGAAAGCTTTCATAGAACTTCAGATACATATGGTCAGCTCTGCTTCTTTATGAAACAGCTGGTATTTTGGTCAATTAGAGAAAAACAGAATTTCTTTAGAAAATAATTAAACCTGCTGGTATACTTTTATTTTTGTAAGTAACTCTGGAGGAAGACTCAATTTACTTTTTGACTTTGAGATCTGATGCAACAGCTGTTGGTATTTTGAATAGTGAGCTTCACAGGTGAAATCACAGAAAGCAATGTAGTGAAAACCCTGTTAATAATTTTTAAAAATTATACAAATATTGGTTATGAAAATTACTAAGAATATCTGACTTCATTCAATGGACTTAGGGGAGCATCTCAATTTTTTTATAGGCATGTAAAGAAGTTATATAATGTTATATAGTGACTCGATATTCAGAATCTGCCTTAAGAAGCTTAGCAATACTCTAATTATTGCTTATTTCACAGATTTTTGCCTGAGATGCGGTGGGCTGCCTGAAGTAACCTCATTGTACTCACTAGACTATGCCTCCCCTTTGGCTACATATGTTTTTCCTCCTTCCTGATCACTTTCTCTTCTTTTATTTTTTGGGGGTTTAGCGGGGAGGTGCAGGTAACGGTAGCAGTTACAAAAATAACAAACTTTGGAGCCAAGGAAAGCTGCTAAGTAGTTGGGATGCACAATGATCATGTGTTGCGTTGGGTAGGGCAGCTATTGGTAGCAGACAGAAATGTTTCCATAAGTTATGCTGGAAGAAAGTTCTTTAGTGGGCTAAGCTTATAATTTAAGATCATTTTTCCCCCTATAGAAATAAACCTCTAGTTTTTTTTTTTTTTCTTTTTTTTTTGAGATGGTGTCTCATCTCTGTCACCCAGGCTGGAGTGCAGTGATGCAATCTCGCTCACTGCAACCTCTGCCTCCTGGGTTCAAGTAACTCTACTGTCTCAGCCTCCCGAGTAGCTGGAATTACAGGCATGCACCAACATGCCCGGCTAATTTTTGTATTTTTAGTAGAGACAGGGTTTCACCATGTTGCCCAGCCTGGTTTCAAACTCCTGACCTCAGGTAATCCACCCGCCTAGGCCTCTCAAAGTGCTAGGATTACAGGCGTGAGCCACCGCACCCAGCCTAGAAATAAACCTCTAGTTTTATAATGGGAGCCAAGAGAAAATTGGTTTTGCTATGTGAAATTTTGCTTTACAGAAAATTTAGGAAGATTTTTTGTTCCTTATATCTAGGGGTCTTTACAGTAACCCCCTTATTTCTTACTAATTTTATTCTTATTATGTACAATCAATAGTTCATGATATAATAGTCATAAAATCCACTAGGTTTAAAAATCCATACAAACCTTTTTATAGTTTAATGGCAAATTCGAGTTGCGGGTTAAGGCCAAACAATAATTTGTGGGGATTCTGGG
This sequence comes from Homo sapiens, assembly GCF_000001405.40. Taxonomy (NCBI): domain Eukaryota; kingdom Metazoa; phylum Chordata; class Mammalia; order Primates; family Hominidae; genus Homo; species Homo sapiens. Next base: position 200,842,402 of record NC_000001.11, on the reverse strand, counting down.
TAACACAATGTTAAAAACTAAGAATCTAAAAGGGAATAAAAGCTGGGATAACGATAAAAGATGCAAAGAAAAGAAATGGACAGTTAAAGCTAAAAGTTCCACATCATAAGACTTCAAATTCAAAGCCATTCCCTCCATTTTCTTTTTCTTCTCCTCTAACCATTTTAAGAGGTTAGGAGAATCTATCAAGTGTAATAGCTGAAATCTAAAAAAAAAATAATAGGCTGATTTCTAAAAATGTAACCAGGTAAGGTTATATCAACATTCCATTTTTTTCTGTTCATAGGAACATTTAAAATTAAAAAGATTGATTACCTCCTTGTGGACGAACAACACGAGGCTGTACAAAAGACGGCTTCACCACTTCAAACCACCAGAACAGTTCCGCCATGAACACCAAATAATTACTCTATATAGGAAATTTAAGAGAAAGCCTACATTAGGTAAAACTTCATGATAAACAGAATTTTATTGTTTTAAAATATAGGTTTAAATCTCATTCATTCATCACTGGAGTATATTCACTATAGTAGGCTATTAAACATGGGATGGAATATTAACTCTTGTGGGTAAAAATTATAACTATTCAAAACCTCTTGCTGATCATTTGCTCTATAGTTCTAAAATGGTGGTCCAATTGATCTAGCAGGCATGAATACCTCTAACTGTGTAGAACACTGAGATAATATATAAGGCACTTTCATTCCAAAGTAAATATAAGCAACTTAAAAAGTTATTCAATCATCTGACACTCTAAAGAGGGGTTATCACTTTCAAAACATAACTAAGCTCTACTCAGATCCCTAGAAATTTCTCCAAAACGTAACTGGATGTAGTGTTAAAAAAATACTTTATTTGGCCGGGCGTGGTGACTCACGCCTGTAACCCCAGCACTTTGGGAGGCCAAGGTGGGCAGATCACGAGGTCAGGAGTTTGAGACCAGCCTGGCCAACAAGGTGAAACCCCGTCTCTACTAAAGATACAAAAAACTAGCCGGGTGTGGTGGCGCGTGCCTGTAATCCTAGCTACTTGAGAGGCTGAGGTAGGAGAATAGCTTGAACCCAAGACACAGAGGTTGCAGTGAGCCAAGATCATGCCATTGCACTCCAGCCTGGGTGACAGGGCAAGACTCCGTCTTAAACAAAAAAAGTTATATGTATGTGCTCAGTAATGTTAAACTCACCAGTAATACAGGTGCTAAATAACACCAAAACTAAATTTTTATAGCTAATTTTTAATAATTTTGAAATGTACAAAACATTATTTATACAATGAATGTATCTACCTAACTTTGAAAAGTTATCAATAAGTCAACAATGTTACCTTTTATTATTACTATTTTAAAATGTAAATAATTTTTTAAATGGCTTAAAATTAAGAGAAAGGATTAAGGGTCCTCAAAAGCACATTTCTACTACAAGTTTATATTTTAAAATGCATATAAAATAAAAGCTGTAAGCATGAAGAATTATTTCAATTTTAGGCATTCGGTAAATTTTTAAAAACTACAAAATCTGTTTTCATAACTATTTAAAATAATATGTTTTCTAAATTTTGGGTGTTTGGCATTTAATAAAATAGTTACTATCAAATTTATTAATGTTTAATAAGGTCTTATTTCATATTAAAGTTTTTAAGATTATCCTGGATATGGTTATTTTCTAATGTCTTGCCTTCTTCCTACTTGCTAATTATGAATAATCCTTAAACTCTATATGCTCTCCACTAGAACTCATGCGTTCTCTTGGTTTTCTCATATTTAAGTTGGTGACTTTCAAATATCATCTCTCATCTGATAGTTCTGGAAGGCTATCGTGTATGTAGAAAGTGAAGAAAAGAGGCTGGGCGCAGTGGCTCATGCCTGTAATCCCAGTGCTTGAGGAGGCTGAGGAGGAAGGACTGCTTGAGGCCTGGAGGTTGAGACCAGCCTGGGCAACATAGCTTGCCTCTATAAAAATTTTAAAAATTAGCTATGCATGGTGGCACGTGCCTGTCATCCTAGCTGCTTGGGAGGCTAGGGCAGGAATACAGCTTGAGCCCAGGATTTGGCTGATTGTGCCACTGCACTCCAGCCTGGGTGACAGAGTGAGACCCTGTCTCTAAAAAAAAATAAAAAGAAAGTGATGAAAAGAGAAGAATCAAGAGTGATGACTCTTAGGTTTTTGTCTCGAGCAACTAATAGTGAGATAGAAAGGACTGGGAGAAACAGGTAATGAAAGGAATCTAGAGTCATTGTTTGAGATGTTCACTGGACATTTAAGTGGACCTGTCTTGTAGGTGGCTGAGTGTAAGAGTCTGGAGTATTACAGAAGATAATGCACAGTGGTGAAGAGCATTTGGTAGGTTTCTACTTTACCTTCATGTTTGCTTTTACTGTAAATTCTCAGAATTTTAGAATGTTGATATACAGATACATACTAATTGAAGCAGCCATTAAAATTTGTGACTAAAAAAAGTAATAAGAATGCTTATAATCCGTAAAGGCTATGCAGTGGCTCTCATCCCTGCTTGACTTCTCAGAAACTTTACAGTTTTAAAAAATTTATTTCTTATTTTAATAGGTGTTTAGGGGAACAGGTGGTGTTTGGTTACATGAATAAGTTCTTTAAGTAATTTCTGAGATTCTGGTGCACCCATCACCCAAGCAGTGTACACTGTACCCAATGTGTGGTCTTTTATCCCTCACCTCCCTCCTGCTTTTTTCCCTGAGTCCCCAAAGTCCACTGTATCATTCTTATGCCTTTGCATCCTTATGGCTTAGCTCCCACTTATGAGTGAGAACATATGATGTTTGGTTTTCCATTCCTGAGTTACTTCACTTAGAATAATGGTCTCCAATTCCATCCAAATTGCTGTGAATGCCATTATATTCTTAATCCTACTTTTCTCTCCTACATATGTATCCTTCCCCTGTCAACAGAATCCTTCCTATTTGGCTTTTAAACATGCTCAAATCCCTCCCATCAAAATAAATGAAACAAAACCTTTACTCAATAACTATTCTCTAGTTTCTCCTCATTCCCACCATCTTTTTACCTCTTCACAAACTTCTTTTAGGAGCAGGCCTCTACTGACATTTTCCATTTCATCACTTTTACTCTCTAATCTACTTCAGTCTTGGCACTGAGTCACATCATTCCCCTAACAGCAACTGCTCAAGTCACCAATGATGTACATATGTTGCTAAATCAAACAGATTTCCCATCTTACTTGACCTCTCAGCTGCATTTGATATTCCTGATCTCGCCCCTCTTTGAAACACTGCCATGCCTACGTCCATCAGCTACTAAATGATTCTCAAATGTACTGACTGCACTTATATATGCAGTGGCCTACCGAGCATTTTCTTTTGGATATCTCAAAGGCCTATGTCCAAAATTGAAATAGTGACCTTCCCTACAAATGTGATCTTACTGCAGTCCTTATCTCACTGAATGGCACCACTATCCCAGTGTGCAAACCAGAAACCTAGGAGTCATCCTTGACACCTTCTTTCTCCCATGTCCAATTCATCACCAAAGCATGCAGATTTTGCATCCTAAATATTTCTGGAATTCACCAACTTCTCTCCATCATAACTGCTCTGATTCAAACATTTTTGCCTTGTTTGGAACACAATAGCTTTTTCTTTGGCTTGCTAAGAAAACAAACTTTTCAAAATGCAACTCTCTTTCCATTGCTCTTGAGGTAAAGGGAATCTTACTATGGCTTACAAGAGGCTACTTGGTACAGTCCCTTTTTCTCTTCCCAGATTTATCTATTACTACATTCTCCAAGTTTCCTCATCTTACCCTCCAGATGATAAAGTCTAAAAAGACAAAGTTTATGCTCATCATTATATCTTCAGTGTTTAAAACAGTGTCTGGCACATGATAGGTGCTCAATAAATATTTATTAAATGAATGTACAAATGAATGAATCTACGTACTAAAAAAAACAGTCAGTAAAACATCAAAACATTGACACAATATTTCTGATTAGTAAGATTATTGTGATTTATATTTCTTCTTTATACTTATCTTTATGGTATACTTTCTAAAGCCAAAGTATAAAATTGGTTTTTAAGTACTGGTGCTAGGTTCCATTTTACTAGCCTAGTTAACTGAAAGCTGATTATATTTTGAAAAAATACTGCTTAAGTGCTCAATAATTATCTGTTGAACAGAAAATAAGTTAATATTTTAAGGACTTTGGTAAGATAGCCATCCTAATAACATTAATTGTACTATTTGGCCACAAGATGTCAGTAGAGTAAGAAATAATTTTCCCAGTAATTAAAACTTATGAAGATTATGTCTTTCTGAGTTCATGACGATTAAACAGCAATAAATCTGTCACCATATTTCAGGAATGATGCCAGATTAATTCATTTAAAAGCTTCTTCTTTCCTTCTTTTAGTTAAGATGGTCATAAGGCTACATACTCTTGTCCCAAAAGCTCCTTAAGCTGATAAACAACTTCAGCAAAGTCTCAGGATACAAAATTAATGTACAAAAATCACTAACATTCCTATACACCAACAACAGTTAAGCCAAGAGCCAAATCAGGAATGCAATCCCATTCACAACTGGCACAAAAAGAATAAAATACCTAGGAATACAGCTAACCAGGGAAGTGAAAGATCTCTACAAGGAGAACTACAATACACTGCTCAAAGAAATCAGAGATGATACAAACAAATGGAAAAACATTCCATGCTCATGGACAGGAAGAATCAATATTGTTAAAATAGCCATACTGCCCAAATCAATGTATAGATTCAATGCTATTCTTATTAAACTACCAATGATATTCTTCATAGAACTAAAAAAAACTATTTTAAAAATCATATTGAACCAAAAAAGAACCTGAATACCCAAGGCAATCTTAAGCAAAAAGAACAAAGCAGGAGGCATCATGTTACCTGACTGCAAACTATATTACAGGGCTACAGTAACCAAAACAGCATGGTACTGGTACAAAAATGGAACAGAACAGAGAGCCCAGAAATAAGGCCACATATCTACAACCATCTGATCTTTGAAAAAGCTGACCAAAGCAAACAATGGGGAAGGACTCCCTATTCAACAAATGGTGCTGGGATAACGGTCTAGCCATACTCAGAAGATGGAAAACAGACACTTTCCTTACACTATATAAAAAAATTAACTCAAGATGGATTAAAGAATTAAATATAAACCCAAAACTATAAAAACCCTGGAAGAAAATCTAGGCAGTACCATTCTGGACATAGGAATGGGCAAAGATTTCATGACAAAGGTGCCAAAAGAAGTTGCAACAAAAGCAAAAATTGACAAATAGGATCTAATTAAACTACAAAGCTTCTGCACAGCAAAAGAAACTATCAACAGTGTGAACAGAGAGCTTATAGAATGGGAGAAAATTTTTCGGACTATGCATCTGACCAAGGTCTCATATCCAGCATCTATAAGGGACTTAAACATATTTACAAGATAAAAATAATCTCATTAAGAAGTGGGCAAAGGACATGAACAGACACTTTTCAAAAGACATAGACATACACGCGGCCAACAAGCATATGAAAAAAAGCCCAATATCACTGATCATTAGAGAAATGCAAATCAAAACCACAATGAGATACCATCTCACACCGGTTAGAATGGCTCTTACTAAAAAGTCAAAAAATAATAGGTGTTGACAAAGTTGCAGAGAAAAAGGAACATTTACACACTGTTGGTAGGAGTGTAAACTAGTTCAACCAATGTGGAAAACAGTGTGGTAATTCCTCAAAGACCTAAAAACAGAAATACTACTGAACCCAGCAATCCCATTACTGGGTATATCCCAAAGGAACATAAATCATTCCACCAAAAAGACACATGCATGTGTATGTTCACTGCAGCACTATTAACAATAGCCAAGACATGGAATCATCCTAAATGCCCATTGACGCTAGACTGGATAAAGAAAATGGGGTACATATACACTATGGAATACTATGCAGCCATAAAAAAGAACAAGATCATGTCCTTTGTAGGAACACAGATGGAGCTGGAGGTCATTATCCTTAGCAAACTAATGCAGAAACAAAACCACACACCACATGCTCTCACTTATGTGACGAAAACACAGGGACAGAAAGAGAACAACAGAAACTGCAAACTATCCACGAGTGGAAGGTGAAAGGAGGGAGAGGATCAGGAGAAATAACTGATGGGTATTAAGGTTAATACCTGGGTGACGAAATAAAAATCTGTACCACAAACTCCCATGACACAAGTTTACCTATGTAACAAACCTGCATATGTACCCTTGAGCTTAAGCTAAAAGTTTAAAATAAGATTGAATTAAAAAAAAAAAGATTCAAATGAAGTCAAAGCTGTGGTAGTAATAAGTAAAGAACATAGAAAGTGACCAAAGCCCTTTCTGTAGAAAATCATAGTTTAAATATACCTAATTTAAGAAAATATCTTTATATGGGTCGTACCCAGACAAAGTTGATATAAACATCAGGACTGTATATTATGTATTGGAAGTCCAAGGTATACCAACTTAAACAAATGCAATCTTATATCTCCATGTATTTAGTGAGACAGTTTTTTTCCTTTGAGATTACAGAAGTAGCATTTAAATTTTTAGCTGACAATGTAGATATCATGTTGATGCCTTTTCTGGTACTAACAGAAATTAATATTTCTGTTATTACCTGAAAATACCAGAAAAAGCATTACAAGATATATATGGAAATGATATTACCTTTCATTCTGATATGAATGGCAAGGGTGTAAACCTTCAACATCAATTAGAAAAAAATTTTTTTTGATGTGTCAGACACAAGAGACTGGGTACAACTTTGGGTCAGCAGGAGCAGTGGCTTATTTTAGAAATGTCTTTACCACTGGCTTTATAGTTTACCCTGCCATTTCGTTCTCTGCTTTACCTCCAAAGCTAAGAATAGTGTCTGGCACATGGAGATACTCAGTAAATATCTGCCGATGAATGAATAAATGACCAAATCCCCAGGCTCAGTACAGTGTCTAGCATATAATAGTCTCTCGCTAAAATATTTTTCAAACATTAGTGTGGGTCCTGCAATGTTCTAAAAGTTATAATAATCTCCAAATTTTGCCATTTTACATTTTGCTGACAAACTTGTTTAACGCTCCTTTCTTTTCATCTTAATAACTTTTACACACTTGCATTCTGTAGTTCTTCAGTGTCTTAAATTAGGGCTTTGTTCTAATGATGCACATGTGACACTTGGTAACCTAGAGTAGCTGCAAACAAATCCTAAAATTCTTCAAAAGCAAAGGTGTACCCAGTTCGTTTCCCCAGTCTGCTTCCAAATGGTTTACCAGAACTAAAACTGCATACATGGGGGTTGCCTGTGTTTATATAGCATGTATATGATTCCCACCATGTTTTTAACAACAGCAAATCTTGAACTTCAAATAATTACTATTTTAAACACTCTTTTTTAACCTTTAAAAATTAAAAGAGAAAGCCCCTATGGTTTTTGTTTTGTTTTTGGTGACAGGGTCTTGGTTTGTCACTAAGTTTGGAGTGCAGTCATGCAATCAGGGCTCACTGCAGTCTCAGCCTCCTAGGTTCAAGCAATCCTCCAATATCAACCTCCTGAGTAGCTGGTACTACACATGTGTGCCATCACGCCTGGCTAACTTTATTTTCTGTAAAGACAAAGGTCTCACTATGTTGCCCAGGCCGGTCTCAAACTCCTGGACTGAAGCGATCCTCCTGCCTTGTCCTCCCAAAGTGCTGGGATTATAGGCATGAGCCACCGCACCAGGCCTGAAGTTTTTATATTGTAGTTCAGTATTTCATAAATTAATATGACTCAACTAGAAAACATTTCTGATTTCTGAATTGACTTTATATTATTGACTCACATAAAGTACAACACTAACATTACTAAAATAACATCTGGAGGATAAGACATAATTCTTGAAGTATTAAAAATAACAGTATTCATAACACAACTTAATTTTCAAACTTGGGAATGGAATGGAATGATTTTCAAAAATCTATTCGTGATGATGATAATAATGATTTTTTTTTTTTGAGACATAGTCTTATTCTGTCACCCAGGCTGGAATGCAGTGGTGCCATCTCAGCTCACTGCAACCTCTGCCTCCCAGGTTCAAGTGATTCTCCTGCCTCAGCCTCCCAAGTAGCTGGGATTATAGGTGCGTGCCACTACGCCTGGCTAGTGTTTGTATTTTTAGTAAACGTGAGGTTTCACCATGTTGGCCAGGCTGGTCTCGAACTCCTCGCCTCAGTGATCTGCCCACCTCAGCCTCCCAAAGTGCTGAGATTACAGGTGTGAGCCACCATGCTCAGCCATGATTATTATTTTTAACATTTAACATCAATGTAAATAAAATATATTCAACTTAAAATTAAGAAAATAATACTACCCATGTGAAATTTTATTATTTTAACACAATCTGACAGCATACATTAGCCTACAGTCAAAGGACAATAAACGTGACAAATTTCAAACAGTCTGGTAACTACAGAACAATTATATATAATCTAGTGAGAATAAACAAACTAAATTTCAATTTAATGCTCAATGACTCATTGTACACATAAAAATACGCAAGGATACCATATCATTTAACTATACATATCATATATTTATGCATAATGGTAGTTAAATAGTACATAATGTTACTTTTCAATTAATTTTTTAATTCAAAAATTAAAAATTCTTTAAGAAAAAGAAAGCTTCATTATTTATAAAGAATCTTACTATTTGTAAGCATTGCTATTTGTAAGAAACATTTAATGGCTTATTCTCTATTTTGCAAACATTAAGACAATAGATCAATTTTGTACATGACTTTTTTTTTTCTTTTTTTGAGACAGGGCCTGGCTCTGCTGCCCAGGCTAGGGTGCAGTGGCGCGATCTCAGCTCACCGCAACCTCTGCCTTCCAGACTCAAGCAATCCTCCTACCTCAGCCTTCGAGTAGCTGGGAACACAGGCACATGCCACCACTCCCAGCTAATTTTTGTATTTATTGTAGGGATGGGGTTTCACCATGTTGCCCAGTCTGGTCTTGAACTCCTGAGCTCAAGCTATCTGCCCACCTCCTCCTCCCAAAGTGCTGGGATTACAGGCACGAGTCACTACAACTGGCCAATTTTGTACATGACTTTAAGTTTGGCTTTGCACTATAAAAGAAACTTGTAGCTTATAGTATATTAAAAAACAAAATAAGGAGAAAAAAATTAAAAACTTTCTTCAAAAGTTCTTTTGACTAATATAGTTAATCTATAAGCTTAAAGTTGCTAGGTCATTTATATATCTTGTTCTATGGTTTATTTTTTATTTTTAAAATTTTATTTATTTATTTTGTGAGACAGGGTCTTGCTCTGTTGCCCAGGCTGGAGTGCAGTGGCACGATCATCGCTCACTGAAGCCTCAACCTCCCAGGCTTAAGCAATCCTCCCACCTTGTCCTCCCAAAGTACTGGGATTACAGGCATGAGCCACTGTTCCCGGTGTTTTTGTTTGTTTTTTAAAAAAACATATTTTAACAAAGCAAAGGGAAAAAAAGAATAATTTAATTTACCTTTATGGATGAAGCAGCATAGAGCATATCTTCCAGAGTGAAATGGCAACACTGGTTCAAGTATTCTTGGCAAAATTCTTGAATCAGCTGCAGATTATACAGGCTATCAGCCAAAGACATAGTTTCTTTCAAACAAATATCTTCAAATAAGAAAAGAGCAAGGTGGTGACTTTGGATTAATTTGATAATAAATATTTCATATCCATCTTGTAATTAGTACAAATACACAATTCTGGTTAACAAACATACATTTATAAATATAGTAGTCATTATACATTAAGACTTAGAAACCGAGCACTATTTTTTTTTGAACTACCTCCCTCAGAATTATATATAAATGTTCTTTATTTTTAAAAAAAAGTCTTCAGTACTTATTAAATAATATTGTCTTTTTTTTGAGACAGGGTCCCACTCAGTCACCTAGGCTGGAGTGCAAAATAATACTGTCTTAAATATTGGTTACTATCTGTCTACAGTTCAGAAGTATTACAATGGAACACTTACCCTCTAATCTGACAACATCAGGACAGTAAAAATGAATAAGGGCAGCTAATGCACAGCCATCTGTCCCATCCTTCAACAAATTTTCTACCAATGGAATGCAAGGCAGTTGCTTAAGCAATGTTTGCTCTTTCCGATAACGAGCCTACGATATAAAAAAAATACATGAAAATAAATAAGTACCAAATAACGCATAGGAAAAAAATCAGTACTGTAAATTCTAATGTACCAGTAATAAAATAAATCATGAGAAATGAGACCACTCACCAATATTTCTTTTTTTCTAAATAACGCTAGGTATTACCAAAGTTAAATACACGGCAACAATAGCTATAGTTTTGAAGCTCAATACTTAATATAACATACTGCTAATTTACACTAACTGACATTTGGCTTAAATATTTAAGTATAAAAGCATCACAAAACAGATTTTGAACACTTTGTATCCAAATAATCAGTTCTGCTCTTTTGAAGATAATAAAATTCATCTACTTTAATTCAGACTTAATTTAAACTGAAAATTCTTATACGGGAAGAGCAAGAATACTATTCAAGCAGAAAGAGTTATCAAAATGAGGGGGAAGGTAAAAGAATATACTATTCTTAAAAGAAATTTGAGGAACTGGAATAGTATCACCAAGACATTCTGGGTTATTATCTGAATGTTGAGGAAACACAAATAGTTAACAACTTTGAAAGTGAAAAAAAAAAAAACCCTTCCAACTTAGATTTCATTAATAATTGAGCAAGTATACGGGTTCTTGCTCCCCCTCAGAAAAAGAGAAGAAACCTTTGTTTCCTAAAGATTGTTTGGTGTGGCTAGATAGAATTTTTAAAAATAGATCTCTAAAAAATGAGACATGCTGTAATAGTTAAGAGAACAAATTCAGATCCTGGTTCAGATCCTGGTTCTGCCACTTACTAGTTTTGTGATCTTGGACAAGTTACTTAAACTCTCATTTCTCATTTTCCCATCTGTAAACTGGCGTAATAATAGTACCCACTTCATAGAACCACTGGAAGATTAAGTAAGATGATGGACACAAAGTGCTATGCATCCTGCTGGGCACACAGCAAGCAATCAATAAAGGTTAGCTATTATTAGCTGTTAACTCTTCTAAAGCCAAGTAAAATAATGCTGAAGATTTAGTGAATGTACACACGAAAGTATTTTGCTAGCAAAATATATAACATAAATTACTGGTAGTTTTTTTAAGGTTATCAAACTATTTTTTCTTCTAATTCCATCTAAATTGGTCATCTCTATAGTTTAGAATTAAAATATAATTATAAGATAAAACACTTTTGTGAGAATAAAAATAGAAAAATAAAAATTTACTGAAAGAGAACACAACATTTGGTAGTGAAGTTAGATTTCTTTTCAATGCTATCTCTCAGAAAAGCATCAGCATTAATGAAGAAGGAGATACTTATTCCTGGATTTCTCTCACTGGCTACCCAAGGACAAAATTCATGGAACATGTTTTCCTCTTAAAGATTTCTGAAGGTTCTTGTTAATTAGTGCATAATAGACTCCGTATTTAAGAGTACATCCCTAATTCAGGGGGTAACTATATTCAGAAAAAAATTACTTGCAGGTACTATATGGATTCTTTAATTGATTCTGATTTTAACATAATTCTTAGAAAATTCCTCACTTTGCAGCTAAGAAACAGCTTAAAATCAACCATGGGGAGGGAAGAGGAAGGAAGAAAGAAAAAAGAAATCAACCAGTACAGCGGTATCTTCTAGGCTTAAGCTACCGTTCTCACAATTAGTATCTGTTCCAGATCCTTACATGCTTTTCTTTGGTTATCTGGGATAAAAACAGTCTGCCTCTTGGACATCCTCAAAATTGGGCTGGGACTAGTAGTTTGTTTTCAGCCTATGACCTGAATTGGACTAAGCCAAGCACCCAGGGTCATGCAACAAAGAATTGAATTATGTGATTTGTTCTACTCCCTCCTGCAAAGTAGCACTTTTGTACAAGGTATGTGCAAACAGGCACATGTATGTGCACGTGCACACACACACACACACACACAGCTTTATATGACATTAGCAATAAGTATCTATGGTTTAGACTAGACAGAGAATTATGAATGGGATGCCAAAACATTTTCCTAAAGATTGTATTCTAGAAGATATATTAAGTAAACCAACTTTAAATCTTGAGATTATGTCCAGCACTCAGAAGGTTCATCCGCAGTTCATGAAAGAGTCTTTTGTACTTGAACATGCTATTTGCTTTATAAACTTATTGCATGGAAACATGCCCTTTCTTTCTGCAAACTAAGAAGTTTGGCATTTAGAAAGAACCCCCTATATTTTTATATTTCAACATTATGGTATATTTATTTTCTTCTCCTTTTTTTTGTTGTTTGTTTTATTTTTATTTTATTATTATTATTTTTTTTGGAGATAGCGTCTCACTCTGTTACCCAGGCTGGAGTGCAGTGGCACAATCATGGCTCACTGCAGCCTCGACCTCCTGGTCTCAGGTGATTCTCCCACCTCAGCCTTTTGAGTAGGTGAAACCACAAATGTGTACCATTATGCCTGCCTCATTTTTCTATTTTTTGTAGAGATGAGGTTTTGCCAAGTTGCCCAGGCTGGTCTCAAACTCCTGGGATCAAAGGATCCACCTGCCTTGGCCTCTCAAAGTGTGGGATTATGCGCGTGAGCCACCGCACCCGGCCATTATGGTATATTTCTAAATTAGAGTTTTATTATCGAGGATGTAAAATAGTTCTTAAGTGGTTTAACACACCCATCCCCATATTTAAATCTGAAAGATCAATCTTTAAGTCAAATCAGAATTTAATATGGTTTTGGTCCGCTACTGGTGAGGTCACAGAAAACCTTCTGCTTTCTTAATCACACAAAAAGTGAAGTGTCATCTATAATTCAAGCTGAAAAGGAACTAGGTCTGTCAAAAAGATAATTTTTTAAAAATAGAGATGGGGGTTCAATATGTTGTCCAAGATGGTCTTGAACTCCTGGGCTCAAGCAGTCCTCCCACCTTGGCCTCTCAAAGTACTAGGATTATAAGCGTGAGCCACCATGCTCAGCCACAAAGATGATTTTTAAATGCAGGCAATTTATTCATGCAATTCAAATTAATATTTACTAAAATTATTTAAATTAATGAGAAGCTACATAGTAAGATTTTTGTTTTTGTTTTTGTTTTTGAGACGGTTTCACTCTTGTTGCCCAGGCTGGAGTGCAATGGCGCGATCTCGGCTCACTGCAACCTCTGCCTCCCTGGTTCAAGCGATTCTCCTGCCTCAGCCTCCCGAGTAGCTGGGATTACAGGCATGCGCCACCACGCCCAGCTAATTTTGTATTTTTAGTAGAGATGGGGTTTTTCCATGTTGGTCAGGCTGGTCTCGACCTCCTGACCTCATGATCTGCCCACCTTGGCCTCCCAAAGTGCTGGGATTACAGGTGTGAGCCACCGCACCTGGCCCATAAGTTTTTTTTTTTTAACCTACTTACTGATAGTCTGTGAATACTGACAAGATTAGCAACAGGATGTTTACCCTTTAAATTATTTTTAGAACTTCTGATCTAAACCTTGGCTGTATCTTTTATCTTTCCATTTTACATGACCTTAAAATCCAATCTCTATTCAATGACTAACAGAATTACATGAAATGACTTTAACAGCAAGACATAAACAATACCATTCTACAATTACAATTCTGGAGAGCAAACTGAAGTAGCTGAGCAAACTTACTGGAACCAGTTTCCAAAACCATTTGGAAGGAGACTTCAGAGGAAGCAGCGGGAAAAAAGGGGAAAGCAAAAGGTAAAGGGAAAATTCATCAGAATTATCTTCAATTAACAAATTATAGTAAAGCTTCTGATAGTGGAGTTCCAAGTTTATAGTTCTCATAACATTTCATATGTTAATAAATATTTTAGTTAAAAATACATAAGTTCCTAATGCTAAAGACCACTATCTTCTCCTGTCTCTCTCCTCTCCCCATACAGATATTCATTGTAGGATACCTAGAATATGCTGTATACTTTAGCAGCAAAAAATTTTATTTCTGAGTTTTGGAATCATATGTCATATTAAAAAATAAATCTATATCACAAAAGGGAAGTAAAAATATTCTACAGCTAGGTTTGCAATCATAATTCTTAGGTATTAGTAGACTGTGTCTGACAAGGCAATATTCCCCAAAAAGCAAAGTAGAAAGATAATTTCAATAAAAACAAGTATAAAGCAAATAATAATATAGTAGAATATATCAAGATGATCATTTCCTTCACTATATAAAAAGTTTCTTTTAATTAATGGAAAAAAACCTAGTTGGCAATTGTTACCAGTTAAGATTTTTGTAAGTGTCTAAAGCAAGTAACTACTCACACAAAGAGAATATAAATGTTATTAAATTTACTATCTAGGGCTGTCCCAAAGAATCTAATTTTCTTCTTTAAAAAAATGAATATAATAAACCCATAATTTCAGATAACATGAATTAATCATTTGTGTTTGTTTATCTTTGTATCTGCTAAAACAGCTTCTGGCTCTGAATAAATGTTTGTTGAAGTGAACCAAAGTAAATAGAATCTGAGTTAAAATTCATATCCAAAATTAAAATTCATATCCAAAATTTTTATGTAGAAAGTTTTTCCGTATAAACAGAAAAATAATATAAATAAGGTATTTTCAAGAACTTTAAGAATTAGAAAAATGTCACCTGAAGAATCAGAAACATACCAGCTTCCTACATATAAACAACATTTCCAATAAATTTTTCTTATAGCACCAGGAAGAATAGCCTCAATAATTTTGTGGAATGTATTTTAATCTCCCATTTAACTGAACGTTTTTGGCAGCTGCAGTTATAATAGCCACAAAAAGTACAAGAGCAGGACCAAAGAGCAGGAAGCCACTGAAAACGTGTCAGGGTTTCCAATTTGTAACAGAAATTTTAAAAACAAGGATTTTTTTGTTTTCTAGACTAGAAGAACCCATTAAATAGAAAATGGTGATAACAAGAAATTATTGTGGACTATTCCTAACAGCAGGTGTACAAAGAAGTCTCTTAACGGTTAAAGTTATTCCATATTTCTTGTAAAATATGCAATAATTGGATTTTGTTACTAATTCAGACTGCTCTGGCCTTTCTCTTGGCCCTCCATTGATCTAAACTGGTAACAGCAATCTTCTTGGCGGAAAAAGGAAACCCACAGATTGGCTGTGTGAAGGAAATTTAACTAAAGAGTAAATGTACTAAAAGAACAAATAAATATACTATGCATACTTATATACGTATGCTTCAAAAAGCTCAAATACATAGCATAAGTTCCTTGCTGAAGAATAACGCCATTTCTGAAGTGATCAGCAACTATCCTTTTGGTTTTCAGGGAAGAATTAGGCAAACTGCAACATCAAATCCTGTTTTAAGATGTAAATAACCACGAGGACAAAGGTTTTTTGATTTTTTTTTTCTTTTTATCAGGACCACCAGGCAAGAAACAAAGGGTTTTTTAAAACCCATGGATAACAGGTGAAAAAACTTTTATTAAGTTTCTACCGACAAAGGGGCCAACCTAGGCAGTCCAGATTTTCTGGAATAGTTCTAATTTCAAATATTCCTTTCAATTGTCTTTATAATACATGTTTGGCTCACCCTGAATTTTGGCTAGTTGTTTTAGGACTTGCCATTAATACTCTCCAAATAATACTCTTCCTCTGGGTATCTACAACATTCTGGCAAGGTAGGATAATTCCTGAACTACTTCTAGGTGCTCTCAGGCCGTTCCAGGAGGATATTGGTTTGGTGTGGTCTTTATTGGAGACCTCAAAGAGTTGGGGTCCTTCAGGGAGTTAATCATGGCTGTGACTTGTTACTGCATGACTTGTTAACTTGTTAGATTTAATCTTTTTTTTTTTTTTTGAGACAGTCTCCCTCTGTCACCCAGGGTAGAGGGCAGCGGAGCTATCTCAGCTCACTGCAACCTCTGCCTCCCAGGTTCAAGCAATTCTCCCACCTCAGCCTCCCTAGTAGCTGGGACAACAGGCATGCACCACCATGCTTGGCTAATTTTTGTATTTTTTGGTAGAGACGGGGTTTCACCATGTTGGCCAGGCTGGTCTTGAGCTCCTGACCTCAAGTGAACCTCCCACCTAGGCCTCCCAAAGTGCTGGGATTACAAGTGTGAGCCACCACGCCCAGCCATTAGACTTAATCTCCTAGCTGTTGCAGATCCAAAAGTTATGCCGAATCGCTGATGGAATATAAAATGGTACAAGCTCTTTTGGAGGGGATTTCGTCAACATTTAACAAAACTACATACAGTATGCATTTACCCTTCAATCTAGCAGTCCAACTTCTAGGAAATTTACCTTGAAAATACATATCCAAAATACAAAAGGCCACATATAACAGTATTCTGTGCAGCACAATTTGCAATAGCAAGATACTGGAAACTACTTAAATGCCTACACATAGGTACATAGTTGAAGAAACTATGGCACATATTCACAAGGCAGCACTATGCTGCTTTAAGAAATAATGATTGGCCGGGCACAGTAGCTCACACCTGTAATCCCAGCACTTTGGGAGGCCAAGGCGGGTAGATCACGAGGTCAGGAGGTCGAGACCAGCCTGGCCAACATGGCGAAACCCCGTGTCTACTAAAAAATGCAAAGATTAGCCAGGTGTGGTGGCGCTCGCCTGTAGTACCAGTTACTTGGGAGGCTGAGGCAGAAGAATCGCTTGAACCTGGGAGGCAGAGGTTGCAGTGAGCCGAGATCGCACCATTGCACTCCAGCCTGGGTGGCAGAGCAAGACTCTGTCTCAAAAAAAAAAAAAAAGGAAGAAAGAAAGAAAGAAAGAATGATCTCTAGGGACCGTATGGAGTAATTTCCAGGATATACAGTTACTGAAAAGAGCAAACTGCAAAAGAATAAATATGTTATGTTTTGTGCTAGAAAGGAGGAGAAACAAACATGCACATACGTGCTTGGTCCATTTAGAAGGGCTGGGAGGGAGTACATGTGGAATAAGTAAGGGGTAGAAGAGATAGGGGAGGGATTGATACTTCTCTGAGTATACCATTTATATAGTTCTGATTTTTGGAATTATGTCAATGTTCTACATATTCAAAAAACAAAAGTTAACAAGGATGGTGTCAAAAAAGATCGCTAAAATGGAAAGAATACAGAAACCAATTAACACAAATGTATTTCAAAGGAATAATATAACCACAGTGAAGGCGGGGGCAGAGGGAAACAACTTAAGAACACTGTACTTTGACTATATACTATTAGTCTAAAAAAAAATTGCAAACAAATCTTAAATTCTTCTTAGTAGGTTTTTAAATTTATTTATTTATTTATTTATTTGAGACAGAGTCTCACTCTGTCACCTAGGCTGGAGTACACTGGCACGATCTCGGCTCACTGCAACCTCCGCCTCCCGGGCTCAAGCAATTCTCCTGCCTCAGCCTCCCAAGTAGCTGGGATTACGGGCGCATGCCAACACACCTGGCTAATTTTTGTATTTTTGGTAGAGACGGGGTTTCACCATGTTGGCCAGGCTGGTCTCAAACTTCTGACCTCAAGTGATCCACCCGCCTCGGCCTCCCAAAGTGCGGGGATTATAGGCTTGAGCCACCATGCCCGGCCAGTAGGTTTATTTTTCATATTGGTATGAGTATAGCAATTCTGAAACTACTGTATATGTATTGTAGGACTGAGCAAATAAGTAAAATATATTAATGCTGTTGGAAGCCTGAGTTCTCACTGTGGAAGGGGAAGTCCTGCATGGAATAGGGGAAGCCAGGAAGAACTCTGTGGAGTTTGATTGGAATTGGAGGTTTATATATGAACTCATGTTTGTGTATTTTTAAAATTTTATTTCTGAACTCTGTCTACTGAAATAGGGCCTAGAAGTAATGATATTCCTGTAGCAATGAGCCACTTAGTGCCCAGATTTTACAGTTGCTAAATACTGTTTTCCATAAAAAAGAATTAAGACTTACTGAAGAAATGGCTGATTTTAGGATTATGGCAAGGAAACTACAAAATGAATCTGAAACATCTTGTTGAGCTAGAAATTAAATAAGGAGGGGCAAAAAAAAAAAAAAGAGATGGATGAATGGGGGCATATCAAAAGCACAGGAGTCAGTCTGAAGGGACTCCCGTTGGCCAAATCTAAGACCATTTGAGCATCAAAATAAAGAAATAGCTAATTTTAGGTCAAGGAAAGAACAAGATGAGCCTGGAGCATTCTGTAGTGCCAGAAAGTAAGGAAGTGCTCAAAAAACAAAAGGATTGGGGCATATCCAAGAGATACCAAAGCCAACCCCAAAAAGCTCTCAGTGGCTGATGCTGTAAAATTTTGAGCAACAAAATAAACAACGCAGTATTAGATTGTAACTCAAAGCATAAAATATTAAGTATACATGAGTCCATACTGATATAAATAAATGATTGAATATAAAAAATAAATGGGGAAGAAGACACAAATCTTCCTTACAGAAGAATCCCCAATAGTATATGCAAGTATTCTCCCTTTCAGGGAGTGAGCTTAATTTCCCTCCTTTGGAGTGCAGGATGGAGGTGGTGACCCACTTCCAAAAATAAGAAGGGAAAACCAGTAAATTTATAATGGAGAAACCTGACAAACACTACCTTAACCAAGGGATCATGGTTAATATCACTAGTGTTAAATCATGTTCTTATCATGTACCCCGTGATACAATATATGATATGATATATGACCTCTCTGGTAGTCTTCTCAAAAAACCTGTAACTCCAGTCTAACCATGAGAAATATCAGACAAACCCAAATTGAAGAACACTACAAAACACCTGACAAATATTTAAAAAGGACATCAGTGGAAAACCAGTAGAATCTAAATAAAGTCTGTAGTGTACTCAATAATAATGTACCAATGTTACTTTCTTACTGTTCACAAATGGGCTCCAATTACGTAAGATGTTAACATTAGAGAAAACTGGGTGAAGTTGTACTATCTTTGAAACTTTCCTGTAAATCTAAAATAATTCTGTAATAATTTTAAAAGTAAATACATAAGGACAAAAACTGATTATAACCCATTACATATCCATAAGCTCATTCAGATAGTAGAGAAATATTATATAGACAGGTAGATGGGTGGAAGAAGAAAAACTTGCTTATAACAGAATGCTAACTAATAAATATGGAATAAATGAAGGGGTTAGAAAATTATAAATTTGTGACTATCATAGTAAAATTAATTCAGGTAGGTATATTCAATGAATGCTAAATCTAGGATGAGGGGAAGCTTTCAAGAAAGATAGGCTATTTACAGTGGTAGAGTAACTCCTCTCAAATTACCTATTACAAACGGAAACATAATATAGCTGTCCCCCCCTTACCCATAGTTTTGTATCTGCAGTTATTCACAGTCACTGTCTGAAAATGAATGAAAAATTCCAGAAATAAACAACTCATAAGTTTTAAATTGCATGCTGTTCTGAGGAGTGTGATGAAACCACATGCTGTCCTATTCCATCCAGTCTGGGAAGGGAATCATACCTCTGTCCAGCATTCCATGCTGTATATGCTACCTGCCCATTGCTGTATAGGAAAAAACAAAGTGTAGATACAGTACTATCTGAGGTTTCAGGTATGCACTGGGGGTCTTGGAACATATCCTCTGAGGATAAAAGAGGACTAATGTAACCCTGTAGTCAAGAAACCAGAGAATATCTTAACCAACTGATCAAAATGAACATTATCTAGCAGGGGTAAATGGATATCATGTGCCTCTGGATATTACATTGTGATAAGGACACAATTTACAAAGCATTCTAGCCTGAAAAGCACAACCTTCATCTAATAATGAGGAAATATTAGAAAAAGCCAAATTGAGAAGTATTCTATTAAAATAGCCCGATTCTTTAAAAATGTCAAGGCCACAAAGAAAAGAAAAGCTAAAGAACTGCTTCAGTTTAAAGAAGACTAGGGATATGACAGCGAAATAAATTAATGATAAAATGGGAACATAAATGATACAGTATTATACTGACATTAAATTACCTGTACTGTCGTTATGGAAATGAATTGCCTTGTTCTTAGGAAATATATATTGAAGTATTAAGGGGTAAAGGGGCATGATATATGCAACCTTCTTTGAAATGTGGTAGAACAATTTACGTGTGTGTGTGTGTGTGTGTGTGTGTGTGTGTGTGTAGAGCGAGAGAGAGAGAGAGAGGGAGACAGAATGATAAAGGAAATTTTCAGTTTGAAAAACTGATGAATCTGTTGAAAAACTGATGAATCTGAACAGAGTTTGAGAATTCTTTTTACTATTCCTGCAACTTTTTGTAAGGGTGTAATTATTTCAAAATAAAATAAAAGTTCTTTAAAAGTTATATTAGATCTATACCAATCCAAGTCTTTATAGGGTCTTGTGTCCAAATGCACAAGATTATTAATTTATAAAACTGTTAGAGAAATCTAATGGTTATCATACTCTTAGGTAAAGATTAAAACCATGGTACCATCTCTGAATTCAAAAAAATGTTTAAAATGCCAAGTTCTCTTAACTATAATAAATGAGTTAATAATAGAACAGGGACGTACTCTAGGTTGTTGTGTTTCCTGTAAGGGCAAGTAAATTATTATGAAAGAGAAAAGGTATGTTGATATTAGGGATAAAAAAAAGAAATGGCCACGTGTGGTGGCTTACGCCTGTAATCCCAGCACTCTGGGAGGCCGAGGCGGGTGGATCGCTGGAGGCCAAGAGTTTGAGACCAGCCTGGCCAACATGGCGAAACCCCATCCCTATTAATGTAAAAAACATTTTAAAAAAAAGAAGAAGAAGAAATGAATTAGCATTGACCACAGAAGACTACACATTGGCCAAAGGCCTGTAATCCCAGCACTTTGGAGGTCAAGGCAGGCGGACTGCTTGAGCTCAGGAGCTTGAGATCAGCCTGGGCAACATGGTGAGACCCTGACTCTACAAAAAGTAAAAAAATTAGATAGGCATGGTGGCACATGCCTGTAGTCCCAAGTAGTTGGGAGGCTGAGGTGGGAAGATTGCTTGAGCCCAGGAGATCAAGGCTGCAGTGAGCCATGATCTCGCTACTTCATTCCAGCCTGGGCAATAGAGTGAGACCCTGTCTCCAAAAGGAAAAAAAAAAAAGAAGAAGAAGAAGCAGGCTACATATGGATAGATTTATAATTATAAAACAGAATCTTAAGGGTAGGATTCAAAACAAAAATTATCTAATTTAGACAGGCTATGTCTTCACAGTTAACTAAAATAATGGTATAAAAGAAATCGAGGTAAATCTAAGAGTCAAATGAAATGATGTATCTGAGAATGATGCGCTATATTTGAACATTAAATGTTTTATATATTTATATACATATTAAATAGACAACTTAAGTACAAAATTATACGTTAAAAATTACCGTTTTCTAAATTGTGCACTGAAGAACACTAATTCTATGGGATGCTAGTAAAAGTCATTTATAAAACAGTTCAAAGATCAAAAATGTTTGGAAAATGGCTAAACAGTCTCTTTGACTGGGACTTTAATGTACTGAAATGGATTGCAACATTCTTAAAGGGGCATAGACTAGGCAGCATTTCCCAAATGTATTTTACTTCGGAGCCCTTCTCTCAAATAGTACTATTTGAAGAAACAGCATTTGAGGGAGAAAAAAGTGGGTTATAGTTTGTAACTGTTAAGGAATTTTAGTCAAGGGAGAAATTCATAAGGGCTGAAGTAATCAGGCAAAGAGGTATAAGCATTTACCTACTCTCTCACAGGGGGAAAGTGTAGTCTATATTGAGATACACCTTAAAGTGAAAAGCAATTAGAGCTCTGTGGATGTCTTTTCTCCAAAGGTAATTCCTTCACCTAATTCCTACTCCCTTGCAAAATACCTCACAAATATTTCTTTTTAAAAAGTAGCAAATGCCACATTAAGTAAACATGTATCTTTAATACTTTGAGAAACATTGGCTGGGGTGGTGTCTCATACCTATAATCCCAGCACTTTGGGAGGCCAAACTGGGGGATCACCTGAAGTCGGGAGCTCAAGACCAGCACATGGCGAAACCCCATCTCCACTAAAAATACACAAAAAATTAGGTGGGCATGGCGGTGCACACCTGTAATCCCAGCTACTAGGGAGGCTGAGGCACGAGAATTGCTTGAACCCAGGAGGCCAAAGTTGCAATGAGCCGAGATCATGCCTCTGCCCTCCAGCCTGGGTGACGGAGCAAAACTCCGTCTCAAAAAAAAAAAAAAAATTTTTTGAGAAACATTAAACTTCATTCTCTATATAGTTAGTATTAGAATACAAACTCATGAATTCATAGCTCTTTCAAAACTGATTCTGCCAAATTCATCCACTCAGTAATTCCCACATGTGACTTCACTTGTGACTTAGTGTCACTACTTATATTGTTCCTTATGACCTAGTATCATGAAATCTACTAAGGCCCTGTTAAAGTCCCACATCCTCTAGAAGGTACTCCTAGATATTTCATGCATACAGTTAGCATAAATCTACTAGTAATATACATATAGAAAAGTCTATGATAACTATTTACTATTTTTGCCAACCTTTTGTTTTTGTCTCATGTTTACTAACATATCGAGAAGGGAAAAACTGAGCATCTTTTTAATTACAGAATTTAGAAACCATTTAATCCAACCTTCTAATTTTTACAGATTAAAAAAAAACAAACCCAAGGCCCAGAGAGGTCAAGTGCCTTTGTAAAGGTCATGAAGCTATTTAGTGGCAGAACTAGCCTGACTTTATGTGCAATACTCATTTTACCATAGTACTTTATACAAACTCTTCAAGAGAATGAATGTTGGACTTAATGTCATCTTGGCTATAAACTTCAGAAATCGTTCAAGTACGGCTTCCAGATTTAGCAAATAAATACAAGATGCTCACACAATACAAGACACCTGTGCAACTTATAAAAAAATTATTTGTTGTTTCTCTGGCATTCAAATTTAATTAGGCACCCTAATTTACAATCAAAAGAAGTATTAGAAGCAAAATGAGCAACTTGGAAAAAAAAGAGAAAATAACATTAGTAAACTGTTTAAACAAAACATTTTCCTAGGACATGACACTATTTAAAATGCCTTTCTCTTAGGACACCACCCAATCCAATGATCAGAAATACATCACTGGAGGATCTAATACCCTAAACAAATACCTTTGAAATCTTTCATTTCAGTCCAACCCTAATAATATATAGTACAAGTATCCTTCAACATGTGCATATATTTTACCAAGAATATGGTTATAAAAAGATATTTCATAAAACAAATTCTACTGGACATCTGAGTTAAGAGTAGTTGGGCAAGGACAAAAGGTAAGATATGTTATTATTCAATACCACGGGCTCTGTCTATAGCTGGACAAGCAATAGGCAACAGGGCTAGGCTCCTGAGTACGCCTCACTAGAAAAGCTGACTGAAGTAGATGGAAAGAGTGGCAACTTCTTACCAACTGTATAGCAATAAAAAGAGCAAGTCATTTTCTCTCTCATTTGTAAAAGAAGAAAAGGAGCATGAATTTTGCTTTTACAGAATTAAAAACCAAGAATGGAATGATAATATTTCCAGTCAAACCAAGTACACAGTTCAAATGCCAAAAATCCCATTGTTAGGTAACAGACCAAGATTCCTTTCCCTAGTTTATTCTGTGATTGTGTGTTTCTTCATAATGACAACACCTGAACCTACAGTAAGATTATGTTAAATTAACCCTTATTTTCACAAAGATTCAATTTTCAAAAACAATGGGGGGAAAAGGATAAAATTCATTTGAAAATGAAGGGGTAAATGCTATGTATGTGCTAAACTACAAGTGTATACTAATCAAATATTTAAAAATGAATTGCACAATCATTTCTTTATTCACTCAGTCACCCATTCACCAAATACTAGTTGTACAGTTAATACGTGCAACTGCATGGAGCTAAGTGCTGTGAAAAAGTAAAAGCCATGTAATACAACAATGTCTAGATTCCATACAGTTTTTCTTCAAGATCACTTTATTTGATTGTTTGAAATACAAATGGCATTTTTTTCATTAAAAAAATGTTTCTTGGGCCCTCTGTCATCATATAAAATCCCCATTTGGTTCATAATGTGTATGCAATACTACAGAATTTAACCATTATATATAATACACAAGATTTCTATAGAGAAATTTCATTAGTGTTATAATTTAGAATGATGCCACTTCAACCTTATTACTGATAAAAAGCCAGGAGCAAAATTGAGGGGCAGGATTACACATATCTCCAAGGCAAAAGTTTCAGCTCCTATGATTATGAAAAAGAGAAAGGGAAGGAAGCTGACAAGAAAAGACTGTGGGACGTAACAGGGAAGAGGCAAGGACAGAAATTGGCTGGAAGCAGGGAAATGAAACATAATCTGGGGTGATGGGGAAAAAGGAGAATTCCATTCCAATCTACCTTTAGGGTAAAGGACCTCAACAGAGTTAGAATGAAGGATTAAGCACAAATCGTATTTTCAGGAGCCAGTCAGTTAACCAAATGGGGGAAAGCATTGTGATCCCAAAACATCAAAATCAGACAAAATTGTACGTGGTCCTCCACAAGATTTTTCTATTGAAGTTGATAAGAGACAGAACAGCTTCGCTTTTCCTTCCTTTTTCCCTTCTTTCTCTTTTTATGGAGAGATCAGTGAATAGTGGAATAAGAATAAGCTCAAAATAATAGAAGTACTGTGTAATAATGAAGAAACTTTAAACCAAATGGAGATTAAAGTTTCTGAATGATTACAATTTCTTATACCTCAATTCTAATACTATACAACATGTTTAAAGGGTTCCAATTACAATACATTTTAAAAGACGTAAGATATACTATATCATAGAAAATATGCTTTTGGTCTTAGCATATGACAAACACACAACTAAATTTTCAGAGAAGAAAATTCTAAAAGTCTGTTTGAGATTTTTAAAAGAATAAATCCATGTTAATGTTTCTTCTTTCTTCACAGAACAACCATACTGTACATTTTGGAATTCTGGGAAAATATATATATATGTGTGTATATACACACACATATGTGTGTATGTGTGTATATACACACACATATGTGTGTATGTGTGTATACACACACACATGTGTGTGTGTGTATATACACACACGTGTGTGTATGTGTGTATGTGTATATATACACATATATACGTGTATATACACACACGTGTGTGTATACATATATACGTGTGTGTGTATACACATATATACGTGTGTGTATACACATACACGTGTGTATGTGGGTATACACATATATACGTGTGTATGTGGGTACACATATATGTATATATGTGTAGATATATACACATACACACGCGTGTGTGTGTACACACATACACACGCGTGTGTGTGTACACACATACACACGCGTGTGTGTGTACACACATACACACGCGTGTGTGTGTACACACATACACACGCGTGTGTGTGTACACACATACACACGCGTGTGTGTGTACACACATATATACACGCGTGTGTGTGTACACACATATATACACGCGTGTGTGTGTACACACATATATACACGCGTGTGTGTGTACACACATATATGTGCGTGTGTATATATACACATATATGTGTGCATGTACATATACACACATATACACATGTGTATGTGTGTGCATATATATGTGTGTGTATATATATACATATATATATATATATATATTTTTTTTTTTTGAGATGAAGTTTTGCTCTTATTGCCCAGGCTGGAGTGCAGTGGCATGATCTTGGCTCACTGCAACCTCCGCCTCCTGGGTTCAAGCGATTCTCCTGCCTCTGTCTCCCGAGTAGCTGGGACTACAAGCACCGGCCACCACGCCTGGCTAATTTTTTGTAGTTTTAGTAGAGACGGGGTTTTACTATGTTGGGCAGGCTGGTCTCAAACTCCTGACCTCAGGTGATCCGCCCGTCTCAGCCTCCCAAAGTGCTGGGATTACAGGTGTGAGCCACCACGCCTGGCCCTATATATATATTTTTTTTGTTTGAGATGGAGTCTCGCTCTGTCCCCCAGGCTGGAGTGCAGTGGCATGATCTCGGCTCACTGCAACCTCTGCCTCCTGAGTTTAAGCGATTCTCCTGCCTCCTGAGTGGCTGGGATTACAGGTACACGCCACTATGCCCAGCTAATTTTTGTATTTTTAGCAGAGATGGGGCTTCATCATGTTTGTCAGGCTGGTCTTGAACTCCTAACCTCATGATCTGCCTGCCTTGGCCTCCCAAAGTGCTGGTATTACAGGCGTGAGCCATCGCACCCAGTGAAATTCTGGGAATTTTGTTTTAAATGTTGGTCTTGCTGCATTGCATGTCATTATAAAGCCTGAACATTTAAAATTGTTTCCTTGTTGTTTTACACATTTTACCAAAGAAAGGCAAACTGTTATTTTTGACAAAAGAACCTCAGAACTTGAGTTCTAGTCATTAATATATTTTTTTACAAACACCATCATCCAATTAACCTTCATTTTGTACTTCTATTTACTTAGTGTTTACAGTATGGCTTTCTAGGGTACAGTTAACACCACTAAAAAATAATTTAATAAACACAATTAACATTTCCCAAAATAATACAAATATGTGAACATATATACAGTCTCATAAAGGCACCTTTTTGTTTTTGAAATAAATACCTTTTGACCTCCTGGAGCTTCAACTGTGTGATGTTCTTTCAGTTTTTGTTCTTGTTCCATTATGTCTTTCAAATGTTCATTTACCTTAAAATATAAAAATATCAGTTTGAATTTTTATTCTTTTTTTGAATTTACATTCAAATATAACAATAAAATAACACACATTAAGATGCCTATAGTCAGAGCCCTGATGTCAAATATCAGTCTCACTCAAATAAAGAAAATTTCAGCTTCACAATCAGAAAAAAATAGTTTATGGGTACTTATTTGATATTCTAGAATTCATTAATTTATCAAATAGTTGTTGAGCAGACACTGTATGTCAGGAACTGGTTGGAGCGCTAAGGGAAAAAAGGTACTTGGTAATGTCAGTTTTAATGCTTAGGAAGCAAACTAATATCAAGTAAAAATTTTACAATCTATTTTAGAACTAGTAAATGAAAGTTATTTTCCCTAAAATTAATGTTGTTGTTATCAATAAATAACACTGTGAATCAAGTTCTTAAGGTATGATTTCAGACATATCCATGATCATGGGGGAGTTTAGGGCAGTCATAATGCCACAGTTAAAACACATGCAAAATTTCTGCATATGAAAACTTTTTGAGGAGAGAGCTTAATTTCTTTCTCATCAGATTATTCAAGCAGTCCATAATCCAAAAACAGTTTAAAAAAAAAAAAGTCTACATGGTGCATAAATTATTTCTTGAGAAGACTTTAGATAATTTTTGGTTTTGAGTTAATGATTTTAAGGTCACTCTAGTAACAATCAATAAAAGTTCAAATTTATTAATCATGGCACTGTAGAAAATATTAATGCCATTAGCCACCAAAACTTTCAGTCCCCACTTTGTTTCTGGCACCTAAGAATTCCCTTTTCTTCCTTTAAACTCAACTCTGCAGTATAAACTTTTCTAATTATATTTATCAAGCATTTTTAGGTGTTCCTAACAGGAAGAGTTGTAGTTTTAGTGTGACATGTTGACAAAATCATTCATATCTTCTTCTTGTTTTTTTTTTTTTTTTTTTTTTTTTGGGATGCAATCTCACACTGTCGCCCAGGCTGGAGTGCAGTGGCACTGTGTCAGCTCACTGCAGCCTCCGTCTCCTGGGTTCAAGCAATTCTCCTGCCTCAACCTCCTGAGTAACTGGGATTACAGGCGCCCGCCATCATGCCCGGCTAATTTTTTAAATATTTCTAGTAGAGATGGGGTTTCACAATGTTGACCAGGCTGGTCTCAAACTCCTGACCTCAGGTGATCCACCCACCTCGGCCTCCCAAAGTGCTGGGATTAAAGGCATGAGCCACCATGCCCAGCCCCATATTTTCTATCATGGTAATACATTGTGTTACAAAGCAGTTTTATAACACCCATGTATCTTTAAGCATTTTGGTCTCTTTACCAATTCGGGGAGGGGAAGAAGACAGGACCAAATCCTGGGAAAGTTTATAATGTTTTCTATTTGTTTGTTTTGTAGTATTTTCATTCCCCACCCGCCCACCCCTCCCCCCGCCACCTTTTTTTTTTTTTTTTTGGAAACACAGTCTCACTCTGTCAGCCAGGCTGGAGTGCAGTGGCGTGATCTCGACTTACTACAACCTTTGTCTCCTGGGCTCAAGCAATCCTCCTGTCTCGGCCTCTCGAATAGCTGGGACCACAGGCGTGTACCACCATGCCTAGCTAATTTTTGTTTTTTGTTTTGTTTTTGGTAGAGACAAGTTTCACCTTGTTTCCCAGATTGGTCTTAAACTCCTGGACTCAAGCAATCCACCTGCCTCAGCCTCCGAAAGTGTTGGGATTACAGACATGAGCCACCAGACCCAGCCTCATTCCCTTTAAGTTAAAAAACAAACACTTTCTAATTCATTGTCAGGTAGTCGTAATTGATCTGCCAGTTTGGAAATATCCTTGTTTTTATTTTTTTCCCCACTGAGGAAATACCTTCATTTTTAAAGAGGTTTTTATCTGATTCTGTCCAAAAAGCAAAGTGGTCACAAATTAACATTTTAAACCACCATTCACTCATGTATGTGCACATTCAACAGATATCTACTGAATGCCAGTTATGTGCCAGATACTGTATTAAGAGGCTAGGTATACAATGGACTACAAAGCCAAAGTGATTCCTGTCCTCATGAAGCAGGGGAGATAGAACAACAACAAAAACCATTTGTAAATGCTATAAATACATTAAAATGTGAGTAGAAAATAATGGGAGCAGGAAGATCTATTTTAGAAAAGATGGTTATATCAGACAAGGCCTTCGCTTTGGTCTAAATGTTTGCCCCCCAGAGTTCATATTTGAAACTTAATCCCCAATGTGTTAATATTAAGAGGTGTAGCCTTTCGGGGCATGATTAAGTCATGAGGCTCTGCCCTTGCATATGGGGTTGGTTCCTTTATAAAGGGGGTTGAAGGAGCACAGTGGCCCTTTCGGCCACGTGAGGACACAACAAGAAGCTGCCATTCTGAAGCAGAGAGCAAGTCCTGACCAAAAACTGAATCTGCTGGCACCTTGATCTGGGAATTCCCAGCTTTCAGAACTATGAGCAATGAATTTCTGCTGTTTATAAATTACCTAGGCTAAGGCATTTTGTTATAACAACCCAAACAGACTAAGACAATTTCTTTAAGAAGTAACTTTAAGCTGAGATCTTAAAGAGAACAAGCTGGCTATGGGAAAAGTAGAGGAAAGAGCATTCCAGAGAGAGAATGAAAAACATAAGCAAAAGCCCTGTGGTAGGAAAAATACTTGCGTGTTTAAGTAACAGAATGACATAGTGAACCCAAAGAAGTCACAAAATGAGATAGGAAACAGAGGTAGAGCCAAATAATATAAGGTTAATATATTCATGATTTTTGTGTACCTCTGCATGATTCAATCATTCAATATAATCTTGTCTTCTGTGATTTTGCTTTTTTAAGTTTAAACTCATTTTAGCCACTATGCTGATAATTATTTTAGCCATGTTATTGCCATTTTTCTTTGGTAGGTTTTTTTATACTTGTGGATGCATTATCCAGGAAAAAAGGCAACTGGGTTAGGACGAGCCAAAACAAGAGCCAGAAGGAGAAAACATATACTAAATCTGAGAGGCAAGGGTAAAGTCATAATGCGAGAATAAAAAATAATGCTGGGGCTGGTAGAATGGATCAAGGAAAAAAAATACACTGCAGTTCAGGTTGAATCAAATTGTTTTAAACCTAATTTGAAAATGGAATGAGGTGGATATGACTGCATAAAGGTGCTGAACATTCCTAGTTAAGTGATTTCCTTAATTTTGTGTAGATTTCCAAAGTTCTAAAGTGCCTAGCTTAATTCAATGGCTTAAACTATCCTTCTCTTTATTAGTTTAGTGTTTATTAAATATAATCTCTTTGTCAAACACTGTGCTGGTCTAGATACTAAAACTGAAAAGAAGAAGGTCATCGTAGGCACTAGAAATAAAAAGTTCATTGTACCTATCCTCACATAGACTATTCTAGTGAGGAAGACAGATTTTAAAAAATTAAATGATTAAGAAAAGTAATTAGTCTGAAAAGTGCTATGAAAGAAAAAAAGTAGAGTGTTAGGGTATAGAAAACAAGGGGTTGATAGAGGCACTTCATTTAGATAAGGTTGTCAGGAAAAAGTGCTATCCAAGCTGACGGAGAGCAGAAGCACTAAGCCATGCAGAAAGCTGGGAGCTGAGCTGCCCAGGAATAGGAAACATGAGGTTCAACGGTTCAGAGGTGAGAAAGGGCATATAGCGGGAAGGAAGTCAAAGAAGTGAGAAAGGGGAACAGTGGCCATGAGCCTACAATGGAGTACACAGGGTCAGGTTAGGTGGTACCTTGCAGGCCACGATAAATTTTACATTTTATTTTAAGGGTAAAGTGAAGTCACTGAAGAGTTTTGAGCAAAAGAATGGCATGATCCAAGCTGCACTATAAAAAGATACTTGTAGAATTCTGGTTCTGGTAATAGTGGAATAGCATGCATCACACTAATCCCCGCAGAGAGCAATTATAAACTCTGGACAAAATATATAAAGCATCTGTTGGAGGTACTGGTGAGCAACCAAGAGCAAGTAGAAGCAAGAAAGAATTCAACTTTGGAAAGAAAGAAACACACTGAGTGAAATCCATGTTTATATGGCCTTACCCTCAATTCAACAGTGCACTGTGACTAGAACTCAAGGAGAAAACTGTAGTCTGGTTGGCAGGAGGAATCAAGGGAAATCTGGCACTGCTAGAGTAGCTGGATACTGAGGAGGAATATTCTAGGAAGGGTAATGGGGGAGGCCCAAAATCTGCATATAAACTTCCCTCAACTCTTGGCTGAGCCCTGGACTGTGCATGTGTAGGAAAGATTCTAAGAAGTGCAGGGAGAAAAAACTGCTGAGAAGCCAAAGAAACTGCCACCACAGGGGAGACAGAGTTTGTTGTTCAAATCCCACCAAGTAGAGGAGGGCTTGGTAAACACCTTGGGTTTTCCACTGAAACTTCAAAAAGATGGTTCATGCTTTAGAAGTAAAGATTGAGTTTAAATTAAGGACAGAAAAATATTGATTGGATTTGCCTTTTTGACCAACTCAGGAACAATTTCGGGTTAGGAATGGGTATGGGAGAGAGAGAGAAGAGCAGGCTAACGAAATAGCAAACAACTCTTGAGAGAGTCTGTTGTATGGAGAAATAGGGTTGTATTTGGATGGGGAAGTTTTGTTTCTTAGGATGGAAGACACTAGAGCAAGTCTGTTTTTTGGTTTTTTTTTGAGATGGAGTTTTGCTTTGTTGCCCAGGCTGGTGTGCAGTGGTGCAATCTCGAGTCGCTGCAACCTCCACCTACCAGGTTCAAGTGGTTCTCCTGTCTCAGCCTCCCAAGTAGCTGGGACTACAGGCGCGTGCCACCACGCCCAGCTAATTTCTGTATTTTTAGTAGAGACAGGGTTTCGCCATGTTGGTCAGGCTGGTCTCCGACTCCTGACCTGAAATGATCCATCAGCCTCAGCCTCCCAAAGTAGTGGGATTACAGACGTGAGTCACCGCCCCCAGTCTCCAAGTCTGTATTCTTTTTTTTTTTTTTTTGAGATGGAGTCTCGCTCTGTCACCCAGGCTGGAGTGCCGTGGCGCCATCTCGGCACACAGCAACCTCCGCCTCCCAGGTTC
The DNA here is from genome assembly GCF_000001405.40 of Homo sapiens. NCBI lineage: Eukaryota > Metazoa > Chordata > Mammalia > Primates > Hominidae > Homo > Homo sapiens. The sequence goes on along the minus strand of NC_000001.11, from coordinate 200,810,494 downwards.
AAGCAATTCTCCTGCCTCAGCCTCCCAAGTAGCTGGGATTACAGGCACCCGCCACCATACCCAGCTAATTACTATATTTTCAGAACGGGGTTTCACCATGTTGGCCAGGCTAGTCTTGAACTCTCAACCTCAGGTGATCCGCCTGCCTGGGCCTCCCAAAGTGCTGGGATTACAGGTGTGAGCCACCACGCCCGGCCCAAATCTGTATTCTTATAAGAATGATCCAATAGACCGGAAGAGTCAGACAATGTGGGAGTGAACAAATAACAGTGTGGTCCCAAACCAGCAGCATTAGTATCACCTGGAGCTTGTTAGAAATGCAGACTCTCCTGCTTCACCCTAGACACCTCCTCATTCAGATCAGCCATTTTAACACGTTCCCAGGTTCTATGGTTTGAATATTTGCCCCCCTCTGAAATTCATGTTGAAACTTAATCTCCACTGTGGCAGTACTGAAAGGTGGGACCTTTAAGAGGTGACTGGGTTATGAGAGCAGACCCAATTCACAGATCAATGGATCAACGGGCTATCACTAGCAGCTTTGTAAGACGGGGAAGACAGACCTGAGCTAACATGCTCAGACATGTGATGATGCCCTGTGCTGCCTCAGGACTCTGCAGAGTCCCCACTTAGCAGGAAGCTCTCACCAGTGGCCTCTTCACCTGGGATCTCTTAGCCTCCATAGCTATAAGAAATAAATTCCTTTTCATTATAAATCACCCAGTTTCAGGTATTCTGTTATTATTATTATCATTATTATTATTTTGAGAGGATCTCGCTCTGTCACCCAGGCCGGAGTGCACTGGCGCGATCTCGGCTCACTGCAACCTCCGCCTCCCAGGTTCAAGTGATTCTCCTGCCTCAGCCTCCTGAGTAGCTGGGATTACTGGCATCTGCCACCATGCTCAGCTAATGTTTGTATTTTTAGTAGAGACGGAGTTTCGCCATGTTGGCCAGGCTGGTCTTGAACTCCTGACCTCCCACCTGCCTTGGCCTCCCAAAGTGCTGGGATTACAGGCGTGAGCCACTGAGCCCGGCTCAGGTATTCTGTTACAAGAAGAAAATGGACTAATACACCAGGTAATTCTTATGTACATTAAAAAGTAAGAACTGAAGTACAGGACCAATGACCACAAAAAAGGGAAGAAAGTTCTAGAGCAAGTAGTAGAAAACTCACGTTTGATGTGAAGGGGGAAATTCTTCATTGTAACAGTAGGACAAAAGAAAGGCAATGAGTGCGATCCAAAACTGTTTACAGATTTGCTAGTATAAAGGGAAGATAATTCCCACCTAAAGCCTTCCCATCTCTGGTCTCAAGAAAAGATAAGGCAAATTTAGCTGACAGTAGTAGGGAAAGGGTTACAGAAGGTCCGAGAATTAGAGGAAAATGGGTAACACAGTTGTCATGAAGCGTGGGAAAGCAAACTTAGGGACACATTTGTTGGACTGGCAGTGGAAGTTTGTGCTTATGAACTTAAAGTGAAACCAACTTCCTTGTGTAAATTTCTCCAGCAATATTTGCCTCTGCAAATGCAGGTTAGAAATAAAATGGGTAACTAAGCTAAACCATCTGAGCTGTTACCAAATGAGTAACAGGGAGGGAAGGGGAGACATAAGAACTGAGAGTACTTATAAAAATCTAAGTTCAAGATGGACAAATATGAAGTCCAATAAGATTGTGAGAAATTAATAGGCTCAATAGTTTATAAGTCATAATGAGGTTCAACATTTTAAAAATTATTATTTAAAGCAAGTGGGTTAGGAAGATAGGAGAAACTGTTCAAGAATGGGAAGTCTGTAATGGGATGTGAAGGTTGCATAGTTTCTCAAGATGAATAGGTCTAGAATGTAACTGTGATTTTCTACAGCTGAGGAGGAGTCAGGGAAAGATTACTAAAGATGAAGAAATAAAGGAACTCCAGAGGCAAAGTATTAAGCAGTCCTTCTACAATGATACTGATATTATGGATAATGAAGATAGCTGTAATAGTGTTTTTTACATTTAGCTTTTTATTACGAGCTTCATGCCAGCTTTCAAGAAAGGATACCTGGAGATATAACTTCTTTTAAATCCGTTTAGTGCTTGTCTTCAGATAAGGTTTAATTTTCTTTTGGCTGGCAGTTGTAAATGAAAGTGGATCAAGACAAATTAACTACTCAAATTGGCAAAGGGAGTGATAAGCTGACAAATTAAGCATCTTCAAAGCACAAATCACAGCTCCATAAAAATTTCCAAGAAGAGGAATCCACAATCAATAGGATCTTGTGCAACTTGGTCAAGCAAACCTAAGAATCCCCTAACTGGAAATGTAAGAAAATTATTTCATTCTTGAAATGAATTCAAAAAATATTTACTGAACACCCACTGTGTATAGTTCACTATTAGGAGTGTTCTGAATTTTTTCATAATCTGGTATGAACCAGATTAATCATTAAGAGTAATTATAAATATTGGCCAGGCGTGGTGGCTCACGCCTGTAATTGCAGCACTTTGGGAGGCCAAGGTGGGTAGATCACCGTGAGGCCAGGAGTTCCAGACCAGCCTGGCCAACATGGCGAAAACTCGTCTCCACTAAAAACACAAAAATTAGCCGGGTGTGGTGGCAAACGCCTGTAATCCCAGCTACTTGGGAGGCCGAGGCATGAGAATTGCTAGAACCTGAAGGGCGGAGGTTGCAGTGAGCCGAGATCATGCCACTTCACTCCAGCCTGGGTGACAGAGCGAGACTACTTCTCAAAAAAAAAAAAAAAAAAAGAGTAATCATAAATATTGCTAAGTATACAGAAAACTATTTTCATCATTTTAAGCTTTTTTACTAAAAAATTTAAGTGTATTTTACAACTTAAGTTTGCACTTTGATTTGAAACAAAAAGAGTAATGAAGTGGCAATGTATAATTTAGAATTTCACGTTTTCTGGCTATGAGATGCGATTTACTCAAGTGAGTATAATCCTACCTTATTTATCCAGTACATGACAGCGTCCTCAATATCATAGGGCAGATCTGTGGCTTGAAAAAAAGCTGAATACTGCTGAGCACACGCAATTACTTTTTCTATACTGACCATTTCTACAGTATAAGCCATCATGAGGGTATCGATCATGGCCAAATGTGCACTCTGAAAATATAAAACAAGAACAAATAGTTTAAAAATTATATTTAGAAATTGCTTTTTACATATTTTGAAATGTTAATGACATCTCCTAACAAGCAGCAGAATAACTACAGAAGACCAGCCTTAATAAGAAAGCATAAATTGTACATGCTAAAGATGAGCTAACTGACCCAAACTAATTTATTGTTCAAATACTTATTGAGGATCTATATTTAAGATACTCATTATCTTCTACTCCAAAGATGCTTCTTTTCTTGTTTTTCCTATTTTTTATAATGTCATGGTCATTTACTCAGCAATATAACTTACCGACTTCAGAACCATCTTTGACAGTCTTTCCTCATTCTTCTCACCCACATAGTACAAGTTTATAGATTCTCTATCTTTCAAATCTTCCCTCTTCCTCATTCTGATTGTCACAGTTCCAATTCAGACCCAAACATTTCTCACACTTGAACAAGGTAAAAAATTCTTTAACTGGTTTTCCTGCCTCCAACTTCTTCCTCATCTAATTCATCCAGAACAGGACTTCTAGCCTTTGGCACAGATAGATAGATTTGGCATAGATAGATAGATAGATAGATAGATAGATAGATAGATAGATAGATAGATACACACACACACACACACACACAATTATATGGAAGTTCTAAAAAAAACATTACAGTAGTATATGAAGTGCCCCTCCCTCCACCAGTTTCTTCAGTCTGGTATATATTCCTACAAAAAAGTTTAATGCCTATGAAATATGTACACATTTACACTGCTTGGCATTACCAACAATGTTACAACATTGTATTTCTCCAGGGATAATTCTTAGTTGTGGCCACTGGGTCCAAGGGCAACCACAATTTAAGTTTTGATAGATAACCATTAATCTACTCTCTAGAAAGGTTACACCAACTTATCTCCCACCAACGTTATCAGCCTGCCTGTTTCTCCACATTTTTGACAACATTAGATATTATTCACTTTTAAAAATCTGTATCAACATGAAAGTTTAGAAGACCCCACTCTTGTTTGACTTTACAATCCTGATTATCACTGAAGATGAGCATCCTTTTATGTGCTTTAGCAACCATTTGCATTTCTTCTTTGGAAAGCTACCTGCTCAAATCTTTTGCCTATTCTTAACTGATTTGTAAGAGCTCATTATATATTAAGTACTTTTTAACCTTCTGTCATTGAGGTAGCAAATACTTTCCCCTAGTTTTTCTCCAGACTTTCAACTTTAGGGTACCTTTTGTTGCAGAGTTTTAAATATTTACTTGGTAAAATCTGTTAATCTCAGTGTTTTCCTTTATGGCTTTGGAGTTGATAACATGTTTATAAAGGTCTTCTCCAACCCCAAAATATAGAAATATTATTCTCTATTTTTTCCATAACTTTAATTCCATCTGGAATTTACTTTTGACAATGTTATAAACTAGCGGCTGTTTTTTCCAAATCGGAGATTGCATCATATCATTCTCTCATAAAGTCTACCTCATTTTCTACATAACGAAGTCTAAACTCCTTAAAAGAGGTAAAGTTTCTTTCTTTCTTTCTTATTAGCTGCTTTGTTAGTCTAGCCTTAGAATCTACCATTTCCTTCTCCAATCTGCTACCAGTTTTCAAGCTTTTGTGCCCTGGCTTGTTGTCCTCCTAACAATACAGACTAAGTTTTGTCGTTGGTTTGAATGTTACTCTGATTGTGAAGATTTTTCCAGTTCTCTTTCCAATCAAAATGACTCACTCAACCTATCAATGAGTACAGGTTCCTACAGAATATTGTTTCTGTTTGCATTAATTTCTAAATTATCTAAAGTACGGCATCAGCACTGGTATTTTTAAACAGCTTCCCCAGGTGATGCTAATGAGCAGCCAGGGTTGAGAACCACTGATTTCTCTGACATGTGCACAGTCACCTGCATATGACTCTATTTCTCTAGATAGACAGTTGTAGGATATTATCTCAGTTATCTTCCTATTCCCTACATCTAACGTGGTATCTGGCAACTAGCAGGGGCTAAAGAAAGGAAAGGAAAGAAAGAAGCTAGCCTTTTGGTTACTATAAAGACTCAAGAGCTGGGTTACTCTGGAGGTTGAGGAAGTGAATTCTGATCGTTTAGGAGGTGGCAGTTCCAGCTTCTAGAAAACTGAGCAGTATTTATAGGAAAGCTGACGCTTTGTAAGAAGCAGAATGCTTAACACTGGCAATCATAAAACCAACAGTGGCTCCTACTTACTAAGTCTAACTTATGTGCCATATACTGTGCTAAATACTTTATTAGTATATTAACTCTTTCATTTCAAATATTTTTTGAAATAAGCCTGGAGACAATAGATAAAAAACACTTTCTATAATCCTCAAAAGTCTCTAAAGGAAGTATCATTTATGTTTTATATGTGCAGAAACTGAAGTTTAGACAATTATGCAATTTGTCCAAACCTGTGTGCTCTTTCTACCATATCATGCAGTTGGCAGGAGTTAAGTCATTTTGTTGCAAAGCAAAAAAATATGTTTCAGAAATGACAAACATAATATGCAAGAAAGAAAAAGTAGGATCAATAATTATTTCAAATTAAAACCGCATTTTCATATTCAATCTCCTCTAAGAAGTATTTTCCACACTGCTACTGTCCAACTATCCCAGTTCTTCCTTCACACTCAGAATATTGCAGCCTTTCTCTTAGTCATTCATCTGTATGTATCCTCTCCGTTATACTCCATCCCTGGAGAGCAGGGATCCTGTCTTTTTCACTTTTGTTCCTAGACAATGTTTTATGGGTGAAAGTAAATTCCTGTTTAACAGCATTAAAAAGCATGGCATTTTTGGATTAAAATGTGGGAAAATATTTCAAGAGCCACAAAATCATTCATGTACTCTTAAGACTCCTCTTGGCAGTTTGTTCTATAAACACATGAGAGAGGATAAAAACGCTGTATAAATAAAAAATAACCATTATAATATTATACAACAGAAAGAAAACAATATCCAACCAAAATGAGTAATTTATGATATATTAAACTATTTAAAAATAAGGGAAATGTGTACAATATAAAATTGAGTGGAAAAAACAGAATACCACACTATAATACTGTTTTATATATATACATAAAAATATGAAAAAGGAAGGAAACAGACAAGAAACAAGAAAAACAGAACATCTGGCCAGGCGCGGTGGCTCACGCTTGTAATCCCAGCACTTTGGGAGGCCGAGGTGGGCAGATCACAAGGTCAGGAGATCGAGACCATCCTGGCTAACACGGTGAAACCCTGTCTCTACTAAAAATACAAAAAATTAGCCAGGCGTGGTGGCGGACACCTGTAGTCTCAGCTACTCAGGAGGCTGAGGCAGGAGAATGGCATGAACCCGGGAGGTGGAGGTTGCAGTGAGCCGAGGTCGCACCACTGCACTCCAGCCTGGGCAACAGAGCAAGACTCTGTCTCAAAGAAAAAAAAAAAGAAAAACAGAACATCATACCATAATAATGTTTGAATACCACAGACACACACGCACACACAACAGAAAGGGAAAATGAATGAATAAAAGTAAAACTTAGAAATTACCTTGTTATAGTATGTAAAAACACAAATAAAATCTATAGTTTACTTCGAAAATTGGGATACATTTTCAGAACAAAGCTCATTTCACTGATTAACTTCCCAAATTAAAAAACAAATTTCTAAAAATTCCACTACTGTGCTGTGGTTATTTCCATATGATATTCACTCACTTTAAGAACTCTTACATTTTAGTGTGATTTTTTTTTTTTACTTCTTAACTTTACAATATGATAGTGATAATTAAAAATTATGTATAACAGAAAGTATATACACAATGGATTTAGAAAAGATCAACATTAAAAAATAAACTCAAGGCTAAAATCAATCAGTTTGGAGCTATGATAGCTCCAAATAAAATATACACGTTTAATTGCTTACCTAAAGCATTCAGATCAGAATAATAACAATAACTAACACTGTTAAGTGTCACATACTGTTTTTGGCATTTTACTGTTTTCTGTCATGTACTGTTTTCAGTATGTAATGTTCTCAGCATTTGTATTAATTTAATGAAACAACCCTGTGAGGGTAAGCACTATTACTCTACCTATTTTACAGATAAGAAAACTGTATAACCTGTCCAAGGTTACACAGCAAGGAGGCAGTGATGTAGGGATTCAAACTTAGAAATCTGCCTCCAGAGCCCACAACACTGAACATCACACCTGCAGACTTAAATCCCAACCTCTGCACCTTGTAGGAGGCAACTGCGGCAGCAACAGAAACAGCAGTGTACATTGCAACCACCAGGTGGCAGAGCATAGCATGACATCTAAGAGCAGCAGCAGGAAGGCTGGTTATGGAAGAAAAAGCAGGAGGGCTACTTGGCATTTCAATGAAAAGAAAAGGATTTGGGGAATGTGGAATCCCAGGGACTTTACTGGGTGAGAGCTGAAGTATCATCCAAAGGCCACCATTAGGTTCTATATCTGTGTTACAAGGGTTATATTTTTATCATCTCCAACCAGTGGAGTCTAAGCAAAAATAAATTACATTTATGTATTAGAAATGAAGGTTAAACCTATTAAAGAAAGGAAAGGGTTTCAGTGTTATAAGAAATTTTTAGCCTCATAAATTAAGATAAAAGATCTACTACTGCATGGCTTTTACTATTCTTGTATCAGATTTAGACATAGAACTTAAAAAAAAATCCTAAAATGAACTTAGTTTTTGGACTAATAAAGTGGCTAGACTGCCTACTATGCCCAAGTACGCCCACAGGTATTTAAGAGGAAATAAATACTTTAATCAATCACAAACATGAGGTACTAGTTATTCTGCTAAAATGGTACATACTGCATATTCATATTAAACTCTATAGTTTTTCAAAGTTATTCCAACTTAGAAAATATTTTACATATCATTTATCTATATAAACACTTTTTCATAAGTTTCATTTATCTTTAATTTACATGGAGATAAAAGTAAAACACCACTTGCAACTCCGCTGAGATGATATGTCATTTTATCAATGAGGAAATCTCAGGATGAGTATCTACATTTGGTCACAGAGTTAGTAAGAGTTAGAACTAGGATTCAAAATCCTGGTCTGTCTATGGTCAAAGCTCGTATACTTGCCATTCCTCCATGTTGGCCCCAGTATTTCACAATAAATCTTTTGTTATTATGTAATAATACTTTGCCATTGAATTACTATTTCTAAACTTCTGATATTGACAATTCAAGAATAAACTAAAACCAAGGCTTCCAATCCAAAGACATTCTTATATAGAACTATCTTGGTTTAAAACAGAATTTAGTTAAAATAAAATCCAGTTTTAAACCAAGACAGTTGTACTATAAGGCTGCAGAGATAAAAATCTTGCTATTGCCACCATAGTATTACTACTGTCCTCAACTCAGTTAAACTAGGGGTTACTAGCTGCCAACACATCAAGCACTGTCCTCCTGCCTCTCAAAGCTCAAATGTGGTTCCCAGAACAAATAAATAAATAAGGTACTAAGACGAGTTAAAGAGATTATGAAAAAGAAAACAAGGATACCACCTACACTTAAGAGTTCATCTTAGATACTGCCATCTGACTCTAGCTTTTAGCTTATAGGTAACTCATCTAAATATAATTTAGATGGTGTAAGCTTTAATAACCTTCAGATAATTTAGAAAGGATATCAGAGATTGAAAATCAACTTAATAAAATAAAGCATGAAGGCAAGATTAGAGAAAAAACAACGAAAAGGAACAAACAAAGCCTCCAAGAAATATGGGACTATGTGAAAAGACCAAACCTACGTTTGATCGGTACACCTGAAAGTGATGGGGAGAATGGAACCAAGTTGGAAAACACTCTTCAGGATATTTTCCAGGAGAACTTCCTAACCTAGGAAGACAGGCCAATATTCAAATTCACGAAATACAGAGACCACCACAAAGATACTCCTCGAGAAGTGCAACCCCAAGACACATAATCATCAGATTCACCCAAAAGGTCAGGTTACCCACAAAGGGAAGCCCATCAGATTAACAGCGGATCTCTACGTGGAAACCCTACAAGCCAGAAGAGAGTGGGGGCCAATATTCAACATTCTATTTTTTTTTTTTTCTTTGAGATGGAGTCTTGCTCTGTCTCCAGGCTGGAGTGCAGTGGCGCGATCTCAGCTCACCGCAACCTCCACCTCCTGGGTTCAAGAGATTCTCCTGCCTCAGCCTCCCAAGTAGCTGGGACTATAGGCACACACCACCATGCCCAGCTAATTTTTGTATTTTTAGTAGAGAAGGGGTTTCACAATGTTGGCCAGGATGGTCTCAATCTCTCGACCCTGTGATCCGCCCGTCTTGGCCTCCCAAAGTGCTGCAATTACAGGTGTGAGCCACTGCGTCAGGCCTCAACCTTCTTAAAGAAAAGAATTTTCATCCCAGAATTTCATATCCAGTCAAACTAAGCTTCATAAGCGAAGGAGAAATAAAATCCTTTACAGACAACCAAATACTGAGAGATTTTTGTCACCACCAGGCCTGCCTTACAAGAGCTCCTGAAGGAAGCACTAAATGTGGATAGGAAAAACCAGTACCAGCCACTGCAAAAACATACCAAATTGTAAAGACCATCGACACTATGAAGAAACTGCATCAACTAACAGGCAAAATAACCAGCTAGCATCATAATGACAGGATAAAATTCACACATAACAATATTAACCTTAAATGTAAATGGGCTAAATGCCCCAGTTAAAAGACAAAGATTGACAAATTGGATAGAGTCAAGACCCACTGGTGTGCTCTATTCAGAAGACCCATCACATGTGCAAAGACACACATAGGCTAAAAATAAAGGGATGGAGGAAGATTTACCAAGCAAATGGAAAGCAAAAAAAAAGCAAGGGTTGCAATCCTAGTCTCTGATAAAACAGATGTCAAACCAACAAAGATAAAAAAAGACAAAGAAGGGCATTCCATAATGGTAAAGGGATCAATGCAACAAGAAGAACTAACTATCCTAAATATATATGCACCCAATACAGGAGCACCCAGATTCATAAAGCAAGTTCTTAGAGGCCTACAAAGAGACTTAGACTCCCACACAATAATAGTGGGAGACTTGAACACCCCACTGTCACTATTAGATCAACGAGATAGAAAATCAACAAGGATATTCAGGACTTGAACTCAGCTCTGGACCAAGCAGACCTAATAGACATCTACAGAATTCGCCATCCCAAATCAACAGAATACACATTCTTCTCAGAACCACATTGCACTTATTCTAAAATTGATTACATAATTGGAAGTAAAACACTCCTCAGCAAATGCAAAAGAATGGAAATCATAACAAACAGTCTCTCAGACCACAGTGCAATCAAATTAGGACTCAAGGTTAAGAAACTCACTCAAAACCGCTAAACTACATGGAAACTGAACAACCTGCTCCTGAATGACTACTGGGTAAATAACAAAATTAAGGCAGAAATAAGTTCTTTGAAACCAATGAGAACAAAGACACATGTACTAGAATCTCTGGAACACAGCTAAAGCAGTGTTTAGAGTGAAATTTATAGTGCTAAATACCCACAAGAGAAAGCAGGAAAGATCCAAAATCGACACCCTAACATCACATTTAAAAGAACTAGAGAAGCAAGAACAAACAAATTCAAAACTTAGCAGAAGACAAGAAATAACTACGATCAGAGCAGAACTGAAGGAGAAAGAGACATGAAAAAGCCTTCAAAAAAATCAATGAATCCAGGAGCTGGTTTTCTGAAAAGATTAACAAAATAGATAGACTGCTAGCCAGACTAATAAAGAAGGAAAGAGAGAAGAATCAAATAGATACAATAAAAAATGATAAAGAGGATATCACCACTGATACCACAGAAATACAAACTGCCATCAGAGAATACTATAAACACCTCTATGCGAATAAACTAGAAAATCTAGAAGAAATGGATAAATTCCTGGACACATACTCCCTCCCAAGACTAAACCAGGAAGAAGTCGAATCCCTGAACAGACCAATAACAAGTTCTGAAATTGAGGCAGTAATTAAAAGTCTACCAACCAAAAAAAAAACCCCAGGACTAGACGGATTCACAGCCAAATTCTACCAGGGGTACAAAGAGGAGCTGGTACCATTCCTTCTGAAATTATTCCAAACAACAGAAAAAGAGGGACTTCTCCATAACTCTTTTTATGAGGCCAGCATCATCCTGATACCAAAATCTGGCAAAGACACAACAAAAAAAGAAAATTTCAGGCCAATATCCCTGATGAACATCAATGTGAAAACCCTCAATAAAACACTGGCAAACTGAATCCAGCACCACATCAAAAAGCTTATCCACCACGATCAAGTCAGCTTCATCCCTGGGATGCAAGGCTGGTTCAATATACGCAAATCAATAAATGTAATCCAGCATATAAACAGAGCCAAAGACAAAAACCACATGATTATCTCAATAGATGCAGAAAAGGCCTTTGACAAAATTCAACAACGCTTCATGCTAAAAACTCTCAATAAATTAGGTATTGATGGGATGTATCTCAAAATAATAAGAGCTATCTATGACAAACCCACAGCCAATATCATACTGAATGGGCAAAAACTGGAAGCATTCCCTTTGAAAACTGGCACAAGACAGGGATGCCCTCTCTCACCACTCCTATTCAACATAGTGTTGGAAGTTCTGGCCAGGGCAATTAGGCAGGAGAAGGAAATAAAAGGTATTCAATTAGGAAAAGAGGAAGTCAAATTGTCCCTGTTTGCAGACGACATGATTGTATATCTAGAAAACCCCATCGTCTCAGCCCAAAATCTCCTTAAGCTGATAAGCAACTTCAGCAAAGTCTCAGGATACAAAATCAATGTACAAAAATCACAAGCATTCTTATACACCAGCAACAGACAAACAGAGAGCCAAATCATGAGTGAACTCCCATTCACAATTGCTTCAAAGAGAATAAAATACCTAGGAATCCAACTTACAAGGGATGTGAAGGACCTCTTCAAGGAGAACTACAAACCACTGCTCAAGGAAATAAAAGAGGATACAAACAAATGGAAGAACATTCCATGCTCATGGGTGGGAAGAATCAATATCGTGAAAATGGCCATACTGCCCAAGGTAATTTATAGATTCAATGCCATCCCCATCAAGCTACCAATGACTTTCTTCACAGAATTGGAAAAAACTAAAGTTCATATGGAACCAAAAAAGAGCCCGCATTGCCAAGTCAATCCTAAGCCAAAAGAACAAAGCTGGAGGCATCACACTACCTGACTTCAAACTATACTACAAGGCTACAGTAACCAAAACAGCATGGTACTGGTACCAAAACAGAGATATAGATCAATGGAACAGGACAGAGCCCTCAGAAATAACGCCGCATACCTACAACTATCTGATCTTTGACAAACCTGACAAAAACATGCAATGGGGAAAGGATTCCCTATTTAATAAATGGTGCTGGGAAAACTGGCTAGCCATATGTAGAAAGCTGAAACTGGATCCCTTCCTTACACCTTATACAAAAATCAATTCAAGATGGATTAAAGACTTAAACGTTAGACCTAAAACCATAAAAACCCTAGAAGAAAACCTAGGCATTACCATTCAGGACATAGGCATGGGCAAGGACTTCATGTCTAAAACACCAAAAGCAATGGCAACAAAAGCCAAAATTGACAAATGGGATCTAATTAAACTAAAGAGCTTCTGCACAGCAAAAGAAACTACCATCAGAGTGAACAGGCAACCTACAAAATGGGAGAAAATTTTCACAACCTACTCATCTGACAAAGGGCTAATATCCAGAATCTACAATGAACTCAAACAAATTTACAAGAAAAAAACAAACAACCCCATCAAAAAGTGGGCGAAGGACATGAACAGACACTTCTCAAAAGAAGACATTTATGCAGCCAAAAAACACATGAAAAAATGCTCACCATCGCTGGCCATCAGAGAAATGCAAATCAAAACCACAATGAGATACCATCTCACACCAGTTAGAATGGCAATCATTAAAAAGTCAGGAAATAACAGGTGCTGGAGAGGATGTGGAGAAATAGGAACACTTTTACACTGTTGGTGGGACTGTAAACTAGTTCAACCATTGTGGAAGTCAGTGTGGCGATTCCTCAGGGATCTAGAACTGGAAATACCATTTGACCCAGCCATCCCATTACTGGGTATATACCCAAAGGACTATAAATCATTCTGCTATAAAGACACATGCACACGTATGTTTATTGCGGCATTATTCACAATAGCAAAGACTTGGAACCAACCCAAATGTCCAACAATGATAGACTGGATTAAGAAAATGTGGCACATACACGCCATGGAATACTATGCAGCCATAAAAATGATGAGTTCATGTCCTTTGTAGGGACATGGAAGAAATTGGAAATCATCATTCTCAGTAAACTATCACAAGAACAAAAAACCAAACACCGCATATTCTCACTCATAGGTGGGAATTGAACAATGAGATCACATGGACACAGGAAGGGGAATATCACACTCTGGGGACTGTTGTGGGGTGGGGGGAGAGGGGAGGGATAGCATTGGGAGATATACCTAATGCTAGATGATGAGTTAGTGGGTGCAGTGCACCAGCATGGCACATGTATACATATGTAACTAACCTTCACAATGTGCACATGTACCCTAAAACTTAAAGTATAAAAAAAAAAAAAGACAAAAAAAAACTTATGCTCTGAAAACTACAAAACATTGTTGAAAGAAATTAAAGATAAACAGAAAGACATCCCATATTGATGGATGGAAGACTACATACTCCTAGGATGGCAATACTTTCCTAAATTGGTATACAAAGTAATGTGATCTCTATCAGAATCCCAGGTAGCTTCTTTATAGAAACTGACAAACTGATCCTAAAATTCATATTAAAGCTCAAGGGACTCACCACAGCCAAAGCAATCGTGAAAGGGAACAAAGTAGGAGGACTTATACTTCCTGATTTTAAAACTTTCTACAAAGCAACAATAATCAACACAATACGGTACTGGTATAAAAACAGAGATCAATGGAACAGAGTCCATAAATAAGCCCATATGTCTATGGTCAATTGATTTTTTTTAACACAAAAAATTTTGTTTAACTATTGAACAGCAAATAGTTAAGTAGTAACCTACAAGAGGATTATGGCATTGTTGTTCCAGACGTACTGCTGTTATACCCAATCTGTATTAAACATAGTCAGGACCAAAGGTGCCACTGCTACTCTGCTATACCCAGGTGGAACTATGCATGTGGCAGCCCTGGCAAGAGGGGTGACTTTCATGAGATTCAAAATACCTCTCTGAAGAGTTTCAAAATCTTAACAATATGACATATGCTTAAACAACTGATCGCACAAAACTGCTATTTTTATTTTATTTGGACCTCCCTGGTTAGATATGTCAATGAAGTAGGCAGAGCAAGTCAAAAAAGTATGATGACTAGCATGCGACTATCAGCACAATGATACTGATTTAACTGCTATTTAATTCTGCCCAAATTTTTAGGAAGCAAATATTAGAGACAAGGAAGTAGTTGAGAGTTCTCTTTCATCTGTTTATATACAAGTAGATGAGTATCTGGTTTACATCTTGTCACTTACATTTGGTAATAATCACACTACCCAATGAAGAAGTGTTTCCAAGATAATGTTAAAACAAGCTGATATTAAGCTTTATTGCAAACTTAATATATATAAGAAAGAGTATAGCTCAAATATCTATTGAAACGCAAGGCCCAGACAGATGAAAGATATGTCTCCTGAGCAGACTCATCGACTTCATCTGGACTATATGTAGCTTCAAATGGCAAATTAAGGGCATTTAAATGTGGCTGTACTGGATGGACACATACAGGAATGGCATACTAGTAGTCAAACCAATATAGTAAACAAAGGAAACAGTTTAGAGCAGTCGTTCCAAATATGGATGATCATCAAAAAGATCATAAATTCCCTGGCATCAAACCTTAGAGGCTGACTCATTAGATCTCTAGAGAGAAGCCCAAGAACAGCATACTATCAGGAATCTTGCTTTCACAGTCCCTCACAGCTACAAGTGATTAACCTTTCTACAGGACATTGCCAATCACATCACTCTACAGTCAAAAGCCTTCAGTGACTTCCCAGGGCCTACCCAACAAGTCCAGGATTATTTAAATAATATTAAAATTCTTCAAGATCTTAAAATAATCACTCTTTTCAGGTCTTCTAATACTTCCCCACATAAATCCTATAGTCTAGCAGCATAGGTTAGCAAAGACCATTTAAGCAGAGTACCTAGGTTTAATCCCAACTCTGCCACTTACTAACTAGGTGATCTTTGGCAAATTCCTTAACTTCTCTGTGCTTCAATACCTCAACTATAAAATGGAGTGACAATAATAGTACAAGGCATTTCATGCTGTAAAAATAACATGGTTTATGTCAAGAATAGGGTTAGGATGAATCACTCAAAAGTCACACAACTTTATAACCAGGAGGCAATGAGGACTGCCCAGGCAGACTCATCAACATGGCTGGAGGTTGCCATACTGAAAAATGCACAAAACTACAATGTGGAAATGCAGATGGGACTCTAATTAGAGCATGGATGGTGAGTGCTGCTGGTGAATCCAGATAGACATGGATCTCAGCCAGCAGAGCCAGATTAAGGCAGGCACAGGAGGCAATACAACTTGACCCTAGCCAAGAACTGCATTGTGCTGGGAATGCGTACCTCTGGGAAGGGGCCCTGGGGCAGATGCTCATTTTAAGATTCAAATATGGAAGAATCCTATGGAGATATCAGTAAGAACTCATGATTACATATTTCTCCTGGCATTGTCATGAGTTAAGGGCCTAGCAGTAACACTAAAACAGCAGCAATAAATACATCTATCCCCAGATCATGGTTTCTAAATAACATTCCCCATTAATATAAACCCAAGGCTTCACAGAAAACAGCTGGTTCCAGGTCAGAGATAGGGAAAGAAGAAAGTGAGTCTGGAATATTTGGTTATGTCATATTTGGTTATGCCAAACCCGCTGATTTGCAGGGTCTATTGTACTTACTGAAAAAACTGTGTATAAAGTGGGTCTGCTCAGTTCAAACTCATGTTGTTCAAGGGTCAACTGTATGGCAAAATGTTTATCTTATCTTAGTTTTTAAACTTTTGGCAAAATTAAGAATAGAAGAAAATATAATTTAGAAGCAAACAAAGCTTGTATTTTTTCCACAGAAATCAGTAAGCACATCTTATACATGCATCATTATATATGTCATAGCTAAGTCAGCTAAGGTCTGAAGATGAATTTACAGATCTCAATATTCTTGTCCCAGAAAACTATGTTTACAAGTAAGCTTTGGGTAATATCTGGAGTAAAAAGGAGCTGTTACTACATCCACAGAATAAGTTGTTTCTGCTTACCTTTTTAATTCCTAGGTTAATTGTGGGCAGCTTTCCTCCCAAGCCTTACCTTATAAAGAATGCACTTCAAAATGTTTGTTTGTTTAATACACACGTCATCAGGTGGTTATAAGAAAGTCTACAACCTTAATGTAGTGCTAATTAAACAACGTTTGTGAGTCCAGTTGCTACAATTAGTTACAGAAACTGAAGAGGGATCAATAAGCCAAAAAGAAATAAAAGATGAAAATAAAAAAAAAAGCCTTAAGAATAAAATGCCTTCAAGTGGGTTTTCAAAGCAAATATAAGCCACTTTAATTATACCATAAATATGCAGAGCAACAGGATACAAGTGTTTTAAGCTCAGAATACTGTCCTACCATCAGTAATATCCAAACAAGGCAGCTTTCTCTGCAGCAACCCTTCCAAAATCAAATCCACTCTTAAGAAATTTTATGATCTAAAGTGAAAAATAATTGTATTTCTTTTAGTTGTTACTATTTTGTTTTCCCATATATAAGTAAACATTTTTCCTAGTAACTCAGTTATACATGTTATTTAAATTAACATATATACTAATATCCATTAAAAAAACACCCTAGAAATAGAAGTAGGTCAATAAAAACCAACGATGATTGCTAACGTTTACTGATCTTTCTTACTATAGGTCAAGCACCACATTAGATACTTCACAGCCACTATTGTATTTAATCCTCACACCTATTTATAAGGCAGACAATATTATCATTGCTTACTATAGATGAGGAAAACTGAAGCTCAGAGAGTTTTAGAAATGTTATAAAGTCAAACTGCTGATCATTGTTGGGGTCTGTCCACTACAGAGATAATGTACTCGATCACTCCATACTTTCTCACTACCAGTGAGAAATGACACTGAAACCATTTCTGCTCCACATGGTAGCATTTTCTTTTCATCTTAAAAATTCATTCCTCATACATCTTTTTATTAAACTTTTTATTTTGAGCTCATTGTAAGTTCAAACACAACTGTGAGAAAGAACACAGAAACATCCCATTTACCATAGACCCAGTTTCCCCCAATGGTAACACCTTGCAAAACCATAGTACAATATCACAACCAGGATACTGATATGGATATAATTAAGCCACAAAACACTACAACACAGGATCCTTCATGTTGCCCTTTCCCAGTCACATCTACTTCTCTCCAACCCCTGGCAATCACTAATCTGTTCTCCATTTCTATAATTTTGTCATTTCAAGAATGTTTATATAAATGGGATTTATACAGTATGTAACTTTTTGGGATTGTCTTCTCCCCCACCCCTACTGCCCGAGACGGAGTCTCTTGCTTTGTCATCCAGGCTGGAGCGCAGTGGTGCCATCTCGGCTCACTGCAACCTCCTCCTCCCGGGTTCAAGCAATTTTCCTGCCTCAGCCTCCCGAGTAGCTGGGATTACAGGTGCCTTCCACCACAACCAGCTAATTTTTATATTTTTAGTAGAGACAGGGTTTCACCATGTTGGCCAGGCTGGTCTCAAACTCCCGATCTCAAACTCTCAAAGTGCTGGGATTACAGGCTTGAGCCACTGCGCCCGGCTGGGATTGGCTTTTTTAAACTTAGCATGTCTATGCATATTCATACAAGCTGTTATATGTATCAATAGTTCATTTCTTTTTATTGCTGAGTAGTATTCCGGTAAACTACTTAAGACAACAATTATTTCAGATTATGAAATATAAACACTTTTGTAAATGTAAATACATCAGCTTGACTTACACATTGAACATTCAACAAAACTATCTCATTAATGTTTTTAGGATTACCTCAAATATATTAAATGGAAGTACTAATCTTACTATTATGGGTGGCCTAATTTTCCCAATTTAACCTACCTTTCTTAGGAATGTTTAAAGTTCTAAGGAAATTAAAGTTCATATTCTTAAAAAGAAGAACTCAGGTCATATGGCATAGTTAAATAAAAAAATTATTTTGGGTAAGTATTTTTTTTTTTGGAGACAGGGTCTTGCTTTGTCACTCAGGGTGGAGTGCAGTGGCGTGTTCTTGGCTCACTGCAACCTCTGCCTCCTGGGTTCAAGCGATTCTTCTGCCTCAGCCTCCTGAGTAACTGAGATTACAGGCGCGTGCCACCACATCCAGCTAATTTTTGTATTTTTAGTGGAGACAGGGCTTCACCATATTGGCCTTACTATTTATTTAATTTTTAACATATCTAACTAGCTCGCACAAAAAGTAAATCTCTAAGAGGGTCTTAAAGGAAAAGAATAACAATCACAGGTGCTAACTGCAACAGAATACATCTTTGAAAGGGACCACAGGAATAAGACTGTAAATATAACAGATTTTCCTGTTCTCAACTTCCAGTGATATTTCAAGCTATCCAACTAAAGCATAAAAAGAAAAAAGGCCTTAAAAAAATGAACAAAGCCTCAGAGCCTCATCGGTGACCTGTGTGTGGGACAATAGCAAGCAGTTATACAAATGGAGTCTAAAAAACATGGTGGGGGATAATATTCAGAGAAATAATGGCTGAAATTTTTCCAATTTTGATGAAAACTATAAACTCAAGGATATGAGTAGCTTTAAAAATCCCCAACGGGGTAAATACAAAGAAAAATCCATTAAGGCACACCATAACCAAATTCCGAAAAAAAAAGAAAGAAATCTTAAAAGCAGCTGAAGAAAATCAAATTACACATTACATACAGAGGAAATCTGATAAGAATAACATCTGACTTCTCTCAGAAACAATGCAAGCCATAAGACACAGAATGCATCTTACTCAGCAAAAATAACCTACAAAAATGGAGGTAAAGGCCGGATGCAGTGGCTCACGCCTGTAATCCCAGAACTTTGGGAGGCCGAGGCAGGTGGATCACCTGAGGTCAGGGATTCGAGACCAGCCTGACCAACATGGTGAAACCCCATCCCTACTAAAAATACAAAAATTAGCCAGGCATGGTGGCATGTGCCTGTAATCCCAGCTATTTGGGAGGCTGAGGCTGGAGAATCACTTGAACCTGAGAGGCGGAGGTTACAGTGAGCCAAGATGGCACCATTGCACTCCAGCCTGGGCAACAAGAGCAAAACTCCGTCTCAAAAAAAAAAGGAGGTAAAATAAAGATAACTTTTCTCAATGTTTATTGATCTAAAGATGTCACTAGCAAATGTGCACTACAAAAAAATGTAAAAGAAAGAAGACTTTAGTTTCTGGTCTGCATGTAAAAACCTTAGCAGTCACTCTGTTCTAACAACAAGCACAAAGCTGAACAGAATGAAGTATCAACAATTCTAGGTAGATCTGAAAGAAAGGTGAGAACACAAGGCAAACCACCAGCCCAAAGGATGGAGAGACAGACAGGCAAAGGGAAGTCACAGATTACCAGAGCAAAGACTCACAAACAGAAACAGCCAAGGGAACCAGTGCTGGAGAAGGAAAACTAAACTGTAACTGATGAATTGTTGCAGGTTCAGAGTAAACAAGTCTGAGAGTTAAAACTCCAAGGGATCAAGTTATAGGGAGCTTTACCTTCAAGAGCTCAACCAGGCTCTGGCTTGAACAGGTTCTCACAATAAATATCAGAAACTGTCCCCAACCCTTCCCCCCAGCCCCGCTGCCCCCATGGTTCCAGTGGGAGGGGAGAGAGAATTTCTAAATATACTAGAGCACTCCATTCTTCTTAACAAGGCCTGCCCTCAGAAGAAACTAGGTTAAACCAGAGCTTAATCTGTTAAGGTACTATCAAAGCCTAACTGACCTGGGAGAGGGAAACATTCAAATCCTGTCCCCTCTAGCCTTCCTGACCCACCTAAAGAAGGAGAAAAAAACCTGAGAAACATTTATGAAGTCCACAGTCCAGAGGCATAGGCTCACTAAAAGCCTGAGACCTAATTATAGGACTATAGAATGCTTCTCCTCTCCCCCACACCTTACCACCATATTATAGCAAGGTTGCAGGATACAAGGTTAACATACAAAAGCCAAACACATTCCTATATACCAACAATGAACAAGTGGTATTTGAAATTAAAAACAAAATACCATTTTCATTAGCACCCCCAAATTATAAATACTAAGTATAAATCTAAAAAAATGCATAAGATCTATGTGAGGAAAGCTATAAAACTGATTAACAAAATCAAAGAACTAAATAAATGGAGAGTCCATGTTCATGGATAAAAAGACTCAGTATCATCAAGATACCGGTTTTTCCCAACTTGATCTACAGATTCAATGCAATCCCAGTAAAAATTCCAGCAAGTTATTTTGTAGATATTGATGAATTGATCTAAAGTTTACATGGAGAGGCAAAAGACCTAGAATAGCAAATAATATTGAAGGAGAAGAATAAAGTTAGAGAACTGATGCTACCCACCTTCAAAGCTCACTACAGAGATTCAGTAATCAACACAATGTGGTACTGGCAAAAGAACAAATAGATCACCGGAACAGAATATAGAGCACACGAACAAAGTCAACTGATCTCTGACAAAGAAGCAAATAAGGCAATGCAGTGGAGAAAGACAGTCTTTTTAACAAATGGTGCTAGAACAACCAGACATCCACATGAAAAAAAAAAGACTCTAGACAGACTTTACAGCCTTCATAAAAATTAACTCAAAATGAATCACAGACCTAAATGTACAACAAAACTATAAAACTTCTAGAAGATAACAGAAGAAAAACTAGATAATATTGGGCTTGGCAATGACTTCTTAGATACAAAACCAAATGCACAATCCATGAAAAAATAATTGATAAGCTGGACTTTATTAAAATAAAAAATTTTGCACTGCGGAAGGGTGTCAAGAGAATGAAAAACATAAGCCACAGACTGGGAGAAAACAATTGCAAAAGACATCTCTGATAAAGGACTGTTATCCAAAATATACAAAAAACTCTTAAAACTCAGAAAACAACCCAATTAAAAAACAGGCCAACAACCTTAACAAACACCTCACCAAAGAAGATATAAAGATGGCAAGTAAGCATATGAAAAGATGTTCTGGCCGGGCACAGTAGCTCATGACTGTATTTCCAGCACTTTGGGAGGCTGAGGTGGGCGGATCACCCGAGGTCAGGATTTCGAGACCAGCCTGGCCAGCATAGTGAAACTCCGTCTCTACTAAAAAAAAAAAAAAATACAAAAGTCAGCCAGGCATGGTGGCAGGCACCTGTAATCCCAGCTACTTGGGTAGCTGAGGCAGGAGAATTGCTTGAACCCAGGAGGCGGAGGTTGCAATGAGCCGAGATTGTGCCATTGCACTTCCAGTCTGGGCAACAGGGTGAGACTCCGTCTCAAAAAAAAAAAAAAAGAAAAAAAGAAAAGATGTTCTAAGTCATATATTATCAGGGAAATGCAAATTAAAACCTATTAGAACGTCTAAATCCACAACACTGACAACACCAAATACTGGACTGGAAAGTTCCTGTGGAACAACAGGAACTTTCATTCACTGCTAGTGGGAATCCAAAATGATACAGCCACTTTGGAAGAGAGTTTGGTGATTTCTTACAAAACTAAACATATTATTACTCTATGATCCAGCAATCACACTCCATGGTATATACCTATAGGAGCTGAAAACTTATGTCCACATAAAAACCTAAACACAGATGATTATGTAAGCTTTATTCATAATTGCCAAAACTTGGAAGCAACCAAGACATTCTTCAGTTGATATATGAATTTTTAAAACTGTAGCACATTCAGACAACAAAATATTACTCAGTGCTAAAAAGATGTGAGCAATCAAGTTATAAAAATACATGGGAGGAAATTTAAGTGCACATTATTAAATAAAAAGTCAATGTGAAAAGGCTACATTCTTTATGATTCCAACTACAGGCACTCCTTGGATATATTGCAGGTTCCATTCCATTCCATTGCAATAAAGCAAGTAGCATAATAAACCGGGTCACACAATTTTTTAATATCCCCAGGCATATAAAAGTTATGCTTATACTGTAATCTATTGAGTGCAATATCATTATGTCTAAAAAACCAATGTACCTAACTTAATTTAAAAATATTGTATTGCTAAAAAATGCTAACAATCACCCAAGCCTTCAATGAAACACAGTATTTTTGATGGTGGAGGGTCTTGGTTCCATGTTGTTCGATCAGAGTGGTGATTGCTGAAGGAGGGGATGGCTGTGGCAATTTCTTGAGACAACAAAACTTGCGTGCTGATTGGCTCTTCTTTCACCAAAAATTTCTCTATAATATGTGATGCCATTTGATAGCATTTTACCCACAGTAGAACTTCTTTCAAACGTGGAGTCAGTCCTATCAAACTCTGCCGCTGCTTCACCAACTAACTTGATATATAATACTGTAAATCCATTGTTTGTTGTCATTTCAACAATGTTCACAGCATCCCCACCAGGAATAGATCCATCACAAGAAACCACTTTGCTCATCTGTAAGAAGCAACTCCTCATCCAGACAATTTTGATAATGAGATTACAGCAATTCAGTCCTATCTCCGGGCTTCACTTCTAATTATAGTTCTCTTCCTATTTCTACCACATCTGCAGATACTTCTGCCACTGAAGTACTGAACCCCTTAAAGTCATCCCTAAAAGTTGGAAATCAACTTCTTCCCAACTCCTGTTCATGTTGATATTTTGATCTCCTCCCACGAATCATGAATGGCATCTAGATTGGTAAATCCTTTTCAGAAGGTTTTAAATTTACTTTGCCCAGATCCAACAGAGGAATCACTATCTATAGCAGATATATACTTAGAAAATGTTATTTCTTAAATAAAAAGACTTGAAATTCAATATTACTCCCTGATCCATGGGCCACAGAACAGAAGCTGTGTTAGCAGGCATGAAAACATTCATGCCCTTGTCCCTCTCCATCACAGCTCTTGGGTGACCACGCGCATTGTCAACGAGCAGTGATATTTTGAAAGGAATCTTTTTTTTTTTTTTCTGAGCAGGTCTCAATAAGGGCTTAAAATATCCAGTAAACCATGCTATAAATAGATGTGCTGTCATCCAGGCTTTGTTTTTCTACTTATAGAGCACAGGCATAGTCAATTTAGCATAGTTCTTAAGTGCCCTAGGATTTTCAGAATGGTAAATGAGCACTGGCTTCGATCTAAAGTCACCAGCTACATTAGCCCACATAGCCCATAACAAAACAGTCAACCTGTCCTTTGAAGCACTGAAGCCAGTCACTGACTTCTCCTCTCTAGCTATGCAAGTCCTATATGGCATCCTCTTCTAAAGGAAGGCTATTTCATCTACATCGAAAATCTTGCTTAGGCTGGGTGCAGTGGCTCATGCCTGTAATCCCAGCACTTTAAAAGGCTGAGGTTGGTGGATCACCTGAGGTCGAGTTCCAGACCAGCCTGGCCAACATGGCAAAACCTCGTCTCTACTAAAAATACAAACATTAGCTGGGCATGGTGGTGGGCGCCTATAATTCCAGCTACTCAGGAGGCTGAGGATGGAGAAACGCTTGAACCCGGGAGGCGGAGGCTGCAGCGAGCTGAGATTGCGCCACTGCACTCCAGCCTGGGCGACAGAGCAAGACTCCATCTCAAAGAAAAAAAAAAAAAAGAAAGCAATTTATGGCTTTAAGTGCTTGTATCAGAAAAGAAGAAAGCTTTAAAATTAATGACCTAAGAGTACATCTTAAGAAGCTAGATTTTTTTAAAAAGCCAAAATAAGAAAAAGAAAAGAAATAATAAAGAACAGAAATCAATGAAACAGAAAACAAGCAAAAATTAGTTTAAAAAACTGAAACAAAGAGCTGGTTTTTAGAAAAGATTAACAGAATTGATAAACCTCCATATATATTAATAACACCAGGAAAGTAAAAAGGGATATCACCACAGGTTCTATAGATATTAAAAAGATAATAAGGGAGTATTATAACCAACTTAATGACAATAAATTGACATATTTAGATGAAATGGACAAATGTCTTAAAAGATATAAAATAACCAAAATTGGCTGGGTGCCGTGGCTCACGCCTGTAATCCCAGCACTTTGGGAGGCCAAGGCAGGTGGATCATTTGAGATCAGGAGTTTGAGACCAGCCTGACCAACATGGATGAAGCCCCTTCTCTACTAAAAATACAAAAAATTAGCCAGGAGTAGTGGCACATGCCTTTAATCTCAGCTACTTGGGAAGCTGAGGCACAAGAATCACTTGAACCTGGGAGGCAGAGGTTGCAGTGAGCCAAGATCACGCCACTGCACTCCAGCCTGGACAACGGAGCAAGACTCTGTCTCAAAAAAAAGAAAATATCAGCCAGGCACATGGCTCACGCCTATAATCCCAGCACTTTGGGAGGCCAAGGCAGATGGACTGCTTGAGGTCACGAGTTCGAGACCGGCCTGGCAAACATGGCGAAACCCTGTCTCTACTAAAAATACAAAAATTACCCAGGTGTGGTGGGGGGACACCTGTAATCCCAGCTACTTCGGAGGCTGAGATAGGAGAATCGCTTGAACCTGGGAGGCAGAGGTTGCAGTGAGCCAAGATCAGGCCACTGCACTCCAGCCTGGGCACAGAGTGAGACTCCACCTCAAAAAAAAAAAAAACAAAAGAAAAAAAAAGAAAACATCAAGCCCCGGTGGCATACCTAGTGAATTCTGCCCCACATTTAAGGAAGAAATTACAGAAATCCTAAGTGAAGTCTTTCAGAAAACAGTGGAGTAGGGAACACTTTGCAACTCATTATATAAAAACAGTATTACCCTGATGCTAACACAAGACAAAGAAATGAGAAGAAAAATATCTCTCACGAACATGGCTGTAAACACCCTTGAGAAAATATTAACAAATTAAACCTAACAATATATAAAAGAGATAATTTACCGTGACCAACTGAGTTTAACTCCAGGAATTCAAGACCAGTTTAATATTTGAAATCAACGTAACTCACCTATTAACAGGATAAATGAGAACAGCCATATGATTATCTTAATAGAGGCAGAAAAAGCATTTGAAAAATACAGCAGTTATTCATGATTTTAAAAACATAAACATACATATATTTCTTAGCAAACGTGGAACAGAAAGGCACTCCCTTAACCCGAAAAAGAACATCTTCAAAAATCCTACAGATAATATCACATTTAACAATGGGAACTCAACAGATTCCTGATAAGATGAGGAATAAGACAAAAATGTCTGGTCTCACCACTTTTACTCAACATTAACTGTTAGTGTTTGGCAGTGCAATAAGAAGCGGGGAGCAGACCACATACATAGTGGAAAGGAAGAAGTAAAACTGTGTTTATTCACAGACAACATGATTGTTTACGTTGAAAGTTCTGACAAATCCACAAAAACATACTAGGAATAAATGTATATAGCAAGGTCACAGGATAAAAAAAATGTTCAAAATTCAATTGTATTTCTATATATTAGCAATAAATAATTTAAGAATTAAATCTGAAATGCAATTCCAAATCAAAAATATGAAAGATTCAACAAAGTGCATATGAATCTCATATGCTAAAAACTATAAAACACTACTGAAATAAATTAAAGAATACTTAAATGAGAAGAGAAACCATGTTTTCACTGGAAGACACAAATTGTTAAACTATTAATTCTTCCCAAAATGGTCTATAGATTCAACACAATTCCAATCTAAATCCTAGCAAGCTTTTTTTTTAATAGAAATTGACAAGTTGATTCTAAAATTTATATGGAAATGCAAAGAACCTAGAATAACGAAAACAATTTTGATAAAAAACAACAAAGCCGGATGGCTTACACTAACAAGTTTCAAGACTTATTATGAAGCTACATTAGTCAAGACTGTGTGGCACAGCCTAACAGACATCTAAATCAATGGAAGAGACACAGGTGTCGACGTCAGTCAATGAGGAGACAACAGTCTTCAATAAATACTACTGGAACAACTAGATAATCTTGTTAAAAAAAAAGGGTAAAATGAACCTCGACCACACTATACAAAAAAACTGATCCAAAATGAATCATAGTTCTAAATGAAAAAGCTAAAACTGTAAACTTCGAGAAGAAAACATAGGGGAAAAAAATCTTTACAACCATAATATAGGCAAGAAAAGATTTCTTAGGACATAAAAGCACTAACTAAAAAAGAAAAAAATTGTAAACTGGTCTTCATCAAAATTTAAAATTCCTTGAAAGACACCACGAAGAAAATGAAACGCAGGCTGGGCATGGTGGTCATTCCTGTAATCCCGGCACTTTGGGAGGCCAAGGCAGGAGGACTACTTGAGCCCAGGAGTTCAAAACTATCTGGGCAACACAGTGAGGCCCTGTTTCTACAAAAAAAAATTTTTTTTTTAATTAGCCAGGTATGGTGGCAATCGCCTATAGTCCCAGCTACTTAGGAGGCTGAAGAGGGAGGATTGATAGAGGCTAGGAAGTCGAGGCTGCAGTGAGCCGTGATCATGCCACTGCACTCCAGCCTGGACAACAGAGCAAGGCCTTGTCTCAAAAGAAGAAAAGAAAAGAAAATGTGAACCACAGATTAGGAGAAACTATCTGCAATGCATGTATTTGTCAAAGGACTTGTATTCAGTATAAATAACTCCTACAGTAATAAGAAAATAAAAACCCCAATAAGACACTGAGAAAAAGATTTGAACAGACATTTCATAAAAGATGTATGAATGACCAGTAAGCATACAAAAAACATTAAATTCTATTAGTCCTCAGGGAAATGCAAAATAAAACCACAAGGAGAATCTAATTTACACTAGAATGTCTACAATTAAGACTGACAATACCAAAAGTATTGGCAAAGAAGTGGAGCAACTGGAACGCTCAGACATTGCTGGTGGTGAAATAGAAAGTACAACCACTTTGGAAAATTGCTTGATAGCTTAATAGTCAAACATACATATGGCCCACCAAGAGAAATGAAAATAAGGTCGGGTGCAGTGGCTCAGGCCTGTAATCCAGTACTTTGGGAGGCCGAGGCAGGCGAATTGCTTGATTCCAATAGTTCCAGACCAGGCTGGGCAACACAGTGAAACCCTATGTCTACAAAAAATTAGCTGGGTGTGGTAGTGCACGCTACTTGGGAGGCAGAGGTGGGAGAATCACCTGAGCCCAGGAGGTTGAGCCCGTGATCAAGCCACTGCCACTGTACTCTAGCCTGGATGACAGAGTAAGACCCTGTCTCAAAAAAAAAAAAAAAAAAAAAAAAAAGAGAGAAATGAAAATACATGTCTAAATACAAATCATAGCTGCGTTATTTCTAACACATCAAAACTGGAAACAGCATCAAAGTCCATCAGCAGGTAAATGAATAAGCAAATTGTGGTATTCACAGAATGGAATATTCAGCAATAAAAAGGAATAAACTACACATAGCAACATAGATGAATCTCAAAAATATGAGCAAAAGAATCTAGTAAAAAAAGAGTTCGTGCAGTTTGCTTTCATCTATATGAAATTCTAGAACAGGCAAAAATTAATCTACAACGACAGAACTGAGATTAATGGATGCCTGAAGTGGGGTGGGGCTGCGGGCTGACTGCAAAAAGGCACAAGGGAATTTTGGGGGGTTATTATGTTCTATATCTCAACTGTAGTGGTATCTACAAGAGTGCATACCTTTGTCAAAACTGTTCAAATTACTTTAAATGGGTACATTTTATGTAAATTATGCCTTAGTAAAGTTGATTTTTTAAAAAGTAAGTTCTGACCTTAGGACATCAATGGACTTCACTCAGCCTCATCTTCTTCATCTGTTAAATGTGGGATAATACTTCATTTCTTACCACACACGGCATCAAATGAGATGTATATCAAACTGCTCTAAAAATTTCCCAATGCTCTAAAGATTTTTAGTGTTTTTATTACTTAAGGCATTATACAGTCACTGTATGGCCATCAGATTAGCCTACAGAATCATTTTATTACAATAATGAATAAAATCTGAAGATAATCTTCAAACTTCACTGTAATCATTTATTTTTATGTTTTCCCCCCAAAATGTTATATCAATTAACACTTAAAGGAAATAAATTAGGAAATTTCTTCATGTGCCTGGTTCACTAATAATGGAGTTGCCAATGAGCCATCAAAGACATGTAAGCAGGAAAAAAACAGTAACTATCAAGAGTACACATGATGTAATCATGAGATTACAGGCAGTGGTTTACACCTGTAATCCTCTTAATTTGGGAGGCCGAGGCAGGAGGATCGCTTGAGCCCAAGAGTTCGAAACCAGCCAGGGCAACATGGCAAAACCCTGTCTCTACAAAAAATACAAAAAAAATTAGCCGGGTATAGTGAGCATCCCTGTAATCCCAGCTACTTGGGAGGCTGAGGTAGGAGGATCACCTGAGCCCGGGAGGTTGAGGATACAGTGAGCCGAGATGATGCCACTGCACTTCAAGCTGAGCAACAGAGGGAGACCCTGTCTCAAAAAAAACAAAAACAAACATACAACAAAAAAACAGTATACAACATAGGCTTTATGAAAAAACCCACTAGACGATTATATTCAATAAATCAAGATTTAAGTACAGAACATACGTATTTTTCAAATGTCCTAACCATAGTGACCTGGGCAAACTTATTTTTATGATAATTTATATAAGGCAGCTCAGGCCTGTCCACCACCACTCAACATAATTGCTGCTACCCTATGCCAACAATATAAAAATGATAGCTATGTTCTTTCATTTGCTAACCAATAAAGACATTCCTAGTATATTTTAAACAGTCACATATGCCGTACTTCAAAGTATGTTTGTGTTTTATAGCTTTCCAGATTTGAAAGTTTTCCAGGCATATTTGGTCCTGAGCCAAAAACTGTGCTTCAAATCTAAAAATCTAAAACAAGTTACATTAAATTCACTGAAATACACTTTATCATATAAAAATAACCATCAGTAACAGCTCCAATTAACACTCAAAAAATTCCCTGAAAAAAAGTTTGTCAGCACATTTCTTTCAGCTGGGTGTGTATAAAAAAAGTGCCTCATGGCGCTAGTTTTATTAGAAGAAAACGAAACTGAACCACACAAGGTTTTGACATAATCGTAACTGTTCCCCAATTTACCTCTACCACTCAGTCAGGCTTCACTTCCCAAGCACTGTGAGAAACAGAAAAGAAAAAGTCATGATATCCACCTCGTTAAGTAGCCATCCCAGGTTTTTATAAACTACAAAGACAACTTACAGCTGAGAAACAGCAGGGGGTTTCACAAGATTTGCACATAAATATCTATGGCAGATACTCAAACAGCACAGTAAGAAGTAGTAACACCTTTCCTCCAACCTACCAGGTATCTAGAAGTCACCCATTTCCAGACCAATGCTGCTGGCAAGCAACTACCATATTAGCATGCCTTAGAGGTGGAACTAAGAGACCAAACATTACCTAACCCACACCTCACTGCCTCTACAAATACATATGGCCAGAGCACAGAAAGTGTAACTATCAGGAATTGTAGATCTGGTGGGTACCAGAACTTATACTTACTTGAAATAAGTTTGAATATATGAACAAGTATGCTAGAATTTCCTTGCCCCCAAATTAAGCAAAAATGACAGGGTGTCATAATTCTCACTAAATGCTCCTACCTACATAAAATTGTCAATCTTTACTGCTAAAGGGTTACAAAAGACTGTTAAGTTTTTTTAACTGTATCAGCTGACAACACCTTACCAGCATCAGCTTTTCAAAGAGTTGACAAGTACTGCCCACATAAAACATCGACCTCTGTAATTTTGGTAGACCATGTCACATAAGGATCCTTTAAAACACTAATTTGTAATAAATCACAGACATTACTTAAATCTAAATTCTAAACATTAACAATTCAATAAATAATGCTTTTTAACAAAATAAAGACAAAAAACTAGTTTCCTTGCGTTTTCAGGCTTTCTTGAATAATATTCTTATATTCTTTTAGTGACAAGGAAACTAATGGTATGGCATAAACTCTATTAATAAGAAGAAAAGGCTTATTATAGACACATGGTACCTATGCATAGTATTTATTGCAAATGATAAAATGTCAAAATAGCCAAATAATTTCTGAACCTGTCTGCCTCATTATTTAAAAAAAGTTTAAAGAATTTTCCATTTTTATTTCAAAATTATGAAAAATCTATAAGATCACTCTTAACATATCCTGATATTCTATAGTTATTAAACACATTGTTAAAATTCCCAATCTGAGATATAAGACCAAAAACATGATCAACCAGCAAAATGGAAAAAAAATCAGAAAAAAAAATAGGCATTTCATAGAACAAGAAGATTCAGATGTTAGCCAGAGTTGTTCAATTCTATATCCTACACCTTTGACTACCCTCCACAGTATTTTCTGCACATTAGTTGAATATTTGTCTTCTAACAGTTCTATCTCTGACCTTCTCTTTTCACTTCGAAACATGCCCTCCCTGGGCATCACAATTTCCATGACGTCAATAACCACTACTCTCAGCTGATTCCCAAATCTCTATCTCAAGCCCATATCTCCCTGGTTATCTTTTCCTGGGTGTCCTGAAGGCATCCTAAACCTGTCCCAAACTGAATGTATTATCTCTGCACTCTACCATGGCCATTTCCCCCACTCCAATTCCTTTCTCTCCTCTTTTTCCTATGTCAGTAAAAGTCACTACAATATATACCTAGTTTGCTTAGTCTAGGTTACATAGTCTTTTCTATCTTTTAAAAATCGAACTCTGATGGTGTCATTGTTGTGATTAAAAACCCTTTGGTGTGGGGAGGTCCTACACATTCATCAACAAGGGATTGGGGCAAATAAATTGTGGTACTTTTCATACCACAGAATATTGTGCAGCCTTCAAAAATCATGGTATAGACCTATATTCATTAATAGGGAAAAATGGTTATGAGGCTTTTCCAGGCACCCTCCCCAGCGTTAACTCCATGGTTTCTCACAGCTCCTCCAGCCCTAACTCTACCTCATGACTCTGCTTAATTTCCCAATTTGCTAACAAGCAAATTCCTTCCACGATTTGTTCAGGTCTCTGAGGCAAAGAATCTGATTGGCCTCATTCATTGTCTTGTGCCAGGCCCCACGCCAAGAGCCGTAGGTCATAGCTATTCTTTGGATTTTATCTGCTCTTGCAAAAAAAATGGCTTGGACCCAACCCAATAAAATTCCAAATTAACATATAATTAAAAGATTTCTAGATCAATACAATCCAACTATTAATATATAATGAAAAAAAATGAGGAACAACCTAAATCTACTGTAGCCGGATTTAGTTTCTAAAATATATCATTGGTATTAAATAGATCTACAGTATTTATATCTCAATCATGCTTCACTTCATGAAAAAAACTGGTAAAAATGCAGGTATTATATATTAAACATGATTAATTATTTGTTAAATTTTAAACAACACAGCTAGACACAAAAAGCAAAGGTAGAGAGGAAAGTCAAATGATCACTGGTTAACTGAAACAAAAAGTCAACACTCTTTTCCCTATGAGTATTTGAAATTATAAAGGTACTTGTTATATTAAAATGATAAAGCAGAAAACAAACCATCTAATCACTTGGTTAGATTCTCGTATAAACTCCAGGCATTCAGGAGCCTCCCCCAAAACACTTAATTCTCACAACTCAATAAATACGTATTTCAATAATTACTGCTTACTCTATTCAAATGTCAAGGGGGAGGAACAAAACAAAGAACCTCCACCACTCTCTTAGTAATAATTCTGAATGACTTTCTTTTCTTAAAAAATATATTTAATTCTTAATTAAAACATTCGCTAATACCTCTTATTTATTCAATGATTCAACATCTTCTCTAGACTAGGCACTGGGAATACGATGACAATTATGGCCCCCTCTTTGTGGAGTTGATTCTGTATAAAAAGATTCTATATAAAATTGTTTTTTGATTCTGTAAAAAGCACACTTTAACAAGTTCTCACTATGTTGCCCAGGCTGGTCTCGAACTCCTGAGCTCAAGTGATCCTCTGGCCTTAGCCTCCCAAAGTGCTGGGATTATAAGTGTGAGCCACTGTGCCTGGCCTCACAAGTTTTTTTCTGGAGTCAGGTTCTCGCTCTGTAACCTGGGCTGGGTGCAGTGGCATAATCACAGCTCATTGCAGCCTTTACCTCCCAGGCACAAGCCATCCTCTCATCTCAGCCTCCCGAGTAGCTGGGACTACAGGCACTTGCCACCATGCCCGGCTAATTTTTTATTTCCAAAATCACACTTTTTAATATAGATTATATTACAGAATATATGCACATATAGCATATATAGAGAATATATGTTAGCCTTGGCTGGGTGGCACAACTGTAAAGTATACCTTTTTTTCCTATTAAGAACTTGAAGAATTTCACTTTGGCTCCATTATATAAAAATAAGCTGAAATCTACAGGCATCCATCTTTCCTAAAAATGACTCCTAGAAGTTAGAAAAAGACAAACTTAAAGAGATAAAAGTGTTGTTGAGCACTTTTTAGTACTTTGTTCAATACGATTTATCTCTCCTCATTTATCAGGGAGGAAAAAAAGGCAATTAGAGATACATGCAATATTCTTTCTTTTGAGGTTATTCACAAGATGTTCTACCATGCTTCTTCTCATTGTGTTTTTCTGAAGCAACTTTACTATACAGACAAAAAATGAAAAAGTCTAAATCCTTTTCATTACAAAGTTGGCTCAAGGGGAAGGAAATAATTTCTCTCTTCAAAGCACCATGAGGAATAAAGGGGCCCATCCCTTTATTCTATATCTAGGATAGAGAATAAATGACTCCAAAACACAGACTGGGCCCCACATTTTGTAGGTTAGTATATTCAAAGGAGTCAAAGGTCAGCACTGAGTCATGGCCTTTTCTTTGCCTCTTCCCATATGGCTGCAGTGTTGATGAGCCCAGGACCTACTCCCTCAGGAGAAAGGTTGGTCATCCTTCTCTCATTCTCTCTTCCTTATGATTATTAAATAAGGTATTAAGAGGAGCTCTGAGAAAGGTGTTTTGTCCTTCTCTCTCCTTTGAAGATTTTCCACATAAGGGGCCTTGAGGCAAGCACCTGTCTGGAAACTGTCTCCTCCCCATTCCAGCTCCTTCTTTTCCTTCCTTTCTCATTGTCTCTCCTTCCTCCTTTTCTCTCACTCTTCTCCCAAGTCTTCCACCAATGGTTTACTTTTTTTCAGAAGCATTAAATGCCATAATAATAATTTTGGTAAAATAAAAAGCTTCCTTTTTCATGAATGTCTGGGTTTTTTGTTGTTGTTGTTTTGTTTTGTTTTTTTAAGACGGAGTCTCACTCTGTTGCCCAGGCTGGAGTGCAGTGGCACAATCTCGGCTCACTGCAACCTCCACCTCCCAGGTTCAAGTGGTTCTCCTGCCTCCGTCTCCCAAGTACTGGGATTACAGGCACCCAACAACACACCCAGTCAACTCTCTTTCCTGCCCTTCCTGTGCACAAGCCTGCCCAGGTTTCTCTCTCTCTCTTACCCTCAAGTTCTTCTTCCTCTAAAACAGGCAGGATGAACATTGACCCTATTTTTGGAAGAATGAGTTCCATGTTTGGTTGTCGTAGGAAAATAAAGGACATTTATGACTACACTTGGTTCTAGGCCAATCTGGCTCAGGACAAAAACAGCCCTTTTACTTGGTCCAGTTTCACCTACCAGATTTCTGCATCAGGGGTTGGAACCTAACCTGAGCTAATGCTAAAATGTTTTCTTGGTCTTGCTTTGCCTTTTCTGTGCCTAGTTCTCTCAAGTATTTCTCCACAAAGCAACCTGAAGGCTGGATGGAAGAACAATTAAAATGTTTCCAAGCTCCCTGACCAAATACTATGATTACAACATCTAAAGCTATGCATTTTCAACACCAAAAACAAATTTTTAAAAAAATAATAAGATTGGCAAAATGTTTTGGTATAAAAAAGAAGCTTCTGAAAGTTCTTATCTGATTATTACTCATGTTGACTCCCTACTTCACCATGCAAGAAACAGTGATTTTTCTTTTCTTTTTTTTTTTGTTTTTAAAGATCCTTGAAAGCTTTTGCCTTGATGAAACAGTGATTTTATATTGGCATAGCACTCTGTACTTACTAAAGTTATATACTTGCCATCAAGTCTTTTCCCAAATTATTTTGTTTTACTATAATGTTACTACATTAAAATACAAACATTCTGGCCAGGCACAGTGGCTCATGCCCATAATCCCAGCACTTTGGGAGGCCGAGGGGGGTGGATCACCTGAGGTCAGGAGTTCGAGACCAGCCTGGGTCAACATGGTGAAACCTCATCTCTACTAAAAATCCAAAAATTGGCCAGGTGTGGTGGCGTGTGCCTGTAGTCCCAGCTACTTGGGAGACTGAGGCAGGAAAACTGCTTGAACCTGGAAGGCAGAGGTTGCAGTGAGCTGAGATTGCGCCACTGCACTCCAGCCTGGGCAACAGAGTGAGACTCCATCTCAAAAAACAAACAACAAAAAAGCCTCGGATATTCATGAAAAAGGAAGCTTTTCTATTTTACCAAAATTATTATTATGGCATTTAATGATTCTGAAAAAAAAATAAACCAGATCAACTCATTGTCCTCCTTAAAATCCTCCAGAGACATCCTTGCACATTCACAATAAAATCTGGCTTATAGAGCTTCACTTGCTTTGGCTACAATCTTTTTCTCAACCAGATCTCTTATCACTCTCCATATCAATCTTGCTCACTACCAAAATCAGTGGCCTTCTTTCAGTTCCTGAAACATACCAAACTCCTCTTACATCAGAGCCAGTAAGCTTACTATTTCTTTTGCCTGGAATGTTCTTTTTCCAGATCATCTGCCAGTTCCTTCAGGTATTTAGGTCTCAGTTCAAATATCAACTCAGTTGACAGGCCTTCCCTGAAAGCCTCCTATGAAAAGAGCCTGTTCCACTCCTTGTAGCTCCTTACTAATTTATTTTTTTCACAGCATTTACCATTTCCTGCAATTGTTACAATTTGTCTAATTGTTTACTGGTCAACTTTACTACTAAAATAGTAGCTCCATGAAAGCAGGGGCTTGGTCTGTCTTCTCATTACTACATCCCGTAACCAAAAAGTACTTATTGAATGAGTCAAGTACTTCCTATCACACATATTATATGGTAAATAAATGTGACTCTACACTTTCAAATTCCTGAAGATGTTCCCTCCAGGAAATTCTTAGTAGGACCTTTATCATCCAGCCATGAAGTTTATTTATTTTGTGAATTATATACTAACTCAGGGTCTTCGTATTTATTCCCTCTGTCGGCAATGCGATAGCCTCTGATCTTTGCCTAAATGGCTCCTCATCTTTCAAATCTCTGCTCAAATATAATCTCCTGTATAAGACTGCTCCTAGCCACTCTAACTATAATAACACATGATTCCTTCAGATCACTTGTATTATCCTGCTTTTACTTTCTTCACAGCTTTCACCACTCTCTAGTTACGTTTTTAATATTTGTTTACTTGTTTGCTAACCACAAACTAACAGTTTTAGCTTCAGGAAAACAATAATCAGTATTCTCACAATCCTCCAAGTATAGCAAAAGAACTTCCTGAAAAGACGGGCCCCTGGGACAGCTTCTAACATAGTGCACTTTGTAACACAGCTCATTCTAACACTGTTTCAAACATGGAACAGTACAGGCTGAGAAGGAATCTGAGCATTGTAAAGATTTTTTTTTTTTCTATTACAGAAGCTCATTTATGCAGTTACCGGAAAACAAGCAAGCAACAAAATAACAGTTACTAAAGTTTTTGTTTTAATGACCACCTATTTTATTCCACTAAATCACATCACTGACATTAATTAAAAACAATCTGCTTCACTGCTATAACCTAACAAATTGCAAAAATGGTTCCATATCATGGCAGTGTTGGAGCATCAATCTGCTCAACACACACTGGGGTATGGATGGCCACAGACAACTGCCATGACTGTCCACTGTTCTATAGCACTATACTGTATTCTGCAAATCAGAAAAATATGTAGTTTTAATACCAAACCTACTAAAACATCTCAACCTTGTGCTCCAATAATTTATTTTATTTTATTTTATTTTATTTTATTTTATTTTATTTTATTTTATTTTATTTTATTTTATTTTTTGAGACAGAGTCTTGCTCTGTTGCCCAGGCTGAAGTGCAGTGGCACAATCATGGCTCACTGTAGCCTTGACTTCCTGAGCTCCAGCAATCCGCCCACCTCAGTCTCCCAAAGTACTGAGATTACAGGCCTGAGCCACCGCACCAAGCCACTCCAATTATTTATATGTGTGTGTCTACTATTAGTTTTTTAGATATTTAAACTAGGAGAACATTATTACTCCACAATAGGCCAGGTCCCAGACACTGACGCTAACTTACAATATACCATCTATTTAAATTTATTAATCTGCAGTGAATGCATAGAAATCTTTTTATCTTTTTAAAAGATGAGGCCGGACATGGTAGCTCACACCTGTAGTCCCAGCACTTTGGGAGGCTGAGGCAGGCGGATCATGTGAGGTCAGGAGTTCGAGACCAGCCTGGCTAACATGGCGAAACGCCGTCTCTACTAAAAATACAAAAAAAACTAGCCAGGCATGGTGGTGTGCACTTGTAGTCCCAGCTACTTGGGAGGGTGAGGCAAGAGAATCACCTGAACCTGGGAGGCAGAGGTTGCAGTAAGCCGAGATCACACCACTGCACTCCAGCCTGGGCAACAGAGGGAGACTGTCTCAAAATAAATAAATAAATAAATAAAAATAAAAAATGAAAAGTCATGGTTAATATATGCTTAATTCATCTTCTATATTCATAAAAATTATTGCTGGCAGGTCTGTAATATCAGACAACTCCTTAAGTATCTTAGCTTTTGTTACTTTGAATTGTCTCTTATGTACATAAGATTACAAACAAAGGAATATAAAACTTCCACTATTCAAAAGTGAATTATCTAATTTATGGACAAAGTTTGCAGCAACTTCTTCCCTCATACTTACAGTTGCTAGCTCTGAAAATCTGACAAATTTAAAAGGACATACATCTGAAACCAAAATATATATGGCATTTTAAGTCAAATAAAATAATTAAAAGTTTTGAATTAGGAAATAAGCTAGATATCAAAGTGATATTTCAGGAAAATTAATCTGGCAGCAGTATACCATAGAGATTAGACAAACTTCAAGGAAGTAAGAGTATGTACAACAAATTATTTCCATAGCTCTTTTCAAACAAATAGATGCTATTGGTAATTTGAAAATGAAAATACATTTTTAAAGAAAAACATGGGTATGGTATTTAGTTTCTAGTAACACTGTCATTTTACCACTCTTCTCTATAAGATAAAGCAATTTAACTACATTTGTATTTTTAATTAATTTATTTATTTTTATTTATTTTTTTGAGACATAGTCTCCCTCTGTCGCACAGGCTGGAGTGCAGTGGCATGACCTTGGCTCACTGCAACCTCTGCCTCCTGGGTTCAAGCAATTCCCATGCCTCAGCCTCCCAAGTAGCTGGGATTACAGGCGTATGCCACCACACTTGGCTAGTTTTTGTATGTTTAGTAAAGACGGGGTTTCGCCATGTTGTCCAGGCTGGTCTCAAACTCTTGGCCTCAAGTGATCCACCCATCTCAGCCTCCCAAAGTGCTGGGATTATAGGTGTGAGTCACTGTGCCCAGCCTACATTAGTATTTTTTAAATGTGGGTTTATAACCCATTCATGGGTCATGCATAAAGTCAATTTAGTTGGTCACAACCCATATTTTTTTTTCAAATAGAATCTTAAAAAAATAAAGTTACAAGGATAAGTACTTTTGTTTCTGTAATACATGTGTAACTAGGTAAACCAGGTGGGTATCTTGAAGTAAAATGCATTCCTAACTGTGAGTCATAGTTAAGAGAATTTCAAAACTCGAGACCAGATGATTGCTAGGATCTCTTTCAGCTCTAAAACTATACTTCTGTAATGAAATCTGTCCTCAAGTGAGTAAAAATGGTCAATGGGTGGCTTTTTATTTATTTATTGTTTAGCTACAGTTCTTTTAATGGCAGGCAACAGAATCTAACCCTGTTAAATTAGCTGTAATTTACTGAGGGAACACTAAAGTAGTTCACAGAATCTAAGGAAGAGCCAAAACACTAAGCTCAGAAAGCATGGAAATTGAGCAGCACCGGTATTTCAGCAGCAGGAGCTCACAGATTTCTCCCTAGGGCACTGCTTCTATAAGACAGGGTGGTTCCAACCACCTTCCATCACTGTACAGTCATTCTCCCTCCCTTTGGGTTTCCAGTTTTCCAGAAAACAATCTAGTCAGCCCATCTTACATCTGATTTCTTAATCCTGAGATCAATCAGCAATGGCCAAAAGCAAAGTGAGAGGCATAGACATGGTCTCTGGAAAAATAAGGAATTATCCACCTCCCCAATTTGTCTAAAATATCTCTTTATGACCAGAAATTAACACTTTGTTTATCAAGCCCTTATGTACCAGGCATGATATGTGGTACAATATAAAAAATATAAAATATGTTATCAGTAAAGGAGAATGTATATTTTACTTAAGAACGAGATAATTTTTAATATAATCAACATTATATTAAACATTATAATGAATATGGTATTTTTCATTTCACATGTGTTCTTGAAAACTTGTTACTTCAAGTTCTATTTTTCTAAAACAATGTAAAATTAATTCTAAACATTTTTTAAATAAAAAATTACTTTGCAAAGTAAATTATTTTTGTAGATCTAAATCTTCCTGTCGGTGGTCACTAAACAAGATATATCTCTTATATGAGAAAATAATGCTTTAGTCAGGTGAGCAAAACAATCCCCTTTTCTCCCTTCTATTCCTATTCTTGGGATTCCTGCCCTGTTCCCCTCTCCCCTTCTTTGCTATCGCCTCTCAGTGTTTGACATCCTACTCCATGCTCATATTCTCTGTTAGTCTTTCCGGAATCAATACATGGTATAATCCACAAGGACAGGAAAAAGGATGGCTGCAGGATGCATTTGTAGAATAAGCACTGGGTTAGAAGTAAGAAGATTGGGATCTATCTCTGCTCTGTTACTAACTAGCCTAGCCATGTGATCATGATCTATGCATTTTTTCTTTCTACACCTCTTTCCACTAAGAACCGAGTATCTACTAAATAAACCCATCCGTAAAGTTTCCTTACTTGTGAAAAAAGAGATGGTAATAACTGCCCTATTTGCCTTCTCTGGTTATTATCAGAAAATAATAATAATAACGTATACATGTTTTACAAACTATTAAGTACTATAGAAATAGTAGGCCAGGTGCGGTGGCTCACGCCTGTAATCCCAGCACTTTGGGAGGCCGAGGTGGGTGGATCACAAGGTCAGGAGACTGAGACCATCCTGGCTAACACAATGAAACACCATCTCTACTAAAAATACAAAAAAATTAGCTGGGTGTGGTGGCGGGCACCTGTAGTCCCAGCTATTCAGGAGACTGAGGCAAGAGAATGGCATGAACCCAGGAGGCAGAGCTTGCAGTGAGCCAAGATGGCGCCACTGCACTCCAGCTTGGGAGACAGAGACTCCGTCTCAAAAAAAAAAAAAAGAAATAGTAGGGGGACATTTTGTTTTGGTTTGGGAAGGCCTCATGGTGTAAACAGAATAAGCATGGGCTTTGGAATCAGCAGATGCAAGTTTAAATCCTAACATTATCGTTTATTACCTGTTTGACTTTGGGCAAGTTAACTCACCTTTTGGAGTCAGTTATAGATCAATTTCCTCATCAATAGGGCACCACCTATATCATACATTACATTCATAATATTTGTAAAGTGTACTCAATTTTCCTCATCCCTCATGTCATCCCTACAATTCTGTACCTTCGGTCCTATCCCGTTTCCACACTCACTTTTTTAATCCCACACCTCACATCTTCCAAGACATGATAGGGGAGAATCATCTATCTACTTGATCACTGTGGTGTTATGATATATATTGCTTTCCATCTACAGTTCCTGGTTCATAACTTCTAAAGCCCTTGTTATAGTCTTTCATTATAATCTTGGGTGTGTTAGGCCTCAGGAAACAGAATCTCCTGCCCTCCTTTCACCTGCCCCAAGGCAGGAATCTAATCTTCTCCTGCCTTTCTGACTGTGGGTCTTAAGACCCTCTATGAGACAGTCCCACCCTATACCCTGGGAAAAGGGATGCCAAGATTATAAAGCTTCAAAAAACTGAGAAGAGGATTCAGGGAGCTTCTGGACAGCTAAGCACAGTGAGGTTCCTGGAGGGTGGTGCACCCTTTCTCCCATACCTTGCCCTAAACGTGTCTTCATTTGTATCCTTTGCAATATCCCTTATAATAAACCAGTAAATGTAAGTAAGAGTTTCCCTGAGTTCTGTGAGTTGCTCCAGCAAATTAACTGAACCCAAAGAGGGGGTCATGGGAACCCCAACTTGAAGCCGGTCAGTGAGAAGTACCGGAGGCCTGGACTTGTGACTGGTGTGGTGGTGGGGTAGTCTTGGGGACTAAGCCCTCAACCTGTGGGATCTGACACTGATCTGATACTATCTCCAGGTAGATAATGTTGGAACTGAATTAGAGGACACCCCACTGGTGTCCGTTGCTTGGTGTGTTGGGAAAAACTCTTTTCAACTCTTTTTCTAAGAAGAAAAGAGAAACTTAGTATGAGTCTTACAGAACAGCCTTTATCTTTCTCATCAAAAATAGTAAGTTTAGCAATATCAGCTCAAGACTTCAAACTTATAAAGCTGTTCCTTTACTTGTTTTTGTCATTTACCACTATTAGGTAAAAAATACAAGAGTTCAAAAGCACTAGGAGGAACAAAGGATGGGGAAGGGAACATCTAGACCCCGAGGCTCTCAAAGGAACAGAGTGAAAACCAAGGAGCTAGTTTTTCCCACCTTCCAGTAGTTAACTACTAATTAATTAATTAGAGTTGACATAAGGGATAAAATATTTTTTGCCAGCCCTGTTCTGGTTTCTCTTCCTAATCTCCCAATTCTTGATAAATCAAGGTATCATCTCAATCCTACCTTAACGAGGTCTCTCCAGCCAGGCACAGTGGCTCATGCCTGTAATCCCCTGCACTTTGAGAGGCCAGGGTGGGTGGATCACGAGGTCAGGAGGTCGAGACCATCCTGGCTAACATGGTGAAACCCTGTCTCTACTAAAAATACAAAAATTAGCCAGGCGTGGTGGCACACGCCTGTAGTCCCAGCTACTTGGGAGGCTGAGGCAGGAGAATCGCTTGAACCTGGGAGATGGAGGTTGCAGTGAGCCGAGATCGCGCCACTGCACTCCAGCCTGGTGACAGAGCAAGACTCCATCTCAAAACAACAACAACAAAAAAAAAGTCTCTCCCACTCAACCCTACTAATAAATCTTCATGGCCTGCACCTTAGTTCAGGCCTCCAGCTATTTCAACAGCCTCCTAAGTGGTATCTCTTCTACAATACACCACAGTGACTTTCTGAAACACAAATCTGATGATACCCTCTCTGGCTTAAAACCCTACACTAGGGTTCCCATCACTTCCAGGATAACGTAAACACTTGGCATAGCACAAAACATCATTCATGCCCTAACCCTATCTAACTCTGTGATCTCGTTTCTTATCACCCCTCAAAAGGCAGCTAGTGCTAACGCCACAACTAAGCTGCTTCCTTTGACCTGAGGGTCACCATGCTCTCACACTCCCTTTTAACATCCCATTATACTCCCAAATACAATACCGTACAACACAGCCTTCATTTCTCTATGTGGTAAATTCCTCCGCATCCTTCAAAACTCAGTTGAAGTGTAGTACAGAGTTTGGTGCCTTTACACTCCTAAAACATTGGACAGTTTTCTATAAGCCACCGCTAGAAAGTGAGACACTGAAGAACATGAAACTCTTTGTAATCATGGTAGAAAATACAAAGGACAATGCAGAAGCTCCTTAAATAAATTAATAAATGGTCTGACAATTCAGTTTTATTAAAAAGAGTCTTTGTGAGATCACCTAGTAAAGTAAGTACCATTCATCAAGTTATTTCTATGAGAAAGTAAACTTGGAGCTCCAAATAAATGATCACAAATAAAGAGTTACTCTAACATGATAAACATGGTTGTAAGGTATCAAAAGATATTGTGAATTTGTAACAGAGGTATAGATGTTACCTAGAAATAATGGAACATTATTAGGTACATGAGTAGTAAACAGAAAATTGAGTTCTAGCACTGTGCATGAAGAAGAAAACCCTGTTCAACAACATCTATGAGAATGTAATTAATTTTTCAAAGACAGGTTTGGCTTATAAATTTGCAAGCCACTCATATACAAGGGTGACCAGAAATTAATGTCTTCTCACCTACTATTACAATACTACATTTATATAATCCTGTTCTTAAACAGGGAAAGGATTTTTTTTAACAAGCCTCTACACAAGTAAATTACACTTGAGTTCCAACAGATGGTGACACAATGGAAATTCCTAAGCATAGTTGCCAAATAAGACCAATATGTTTAAAAAAAAAAAAAAAAAAGAGGGACAACACAAAGTTCCTGGGATCAGCTTCTCTGTTCTCAATACATTTTGTGTATCCAGCAAAAATAATGGTAACTAGAGAATTATTCAGCATATTCTTTTTTTTTTTTTTTTGAGATGGAGTCTCACTCTGTTGCCCAGGCTGGAGTGCAGTGGCGCAATCTCAGCTCACTGCAACCTCTGCCTCCCAGGTTCAAGCGATTCTCTCACCTCAG
The DNA here is from genome assembly GCF_000001405.40 of Homo sapiens. NCBI lineage: Eukaryota > Metazoa > Chordata > Mammalia > Primates > Hominidae > Homo > Homo sapiens. The sequence continues at coordinate 200,767,260 of NC_000001.11, read as the reverse complement.
CCTCCCAAGTAGCTGGTATTACAGGCATGTGCCAAGTAGCTGATATTACAGGAGTGCGCCACCATGCCCAGCTAATTTTTTTTTGTATTTTTAGTAGAGATGGGGTTTCACCATGTTGGCCAGGCTGGTCTCGAACTCCTGACCTCAGGTGATCCACCTGCCTTGGCCTCCCAAAGTGCTGGAATTACAGGTGTGAGCCACCACGCCCTGCCTGCATATTCTTAAATACTGTATCAATTAACTCATGTCCACCTAGACTCTGTCACAACTCTACTTCATCCCCTGTCAGCAGTCATTCTACTTAACTGCTATAATTACTCCTAAGGTACATGGAATTAACATAACCTTTAATACAGGAACAGAGTGGGTAAATGGAACAGAGAGGGGAAATTACTTTGGAAAGAAACCTAGGCAAATTACCAAGATTTCAAACAAACCACCAGGCAGAGTTCCAGGTGGCACACCATTTCTATTTCCTTCCACCTTACTACTTCCCATCTACCTATTCCCTAGGCAAAGACGAAAATACAATTTAGTGGTTAAGAACATAGGATTTATCCTGTTATCATGTAAAAGAGAAGTAAAATAAGAAAAAAAACCGAAAAAGAATATAGGATTTATAGTTAAAGCAGAGATGTTCAGAATCCTGCCTTCACTACTTAACTATACTTGCTCTGTGACCTTATATTCTCAAAGCCTCAGTTTCTTCATCAATAGAAAAGGGATGATCCTTTCCTCTTGGAGTTGTTGTAAGAATTAAATTACGTAAGATAGAGTGTTAAAGTGTAAGCACACTGCATGGCACACAGTAAACTAAATGAAAAGAGCTACCTGATAGACCAGGTGTAATCCCAGCTCACACCTGTAATCCCAGCATAGCCCAGGAGTTTGAGATCAGCCTGGGCAACATAGGGAGACCCTGTCTCTACAAAAAAAATAATAAAAAAATATTAGCCAGGTGGGGTGGTGCACGTCTGCAGACCCAGCTACCCAGGAGGCTGAGGTGGGAGGGTCACCTGAGCCCTGCAGGTCGAGGCTACAGTGAGTTGTGATTGCGCCACTGCACTCCAGCCTGGGCAACAGAGTGAGATCCTGTCTCAGGAAAAAAAAAAAAAAAAGAGCTACTTGATAGTCTCATAAATAAACAATAGATAAAATCTGAGAATTAACAGACTGCAATAATTATTTAAACTAAGCTGACAGTATAGCGGTTCAGTTTGCAATGCTTCCAAGTGTTTTGTAATATAGTATGAAAATCTATTCCATGATTCTGTAACCCACAGAAAGTTAAAAATCCTTAACTCAGACTTACAGCCTCCTCATTATCTAACTTACAGACTCTTCATGATCTAGCTCTAAATTATTTTTTAGCCTCATCTGACATTTATCCCTCCATGCAGTCAATATTTTAATTTATAATACTTAACATACCTTCACAGTTCAATCTTGAGTCAAACAATTCCTTCAACCCAGTTACTACTCTCATCCCATCCCTTTTCCCAACTACTGAAATCCCATTTATCATTCTACCCTGTGATGCCTTCCCTGATCCTCCCTAATAGAGATGATCACATCCACCTCTAAGATCTCAGTATCTATTGCTTAAAGTTAGAACACTTATTTCATACTGTCTAGTTTTTTTTCCCAGTTTTCTTCCTCATTAGATTTTTAGTTCAAACATCATTCAAGCGGAGATGTCAGTGGTCAGCTGGATACATAGAACATAACATATGGCCGGGTGCGGTGGCTCACACCTGTAATCCCAGCACTTTGGGAGGCCGAGGTGAGTGGATCACAAGGTCAGGAGCTCGAGACCAGCCTGGCCAACATGGTGAAACCCCATCTCTACTAAAAATACAAAAATTAGCTGGGCATGGTGGCGCACCTGTAATTTACCCAGCTACTCGGGAGGCTGAGGCAGGAGAATTGCTTGAACTTGGGAGGTGGAGGTTGCAATGAGCTGAAATTGTGTCACTGCACTCCAGCTTGGGTGACAAGAGCAAAATTCAGTCTCGAAAAAATAAATAAATAAAGAAGTATGACTAAGGCAAGTTTGACTGATAAGCAGATTGTAGTATTAATTTTGGGGTGGAGATTGAGAGAAATGTTTTTGTTTTGAGAAGTTACGTTGAGTTTTTTTGTTTTTTTGTTTTTTTTGAGATGGAATCTCACTCTGTTGCCCAGACCAGAGTGCAATGGTGCAATCTTGGCTGACTGCAATCTCCTTCTCCCGGTTTCAAGTGATTCTCCTGCCTCAACCTCCCATGTAGCTGGGATTACAGGTGCCTGCCATCACGCCCAGCTAATTTCTGTATTTTTAGTAGAGATGGGGTTTCACTATGTTGGCCAGGCTGGTCTCAAACTCCTCACCTCAGGTGAACCACCCGCCTTGGCCTCCCAAAGTGCTGGGATTACAGGTATGTGCCACTGAGCCCAGCCACATCTTTTCTTTTTAAAGATTGATTACTAAAAGGAACTACAGAAAAGATATCTTAAAGGTTTGAATTGCCATTTACGGGATATTTGGAATTTAACCATTTAGAGAGGTCTTCAATATTTATTCTTATTTCCTATGTCTGCTTAAAGGCTAAATGCAGGATACTTATTTCTCTTTAACAATTTAACTATCAGAAATATTTAGTATGCATACAAGGCATGTTATTTCAGATAATGATAATTTCTATTTGAATTTAAATTTCTTCTCTACATTTTAAATTTTAAAACAGTAAAATCATATAAAAATGTTAATAGTGCAGAAATACATCAAATAAGATATGAAAGTTACCATTTATTTCTCCAATCCTATTTAATCCCATTTCACAGAAGAAACCAAAGTTAACAGTCTGGTGTAAATTCTTCTAAAGATTTCTGTCTTCATATATATTATTTCACAGGAAATTTTTATACTGAGACTTTGAAGAAAAAGAATTAGTACTAACATTATTTCTTGAAAAATTAGGATGATACTTTTGCTACCACCACACTTTTTTTCCCCCCAAAAGGCTGGCATACAGAAATAAAATATCCCAAATTAAAAATAATTTAGAAGTGGAAGTGGGGGGCAATATATTCAGTGCAATTAAACACACTATTTTTCATGATACTTCCCAAAAAGCAGGAAAAAAAAACTGTTAATTTACATTAACTCTTACTTTACTCTTTAAAAAAATAGTTTCTTTCTTTTTTTTTGAGACGGAGTCTTGCTCTTGTCACCTGGGCTGGAGTGCAGTGGCGCAATCTCGGCTCACTGCAACCTCCGCCTCCCAGGTTCAAGCGATTCTCCTGCCTCAGCCTCCCGACCTCGGGTTACAGGTGCCTGCCACCACACCTGGCTAATTTTTGTATTTTTAGTAGAGATGGGGTTTCGCCATGTTGGCTAGGCTGGTCTCAAACTCCTAGCCTCATGATCCACCCTCCTTGGCCTCCTAAAGTGCTGGGATTACAGGCGCGAGCCACCACGCCCAGCCAAAAACATAGTTTCTTAAGGAACAACTTTTTACTAGTAATCTGAGAAATTTTCTCACGCAGGTTTCAGGAAAATAGTTACATTAAATATCATCAATCAAAATGCCACAGCAACTGGAAAACTTTAAATCAAATTGTGATAAAAGTTGAAAGTAAACAATTAAAACACAGGTTGGTAAATGTGACACTGCAAAGGGTTAAGATGATGTAGGTCAAATATGAAGTTCTCAAGTTCTTTGGTTGGTTGGTTTTTAAGACAAAGTCTCACTCTGTCGCCCAGTCTGGCTGGAGTGCAGTAGCGGAATCTCGGCTAACTGCAACTTCCACCTCCTGGGTTCAAGAGATTCTCCTGCCTCAGCCTCCCGAGTAACTGGGACTACAGGCGCGCACTACCACATCTGGCTAATTTTTGTATTTTCAGTAGAGATGGGGTTTCGCCATGTTAGCCAGGCTAGTCTCAAACTCCTGACCTCAGGTGATCCGCCAGCCTTTGTCTCCCAAAGTGCTGGGATTACAGGCGTGAGCTACCACACCCAGCCTGAAGTTCTCAAGTTCTAACAATCCACAAATAGAAGTTAGAACCAGAGATAAAGATTCTATGTTGCCCATGCCGTGCACCTGTAATCTCAGCATATTGAGAGGCTGAGGTGGGAGGATCACTTGAAGTCTAGAGTTCAAGACCAGCCTGGCCAACATGGTGAAACCCAGCCTCTACTAAAAGTACAAAAATTAGCTGGGCATGGTGATGCACGCCTATAATCTCAGCTACTTGGGAGGCTGAGGCACAAGAATTGCTTGAAACCAGAAGGCTGAGGTTGCTGTGAGCCAAGATCGCACCACTGCACTCCAGCCTGGGCAACAGAGTGAGACTCCAACTAAGAAAAAAAAAAAGATTCTAAGTCATTTAAACTCCATTCCTTAAATATTATTAAAATACATTCAAAGCTATCAGCAGGATCAATAAAGTGTGAAAGAAACATGAGTAACACAATCAGCAGTCTACCAAACCCCTCATTTTAAAATTAATTGTCCAAGTATTTCACACATACAAACTACACTGGAAAAAAATGTAGAAAACATGTTAAATTTGTTTCATTCTTATTAGAGGATCTGAAATAGACACTCTAAGGATAAGTAGGTTATCTATGACATATATATCTGTATCTGAAAGAACAGCAACTAAACAAACACTGCTTCACAAAGTCATGGATGTGCTTTCTAACTATCCACTTAGCCTTCAAACAACGGAAGCAGAAGTAATCACAAGCTGGAGTGTCCAGCTAGGGGAATGATTCTGGGGGAGATGAATATGAGACACTGATAAGGACCTAAGTAGATTCTGCTTGTCCCTGGTATGGGCAAACTGTTCACATATGATATGTATGCAAAGCAGGTATGCCAAAGTCAGAGGGTAACTATAAGGTGATTTTGGAGCCATCAATGAAAGATGACAATCTCATACTGGATAATCAATATTCTAGTTATTGTTAATAACTATATTGTAAATCTATAAATTCCATTAACTAATCAATACATTATTTTCCATTACTTAGAAATATTAAAAGAGTTACTTTAAAGAAGGAAAAAAACCAGAAAACAAAACAGGTCATCACCTCATTTAGTAATAGATTTTATAAACTAATTTTTTTGTTCATTCTTCCTAAATTACATAACTTCATAAATTTTATAATATACTTTTCTACATATACACCTTACCTTCCTCCCAAGCAAAACTACTACTCTTTGATTTAATCGAGTATGGAAAAACCACTTTTCTTTCTAATACCATCCTTGATGATGTCCACATTTTGTGAAACTCAAGCTAAAGCAGTACAATGGACTGAACCAGCATACAATGAACTTAAACATTTAGATTTATGTTTCCTGAGACTGCCTATGAGAGAGTTCCTGCATGATGGCCCCAGGCCAGCTTAGAGGCCTTCTGTGTGTGTTGTCTACAAGAATGAGTTCAAAGCTATCAAATAAACGAAAATATCTGATATGCAGAAATTTACCAAGAAGTTATTCAAGTACATAAATGAGCTTTTTTTTTTTTTTTTGAGACAGAGTTTTGCTCTTGTTGCCCAGGCTGGAGTGCAGTGGCATGATCTCAGCTTACCGCAACCTCCACCTCCTGGGTTCAAGCGATTCTCCTGCCTCAGCCTCCCAAGTAACTGGGATTACAGGCATGCACCACCATGCCCGGCTAATTTTGCATTTTTAGTAGAGACAGGGTTTCTCCATGTTGGTAAGACTGGTCTTGAACTCCTGACCTCAGGTGATCTGCCCGCCTCGGCCTCCCAAAGTGCTGGGATTACAGGCGTGAGCCACCGCGCCCGGCCATAAATCAGCACTTATTAATCTCAACTCTTTCCTAATGATAAAGTCAAGGATGCATTTTCCATCTCTTCTAGCCAGTCTCTACAACGGAAAAAATAAAAGTTTTCAATTAAAATTACATTAAGGTAGTTGGAAATTATGTAGTTGTTTCTCCAAGGTATTAGATGGCACCAAACATTCCAAAATCGTTAAAATCTTCCTTCATTTGGAAACAAGGTTAAGAAAAAGATGAGTTGTAAACTCTAGGCAAAAATACAATCCAATTTCAAAACATTTCCCTCTGTTTTACAGTATATCATTCACACTCAAAAGTACACACTTCAAACTTAAAATAATCTTGGGTATATAAAGACTCACCATCTGTATGGGTTTCTTGTGGAGATCTCGTTCAGTTACCAATTTTTCCTGGTCAGTGACATAAAGACCTTTCTGTGCTAAAGCCTGGATTACAGCATCATGGCCCAAAAGGGGTTTTGCAGCATCACTCTTGAGAATGAGACTCCCAGCACGACAGTATAGTTCAGCCGATAGAAGCAAATTAACAACAGGTGGTTTGATGTGTTCCTGGTCATACTGATCTGTGTAAAATGGTTCTTGAAGTTCCTCTGGCACATTTTCTATAAAGATTAATGGAAAAAATTCTCTTACAAGATTTTTATAAAAGAAACATAGAATTTAATTAATAATTATTATTTATGTCATAGAATTTAAGATTCCCTCTAAAAATATAGCAATAACCCTTTAACTGAAAAGATGATTCATTAAACTTTGACATATACTCTGGAATGAGACAAAGATACAAATTTCCTTTACAGAAGATACTTTCTGAGTATATTCCAAAAAGGGACTACAAGACAAGGAGAAAAGCTTTCTGAGTCTAGTGGCTCTTGGGAAAGTATTCCCACATTCATAGTCAAATCTACAGAATGAACTATAAGATTCCTAAAAACTAATTTCAATGACGCTCCTCACAGGCAAGCTGTCAACATGGAAATGCACAATAGGTATTTCAGGAGACTGCTAGTCCTTGCCACCTGAGAATACAAAATCATCTGCCCAGTTTTACAGCTAATGAGCTGCAGAATAGAGACTGCCTAACTTATTCTATCTCTTTGCCTCAAGACCTCTGCCGTCTCTCCCTTCATGCTTAGCTTGCTGACACTACTGAAAAAGAATTATAGCAATTGTTTAGGAGAGAACTACTCTTAAAAATCCCTTACACTAGTAAACCACTGATATTGCCACATTACCACTGACCACTCCCCATCCTACCTGAAAAAGACTTCCTGGGCACCCAACTGACAAGTTCGACTAAAACATAAGTAGTAGTTTAGAAATGGGAGATGGGAAGAAAACCAAAATCTCCTCCGAAGTTTCTCTTTCCTGCTAGCCACTACCCTTTAAGAATGCCAAGTCCTACTCTTCCAATGTCCACTCCCACTCTCCCAATGTCTGCTCCCAAATCAACTTAAGCAAAGGCATTTGTATTTGACAGCAGCAAAATTACCAAAACAAACGAGAGAAACAAAATACTTCTCATTGTTTTACAAGTTTTCTTGCCTATTCTACCCTGTATCTCTTCCTCCTCCTCTCCATTTCTTACCTGGGCTCTATACCTCTCATCGAAGCAGGACAAGGATGAGGTATGTCCCCCAGAGGTAGGGCTTCTGAGTTAGAGGTTAACATGGAGCTGCAATTATAGAACCTGATAGCTCTGTCCTGAGACCTAGCCAGTCCCTCACCTGCCTTCTCTCTAGAAAGTGAGGTTCTGAAGCCAGCCATCCCATCACTGATCTTAGCTGTTTCCTGAATAGGCAGCTTTAATATAAGCTCAATAATGCCACAATACTAACCAAAACTGGTACTTCGAAAAATCTGCAGCTGGGCGCGGTGGCTCACGCCCGTAATCCCAGCACTTTGGGAGGTCGAAGTGGGCAGATCACCTGAGGTCAGGAGTTCCAGACCTGCCTGACCAATATGATGAAACCCCTCTCTACTAAAAACACAAAATTAGCTAGGCATGGTGACAGGTGCCTGTAATCCCAGCTACTTGGGAGGTTGAGACAGTAGAATTGCTTGAACCTAGGAGGCAGAGGTTGCAGAGAGTGAGATCGCGCCATTGCACTCCAGCTTGGGCAACAAGAGTGAAACTCTATCTCAAAAAAAAAAAAAAAATAGAATAGCAGGAATCGGCAGAATTTTAGTCAGAAAAAAAAGAGCCTTTCTAAACGTAAGGAGAGGGAGGAGAGAAAGAGTAGGGAAAAAAGATGTGAAGAGACACCAAATTGAACAATCTGGGTGGAGAGAAGAGTTCATGTGGGAAAGCAGTAAGAGGCAAAGCTGGAATGGGAGAGGTTCGTGATGAGGACTTGAAAGAAATATTCATCTTTTAAACACGAGGACTTTGTATATTAGCTAACAAGGAGGTGCTGACAGTTTTACAGGACAGTGTCACATTAAGACTGACGTTTTGGAACAATCTGGTATTTAATATTGATGGCCATAAAAATCAGAGATAGAAGATTACCATATAGATATAAGGAAATGAAGTTCAAAGGCAGTAGTGAAAACAGAAAGTATAGGACATAAGAGACTAACTGCTAAAGACAAACAAAAAGTACCCAGGAATAAAGCAAAGAAAGAGGGTCAAGATGGAAATCAATAATAAGCCTACGTTATGAGGGAAACAGTGATATCATTAATAGAAAAATGAAAATCAGAGGCAGCACCAATTCTAAAAGCAAGATCAAAAACTCAGTTTTAGACATATTGAGTTTGAAACAATAGCAAAAATATCCAAGTGGAAATATCCAATAAGCAGCTGGAGATATAGGACTCTGGAAAGAGGTCAAGAGTGGATGTATCAATTTGGGATTTTGGTGACATCTAAAAATATCATCCTCATTTAATAATTGAAAACACTTTCCTTTCTTCGTAGATGCACTACCCAGTAGTGAGCCAGCTTTAAATTTAATATAGCTGCCTCAGCGTGATGGTGAAGTTCAGTTTTAAATTGCAGAATATAGTGCTGGTATTCATTTACACTTTAGTATTGTAGGAAATAAACAGAAACTATTAGTAGAACAGCTGTAAAAGGAAAATTATTTGATTTTAAGATAACTTATCAAATGTATAAACAATGGATTTTTATTTCCTGTATCAGTAAAAAATGGCTAATATAAGTTATTTGGCATCTAAATATTAGCTGTGAAAAGTAAATGCTCATTATCAGGATTACAAATTTATCTATCATACCTATATATCCACCTAGCATTTACTTACTGCTTTTACATCCATTTTCATATATGACCTTTATAACATCTTGTCAGACACAGTCCTAAACATGCATTCTGTCATTTAATTCTGACAACCCTCTTACCTTATTTTACAGATAAAGAACTCAAGAAAGGACATCTTGCCCAGGGGCACATAGCTGATAAGCACAGAATTATAGCTCTACACCATCTTGCTAAACAGGCTCAAACATAATAATGATTTGCCAAGATCAAAAGGGTGGAAGGTGGAAGACAAGAGTCCAGGGGTTGCTTCCATTTCATTAAAGCATATCCACTAACCTAAGTTGTGAAAGTGTAAGTTTTAAAAAGACCCCAATGCAAGGAAAAGGGAAAGGATCCACAGCTAATCAAAGACTGTTTCAAGAATACAACAAAAATAGATTTTTCAGCCCTCAAGAGAATGTAAAACTTCATACTGAATATAAAATAGGTCATTTTAAAAACAAGTCTTCAAGAGCTAAATATACTTAAGAGAAGACTTCAAATGTGTCTATCATTTTACCAATGGTATAAAACTATTATTTTTTTTAAAGTTTGGAATTGTACCACATTAAAAAAAAATGAACTGAAACAGCATATTAGAAAATAAACAGCAAAATCAAAGATAAGGGGTTTCACTCTCTCCCTAACCTCCAGAACACAAAAAGTAAGAAATTAATACAGACAGAACAGCTGAATGAAATACCACTGCTAGAATTGCAAAGGATATGAGATGAGTTTTTCTTGTATACCATGACTTAAGCAGAACATAATTTAATCATGCTACTATAAGTCCTGACTAGACCTAAGTTTTGAAAGTAACATCCACCTGAAATGCTTGAGGTACAGGTAGAGGGAGCAGAGACAGTACTGCTCAAGGCAATTTTCTATAAAACTGGGTTAGCTACCAGTTGCATCCACATTCCAGCAAGTGACACAGATTTATTAAAAGCAATAAAGGGGCAGGAAGCAGGAGGGGAGTACATTTTAGAAATATCATCACACTAAATCATAGGAATGCCACCTTATTTTCCAAATCTAAAAAATAGTTTCTAAGGTAATAACTATTATAGAACTTCTAAGTTTCAAAGAACTCCAATTAAAAGTAAGCCACAGAATCTGAACTTGAAATTAACCAAAAGACATAAAGATGATCAATAACATTTAAAACTTCATAGTACCAGTAATTAAAGTTATCAAAATGGCAAACAAACAAAAAAAAAGTTTAAACCCACTGTTGACAAGGGTGTACCGATATGAATACCCTAATATATGACCAAAGGGCAAGGATCATGTCTTCCTCATTTACCATGATATGAATCTCTAGGGCCTAACTCAGCGCCTGGTACGTGGTAAGGAAAGATTTGATGAATAAATAAAAATGTTATTAAAAAAAATTCTAGTCACTAGCCTTTTCCTGAAAGTACTCCCAGGTTTCAAATTTCCCCCTCAAGTTTACTACCTGATTCTGTGCTAGTAATCATTATTTACTCCTTGTACACGCTTTGAGAAACTTTAGTTTTCTCTGGGCCACACTTAATTTCTGTGACAGCAATCCCTCTCAAAACCACATAGGTTTTCAGTTTACCTACATTCACTACCTGCATCCATTCCAAAATTTGGAAAAATTTGGGCTTTGAGAAAGTATAGGCTTTAGATTTTAAAAGAATCGGTTGAGTCCTAATTTCACCACTTACTTTTTTTTCTTTTTTTTTTCTTTTTTTCTTTGAGAAAGAGTCTCACTCTGTCGCCCAGGCTGGAGTGCAGTGACGTGATCTCGACTCACTGCAACCTCCACCTCCTGGGTTCGGGCAATTCTTGTGCCTCAGCCTTCCGAGTAGCTGGGACTACAGGTATGTGCCACCACACCCAGCTAATTTTTGTATTTTTCGTAGAGATGGGGTTTCACTATGTTGGCCAGACTGATCTTGGACTCCTGACCTCAGATGATCTGCCCGCCTTGGCCTCCCAAAGTGCTGGGATTACAGGCACCAGCCACCATGCCCGGCCCAGCCATTTACTTGATGGGATCTTGAGTTCAGTAATTAACTTCTCTGAGTTTTAGTTTCTCCATATTCCACAAATGTACTGCCTACTCCTACTCTGACCTCAACTTCCTCCACTTTCCCCAGGCCGCTATGTTCCAAACACCCAACTCTTCCTGTTGCTAGAATATGCCAGGTTCAGACCTTTTGGCCCATGCACTAGAGGCCTTCTGCCTCTAATGTTCCTCCCCTTAACCGAATGAATGGTTGGCTCTTTCCATTCAGATCTCAGTTAAATGTAACCTCCTCAAACACACTTTCCCTGACCACCCAGTCACTCATTGTAGTTTAATTCTCTAGATAACAACTATTACTATCCCATAATATTTTATTTCTACCTCCTCTCACTATAAGGTACCTGAAGGAGAGCAAGATACTTATCTGTCCTGTGTCACTAGTACCTGGAACTGCGTCTGAAACACAGTACGCACTCAAATATTTACCAAGACTGTACGGTACCTACACATAGAGCCTTGCCTTCCAAGAAGGTACCAATTAAAAGTTAGCTCCCTCCTGCCCTCTACATTATTACCTAACATGGTAAGTGTGGTACAGCATTCCTGAGCTTAAATTATCACCTCTACTCCTCCCATTACCCTATAAGGCCAAAGCACCTCTTCTGAGCTCCAGATCCTTATAAGCCATCAGCCTACTCAGCTCTTCACTTGGGTGTCACAAAGAAACCTAACTCAAAATGGGAGCCAGGTTTCTCAGTGACCAGGGGAGTTACAAATATGGAAAAAGGAAAAACTAGAATAAACTCTGTGGTGCTGGTTGAAATGGGAAGTGTCATTATAAATACATGATGCTTCAGATATATATCTCTTTATTTATATGGATAGCAAAAGAAATAGATTTAGCTATACACTATGTATATATGTGTGTGTTTACTATCTGTCTGCTAAATAACACTGTTAGCAATAAGCCTAGCACCTGTATCTTGGTTTCTAATACCTTCCCCACCAAAAGCAACACTGCTCCTTGAAGAAATGTTTCCAGGTCTGGAGCAGGGAAAGTATAAGATATGCTTAGAACATCTTTGTTGTGGTATGTGCCAGAAAGTAAGGAAATGCTAACAAATAATGGAGCCATGTCAAAAGAACACAGGATCCAGATGGAAGGGGATGCCATTGGCTAAAACTGGGAAAACACCAACATCAGAATACATAATAAAGAATTATAACCCACTGAATAAAACACGCATCAATGAGTCTATCCTGACACAAATAAATAATACATTAAAAAAGCTCTTTCGGCCAGGCGCGGTGGCTCACGCCTGTAATCCCAGCACTTTGGGAGGCCGAGGCAGGCAGATCACAAGGTCAGGAGATAGAGACCGTCCTGACTAACACGGTGAAACCCCGTCTCTACTAAACATACAAAAAATTAGCCGGGCCTGGTGGCGGGTGCCTGTAGTCCCAGCTACTCAGGAGGCTGAGGCAGGAGAATGGCATGAACCCGGGAGGCAGAGCTTGCACTGAGCCGAGGTCGGGCCACTGCACTCCAGCCTGGGCGACAGAGCCAGACTTCGTCTCAAAAAAAAAAAAAAAAAAAAAAAAAAGGAGCTCTTTCTTGTGGTAGAATAATACCAACAAACAAATGGAAAAAAAGGATAGTAATCAACAGCAATAATCGGTTCAGGCAAGATCATTACTGGATTCTAAAATGGTGGGTAACAGTTTAATGAACAGGATATTTTGAATTACCTCCCTATAAATTACTAATTAATTTAAAGTGGAAAAATAATTTTATAATGGAGAAAACTACAGATACCACTTTGACCAGGTGATCAAAGTTAACATCACCTATACTGGAACAAACATTATGTGTCCCCTGATATGATTTACTGAGACTACAACATCTCTTCTGCAGTAGTCTACCAGGCTTCTATAACTTGAACCTTATCAAACTTGAATAAAGAAACCTTAAACAAATCCAAATTTAGAGACATTCTATAAAATAACAGGCATATTGTTCTTATAAGATTAAACAGTACATTTTAATAAAGGAAAAAAATCAACATAATGCTCAGACATTTTGCAGGTACTGGGAAGGAAGACTTCCCACGCCTCCCCTGCCTTCCTGGCATCACTGTGTATGAAGGAGTATGTCAAGCTGTTCTGATCTTGGAAGAAATGGGGGTAAGGAGACTTTCATCTGTCTGAATATCTTTGCTCTGGGGCTGCCTGGCTGCCACGTGATTTGTCTCTGGGTACCTCTCAGGCACCCTTGCCCAAGTCTTCTGTGGAATGCAGGGATGGTACTGTGCAGAGAGGCAACACGGCACATCTGCTGACAGAGAGACAACTGGTGGTCGTGGTAGTGGCAGTGACAAGCAAGAGGAGTACAGAGTGGGTCTGCCAGAGGGGAGCAGGGAAGAGTGAATGGAAGAGAGGGAAGAAGGGAAGTACGAAAGAGGGAAGAAAGCCAAAAGATAGGGTGCACCAGAGGGCAGAAGTAGTAGGGGTTTAGGAGATGGTCTCCAGTTCCTGGGTCTCCATCAGCTCTTGTTTGAGGGCAGGACTCTGTGTAATTTGTTTTTTTCCTACTGTCTAGGTATTCCTATCAATACCAGCACCCATGTAAGGATCTCATCATTGTCCCAGTCATTTGAACCAAGGGTGGAGGGGGACATCTGCTAAACCAGGGCCCAGCACTCCAGAGTAAAGAGGAACACAAAGAAGGAGGCACCCAGTCAGCTCCTGCAGAGAACTGGCTGCTTGTACCAGACACACAGGCAAAAGTTTGGCAAGAGCTAAGACAATGCCTAAGGAAGGGGCTTGATATCCAGCCAGCACACAGCTAAGGGTGCTCTATCTTTTTTTTTTTTTTTTTTTGAGATGGAGTTTTGCCTCTGTTGCCCAGGCTGGAGTGCAGTGGCACAATCCCAGCTCACTAAAACCTCTGCCTCCCAGGTTCAAGCAATTCTCCTGCCTCGGCCTACCGAGTAGCTGGAACCACAAGCACGGACCAAGTAACTGGAACTACAGGCACACACCACTTAGTAGAGATGGGTTTTCACCTTGTTTGCCAGGGTGGTCTCAAACTCCTGACCTCAAGTGATCCGCCCACCTCAATCTTCCAAAGTGCTGGGATTACAGGGGTGAGCCACCACACCCAGGCTGGTGCTCTATCTTCAGAAGTGTTAATATCATTAAAGACAAAGGCAGACTGAAGAACTATTCCAGGTTAAAGGAGACTTAAGAGACATGACAACTAGGCCAGGCACGGTGGCTCACGCCTGTAATCCCAGCACTTTGAGAGGCCGAGGCGGGTGGATCACAAGGTCAGGAGATCGAGACCATCCTGGCTAACACGGCAAAACCCCGTCTCTACTATAAAATACAAAAAATTAGCCGTGCGTGGTGGCGGGCACCTGTAGTCCCAGCTACTTGGGAGGCTGAGGCAGGAGAATGTGTGAACCTGGGAGGTGGAGCTTGCAGTGAGCTGAGATGGCGCCACTGCACTCCAGCCTGGGCGACAGAGCGAGACTCCATCTCAGCAAAAAAAAAAAAAGGAGACATGACAACTAAATGCAAAGCATGATCCTGAATTGGGAAATAAAATAGCAATAATGAAAATCAACATAATTGGCAAATCTGAATACGGGCTGTGAATCAGATAAGAGTATCACGTCAAGGTTAAATTTCCCAATTTTTTTTCTTATGAATTATGAATTTTACTAAGTGATTACACAAAGACATATAAGAGTGTTAATTGTAGTGCTGCTTATTGTAGCAAAATATTAGAAACCATCTATATATATTAAAATAAGAACCAGGTTAATAATTTACAGTATAGATACATTAAGCAATATTATATGCTCAGTAAAGTTACATATCACAGAAGGAATCTATATTTACCTGAAGAAACTGTGCTCAAAATGTTAAAAATCAGATTAAAAATAATATAATTCTTTTGTAAATAATAATTATGTGTACACATGTAGAGAAAGAACTCTATGGTCATTTTTAATGCTTTTTTTCCCCCAACGGTCATGCATTAATGTTTAATTTAAAGTGAAAGATAAAATTAAAAAAATACATTTGGATTTGTAGCCCAGACCTCCCCTTTGAGCCACAGATTATGTTTGTGATATCTTCCCTTGTATGCTTTACAGGCATTTCCAAGTTAATGTGGCCCATGTTGCACACAATAAGTCTGCCCCAATCCAGTGCTTCCACGTCAGTAAACCACAACTCTGCTATTTCCAAATGAGTCAACTGAGGCTCAGTTTTGCACCTGTTACACCCACAGCCCAACCCTATTCTCCATCTAATTTATAACCAAGCTCTATTTCCAACACAGATTCCCACACAGACTGTGAACACCTCTGTGTCTCTCCATCTTAATTACCTCATTCCAGGTCCCATACCTCTTGCGTGACTTCCAGCAACACTTCTGTGCTCTCACCATCTTTTCATCCTTACTATTAGCCAGGGAAAGCTTTTGACACACCAGTGACCTTCCATTGCTCCTAGGGTTTGTTAAATATTCTGTTATGATTTAGAGAGAACTGACTAATCTGGTAGTCTGGTCCCTGCCTTTACCATAGCCTCATATTGTAGCTTGTAGCTTTTTTTTTTTTTTTTTTTTTTTTGAGATGGAGTCTCACTCTTGTCACCCAGGCTGGAGTGCAATGGTGCGATCATGGCTCACTGCAACCTCCGCCTCCTGATTCAAGTGCTTCTCCTGTCTCAGCCTCCCAAGTAGCCAGGATCACAGGTGCCCACCACCACACCCAGCTAAAATTTCCCAATTTTTAAATGAGATTATGTTCAGGAACTATCCTTCATTTTATAGGAGATATACACTGAAGGAGTGTAGGGTACAATATCTCTTTACATATTCTCAAATGGTCCAGAAATATTATATATATTTATTTATATCCTATATATATGCAAGCACACACACACACACGTTATATATACATTGCTGGGTATGGCGGCTCATGCCTATAATCCCAGCACTTCGGGAGGCTGAGGCAGGCAGATCACTTGAGGTCAGGAGTTCAAGATCAGCCTGGCCAACATGGTGAAACCCTATCTCTACTAAAAATACAAAAATTAGCTGGGCGTGGTGGCACGTGCCTGTAATCCCAGCTACTTGGGTGGCTGAGGCATGAGAATCCCTTGAACCCGGGAGTTGGAGATTGCAGTGAGCCGAGATCGTGCCACTGCATTCCAGCCTGGTGACAAAGCAAAACTCCTGTCTCAAAAAAAAAAAAAAAAAAAGGCAGGCGCGGTGGCTCATGCCTATAATCCCAGCATTTTGGAAGGCCGAGGCAGATGGATCACCTGACCAACATCATGAAACCCGGTCTCTACCAAAAATACAAAAAAAATTAGCTGGGTGTGGTGGCAGTCACCTGTAATCCCAGCTACTCGCGAGACTGAGGCAGGAGAATCACTTGAACCCGGGAGGCAGAGGTTGCAGTGAGCTGAGATTGCGCCATTGCACTCCAACCTGGGCAACAAGAGCGAAACTCTGTCTCAAAAAAAAAAAAAAGATGTATCTATCTATCTATCTCTTTCTCTCTACACACACACACACACACACACATACAGGCATTTGTGTGGGAGGTAGGAAGAAGGAATGAGACAGAATAATAAAACAAATGGGACAAAATAATTGGTAAATCTGGGTAAAGAGTATTTGGGAATTCTTTATACTATTCTTACACATTTGAAATTATGTTGAAAAAGCTACAAAACTTCAAAATGCCCCAAACCAATCTTTTCTCCCAAACTTGATGATCTTTCAGTGTTCCTTATATCAATAAAGTACACCACAATCCATCGAGCCGAACAAGTCAGAAACCTAGGAGTCATCGTTAATGCCTCCCTCTCCTTCAACCATAAATAAAATCCATTACAGAATCCAGGCTAAAGTCTTCCCCCTTCTCACAATCTCAGACTCCAGGTTCTGGTTCTCCCTAGTTCAGGCAACCAGCACTTTTTATCTTAATTACTATATTTACTCCAAATTTTGTCTTCCCACATTCACTCTGCTCCCCGCTCCAAACCATTCTCTACTGTAGCCAGAATTTGCTTATTTCCCATAAGCAAATTTGGTCATGTCACACACACCACCCCATCCCCAAGGGTTTCCAATGACTTCCCACTTCTCTAAGGATTAAAATCCTTCCTCTGGCCTACAAGAATGGAATGATCCTATCCCTGCCAGTCACATTCAGTTCCTGGAAACCATGCTCTCTTCCACTCCGGAGCCTTTTCACATTCTCTGGAATGTTCTCCCTATTCTTTACCTCCTTTCAGATTCTCAGGGGCCAGTGATCCATTCAGTCTGGTCCAATTTCCCCCCCATAAAGAGAAAGAATATAGCATTTATCCTGCTTTCCCTGTATCTCAATGTAATAAAATTTTACTTTTGAGACTATTCAATTCTATTATAAATAAAGATGAAAAAGTTTGTAAAATGTAGATGAAATGTTCAAAGATATTTTAAGTATAGATAAGGAGCTAGTTTTAAAAGTTTGTTAAACATATAATTGATAGAACATGTTAAATAAAGGTAAGCAGTTAATAGCACACATATATTAAACATAGAAAGGGATGGAAAAAACAAGATACCTAATATTTATGAGGCACCTATGTATTAAATATTCATGATACACTAAATATACTAAGTACTAAATATTCATGACAGAGTAAATATGCATGACACTAAACAAGAGTCAATGAACACATGAGCATGATATTCATGAGTCCTTAATTCAGCTACCCATTGATGATGCCCAGTCTGGCCCATGTGTCCTCTGCCCAAGGAACACAATGCCCATGGCTATCATCAGGCTTGTGGCAAGCTACAGCTGTGGCAGGCTTCCTTGTCCCATGTCTAATAGAGCAAGTGTGTGGCACTGGCCTATGTCTGTGTGGGCCTCTTTGTTCAAACCTCAGCTCTGGTCCTGGTGACCACACTATCAGCAGAGAAGGCTAATGCAGTAGAGACAGGACACATGAAATGTATATACTGCAGCATTCAGGGAGTGTGGTCCTTCCTCCCTGTTTGCATCCTATCCTAAGTGTTTTAACTCATCCTATCTCTTTCCTCTTGCTTCTCACTAAAAACTGATTTAACAAATCACATAATTTGGGCATTTTAAGTTGTTCTGTGAGCTTTCTGTTCTGTGACCTCTAGGCTAGTTTTTGTATGGCACGCACTTAGAGGCTACCATTGGATCAAGGTAATTTCCCACACAGCACTCAGGGTAACCAAATAATAAAGGGAAATTTATTTTTAAAACAGCATTTCAGCTAATAAATAGAGAAGTCATGATAGAGAGACAACTAGATATTAAGTATCTTGTGGTAGAACTATACACCACGTATAAAGTATACCAAAAAAAAAAAAAAATCAAACCTGAATGCAATCAATCCTCTAGATCTAACTATCAATTTATAACGAATACAGAGGACAAAGAGAAACTTGTTAATATCATGGAGCTCCAAACTGTAGGAGACTTTATAGGACAAATACTCTGGTTTCTCCAACAAATAAACTGCAAGGAAGATTAAAATGAGATGGAGAAGGAGCCTATACATTAAGAAAAAAAATCTTCTGGTCATATATACCTGAAAAAGAAAAAAAAACACAACAATATAAAGAGATATCAACGAATTACAAAGTATGGCCTTTAGATGGATCCTAACTAGAACAAATAAAACTGTAAAATAAAAATAAAAAACATTTATGAGACAATCAGAAATGTTCATATTGATTTGATGATATGGAATTCTGTGACAACAGTGCTGTGATGGCTGTGCCACAATTACATTTTAAAAAGGGAGTGGACTTACAGAAATACATACTGATACACGTATAGATGGGATGACATGATGTTTGGAATTTGTTTCAAATAATTGGCAGTGGTGGGGAGTGTTTAGAGATGAATCAAGATTGGCCATAAGTTGATGACAGCAGGGGCTGGATGATGGGTACATGAAAGATTATTGTTATTGTATATATTTGAGATTTTCTATAATCAATCCTTCCGTTTGAAGAGCAAGAAAAAAGCAAGAGAAGAGTGTAGAACTTTCAGTGATTAGAGAAGAGCTCTGAATGGTGTGGTACATAGATGTGAGACCTAGAACTGCTACAGCCATTTTCTTTTTTTTTTTTTTTTTTTGAGACGGAGTCTCGCTCTGTCGCCCAGGCTGGAGTGCAGTGGCAGGATCTCGGCTCACTGCAAGCTCCGCCTCCCGGGTTCACGCCATTCTCCTGCCTCAGCCTCCCAAGTAGCTGGGACTACAGGCGCCCGCCACTACGCCCGGCTAATTTTTTGTATTTTTAGTACCGGGATGGTCTCGATCTCCTGACCTCGTGATCCGCCTGCCTCGGCCTCCCAGAGTGCTGGGATTACAGGCGTGAGCCACCGCGCCCGGCCGCTACAGCCATTTTCTACCATGAGACTAGACAGCCTGAGAATGAAATCCACACATCAACAAGGGCACAGCTAAAAGAATCACAGAGAAATGACGCTACAGCCCTGATCAAATCAAAACCAAAGCCCATCCCACTTGAGGACTTTTTCAGAAACAATAAATCCTCTTTACTATTAGCCAATTTGAGGTGGACTTTTTGTTACTACAAGTGAGGACGGCATAATTGATACAATCTCCCATTTACTTTCAACCTAGTCATGCTTCTGTCTCTACATTCCCCTCAAAATGTTCTCAGCAAAATCATCAATAACTTCCTTGTAGCTAAATCTAATGGATCTTTTTGAGAGTCCTCGATTAATCTTTCTCAGCTACACCTCATATTCCTTCATCCTCAATGTTCTCTTCCCTAGTCTTCTGAGCCTCCACATTCCCTTGGTTTTCTTTCTAATTACCCTATGCCTAGCTCCTTTGCTGGCTCGCCTGTCTTGGGTCCTTTCTTTCTCCATACGCTCCCTCAAAGTGACTGGCAGTCAGCTGGGTGGGGTGGCTCACGCAGGTAATCCCAACACTTTGGGAAGCCGAGGCAGGAAAAGTGCTTGAATACAGGAGTTCAAGACCAGCTTGGGCAACACAGTGAGACCCTATCTCTACAAAACATTTTCAAAAAAATTAGCCAGGCATGTAGTCCCAGCTACTCAAAAGGCTGAGGCAGGAGGATCACCTGAGCCCAGAAATTTGAAGCTGCAATGAGCTTTGATCACATGACTGCACTCAGCCTGGGTGACAGTGAGACCTTAAAAAAAATGTGACTAGGCCGGGCGCAGTTGACTCACGCCTGTAATCCCAGCATTTTGGGAGGCCGAGGGGGGCAGATCACGAGGTCGGGAGATCAAGACCATCCTGGCTAACACGGTGAAACCCCGTCTCTACTAAAAATACAAAAAATTAGCTGGGCGTGGTGGTGGGCTCCTGTAGTCCCAGCTACTCGGGAGGCTGAGGCAGGAGAATGGCGAGAACCCGGGAGGCGGAGCTTGCAGTGAGCCGAGATCACGCCACTGCACTCCAGCCTGGGCGACAGGGCAAGACTCCGTCTCAAAAAAAAAAAAAAAATGTGACTAGTGACTGGTAGTCACCTACTTTTTAAATTTTAATTACCACTTATAGCTCTCATCCCTGAAGTCTTCTAAGCTCCATACATGAATTTCCACAGGCCTAATGCACACACCACCATTTTATATTCCTCAAACTCAACATGGTTCTTTCCCCCCAACCCGCTCTTAAACACATACACTGGCCCTCTTCCATTGTTCCCTTTCTCACAAAATAGAATCAATCTTAACACTTCCCAAGATCTCATCTTTTCTTCCACATATCCAATCAATCACCAAGCCTTATCCTTTACATTCATCCACTTCTTTCCATACCCACCACTACCATCCACATTCAAGATGCCATCATCTCTCACCTGAAACATAATAACTTCCCTGTGGTTTCCTCCTTCATAACTCTTGGCCCTCCTCCAATTCATTTTCTACTGTTTCCAAGACATCTTTTTAAAAATTGTGGTAAAATATACATTACATAAACTTTACTATTTTAACCATTTTTAAGTGTATTCCAAGAGATTTTCTAAAAACAAATCTTCTGATGATTTCATCTCGCTTAAAACAGAAACTGACTAGCTCAGGGTCCACGTGGGAAGAAGACTTCTCACAAGATCTACTCTTTTATACCTTTGAGTTTTGAATCTGTACCTGTATACCTATTTTTAAAAACTTTTTAACTGTCAATAAATTTTCAAGAACCTATATAAATAAAGACCTCTAGCATCTATTTTTTAAAGGGTAGATAATAGAAAATATTTCTGCTGTTTCAAAATCTGTTACGAGACAAAATTCTATAAAACGTAAATTAGAAAATAAGTTCACATGGTCAACAATCTATTTTAACATCATCATCAACCAGGCACAAAGGCTCATGCCTGTAATCCCAGCACTTTGGGAGGCCGAGGCAGGCGGATCACTTGACCCCAAAGTTTGAGACCAGCCAGGCCAACATGGCAAAACCCCAATCTCTACTAAAAATCCAGGAAGACTGTAACTCAGAGGTTAAGATACAAATTTCAGTATCACAAAGGCTTAGACTCTAATTTTGTTTCCACCTCTTACAAGTTGTATGATCAAGGGCAAGTTAGTTAACTCCTCTAAATCTGTCTCATTGTTTATTTTAAAAAGGGTGAACTATCATATAATATTTCCTAAATTCTTATTTTCAAATTGAATATTTGTGAAATCAGTATGTCTTATAATTAATTTGTACTTCAACATACAAAAAAAAAAACCTTTTTAGATCACAATAGTGTGTCTTATAATATTTATAGCAGTGATTCTCAACCTGGGCTCCTTTTGTTCCCCAGGAGACATCTGGAGATGTCTGGGGACATTTTGGGTTGTCACAACTGGGGTAGGAGTAGGGGTAGTGGTAGGGAACACTACTGGCATCAGGTGGGTAGAGGCCACAGATGCCGCTAAAATCCTAGAATGCACAGGACAGCCCCCAACAACAAAGAATTATCTGGCCAATAGTTCTGCAGTTGAGAAACCCTGTTTTAGAGTCTTAGAATAAAATAATATCTACTTAATAGGCTCATTCTCAGAATTAAAATAAATAATGCATATAAAACGCTTACAAGAATAATGAGCACAAATTACATGTTTAATATACTTAATAGTATTTTTTCTTTTTTTTTTAATCCAATGTGCTTAGGATAATTTAACTACTAAATAAATACCAAATTCCTTCACCTCACCCTTCACATAATTCTGTCCGTTTGTCTTTCAAGCTGGCTCTCTCACTGCTTCATTACATAAACCTCATCCCATCAATCTGGTCTATGTTGTTTCATTAGCACTACCTGGGTTTCACAACTCCATGTCTACACACAAACCATTTCCTCCATCTACCATGCCTACTTTCAATTCAGCCTATAGCTTAAATACCACCTCCACTAGAGAGGTCTTCCTTCACAGACCACTGATGAGGCTGGAAATGGCCTCTCCCCTGCCACCCCACCGCATCCTAACGCCACCAGTCTCCCTCTGAATGTCATATTTCCAATTATATGACTCTTAGCTTATTTCTGAACTCTACTGTGGTTATACATTTATCATACCTCCCCTAGCAAAGCATAAACTCTTAAAAGAAAGGCATAGCTTAAACACATAGGATTTGACACTGTTGAATCAGACCATTCTCCTTGAAATTTTCTCCTTCCAGGGCTTCAGTGTTACTATACTTTCTTCTCTGTCAATGGCATCTCAATTCAGCCTGTCAGTCACCAAATCTCAAAATCTCAGGTAACCTCATCCTTCTTAAAACCTCAGGCGACCTCACCCTCTTACACATTCCCTTTTCATTCAAACCATTTCCCATGTACCCACTTAGAAATACTAGAGATTAAATCTCTGCAACATTTTTTCTATCATTTGCCTCCTTTCCATTTTTTGACTTCTACCCATAGAGAACAGTAGTTACAAGTACAGGCTGAAGTCAAATTCCCTGGGTTCAGATCCCAGCTCCATTAGTTGGGTAACTCTGGAAGAGTTCCTAAGTCCCCGGACACTTTCCTCATCAGTAAAATTGGAATAAGTAACCTTTCCACCTCAAAAGGCTGTCATGAGGATTTAAATGATACAGTATGTGTAAAGTGCTTGACACACAGTGTAGGAGCTCAATAAGTATTAGCAGCTTTATTTATTTATTTATTTATTTATTTATTTATTTATTTATTGAGACAGAGTCTTGCTCTGTTGCCCAGGCTGGAATGCAATGGCACCATCTCGGCTCACTGCAACCTCCACTTCCTGGGTTCAAGCGATTATCCTGCCTCAGCCTCCTGAGTAGTTGGGATTACAGGCACTCGCCACCATGCCCAGCTAATTTTTCTATTTTTAGTAGAGACGGGGTTTCACCATGTTGGTCACGCTGGTCTTGAACTTCTGACCTCAGGTGATCCACCCGCCTTGGTCTCCCAAAGTGCTGGGATTACAGGCATGAGCCACCATGCCCAGCCTATATTAGCAGCTTTATTATCATACCCGCCCCCTACCACTTCAAGACCTCATGAACTTCTTTTTTTTTTTTCTTATTGGTAAATTTTCTGTTGACTACAAAGTCAAAGACACAGGACCTTATCTTTTGCCCAGACTCTTGCAATAATGTCCCAAACTGGCCCCTCTGCTACGGGTCTCTCTTAACCACAATGCTACCCACTGCTCTCAACTATCTTCATATATGCACAAGAGTCAGACCTTATACAGGACTTTGACAGCAAGATTTGTTAAGACAGACAAAGAAATGTAACAAGGTATATTTATGATAGGAAATATTTTATATCACTAAACTAAATGGGATAAAAAGGAGAATAATAGTTGAGAAGATTGAAGTGATAAACTGACACTAGGAAGTGGGCCTTGAATTCCAAATTCAAGAGTTTAGTAAGAGTGTCACAAGAGGTTTTGCATCTACCATTTCCCCCAAAGGATTTAAGAGAACAGAACATTTAAAGAAAATTCTGTAAAATCTTTGCTTAAATGGGTTAAGCTCTTCAAATATAGAAAAGGCACAGATAGTTGAACTACTTCCTCCTTTGGAATTTGGATTATCGATTTAGTGTTTCAAATTCATCTATAAAAATGTATTCTTCATTTAATCAAACCTGTATCTGCATCTTCCACAAAATAAACTATTAAAATTTGGGCTATTTGTAATACTTTTGTAATACTACTGTAAAGAGAAGAAAATGATTCAAGGCTCCTAAGACTTCAAATTAAGTAAATATTCCATATTTGCTTTCTAGGTATTACAACATCAGTGTTTTTTTTTTAAGTTCAATTACTTCATTCTATGCTCACATTTCTAGCTATCATTTTAAATGACTTTTACAACATATGGTTATAAAATTGACTACTTTTTCAGTACATCAAAAGTTAGAAAGTTTCTAATAGAAAACACCAAATCAGTGCCTGAAGACCCTGTAAGTCATTGTTAAAGGAGTGATTTTAGTAAATCATATTGAAAGCTGGGCTGATTTTTTGAACAACTAAATATAATTAGGTAATACCTTTGAAATATGCTATCTATTAACCTTTCCTGCATAAGTGTATCTGCAGCAAATAAAGAATATTTACATCAAAAAAATTCCTAATTTTTTTCTATTCACTCCATATAAATTTGTTTTGAAAGACTGTTGATAAAGAATAAACAAAATGTACAAACATAACATTCTTAATAATGTATTAATATATTGTTACTAAGTCACTCAAGGTCTTCTAAACTTGTTTTTCATCCCATTTGAATATGGTCTTTTCATCCATTCCAACTGCTGCCAAGGCAAATGTAATAGCCAACAATATCATCTATCTGAAAATGAATTAAGATTTGTACAATTTTTAAAGAAAAAATTAGACTTCAATATGTACTATGTGCACATTTTTCACACCTGCAGATAAAACGGTTACTCTGCAGAACGGTATAGAGTAATAAGCAAAGGCTTCAGAGTCAGACATGCAGAACACATCACTTGCCAGATGTTTAATCTTGTGCAAATTAATCTGTGAGCCAGTTACCTTATCTGCAAAATGAGAACAGTATCTACAGGGTTGCTGCAGGAATAAATGAAGTAATGTATTCAGAGTGCTGGGTATCTAACAGCAGTGTTCCACCTCCACCAATACCTTTACCCTTTTGAGTCAGACCTCAAATCAAAACTCACTTCTGCCACTTACTAACACTGTGATAGTAGGAAAGTTAACCTCTCTATGCACTGATTTCCTCCTATTTTTTAAATGGGGAACACACTACCTACATCAGAGACTTGTTATCAATCTCTAACGTACAACTTACTGCAAAGCATCCAGCAGAGTGCCTGGCAGACATCAGATTCCACTGATACTAGATTCCCTTCATTTCCTTTCTTCTTCAGGTGTGTTCAATATGTTCAAGTGGTCTAGAATCTACGAACCTGCCTGACACATACCCAGAAAGTAGGCCATTTTCTAGCTGGAAGCTTTTGTGTATGCATGGCAAAATTTTGATATCTGTATCCTATAAGTATCCTCTCAGTTCCAGATGGAAAGAAAATATTTCTCTTATTCCCTTTGCCTTCCACTTTATACATACTACTTTTCCACATAGGTGACTATGTAAATTTCCCTCTTTCCATGTTTTCTAAGCACTTAAATAGCCTTGATTTGCCATCCAAATAGATACCGGCTTCAGTGTGCTGCTTAAGTTAAAACCAAAATACATCTATTATTCTCACTGCTTATATCAGTGGTGCCAGAATGTTTTTATATAAAGGCAGTAACACTTTGTGTTTCTTCCTATGAGTTACGCTAGACATTCAATTTCAAAGAGATGTTTAAAATTTAAATAATTTGAAAAGGATTTACTATATTTATTCCTGATGCCAGCTTAATATCAAAGCATAAAAATTCAAGTAAAATTAAGGCTGCCATAAACATAAAATCACATCAATGTCAAGTTTCCCCAAAAACAAATTCAAATCATTTTCCAAACACTGAGATTAATCTGCTATTTAAGTAGGATGTGTAAGTCCTGAAAATACTCAGCTGTGTAAGTTTAAGCAGTAAAACTGAACTAAACCATTTACCAAAACATTACATAGTCCTAAAATTGGAAATTAGTCACCCTCCCCCTGAAAAACCCTATATTTAACATGTGGAAATTTGTGAGTACTAGGGAACTTTTCAACAAATATTTCATATATCTAAACTTCATTAACTAGGGAACAGAAATCTTGTAAAATTACTCTTAAAAGTTACCAAATTACAGAAGCATCTTCCAATGAAAAGCAGCTCTCTAATTTTTTTAACATTTCACAACATGGGCTCCTAAAGCAACACTAAAGAATCATAACGGGAGGCCCTTTTCCTGTTATTTTGCAAAGACTGGGTTATGGAGGGAGTGTTTAACTGCTACTGTACTATACAATTTCTGTGTCAACAGCACACGCCTTCGAAAAACTCATCTATTAAAAAACTTCCCAAAGTAGGGAGTTTTTGTTTCTTTTAATTTATGAAGCCAAAATACATTTGGAAAAAAGAATATGCCTCACTGATAATATGAAATGAAAACTGCACCCTACAGTCAGCAAACTGAACGCTGGTTTTAAATAACTGATTTAATAAGAACTTAACATGCGTGCAGAAGGCTGATACAGCCTTAAAGAATGACAACAAAAATTAATACTGCACTCGACACAGGCCACCTTACATCCAACGGAGCCTGAATAGCAGCCATCATTACAAATGTCAAAATCAATATAGTACTATGCACCATCCACCTTCTTGCAATAATAAAGAAACCAACTCAGATTTCTTGGTGGTGTAATCACAATTATGACTGAGGCAGAAATGTACGCAACACAATGAAGAAAATACCACAAATCAAAACCACTCTATGTAAAAACATAAAATTGCTCACTGGGGGATGGGGGGGACATTTTGCCATCCAATAAAAGGAATCTGGCCAAATCCCACCTGACCATTCACGTGCCCTTCATTGAAGACCAAACCTGCTTTCCTTATTTCTCCTTTCTTTCTCTTCCTAGCCTCCCATCATCTCCCTTAACCTGTACGAGAAGACAGGCACGGGGAGGGAGGGATTCGAGAATCGGGAACAAAAACCGAGATGTGGACCACATCAGGAGGAAGAGGGGAGGGAAAGGGTGACACCACTAACCTGTCCCAAAGGCTTTGGCCACCAGCCAGGCCAGATTGCAGGCGATTTTGGCCCTGGAGAAATCATAGTGGTCAAAAGGCTTGATGGCTGGAACAATGAACGTCTTTCTCATCTCCCTGGGGTCTGCAGCATCCCCCATCTTTCACCGCGGCTCCTCGGGATGTCCCGGCCCTAACCTTCACATGGCGTGGCCTCGCCACCACGGGGGTCGGGAGGGAGGGAGAAGCAAGCTCAAACCATCGGGGCCCGGGCGATGTCCGCCCGGGCGCCGACGGAGGAGAAGCTCAGCTGTCCGCGCCGCGCGCCTGCCGCCTCCCGCGGGAGCCGCCGCCGCCGCCGCCGCCGCTCCCGGGCATAGGAATGTGGCGGCGCCGTCTCCGTCCGTCCGTCCGCGCGAGGTCCGCCCCGTGCCCGCGCCCCTCCGAGCCACCCGCCCCGCGAGCCCGCGTGTGAGCGAGGCCGCCTCCCCTTTGTCTCGGTTTAGTCACACGGGCTTGGGGGAGGGTGGAGGCTGGAAGGGCCCGGAATTTTAAGGGAGGGGGGATGGGGGGAGCCTTCAACAATCACGTTGTGGAAAATGTCCCCGCCATCGCGATGCCCGCACGCCCTCGCCTCCCTCTCCCCTTCCCTCGGAGCGGGGAGACCCCTCAGGCCCCGGGTGGGCGGAGGGACGAGCAGGACGAGGGGGAAGCGCGGGGCGAGCTGGCCCACCCAGCGCAGCCCGGCCCCTGCCCGCCGGAGACGCAGCAGCGGAAAACGTCAAAATCACTGCGGCTCACAGGCCGCCGCCGGCCCGTCCCCTCCTCTGTGCTCCCTCCCGTCGCCGTCTCCTCCTTCCCCTGCCGCCGTCGCCGCTGCCGTCTCCCGGGTCTTCCTCCCTTGCTGACGGCGAAGGTGGTGGCCGGGGAGAGGCCGCGAATCCCAAGCTCTCAGTTCCTGTCTTATCAGTAATGTCCTTGTAATTTTTTCCTGCCCCCCTTTCTGCAGCTCGCTGGATCGTTCCCCCTCAGCCGCCGCCGCCGCCGCTGCGGTTTTCCGGCTGCGGCACTGGATGAAGGAGCAGATGCGGAGACTGAGCATGCGCCTTCGCGCGGCTCCGACCCACCCCCCCCAACCCCCGCCCCCGCCCCCGCCCCCTCCCCGCTTCCCTCCCGTCTCCGGCCCACTGAGCATGCCCAGCCTCGCTCCCCGCCCGCGCCCGGGATTCGGGGCGGCTGCCTTTTAATCATCGCTCTGGAGTACTCGCTTCAGTGGACATCCTCCACGTCCCTGGCTTTTGGCTGCTGCTGCCTGCACTGCTGAGAGAGGAAAAGGAAGGGAGGGAGGAGGGAGAGGCCTGGCAATAGCTTTCGTATTCTACTTACACAGTGCTTCATCGAAAAGAGTTGATATTTACTTAAAATGTTCATTATGTGACACACACTTTGCAGCGAACTTGACCTGCACTATCTCATTTAGCCCTCGCAATAATCCTGAGAGGTAGATGTCATTGCTGATTGTCCACGAAAGAGAGGTGGAGTTGATTAGGTCATACATGGAACTTAACCAGGATTGAGGATCTGTGGGGGCTCCAAACCTGTGTTAATTTCATGATATCGAGATATTTTCTTAACTCAGTGCTCTCCACTTAAATTTTATCTCTGAGAGGGCACACGTCCAACAATGCCTCCCCATTCTCTCAGAAAAGAGCATAAATTCTTTCACAAAACAAGCTAATGCCCTTTGTGATCTGGCATCTACAGGCCTTTATAGCTTCATTTTGTCAGAACTGCTCTCTATTTTCTTCAATGAGCATGCCTTCTCAGATCTCTACCTCCTTGCTCAGGGTGGTTCCTCTGTCCACCCAGCTTACTCCTACTGCACCTTCAAACTCCACAGTAGTCACTTCCTCCATGAAGCCTTCCCTGACAGCTGCTGACAACTTTCCAGTCAGGGCTGTCACACAGGTGCCTCCCCTGTTGTTCCCGGAGCACCCTGTTCTTATTTCTGTCGTAGCATCTGTCACATCGTGTGGCAATAATCAGTTACTTGTCGGTTTTTCCCATTGATGACATGATGACAGGGTATATCTCCAGCAGCTATACGGTGCCCAGCCCCATAGTATAATTGCTCAATTAATGGACTACATGTGAATATTATCAAAGTTAACACATACTGAGCTTACTTAAATCACTAGCTCCTCACGTCTCATTTTAATACATTATCTAATTTTATTTTTAAGTGATTGTTGTTGTTATTATTATTATTATTGAGACGGAGTCTTGTTAAGTCGCCCAGGCTGGAGAGTGGTGGCAAGATCTCAGCTCAGTGCAATCTCCACCTTTAGGGCTCAAGCGATTCTCCTGCCTCAGCCTCCTGAGTAGCTGGGACTACAGGCGCGCACCACCACGCCCAGCTGATTTTTTGTGTATTTAGTAGAGATGGGGTTTCACCATGTTGACCAGGCTGCTCTCGAACTCCTGACCTCAGGTGATCCGCCAACCTCAGCCTTCCAAAGCGCTGGGATTACAGATGTGAGCCACTGCGCCCAGCCTATTATTATTATTTTTTGAGACAGGGTCTTGCTTTGTTGCCCTGGCTGGAATACAATGGCAAAATCACAGCTCACTGCAGTCTCAACCTCCCAGGCTCAAGCAATCCTCCCATCTCAGACTCCCATATAGCTGGGATTACAGGCACACATCACCACACCCAGCTAATTTTGTTTATTTTTTGTAGAGATGAGGTCTCCCTATGTTGCCCAGGCTAGTCTCAAACTCCTGGACTCAAGGGATCCTCCCACCTCAGCCTCCCAAAGCGCTAGCATTATCTAATTTTAATCATTATAAAATCCTGTATTATCTTCATTATACAGATGAGAAAACTAAGGCTCAGAAAAAAAAATTAATTACTCTTATTCTGCACAACTAGTAAAGGCAGAGGGCAGCTCCATCAAAAAGCAGGTCCCTTTGTTTCTGTTTAATCCCTGTAAACACTCCTCCTTAAACCTAGTAGGACACAACAGATGAGGCTTGCTAACAATGTGGGATATGAAAAGAATTTGAAAATAATAATATGCCAGAGGGTGGTTGATGTAATTTTTCCAATAATTTAATTAATATTAATAGGGTTTTTCTCATGGGCAAGGAAGGCCCTTTGCTGTATCACATGGAGGTTAATAAAATTAACAGATAGATAACAACTCACAAAGCATGTTCATATGATAACTAATTTCCATATCTATTTTATGAAGTAGGAATTATTATTGTCTTCCAATTCTAGATGCAGGACTGAGAATTGCAAAGATTAAGTGGCATGGCCAAGATTTCATGGTTGATTCATATCTGAGTCTGGCTTCAAATTCAAGCACAGGTCTTCTGGCTCCACTCCTCTGGCACTTTTCCCTGTGCCTGCTCTCTTTCCGCATTATGGAGGCTAACATGTACATAAATAAATTTATAATACAATGTAAAAGTGATAAGTGCTGTAAGAGATATAAAGTGCAGTCAGGGGCCAAGCACAATGGCTCATGCCTGTAATCCCAGCATTTTGGGAGGCTGAGGCAGGTGGATCACTTGCGGTCAGGAGTTCAAGACCAGCCTGGGAAACATAGCAAAAACCTGTCTCTACTAAAAGTACAAAAATTAGCCAGGCCTGGTGGCACACACCTGTAATCCCAGCTACTCATGAGGCCAAGGCACGAGAATTGCTTGAGCCCAGGAGACAGAGATTGCAGTGAGCAGAGATCGCACCACTGTACTCCAGCCTGGGCAACATAGCAAGATTCTGTCTCAAAAAAAAAAAAAAAAAAAAAAAAAAAAAAGGCCGGGTGCGGTGGCTTATGCCTGAAATCCCAGCACTTTGGGAGGCTGAAGGAAGGTGGATCACAAGGTCAGGAGTTCGAGATCAGCCGTGCCAAGATGGTGAAACCCCATCTCTACTAAAAATACAAAAATTAGCTGGGCGTGGTGATGTGCGCAAGTAGTCCCAGATGCTTGAGAGGCTGAGGCAGGAGAATTGCTTGAACCTGGGAGGCGGAGGTTGCAGTGAGCTAAGATCATGCTACTACACTCCAGCCTGGGCAACAGAGCGAGAATCCATCTCAAAAAAAAAACAAAAACAAAAAACAAACCAAAAAAAGCTTGCAGGCAGACCATATATAGGTGGAGGGATTGGGAAGGTTTCTTGGAGACATCTGTTGAATCTAATGTTCTCAAATGCAACTTTGACTGAATTCTAGAGCACATAAATCATGTTAGGAAGAACCTATAGCCCAGAAAGGTTGAAGAGAGATACTGAAACATTTTACCAGTCATTATAATAATCTGCAAGCCAATACAAGATTCTCAGGGCCAGAAATCGTGCCTAATCACCTTGATGTTGCATGTGACCTAGCACAGTAGTTTGCTCTCAATGGGTGCTGGGTAAATACTTGTTGGATTTCATTGAAAACTATTTCAACCTAAATGAACAAGACAAGGAAGAGAAGGAAACAAAGTAAGTTGCTGCAACTTGTCCCTTGATTCAATGGTGATGCATTTAGTAGAGATGGCATTACTAGAACCCCAACTGGGAAGGAGTGTGTTTAGGAATGGGAAAAAACAAAATGCCTAAACAATGAGCAGCTTTTACTGTCAGGGAGGCTGTGAAACAACTTGGGGTCATAGTAGGAGGCTATTATTAAGAGGGAAACACCCTGAGTACAAAGAAGAAGGATTCATTTTCAGGGAGACAGACACTCTAATAGGGTGTTCTTTGTGTCACCTTCAGAATGATCCTTTTAAAACCTGGAAATCTCTGCAGAATATCACTGTCAAAAAGAAATGCTCTCCACTTCCCCTTAAGATATCTGACTTTGTTCAGAACAAAACCCAGTGGTTCTCTGGACCTGCTTGTCCAACTGCACAGCTATCCCTCTACTTTTTATCTCCAGGCCTAGGGGCTCAGTTCATTGAGCAACAGTTACCCTTATTCCCGCACAGACAGCCCTCCTTCTCTCTGTTGTAAACATGTTTCTCTCTTTTCTCCTGGAGAATTCAAAATGCCAGCCAGACTTCCTTCCATATGGCGATCCTCTATTTCTCTGTCTGATAGATTCATAAGTTCATTCATTCATCAGCCAGTATTGATAGAGCCCCTGGGTGCTAGGATGCGATGTTAAACAGACAGCTGAAGAAGCAAAGTTTTGGTAAGAAAACTTGGAAATCCTATGGCCTGAGCAGCCCAGCTCTCCTTCATTGTCATGTCCTTATCTCCGTAAGTTAGAAGCCTTGTGACTTCACCTATAGACGTCTTCAGTGTGTCCCCTCAGAAGCAAAGAAGTACTAAACCAGCAAGCACTATAAGTAGGACTTCACATTATTTTCTTAAATAGAAGGCATATACACATGTACTATCATTCACTTTCAATAAGTTACACTAATAGCAGCTAACAGTTATTGGCACTCTCTATGTAGCAGTCCCGATCCTATAGTAACTTATTTAATCCCCACCACAGCCCCTATTATCATCCTCATTTGGTGGCTGGAGAAACCAAGGGGCAGAAGACTTAATTTTGAGTGGTGAAGACCTTACGTTCCTTTGAAACTCAAGGGACTAGAATAAGTAAACTTCAAATCAACCAGGTTAAGAATGGCCAAGGGTGGGCGTGAAGAGGGGAGAAAGAATGCTAAGCTAATTGATGACAATAAGAGGTTCACTTGGTTGAAGTATAGCCGCCTCTAATAAACCAACATGAGATAGAAGAGTCTGTGCTATATATCTGACAGTCTATCATTTCTAGATACACTCGTGGCTTTCATTGGAATAGCTAGCAAAGTTTTATAAGAATTACCTCATCAACCTTCACAATAGTTCTAGCGAGGCCTGCGTAGTATGATGCCAAGTGTGTGGCTGGAATGACTGACACACCGGGAGGCCACATAACTTTCCAGAGTCACACTGTGAGTCAGTGTCTGAACCAAACAGAGAAACCCGGCTCTCAGGTGTCCAGGTACAGCACCATATTTTCCCAGACCCCTAAAACATTTTTCCTTGATTAATCCCCTACTTAAACCAAGAACCCTTAGCCTCCAACAATGGGCAATGCTTCTTTTATTTTTAACATCATTGAAGGCAGGTCAGGGTGTTAGGAGGTAACAGAAAAAGCACTAGGCTAGGAGGATGGACTCTGGGTTCCAGTGCTGCTCTTTATATCTGCCATGTGATTTGAGGAAACACGTGCCACCTCCCTCCTCTCAGGTTTCCCCTGCAATAAAACAACAGGGTAGATAGAACCAGGCACATTCTAAAGTACCCTTATTACCAATAGTCTATGATAGGAGGATGACATCTACATACTTTACTAGGTTATAACTGAAAGTTAAATCAGTCCGCTGCCTAGTATTCAGGATTTAAATCTTTAGAGCAGTAGTTACTTTTTTATTTCCAGAAAGTTTTAAGATACGATTGTATAGAAAGGCAAGGGGAGGTAACAGCAGAAAATGGGATCCTCCAGCTAAGGTAGAGACTAAATAAAAAACGGAAGGAGGGAATTGAAGAACGAGAACACTTGGACACAGGATGGGGAACATCACACACCGGGGCCTGTTGTGGGGTGGGGGGAGGGGAGAGGGATATCATTAGGAGATATACCTCATGTAATGACGAGTTAATGGGTGCAGCACACCAACATGGCACATGTATACATATGTAACTAACCTGCATGTTGTGCACATGTACCCTAGAACTTAAAGTATAATAATAAAAAATAAATAAATAAATAAAATGGAAGGAGGCCGGGCGCGGTGGCTCACACCTTCTCATTTTTACTTACTTAAAATATAAATTAATAATATTTCTGAAACTAACCTTTTCAATCTTTCCCAGCAATGTGGCTTTTGCTCCCACCATACTACTGAGACTATTCTCACAAAAGTTATTACAACTCCTTGTCGTGACTTTTGTGCTCCTTCTCCTTTGGCCTCTATAGCTTGTAGTTCTTATGAGTGTCCCTTTGTTCCTTTTTTTTTTTTTTTTTTTTTTTTTGAGATGGAGTCTCACTCTATCACCCAGGCTGGAGTGCAGTGGCACCATCTCGGCTCACCGCAAACTCCGCCTCCTGGGTTCAAGTGATTCTCCTGCCTCAGTCTCCCGAGTAGCTGAGATTACAGGCACCCGCCACCACGCCCAGCTAATTTTTGTATTTTTAGTGGAGATGGGTTTTTGCCATGTTGCCCAGGCTGGAGTTCTTAAAACTATCTTCTCTCTCTGGTTCCAGGGACTTCCCTTAGGCACCTGGTTCACTGTCACTTTTCGAATCCCTTTTCAGCTGCCCTTTTCACCTCCTTTGTTTGTTTGCCTTCCCAGCAGGGCAGCTACTCGACTCCGTCCATCCTTATTTACCTCCGTCCTTTACTGTCCCCAACTTGGCTCAATGATCTCTTTCTGGCTTCAACCCTCATCTCTATGGAGGTGGTTCCCCAATCTGTATCTCAGCTCCTGATCCCTTTCCTGAGTAGCTTCCTAAAGCTTGTTGAGCGTTTTAACCCAGATATAGTCCTAGGATTTCAAATTCAGCATATCAAAAACAAACTCATGAGATTTCCCTCTTACTTGGCTTCTAGTCCCAATCTTCCAAATTCTACTAATGACACCCTTCTCTGCTTAAAATGTGTCATCCCTGAGCTCCCCCTTTCTCTCATCTCACCCCATGCAAGCAATCCAAATGTCTGTCACTTCCATGTACTCTTTTCCATTCCCACAAATGTCTTATTTCCTCTCATATACGCCTACTGTTTCTCTCTTTTGAACTTACACGTTAACACATTAACCTTCCTAAACCAAACTTTGAGGATTCAACAAATATCCACAGTCAGCAAACTTTAGGGACTTCAGACCATGTGTCTGAGATTGTACTAGGCCTTTCACATACTGAATCTTATTTAATTTAATCGTAAAATAGCATGTAACGTAGTGTTAAATTTGGCCCAAGGCTGCCTCCATACACAGCAAACTGCAACCTAATTTAGTACATAAACTGCAATCTAACTTGAGAGTATATTCTTGTAACAAGTAACTGAATCTCAACCAATCACAGCCACCAAGCTTTCGGCCAATCATAAGCTGCAATAGGCTCAGACATGTCCAAATAAAGCAAACTCCAAGCTGCAACCAATCAGGTTATTTCTGTATGTCACTTTTTTTTTCTGTCTATAAATACTGCTTGCCCACATTGCTGAGTGGAACTCTGTGGACCTTTAAGGATTTAGGGTGTTGCCCTGATTCATGAATTATTTGTTTGTTCAAATAAACTCTGCTAAATTGCATTTGTCTAAATGTTTTTTAAAACAATAGAGATTAGCCTAATTTTATACATGAAAAATGGAGGCTCAGAAAGACTGAGGAAGTTCCTTAAGATTTTATGATAAAGAGCAGAACCGATGCTCAAACTCATGGTTCCTGAATTCAAGTTCAGGAATCTTTCCTGCACTTGAACTCAACTTCTCACTCAACAGCTTGGTGGCTATGCATTGCTTACCAGATATAAACATTTGTCTTGACTTTGAAGATCCTCTACAACATATCCTATCTTTACATTCATATTTCCCTAGTATCCTCCTGTATATATCCAGCCAAACGGCTCTAAGGACCTTCAACATATTTAAGTCTTTTTAAGGCTTATTGGTTTGGCCTTTGTTAACCTTTCTCTATAATGCCCTTCATGAGCCCAACATGTGCTATGGAAATCTTCTCATCTTTCATTAATGATTTTAATGCCCCCTCTTCCATAAAGCTTTCCCTGCCCCACTCTTGGGTCCCTGATATATCTGTGCTCTCTTGTGGTATGTTTTGTCTTGAATTGTAATTCTTTCTGTGTTCCATAAAGGAAAAGACAATCTTATTCTGCTTCACTAGCAGTGCTTAATATATAATAGACCACAGCAAGTATTTCTTGAATAGAGGAAAGAATCAGTGAATTAGCAGGTAACAAAAAAATACATACTAACACACATTCTAGGGCCATGAAATATATCAATATAACTTGACTAGCTTATATGGGAATTAAAGATGGAAAGTTGATCTCCTTAATGCTATACCAAGTGGTTCCCAGTGGTTCCTAAACACAAAGCTATTATGTTTTATTAAAATTTATTCTGAGAAAATGTAGTGATTTTTTAATACACCTGATTTTTTTCCTCTGAATGACTATTTTTTAATTATAATTTTCTTTCTGCTTTTTTTCTGTTAAAATGTCCTTTCTCTTATGAAATGATAGTGGTTGTAGATACTAATTGAGCTTTTGTGTAGTCTCCTTTAGTAAAATGAAAAAGTTAATACCTTTATATTCACTTCTCTCCAATTCATTTATTCATTTAAGAAACTTGGTTGCATTGTGAAATCCCAGAGTGTGGAGGTCATCGCTCTAATTAACCAAAATAAGTGACTTAGTCCTGATTGCTTCTTTAACAAAACTGGCTCCTAATAGCATTCAGAAAAACAAAGCAAAAATATGTTATCTTTGTGTTTCATATTTGCTATGGAAACAGTCATTGTTGTCGTTTCAAATATGTTGGTATTTGAACTAGTCGTGGCATATGGGCTAAATTTTCTTTCTTTTTAAATCTCTAAAAATATAAATCAAATCTTCCTTTGAAACATTAGTTAGGAGCTATGCTTTAACTTTCATGGACCTCTTTTTAAATAGATTTTGAATCATCAGTGCATCAGAGGAAATGGTCTTTTTCTTCCTTTCATTATGACCTATGGACAGCTGGAAAAATATATTACACTTCTTTTTGATACTTCATCTTTTTAGTTAGGATACTAGGAGGATTTTGAATATATGATTTGATTAACAGAAACAAAACATGGTGGCGTCCTTCCCTGATTTAGCTTTCTCATCTGTTCCCCATCTTCCTCCTAATTTTCTACATCAGAGAAATGTAACTTCCTGTTTACTTTCTTATGCTGTTAATTTAAAGGTTCTGGATAAAACTGGAAGAGGAAAATTATAGCTTGACGTCGAGAATTTGAAAAGGCAAAAGCTTGTGGCATCCAAAATGATATTCTTTATAGAATTTAGATAGCTCAGAATGTTACTTTTGCCATATGAGAAACACTTTACTTTTAGATTATTCAAAATGAAAGCTGGAATTGGAAAGAAAAGAAAAGCAACAGCAACAACAACAAAGCCTAGTGGGTTAAAAATGTGCTGACCTAGTCCTTCACAAATCCAAAATAAAAGATTTCTTTAAAAATAGAAGAAATACTCTAGTGCTTTTACTAATCCATTTAAAATCTGCTTAAGCCCCTTTCTTACTGTATTTTTTCTCTCTTTTTTCTTACTGTATTTTAAAACATTTTTTGTTACATGAAATTAGTGAACACAATCCAGAATAATTACAGCCATTTGAAATACAATTCAGAATAACAACCATTTCTAAATTAGGAAATTTTTATTTATTTATAACTAGAACTGGAAATTGAAGAACTGCCTGGATGTGTGCTAATAGTAAACCATTATTCCCTTACCAAGCCTTGTATGTTTACATTCATATTCACATAAAGGGATTGGTCCAAGCAGGTTGTATACCGTAATCATTTAACTTTTTACTTTGCTTCAAATAAATTTTATTGTTTACCTTCCATCAGCCACTTGGCTAGTCAGGTTAACTTTTCAGAGTGAGGGTAGGAATGGGAAACTGGAGTGGAAACGTGGACTGTGGGGGCAGGGTTGAACAGGGGGTGGTAATAGCTACAGCCTGTACCCAAATCTTAGCCAGCTTCTTTTTTTAAAAGTATGTTATTTTTTTCATCAGGAAGAGGAAAAACAGTATAAATGATTTTTTTTTTTTTGAGACAGAGGCCTACTCTGTTGCCCAGGCTGTAGTGCAGCGGTGCAGTCACAGCTCACTGCAGCCTCAACCTCCCAAGCTTAAGTGATCCTCCCACCTCAGCCTCCTGAGCAGCTGGGACCACAGGCACAAGCTACCATGCCCAGCTAATTTTTTGTGTTTGTTTGTTTTTTTGTTTTTCTTTTTTGTTTGTTTTTTTAGAGACGAGGATCTCACTTGTTGCCCAGGCTGGTCTCAAACTCCTGGGCTCAAGCAATCCTCCCGCCTCGGCCTCCCAGAGTTCTAGGATTACAGGCATGAGCTACTGTGCCTGGCCAAAAACAGTATAAATAATTTAAAGAACCCTACATCAAGACTACAAATAAAGCTAGACAGCCTTCTAATTACAATTGAGTGTATTTTTTATACTTAAAAAAATCACAGTTTTTCTAATAATGAAAGCAATCTATATTCATTTATTTAATTTAAAAAAGAAAAGCAAATGGAGGAAATAAACATCTATAATTTCATTATCTACAGATACCCTTTGTATATCTTTCCATTCATTTTGTGCCCAAATGGTATCATATTGTACATCCCATTTATAACTTCTTTCATAAAACAATATTATTTCTATCATTTGATATTGGTAAATGTTCACCTAAAACATAATTTTAATGCATAATAGAATTTCATTATAGAGATACATCCTTTTATTTCTTATTTTAACCAAGCCTCTGTTAAGGATATGTTCATTCTTTCTAGATTTTTGTTTTTATGGAATAATAGTGTGACACCATAAAGAATACCCTTGAACATACATTTTTGCCTACCTCACTGATTATTCTTAGATGTGCATAAATTTGTTTATCAACTCTTCTTTTTTATTATTTTTTTTAAGATGGAGTCTTGCTCCATCGCCAGGCTGGAGTCCGGTGGCACGATCTCGGCTCAGTGCAACCCCTGTGTCCTGGGTTAAAGTGATTCTCCTGCCTCAGCCTCCCAAGTAGCTGGGACTACAGGCGTGCACCACCACGCCCAGCTAATTTTTATATTTTTAGTAGAGATGGGGTTTCACCATGTTGGCCAGGACGGTCTCAATCTCTTGACCTTGTGATCCTCCCGCTTCGGCCTCCCAAAGTGCTGGAATTACAGGCATGAGTCACCACACCAAGCCTATCAATTCTTTGTCTATAAAATGCAGTAATTTTTCCAAGTTGATCATTTCTCTTTTAATGTTAGTGTTAGCATTTTGGGTTGCATTTGTTCTTCTGTGGTCAAGTCTATCAATCTTTTACAATTTCTGCCTTAGATGTCAACCTTAGGAAAGCCCTTATTCCACTGCCACTCCCACCCAAAAGGCTATACAACTGAATACATAAATATTCATGTAATAAATGAATAAACGTGTTGATACAGACATTTTGTCTCCAGAGATATTTAGACTCCTCTGTTTTGATCTCAAGAACATTTTAGCTCTCTATACTAACACAAGTGTTTAAATCAGAATTTTACCAAATAGGTTGATTGTGAAGATAGTGTTTTTAGGGTGAGCACCATTAGGCTAGTTTATTTTATCAATTTTCTCTACTCTGCAGTTAAACTATTCTGATTTTTTCATTTTCTTTTGCTGTTTTACTGAGAATATTTTTATTGGGATTAGTTATGTTCCATGTCAATTTACAATAAAGATTTTATTGTATTGCACAACTTTTTTTGTCCACATCAAATTCTAACAGCAAGAGCTTTTGCTATCATAAATTTTCTTTTTCGGCCATTATTTTAACAAGTTCAGTTTTCAGTCACATTTTTGTAGCTCTAATTTTGTTAAAAAGATGTGATTCTCCAAGCAAAACTTTTTATCTATTACAACTTTTACTTTACGCAATCTGGGCCATTGTCCTTTTTATTTCATAGGGATTATTTCTACTAGCAGTTTTTATTATGAATTGAATAAAAGACTGATGGGCTGAGAACTGATATTGTAAATTATGCTACTATACCACACAAGAGCTCAGGACCTCTCTGTCAGCCCAGGCAGTGTAAGTGATGTGATGGTTCAAAATATGTCTACAAATCATTTGATATTCTCTTCAAAAGGTGGAGCCTGATTCCTCTTCCTTTGAACATGGGCTGGACCTCCCAGAGAAAAGAATTGGAACACAATTCCAAAGAATTTTAAAAGGCATAAGAGATAGCATCCATAACATGGTCACCGGAGAGTAGGCCATAAAAGGCATTGCAGCTTCCCTCTTACTCTTTCTGGAAGTACACCCCAGCCCCGGGAAATCATGCTGCCATATTGGGATAATCAAAAGGCCTATGAAGGGACCCACTTGCTAAAGAACTGAGGTTGCCTGCCAAGAGCTATGTCAGTGAGCCATATTGGAGACAAATCCTCCAGTCTTTGTCAAGCCTTGAATAGATTGCAGCCCAGCCAATAGCCTCATGAAAGATTGAGCCACAATGATTCCACTAAAATGCTCCTGGATTCTCAACACTCAGAAACTGTGTGAGATAGTTTTGAGTTAATTTGTTAAATAGTAATAGATGGCTAATAAAGGGGATATGCCAGTGAGTCAGGAGGAGGGGTCAGAAAAGACTTCCCGGAGATGGTATTTGGGTGGTAGTTTGCTCTCCATCAGTGCTAAAGCAAATGCCCCTCTCTGTATTACTCCTCCACCTGCCTCACCAGACCTTCTCCTTACAACCCTACTTTTCTACCTTCCTGTCCTTATCCTTGTTTTCCTCCCCATTCTCTCTCTCCCTTCCTTTTCTCTTCCCAATCAAATAGCAATGAAAAGAGTTGTATAAATTGGTCTGGATTTGTGTGTGTGTGTGTGTGTGTGTGTGTGTGTGTGTGTGTGTGTGTGTAAAGGAAACAGCTTTGATTATTACATATTACCACCACCTCCCCCATCCAAATTACTTCCATGGGGTAGATTTATATGTGATAGATTCTCCACTCCTCCTCCCAATCCTCCAGCAGCCTCTTCATTTATTTTGTGCCTATTTTGGGTGGG
This sequence comes from Homo sapiens, assembly GCF_000001405.40. Lineage (NCBI taxonomy): Eukaryota > Metazoa > Chordata > Mammalia > Primates > Hominidae > Homo > Homo sapiens. The sequence continues at coordinate 200,726,150 of NC_000001.11, read as the reverse complement.
CAACCCAAGGATTTCAAATAAACTGTTTGGGGAAATAGTTATTTTATAGTCAAACTTTAGGGAATGTTTAAAACCAACTATACTATGGAAACAGTGATTTTAAGTAGTCAAATTATGTCATTGATTTTTATGCAAGAACAGAACAAAAAGAATGGATCCACAAACACAAAATGTATTTTGCCATGAAGAAAACTTGCTGACAGGGATGGGATGAACAGCTGAAAACACAAAAGTAAAAGCTATTTGTACTTCTTTTCAAAAATTTTTCACTGGTGTGGTGAAATTGCTTATAGAATTGTCCATTCCACTTAGAACTCAGTGCTTATAAATGACAGAGGATATATTTGTAGTTTATGTAATAATAGATTTTCAACTTATTTACTCGTATCACTCACACAAGTAAAGCATTTTAATTGTCTCTCACTTGTTTTTTGTTTTTTTTTTGTTTTTGTTTTGAGACAGAGTCTCTCTCTGTCACCCAGACTGGAGTGCAGTGGTGCAATCTCAGCTCACTGCAAGCTCGGCCTCCCGGGTTCACGCCCTTCTCCTGCCTCAGCCTCCCAAGTAGCTGGGACTATAGGCGCCTGCCACCATGCCTGGCTAATTTTTTGTATTTTTAGTAGAGACGGGATTTCACCGTGTTAGCCAGGATGGTCTTGATCTCCTGACCTCGTGATCCGCCCGCATCGGCCTCCCAAAGTGCTGGGATTACAGGCGTAGCCACCGTGCCTGTCCTACTTGTTTTTAATAAATGTGTCTGCAGTTATTCCCTAGGGTCCATCAGCTGTAATGTTCTTTGTGTCTTGAGGTAATTTCTTTCATTAAATTATTTTTCTCCAAACACTTCCAGCTGAATACTTAGATAGTATAGCATTTTATGGAATAATTGTATGTAATAAAGCAATACATTTTCAAAATATTATGTGTTACAGTAGCATCTCATTATAGCATGACTCTGCATAGAGCTATCTCTTCTGAAACATAACTAATTATAGTAAAAGTTTGAACCATTGCTTAGTCTGTAAGTTGCATACAGGCTAACACCCACTCCCAAATAGAATACCAACATTTATTTAAAAGTATTATTGGCTTAATTTTAAATATCTTAATGAAGATTAAAAGCAACATTCAATTTAGAAAAATGATTTCCACTCAGCATTGCTCCAGTTGATGAAAACTTCAAAAAACAATTATAATTCAAAGGACTGTATTGTGTTGCTTTAGACATTCCATGAGCCTGGAGAAAATGCTGAAGGAAACAATACAGGGGACAGCCCTGCCTGGTGGAAAGATGGGCCAAGTGACCTCAGAGTCCGGTTCATCCTTGAATTCTGCAACACTTTAGTGGATACTGACAGTTTTGTGGAACTTCTTAAAAATTGAGTATTACATTATTTAAAAAATATATTAATTATTGTAGTTTAGACACTAAGTGACTTTTACCACAATCAGTTTTTAAACTGATTCAGTAGGATCTCAGGTACCTTTTCTAAGAGGAAATGCTGTAAAAGAAAACAAATTACCACACTTTTCCCAAACAAATGTCTTAGTTCTTGCTAGATTCCAAATGAAACTATAACTACGTTATGTAACAAATGCTTGCCAAGAGTATGATTGGTTTTTAATCAAAGGTCTCATTGAAACACCCACTTCCCTAATTGCATCCTTTCTCCAAAAAATGAGAACACAACTTATGAAGGGAGAAAATCAGGCTCTACCATTTATGAAATGTTTGATTTGTTTTACTTGGTATGTGGGTTTTTAGAATTTATAAAAAGTAATCCTCTGACACCAAGTTGTATGATGAATAAAGTGTTCCAGCCAAGTCATAAATCTCAGCAAAGGGAGGTTTAAATGGCAAGTGTTGGGCAGGACAGTGCCCTCACTGCAGTACAACTTCTCTGCTCAAACAAAGACTCATTCATGAGTCAAGTCAGCCACTTAATGCTTGAGTCTGTCACCAGCTAAATATAAGATTGCTAGAGCTGTTAGTGAAGTTTATCAGGAAGACTCAAAGGCATGGAAAGAAACATACAAAAATGTACTGGGCATCTTTTTATGCATCAGACTTCTTATAAACCAAAAATTATTTGGGCACATATATTTCATCAGGAAATAATGAAACTGAGAAACTTAAAGTTCAGCGTATCACACAACCAATGTTTTTGCTTGTTTTTTTTTTAATTTCATATTCTGTCTTAAAACATATAACCAGGTTGGGCATAGTGGCTCACACCTGTAATCCCAGCACTTTGAGAGGCCTAGGTGGGAGGATTGCTTAAGGCCAGGAGTTTGAGACCAGTCGAACATAGTGAGACTCTGTCTCTACAAAAATAAAAATAAAAAAGAAATCTAGCATTATCTTCAGAGAAGTAAATTTTTAAAAATAATTTTAAAACTATAACCATCTTTAAAATATATGTATCTTTTAAAAAGATATACCTATATATTATATATATATAAAAAACCATCTTTTAACTAGAAAAATCAAACAACCATTAAAAGCCAAGGTTTACTGTTCAAATGTGGTATAATTCACACTTAAAAAGGGAAATCAGAGTAATCATAATAGAAGTGTTTATAGACCAGCTCCTCTTTTGTGGGTTGTAATCTTATTTTAGGGCCTAATTAGAGAAGATTCCTTTTTGATACTTTCTCTACTGGATTACAAGGAATATGTTATAGAGAATGTTCTGCCAGAAAAACTAAAATAAAAATAGTGTAAGAATAGATTAGTATAACCGTTCTCAACATTTTTTATTTTCAACTCACCATTTTAAATTTCTCATATCATTTGTCCATTAAAATACCTAAAACAGGAGAAGCATGTCCCACAAGCCTCTTTTTTAAAGGCTTAAAAACAGAAGAGGAGGACTATACAGGTATAAAAAGCTAGCTCTGTTTATGTCTCTCTGCTGCAACCATTTTTTGAAGTTTTCCTGCCCTGGGTGAGTCCCTTGTGCTTCCCTCTCACACTGCACTCCCACCCAGCAGCAGTGCATGGCCTGTTGGAGACCCTGGTAATATTAGGCAGTGCAGTGAAATGGAAGAATCACTGCATCAAGGTGCCTCCAGAGGATGAGTTTTACTCTCAGCTCTACACTTAACCATAGGGAAATGTGCTTAACTCAGACTCAGTTTTCCCATTCTGAAATAAGAGTGTTGAAAAAAATGCTAGTAACCGTAAAATTCTATGGTCTAAGTAAATCAAATCACATTTAGCATCTGGGTCTGCCTTTTAAATTACTTTTATTTATTTTTTTTTTTTGAGACGGAGTTTTGCTGTTTCACCCAGGCTCTTTTCGCACCTGGCCCGATTACTTTCTATAGTTACTTAAAGAATTGGCCTGGCACGGTGGCTCATGCTTGTAATCCCAGCACTTTGGGAGGCCAAGACAGGAGGATCACTTGAGGTCGGGAGTTTGAGAGTAGTCTGGCCAACGTGGTGGAACCCCGTCTCTTCTAAAAATACAAAAATTAGCCAGGCTTGGTGGCACATGCCTGTAGTCCCAGCTACTCGGGAGCTGAGGTGGGACAATTACTTCAACCCGGGAGGTGGAGGTTGCAGTGAGCCAAGATCGCGCCATCGCACTCCAGCCTGGGGGACAGAGCGAGACTCCATCTCAAAAAATAAATAAATAAATAAATAAATAATTTTAAAAAATTACCTATTACTCTCTGTTACTTTTCTTCTTTCTTTCTTTCTCTCTCTTTCTCTTTCTTTCCTTCCTTCCTTCCTTCTTTCCTTTCTTTCTGTCTCTCTCTCTTTCTCTTTCTTTCTGTCTCTCTCTCTTTCTCTTTCTTTCTTTTTTGAGACAGGCTCTTGCTCTGTCACCCAGGCAGGTGTGCAGTGGCACAATCTCTGCTCACTGTAGCCTTGGCCTCCCAGGCTGAAGCAATCCTCCCACCTCAGCCTCCTGAGTAGCTGGGACTACAGGCATGCGTCACCACACCCGGCTAATGTTGCCCAGGCTGATTTGTTACTTTCCAATGTACTCACTTTATCATTGGTCTTGGGTGCATCCCTTTTAATTCTTGTCCTTTTTCCTCTTGGTCCTGTCTCCTCCTGGTTGCTCAGCAATATTCCTCTCTCTATCCCTATGCTCCACCCCAGCCTATTTCACCTTCTCCTTCATCATTCACTCGTTTTCACTAAACACTGCTGTCTTCACTCTTTTGCTTTAGTGAAGCAATTTCAGCAAGTGCTGCTTGATTTTAAATTATTTCATTATTTGCTGTGAAGAAAAGAAGAAGAAAATACTGTTATTAAGTCAATATTTCATAAGACATCTTTAATCAAGTTGAAAATGTTAGAAAAATGTTTCTAACATCATGCAATATGTCATTACTACATTAAGACACTAATGTAATTATTTGAAGGTATAAATCACTCAGTATTGGTTCTACTGTATTTTTTTAATTTTAAAATATTTCAAGCTTACCAAAAGTTACAGAAAGTAATATTGTAAAGTATTGACCACTGATCTTTGTCAAATCTGAATATTTTGCTATTTTTGCTTCAACTTTTAAAAATAAAATGTTACAGATGCAATTGAAACCTTCTGGCTGGGGGCAATGGCTCATGCCTGTAATCCCAGCATTTTGGGAGGCTGAGGCAGGCAGATCACTTCAGGCCAGGAGTTCGAGACCAGCCTGGACAACCTGGGCAAAACCCTATCTCTAGGAAAAACAAAAATTAGCCGGGTGTGGTGATGCACGCCTGTAATCCCAGCTACTCGGGAGGCTGAGGCATGAGAATCCCTGGAACTCAGGAGGTGGAGGTTGCAGCAGTGAGAGAGAGAGAGAGAGAAAGAGGCCGGGTGCAGTGGCTCACACCTGTAATCCCAGGACTTTGGGAGGCCAAGCAGTCAGATCACGAGGTCAGGAGATCGAGACCATCCTGGCTAACACGGTCTAACCCCTTCTCTATTAAAAATACCAAAAATTAGCTGGGCGTGGTGGCGGGCGCCTGTAGTCCCAGATACTCGAGAGGCTGAGGCAGGAGAATGGCTTGAACCCGGGAGGTGGAGCTTGCAGTGAGCCGAGATGGCGCCACTGCACTCCAGCCTGGGTGACACAGCGAGACTACATCTCAAAAAAAAAAAAAAAAAAAAAGGAAAGGAAGGAAGGGAGGGAGGGGAAGGGAAGGGAGGAAGGAGGGAAGGAGGGAAGGAAGGGAGGAAGGGAGGAAGGGAAGAAGGGAGAAAGGGAGGAAAGGAGAGAGAGAGAAAGAAAGAAAGAAGGAAGGAAGGAAAGAAAGAAAGAGAGAAAAAGAAAGAGATCTTCTGTACACTCTTCCCCATTCGATTCATCACCCTCTACCTTACATGCATGCACTATTATACACCAAATGTTTTTCCTTTTTATACTGTTATTATTTATGAATGTGTAATAAGTAAAACAAAACCTATACTGACATGTTTTTAAATTTCATATTAACGATGTCATACTACCTTTCAATGTTGAGATTTACCTATCTTGATGCATTTAGCTCAAGTTCATTCACTTCCAGTGCTGGATAGAATTCTCTTATACAAATACACCATGATTTGTTTATGCATTTTGCTGCTAGTGGATATTTAGGTGTTCTAGTTATTCACTGTTGCAAGCAGTGTTAGAATATTCTTGTACTTATTTTCTTGAGTACATGTAAGGGTTGTTAAGAGTTATGAATATGTGCATCTTTAACCTGACTATATATATCTAAATTGCTCTCAAAAGTGGATCGATCCAATTTAAGCTCCCACTAGCAGTGTATGAGCTTCTCCTGTTTCACATCCATACCAGCATTTGGCACCATCAGACTTTCTGGTAGGATGAAATGCTAGCTCATTTTGGTTATAATTTGCATCTCTCTGATTACAAGTGAACTAAAAGTGAGCTTGAACATTTTTATTTTGTGTTGAGTTTTTTCTTCTGTAACTTGCCTATTCCTATCTTTTGTCCATTTTGCTTTTGTGTTGTCTTTATTTGATGTAAAATTTTCCTTTGCAGATTGTGTGAAATAGGTATTTTAGTTTTTTTCATATGATTAATGAGTTTTTCCAGCACCAATCATTGGGAAGTTTGTCCTTTCCCCACGGCTTTGTAATGTTGTATACAGTTTCCATGCATAAATGTTTTCATTTTGCAACTCTATTGATTTATTTTCCCATCCCTGCATCAATACCATGTCTTTATTATCACGTAAAGCTTAATTATAATACACTTTCTAATATGGTAGGAAAAACTCCTTTACCTCGTTATTTTTCTTTAAAAGCATCTCTTCATGTAAATTTCAGAATTCACTTGCCAAAACTCTGTAGCGATTTGCACTGGAATTACAATGAATTCAGAGATTAATTGGGGGAGATTGGACATTTTTACAGTATTGAATTTTCCAATGAGCAAAGTATATCTCTGCATTTATGTAGGTCTTCTTTCATTTCTTTCAATTAGTTTCAGAATTATTTTCTAAAAGGTCCCTGACATTTTTTTTTTGTTAGTTTTACTCCTAAGAATCTTAAGGGTTTTGGTACTGTTATGTTGAAATATGTAGATGCAGTTCAGTTTTTTAAAACTCTATTGTTCTAATAATTTATTGATTCTCTAGATTTTCTACGCTAATTGTGATAGTTGGTAACTTGTGAATTGTTATAGTATAGTTTCTGTCTTTTTAATCTTTATATCTTTCTTGCTTTACTGTCTTACTGCTGTGACTTGAACTTCCAGTACAATGATGAATATACATTGTGATAACAGGTTTCCATGGATGGTTCTTGACTTTAAAAGTAGTACTTATAATAATTCACAAGTAAGTATCCTGTTTGTATAAGGTTTTGGAAGGCAACCTTTATCAGATTAAGGAAGTTTCTTTTTATTCCAAGAGCTTTTGTTTTGTTTTAATCATGATGAGTATTATCAATTCTGATATGGACTATTATTTTTTGCATTTATTTTCATAATTGAGATCACCTCTGAACTTACTTTACATTCTTTCTTTGTCCGATTGTGGCATAAAGAATACACTAATTACATAAATTGTATTTGAAGGCATTCTATCTTTTTCTGTTATCTGGAGCAGCATAAAATAGGATAATCAACTTGTTGAAGGTTTGATAGAACTTTACTGAGAAAATCTAGGCCTGATAGTATTTGTAGAGGAAGAATTTTTACCTTTGAATCAACATTTTAAAAGTTAAAAGTCTATTCAGGGCTGGGTGCAATGGCTCACACCTGTAATTCCAGCACTTTAGAAGGCCAAGGCGGGCGGATCACTTGAGGCCAGGAGTTCAAGACCAGCTTGGCCAACATGGAGAAACCCCGTCTTTACTAAAAACACAAAAATTAGCTGGGCATGGTGGTGCACAACTGTAATCCCAGCTACTTGGTTGGCTGAGGCAGGAGAATCGCTTGAACTTGGGAGGCAGAGGTTGCAATGAGCCGAGATCATGCCACTGCACTCCAGCCTGGGCGACAGAGCGAGACTGTCCTCCCCACCCCAACAAAAAAAGTCTATTCAGGCCTTCTATGAGTAAGTTTTGATCAGTTATATTTTTCTAGGAACACTTTCTATTTCACCTATATTTTCAAATTGATTGGTGTAATTGCTCATAGCATTCTCTCAGTATGTCAGTTTCTGCTTTATCTGTAGTTATGTCCCTTTTGTCATTCCCAGTATTGCTTCTTTGTGCCTTGTCTCTTATGTTCTAATTAGTCGTGCCAGAAGTATGTCTATCTTGTTAAACTTTTTAAAAAACCAGCTTTTGTTTTTATTGATCTTTGTTTTCTGTATCATTAATTTTCTACTCTGTATTTCCTTCCTCTGTTTTCTTTGAGTTCACATTGTTCTCTTTATTACATCTTAAGTTGATGCTACCTCACTAATTTCACTTTTTCTGTTTTTTCCTTTTTTTTCTTCTTTGTCAATGTAACCATGTAAGGCTATCAATTTCCCTCTAAGAACACCTTCAGCTTCAGCCCACAAGTTTTGATGTGTGTGTGTGTGTGTGTGTGTGTGTGTGTGTATACAAGAGTTATAGTTTACATTATTACTTCTTTTTCTTTTTTTTTTTTTTAATTCTTGTGTTTGAGACAGGGTCTCACTGCATCGCCCAGGCTGGAGCTCAGTAGTGCAGTCATGGCTCACTGTAGCCTTGACCTCCTGGGCTGAAGCAATCCTCCCACCTCAGCCTCCTGAGTAGCTGAGACTACAGGCATGCACCACCATACCTGGCTAATTTCTGTATATTTTGTAGAGGTGGAGTCTCACCATGTTGCTCAGGCTGGCCTTGAACTGGCCTCAAGCGGTTGTCCGGCCTCAGCCTCCCAAAGTGCTGGGATTACAGGTGTGAGCCACTGCACCTGGCCTATCAGGTAGCCTATTACTTCTTTTTTTGACATTAGAATTGTTATTATTATTATTATTTAGACGGAGTCTTGCTCTATTGCCAGGCTGGAGTGCAGTGGTGCAACCTCAGCTCACTGCAACCTCCATCTCCCGGGTTCAAGCGATTCTCCTGCCTCAGCCTCCTGAGTAGCCGGGATTACAGGCACGCGCCACCACGCCAGCTAATTTTCGTATTTTTAGTAGAGATAGGATTTCACCATGTTGGCCAGGATGGTCTCTATTTCCTGACCTCATGATTTGCCTGCCTCAGCCTCCCAAAGTGTTGGGATTACAGGCGTGAGCCACCGCACCTGGCAGACATGAGAATTATTTAAAAGCATATTTTAATTATGAAAAAATTTCCAAGATCCACAATGAATTTTGACACCCAGAGTCAAAATTATCAAAATTTTGCCAAATTTATAGGTGTGTATTTTTGAATTTCCAAATGTGTGGAGTTTGTAGTTATCCCTTTTTGTTAACTTTGCTAATGATGTGTAACTTCATGATGGTATGTTCAGAGATCATCCTATGTATGATGTTAATTCTTTGTTATTTGTTAAAATTTTTTTCTTGTGGCAGTCTATGTGATTTTTATAAATGTGTCATATATGCTTGGAAAGAATAGAATTTATCTAATTATTTGTTACAAGGTTCTATATATGTTCATTTGATAAAGTTTGTTAATTGTGTTTTCAAACATCTATATCTTTTCTAATTTTTGTCTGCTTTATATATCAGTCACTGAGAAAGGATGTTATAATCTCCCCCATCCTTGTTGATTTGTCATTTTTTCCTTGTAGTTTACAATGCAGATGTTTTTAAAGTTTGTTGTTTGTAGGGGGACAGTGTCACAGTCAGATTTTACATAGTTTGAAGCTTCTATAATTTTATAGGGGTGGGATGTGGGGGAGATCTTCATAGAAAAAGAATACCAAAAAATCTTGCCTGTTCAAATTTTATAAAAACATTTGACCAGGGGCATATGTTTCTTCTCCAAGGGCCTTGGCAAGGGCTCACACAAGTGAATGTCCGTACAGCTGATGCTTCTTTAGCTTCATAGTAAATATAACACTGCCACTGGTAAATCAGGATAAAGGAAAATAGTCCCCCCTCATTCCAGATTCTGTTTTGGAAAACTGCTTCTGCAGTAAACAAACACTGGACGCTTAAGGGTGTTTAAACAGTTCTTTACATAAAGCCATCAGTGATAAATCCAAACCCTATATAGTCAGAGGGTAGAAAAGTAGGCATTGTGCCCCTAACCCATTCCTTTCATCCCCTTTCAGGCCACAAGAGCACAGAGCTTCACGGTTCAGATCTTCCAGGTGTCCCTGGTTGAAGACTCCCACCTTTCTTATGGCTAATCTGCTCTCTTCTCCCCACAGTCCCTTTCTCTTTTAACTCATCCCTTTTCTGATGTCTTTAACCTCTCTTCTATTTTCCAGAATGTGCCACTTCTTCATCAAAAATCAAGTTCTCTCGTGTGTTTAGTAAATTGCAGAACCTTGCACTGAGCTCCAGATCAAGTTCTTCTCTCCTCAGTCTGAATTCTCCTGTTGGATACGGGAGAGAAGTGAGCTTTAGCTTACATGAGTAGGGGAGGAGAGAAGGGTAAAAGTATCCACCCTGGACTACAATACACCTTTTCTCTAGGTATCTCAAAACTAATCTTGAACACATACCCGTCTTGTTCCAAAACCCTTCATGTGGTCTACAAGGCATGACTATATCTGCCACTAAAGGAACTTGAACAGCACCTGCCCCCACCCATATTTAATACTACAACATCCTCTTCTATTAAATTAACAATGAAGAACATCTTGCCCTAATTTCTAGGGCTCTTCATTGGCCATAAAGTGAAGGTTTAGAAAAATGGAGACAACAAGAAAATAAAGTTGCTTTTTGACATGTTGAGTTTGAAGTGTCTATGGTACCTCTAGATGTTTAGTAATCAGCTGAAAATATAAATCTAGAGCTCATGAGAGAGGCCAAAATGGCTGACTAAGCTAAGGAGCCATTGGCATGTAAGTGGTCTTTCATCTGGAAGCATGGGTAAAGTTGCCCTGAGGAGAGTGTTTAAAGTGAGAGGAAATCCTGGGCAACATAGCAAAACCTTGTCTCTACAAAAAACAAACAAACAAAAAAACTGGGCATTGTGGTGCACACCTGTAGTCCCAACTACTTGGAAGGCTGAGGTGGAAGAATTGCTTAAGCCCAGGAGTTTGAGGCTGCAGTGAGCTACAAGCACACCACTGCACTCCAGCCTGGGCTACAGAGTGAGACCCTGTTTCTAAAATAAATAAGCGACAAGAAGACTAGCAGAGAATTGTTGGGAACAAAAACTTTAGGGAACTGGGAAAAAGAGGAGCCTGCAGAGACAACTGAGGTCCACTGGGATATCAGAGATGAATCAGTAATGTGAATAGACTGATAACAGCAAACATATACTGTTTAAAATGTGCCAGTGCTATTTTAAGTGCTTTACAAATATTAATTCATTCAAATCTTACAATAGCCCTTTGAAGCAAACACTATTACTATCTCCATTGTGAAGATAATGAAACAGAAGGATAGAAAGCTTACATAATCTTGACACATTACAAACAGAATGCTGTTTAGAGCTAGTATTCAGAATTAGGCAATCTGGCTCCAGATCCTGTACCTTTAAACTCTTCACTATATTCTCCCTCCAGAAGCTAAGTAAGAAGACAATTTTAAGAAGAATATTGTCATTGATGTTAAAAGAAAAACTTTAGACAAATTAAATTTAGCAGAGTTTATCTGAGCAAAGAACAATTCATGAAATGGGCAGCACCCTGAACCAATAGAGATTCAGGGAGCTCCACCAGCAATGCAGGCAGGTGGTATTTACAGGCAGAAAAAGGGAGTGACGTGCAGAAACAGTTTAATTGTTTACAGGTCACCATTTGTGTTATGGACATGGTCTAATCAGTTGGCAACCTGTGATTGGCTGAAGTTCAGCTGCTATGATTGGCTGAGAATCAGCTACCTGTTACAAGAATATAGGCTTAATTCAGTTGCAGTTTGTTTACATACTGAGTTAGGTTTCAGTTTACTGCTTATGAAGGCAGCCATAGGCCAAATTTAATTTAACAGTGTCATTCACTACTATGGAATGAAATGAGGGCTGAAAAGTATCAAGGTGACCAATTATGAGGTCACTAGTAATCTTAAGAGAGCATTTTTACTGGGTTGGAGTGATAAATTCAAGGCTGATGAAAGGCACACTATACTGTGAATTCTTTGTACGTATATAACATAAAGCATTTTTCGACGTCTATTTCATTTCTATTTGAAGTCCCTCCCTGACATCCACATCCTCCAGGGATGTACATTCATTTAAAGGTAAAAGTCAATGAAACTTCATTTTTAAGCCAGTGAAGGCTTGAATAGATCTTATTTATTTAACAAGGTACTCTTTAGGTAATAAATTCTTTGGTGTACTACAGTTACTAAATATAAATTTAGTGAAGGACATTCACTATCACCTTAATGTGGTAGATCAATACTCCTATCAATAACAACTAGAATGAATAAGACACAAAAATCTATCTGAAATCTTGCTATATATAACTGCATGGATGAATGCCACAAACATAATGTTGCATTAAAGAGGACAGGCACAAAATAATATAGTCTGTAAGATTCATTTATACAAAATTCTAAAACAGGCACAATTAATCTATGGAATTAAAAGTGAAGATAATGGTTACCTTTGATAGAGGGCTGGTTGTGACATAATTTTTAGGAAGAGGCACAAAAGGCTCTTTCAAGATACTGGTTATATTCTGTCTCTTGATCTGGGGCCAGTTACATAGTTGGGTTCATGTGTTAGTTTGAGTTCTCTAAGAAGGAGACACCAACACAGAATTAAATCTTCAAGGATTTTATTAGGAAAATGCTTGTGTGAGAACATAGGGAAGGAGTTGGAAAGACTGAGAGAGTGGTCACATGCAAGTGTGACCCTGAGTAAAAGAGGAAGGGAAGATATGTTGGGTGAAAGTATCCTAGAGCACCATGAAGTCTGGGGAAGATTCAGCAAGGGTGTTGGGGAGTCCTCCAGTCTAAGTTGGCCATCAAGGAAGACCTGTGTCTCCCCGTAATGGGCCTGCCTCAGTAACACAGTCATTGATGGAAAGCAGCCCAAGGCCAGAGTGGCCTCAGCTCAGGTATAATAATAAATTGTAGAGCACAGTGGTCAATTAGGCTCCTTGTTATTAGAGGTCAGGAAGATGCATTCTAGTGATTATCAAAATGTACCTCGTAAAAATTCATTGAGCCATACATTTTATTTGTATACTTTCCTGACCACATGTTATATTTAAAGACAAAGTTTGTTTTACAGAAGCAAATGTAGTAGATTTGTCATTTTATATTCTAAAAAGCAGAAACATCAGAAAGACTATTTTCACTAGTTAATTGATATTATTTTTATTTAATGCCACTATCATCTGGGATACATTGAAATGATTCCTACTTTTATATATTGCCATATCAACCCTTATTACTGTAAAACTCTTATAAACATGAGCAAATTATATCTTCCAGTCTTACGTGCTTGAGCAGTATGACTTTTAATAACTAAAAATTGGTAAAAATTTTATAAAATGCCCGGATAATTTCTATGAAAATGTTGAGTGGGACTCAGGCCAGGTGCGGTGGCTCACGCCTGTAATCCCAGCACTCTGGGAGGCCAAGACAGGCAGATCACAAGGTCAGGAGTTCAAGACCAGCCTGGCCAATGTGGTGAAACCCCATCTCTACTAAAAATACAAAAATTAGCTGGGCATGGTGGTGCGCACCTGTAGTTCCAGCTACTCGGGAGGCTGAGGCAGGAGAATCGCAGGAGGCAGAGTTGCAGTGAGCTGAGATCAAGCCACTGCACTCCAGCCTGGATGACAGAGCGAGAATCTGTCTCAAAAAAAAAGAAAATGTTGAGTGGGACTCATATGATGCATAATCCACTTACAGAGGGCTGGGAGAAAACCTCCAATATTAGCAATTAGAAGTAAAGTAAATGATGTACAATTTATATTTATTTAAATTTGGAGAATTTATCAGAAGTTTGATGGATATGGCAGGGTTTCCTTCCCCAAACCACCATGATTACTGCCATATAAGGCATGCTCCAATTTTACAAAGAAAATTTTCTCTGGAAAAATTAATTAAAGCCAGGCACGGTGGCTTACGCCTGTAATCCCAGCACTTTGGGAGGCCGAGGAGGGCAGATCACGAGGTCAAGAGATCGAGACCATCCTGGCCAACATGGTGAAACCCCTTCTCTACTAAAAATACAAAAATTAGCTGGACTTGGTGGCCTGCACCTTTAGTCCCAGCTACTCGGGAGGCTGAGGCAGGAGAATCGCTTGAACCTGGGAGGCAGAGATTGCAGTGAGCCGAGGTCACGCCACTGCACTCCAGCCTGGCGACAGAACGAGACCCTGTCTCAAAAAAATAAATAAAATAAAATAAATTAATACATGTATTGAGGGTCTCATTTTAAAGTTTTTTTTAATAGGCTGGGCACAGTGGTTCAGACCTGCAATCCCAGCACTTTGGGAGGCTGAGGTGGGTGGATCGCTTGAGGTCAGGAGCTCAAGACCAGCCTAGCCAGCATGATGAAAGCCTGTCTCTTCTCAAAATACAAAAATTAGCTGGGCATGGTGGCACACCCCTGTAGTCTGAGCTACTTGAGAGGCGGAGGCAGGAGAATCGCTTGAACCCGGGAGGTGGAGGTTGCAGTGAACCGAGATCACACCACTGCACTCCTACCTGGGTGACAGAGCAAGACTCTGTCTCAAAAAATAAAAATAAATCAATAAATAAAGTTTTTTGTTTTGTTTTGTTTTTTGAAACGGAGTCTGGCTCTGTCGCCCCGGCTGGAGTTCAGTGGTGTCATCTTGGCACACTGCAAGCTCCACCTCCCAGGTTCAAGTAATTCTCCTGCCTCAGCCTCTCAAGTAGCTGGGACGACGGGCACCCACCACCACGCCCAGCTAATTTTTTGTATTTTTAGTACAGACAGGGTTTCACTGTGTTAGCCAGGATGGTCTCGATCTCCTGACATCATGATCCACCTGCCTTGGCCTCCCAGAGTGCTGGGATGACAGGCATGAGCCACCGGGCCAGGCCATAAAGTTTTTTAAATAAAAGAAAACATTATTTTATTCATGTAAATACAATGCAGAGAATACTGGAATCCAAAGTCAACAATCTTAAGTTCTAGACATGCAGTAATAGTTGACTAAATCCTAAAATAAGTATAAACTCCCTTAGCAAAAGAAATATATTTGTAATATTGAATATTGGTAGATAACAGGCAACAGCACATATGTTTACTAATAGAATCCTTATAAGACACATGCTATCAAAGCAAATACCAGTAGTAATTTCAGCAAATATTCATAACCAAAAGCATCAACATAATATATGTTTGCATGAAATTTTGTTTTGTTTTGTTTTTTTGAGACAGTTTCACTCTTGTTGCCCAGGCTGGAGTGCAATGGCACGATCTCTGCTCACCACAACCTCCCCCTCCCAGATTCAAGTCATTCTCCTGCCTCAGCCTCCCAAGTAGCTGGGATTACAGGCATGTGCCACCACACCCAGCTAATTCTATATTTTTAGTAGAGATGGGGTTTCTCCACGTTGGCCAGGCCGGTCTGAAACACCCCACCTCAGGTGATCCGCCCACCTTGGCCTCCCAAAGTGCTGGGATTACAGGCATGAGCCACCGTGCCCAACCTGCATGGAATTTTAATAGCCCATGTGGATGAAACAGATACATTTTTTAAAGTTGGCACAAAACAAGTGGCAAAATAGGTAATTTTAAGGAATTTCTAAACAAGTAGCTACAAGAAGTGGAATTTGTTGGGTATTGGCCACCCATCATACATTTCCCCTCTGTAGCAGGACCTAATTTCCTTTTGGATAATTACATCTTCCATCTGTGATACCGTAACAGGGGTCTTCCCTGCCCTAACAGAGTGGGACCATGGCCCATACTAAGCCTGTCAGTTGCTGAGGCAACCGTGAGAATGCACTTCACAGAGATCCAACTACAGGGAGCATAACTGACCTAGGGTCCCCAGCTGCTGCCTGCTGAAACCCACGGCCACATTTACACCAGAGGTCATGCTTCTCCGGGGCTACTCCCAGCCAATGACTAAATGCAGCAGGCCCATTCCTGGGAGAGACAGACCTCCTCTGATGGGTGGCTTCGGTTGGAGAACTCCCCAGGGCCTTTGCCAAAACTTCCTTAGACTGCACAGCCATCTAGGATCTTCCACCCTATCTTCCTTCCCTAACTCCTTCACTCAGAGTCAGACTCATGTTACGATCTGATGACCCTTCTGCTCTTCCCAGCTCCCTCCCCCTTCCCCTCACAGGCTTTTCTCCTAAAACCATCCTTGCATGTTAATCCTATCTTGGTGTCTGCCTTCTTCTCAGAGGGCCCAGGCTAACAGTCATCACCACCCCACCACACCCAAATTTGGATCATGATCAAAGAGATGAAAAGACTAAAAGCAGTCAAAATTTCTGCCACCCTGGTCATTGTAAAGGAACCAGAAGGTCCCTACTATGAGACAATTCCTCTGAGTTCTGCTTCCTAGGCTTAGTAACTGTCTTTGTATCCGACCTATTCCAAAGCTGGATTCTAAGCCTCTCATCAATTCCATGAGCTCCTAATAGCCTTCCAGTAAATTCACTCTGAATGAGATTAGCCAGAGTTTGTTTCCTTTTCCTTTTTTCTTTCCTTTTTTTTTAGATGGAGTGTTGCTCTGTCGCCTAGACTGGCATGCAGTGGTGCGATCTTGGCTCACTGCAACTTCCACCACCTGGTTTCAAGCGATTCTCCTATCTCAGCCTCCCGAGTAGCTGGGACTATAGGTGCTCGCTACCACAGGTGCACGACTGGCTAATTTTTGTATTTTTAGTAGAGACGGCATTTCACCATGTTAGCCAGGCTGTTCTCGAATTCCTGACCTCAGGTGATCTGCCCACCTCGGCCTCCCAAAGTGCTAGGATTACAGGCGTGAGCCAGTAGGCCTGGCCCAGAGTCTGTTTCTGATGTTTGAAAGCAAAGATTCTTACTTGACAGACTCTGGTACATGTAGACTAACAAATATCACAGTTAAAAAAAAAGAAAAGAAAAGAAAATGGTCACAAAAAATATAGAAACAGAAAATGTTGAAAAGATTCCCTGCCAGGCACAGGGGCTCATGCCTGTCAATCGCTTTGGGAGGCTGAGGTAGGCAGATCACTTGAGCCCAGGAGTTCAAGGTCAGCCTGGCCAACATGGGGAAACCCTGTTTCTACTAAAAATACAAAAATTAGCCAGGTGTGGTGGCATGTGCCTGTAGTCCCAGCTGCTCAGGAAGCTGAGGCATGAGAATCACTTCAACCTGGAGGTGGAGGTTGCAGTGAGCCAAGATCACACCACTGCATTCCAGCCTAGGCGACAGAGTGACTCTGTCTCAAAAAAGAACAGAAAAGAAGAGATTCCTATGTTGTAATGTTCCTTCATATGTCACATTACACTCTAGTGAGCAAAGAGGAGAAAATTAAGTGAATTTTTTTAAAAGCTGATATTTCACTCCATGTAGTAGAGTAAAATCAGTCACAAAACATCCAAGAATTAATAAAATATTTTAATCTTCATCCTGAAAACCAAGAAAATCATTTACTCTCGAAGATGAAATCCTTTGTCACTGCTGGTATCCAGAGGATTCACTTCATCACTGATGTTCACTGCATCAGAAACTGAGTCATCACTATCTTCAAACAACAGATCCTCCTCAGCACAGTGACTGGCCCACTGTGAATTCCACAGCAGCATATCTTAGGTGATGCATGTCTGGCTCCTGCCAGCCCTGGCATCTCCCAGCAGAGGAATACCTGCCCAGTTCACCCCACATTCACAGGCCCTAGACAGCTCTTGCAGTGATCTTGTTTTCCATAAGGAAATCTGGGTCCAGCTTTAAGTCTCCCTGACATGTAGTTTTCCACCTGCCATGAGACGGGTCCTGAAATCAGCCAGCTAGGGTGGACCTAGCAGCTCTGAGGGAAGAATAAAGGTTGGAAGAGGTACAGGACCCATACCACTCCAGACTCTGTCCATCATATGGGTTCTTGAGATTCAAGATAACTTGTAGATATAATACCTCAGAAAACACATGTTAAGAGTCAGCAAATATGACAGTAAAAAGAAGTAGAAACTCCCCAACAAGAATGCATAAGCAAATATAGATGAAATTTAGATAGACAAAGATGAGAAAATACAGATGAGATATTTAGATATTTTGAATATTTTGCTTTGTGTTTAGATTCCTTTTAAATGCTATAACAGACCTCATCAATTTGCCATTGGGTCTTTAGCTTGACTCATCACCAAGCCCCATGTCAGTGAACACCATTGGCTGCCTGAGGCATAAAGAGATTGCAATCCCAGATACTTGGGAGGCTGAGGTAGGAGGATCAACTGAGCCTGGGAGGTTGAGGCTCAGTGAGCCATGATCATGCCACTGCACTCCAGCCTGGGTGAGAGAGTGAGAGCCTGTCTGAAAAAAAAAAAAAAAAAAAAAAAAAAGAATCAATATAGGTACAATATCCAAATGTACTGCTCACTGAGGAACAGCAGATTAAATTTTACCCGTCACTTGTACTGACATCTCTCTCTCTCGGATAACACAAAAGCCTCCTAACTAGTCTCTGCTTCCACCCTTGTTTTTCTACAGTCTCTTATTAATACAGTTTCCAAATAAATCCTTTTGAATGCTAAATCAGATCACATCACTCCTCTGCTGCAAAACCTCCAACAATTCCCCATTTCTTGCAGATCAAAAGTCAAAGTCTTTCTAAAGACCTAGAAGGCCCAGTGTGATCTGCAACTCTGCTCCCCTCCTTTCCTTTCTGATTTCATCCCCTCACTCTCTCACCTCCAACCACACTGGTTTCCTTGTTGTTCCCCCAAACAGGCCTGTCCCTGACTCAGGCCCTGGCTGTCCTCTTTGCCTGGAACACTGTGGACCATTCTGTTCCTAGATATCTACATGGCAAACTCCTTCACCTCTCTCAAGTCTTTGCTCAAACATCCCCTTCTCAGTAAGTACTCTGCTTAAAATGGCAAATTCTTCCCACTCTTGGCACTCTCAATACCTTTTACCCTGCTGTAATTTTTTCCATAGCCCTTAATATCTTCTTAAATATTAAATACCATATAGCTTTCTTATTTACTTTGTCTATAGTTGTAGTTTTCCTTCATTAGACTCGAAGCTCCACATGTGTCATTCACTGCCATATCCTAATAGCACAGAACAGATCTTGGCATAGAATGGCACTCGATTAGTGTTGGTTGAATGAAGAAATGAATGGGTGAATAAATTAGCAAGGATTCTATTAGTTGACTTCTCTGTGGTACTTTGGAAATCACTAGATACTCTCAGTTCTGCTTGGCAATGTGTTATGTGAAGTGACAGCTGCTGCTCTGACTTGCTACAGCTAATGATGCTCAGAAATGGGCACTTCGTAGGATGTCCTTCTGCCTGCTGCACTTTCAGGTACCCCCACACTCAGTCATCGCAGTCACTCCATCTTGTATGCACTATTGCAGATCTTTGTTTCGAATCCAGTTGTCTTTTGTCTGGGCCATTGATCTTTTTGGCCCTCTATTTTTGCTTCCCGAGACTCCTTCATTGGGTCCCCCACCTCAGGCCCCCATTGCTGTTCACCTGTACCCCAGGCAGTTCTGATTTTGTACCCCCAAAATTCTAGCTGAGGTCAGAGCTCTGGACTCTCCACTACCAGGGAAGAAAAATTGGATATTTGATTCATTTCCCTACTTTTAAACAACCAGCAGGAAAATGAAGGGTTGGCTGATTTATCTGTGGAATAAGCAAATTCAGATTCAGATGATGACAAATAATCTAGACAATTCAGTTTCTGGGCTTGTTTTCCTGAATCATCCAGAGCATTAACACGGCAAATAAAACCCACCAGATAATCTTATTATCTTTCATCTTTTTCTCCATATCGTGGTAGTTTCTCAAGACAAAATATGGCTATTTGCTTTCTTTGAGAGCAAATGTCGATCTTGTACTTAATCTGCCTTCTGCTAAACTAGGGCACAGTAGACTCCTCCTTGTGACTAATAGAGATTCCAGAAATGGAAATTAGGATACAATTTTTAACCTTTACAGAATGAGAAGCCTTGGAGCTAAGCTTTCTTTACATTGTTTAAATCCTTGAAATAAGTCATAATTGCTTCATGGCCCAGCTATCTCATTCCTATAGGACCGAAATCTTACCAATCTTGATTTCTAGTTTGACAAGAGGATAAAAAAGAAAATCCTGTGAGAAGCTAGTATCCTTTTAGATAAGTTATTTCTGTGTCTCTCTGGAAATGATCTTGCAAAGGGCTAATGATACATAATCAGATTTACAGAGCAACATGAGTCACATCATCTCATTTGATTCTGCTAATATGCTTAGTGATTAGACAGAAAAAAATATATTGTTGTTCCCATTTTTAAAACAGAGAAAGTGGAACATAGCATTTTCAGAAATCTGGGCCACAGATCATTGGTAAAACAGTAAGCCTGTAGTTTTGATTCCCAGTTCATTAGGAAGTTAATGTAAGGGTGGCCAGGCGCAGTGGCTCATGCCTGTAATCCCAGCACTTTGGGAGGCCGAGGCGGGTGGATCACGAGTCAGGGGTTCAAGACCAGCCTGATCAACATGGTGAAACGCTGTCTGTACTAAAAATATAAAAATTAGCCGGGCGTGGTGGTGGGCGCCTGTAATCCCAGCTACTCAGGAGGCTGAGGCAGGAGAATTGCTTGAACCTGTGAAGCGAAGTTTGCAGTGAGCTGAGATCACACCACTGCACTCCAACCTGGGCGACACAGCGAGACTCCATCTCAAAAAAAAAAAAAAAAAAAGAAAAAGGAAGTTAACATAAGGGCAATAAGTATTAGGGAGAGGTCCCCAGGAAGAAGGTGAGAAGGACTGCAGAAAAGAAAGAACTGAATTATCAGCAACATAAACACCAGCAACAAATATTTACCTAGAATCGACTGCATGCTAAGTCTGGGGATATAATGAGACAAATAATAAGAAGAATAACCCTGCTGTCAAGGAATTTGTAGTGACATGTAGGGTATAAACATTAAAATAAATGGTGACATAAATGAGAAAGACTAGATGTAGGGTGACCACATTTTTCAACTGAAAATTAGGTTTTGTGATCTGAGGGTGCTTACAGAGACAGAATATTTTATTTCATTGCCAATCAGCAATATGGAACTCAGAGGAAGGAGTGATTCTTAAGAATCTGGGCTGGCTTGTTAGACAATCTTGTCTGATGCCATGGGCAACTCTAGCTAGGCCCCCACCCTATGAGGGGAGAGTTAAGCCACTAGTCTCTACTTTTATCTTGTATAACACAATTTCCTGAAGACATTTTCTCCCCAAAATGCTCCTGTATTTCACTGTGGCAGCAAGACATCCAGCTTCCAGATGGAAAAATGAGATGCCAGTCTCCTCTCCTGTAGATAGCGCCGATCTCTAAAGTAGATCATTTGGATCCCTTCCAAGTGGAACTGCTTCTTTTGACTTGCTGGTGGGAGAGGAAGCATGTTAATAAGGCATTCTAATTATACGAATTCTCTTACTACCAAGAAGCTCATTAATAAATCTCCCCTTTTCTTACCAACTTGGAGATGGGTAATAGTAGTGATTATTAAAGATCAGGAGCCCAGTGTGGTGGCTCATGCCTGTAAGCCCAAACATTTGGGAGGCCAAGGTGGGAGGATCACTTGAAGTTGGGAGTTCAAAACCAACCTGGGCAACAAAGCAAGACCAGTCTCTGCAAAATGAATAAATAAAGAAACAAAAATTAGCCAGGCATGGTGGTGCGTGCCTGTAGTCCCAGCTACTTGGGAGGCTGAGGTGGGATGATCCACTGAGTCCAGAAGGTTGAGGCTGCAGTGAGCCGTGATGTGGCCACTGCACTCCAGCCTGGGTGACAAAGCGAGACCATGTCTCAAAAAACAAAAAACAAAGATCGGTTTGGTCACCTTTTAGTAAGTCTTGCATGAATGTATCTAACATCTCTCTTTTGAACACAGGGGCATTTGTCACCTGTCATCCACAGCTTTGAGGCTGGTGCTGAAATTTTCAGACAAGAAAATCTCTTTCCACATCCAATGACATGGGCAATGGGAGTCTGAGGAAGGGGAAGACATAAGGAAAGGGAATACACTTAAATTTTTCTGTTTTACAATTTGCCTAAGGCCCTGGTGGTCTTCCTACAGGCCTCAGCAAACTGTCTTAAATGATGAGTTTGGCTCTGCCTGGTGCTGTGGCTGCCTGAGTTAATACAGGTAGTGCCCACAGGCCTGAATAGTCGCTGCTGTGTGTTACAGGCAGCATCATATTCCCATCCACACTGAGTCAGTCTCTTTCTTGCTTTGCATTAGGGAGCATTGCTTTGCTTTATTTTTTCAGTCGCTATCTAATATTCTTTCAAGATGAACTTAAATACATATTTGTGCACCTAAATTTGAGTATTATTTTCTTTCTGTGTTATGTTTTTTGAGATGGAGTTTTGCTCTTGTTGCCCCAGGCTGGAGTGCAATGGTGCAATCTCGGCTCACTGCAACCTCCGCCTCCCAGGTTCAAGGGATTCTCCTACCTCCGGAGTAGCTGAGGTTACAGGCATGTGCCACCATGCTTGGCTAATTTTTGTATTATTAGTAGAAACGGGGTTTCACCATGTTGCCCAGGCTGGTCTTGAACTCCTGACCTCAGGTGATCCACCTGCCTCGACCTCCCAAAGTGCTGGGATTACAGACTTGAGCCACCATGCCCAGCCTAAAGTAATTTTTTAAGCCAATATGTGACTGTATACTGTCTCCAAAATGGACATTTAGCATATTCCTCTGATATGTGCACTCCATGCAGATTGTGGTAAACATTTGACGTATTGAAGGGAAAAACTTGGGCTTGGCTTAAAAAAATTCTCCATTTGATTTTTTGAACATTACAGCAGTAACCCATGCTTGCAATAACAAGTAAAATTACATGGTACAAACATATATAAAAGATGAAGCTAATGATCTCTTCTTCTATTTATGTGGTATAATTTGCATAATAAGACACAGGGTCTGACTGTATTTTTTTTCCAGATGGATAGACAGTCCACCTATAGCTACATGTCTTCAATAACAGATGGCATTTATTTCTCTCATTTTTCATGCCCTTTGAAATATTTTAAAAGTTCAGGCCAGGCACGGTGGCTCATGCCTGTAATTCCAGCACTTTGGGAAAGTCCCGCTGAGGTGGAAGGATGGCTTGAGCTCAGGAGTTTGAGACCAGCCTGGGCAACAAGAGTGAGACCTTGTCTCAAAAAAATAAATAAAAATAAAAACTTAGAAGCTATCTATTTCTAATTGAAATTGTAATGAGATAATCATAGATTAACATGCAGTTATAAGTAAAAATACAGAGAGATGCCTTGTACCCTTTGCCCAATTTCCCCAGTGGTAACATTATGGAAAACTACAGGACGATATCAGAACCAGGATATTGACATTGTACAATCCACCAATTTTATTCAGGCTTTCCCAGTTTTCCTTACTTGTATTGATTTTTGTGTATGCCTGTGTGTGTGTGTGTGTGTATATTTAGTTCTGTATAATATTATTCCATGTGTATCCACCATCATAGTCGAGATACTGAAGTTTCACCACCCCAGTAATTTTTCATGTTGCTCGTTTATGACACCAACCTCCCTACCCCTGTCCTTAACCCCTGGCAACTGCTAAACTGTTCTTTATTTCTTAATTTTTTTCATTTCAGAAATGTCATATAAATGGACTTATATAGTACGTATCCTTTTGGGTTTGGCTTTTCTTCCCTCAGCATAATTCCCTGACGACTAATCCAAATTATTGTATCTATCAATAGTTTGTTCATTTTTATTACTGAGTATTAGTCCATAGTGTGTATACACCACAACTTTAAACATTTTTAAATTGACAAATAAAAAGTATATATTTGTATGTATAATATGATATTTTGAAATATCTATACATTGTGTAATGACTAAATTGAGCTACTTAACATATGTATTATCTCACAGACACATTTTTGGGGGGCAAGAACACTTAAAATCTATGCAGCAATTTTCAAGTATACAATATATATTATTAACTATAGTCACCGTGTTGTACAGTCTCTTGAAACCTTATCCCTCCTGTCTAAATGAACTTCTGTATATTTTGACCAACATCTCCCCAATCTCCCCCACCCCTTTAGCCCTGGAAACGACCATTCTACTCTCCACTTCAATGAGTTCAACTTTGTTAGATTCCACATGTAAGTGAGATCCTGTGGTA
Organism: Homo sapiens; assembly: GCF_000001405.40. Lineage (NCBI taxonomy): Eukaryota > Metazoa > Chordata > Mammalia > Primates > Hominidae > Homo > Homo sapiens. The sequence continues at coordinate 200,702,360 of NC_000001.11, read as the reverse complement.
TCCGTCTTTCTGTATCTGGCTCATTTCACTTAACCTAATGTCCTTCAGATTCATCTATGTTGTTGCAAATGACAGGATTTCCAACGTTTTGATGGGTGAACAGTATTCCACTCTGTGTATATACCACATTTTCTTTATCCATTCATCTATCAGTAAACACTTAGGTTGATCTTGGCTACTGTGAATAATGCTACAATGAACATATACCACAGTCTGTTTAATCATTCACCTGCTGAAAGACATGTGGGCTGCTTCCAGTTTTGGGGCCACTAGGAATAAAAATGCTATAAATATTTATGTGTAGGTTTTTGTGTTAATATAAATGTTCATGTCTCTGGGATAGATGCCCAAGAATGCAATGGCCGGGTGGTATGGTAAATTGCTTGTTTAGTTTTATAAGAAACTACCAAACTGTTTTCCAGAGTGGTTGTACCCTTTTACGTTCCCACCAGCAAAATATGAGTGGTCCAATTTCTCCATATCCTTGCCAGCATTTGGTGTTTTCACTATTTTACTATAATTCAATACTACTTTATTTTGTTGCTCGAATTGTTCCAGCTTTGATTAAATTTTATTTTATTTTATTTTATATTCATTTTATTTAATTTATTAAATTTTATTTGACCGGTTTGTAGTTAAATCCCATCGTGGTTTTAGCTTGCATTTCCCGATGGCTAATGATGTTGAGCATGTTTTCATGTGCTTAGTTGCTATACAGAGCCTCTTCAGTGAAATGTTCGTTCATGTCTTTGCACATTTTCTAACTGAGTTGCTTGGGTGTTTTACTGTTGTGTTCAAAAGGATCTTTATATATTCTAGATGCTAATCTTTTGTCGGATCTGTGATTTGAAAATATTTTCTCCCAATCTGTAGTTTATCTTTTCATCCTCTTCACATGGGCTTTGGCAGAGCAAAAGTTTTAAATTTTGATGAGGTCCAATTGATTAATTCTTCCTTTCATGATTCATGCTTTTGGTGTCAAGTATAAGAACTTTGTCTAGCCCTAAATTCCCTAGATTTTCTCCTACTTTTTTACAAAAAGGTTTATAGTTTTAAATTTTATGTTTAAGTCTGAAATCCATTTTGATGTAATTTTTGTATAAAGTGCAAGCTATTTTTATGAAGTATTCTCTTCAAAGTTCTTTAGATAGTTTATAATAGGGGTTATATTAAAAATGTTTAACAACCAGTGTTTTGTGCAGGAACCTACCAGTTGAATGGATGTTAGCCATTAACTCCAGTATACCTGTATTAGTGCACTTTGATGAATATCCACTCCCAGTTATAATTTCAGTTTTTATTCCCTCTTTAGACCAAAGATAAGCTAGCATGTGTTGATATGTTTCGTTATTTCCAAGTGGTTAATGTAATCCTACTTCATGGGTTGTTGTGAGAATTAAATAAATTGTTACATGTAAAGTGCTTAGGCACCTGCCATACAGAATGAACTAAAAAAAAAATGCTAGCAAATATATTGCTACATGTTTTTACTTTAGGTCTCCCTTTTATTTATTTTATGGATTAAAGGATGTATGTGCTCTTTCTGAGGGATATAAGGCTCTATGTATGTTTATTAAATCTGCATATTAATGCATTTTTTCTACATTTCCTTAATTTTTTGTCTGCTTTATTTGTCCAATTCTGAAAAAAGATATGTTGAAATTTATTAACACGATTGAATTTTTATTAGGTTTTTCCCTGCATTTCTATTAGCTTTTACTTTATATATGTGGTGTTTTAAAATATATTCACAGGCCGGGCGCAGTGGCTCATGCCTGTAATCCCAGCACTTTGGGAGGCTGAGGCAGGCGGGTGACAAGGTCAGGAGTCTGAGACCACCCTGGCCAACATAGTGAAATCCCGTCTCTACTAAAAAAATACACAAAATTAGCTGGGGGTGGTGGCGGGTTCCTGTAATCACAGCTACTTGGGAGGCTGAGGCAGGAGAATCGCTTGAACCTGGGGAGAGAAGGTTGCAGTGAGCCAAGATTGTGCCATTACAGTCCACCCCGGGCAACAGTGCAAGACTCCATCTCAAAATAAATATTTTAACACTTCTTATTTCAAAGGTGGCATCTAATTGCCCTCTCCTTGAACATAGCCTGGATTTAGTGACTTGCTTCTAGAATGATACTGTGCAACCTCTGAGGCTGCTCCTGGCTTCCTCTGTTGTGGATAACTAGCCCTGGGTCATGCTGGCCACCATATCATGAGGACACTTGAGCAGCCCTAGGCCTAGCAGAGCCCACCTGCAGGGAACTGAGGTTTCCTGCCGAGAGCTAAACAACTTGACAGCTATATGAGTGACTCACCAGGGAAGCTGATCCTCCAGTTCCTGTTTAGCCTTCAAGTAACTGCAGCCTGGGCCCACATCATGAGTTCATCTCTGTGAGAGACTTCAAGACAGATTTTCCTAGCTAAGCCACTCTTGGCTCACAAAAACAGAGATAACAAATGCATACTGTTGTTTTCAGTCACTAAATTTTGGGATAATTTGTTATGCAATGACAGATAATTAATTATATTTCTATATTATATATGTATGCACTTTATATATTTTATATATGTATATATCGAAGTTAATTTGTTATGGCTGGGCACAGTGGCTCACACCTGTAATCCTAGCACTTTGGGAGGCCAAGATAGATGGATCACCTGGGGTCAGGAGTTCCAGACTGGCCTGACCAACATGGCAAAACTTCGTCTCTACTAAAAATACAAAAATCAGCCAGGCATGGTGGTGCATGTCTATAGTCCCAGCTACTTGGGAGGCTGAGGCAGGAGAATCGCTTGAACCTGAGAGGCAGAGAGATTGCAGTGAGCCAAGAGCACACCACTACACTCCAGCCTGGGCAACAGAGTGAGACTCCATCTCAAAAATAATTTATCAATTTGTATATTTAAATCTTTTTCTTAACTGATAGTATGTCTGTGATATAGTCTCTGAGTCCTTGTATATTTACAAATATCTTTCATTCACACTGACATGCAAATAACTTGCTTTGATAAAGAATTCTTGGATTGTAGTCTTTTTCTCTCAGTAGTTTGTAGAGTATGCCCCATTTTCTTTTAGCCTCCAAAGTTGGAGATAAATTACATGTCTGGTTGTTTTTCTTGTCAATTTACTCATTTTTTCACCAGTGGAAACTTGTTAGATTTTCTTTTAAAGTTCAAGAATGTGGCCAGGTGCGGTGGCTCATGCCTGTAATCCCAGCACTTTGGGAGGCCGAGGCGGGCAGATCACGAGGTCTAACATGGTGAAACCCCATCTCTACTAAAATACAAAAAAAAAAAAAAATTAGCTGGGCTTGGTGGCAAGCACCTGTATGTAGTCCCAGTCCCAGCTACTCGGAAGGCTGAGGCAGGGGAATTACTTGAACCTGGGAGGTGGAGGTTGCAGTGAGCCGAGATTGTATCACTGCACTCCAGCCTGGCGACAGAGCAAGACTCTGTCTCAAAACAAACAAACAAACAAACAAACAAAAACAAAAAGAAACCCCCCCCAAAAAAAAAAAACCAAAAAAAAGTTCAAGAATGTTACCAGCATATGCTTAGATATGTTTATCATTAATTATTCCTGGAACTTAGCCTTTTGAATTTGCAGACTCAGATGTTTCTTCAACACAAAATATTTTCTTCTATTATTATCTCTCCTCCATCTTCTTTTTTTTTTCTCTTTCTAGAATCTATCCTCTAGGGTCTATCCTCCAAATTTCTTATCTTTGATTTTTTTTTTTTTGGTCATAATTTCTATCCCTCTGTATTTTTGCTCTGTCAGTTGAGATATTTCTTCCATTGGATTTTCTAGGCTTCTAATTTTATTCTCAACCCTGGCCTTTATTTTATTATTACACTTATAGTCTGAAAAATCATGGTTTTATTTATCTCCAGAGCATTTCTTTTGTGCTGCACTTAGACCTCCTTTGTGTTCTTATTAATTTGTTCTTGCTGCACAAGTTATCATCTGCCTCTTTCAGCAACTCTGTTTCATAAGGGACTTACTCTATTCAATTTTCTCCTTCTCTTCCTGGTTTTGGGTGCCTTGGAAGTAGCTTCAGTGTCACCGAAAGGGTGAAAGACAGCAGTGTCTGCATGTTTCATGTTGTATAATAGCAGATAGTTTTTCAGGAAGGAAGGAAGCTCCCTGATCTCCTCATGTTCTCCTGGCCTCAGTTTGGTTCTCCCCCAGCAGCTGCAGTCAGGGAGAATATGTGTACTTTCACAGAGCAGAAATCAACCTCTTGGCAGGCCAGCTATCATGGCACCACAAGAGGGTCCAGCTGCCAGCAACCACCATTTTTAGATTTTCATGTCAGGACTATCCAGCTTTAATCCTCAGCTCCTGTCCCTCCCGCTCTGAAGAAACCATTACATCAGGTTTATGATTCTCCCCTTCCAGGTCACTCCTGCCTACTGATTGGCCCCAGCAGATGGAGTCAAGATGGAGTTGGAAGGAGAGAGAATGTGAGAGACACTAAGCTGCCATCTTTTCTTTACTTAAATTTGAAATTAATTGTTTTTCATATTCATCCAGATCATCTTTCATGCTAAATGGATAGTGTGCAAATAAAGTCTTTGTGAGTGTATTAGTCTGTTTTCATACTGCTATATATAACTGCCTGAGACTGGATAATTTATAAAGGGAAGAGGTTTAATTGACTCACAGTTCAGCGTGGCTGGGGAGGCCTCAGGAAACTTGCAATCATGGCGGAAGGTGAATGGGAAGCAAGGTACCGTCTTCACACGGCAGCAGGAAGGAGAAGTGCCGAGTGAAGGGGAAAGAGCCTCTTATAAAACCATCAGATCTTGTGAGAACTCACTCATTATCATGAGAACAGCATGGGGGAAACTGCCCCCATGCTTCAATTACCTCCTGGTCTCTCCCTTGACATGTGAGGATTATAATTCAAAGATGAGATTTGGGTGGGGACACAGAGCCTAACCATATCAACGAGTCATCTAAATATAAAAGCAAACTTGGAACTATAATTTCAAGGAACATTTTATGTATTCCTTACAATGCTCAAACCAACCAAGTGATTTTTGTTCAGACTCTCCAATGTGAATGTTTGTATGTAGACATCAAGCGTAAGAAATGTCAAACCTGGCATGAAAACCCAACAAATGTCAGAATCCATGGTTTTAGAGTGGAATGGTCATTTGATCTCTATGCAGACCTCAGCATATTTCTTCATCTTTTTTTTTATCCTCTGGAAAGCTATAATTTGAATTTAAGAACAGTATTTAGAAGCAAAATGCTAATCAAAATCAGAAAAACATGTATTAAATCCTCTTATGAGGCGCTATGTAAAGCAGAACTCAGCATCCATATTTGAAGACGTGAAGCACTTTTTCCAACCCCAGCATTAGCTCTGCATGGATCCCAAATTTCTTCTTGCACATTTCAGGGACTCTCCCAGATTGATTCTCCTCCTAGCTAGTCCAGTTTTTCTCCCGGAAATCCATTTTTCCACAGTTTGCCTTAAAGGGGGTTGTTTCTGCTATTTTGAAGCAGGCTCACAAATCTGTGCACTTAAAGGGTTTTTACTGGTCTATATTACTGAGAAATAGAAGATTTAAAATTAACATTAGAAAAGTTACAGAAGTTAGGCCGGGTGCGGTGCCTCACGCCTGTAATCCCAGCACTTTGGGAGACTAAGGTGGGCGGATGATGGGGTCAGGAGATGCAGACCATCCTGGCCAGCATGGTGAAACCCCATTTCTACCAAAAATACAAAAATTAACTGGGCATGGTGGTGCGCACCTGCAGTCCCAGCTACTTCGGAGGCTGAGGCAGGAGAATCGCTTGAACCCAAGAGGCAGATGTTGCAGTGAGCTGAGATCATGCCACTGCACTCCAGCCTGGTGATAGAGTGAGACTGCATCTCAAAAAATAAAATAAAATAAAATAAAATAAAATAAAATAAAATAAAAAGTTACAGAAGTTTATAAAATCACCAAAAGTTAACTTAAATACATGTCCTTAGGCCACAATGAAACACTTGAAGCTAGGAAGCCTCACTCAGTCCCTTTCTTTGGTCACCTCCATTGCGAGTTGTAAGAGTGAGCTTTGGGAGACCTCCCTTTTCCATCACTCTTATTCTCTGGCTGTAGCTCAAGAAGATCAAATGGAGGTTTCCCCTCCCACCACACTCAGCCCGTCTCCTTTTCTGTCAGTCTCAGATATTGTGGTAATCTTATTTGGATAGTACTTTGGGTATGCACTTATAATTCATCAAAATACTTATGTTCATCACATACATATTACTTGTATTTGAGGATTTCAGTGAAACTCTTAGGTTAGAACATTTGATGTGGGTCATTTATATCCCCAGAGAGTTCTGTGTCTATAACCTTCATGCAGGACATAGTCACTTTCAATTATCGCTTAACAAGTATCACAGACTGAAGGAATTATGAAGTAATTTGTCCTTAATGTTCACTAATAATCAGGCCCATTTGTAATTCATAGCTTCAAATCTAATTTAAGTCTGAGAGGAGGCTCAAAGAAAATTCAAATTTGCCAGGCATGGTGGCTCATGCCTGTAATCTCAGCACTTTGGGAGGCCAAGAGGCAGGCAGATCACTTGAGCCCAGGAGTTCGAGCCCAGCCCAGGCAACATGGCGAAACTCCTTCTCTACAAAAAAATACAAAAATTGGCCAGGTTTGGTGGCACGTGCCTGTGGTCCCAGCTACTCGGGAGGCTGAGGTGGAAGGATTGCTTGAGCTGGAGAGGTCATGGCTGTAGTGAGTTGAAATTGTGCTACTGCATTCCAGTGTGGGCGGTGGGCGACAGAGCAAGACTCTATCTCAAAAAAAAAAAAAAAAAAGAAAAGAGAATTATTATTAAGGGTCTAGAAAATAAGACTATATGAGGAAAGGTAGCAGAGTTTGTTAATCCTGGTACTTTTAACATTTGGGGATTATTCTTTGTTGTGTGTGTGTGTGTGTGTGATACACTGTCTTGTGTATCGTAGAGTGGTTAGCACCATGTTTGGCCTCTGCCCATTATATGCCAGTAGCATTCCCCCTCCATCTGTGACAACTAAAAAATGTCTACAGAAATTGTCAACTGTCCCTTGGAGGTAAAATTGCCCCCAGTTGAGAACTACTAAGTTAAAGGGGTTAAGATATTCATCATAAATAAGAACTCTTTTTTCCAGTGTCCAAACATATGAAGGGCTCTCACACTGATGACAGTCACTAGCAGCTTTCTATTTTCACTGATAACAGAAAAATTTCAGCTCAAAGGATTTGTATAAAATATAGTTGATCAATTTCTTGTGAGGCTTGTTATGCACTGAAATGGATTACTAAGACAAGAATGGAATTCCTTTCTCTGCCGGTCTTTAAAGAGAGATAAATCTCTCATTTCTAGCATAATTCTGCTGCAATCATTCCCTAGAGAAGATGTGCTGGAAGACCTCTCAGCTCCTTTTAGCTTATATTCTATTATCTGGCAAACTGCAAGAGCTGTCTGGGCTTCTTGTGCATTAGAACACCAGAGCTACCCTGTTGATCAAATGGGACTTTTCCAAAAAGGCAACACGAAATATGAATGTTTCTTATTGTGTTGACTTTATTGGAAAAAATACAGGAATCCATAAAATTGTCCCTCGGTATTTTCTTTTGAAGATACTTCTCAAGGGGCTTGTAAGATGTTTGACTAATTCTGTGTTACATTTGATATTATCTTACTGTGAATTATTTATTCACTCTAAGTGGTAAGAAGTATTGTTGTGCTTTTAAAGTACCACAGGATGAGAATATGGGGTTTGTGTGAAAACAGAGACTGACTTCTTAGAAAAGAAGCTGTCCAAAGGAGAAAAAAATTGCTTGATGACTTTTTAAACTTATCTATAGTCCTACTTCACTCCAGAAAGAACTTAAGGCTGAATTCTTGATAATGACCAAATTTTTAAGCTCTCGAATCTACAGTAATGTTGGTTGGCAATGTGTGAGACAGAATTCTTGAACTAGATTTTGAAGCCTATAATCAGACCAGTGCTTCAAATTTTGGAAATGCAGAGTAGAACAATGATGCTTTGCATTTCTTTTCTATATGATAATAATTTATTCATTTAAATATATGAACCAGTCAGATATCACTTGGTTTTAAAAAATTATTTTAATTCTTAATTGTATAATTTTACATTTTGGAGATTTTAGAAATGGTCACAAATATATCAGTTAGGACTCTTTCTGTTGCAGGATTACAGAAAACACTAGTGTAAAGAAAAAAGGGGTGGGGAGGAGGAGGGAGGGCTTACTGGATCTTGTGCCTAAGAAGCCCAAGTGTAGGCTGGGCATGGTGGCTCACGCCTGTAATCCCAGCACTTTGGGAGGCCGAGGTGGGTGGATCACCTGAGGTCAGGAGTTCGAGACCAGACTGACCAACCTGGTGAAACCCCATCTCTACTAAAAATACAAAAATTAGCCAGGCGTGGTGGCAGGCGCCTGTAATCCCAGCTACTCAGGTGGTTGAGGCAGGAGAACTGCTTGAATCCAAGAGGCAGAGGTTGTAGTGAGCTGAGATCGCTGAGATCGCTGAGATCGCTGAGGTCGCACCACTGCACTCCAGCCGGGGCGACAAGAGCAAAACTCCATCTAAAAAAAAAAAAAAAAAGATGTTCCAGTGTAGAGCAGACTCCAAATATGGCTGGATCCTAGGATAAAAATAAAATAACATAAAATTGGTCTTATTGCCAGGGTCCATGCAGCAAGATGACTGTAAACTTAAAGTAAGTCAGCTTTCCTAGTAGCTGTAATGAAGTCATGTGCCCATTCTTGAAACAGCTGTTGTTGTCTAGGGAATGTGAAGTTCTGGTTGGCTAGGCTAGGTCACAAGTCACCCCTAGAGTTGGTCACAAGTCACTGCTAGAGCTAAGAATGGAGTCATACCTGCAGAGCCCCATGGACTAAGAGTGAGGGAGAATGGATTCTCAAATAAAAATGAGTATATCACTGAAAGTAGAGTGAATGGATGTTAGGTAGTCAAGGACAAATGTCCATCACATACATATTACTTGTATTTGGGTATTTCAGTGAAACTCTTAGTTTAGAACACATTATCATTATGATATCTGGTCACATAGCTTCTTTTTAGAGTTATCGTCACAAAGAATGCCAATAGTCCACTACTATGCATTATCTCCTTATTCTGAAGTCAGAGAATTAGTATCCAGGAACATGGCTAGTCAGAATAATCCTTATGTTTCCCACTTCCCCTACTGATAGGTGTGGCCATGTGGCAAAGTTATAACCAATGAGACGTGAGTAGAAGTGATTCATGTAACTTTCAGCTTGTATCCTTAATAGGAAAGTGGGTTGGGCCACTCCTTCATATACAGTAGTGCCCCTTATCCAAGAGAAATAGGTTCCAAGACCCCAGTGGATTCCTGGAACCACAGGTAGCACTATATACTATGTTTTTTTCCTATATGTACATATCTATGATAAAGTTTAGTTTATAAATTAGGCATAGTAAGAGATGAACAACAATAACATAATAAAATAGAATAATTATAGATAAGTTTCTGAGTAAATTTAAATAGAGCAATTTAAAACTTACGTATTATTTCTGGAATTTAATATTTTCATTTAGTATTTTCAGACTGTGGTTAACGATGGGTAACTGATATCACTGGAAACAAAACTGTGAATGAAGAGAGACTGCTTTGATTCCTGAGTTTTCTCTGTCTTCATCTTATCTTCCCTTTTCTAGGGACTTTTTTTTTTTTTAATCATCATCTTCATGCTTCAGGTCCTTCACTAACATCTGCCCTTGGAAAATGGGCTCATAAACTCAGTAAAGTTTGTGATTGACAGATTTAATGTGCTGACTCCTAGGAGTGTTCATTTCAGGACAAAAAGGTTTAACTAAAAGGTACACTTCTATTATTGTAGGATTTACGCCAACAAAAGTCAGTAAGAAAGGAGTTTTTGATATTGTTTTTGTCTTTAGTAGGGAAGAGCTTCTTGTTAGCTCTTGAATTTTTATTTTTTTTTTTTTTACCATCAGTTCCTTTAAATGAGGAAGCAAATAAGGATCACATACTACATTTAGTTAGTATGTTTCTTTTAAACTATGGGTTCCTCCCCTGTTTCTGTCACTCTCACTTTTCTTTCCTTGAAATGTATTTGTCGTTTTTCCCGTAAAGTTTCCCACAGTCTGAATTTTGCTAATTGCATCCCACTGATGTCGTTTAAAAGATTCCTCTATCTGTTATATTTTCTGTAAATGAATACATCTAGAGGTTCAATTCAATTGAGGTTCAATTTTTTGGTGAGATACTTTGTAAGTGGTTTGTGTACTTTCATTAGAGACACACAATACATGGTTGTCTCTTTGTGTGAGGCTGATTGATCAGTGGATTCAGGCTTTGCCAGGCTGAATCATATGCTATAAAGTTCTCCGTCAGCTTTTCCCCTAATGCTTTTAGCAATCATTGGTGATCTTTGCTTGCATCCATTATTTCATTAGAGATTGCAGCACTGTGATATTCTAATTCTATTATGCCTGCTCTACTCATTAGCTAGAATATCCCCATAAAGGAAAACTTTCTTTCATCCACTAATGGTTACCCTGAGGTACAGTTTATACAGAAAGGTCAGACAATCGTTTGATTCTTTCTTTTTACTTACACATTTTAAAATTGTAAGTTGATTCCCTAGCATCCTCCAAAAGTAACCCATGAAAATTTTAGGTTTTTTTCTTTTTTTGGTCATTATGAAATCTATCTACATGTAAGATGAACATAAGTAAGGCTAGGTAAAATTATTATTTATTATTTTTCAATTTCTACATATGAAAGGAAATCAATTCCACAGCCTACTATATGACACATTTATGCTACTATGATTATTTTAAAAAGCAATTAAACAGTAAACTAAATACTGTTTTTTTTTTAGTGACAAGGTGAAAAATTAAAATTAAGAAAATATACAAATTGATACTTGCCTATTTATAGAAAGCAAATTAGGTTAAGATGTATCAGCCATATTCATAGCAAAATTTTAATTGACTCCAAAAATGTAACATCTTCACATTTCTCAAAATCTAATTCAAATCAGAAAATATTTGCAATGCTTTTTTGAAATGTTGTTTTGGGAATAATTAAAATGGCACAGTTATTTAAAACTGTGACCTTCCAGAAAAACAGGCTATCCAGGTTTACAGTGCAATCTTTTGCATGACTTAACCTTATAAAAAGTATGGAAACTCTAAGTGTAGGGATAAGAATGTTTAAGAGGGAGAATATTGGGGCCAGGAGCTCCCTTTGGTTCTATTCTTTTCCAAAAAAATCTGCAAATGGCACCTGCTAATGCTTTCTCTAGTGTGAGGGCCATCAATTACCCTAAGCTGGAAAATAAATTTCTATCATTTTGTTGGTAGCTTGCTAGATTATTAAATCTTGTAAGTAATTCAAATATTTTTGTATCAGGTACTGCCAAGGTGCTGGTGATACAAAGGTAAAAAAGTCAGAGTGTTTACCTTCAGGGATTTTACAGTAGAGTGAGTAAGGCGGCCCAGGAAACAGGCAGGAAACCCTAGTGAAAAGCTCTGATATAGCCCCAGTGTGAAATTTTTCTTCCAAAATAATTATTACATTATAACACTGAGTGAAAGCCTAATCTTGCATTTGCTTATAAGGACAAACACACACCCCCAGTGCACTCTCCTCCCACCCCCATCACTGTCCTTTTGCTTAAATATAATCTCCAAGGGATGCAAGCACAACTACATCCTTGGCTCTTATAAACTTGGGACATTGCTGGGCGCGGTGGCTCACGCCTGTAATCCCAGCACCTTGGGAGGCCGAGGCGGGTGGATCACCTGAGGTCAGATGTTCAAGACCAGCCTGGTCAATGTGGTGAAACCCTGTCTCTAATAAAAACACAAAAATTAGCTGGGCGTGGTGGTGCATACCTGTAATCCCAGCTACTTGGGAGGCTGAGGCAGGAGAATTGCTTGTACCTGGGAGGTCGAGGTTGCAGTGAGCTGAGATTGTGCCACTGCACTCCAGCCTGGGTGACAGAGTGAGATTCCGTCTAAAAAAAAAAAGTAAATAAAAATAATAATAATAAACTTGGGCCATTACCGTACATACCTAACACTTCTGACAGTAGGTTTCAGCCCAGCTATGGGTCTGCCTGCCTCACCAAAGAAAGAAGAGCCTTCAGTTCTCCACCTTATTATTCAGGGGTAGGTCATAATCCATCAATTAATACTGAAAGGATTTAAACATATACATCTGCGGTCATGTTTTTTTGTTTGTTTGTTTGTTTGTTTGTTTTGAGACGGAGTCTCGCTCTGTTGCCCAGGCTGGAGTGCAGTGGCGCGATCTCGGGTCACCGCAAGCTCCACCTCCCAGGTTCACACCATTCTCCTGCCTCAGCCTCCCGAGTAGCTGGGACTACAGGCGCCCGCCACCGCGCCTGGCTAATTTTTTTTAAATTTTAGTAGAGACGGGGTTTCACCATGTTAGCCAGGATGGTCTCAATCTCCAGACCTTGTGATCCTCCCGCCTCGGCCTCCCAAAGTGCTGGGATTACAGGCGTGAGCCACCGCGCCAGGCCTCGGTCATGGTTTTCAAACATTTTTACTCCAGATCCTGTGTTTAAATGAAATCACCCCTCGGTATAAAACTGAAAGCTGCTACCCTCATTCCTGATTTCCGAGCATCTCTGCAGAATTCCTGCTGTTTTTCAGAAAGCTGACTTCAAGAATAAACATTAAAACAAAACGAAAAACCTTTAACTTGAATATTTCTTGCAAATGCTTATGTTCATCGTTTCTTTTTTTTTTTTTTTTTTTTGAGACGAAGTCTCACTCAGCTTCCCAGGCTAGAGTATGCAGTGATGCGATCTTGGCTCACTGCAACCTCCGCCTCCCAGGTTCAAGCGATTCTCTTGCCTCAGCCTCCTGAGTAGCTGGGATTACAGGTGCACACCACCACACCCAGCTAATTTTTGTATTTTTAGTAGAGATGGGGCTTCACCACGTTGGCCAGGATGGTCTCGATTTCTTGACCTCGTGATCTGCCCGCCTCAGCCTCCCAAAGTGCTGGGATTACAGGTGTGCACCACTGCGCCTGGCCTATGTTCATCCTTTCTAAGGACACATAGTCTTCTTACTTCATGTGATAATAATGATAATATTTTATATTTTATAAAGCTCTTAACTTTTGGCTGGGATCAGTGGCTCATGCCTGTAATCCCAGCACTTTGGGAGGCCGAGGTGGGTAGATCACTTGAGGTCAGGAGTTCAAGACCAGCCTGACCAACATGGTGAAATCCTGTCTCTACAAAAAAAAAACAACAAAAAAAAAAACAAAAAAAACCACCAGAAAAATTAGCCAAGTGTGGTGGCATGCACCTATAGTCCCAGCTACTTGGGAGGCTGAGATAGAGAATCGCTTGAACATGGGAGGTGGAGGTTGCAGTGAGCTGAGATTATGCCACTACACTCCAGCCTGGGCAACAGAGCGAGACTCTATCTCACACACACAAAAAAAGCTCTTAACTTTTTCAAGTACTTTTCCATCAGTTATTTCAGATTTTGTGGGCTATGTCTCCCACAATTTAATGTAGCCATTTTAAATTTCATGGTGTATATCTAAGAGGAAAATTTGATATTATAACATGTTTATGGATTTTTCCCACTGTTTGAGTAGTATTGCCTTTCAACTAAGTAGACCTCTTTTAAGCAACCATGATCGCTCATACTTAAGTCCAGTTATCATCTGACACTGAATAATCCACCTACCTGCAATAATCGATTAATCAACACATCAAAATATGCTATAATAAACAGAAAATCCCTAATTTCGACAATGCTTTCATATAATTTGTAGGCTATATTTTAACAAGTCATTTTAATTCTCACAGCACATTATTACACTGTTAAATTGAAATTTAATTTTTTTGCAAGCTGCATTCATTGTTGTTAATATTTATAACTGTTAAGGGATTATAACCAAATGATATCTGGTCCTGGGATAAGGAAAGAGCAAGAATGCAATCTGTTAAATTGGATTAAAGTATTAAGCTCAATTTCTGAAAGCACACTGAATGTATTCCCATAAAAATTAAGATTTTGAAGTGCAGAAGTTTCTTATGATGCAGCAAACAATGAGAAGTCAAAGATGAAAAGGCATTCAGCCTGAAATGAATCCTGCATAAAATGAAGAAAATAGAAACACTCACAGGTTTCATTATTTTAAGGGAAAAAAAACCTTCTATTTTACAGTAGAGAACAATAAGATGTGGGAAATGGAATGGGAGAATGGAGCAGTTTTCTTCTAGGGACATGTATTTAAGAATGGTTTTGGCCGGGCCTGGTGGCTCAAACCTGTAATCCCAACACTTTGGGAGGCCAAGGCAGGCGGATCACCTGAGCTCAGGAGTTTGAGACAAGCCCGGGCAAATGGCAGAAATTAGCCGGGCGTGATGGTGGGTGCCTGTTGTCCCAGCTACTCAGGAGGCTGAGACAGAATTGCTGGAGCCTGGCAGGTGGAGGTTGCAGTGAGCCAAAATCACGCCACTGCACTCCAGCCTGGGTGACAGAGAGAGACCTTGTCTCAAAAAAAAAAAAATGCTCTCAAACCCCTGAAACGCTCTACTAAATTCTGTTGCCTTGTTGAGATAATCCACTAAAACCAATAACTGTTCCTTTTTTCTTACAAGTAAAAACACTTTCTTATTTATTTATTTATTTATTTATTTATTTATTTTGAGACAGAGTCTCACTCTGTCACCCAGGCTGGAGTGCAATGGCGCAATCTAAGCTCACTGCAACCTACGCCTCCCAGGTTCAAGTGATTCTCCCACCTCAACCTCCCAAGTAGCTGGGACTACAGGCATGCACCACCACACCTGGTTAATTTTTGTATTTTTAGTAGAGACAGGGTTTCACTATGTTGACCAGGCTAGTCTCAAACTCCTGACCTTGTGATCTGCCTGCTTCGGCTTCCCAAAGTGCTGGGATTACAGGTATGAGCCACTGCGCCCAGCGATACTTTTTTATTGTAGGAGATATTTATGAAGAAGAAGAAAAAGAAATTACCATAAGCCCACCATCAGAGATAACTACTATTAACACTTTTAACAGCTTTACTGAGATTCACATCCCATAAAATTCACCCATTGAAAGTGCACAACTCAATTTTTTAAGTGTATTTAGAGTTGTACCATCATCAGCACCTAGTTTTAGAATAATTCATCACCCCAAAAAGAAACCTATTAGCATCACTCCTCATTTCCCTAACACACATTTCCCCCTACTCAGTCCTAAGCAACTACTAATCTATTTTTTGTCTCTAGAGATTTGCCTATTCCGGATATTTCATATAAATAGGATCACAGTATGTGGCCTTTTGCAACTGATTTATTTCACTTGGCATAATGTTTTCAAGATTCCTCCATGTTGTAGCAGGTATCTGTACTTAATTTTTTTAAATTGCCGAATAGCATTCCATTGTATGTACATAACATAATTTGTTTATCCATTTATTATGGATATTGGGTTGTTTCCACTTTCTGACTGTCATGAATAATGCTGCTATAAATATTCATGTACAAGTTTTTGTTTGAATACTTGTGTTTAATTCTCTTAGAATCTAGGAGACTGAAATTTCTGGGTCATATGGTATCCCTACGTTTAATATTTTGAGGAACTGCTAAATTATTCTCCAAAATGGCTGTACCACTTTACAGTCCCATCATCAATGTATAAAGGTTCCAATTTCTCCACATCCTGACAACCCTTTATATTGTCTGCCAACTATATATATATTGCTATCCTAGTAAGTGTGAAGTGCTATCTCATTGTGGTTTTGATTTGCATTTCTCTAATTACCAATGATGTTAAGCATCTTTTCATGTATTGGTTATCTGCATATTTTCTATGGAAAAGGGTCTATTCAGATCCTCTGTCCTTTTAAAAATTTGTTTTTTTTTTAAAGTATTAAGACTTCATTATAAATTCTGGTTACAAGTCTCTTATCAGATATATATTAATTACAAATCATTTATTCCATTCTATGAATTGTCTTTTATTTTCATGATAGTATCACTTGCAGCACAAAAGTTTTTAACTTGATGAAGTCTACTTTATCTATTTTTTTCTTTTGTCTCTTACGCTTTTGGTGCTGTATCTTAGAAGGTTTTGTCTGACTCAAGGTCATGAAAATTGTGCCTGTATTTTCTTCTACAGATTTTCTAACTTTAGCTCTGACATTAGAGATTAGAGTCTGATCCATTTGATTTAATTTTTGGTAAGTGTGAGGCTGGGGTTAAACTTAATTCTTTTTTTTTTTTTTTGAGACGGAGTTTTGCTCTTGTTGCCCAGGCTGGAGTGCAATGGCGTGATCTGGGCTCACAGCAACCTCCGCCTGCTGGGTTCAAGCGATTCTCCTGCCTCAGCCTCCTGAGTAGCTGGGATTACAGGCATGCGCCCCCACGCCTGGCTAATTTTGTACTTTTAATAGAGATGGGGTTTCTCCATGTTGGTCAGGCTGGTCTCAAACTCCCGACCTCAGGTGATGTGCCCACTTCGGCCTCCTAAAGTGCTGGGATTACAGGCGTGAGCCACCATGCCCAGCAAACTTAATTCTTTTATACATGGATATCCAGTCATCCCAGCAACATTTATTGAAAAGATTATTCTTTACCCTCATTGAATTGGCTAGACGCCCTTGTTAAAAATCAATTGACCATAAGTGAAAGGGTTTACTTCTGGACTTTCAATTCTATTTTTCTGACCTATATGTCTATGCTTGTGCAACTATTAATATTTGCTATGAATTCATCTTTTTTCATATAAATTTTTTCACATTTATTTTTTCAAAACCATTGAGTCATACCAAGCATGCAGTTTTTAACTTTTTTTCTCTTAATAGGCCATTAATATCCTCTGTCATTAAATATTCAACCTAATTTTTTTTTTGTTGAGACAGAGTCTTGCTCTATTGCCCAGGCTGGAGTGCAGTGGCACGATCTCAGCTCACTGCAAGCTCTGCCTCCCGGGTTCACACCATTCTCCTGCCTTAGCCTCCTGAGTAGCTGGGATTACAGACACCAGCCACCACGCCCGGCTAACTTCTTGTAGTTTTAGTAGAGACGGGGTTTCACCATGTTAGCCAGGATGGTCTCAATCTCCTGACCTCATGATCCGCCTGCTTTGGCCTCCCAAAGTGCTGGGATTACAGGCGTGAGCCACCGTGCCCGGCCTATTCAACCTAATTTTTAACGGTTGCATTATATTCCATTGTACAGATGCATAAAAATTAGTTAAACTAATCTCTTACTCAATACTTAAGAGATTGTTTTCAGAATAACATTATCTTTAACATAATAAACATCCCCAAAATATAGCTCTATTTGTATCAGTAATTACACCATAAGAAAAAAAACCTAGAAAGAAAAATTGCTAAGTACAAATATTTTTAAGCACTTGATTAAAAAATACTGCTATTGTATTAATTGACTAGCAATGTACAGGAGCGTGAGTTTCTTTATATGCTTACTAAAGCTGGATATTATCATTTAAAAATCTTGACAAATTTTGAATTCACATTTTATCAATGATTTGTAAGAAGGATATCTCAAACTTAGAAGTTTTTGATAGATTAAGTCAAATACCCAACTTTCCCCATATTTTAAAGATCTCAAATTATGTATATACATGTATACATACGTGTGTGTGTACACACACACACACACACACACACATTTTAGTTTCTTGTAGAGATGAGGTTTCACTATGTTGCC